>NC_000008.11:115714222-116964222 GCF_000001405.40 Homo sapiens
TCATCTGACTTTCCATGAATTTGTCTTCCTCCAGATTCCTCAAAGAACTACCCTATCCACCCAGTCGCCCAAGACAGAAACCTAGGAGTCTATTTCTATCCCAATAGCTGAACTAATATCAAGGTCCTACTGCATCTACATTCTAATTACTGTGTCTAGAATCTTTCCAGATTTCTCAATCTTCCCAGACAGGTGCCTAGTCTGAGTCTGCTTGGACTACTGCAGTACTCCAACACAGGCTCTCTGCCTCTACTCACGCATGCCCTTACATTGTTCTGCATGCTCCATCCTGAGAATGATATTCTTAAAGCTCCTGTTTAACACACTTCTCTGGCTTCTCATTGTACTTAAGACTAAACCTCAAAATTATGTAATTACCCGGAGATCCTGCAGTGTATCTCTTGACTAGTTTTTGGAAACCTTATTTTATGCTGTTTTTCACTTTGCTCTTCTTACTCCTCTAATGCTCCCAACATCTCTCAGGATTCAGGCCCTTCAAGCCATTGTTGTTATCTTGTCTGAAATGTGTATCCTTTCCTTCTTTTCCTCTTCTAGCCTTACATTAACTCTTACTCACCCTTCACTTCTTAACTTACATAACACTTCCTCGTGGAAATCCTTTGATTTTGCTCTCTGAGTTCCCGTAATCTTGTTGTGAATTCTCATTGCAACTTTTCCTTATCTTTTACAATCTTCATCACAACCCCTTATCTTTTATAACATTAATCTCACAATTATCTTATTGATGTGATTCTTCCCCATGCTAGACTGTAAGCTCTGTGTAGGCAGAGATCATGTGGTCTTTCACATTGATGTATTCACTGTGTCCAACACAATGACTGATACGTAGTAGGTACTCAAAAATATTTGCAGGACGAATGAAGAGAAAGATACATGAACAAAAGTTCAATAAATGTTAATTGGATGAACTGTTATGTTTCCAACTATGTCTTAAGGAACTCAGCTAAGTGTATAATTACTATAGTTTTGGAAAACCCAAGAAGATAATCAGTTATATTTCACTCCTATTCTTGTTTTCACAAAGGATTTAATGTGTCTACTTCAATAGTGTTAATTCCAGATTCTGTAACAGAACTCATATGCTTAAGAGAAATTGGAATTTTTAAGATAGTCTAACTTGCTCATTATTGGTGGACAAATACTTGCAAAGAAGAGATTTATTTTTGCAGAAATGACTTCATTATCTTCGACTGTTCAGCTGAAAGAAATCATCTGTTCAGATAAAAAGGCGTATTAGAAACATGCATTTAGTTCTATTGTAAATATGTTAAGAAGAATTGCTCTAAGTAACTCAGGAAAAAAAAATCTGGTTTACTTCCTTGCATTTGTTGGAACATTATAATGTTACAGCTTCAGGAAGTAGAATTTTTTCTATGGTATATATGCATATATGCATAAACATAATGTTACATTTATCAACCAAAAATTTAATATGGCAGAGGAAAATTATACTGCATGAGCTCATTTTTTAGTGTATTATCTTCATCTTTATTTTAAATAGTTAAAATTTAGCTGTTTTTTCCCAGATAACAAGTGTATATGTAACTCCCAAATAATAGAATACTTATTCTGAAGGCAGATCAGGTTGGCTCATTAATTTTTGCCGTGAGAAGACAAAGGAGATAATGTAATCGGGTTTTTAGTATATTATATTTTTCAACAATTATGCAGAACTTTCACACTTTCTGATTTTATGGAAACTTTTTATTTAAAAATTGTTAAACCTGGCTCATTTGAGGTCTAAATATATGTAAGGCAAATAGAACTCAAGCCAAATTTATGTCTTTGGTAGCAAAAGTTCTACATTTGGAAGCATATTCTATAATAGGTAAATATCAGAATAGAAAGGTTGGGGTTTGGAGAGTTTTACTTAAAACTATCACTTTAAATTTTGTATTTTTCATTTATATTTTCTTTACAGAAAGTTAGCAGCACATAGAATTTTTGGTTTTGGGCATGGCCTCTGATTATATTTAGGAACAAACTTTTTTTTTTTTTGGCCAAAATGAAGAGTAGATTAGACTTTGGTGAGATATTAAAAAAGGAGCTATTTGTAAATATCATCCACACCTAAACTTTAAACAAAAAAGCAGTAATCCTACCACACATACTCATTATATTCTGTGTATGAGAATTTGAAAGCTTCGGTGCAGGAAACTGATGATTTCCAGGACTGCAAAATGCCAGCCAATGAGTAGTAAGAGCAAGGTAGCAGAATTCAGACTTAAAGCCATGCAAAGTCTTACAAGGAAATAATATTTAAAATAACTAACTTGAGTGAAATATCAATACTATTGTACAATGAATGACATCCAGTTCTCTTTTTATACAATACATCCAAATATATACCATTATATCTTGAACTCAAATTCCTCTTCCTTCCATCCCAAGGTAATAAAAGGAACATTTCAGTTTACTTATTGGAAACTATTTCAACTCCTACTTACCAACAGATTAGAGCAGGCTGAACAGGTATTTTATAGAAGCATTATAATGATAAAGCCAAATATCAATCAGTTTTACTGCCAAAACTATGTGTCTGAACTTAAGGATTGGATAAAGGTGTGTTAGTCATGTCAGGAGATGGGGCAGCTTCGTGGGTATGACTCAGAAGGTATTACGTGCCTACATCACCATGTATGTACAAGTTGTATTTTAGCCACAAAGCTTGCCTTTGATGATCATGTATTTATATAGCACATTTCTTTTCATAGGCTTTTAAGGAGGAGGTTTGCAAAGCAGAGATCCCATAATTTGCATCTGGTGGAAATAGGCACTAATTCTGTGTCAGGAGACACAGACTCCCTTTCCTACCTTGTCACTGTCCTACCAAAAGATCTTGGCTGAGTAACAAAGCAGTGAATTTCATATGTGCTACCCACTTTCATGGTAAACTGGCCCAAATCCCCAATTTTACTTTTGATTTTACAGATGAATATATAAGGACCAGAAAGTCTCGGTGATTGGATTCAGATCATTTAATGTGTTTATTAGCAGAAGCAGGACTTGAATGCTGGGCTTCTGACTCCCCAGATAGGCCTCTGTCACCTTTAACAATTATCTCTGGACTTGTTTTCATGACTAGTAACATTTTTAAAGCTCAGAATCAATACACGCTTGCCAACATTTTATTTTGCCAGTGGGAGACATTAAGAGTACATCCATCGACTACTCACTATTACTATAATTTCATAGAAGTTAGCATTTTAGCATACAAAAGGAGAAAGAAATTGCAATACAAATAAAAGGGAGTGTTCTAGATTAAATAGTTTTCACTTTACGGGAATCTCACTGTATTGTCTTTGTTTTGCTCATTTTGTTGTAGGTCAAGAAACACTTCTTCATAGATAAGTATTTACCCCTTATCATATCCTCATTTAAGAGCTCTCTGTCTCTATTTCACACAAGAAGAGAATTCCCTTCTGAGAATAAACTTAAACACTAGCTTAAAAGGATTGTAAAATTGAACTTTCTTTAACTCCTTCTCTTTTTCCTTCTTCAACTCTGATAAGCATATCTTATTGATATATTCTTATTTCAGAATGAGAACACCTTTCCCGGTATAGGCAGTTTTGTGAAAAGGTAGGGTACATGAGGTTAGCCACTGGTACATGTGGTTATTATACACTTGAAATGTGTATAATTCACATCCAAATTGAGATGTGCTGTAGGTGTACAATAGGCACTAAATTTTGTACAAAATAGAATGCAAAATATACATACATAAGTTTTATATTGATTACTTGGTGAAATGAGAATTTGAACAGATTAGATTAAATGAAATATGTTACAATTAATTTTGGCTGTTTATTGATTTTTACTTTTTAAAATGTGAGTACAAGCAAATTTAAAATGACATAGATGGCTCCTATGTGTGGATCTCCTTACATTTCTGTTGGGCAGTGCTGGTCTGCAAAGAATAAGCACTGTGGATAATGTACTCAGGTTCCCCGCTTTTTCCCCTACCTCTCCCCAATGCAATCCCCAGAGATCACACATACCTGAGTGTCCTTTCTCACAAAATGAGCACAACCTAACAACGTTGCACATGTATCATTATCTGATGAGATGATGGTTCAGGAGGCATCGCTGCTAGAACTAATCTTGCTTCTCAGTGATTTTTTTTTTAGCCAAGTGTCAATTCTGCCACTCCTATAAGATCTGAAGGGATAAAGCAGAGGGAAGCACTAGGTTCTTTGAAATGCCAGGAGCATCTAAATAAATTCAGGTGCTTATCCATACAGGCTTCCAAAGTAGATTCTGACTACTCTGTAGAATACAAATAGGAAGCGGTACCTTCATCCTGGAAGCCTTTATTACACTGTCCACATTAGTAAACAGAGCACACAGGCAGAAACATTCCGAAAAAGCAAATAGAAAAAGAATGTGAATCCAGAAAGCTTTGGGGTGCCTAAGAACATTAATTTTTTTCTTCCATTTTCCAAAATTAAAGACATTGTCTATTGCAGAAAATGGAGGATTTTTTCCTATTATTTGAGAGTAACCACAGAAACTGTTGTTTTCTCTAAATCTTCATAAACTCAACCATTCCTCATTTAGTGGATTCTACTGACGTTAATGTATAACAATAGATTACTTTTTTCCTTAATGTATAATTCCATTTGCTGCTTGGGTCACAGGCTGTAGTTTTATAGGTTGTATGGCTGGTCTGTGGCATCACAATTATTCAGCACAGTATTTGATGATAACTTTACCCTACCTTCCAGGTATATTGCAGCTGAATACACAGTGAGACTGTCTGAATGCATTGTTTAAAATGACTCCAGTGACTCATTGGTCCATGGACTCTGTCCAGTTAAACTGGTAATCTCCAAGTTGGCAAGCCCATGTTTTCGTGTTATTTTTTGGAAGGCGTCATAGAAATGGTCGTTGCCATGCATTTTACATTGCAAAAAAGAGTCCAGGCCACCATCAGTCCAGGTGGATTACTGTAACACCTGGCTAGTCGGCTTCCCTTCCATCACTTCACAAACTTAATCTATCCTGTATATGGCTGCTAGATGAGCCCTCTTTAATTTATCATTTTTGTCATATCAAAACCTACAGCATATCCTACAAGGAGTCATTTAGTCTAATCTCTATCTGACATCAGGGACTTTCATAACTAAACCCTCTACCCATATCCAATCTCATTTCCTGCAACTGGAACCTGTCCTTGCTGTGGCTGCCTTTTATAATTTTGAACATCATACCTTCATGTGTCTGCTCTCGCACTTCCTACCATAGAAATTGCCATCACCCTTGCTCATTGACTATCTCTGTGCAAAACATCTTTCAAAGTCATTTATTACTAATTTATATAAACCCTTGAATTCTTCCCTCTTGGCCCTATATCTGCTAGTCTTTCTTCCCCTTTGAGATCGTAATTTGTTGATATTGTACATCAAACTCAGCACAGTTCTAGACTATGTGTTAAATCATGTTTAGTGCAGGGATGTGTGTTCCCATAGACCTGCCTCTAGCAGTTCTAGCTCTAAAACTGATTAAACCTCTCTAAGGCACAGTTTTGTGTTGACTGCAAAACAGTGATAATAGGGCTTAATTCATGGTTGATGATGAATTAAGATGTCCACAATAGGTTTCCTCTCTTTTCCAAAAGAAATTCTGATAGAAGAGGGTGAAAGGAAGTGTATGAAGCCACTGGGTAAGTAGCATGGAGTAAACTGAGCACAATAGAGCAGGCAGATGTGCACAAAAACAAAAATAATTGGCGTAAACAGCAAATGGGGATGAAAATTCATTTTGCATGGGGCTGGATTTTATTATATCTATTACATTATATTTCTTTTAGGGTAAGTTAATAACATTATTGTATATATCTGAAAATTATAATATTATGAGTCTCCTGTTTAAAAGTTTTGGAAAGTTCTCTATTGCCTACAGGATTAGCGCTACATGATCTGACCCCGACATACTTCTCTAGCTTAATGGCCCATCTCACATCTACAGTATACTCTGTGTTCCCACTGAATAAAACTATCTTTTCCTAAAAATACTGGGTTTTTTTGAGCCTGCATTTCTCTTTCTTCCTGGAATACTTTTGTTTCTTCTTTTCTTTCCTTATTCTGCACTTGGGAACATCTGACTAATCCTCTAAGCCCTGACTTGAGCTCCTCTCACCCACAGATCAAGCTTTCTCAAATTTCTCATGATTATCATAGAGGTCTAACTGTAAAATGAGCTTTCCTCTCAAAATCATCCCTCAAAAAAGAGGAAGGATACCTTAATTCTTTACAAAGTATCTTCATATTGTGGGGAGTTCTCTTAATTTCTATTTTGAGTAACAATTTACTGCTTGGGGAGAAGTCATATTAACAAGAAATTACTACTTTCGGTGCTGAGGGATGTCCCTGATGAAACTGGTTTTTAAAAGCTGGCAAATACATTTACATCAATTTATAAATTATTTTTCTACTTTGATTTCATACCTGAAAATAAGATACTTTGAGAAAAGCCTTTTAATGATCATTTAACAATGAAATACAGGAAGAGGTTATTATGTGGAGATCATATAGTATAGATGTAGAGGATACTTTAAAAAATTCTAATATTTATTTACATAACTTTGAATAAAATTTCCAATGACAATACCTAGATTAGACAAATGTCTATCTCCAACAATTTGACAGAATGAAGATGACAGGCTTTAAAATACAGTTTGGCAAGTTGAAAAGCAGCTCTAATGATGATGAAGAAACTGACGTGAAAGTGCTCAGAAGAGTTTGAAAACAATGCTCCATGGAATATGTGAATATTATAAAGGCAGCATTGCTAAAATATCTTATTTCAACTAACTTCTGTAATCTGGCCACCAAATGAAATACTGTAAGTAGTTGTCAGCTAGTTCATCATCATCCTTAATACTTTATTGTCAGTCAAAAACATTGTTTTTTGTTTGTTTCTAATTTTCTTTTTGTGAAAATGAGGGAATTGCCTTATAGTTTTGTGCTCTTTCACAGTGCTTTCCTGCCATTGAGTCTATTCAATGGTAGCACTGTAATTATGTGTTCTCTTGTCTGGCTTCCTCCTAGAAGGATCAATTCATTTGTTTTCTTTCTGTCTTAGATCTAAGAGAAAGCCTGATTCAGATATTTTTCATAGAAAGAGAGAATAAGTAAAACTGTGGATAAATGGTTCATTAAGACATTATTATATCACATTTTTTGGCTTTTATTTTGATACTTAAAATGGTACAAATAATTGTGCAATCTAAAAGAAAATATACCTAAACTTTAATCATGACCGTTTGCAGTAAGTGCTCAGGAAAAGTTTGCTGAATGAATGAGTGAATGATATCCTTTCTAAATAACAACATATATCTTTGATTATAAAACACTCTTTTTCATATTTGAACATTTCAGAAAAGAATGTGTTTTACACTCTGTGAAAGATAGCATTACATCATAATTTAAGTAATAACTCCCCCCTTTATTTGTCTTTATGGGACATAAATAAAGGTATTTCTTACAAAGAGGTAACTGCCTAATGAGAGCAAAAGTGATTTGTCAATCACTTTGTATATGTCAGGCACAACAATACAATTTCTTCAATAAATAATATAATCATTATTTAACAGTTGAACACCAAGGTATAGAAAGGATGAGTGACTGGACTTAAGGTTACAGCCAGCACCACATAGCCTGCATTTTGGAGAAAAATTTTTATTGATTTTTGATAGGGGAGTAAATACATTAGTATAATAGGTTTTACTTCAATCCTATAGGTTTATGCTATGGTTTCAAATGTATCATTTACAGTACTTGTTACTCATAACAGTTTACTATAACAATTCAACTATGTTAGCAATTATTAAGTACATGCTATAGTTAATATATTCAAGCTACTTCTGTCACTTGTTAAAAGCACCTACTTCTAAATTTTATTTTATTTTCATTAGAAAAAGTTTAAAAAGACAAATCTCAGCTAGGTTCTGGAGAGAAACATTAAGATAGATATTGCTGGCCCCCCTGACTAGTTTTAAAAAACACTTAAAGAATTCCATTGCTATGAATGGAACATTAAAGTCAGCAAAGCATCCCTCACCTGTGCTTTTAACTGTAAAAGCCTCTATCAGATACCCTTTTCCCCACAGAGCAAAATAACATCAGCACACATTAAGTGTTTATTTTCAGGCATCTTACTTTGTTTGAAGGTGACACTATAATATTCTGCAATATTAGAAATGTTAAAGTCTCCTTAGAAAGCCTTATGTATATACTTGCATATACATGTGAGTTTCTTACACACACACACACACACACTTTTTAAAATTCAATAAATATTCATTGAGCACTAGTACTACAAGCCAGGCACTGTGTAGGGCTACACATTCAGTATGAAGCAAAAGAGGCAACGTCCTTGTATTTTTAGAAGAGACAGGGTTATGCCATGTTGCCCAGGCTGGTTTTGAACTCCTGAGCTCAGGCAATCTGCCCGCTGTGACCTCCCAAAGTGCTGGGATTACAGGCATGAGCCACCGCACCCGGCATGGTGGTGGGTGCCTGCAATCCCAGCTACTCGGGAGGCTGAGGCATGAGAATCGCTGGAACCTGGGAGGTGGAGGTTGCAGTGAGGCGAGAATGCGCCACTGCCCTCTAGCCTGGGCAACAGAGTGAGACACTGTCTCAAAAAAATAAAAAGAAAGAAAAAAAAGAAAAAGAGACAAAATCCTTGTCCCTAGAGGAACCTTTGGCTAAAGGAGAATAAAAGTAAATAAAATTTCAAAATATAATTATAAATTGATAGAAAAAATAAATATGCAAAATATAAGGTATGAGAAACTTGCTCTCTCTTTCTGTTGCAAAAAAGTTGGAAATAAGTTTGCCCTTTGAGTTAAACTAAATCCACGTACAATCACTTTGATGTGTATCAGCGGAAGCAAACAAAAAAAAAAACCAAGATGGGGTCTTTAAAGTGTGTAATTAAAGTGGCAGGAGAGAGACCTTTAAAGTTTCAGTCAAGGTGATTATGAAGTAATCCCAGAGGCAAGACAAAGTTTTAATTTAATAAGCAGAAATATAATCAAGGAATAGGTTGATCAGAAATAGCAAGAAGCATCATCAGAATCATTAAGGGAAGAAAAATGTGAGGACTTGAGGATTGCAGTTTCCTTGACAGTGCTATCCCTGTAGTAGAGAGTAAGCAAACTAAAAGCCAGCATTAGCTGAGAGATGCTTTTTAAGTTCACATAACTCTCTTTTCTCAGTGCTTCAAAGCCTTAGAAGCAACGCCCTGAACAGAGGCTTGCTTGAGGACAGTGGTTCTCAATGGAGGATGATTCGTTCTTAGGAGATTTTTGGCAGTAGTAAGGGACAATTTGGGTGTCGTAACTGGGGGAGTGGGGCTGTTACTGGCACGTAGTGAGAAGAGGTCAAAAATGCTGCAAACCATGCCACAGGGTACAGGACAGTTCCCCCATAACGATGATCCAACCCAAAATGTCAATAGTGCCCAAGTTGAGAAATCCTTCTCTATTTTTGCTCAAAACGATAACAGAGGAAGAGCGTAAGAGCGAGAGTAAAAGGGGAGAACACCTTATGCTTTCAAAGTCCAGTTGCCCCTGGTGGGATTTCACCAGGAGCTGAAGAGTGATCCCTGGCTGACAGCCAGCAAGAAAGCATGACTGCAGTCCTACAGTCTCAAGGAACTAAATTCTGCCAACAGTATGAAACAACTTGGAGCAGACTTTCCCCCAGAGCTTACAGATAAGAACTCAACCTGACATCGTGATTTCAGCTTTGTGATACTTTGAGCAGAGAATCCATCTATACCATGCCTTACTTCTGATCCACAAAGGTTGTGGTTAAGTTGTGACATAGCAATAGAAAACTAATACAATCCACAAAGGTACCAATGCAGTGGTCTAGCAGATTCCAATATACCCAGTTTGACTGCAATCTCCCTGTGGACAGGAGTTGGGCATGTGGTGTTCACCATTACTTTCCTCAGCATTCATCACGTCAGGAATATGGTAACCTTCAATAAATATTTGTGGACTCACTCACTGATTTTCCTTGGCTTCATAATTTTTTCCCTTCATTGTCAAAGTACACATAGGAATTCCGTGACACACATAAACTGTGTTTACCCATCTGTGAACTTGTTTAATGTGAACCTGAGTCAGAGTTGGACCCATATCCATTTTGCCTATAAATATAGGTTTCTGGTTGGACAAGGTATGGACAAAACCCCGGACAAAGTGAATTAACCACAGCAAAGGTCACTTTGTAGAGGAGTTGACCAGGTTGGCCTTGCACAGGTAAATTACATTTCTGGGTGAAAGTGATGGTTAATTTTATGTGTCAACTTGGCTGGACCATGGCGCACAGCTATTTGGTTGCACATTATTCTAGATAATTATGCATGGGTATTTTTGGATGAGATTTAAGTTTCAATAGAAGAACTTTGAGTACAGTAGACTGCCTTCCATACTGTGGAACCTCACCTAATTAGTTGAAAATCTGAATTGAACAACATCCACCTATTTAAAGTTTTAACTGGATGCATTAGATTACATGACTATTATGAGCATCTATGGGCTCTATTATTTTAAACCTGAAAAGACATACTTGACAAAAAAATAATCCTTTTCCAATCCAAATTTCAGCTTTTCTTACAGGAAATGCTAGCACATGCTAATTTATTCCCATAAAACTTTACAGCCGGTGTGAAATGTGAAATATGAAATGTTTATAAGTGAATTGCAAGTATCGCCTGGGTCAGGCTCATTAGAAAAAAGTAGTATTTGAAAACGTTATTCACCTTTTCAAAGGGAAAGGAGTCCAGAAAGCAAAAGGGAAATATAATTTAATGTTTTCCATGTATCATATAGAGGAACAAATGAAGATGAAATAAGTAAACTTGTCTATCAGAAGTATTGATTAGTGTTGGAAGAGGTTGGAAACTGAGACTGGTTAAGAAGGAAAGACAGTATGAATCTTGGTGAACCACTACTTTGGGTGGAATGAGATACTAATGTTCTCCTTTAAGGAAGGAGATGGGAAAATCCCAATTCAGTAATATTTAACAGGGCAAATATAAGCAACAGATGTTGTTTTTATCTTATTATCCTGGTAAGAATATCCAAGAACAAGACATAGTAGACAGGATCCAATATCACAGATTTATGAAATCTGAAGTTTTGAATATTTAGATAGAATATTAAACTGAGAATACTAATAGTCACTGAGGATTTACTATGTTCTAGGCATTGTTCCACACACTGTAGGTCGAATCCTACATTTGCTCCTCTTGACCATCTTATGAAATGTACAATTTTTTTACCCATTTTACAAAATACATATACCCATTTTAAATTTTACCCATTTCTATGTGCTACAAAAAACACAGAGAAGTTAAAGAACTTGTTCAAAACTAGTAAGCATGACGGTTGGCGCTAGGGTTTATTCCACATTGTCTAGCTTCAGAGCTCATGCTCTTAAATACAAGGACAGATAAGTCTCTTAAATGTAAATTATTTACTACACAGCAGGATAAATTTACCAATATATTTTAAAATTGCAAAATCCATCTTAAAAATCATGAAACAATAAATAGAATATTGAGTTAAATCATATGAGATGTCCAATTTGTAGATCAAAAATGATCAAATATTGATAAACTCATATGTCTCAATATGCATCAAACCCATTGTTATTAACCTAGTAACTGGAAAACTCCATTGATGCCTTCAATATGCTGCCTTTATTATTTAATTTTAATTACTTTAAAGATTCAGAAGGGCATCACATTTTTGGAGGCATGCTTTGGCATGCTATTAATTATATTTTTCTTTTATAAAATGCCTTAACTTTTTGCATCACAATTTTTTCACACCTGAGTGTTTTCAGAAAATTAATAGTATTTGTTGTCATCTGGAACTTTTGAATCATTAAAAATATTACTTTAAATAAGCATTTGTCTCATCTACTCTGGAAGAAATGAGGATCTATTAAATATACAACTAACTTAAAATTAGTTTATTCTTAATTACTTCTGCTTTAGCAGGTCATCAAATTCAGAATAAAACCCAGAAGTAACAACTTTATAAGACACTCTTAGAAATGTAATGGAAACTTTTTAAAAGCAATAAATATAATTTACCATCAATAGATACAATTGACTACCATATTACACTCAAACTTCTCGGTAATTTTCCAATATTTAACCATTTTTTTGGTCTATAAACTTGTTACATTTATTTTTCAGTCATCCCAACCTTGTTTTTTTCTACTCTCAGAGTTATCTCTTCATCTTAGTGTCACCATGATCTATTACGATTTATCTCATATGTCTCTATTTCCTAAAGCATTTTCTAATGCTTATTTTTGAGAAATAAATTCTGTTCTTTGAATTCCCATAGTATGTTATTTTTATCTCTGCCGTGATTCTTACATTTTCCTTCTCACTTATTTGTGTTCATGCTTTTCTGCCATACTAGCTCCATCTTCTATATCTGTCTCATTGATTTAATCCTTTAACCATGTAATTTTTCTGTCCCTTTCCAAGTGGTCTCTCATTTAGATTAATTACAGTAAGTCTAAACTGATTTCTTGATCTGTCTTCTATCACTTAGGATGTTTTCAGCAAGAGTAGCAAAATTTCTCACTCAAACAGATTTAAATAGTAAGGATATTTATCCTCTCACATGGGCAGAATTCCAGAGATAGAATGAGTTTCATCAGGCAGCAACAGCAATTCAATGTGATTATCATGGATCCTGGTTCTTTCCATCCTCAACTCTGCCAACTTTGCATTTCAGCTTCACTCTAGTGCCTGCTCCTTTCATATTTGCAGGACAGCTGCTCATTGGTCCACGTGTCACATCTAGACTCAAAAATGTTCACAGAAATAAATAAAATAGTCTCTTACATTGTCTCTGTTTTAGGAGTGAGGAAACTACTCAAAAGACCTCCAGAAGACCTCTTGTCATGTCTCTCGTGTTAGTGTTGGATCTTTCTTAGTCCACAGAGGTATGGTTTATGCCACCATAACAAGATACCTGAGACTAGGTAGTATGTAATGAACAGAAATTTATTTTCTTACAGTTCTGGAGGCTGAGAATTCCAAAATCAAGAAGCCAGCATCTGGCAAGGACCTTCTTGATGCATCCCCAAATGATGAAGGCAGAAGGGCAAAGAGGCAAAAGGGGGCCAAACTAGCCCTTTTGTAACAGCATTAATCCATTCATGAGGATGGATACCTCATGACCTAAACACCTCCCATTATGCCCCACCTCCCAACACTGTTGCATTGGGGATTATGTTTCCAACACATGGATTTCCGGGAATCATATTCAAACCATAGCAGTTTCACATCTTTTCCAAACCAACTAATGGCAACAAAAAGGGTTAAACACAGTGGTTCAGGCTAATGGTTATTAAATCTGGCAGCATATAAGTATTACCTGTGGAACATTAAAATTTGTTGAGGCCTGGGATCCACCTCCATAGATTCAGATTTAATAGTTTGAGGGTGGAGATCTATCTATCTATCTATCTATCTATCTATCTATCTATCTATCTATTATCTATCTATCTATCATCTCTCTCTCTCTCTCTCTCTCTCTCTCTCTCTCTCTCTCTATCTAGATCTTAAGGTAGAGAAGAAAGAGTTGACAAAAGAAGTAGAAATAAGTGGCTGGAGAAGTATCGAGAGAACATCAGAAGTGTATCATATCATAAATGCCAAAAGAAGAGAATGTTTTACAGAGGAATTTATCAACAGAAGAAAGGGGTGTGTGTGTGTGTGTGTGCTATTAATATATGGGTGAATTATGGTGTATTTTTCTGCCAAAGCCATATTTAACCTACTATGAGGAGATGTTCAGGTGAAGAATGGGATAAGATTATTCTGTGAAGAGGAAAAGGCAGGTGCCAAGTTTCTCAGATAGGACATAACCTTGCTCACTTAATAAATTCTGTAAATGTGAGTGTGGATAGAGAAAAGTAGGAGAGGAAGAAACTAGAAATAAAGTTGAAGGCCACATCATGCGTTGCCTTATAGATTTTTCATTTCCTTCTATAGACTTTGTATTTCATTCTAAATTTAATAAAAAGGGTCGTGTTAGGAAATGGATTAGAAGGAACCAGGCACAGAATAGAGTAGACTAATCAGGAAGCTGTAATCTAGGACAGAGATGATGTCCTAGGACTAGGAGATAGGCAGTAGAGATGGATTTCAGTGGGTGAATTACAGATATTTTAAGTGTAGAAACAAAAGAAATGGATGATTATTTGCAGGGGTGTAGGAGATGGAGGCTTCAAGGCAGACTTTGAGTCCCCTGGCATGAGCATTGCAGGGAAAGGGAATGTCATTTACTGAGAAGGTTAACACTAGAAAAAGAGCCTTTGAGGGAAAGGAATATTGAAGATCACGAATTGATTTTAAACATGTTATGTTTGAAATATGCAACTAGATATTTCAAGTAGGTTCTTGTTTACACTGATTCAAAGTTTCAAGGAGTTGAACAAGCTGGAAATAGAAATGTGGGAGTTACTCTCTTACAGATGGCATTCAAAGCCATGAGAGTGGAAGAAAGCACCTGGGAAGTATGTGGAGAGTGAGAGTAAAGAGGACCCAGGGCTGAGGCCTATGGAATGCCTGGTGGAGAAGAAAGGGTTGACAAAAGAAGTAAAAAGAAGTGGCTGGAGAAGTATAGGGAGGACATCAGAAGTGAATCATATCATATATGCAAAAATAACAGAATGTTTTACAGAGGAATTTATCAACAGAAGAAGGAGCGAGAGAGAGAGAGAGAGAGAAAGAGAGAGAGAGAGAAATGGGGAGAGGGAGGAAGAAAGTAAAAAAGGAAGGGAGAAAAAAGAAAGTAGGAAGAAAGGAAGAAATGGAAGAGAAAGAAAGAATGAAAGAAAGAAAGGGAAAGAAAGAGAAGGAAGGAAGGAGGGAAGAGAAAGAAAATTGACTCCTACTTAAAATAAAAATATAATCCATTGATACCATTTGAAGTGAGAAAAGACTCACTGCAGGGGAATGTTCAAAGGTAAAAGGACAAAGATGTCTACTGCAATGTCTTGGAACTGTCTTACTTTCTGCCCAACTTGGCACTACCATAAAATATTGGAAGCCATAAAATATTTAGAAACTGATTATTAAACAGGCCTTGAAATCACTTTTGTGCCAGTCTGTCTCCTTTCATTTTATCTGATCTCTGCATTCAGTTCTGCGTTAGAACATGCACTAGTTAAAATGTCCATTATTATCACGAATAATGAATTAGATGACTCATGAAGCCAGTGTCTTTTAAAGTCAGACTTCCAGAGGAAAATAAAAATTTTCACTGCCTGAATGTCTGATCTTATGTGGATGATACCGTTAGGCTGTGTCCCCACCCAAATCTCATCTTGAATTGTATTAAAAGCTCCCATAATCCCCACATGTTGTGGGAGGGAACTGGTGGGAGATAATTGAATTATGGGGACAGGTTTTCCCATGCTGCTGTCATGATAGTGAATAAGTCTCACAAAATCTGGTGGTTTTATAAAGGGCAGTTCCCCTGCCCACACTCTATTGTCTGCCACCATGTAAGAAATGCCTTGGCTCCTCCTTTGCCTTCTGCCATGATGATGAGGCCTCCCCAGCAACGTGGAACTGTGAGTCCATTAAACTTCTTTTTCTTTATATATTACCCAGTCTCATGATATTTCTTTATAGCAGTATGAAAATGGGCTAATACAGTAAACTGGTACCAGTAGAGTAGGGTACTGCTATTAAGATACCCAAAAATGTGGAAGTAACTTTGGAACTGGGTGACAGGTAGTGGTTGGAACAGTTTGGAGAGCTCAGAAAAAAACAGGAAGATGTAGGAAAGTTTGGAGCTTTCTAGAGACTTGTTGAATGGTTTTGACTAAAATGCTGATAGTGATATGGACAATGAAGTCCAGGCTGAGGTGGTTTCAGATGGAGACGAGGAACTTACTGGAAACTGGAGGAAAGATGATTCTTGCTATGTTTTAGCAAAGAGACTTGTGGCATTTTGCCACTGCCCTAGAGATTTGTGGAACTTTGAACTTGAGAGAGATGATTTAGGGTATCTGGCTAAAGAAATTTCTAAGCAGCAAAGTGTTCAAGAGGTGACTTGGGTGCTGTTAAAAGCATTCTGTTTTATGTAGTCACAAAGATATGGTTTGGAATTGGCACTTATGTTTAAAAGGGAAGCAAAGCATAAAAGTTCAGAAAATTTGCAGCCTGATGATGTGATAGTAAAGAAAAACCCATTTTCTGAGAAGAAATTCAAGCCTGCTGCAGAAATTTGCATAAGTAATGAGAAGCTAAATGTTAATTGCCAAGAGAACAGGGAAAATGTCTCCAGAGCATGTCAGAGGCCATCTCAGCAGGCAGCCCCTTCCCTCACAGGCCCGGAGACCTAAGAAGAAAAACATGGTTTTGTGGGTCAGGCCCAGGGCATTGCTGTTTTGTGCAGTCTCGGGACTTGGTGCCCTGTGTCCCAGCCATGGCTAAAAGGGGCCAACATACACCTCAGGCCATTGCTTAAAAGGGTGCATTCCCCAAGCCTTGGCAGCTTCCACGTGGTGTTGGGCCTGTGGGTGCACAAAAGTCAAGAATTGAGGTTGGGTAACCTTCAACTAGATTTCAGAGGATATATGGAGACTCCTAGAAGTCCAGGCAGAGGTGCGCTGCAGGAGTGGAGACCACTGCTAGGGCAGTGCAAAAGAGAAATACGGGGTGGGAGCCCCCAATACAGTTCCCACTGGGGCACTGCCTAGTGGATCTGTGAGAAAAGAGCCACTGTCCTCCAGACCCCAAAATGGTAGATCCACCTGCAGCTTGCATCATGTGCCTGGAAAAGCTGAAGTCACTCAATGCCAGCCAATGAAGGCAGCTGGAATTGGGGCTATACCCTGAAAAGCCACAGGAATGGAGCTTCCCAAGGCTATGGGAACCCACCGCTTGCATCAGTGTGACCTGGATGTGAGACATGGTATCATTTCACAGACAAGGAGATAATTTCAGAGCTTTAAGATTTGGCTACACCACTGGATTTCAGACTTGCATGGGGCCTGTAGCTCCTTCGTTTTGGCCAATTTCTCCGATTTGGAATGGTTGTGTTTACCCAATGCCTGTACCCCCATTGTATCCAGGAAGTAACTAACTTTCTTTTGATTTTACAGGCTCATAGGCAGAAGAGACTTGCCTTATCTCAGATGAGACTTTGGACTTGGACTTTTGGGTTAATATTGGATTGATTTAAGACATTGGGAGACTGTTGGGTAGGCATGATTGTGTTTTGAAATGTGAGGACATGAGATTTGGTAGTGGCCAGGGGTGGAATGATATGTCTTGACTGTGTCCCCACTCAAATCTCATCTTGAATTGTAGGTCCCATAATCCCCACATGTCATGAGAGGGACCCAGTGGGAGGTAACTGAATCGTGGAGGTGGTTACCTCCATGCTGCTGTTCTCATGATACTGAGTGAGTTCTCATGATATCTGATGGTTTTATAAAGGGCAGTTCCCCTGCACATGCTCTCTTGTCTACTGCCATGTAAGATGTGCCTTTGCTCCTCCTTCACCATCTGCCATGATTGCGAGCCCTCCCAAGCCATGTGGAGCTGTGAGTCCATAAAACTTCTTTTTCCTGGCCAGGCACAGTGACATACACCTGTAATCCACTTTGGGAGGCCAAGGCAGGTGGATCACCTGAGGTCATGAGTTCGAGACCAGCATATCCAACATGATGAAACCCCATTTCTATTAAAAATGCAAAAATTAGCCAGGCATGGTGGCAGGCACCTGTAATTCCAGCTACTCAGGAGGCTGAGACAGGAAAATTGCTTGAACCTGGGAGGCAGAAGTTGCAGTGAGCCAAGATTATGCCACTGCACTCCAGCCTTGGTGACAGAGCAAGATTCCATCTCAAACAACAACAACAACAACAACTCTCTTTTTCTTTATAAATTACCCAGTCTTGGGTATTTCTTCGTAGCAGTATGAAAATGAGCTAATATATGAACAATGCTCAATCCCAAGAAATGAGATGCTAATGATGAGATTTCAGGCAGTAGGCATCAAGTACAGAAGGATGTATTAAGGTAAGCTATGAGACTATCTCACCGTAGACAACTGCCTATATTGCTCCTGTTTTGAATAAATATGTAGATAAGATAGTGCTAATATAACTTATTTTTTTGCCAAAACTAAATTATGCTCTTGGCATTTCAAAGAATGCATCATCCATATCACTGATGCTGAAATCGAAATAGTTCAACGTGGGCAAAGTTTGATAACTTTAACTTATTCATTTTTGAAGCCCACTGGTGAAAACTTTATTATTGTCCACCTTCTCTACTACTAATGCTGCCATCAGGGATAGGTCATGTTTCAGGGATTTTACTCCAAACTCATTATGCCAAAGAAAATGAGCTTTTGTTGTACCTAAGTTTGGAGTGTTTGAGTGTGGTTTCTCTTTGGAAACTAGGAAAAATGTACATCTTGGTTGTTAAGAGCACAGGCTTTGGTGTCAGAGTGAACTGCAGTTCAAATCACAGCCCCAGTACCTACTAGTTGAACTGACTTGGATAATTATTTAACTACATTAAGCCTGATGTTGCCTCAACTGTAAAATGGTGATGATAATATTATTAATGATTAATTGATAAACTGTGATTTATTGTGGATAGTAAATGCATTAATGCACCTAAAACAGTTAGCATAAATAAATGCTATTATCACTGCAATTCTCAACAACAGCGTTCATTATTTCTAAACATAGGGAGAGTGGTGAGGATTCCGAGCTGCTCACCTGTGAGATAATCTCTATCACAATTACTCTCTGATTCTATTTGCTTTCTGAAACTAGAGGGGTGGTCTAGGATAGGTGCTTCTTTCTGTGGGGGGAATCCAATGATAGGTGCCTCTCTTTCTCATCCCACAACCATCACCACGTAATTTCTTTCCTGGGTATTGGTATTGGGAAAAGAGTGCTGTGTAGTCTGCTTTGGTTCTAGTCTGCATTAGTCTATCTAACACATACAAAAATAGTGCTAATAATCCAATCTACATCACTGAAATTCTACATGGAGGTTTGGGGCCAAAACATCAGTTAGTACTGAAGCCTGACTTCCCTAAACCCTGAGAGGGGGACTGAGTGGTGTGGTGGCTTTCAAAAGGAAGGTATTCAAAATGCTCACTAGGTTCTTCCCTTCTCTCTCTGTATATAAATAACAATCACCCCTTTTCCTAACAAAATTTGCAAGTTTTGTCTTCCATTTATCCACCAGTCCTGCCACCCCATGTATTTTACAATTAACCTGAAGTTGAGTATGCAATATATGTATTTCACCTCGCATAGTAATTCTGTGCCTTGGTATCATCAACTAATGGAAAGTCAAGTTTGAAAAGAAAATGTGATGCATTTAACTTCTCTGTCTAAAATATGAACTATTTATATAGGTAATATTATTCTCAACTTTGTAAAATCTGGAATGCCTTTTTGCTACCCTAAGTAATTTCACACACACAGATCGTTTGAACATTACAATCACCCTTTGAAATAGTAGCTCTTGTATTCGTTTCTACTTTGCTGATGATGAAACTGAGGACGAAACAAATTAACAGATTTTTCAGGTAAGCATATATAATAAACGATGAAAATGTCCCTGAGCCCACATGATTTTGCTCCAGTGTTAAAGTGCCTTTCTGTACCACACTTTTATGTTTCAGTCCTTTAGGAATAGGTCAGTGGGGCCCCATCAAGCTTAGAAAACAGAAAAGCAAACTAACTAAACTTTTTATGGCTTAGAAAGCCCAACATGGTCTGTCCTACCGGGCTCTCGGTCTTCATCCCTAAACTCTATTCAAGTCAACACTGCCCAGTCACAGTAGCCATCATGAATATCCAATGCTCCTTTCCATGTAAAAATTTAGCATTTACTTCCAGTTATCTATTGTTTTATTACAAGCCACCTCAAAGTTTGTGGCAGATAATAACTGTTTTATTATTCTCACGGGCTCTATGGATCACAGTTTTGTACAGGACACAACAGGGACAGCTTGTTTATGCTGTACTATGTCTGGGCACACAGCTGGAAAAGCTCAAAGGCTGGGGGTGACTCCACAGCTGGGGATTGATATGATCTGGAGGCATCTCTGTGCATTTGTCTGTGGCTGATACTGGCTATTGGCTGGGAACTCATTTGGCACTCTCAGCTAAGACACCTGCTCTTCTCTCCATGTGGTCTGGACTTCCTCACTGTGTGGAAACTGGATAGTAAAAGCAGGCATCCCAGGAGAATTGGGAAGGAATTGCATTGCAATTTTATGACCTAAACCCAAAAGTCATTTAGCATCACCTCCACCACACCCTGTTGGCCAAGGCACAGAACAGTCTTTCCAGGTTCAAGGAAGTAGTGTCAATGTCACACTGTAAGTAGAGCACACTGGAGGGGGTATACTGTTTTGGCCAGATTCCAAAAAGAATAGCTGCCACGCACTTTCTATCCCTATTTCTAAATAGGTTTTTCTTCTGTTCCTTACATTGTTGGCTCCTTCATGTCATTCCGGTTGTTTGTTCAAATATCTCTACCTATGCCAACTGTATTTGCACCCTCTACTTTTTGCAGCTTTCTTTATCTTCCTGCTCAATATATTATTTACCCTACCTGATTCTCTTTCTTTCCCCTTCTTGCTTTGTCACTTGCTCTCTCCCCTCTCAACTGTCCCTCTTTATCCCTTCCCCTTCCTTCCTTCCTTCTTTCCTCCCTTCCTTCCTTCTTCTTTCTTTCTTTCTTTCTTTCTTTCTTTCTTTCTTTCCTTTCCTCTCCCTCTCTTTCTCTTTCTTCCTTTCTCTTTCTCTTTCTTTCTTTCTTCTCATATTTCTATCGTTGATTTATCTGTCTATATCTATTTTTCCATCTCTCTGTCTAAACTACCCTTCTACCTATCTCACTGCTTTTGTACCTCAATAAAAGTAATCTCCAAGAGAATGTTTAGGGCAGTGAAACCACACTCTGATACAATAATGGTATCACAGGTCATTATATATTTGTCCAAATCCACAGAATGTACAACATCAAGAGTGAGCCCTTATGTAAATTATGGACTTTGGGTAATAATTTTGTGTCAAATTACATTCCTCAATGGTAACAAATATACCACTTTACTGGTGGATGTTGATAATGAAGGAGGCTATGCGTGAGTGGGAATGGGGGTAAATAGAAAATATCTGTATCTCTTGTTCAATTTTGATGTGAACCTAAAACTCCTCTAAAAAATAAAGTCTCTTCTAAAAAAGTAAGCTCCATGATGGCAGGAACTTTGCCTTGTTTGCCACCATATTCTGGGACACAGAACAAGGTCTGGCACAGAGATAGCAGATGCTCAATAAAAATGTGTTGAATAAATGAATGCATGAATGAAACCATTGATATAAAAAAAGTTATTATTTTGTTTTGGAACTAGAAGCACATAAACCAGCAACAAAACCACTGAATACTCCGGAAAGGGATGTGCTGAAAGGTAAGGATCCAAGGGCTGTTGGGAAGATGTACAAAAGCCAAACTCTCCTGACTTCATGATTATTCCCTGGTCCAACACTGACTCTCAAAATTCCCAAATCACAGTATTCTGAGGAGGCTTATCAGCCTTTTCAATGTATGCAGAATATAAGAAGCTTGCCATTCTCCATTATTCAACCACTTACACTTGTTGTTAATTCAATATTCAAGTGAGACTTCATTTAATGTACAAATTTTATTTCACGAATTACTCATTCTCAGAAATGCTTTTCTATTCTTTTAAATTGTTCTACTTCATGACTATAGTTGATCAAACCAGGATTTGAAAATGTCACCTCAAATTTTATCTGTCATGATATCAAGAGTTGAGGTTTCTTATATAAAAATGTTCGAATTACCCTTAATAAATTACTAATGTTTATGGTAATTTAGAGCTGAACTGTATGTACAAAGATAACCTGATACTCTCCTATGTACCAAAATTATCTTCTAAGTTTAATAATGAGGTAAGTATTTCCTTCTAAGAAATTGCCATAGATTTAAATCTAAATGATAACTTCTAAATTACCAATTTTGAACTCAGGCTTTTATCTTAAAGGCAAGATTTATATATCCAATTAGTTATTAGATATTTTCATTTTGATGACTCACCAGAACTCGACACATCCAACATTTAGTTTATCATTGACCCTTAAAACCCTCTCTTTATTTTATTCTACTAGTGAATGGACCCACTGTGAGAGGCAGATTTTCTATGAAGCTAAATAAATCTAAACCTCTGGACCCCACACTTATATGAGGTCTTTTTAATGCTCTAATCTTGTATTATATTTCATCATTAAAATGCTTGTCCATTTTCGACAGCCAATAAAAGGTGAGCATTCTCTTAAGCATGTGATAGAGTTTTATCATTATGAACTAGTTTAGCTTTAACAGAAAACTGGTCCTTCTGAATAACATTTACTTTAAAGAGAGGCTATGGGTTACTATTTTGGAATAAAAGCCATCATTTTTACTAATGTTTTACAACTTTTTACTTTATTGTTACAAATAAATCTACTGACCAACTCACCTCACTCAGGTACCTAAGTGTCAAGGGTATACATGGAAGTTATTAACACATTATTCAAATCTAAAGGCTTCGTGAGTGCTTCATTGATGTTTTTGAATGGTGTAAGAGAGTAATTTGACATACCTTCTTTAAATTTTTTAAGGCTAAAGATTTGTCATGTCATATCATTTAGACTTTTGTGTTAGAACAAATGTGTATTTTCTCAGTGATGTCTTGGTTCTACCTGATTTTATTCCTTTGGCTTATTTCCGGATAGAAAAGGAGTCCCTTGATATACAAGTACTGTCCTAGGTAAGCTTTCCAGTGTTCTCAAAAGGGCATCAATTTCACCTGCAGTTTCATTATGGACTTTAACCTCAACTGGAAAAAATGAATGGCTGCCCTGCAGATACTTTCCAAAGAGTATAATTCTAAACTCATACTACCTAATACATAGCAAAGCCTTGATTGTGGGAAATAATATTTCTTTTTTTATTATACTTTAAGATCTAGGGTACATGTGCACAAAGTTCAGGTTTGTTACATATGTATACATGTGCCATGTTGGTGTGCTGTACTCATTAACTTGTCATTTACATTAGGTATTTCTATAAGAATCAATGAAGATTATGCTGTCCATCCATTCTCCTAGATTTTCTTCAAGCTACTTTTAGATCATGCTAGACTATCAGAGAACTGAGTACATAGCAAATAATCCACTGTTATTAGGTTTGCTTTTTAGAATGACATTTTTATCCTAAATTTAGAGACACTTCTATGAAAATTCTTATTTGGTTCACTCTAAGGATACTTACAGCAATGCTGCTCATTCTGTTAGACTGAGGGTTGTCTAGATTTCCTCCCTTCCTGCTCAAGGGGGCAGGTTTTTATAGGCTTCAGAATAATTCAAAAGTTTGATTTTATTGCTTTCTTTTCAGGGGGAATGCTTGTGGTTGAAACATTGATCTCTCTTACAGATTACATGGCTGGGGGATCCTGTAGGTCTATTCTATACTGGTCTGCTTTTTCACAGCATTTATCTCATTATTGGAGGGAGAATACTCTAGTTCATAATAACTATCTATTCTCATCCTTCCATTCATTCATTTATTGAGGAAATATTTACAGAACCTTCCCTATGTGCTTGTCACATTTCAAGTCATTGAAGATACAGCAGGAAAAAATTCCCTAAATGCCTGGATCTTACATTCTAATGAAGTATAAGATTGGTCCTGGCTTCCTTTAAATGAGAGTCTTCAGTAGATATTCTTTCAAATCTTGATTCCAGGAATAATTCCATCTTGATCGGGTTGTTTACCCTCTGGATAAACAAATTACTGGCTCATAGGAAACCTACAGCCAAATTTGTGTACCCTTAGCTGTTGATTATAAGTGCATGGTATACTTTTTTGTGTTCTATCTTATTTGGGGTTCCATTTATTCCCTCTGCTTTATTTTTTAACATTGCTTATAACTTGTTGTGTCACTGTGCTGTATATGTCTTGGTAAGCATCTAAAATCATTTTTGAGCACAACATTGAATATAAATCATAAAGCATACAAACAAATAAAAAATACTCTTATCTTTTTCCACTGTCCTCCAAGTTTCTCTTATTAATTCTCCTTACTAGAAGCAACTTTCTAAAAAGCCACTTCCATCATATTATAAAATTTCTCATACATTTGTTGGCTCCCCAGATAGACCCTTCATAATCTGTTCTTGTTCAGCTACCTGAATTTGGCTATTTTCCTCCCCACAGCATACGTCCTTACTTTACTGAGTAATTTGCAGATTCCCACAAGTGTTTTGCTCTCTCTCACCCCTAAGCTTTTGGATTTGCTGTTTCCTTTGTTAAAAAGCCCATCCCATCCACACCCTCTCACCTGGCTTGCTCCCATTCAATTGATGTCATCTTCTCTGGGAAGCCTTACCCACTGCCTTAGGCTTAGTTGGGTGCCCCTCCTTTGGGTTGCCATAGTATCCTCTGCTTATGTCTACCCTGTACTTATCACTGTATTATAAGTGTTAATTTGCCTGTTCTTGTCTGTCCCTAGACTGTGACCTTCTTCAGGGAGGGAGCTCTCTTTCATCTGTATGTCCCCAGGGCCTAGCCGGGTGCCCCATAGAAAGTGTTTAGGGCAGATTTGCTTGGATGACTCAGTGAAGGAGAGACATATTTCCAAAGGTTGCCTAGAAAACAAGCTCACTTCCTAAAGTGGTTCTTATCTCCCCACAGTTTCAAAATGGTTTATGATTTGCTTCTACCTTTGCAGTCAATGACTGCACCCCTCATAGTTCCACCTTTTGGAAGCTGGCTCAAAGAAGACAAAAGAGGACCCCAAGGAGAATTTAGCTAGTTCTTTTTTCAGATTATGATCACATTAACTAGCACTAAGCCTAGCACACAACAGATGCTCCATAAATATGGGTAAAATAAGTATTAGTTAAATAAATGACTCACTAATTGAATGAATGAAAGTAGAATTTTTGCTCACATAGTATAGTTGCCTTTATAGTAAGCAGAACTGATTGTTGTCTGGTGCTGGGAAACCTCTACTTGACCTCCTACACCATTGTTAATGATTGACACATTGGGGTTAAGAATTAAGAATAAAGACTGCGGTGATGGTATAACGCTGAGTGGCCTTAGTGAATAAAATTATCTGATTATTTTGTGTGTGAGTTCAGGGCACACACAATTGGATTGCCATGGGGGAACTGAGGGCAGCGTTGAGAAATGTGAAGGAGGAATCTGAAGTAGCACAAACACAGGGACAGCGAAGGATAACCCTGAACCAAATTTTAACATCTTTGCCTAAAACATGCTCTGCCAACTCAATGCGTCACTATTTCCTTCTTGCTTTCCCTGCGTGCTTCCTCCAACAAATATTTACTAAGGATTTGTCATACGTCAGGTACCTTGGAGATGCAAGAGGTAGAATGGAGAGCAAAATAAAGGCAACTACTTTTTCACAGAGTTTGCAGTCTAGTGTGGAAGACTGATAATACAGTAAGTAGAAACACAAATTATAATGAATGCTATGAAAGGGCGATTTTCAGAAGTATGAGAGCATATTACAAAATATTTTATTGGTTTTCAGAACTTCTTTGGTTCCATGGTAGGCTGTTCAAGGTTTTGTAGCCACATGGTAGTGGTTTGAGTAGGGGTCCTTGAAAAAGTTCTTGTGTTTTGTAGAAGGTTGGGGCTAAGGTTGGAGCTAAGTAAACAAATCTTCTATTGACTGAAATGTGTTGGCTCCCCTTAAGATTCCTCAGGCTGCCTAGACTCAACCATTGCTCATTGACAAAGAGTGTCAATATTTCTCACGTTATTAAATTGCTTGGCTTGTACACATGAAAACATTTGATCTCAGGAAATACCCCAGATACCACATTTCCCTTTTTAGATGTGAGAATAAAGGCAGATTAATGTGAAAATACAGAATTCATTTTTAAATTATCTATTTGGGTACCTGATAATAGCATGACCAAAACATAAATAGTATGCTGAGTATTTATCAAACCAACCCAAACTATTCAAATTGAGCGGTCACTTCTGGAAACCCCAACATGATTGAAGTAATTCTTGGAAGCTCAAAACTTGATCAAATGACTTACTATCGGTTTAAGCTTTTCATGAATCAGTTGTGGGTGGGTAAAAACAGGTTTATCAAGATTATGAAACCTGTTTTTTTTTTCTTTGTTGAAAACGTACTCAGTCTGAGACAAAGTGATACATTCTCTGAATAGAATGAGCATAAAATTTGGCTTTGGTTGCCAAATTATTATTTTATCAACAACTATTATGTATATTCCTATAAAATGTGAAATTAAGTACAGTATCACCTAAATAGGTCCCATCAGTGTTTTATATTCTTCTTAGTACTATGTCTGTAACAGCACAGGAATTGACTAATTTGGTAAGTTAGGTCAATTGCTAACACTCAGAAACAAATAAACTAAGTAGTTAAGTAAATGAAGATATAATTACTTCTATAGCATTGCATTGCAAGAAACTGAGGTGTTTGACTAAAATTTTAATTTTCAAAAGATGGAATCCTGAAGCGGAGATATAATCCAAGTGCCTGGATGTTGGCACAAGCCACTATAAAAAGGAGACTTCATTCCTTACCTACTGCTTGTGAACTATTTTATATGAAGATTTAATAATAAATAAATATTTGTAAAATTGAAATACTGCAATATGAATGGTATAAAGAAATCATAAGACAGTTTGCCTACTGTCTGGCTAGGCAAACAAGTCATTAAAAAAACACATGAAAATCTAATTAATACAACCAGGTAAAAAATGATAAATTCCAAATGAGTATTATGGTCAGTTAGTATTGGTTGAGTTCCGAGGAGGGAAAAAGAGAGAAGAATATTTGGGCCTGTCTGCTCAGAATTCAAAAAATTAATAGATGAGGCAGAGGGCATTTTGAGCAGGAGAGCAGGGCCTAAAAATGCCAATGTGTTTGAGAGATTGAGGGTAATTAGTTAATCTGGAGTGGAGATTTTGTTTTTTTGTTTTTGAGAGTAATGAAAAAAATGCCAGGAGAAATTGTAGGTTGATTTCAAGATATAGAGATTAGCATTCCTTCCCGAATAACAAAAGACAGTGATTTATTTAGAGGCCAGCCGAAAGGTAAAATATTGGGCAACCTCAAATGCTGTTTAGAAACATGTGAGTTTCTAAACTAATACAAAAAAAATAAATTTTTTTACACATAAAAATACATCCAATAGCCCTGATTTTTCAAAAACTCATTTCAATTGTGTTTAAAAAAAATGTTGTTTTGATTTTTTTCAGAAAATAAGTATCCAAAAGTGCTATTTCCTGGACTCCGTATTATATAATTCACATATTTTGTTTCAGTTAGTCCTTACAACGATCCAATGAAAACACAGTATCTTACTTAACTCTCAAAACAAGTCTGTCAGATAGAAGATATCATCATCCTCATTTAAGAGATGAAGGAATTGAACATCAGAGAGGTTTTGCAACTGCTCAAAATCATACACAGATCAAAGTCTTGGGTCTGGGCCAAGCTTGACTCCAAATCTTACGCTGGAACCACAATGCTGGCTTTAAATATAGATAGCACCAATCAACTGTGTAGGACATTCATTGCCCCAAACCCAGACCAATGCCAGGTACTATGTCAATACTTCAAAATGTTGTGTCTGTTTGAATCAATTATTTCAAGATAACATATTTTCATTGTGCAGAATCAGGTTATCAAGTTTCAGGGAACAAAATAAATAATGAAACCCAGAGACACCAAATGTTTTGGTTTTTCAATGCTAGTGGATTACGTTGGTTGTCCACAATTAGAGAGGTTTCAAATATTAATATAGAAAATGTGAAATGATTCCTCGCTCTTTCTAAAACTCCTCTCAGGCTTCTGCTTCTAGTTTAGTGGTTAAGGGTATAAGTCTGCAAGCTAGATAGATATGGTTGCACCCAGCTTTGCTCCTCTTTCTAGGTGACTAAGGGAGAATCTTTTTTACTTCTCCACATCTCAGTTTCTTCTTCTGTAGAATGGGATTAATACAATTTACTTTAGAGCACTGATGTGAGAAGGAAATGTAAAGATGTATAGAAAGTACTTTATACAGTGCCTGGCACAGAATTAATACTCAATAAATGGTAGTGATTATTAGTCATTTTGGGCAAACGGCATTGTTCCTATGAGGAAAGAACTGTTCAAAGGGAACGATGAAATCAGAGTGGATTTCCTGTTCTCTGCCTTTTAAGCTTTTCATCAAAGGCAACACAATGCAGCAGAGGCTCTGAGAACAAGCTCAAGATTGAAGCCTCCTTCTCTGATTAATGCAGTGCTTTCAGCACGAGCAAATAATGTGAAGAAGGTTAAATTCATGCATGGTTTAACTTGAACCAAAGTGGTCAAGGATCGTCACAGGCTCTGTGGAACTGAATAATTCCGGCAAGGATTGGTTAACCCCGGAACGTAGCCAAAAACAAATTTAGAGACAAAGTGTCATGAAGAAAATGGTAAAGTTTTGGCATTATGATGCCACCAGTAGCATATAAACTCATCTGATAATTCAGCTTACTTATTTAGGAATGATGACTTATACATTTAACAATTTTCTTTTCACCTCTGGAAAATCATCAGCCTAGCAATAGAATAAGTTATTCCCTCCCTGCCTATATATATATATATATATATATATATATATATATATATATATATATATATAGTGCAGGAGAGCAGGTCCCAAAAATGCCCATGTGTATATATCTATAGATATGTATAGATATATAGACAGGGGATCAGAGATAAGGGTAATGAGAGGGATAGTTCTGTATACAAATATGTGATAATATCATATATTCTTGTATCACCTTAGAAATCAGTAAGTGCATTAAAATACATTATCTTACTATATTATCACAGATCAAGGGAAGAAAATGAGGCCAATAGAGGTTACAGACTTGTTCAAGGGTACACATCAAACCTAGTGAAAAAAACCTCCATTAAAAGCCTGACCTTGAACTTAGGTTCAGCTAATTTTGCATCATATTACAGTGCCTGAGCAGTGACTCTTACTAACTTTTATGTAGTGCTTCACACACTATAAGCCATTCTGTGTACATATTCCAACCTAATTCTCACATTATTATAGAAGCAGAGTAAGTCTTTTCCTCACTTTAAGGACCAGGAAATAACATCAGATTGAAAGGCAAAGATTTGCACTTTATGGCTTTAAATACCACGCATTTACTAATTCAGCATATATCACTGAATACCTCTTACATAGCAGGAACTTCTCTAGATAATGAAAGTAGGTGGGGAATATGACAAATTCTTTGCCTTATGGAGCTCAGATGCTAGTCGGAGAGATGAACAATAAGCAAATTAACCAATAAAAATATTAGTTAATGTCAGACAAGGTAAGTAGCATCAAGACAAAGAAAAGGGCATGATGGGTACAGAGAAGGGGTTATTTTTGGTAGAGTGAAAGTAAGGCTTTTTAAAGCTGAAACATTTGAATAGAGACCTGAATGAAGTGACCAGCAAGCCAGAAGAACAAGCGAGGCTTTCCAGGAAAGGGAAAGTCAAGGTCAAAGGCACTCCAGCTTGGTGTGCTGGAGAAACCACAAGATGACCAGGCAAGAGAAGGCTTTGTCTGAATACGAGGTGATGAGTTTGGAGTGATAGGCAAAGCATTGGAACAGGTAGGGCTTTGTCATAGTGCATCATGACTTTTTTAAAACAGATCTCACTGGGTTGGAAAAAAATAACTCAAGCATGATGGTCATAAGCCCTTGCACATTTCCTTTTACTATCAATTCATTTATCTTTCTGTCCTTGACATAATTCTTCCAAGCCACTTCCACTTTTACCAGCTTCTCGCATATCATTGAGGGCCAGCTGAGCAGTGATTTCAGTATCATGACTATTTTAATGTTGTGTGTAGCCATCTCATAAGCAGGAGGTCATGTCTCTTGTATTTTGACTTTGTAGTTACTTGTCATGAGCAAATAGTTTTAAAGAACTGGGGGACCTGAATTTAGTATCCCCAAAGTTCTTCCAAGCTAAGTGTATAACACAAAACAAAGTAGAATCTATGAAAATAAAGACATTTAACAGTGCCAGAGGAAAAGCACTCCCGTAGTATAACTGCAGTTATACTATGCATTTATATAGATTCATTGGAAATCAAGTTTTCAAGAGAAATTGCTGGTGATATCAACTTGATTATTTTGCCAACATGGAGAAGCCAGACAAGAAACTGAGAATCAAGGTTATATAATGGGACCATCAATTTATCTTGTAAATTTTTAACTGTTACGTATTAACTATTACATGTTAACAGTTTAACCTCTTATGTATTTCTTTTAAGCTTTGTTTTATCTCCAGCATTTGTATAGCAAATGTCAAAGTAGCAAAGGCTCTCTCTATTAGCTAGCTCTGATTAAAACACAACTACTAACAAGGAGTGTATTGGGTAATGTCAAATAAATGTCTTAGTGTCTTTACCATATAATTAGTGAGTTTCTAACCTAACTTATTAAGAAGCCAGCTATGAGTCCAGCTGCATAGATAAGGAGCAACTATGTGACAATGCTATTTGATATGAGGTGGAACAGTCCCAAAAGATACAGCTGCAGGAATGGAGGCGACTATTTTTACAAACGAGTCAACATGTAAAAAATTACAGGAAGATTTGTATTTAACAGGCAGCATGGCTTCCTATATTATTTTAAAGGTTTGCTCTGAATATGGGAAGTGCTGGTCCATTTAAAGTTTCAGGATGACTATATGGCCCTTTATATTTGCAAAAGATTTCTTCAGAGGGACTTCAAATCTTGAAATCAAAAGGTGCCTAGCATCCTGTAATTTCCTCTTAAAGGGTAGTAAGTGGTCATTTTAAGTGATGCTTTCAGGGTTGGTTAGAGTGTTTCTGAAAGGCAGTCACCAGCCACCTGATGCCTTAGCCAGGGCTCCTCTCCCTTTTCCTTCAGTCCTTCTGGCTGATTGACTCAGCACCATGCTGCATCTTTCTAAGCATCTAACCACGGACTCACTCAGGATCATGGGATCTCAGTTCCTGTGGGGGCCTCTTATCACCATCCCCCTGCAAGGAAACCAGTATCCGTGACTGTATGTGAAATGCAAGAGGGACACACACTGCTTGGTCCTTTTTCTCCCCTTTCCTCTGCTCCTACTACATCCATAATTCAACCGCACCAGCTTAGGCACACCATGCCAGCAGCAGCCAAGTACATTTAAATTAAAAGTATTCATAGATATATATATACATAAATATGTGTGTGTGTGTATGAATATATATTGTATGATTTTAAGTGAACAGATAAACTATGTATTTATTGTGAATCAGAGCATATTTTGAAATATATATACATTGTAGAATGTTTAAATCTAGCTAATTAAAATATGCATTACCTGACATAGTTATTTTTGTGGTGAGAACAGTTAATATCCACTCTCTAAGCATTTTTTTCAGAATACAAGATATCATCATTAACTATAGTCACCATGCTGTGCAACAGATCTCTTGAACTTATTTGTTCTATCTAACTGTAATTTTAAAAAGACAAAAGATGAGAAATGCTGGCAAAAATGTGGATAAAAGGGAGCCCTTGCAAACTGTTGGTGGGAACATAAATTAGTATGGCCATTATGGAAAACGGATGGAGTTTTCCCCAAAAATTAAAAATAGAATTATCATATGATCTAGCAATTCTGCTATTGGGTATATATCTGAAGGAAATGAAATCAGTATGTTGAAGAGACATCTGCACACTCAATGATTATTACAGCACTATTCACGAAGCCAAGCTATGGAATCAACCTAAATGTCAATGAATGAATGGATAAAGAAAATTTGGTGTAGATACATAGTGAAATACTATTCAGCCATAAAAAAGAAGGAAATCCTGTCATTTGAAACAACATGGATGAACTCAGAGGATATTATGTGAAGTGAAACAAAATATCAGGCACAGAAAGACAAATACCATATTATCTCAGTCACATGGAATCTATAAAAGTGGATCTCCTAAAAATATAGAGTATAATGGTGGTTACCAGAGGCTGGGGCAGTTGGAAGGTGAGGTGAGAAGATGTCGGCCAAAGGATACAAAATGACAACTGCACTTTTAAAAACATCCCTGGTAATCTGTTTCGCCAAGGATAATGTGGATTCAAGTGTGTGTTTAAACAGAATTAGAAACATGTTTATCATAAGAACCTCATAGATCAGTTGCAAATACCTAAATTATTGGAGGTCAAAGAGCTACTAGCTTTGGGTTTTCAGAACTCTTTCATGTACAAAACTTCCTTCTATTTCAAAAGACCCCTGCCAGGCAGGTGTAAAAGGCATTTACAATGGAGAATAACATTCTTCTATTTCATAAGTAAGGTAACTAACTTTCAGAGATGGACCCCCAGCTCCAACTCCAACCAAAAAGCAAATACTTTTATCTTGATTTAAGCCTGCTTCCCTCCTGCTATATTAATTTGAATAAAACTATTTGGTGACCATTTATAAAAGAGATGAGTCATAGGATAGAAAAAAATGTGGCTCTCCCATGTTTATTGAAGCTCTATTCACAAAAGCAAAGGTATTAAATAAGCCTAAATGTCCATCAACAGATGAATGAATAAAGAAAATGTGATATATACGCACAGTGGAATATTATTTAGCCTTAAAAAAATGGAATCTTGTCATTTGTGGCAACATGGATGAGTCTGGAGGACATTCTGTTAAGTGAAATAAGTCAGGCACAGAAAAAAAAATAGTGCATGTCCTCACTCAGATGCGGGAGGTAAAAAAATTGAACTCATAGAATTAGAGTAGAATGGGTGTTATTAGCGTCTGGGAATGGTCAAGATGGGGAAGAGAGGATAAGAAGAGGTTTGTTAATGGATACAAAATTAAAGCTAGATGGGATAAATAAGTTCTAGAGTTTTGTAGCATTGTAGGGTGAATATAGTTAACAGTAATTTAGCATATTTTTCAAAAAACTAGAAGAGAGAATTTTAAACATTTATAACACAAAGACATAATAAATATTTGAGGGGATAGATATGCTAACTACTCTGATTTGATCCTTATACATGTTGTACACATGTATCAGAAATTCACACTGTATCCCAGAAATATGTACAGTTGTTATATGTCAACTAAAAATAAATGATTCCGAAGATCATATGAGGCAGAAACAAATTTTTAAATAATAAATGAAAAAAGTCTCAATAAAATGGTAATAATGACCAAGGTTTGTTGAGCACTTACTACACATTTTGAAGTTTCCATGGACTTTACACTGGACCTTAGTTTTGGTGTATGATCATCAAGGTTCTTAAATAGCATGAGAAGTTACGATAAACACTTGACAAGTATAAGAAATATGTGAACATATTACTGAATTTGAATATATTTGAAAGGATTAAAAAATATTATTTAACACAACATATAACTCTTACATTTTTCTCTAAATATTAATGGAAGTTGTTTTGATAGCTACTTATTGCTTTTATTGAGTGATCAATTCACCAGTTATCAAGATTTAGAAATTATTATTATTATAATCATTTAAAATTTTTGGTCACATGCATTTTATAGATACAAATTTGACCCAGATGTTTGTCATTTTGATCCCATTTATTGATCCAAACAAAAAATTCAATTAAGCCAGAGAACCACCTCAAGGTTGGCTTCCTATTAATTTTTGTGTTGAATTTCTTCCCAGTTTTTACCCATCCAAATTACATGAGATCTGAGCAGCTAGAATAGGACACAAATGAGAAAAATAGAAATGACATCAAATTAAAGAAAGGTTGAGAAGAATAACCACTAATGCTATAAAAGGTAAGTTTGGAGGGAGAATAACATGATGGGTAAATGCTTGTAGCTAGAGAGCCAAAATATACATTCTCCTTCTTCCTGGGCACACAGCTTTCCCATGTTTCCCAGCCTTCCTTGCAGCCAGATGTGGCCACCTGACTGAAATCATGCCAGTGAAATTTGGGCAGAAGTTACGAGTGCCACCATGTTCTTTCTCCATCCTGAAGACTATAATGGAGAAGATCATGCCGATCTTGGAAGAAAGGCATGAGTTGAAAATGGCAGAGTCAGCCTTAGCCTAGTTTTCTCAATGATTCTGCATGGAGCAGAGTCATTGCTGACGTAAAGCCTCTGTCTCAGCCTGTTTCATAAGAAAAATAAACTTCTGCTTTACAACATTACTGATTTGGGGGAGTTTAATGGCGTAGTTTAATGTAGCTTAGCCTACTCTGATACATATAGTTTATGTTGTTAATTCAGGGAAAATCAACATAAAAGGCATGGGATACAGATAGAGTATTAGAAAGCAGAATATGGAAGCATACTTCCCAATAAAATACAGAATACAGAAAAATACTACATGAGTTTAAATGCTTTAGTCATATTTGAGGAAAAGTCTAATACATTTGAATTAAAATATATGGTGCAGGGCCAGGCATGGTGGTGGGTGCCTGTTATCCCAGCTACTCGGGAGGCTGAGGCAGGAGAATCACTTGAACCTGGGAGGCAGAGGTTGCAGTGAGCCGAGATGGTGCCATTGCACTCCAGCCTGGGCGACAAGAGCGAAACTCTGTCTCAAAAGAAAAAAAATTATATATATATATGTGTGTGTGTTTGTGTATAATGGTTTTACATATATTATGGTTATATATATATATATTATATATATATATATAAAATATATATAGTACAATAAAGACACATGTTCTGGACCTATTCTCTGGACTGCTATATTTCACAGACATGGTCAAATAAATGTACTAGTATCTTGGAAACTGCCAGTGATTGCTGAAAAGGCAATAACAACATTTTGGGAGGGAAATGTAGGAGCGTCACATTTTGCTAAATCTAAGAATTAGTTAATCTTCAATTTAACCAACAGCTCCATCTAGTCTATTGAGAAAGACTAACTTTGTTCTTATTCCTCCCTCCAAGGTAATAAACTGCCTTTTCTTTCAAGCTAGGGAATCCTAAATTGTATCCAGTGGCCTCATATTCCTTCAATTTTTCAATAGCTACTTTAAAAAAATGTCGTTTAGGGTTTGCTGTTGTAGGCCCACATGATTTAAAAACAAATTCAATAAATACTTTTAGACACTTTTGGAAATAATCCTCTTAACTTTATATTTAGTTTTAGATATTTTTATCTTTCATTGTGACTAATTCTTTGGTTTTACAGGCATGGCTTCTCTACCTAATGCATATAAATAATGTGCTGAATTGACGCTTAGAAAATTCAGTCCTAATAATGCATATGAACACATAACCCATCTTTAAGAAGAGGGTCACTAATATTAGCCAGATTTTTGAGGCATGTTTCACATCTTCACTCAATATGTGTTTCAAAGGTGATGAAGTTAGGAAGAAATATAATTTCTTTAATAATAGATCAAAACAAGTAAAGTGTTAAAATAAAAAGCCTAAAATGTGGGATTTCTTTTGGGAATTATTACAATATCAGTTAGATAAAACATGTTTGGACATTTCTAAAGATAAAGTGAAAAACATCTCTTAATTCACTGGAGGGAAGAGAAATCCCAACATAGTGATACAGGTACCAAAACAGAAGAATCAACTGCTTAGCAACTGAAGCCATGGAAGCAGTTGATTGGGAATATGCACAATCGACATTAAGTCCTGCCACTCAGATAGTAAATCACCTGCCCTTAAGAACAGAAGAGATTCCCACTGGATGTGTCCCCGCCTTGTAAAAAAATTATGAAAGCTCACCATTTCTTCCCTCTGTAAACATACACAAGACAAAACATTGGAAAAACATGTACGTGGAGAAAAAGAATCAAATTTCATAAAACACATAGACACATCTGCATAAACTTCAGAATGAATTGCTATTTCATTCTGCAATTTTCAAGGGCTCACAAACTAAGATGCTGAAGAAAAGTGGAGGTGCTGACTTCTGCAAAGGGCATCAAATCAAAATCAGATTGTAAACTCAAAATGAAAATTAGATTGTAAAATTCAGTTTGGAGACAAGAAATAAAGAATTTTAAATGACGGCACAGGTGAAAAACAAAAGTATTGGAAGGAAAATATCAATGTGATACATTTTTAAATATGCTAGTCAGGAGGACCCATACGAAAGGCTCTCAACATGATTGTTCTTTGTTTCTATATGTTTCAGTAACTGGTACTGATGAAGCACAATCAAATTCCAAAAAAATGGGATATAAGAGGAATTGTATTTATATGTCCAGTTTAGCATTAGCTGTAATCAGCGAAACATTGATAATGAGATTAAAAGGATCTTAGACAGAAGATCTAAACTGTTCTTGATTAATAACAAGTAAAATGAAGCCCAAAAACTGCCTTGTCTAAGGTGACCACAACCAGTTCTGGCAGAACTGACTGAAAATTCACCCTTAGTCCAGTCCTCTTTCCTCTATATCTCATCTGTATTCCTTGAGGCCACCTCTAATAGTAGATCAAGGAATTTTAAAATATTTGTATTTTTCTATTGCTCATGATATTGTCATTTTAGTAATATAATAATAATAATGGCCACTATGAGTTTTTGAGCATCTACCATATAATCTGATAAAGATATAACTACTCCAGTTTATTATGTAATTTTGTTATAATCTCATTTTGCAGATGGGAAAACTATGGCTCAGAAAATTAAATAACTTGTGCAATGGCATATAGCAGAGCTGGAATTGAGATAGAACTATATCTGAATCTAAACTCTATATTCTTTATACTATGCATCAGTGCCTCTTCTGATATTTTTATGTTTTTTGGGGGGACATATCAAGAAATCCAAAGCAGAACTGATGATTGAAAGCTTGGCTAATCCCTCCAGAATCTGCTGTGCAGCCATCCAAACATCATCAAAAACTGATTTTTCTAATCTAGATTATTTGAGATCCTGCTTCTAAAATGGCCATCCCAACGAGAAACATTCGCAGCTTCACATAGAAAGAATAAATAAATTTATTTTTTAAAATCATGATAAAACAGTAGTCACCGAGAGAAAGACTGGTGAAAATTTTATGATCTGGTAAAAAATCTCTGCAGGCTGATGATTATACTATCCTAGCTGACATAGATTATGTCAGCCTTGCAGATGGTGTTTAAAAAAATAACCCTATGTGTATATGAGATCAAAACACCAAGATTGAATTTAACCCAGATGCTTGGCACTATGTAGACAAAACCTATGTCATATCTTCCATTTACTGTTGGGAGGCAGCAGAAGAAGGGTGTGACTACCCACAGTTGTTAACGGAATAATATTTCCAAGAAAGCTTGCATTAATGTTTTAGCTTTTTTTCCCTCCCTCCTCTGTTTAAATTCCTAAAATGCATCAGACCTCATGAGTTTCAGGCAGACATACTCCGTTAGGAGTTGAAGGAAGATTTGCACATTTCCTCTCTGACATGTGGACAAGCAGACGCTCAATTGCAGGGCTTCGACTGCTGACTGGCTTTCTTTGTCTTCATTCACACATACATCCTGGCCAAATTCCCACTGAAAATGCCACTGCAGAGCCTGAAAAGTTTTTGGAATGACTCTCATGGCTTTCCATCTCCTCGACAGAAAGAGAAAACTTAGTCCTACTTCAAAAAAGAAGAAAAGAAAGAAAGAAAGAAAGAAAGAAAGATTGAAGACAGGCTTCATGATCAGCACAAACATCATGAAAGCACTTAGAGATAATGGGTTAAGTGTAACTGAATCAGAAACATACCGATTTGGCAGTAATCTCATTCATAAAATGTTGGAGTGCTTGTAGGTGATGCCAAGTTAAACAGGATGATGGACTCTACACAATACATGTTTGCAACACGAATGGGTCCTCGGTTCAAGGCCACCCACTTCCAGGTGGCAGGAAGCGGGGGCAGCTGCCCCATCTCTGGAGGGTCAGATAGATTTCCTGCTCACACAGACAGATATCCTAGGCCATGAAAGAGAGATAGAGTCCTTGTTCTTGGTGTTACATGATCCATGATGGAAGAAATGTTTACCCTTAGACTGTGGCATGGCTTGTAATTAATTTGTGATCCTTGGGGCAAGTGAAGGAATAGGTGTGTAGTAGAAATATTTTACACTTTCCTTAATGACTATGGCCTTAAATAGCTGAATATTGGGAGAAATATTAATGAGGTAAGCAGACATTTCAAAGCCATTTGACATATATGACACCTTCGTCCAGCATCCAGATATTTTGTCTCCTTCCAAGCCACTTTCTGCTTACTTCTTTGTATAGTGTGCTGTTCATGCCGAGACCAGACATCATCAGATGTGATGTGAGGACCCGCTGGCTCAACATGTCTTCATACTGTTGGCATCCATGACTTAGAACACTAGGGAAGACCCAGTGGCACAAGCAGTAGGTAATTGTCTCATAGAGAGAGGATTAGTTGAATGTCTTCTGGTATTTAAGTTACAAAAGATTACATTTGTAGGAAAGGACTTTTCATAGTGTGATTTTGATTATGAGTAATTATAAAAGAATAATAAATATAATATCGAATACCAATTAGTTAATTCTGATTGAATCAGTAATACTAATAGTTACCATTATGTCTCAGGCATTCTCCTAAGTACTTCACACTTATTAACTTGTTTAGTCTTCACAAAAACCCATACTCATTTAGAGATAAGGAAATTAAGACACAGAGAGATTAGGTTACCTGTCCAAGTTCACTCCAGCAGGAAAGTAGTAAAGGCATACTTCAAGTCTAGTCAGTCTGGCCCAAGAGTGTGCAAAATTTTCTGTTTATAGCTTAGTATTCAGCACTGAGCTAGATACAGATGAAAAACTAGGATGGAGGAGGAGCCAAGATGGCCAAACAGGAACAGCTCTGGTCTACAGCTCCCAGCGTGAGCGACGTAGAAGACGGGTGATTTCTGCATTTCCATCTGAGGTACCGGGTTCATCTCACTAGGGAGTGCCAGACAGTGGGCGCAGGTCAGTGGGTGCGCGCACCGTGCGCGAGCCGAAGCAGGGCGAGGCATTGCCTCACTTGGGAAGCGCAAGGGGTCAGGGAGTTCCCTTTCCGAGTCAAAGAAAGGGGTGACGGACAGCACCTGGAAAATCGGGTCACTCCCACCCGAATACTGCGTTTTTCCGACGGGCTTAAAAAATGGCGCACCACAAGATTATATCCCGCACCTGGCTCAGAGGGTCCTACGCCCACGGAGTCTTGCTGATTGCTAGCACAGCAGTCTGAGATCAAACTGCAAGGTGGCAGCAAGGCTGGGGGAGGGGTGCCCACCATTGCCCAGGCTTGATTAGGTAAACAAAGCAGCCAGGAAGCTGGAACTGGGTGGAGCCCACCACAGCTCAAGGAGGCCTGCCTGCCTCTGTAGGCTCCACCTCTGGGGGCAGGGCACAGACAAACAAAAAGACAGCAGTAACTTCTGCAGACTTAAATGTCCCTGTCTGACAGCTTTGAAGAGAGCAGTGGTTCTCCCAGCACGCAGATGGAGATCTGAGAACGGGCAGACTGCCTCCTCAAGTGGGTCCCTGACCCCTGACCCCCGAGCAGCCTAACTGGGAGGCACCCCAGCAGGGGCACACTGACACCTCACACGGCAGGGTATTCCAACAGACCTGCAGCTGAGGGTCCTGTCTGTTAGAAGGAAAACTAACAAACAGAAAGGACATCCACACCAAAAACCCATCTGTACATCACCATCATCAAAGACCAAAAGTAGATAAAACCACAAAGATGGGGAAAAAACAGAACAGAAAAACTGGAAACTCTAAAAAGCAGAGCGCCTCTCCTCCTCCGAAGGAACGCAGTTCCTCACCAGCAAGGGAACAAGCTGGATGGAGAATGACTTTGATGAGCTGAGAGAAGAAGTCTTCAGACGATCAAATTACTCTGAGCTACGGGAGGACATTCAAACCAAAGGCAAAGAAGTTGAAAACTTTGAAAAAAATTTAGAAGAATGTATAACTAGAATAACCAATACAGAGAAGTGCTTAAAGGAGCTGATGGAGCTGAAAACCAAGGCTCGAGAACTACGTGAAGAATGTAGAAGCCTCAGGAGCCAATGCGATCAACTGGAAGAAAGGGTATCAGCAATGGAAGATGAAATGAATGAAATGAAGTGAGAAGGGAAATTTAGAGAAAAAAGAATAAAAAGAAACGAGCAAAGCCTCCAAGAAATATGGGACTATGTGAAAAGACCAAATCTACGTCTGATTGGTGTACCTGAAAGTGATGGGGAGAATGGAACAAGTTGGAAAACACGCTGCAGGATATTATCCAGGAGAACTTCCCCAATCTAGCAAGGCAGGCCAACGTTCAGATTCAGGAAATACAGAGATACTCCTCGAGAAGAGCAACTCCAAGACACATAATTGTCAGATTCACCAAAGTTGAAATGAAGGAAAAAATTTAAGGGCAGCCAGAGAGAAAGGTTGGGTTACCCTCAAGGGGAAGCCCATCAGACTAACAGTGGATCTCTCGGCAGAAACCCTACAAGCCAGAAAAGATGGGGGCCAATATTCAACATTCTTAAAGAAAAGAATTTTCAACCCAGAATTTGATATTCAGCCAAACTAAGCTTCATAAGTGAAGGAGAAATAAAATACTTTACAGACAAGCAAATGCTGAGAGATTTTGTCACCACCAGGCCTGCCCTAAAAGAGCTCCTGAAGGAAGCGCTAAATATGGAAAGGAAAAACAGGTACCAGCCGCTGCAAAATCATGCCAAAATGTAAAGACCATCGAGACTAGGAAGAAACTGCATCAACTAACGAGCAAAATAACCAGCTAACATCATAATGACAGGATCAAATTCACACATAACAATATTAACTTTAAATGTAAATGGACTAAATGCTCCAATTAAAAGACACAGACTGGCAAATTGGATAAAAAGTCAAGACCCATCAGTGTGCTGTATTCAGGAAACCCATCTCACGTGCAGAGACACACATAGGCTCAAAATAAAAGGATGGAGGAAGATCTACCAAGCAAATGGAAAACAAAAAAAGGCAGGGGTTGCAATCCTAGTCTTGGATAAAACAGACTTTAAACCAACAAAGATCAAAAGAGACAAAGAAAGCCATTACATAATGGTAAAGGGATCAATTCAACAAGAAGAGCTAACTATCCTAAATATATATGCACCCAATACAGGAGCACCAAGATTCATAAAGCAAGTCCTGAGTGACCTACAAAAGAGACTTAGACTCCCACACATTAATAATGGGAGACTTTAACACCCCACTGTCAACATTAGACAGATCAACAAGACAGAAAGTCAACAAGAATACTCAGGAATTGAACTCAGCTCTGCACCAAGCGGACCTAATAGACATCTACAGAACTCTCCACCCCAAATCAACAGAATATACATTTTTTTCAGCACCACACCACACCTATTCCAAAATTGACCACATACTTGGAAGTACAGCTCTCCTCAGCAAATGTAAAAGAACAGAGATTATAACAAACTATCTCTCAGACCACAGTGCAATCAAACTAGAACTCAGGATTATGAATCTCACTCAAAACTGCTCAACTACATGGAGACTGAACAACCTGCTCCTGAATGACTACTGGGTACATAACGAAATGGAGGCAGAAATAAAGATGTTCTTTGAAACCAACGACAACAAAGACACAACATACCAGAATCTCTGGGACGCATTCAAAGCAGTGTGTAGAGGGAAATTTATAGCACTAAATGCCCACAAGAGACAGCAGGAAAGATCCAAAATTGACACCCTAACATCACAATTAAAAGAACTAGAAAAGCAAGAGCAAACACATTCAAAAGCTAGCAGAAGGCAAGAAATAACTAAAATCACAGCAGAACTGAAGGAAATAGAGACACAAAAAACCCTTCAAAAAATTAATGAATCCAGGAGCTGGTTTTTGGAAAGGATCAACAAAATTGATAGACCACTAGCAAGACTAATAAAGAAAAAAAGAGAGAAGAATCAAATAGACACAATAAAGAATGATAAAGGGGATATCACCACCAATCCCACAGAAATACAAACTACCATCAGAGAATACTACAAACACCTCTACACAAATAAACTAGAAAATCTAGAAGAAATGGATAAATTCCTCAACACATACACTCTCCCAAGACTAAACCAGGAAGAAGTTGAATCTCTGAATAGACCAATAACAGGCTCTGAAATTGTGGCAATAATCAATAGCTTACCAACAAAAAAGAGTCCAGGACAAGATGGATTCACAGCCGAATTCTACCAGAGGTACAAGGAGGAACTGATACCATTCCTTCTGAAACTATTCCAATCAATAGAAAAAGAGGGAATCCTCCCTAACTCATTTTATGAGGCCAGCATCATTCTGATACCAAAGCCAGGCAGAGACACAACAAAAAAAGAGAATTTTGACCAATATCCTTGATGAACATTGATGCAAAAATCCTCAATAAAATACTGGCAAAACAAATCCAGCAGCACATCCAAAAGCTTATCCACCATGATCAAGTGGGCTTCATCCCTGGGATGCAAGGCTGGTTCAATATACGCAAATCAATAAATGTAATCCAGCATATAAACAGAGCCAAAGACAAACACCACATGATTATCTCCATAGATGCAGAAAAAGCCTTTGACAAAATTCAACAACCCTTCATGCTAAAAATTCTCAATGAATTAGGTATTGATGGGACGTATTTCAAAATAATAAGAGCTATCTATGACAAACTCACAGCCAATATCATACTGAATGGGCAAAAACTGGAAGTATTCCCTTTGAAAACTGGCACAGGACAGGGATGCCCTCTCTCACCACTCCTATTCAACATAGTGTTGGAAGTTCTGGCCAGGGCAATTAGGCAGGAGAAGGAAATAAAGGGTATTCAATTAGGAAAAGAGGAAGTCAAATTGTCCCTGTTTGCAGATGACATGATTGTATATCTAGAGAACCCCATTGTCTCAGCCCAAAATCTCCTTAAGCTGATAAGCAACTTCAGCAAAGTCTCAGGATACAAAATCAATGTACAAAAATCACAAGCATTCTTATACACCAACAACAGAGAAACAGAGAGCCAAATCATGAGTGAACTCCCATTCACAATTGCTTCAAAGAGAATAAAATACCTGGGAATCCAACTTACAAGGGATGTGAAGGACCTCTTCAAGGAGAACTACAAACCACTGCTCAATGAAATAAAAGAGGATACAAACAAATGGAAGAACATTCCATGCTCATAGGTAGGAAGAATCAATATCGTGAAAATGGCCATAGTGCCCAAGGTAATTTACAGATTCAATGCCATCCCCATCAAGCTACCAATGCCTTTCTTCACAGAATTGGAAAAAACTACTTTAAAGTTCATATGGAACCAAAAAAGAGCCCGCATCGCCAAGTCAATCCTAAGCCAAAAGAACAAAGCTGGAGGCATCACGCTACCTGACTTCAAACTATACTACAAGGCTACAGTAACCAAAACAGCATGGTAGTGGTACCAAAACAGAGATATAGATCAATGGAACAGAACAGAGCCCTCAGAAATAATGCCGCGTATCTACAACTATCTGATCTTTGACAAACCTGACAAAAACAAGCAATGGGGAAAGGATTCCCTATTTAACAAATGGTGCTGGGAAAACTGGCTAGCCATATGTAGAAAGCTGAAACTGGATCCCTTCCTTACACCTTATACAAAAATCAATTCCAGATGGATTAAAGACTTAAACGTTAGACCTAAAACCATAAAAACCCTAGAAGAAAACCTAGGCATTACCATTCAGGACATAGGCATGGGCAAGGACTTCATGTCTAAAACACCAAAAGCAATGGCAACAAAAGCCAAAATTGACACATGGGATCTAATTAAACTAAAGAGCTTCTGCACAGCAAAAGAAACTACCATCAGAGTGAACAGGCAACCTACAAAATGGGAGAAAATTTTTGCAACCTACTCATCTGACAAAGGGCTAATATCCAGAATCTACAATGAACCCAAACAAATTTACAAGAAAAAAACAAACAACCCCATCAAAAAGTGGGCAAAAGACATGAACAGACACTTCTCAAAAGAAGACATTTATGCAGCCAAAAAACACATGAAAAAATGCTCATCATCACTGGCCATCAGAGAAATGCAAATCAAAACCACAATGAGATTCCATCTCACACCAGTTAGAATGGCGATCATTAAAAAGTCAGGAAACAACAGGTGCTGGAGAGGATGTGGAGAAATAGGAACACTTTTACACTGTTGGTGGGAATGTAAACTAGTTCAACCATTGTGGAAGTCAGTGTGGCGATTCCTCAGGGATCTAGAACTGGAAATACCATTTGACCAAGCCATCCCATTATTGGGTATATACCCAAAGGACTATAAATCATGCTGCTATAAATACACATGCACACGTATGTTTATTGCGGCATTATTCACGATAGCAAAGACTTGGAACCAACCCAAATGTCCAACAATGATAGACTGGATTAAGAAAATGTGGCACATATACACCATGGAATACTATGCAGCCATTAAAAATGATGAGTTCATGTCCTTTGTAGGGACATGGATGAAATTGGAAATCATCATTCTCAGTAAACTATTGCAAGAACAAAAAACCAAACACCGCATATTCTCACTCATAGGTGGGAACTGAACAATAAGATCACATGGACACAGGAAGGGGAATATCACACTCTGAGGACTGTTGTGGGGTGGGGGGAGGGGGGAGGGATAGTATTGGGAGATATACCTAATGCTAGATGACGAGTTAGTGGGTGCAGCGCACCAGCATGGCACATGTATACATATGTATCTAACCTGCACAATGTGCACATGTACCCTAAAACTTAAAAGTATAATAATAATAAATAAATTAAAAAAAAAAGAAAAACTAGGATGTACCCGTATGAAACAATAAGACAGATTTGTTTTAACAAAATGAGCAGGAATTGTATTGAAATTTAGTCACCTTTGGAAGAATGACAAAGTGCCACTCTTTAAAATGTGTGTCACTACCCACCAGTGTTGCCTCCATAGCTGATCTATAAATCACACAAGAAAATCAACTCTCAATTATTTAGATTCTCACTTTATTTTTCACTAGAAACTGTATTGTCCTTCTACTTACTAAACGATTCATAAGTCCATTCTCCAAATGACTCCTGGCCATTTCAAAAGCCCGTATCTATCTTCAAAATTCAAAGATTTGTCATTAAGCATAAAAAAGATTCTAAGGTTTCAGATGAGGTGTAGGTTCTTAGGACAGGCCTCCAGATATTTTTGAGTTGTAGCAGCTGCCTTGCCATGCATGTGCACTGGAGCATGGTGGCTGTTTGTCAGCTGAGGGCTCTCACTGGAATTCCTAAGTTCAAGTTTCTTGAGGCAAATTATTTCTCTAACTTTATGGTCAAATATCATTTATAGGTACCCACAGGGCTTTACTTTCTTATTGGGGAGGTAATCTTAGACATGAAAAAGCAATCAGGGAACAATGCATGGAAGATGAAAGCCAAGGGCCAACATATATAGTATAATATAATTAAAAAGTTATATGGGAAATCATGATGGTGGAAGAGAATGCTGAAAGCAACCAATAAGTCATGAAGGCTTCACGTAAGGGGTGACTCTTGCCTGAGCCATAAGTTGAAAGGAGCATTTGGACATCATCTTAATCATTGTGTTAAGAACTATTAACATGGTGAATGGTTGATACCTATTTGATGACTGACTCTTAATTCCTGGCACTCCCATGTTTGCTGAAACCTTAAGTGACATGAACTTTTGTTAACTTCTATCCCTAATCAGTCCAAAAACTGTGTTATGTTTCTCTTCACTGATGTAGAAAAAGCAGGAGGAAAAATAACATTCTTAGAAAGTGATTAGGAAAAGTTTTGTGTACCTGCTATTTAGAATGTGAGCCCTACCAAGGAGAGACAGGACTTAAAAGTGTTCTTTACAACACATGTTATGCTGGAAAATGTTTGCTAGAGTTGCTACTCTAGAATGAGTTGTGGGATCACAAAGATGACTCTTGATAATACTGGAAATAGTTAAATATGCAAGGATGATAGTGACTATTTCCCTCCAGAGACAGACCTTAATTATTCAGATCCAACAAGATTCTGGTTACATTATAGTGATAGTGGCATAATTCTGTTAACTAGTAATTTCCTAGTTGACATCAATATCAAAATTCTGAGAAACCTTTTACTGATTTAGTCATGCACCAGTAGATTGAATACCAATGACCAAATCACTGACTCTAACATATAAACATCCTTGAGGTTATGTTGGTTAAACAATCTGAAGATGAATTGACGTGGTTTTGAGGACCTTTAAGTTTCCCTTTGTTTCTTCAGGTATGACTTTCTGTATGTAATTATATTTGGTTATAAATTATAATTGGACTATTTGATCACAAAGTATTTCTCCTTCCTTCCTTCCTCCCTTCCTTTCTTCCTTTTTTCCTTCCTTGCTTCCTTCTCTCCATCCCTCCTTCCTTTCTTCCCTCCCTCCCTTCCTTTCTTCTTTTTCTTTCCTTTCTTTCTTCCTCCCCTCCTATCAGGACACCTCCAAGCCATAATGGTAAAAGATCATTAATTACGAATGAGATGTAACTAATCCACTGGAGCAAAAACAAGATTCATCTTAATACAGTGCCACTGGTTGGGCTGTGTTGAAAGCATTCGCAGGATTTGTAAATAACGATTCAATATGATGAGTTGCCATGAGGTGACCACAAAAAAGGTGAATGAAAGAATTGTTTAAAGAAACACTGTGTCAGGATGGCATTTGTTTTTTCCTGTTGGCACACAAGAGCACATGCACCAGCTCAAACTAAAATGTCAGGTATAATACATTCTAAAATCAGGAGAAGTTTAATGAACTAGACTATGGCTATGATTGTGACTAAAAAACTATTCACTAAGTTTCTGCTGTGTATAGGGTTAGTAATGAGGGCATATAAAGACTGCAGAGATGCCTTTCAAGTTGCTTATAACACAGATGGATGAATAATGCATGAAGTCATCCTTAACATGAGGCTAGTTAATATACAACAGTGGAAATGCTAACTAGACTGATCATAGAATTAGGGTGTGCTTGGGGACATTTTTAATGGGAGATAGATCTAACCATAGATTTAAAAAAATACTGTTAGCTTTTTGCCAGGAATATATCATTCTTCCCTCTAATTCCGTTGGAGGTGCCAACAGACTCCCTCCCACTGTCACAGGAGATAATCCAGTGTGCCAGTTTTCTATTCTGAATGGGTCCCCAGGGAGGACCCACCTCTCCTTCATATCCGACTGCAGCCACTGTTGTGGCACGGTATAGGTGATGTCAACTAAAGATAGTCCTGCCAGAACTGAGAGACCTTGGCAGTAGTCATTCATTAAACATCATCCCTGAAGGGACACAATAAAGATGTAGGGAGAAAGAAGCAATTCATGTCAACCAGTGTGTTTTTTTGAGTCCTGGTTTTGTTTTGGGGGACCAGGCCAATATTATCAATCACAGAAGTGTGCCTTTTTAGTCTCAGAGGGAGATAAAATCTTCCTGCAGGTTTGGGGATAGATGCTTGGATATGCTAGGTGTGTCCTTTCATCTAGTCCTTTTTCGCCTCCCTTCAGCTCAGGTATTGTAAAAGCTTCCAAAGGTTGATCATTTCCTCTCTCTGGTTTATCCTGGGCAGCTTTACTATCCTATGACGCAGAATTCAAGAGTGTGGAATTGATTGAGCGGTGCAATCCACACTTCACACCCAAACCCGTTAGCGTGGTTATCTCCTGCTTTCCCCTGTGGGGCTGCCTGAAATCATTTCAAACCATTGCGACTTCTTTGTCAGTCCTGGCTGTGCTCTGAAGCCAGGGCTAAGCACCAGCGTAGCATCCAAGGGCATCATATGGGAATCGCCGATCCTACATCAGCTTTGAGGTGGGTATATTCACTGGTGGCTGACTCAGATTCACTTTCCTAGAGACAGGACCTCAGTTTGACATGGGAAACCTGTGTGCCTAGGAGCAGGGCTACTTCAACATAGTAATCTGGCATGGGGACAATCACTAAGACCAGGACGGGGACATTCATAAAGGCCAAAATGTGGAGATCCAGATGTAACACCCACCATTTTCCTGCCTCTTACTCCTGTAGCAGTTGCTTGAGGTAAGTGGATTAGTTAGCACAATAAAAACAATCTAAGTTTAAAATGTGACAGAGCAATGGAGAATATCAGAGTGACCATTTTGGAAATTCTAATATTGCCACTGAAACAAACAAAAAAGTGTCTGGGAGTGTGTCGTTTCTATGAGATGCACAGTAGATATTGGAAGTTAGCCATAAAAAATTAGGGTGATAGATGAGTGAAGAGATAATCCTAACCTAGTGACTTCTAGCTAAAAACTTCACCAGTACCCAACTTAAATCAGAATCACACAGAGCCTGCATGCTATTCATGATTCACTATACATTTCATGTGTCTATAGGATTAACAGATGGTAAATAGAAATCACACATTACATGTAATGTATACAGATAGTAACTTTTACAGAGTTTCATTTTGTGGTTTCCTTTCTTCTCAATTGTTCTTTTGGTCATGTAGAACTGTAAGTCAAAAACATCCTTTTAGAGTATATCCAACCAACATTTGGTGTTTCTCTCTTAGAGAAAGCCCTGAGTGAGTTGGCTAGACAAGCACACCACTGGCACTATAACTGTGCTTGTTTATGGTAGATATTTAATGCACACCAGTTTGTTACAATAAATAATCCGGAAACATACATGCTATAGGAATCCCAAGGAGATGCAAATGCCATCAATGTTGAGAAGAGAGTCATTCATTCTAATCTGGATGACCAAGAATCTTCATGAAGGTAATGACGGCATTTGACCTGAGCCATGCAGGATAGGTAGCATTTGGACATGCAAACGTGAAAAAAAATTATTCCAGGTGGTTGTACTGCTCATATAGGTGGAATATGGATGCAGAGCTGGAGATATGAGTAAAGAAGTTCAGGGAATTAATTTAGCAGTGAATGAGAGAATTAATGGGGAATGAAGTGGAAAAGGTATAAGCTTAAAAAATGCTAAAGTGTCTGGATTTTAATGTATAGGCAATGAGGAGTCAATGAAGATGTCTAAGCCAATAAGGAACATAATCAATGTCATGACTGAAGAAAATCTATATGAAAGTATGATGTGAATTAAGGAAGGAAAATAAGGTAATTTCTCCTGGTTTCTGGAAATCAGAATACAATTTTCATGCATACACCGTATCAAAACATCACATTTATTTTGCCATATTTTCATGTATGCTAGCAAGAAATGAATAGACATGATCAATACGTGTGTGTGCATGTATGGGCTCAAAATTTATTATTACCGTTCAGCTGGATGCTGCTGTCACACACACATACACACATACACATACTGGCAAAAATTAAATGCAAACTATTATTTATTTAATGCACTGTTTATTTTACTTAAGAATGCCTGCTATGTACCAAGTACTATTCTGGAAGCAGGAGAAAAAAGATTAAATTCAAAATCTATCTGGAGAAAGACGAGCAAATGAAGAAAGCAATTGTAGTGGTATGAACTAAGTACAATGAAAAACAGAGAAGGTGAGAAGCAAATACTTCTTTGGGGGCAATAAAGCAGGCACTTTTTAGTAATTAGATATCCTATATCTTAATTTCCATTCTGAAACTGACAAGGAGATATAATCCTGAAGAGTCCTATCAGTGAATATGCCCCGCAGGTAGAAAATTAGCTGAAGGAAATTAGCAAGGCATAGAAGATACGTGTTTTTTCCTAGTTTTATTCAACTTTGGCTATTATTACAGGTACATGTGTTTCCATTATTCTAAATATTTTCTTCATTTCAATGCTTTGGTGTCTTCCTAACATTAATTAACAGTGGAGGCCAGGCATGGTGGCTCACACCTGTAATTCCATCACTTTGGGAAGCTGAGGCAGGTGGATCACCTGAGGTCAGGAGTTCGAGACCTGCCCGGCCAACATGGTGAAACCCTGTCTCTACTAAAAACACAAAAAAATTAGCTGGGCATGGTGGTGGGTGCCTATAATCCCAGCTGCTTGGTAGGCTGAGGCACGAGAATCTCTTGAGCCCAGGAGGCAGAGGTTGCAGTGAGCCAAGATTGTGCCAATGCACTCCAGCCTGGGCAACAAGAGTGAAACTCCGTCTCAATAATAATAATAATAAACAGTGGAGAACAAGGACAATATGGAACAGAAATGACTGAAAGGCAAGTGAAGCGTCTATGATCTAAACAGAGCTTTTGCAGGAGGAATCGTTGAAGTGAATTTGTGTGATTCTAAAAGTATTGACAGAAATAGAGATACATCTTTGTGAAGTACTAAAACTTTTCAATAAATTGTACTTCTTACTCTAGAAAGCAAAATAATGCCTAACGCACATCTTCCTACTTTCTTTCAATTTTGTTTCACTCTTGGAACATAAAGCTTGTAAGAAGATGCTTCAAGTTAGAAGAGCTAGGATTCATGGAAAGTGAGGGTAAGAGTGACCTATAAGATTATTTCCTAGGTACATCATAATTACAGAAAACCTGCTCTCACAAGAATGCTTCTCCAGGGGTTTGTATTTTGAGAAGCTGTGCCTAGTGTCACCAAAACAACAAAGGCAGGTGCAATCTGTATTAGACACAAAAACATTGTTGTAATTCAGAGCTATTTTCTAATTAGTAAATGAAGGAATCCAGCAAACTCATTCAGCTGCTAGTTACTAAGTGAATATGAAACTGTCAACTCACTGTCATGCATGAGAGCCTCAAAAATAGAAAATATACCCATCGAGATGACATTTACTCACATAATTCTGGATTAGCACCAATGTCATATTCACTTCTTCAGCTTTTCTTTTCTATTTGCTGGCACATGGAGATTTTCTCAACAAAACAGTTTTGTTATGCTTGCTTTTATCTCAAAGCATTACAGGTCATGTCTACAACATATGAATAAGATTTGTGAATTGGTTATATTGTAGTATTCTTTATATTGCCAAAGTGCAAAACTCTGCAAATCATGGCAGAGAGTCTTTATTAAATTAGTGCCACAAAATAAACCACTAATGTATGATGCAGGAGAGATACTGTCAGTATATATCCAGACTTGTCTAATATTTTTACAAAATACATTGGAAATACCCTCTGATAAATATGGTCCAAAATGAAATTGCCATTCCTAGGATTTTATTTATAAACCTTTATTCCTTCCCCTGGAAGATATTGAGCGTTTTCAAATATTTCCTTTTGGGTTTTGGCTGATTTGTAGCAATGGGTAACATAAAAATGGTCTATATTGTTATAAAAATTATTTATGAGGGCCAGTGTGGTGCCTCACTCCTGTAATCCCAGCACTTTGGGAGGCTGAGCTGGGTGGATCATGAGGTCAGGAGTTCAAGACCAGCCTCACCAACATGGTGAAACTGTGTCTCCACTAAAAATAAAAAAATTAGCCGGGTGTGGTGGCGTGCGCCTGTAATCCCAGCTACTGAGGAGGCTGAGGCAGGAGAATGGCTTCAACCTGGGAGGCAGAGGTTGCAGTGAGCCGAGATCTGCCATTGCACTCCAGCCTGGGTGACAGAGCAAGACTCCATCTCAAAAAAAAAAAAAAAAAAAAAGATCTTTATGAGAAGTTATTACCCTTTTACTTTTGCAACTTGTATTGCAAATACAGATATTAGACAGACTTAACCAATGAGCATAAACGTTCTAACTCAGCTTGCTATACACTACTTACTTTCGAAGACATAATCCATTCTATATTTTAAAGTTAAAGTGCTCAAAATATTATTAATGTGAATACTTCTGACACCTTCAGTAAGCATTTAGTGTGGGGCTTGAAGAGCACTATTCTAAGTAGAAATCCTCATATTAGTGGCATTAGGGTGAGCAGCAAAGTTTTTTTCCCTCTCTTTTACTTTTTGTTTTGTAGTGTTAGCACTCATTACAGGTGATCCTCAAGCAAGAAAAAATTTCTCAGGTTGGGAGACATCACAGAGAGAGAGGAAAAAAACCCATTATAGAGGTAATTTCATCTTATAATTCTCTATTATAATTGCACAGCATACATTCCAGGTGTAAAACCCTAACAGGAACTGCTGATGTTTTTTACAGGACAAATATTAGGCAGCTATTTATGTTCATGGACACATCTTTAAAAGAAACTATCGTGGATAATAATAGCCTCTGGAATGCAGTGGCTCCATCAGAGCTGTATAACACAATGGAAGGAGAAAAGGAAGAAAAGAGAGGAGGAAAAAGAAAAGAAGAGAAGAAAGAAAAAGGGAAGAGAAATGGAAAGGAAAGAATGGGAAAGGAAAAGAAAGGAAGAGAAGGGAAATGAAAGGAAAGAAAGCAAAGGGAAGGGAAGAGAAGGGAATGGAAGAGAAGGGAAGGGAAGAGGAGGGGAGGCAAAAAAAAAGAGGGGGAAGGGAAGAAAGGGAAAGAAACCTGGGGGAGTAGGAAGGATCCTGGTTCTGCTCCATGGAATGAAACAACCATTAGTGCTGCAGGAGATTCAAGGCCCTCTTCCCCTTCCCTCTCATTCCACAGTGCTGCTGAGTCCATGATATGGGAACATATGGCTTACTTAGAAACTATGTTTCTATCTTTCTTAAGAAATTTAAATCTCTGCCAGCTGAGTAGATTAAGAATTTTGGCACCACTGTCTACAGAGAAATCCAACTAGGATTCCCACTTGATAAGGTTGGCTTGGCAAATTCTATGCAACAAGAGAATGCCATGTCTCAGGACTGCAGGAGATAAAGCCAGGACAGATCACTTGACAGTCTTGATATCCAGTAGATAATCAGCAAATTGTTCTAGAAAGAGCATTGCATATGTAGTTAGTATCCTCAGGAATAACATTTGAGAAGCATCTTGATTCCTGTTCACTGCTGAGCTTCCCTAATTTATACCTGGCAACTTGGTTTTTCTAAAATCATGAGGCACAAGTTCCAACCAGGCAGACCTTAGTCAGTTTACTCTAGTTTGGAACTGTCCTAATTATCTGCTGTGACCCCAGATGGGCAGTGACTATGAAGGCTTGGCTTGAGCTCCTTCTGTGGTAAAACTCCTCTAAGAAGGGCTCTATGGAACCTGAGTTCTGTGGAAAGTTAATGGATTCCTTGTAAACAGAAGTTATGTCTTCAAATAATGTTGGAAGTGCATCAATTAATCAATAGCAAGCAAGGTTTTTTACAATGGCACCCTCAGAAACTTTACTATGTATACTACTATTTTCTTAGAGGGGGATAGAGAAGGTAGTGTTTTGAAACTGATCTTTTTTTTTTTTTTTTTTTCTCACGGAGTAGCAGGATTTCTGAGGAATATTAACTGAAGAGCACCATTTCAGGTGGTTCCACGTTCGCATGTCCCCTCCTGTACCACCTACCCGTGAAAAATCTTTGAGATATTCCACAAGCCTCGTGAATATTCTACAACAGTGTTGTCTTAATAGAACATTCTGATGGAAGTTTTCTGGGTTTCCAATATAGTAGCCATAGCCACATGTAGCCATTGGATACTTGGATGTAGTTTGTGTCTGAGGAACTGAATTTTAAATTGTACTTACTTTCAATTAATTTAAATTTAAATAACCACATGCAGGAAGTGGCTACTGTATGGGCAACATAGTCTAGAATATGACACATCAGAGGGGTGCTGGCAACACACACACTACTCCATGCATCCCTGAGCCTTACAGTGATCTCGGGGGGGAGGCTGGGAGGCGGGCTTCTGAGTTGATGTGGGCATGAGAATTCTAACTTTCAAACATAACAGTTATTTTCCAATCTGATGTTGCCCTGAGTAGCCTGGTAATTTCCTTCCCTTCTTCCCTTCCCTCCGTCACTTCCCTTCTTCCCTTACCTTCTTCCCTTCCCTTCCCCCCTTCCCTTCTTCCCTTCCCTTCCATTCCTATTCCCCTTCCCTTCTTCCCTTCTTCCCTTCCCTTCTTCCGTTCCCTTCTTCCCTTCCCTTCCTCCCTTCCCTTCTTTCCTTTCCTTTTTTCTTTCCTTTTCTTCCTCCTTTCCTTCCATTCCATTCCATCCATTATTCCATTATATTCATCCATTCCATTCCCTTCTTCCTTTCCCTTCTTCCCTTCCCTTCTTCCCTTCTCTTCCTCCCTTCCCTTCCCTTCTTCCTTTCCCTTCTTCCCTTCCCTTCTTCCCTTCTCTTCCTCCCTTCCCTTCTTCCCTTCCCTCCCTCCCTTCACTTCTTCCCTTCCCTTTTCCCATCCCTTCTTCCCTTCCCGTGTTCCCTTCCCTTCTTCCCATCCCTTCTTCCCTTCCCATGTTCCCTTCCCTTCTTCCCATCCCTTCTTCCCTTCTATTCCTCCCTTCCCTTCTTCCCTTCCCTTCTTCTTTTCCCTTCCCATCCTTTCTTCCCTTCTTCCCTTCCCTTCCTCCCTTCCTTTCCTCCCTTCCCTTCCTCCCTTCCCTACCTCCCTTCCCTTCTTCCCTTCCCTTCCCTTCACTCCCCTTCCCTCCCCTCCCTTTCCTTTCCCTTCCCTTTCTATCATCTTTCTCTATCACTCTGTTTCTTTTTTAATGGCAGGTTCCAATACAGGCATTAGTTCCTACCTACTTCTTTTCTTCTCTTCCCAGATACTCTGAACCACAAAAGGGAATGACAGCAACATTCAAACCTTTCCATACAAATTCTGAGCCAGAGACAGTTGGCATCTACCTTGTCTTCTACTACAAAGGACTTCACCAGAGGCAAATGTGCCCCTGTGGCTGGGCTAAGCTGCATTCTCCACATAACTTGCCCATTCATCAAATACTACTGTTTCAACATTGACTGCGGTACTCTTCTGTCCCTGAGCCTCAGTACCACTTGGCACACCAATTTTTCCTGTTAGAGCCTCAGATCACGCTGCTTCTGCAGGTTGGCACCAGATGAAGCTGTTACATGCAATCGAATGAAAGGAAAACTTGAACACTTTGGAGAATTTTCCCAGTAAAGAGGACAACACTTCGGTTCCATTTATAAGGGGAAAAAACGGGGAGTAGGGGCAGTATTACACTCTGGCTCCAAGACCTGTAAATGCGGAAGGTGTGAGGAAGAAGACTTTCAAGGAGAATATTTTCCCTCCTCAGCTCAGGCTGTGGTCAAACAGCTTAGAAGCTTCACAAATGTTCTTTCTCTTGTTGGCTGATCTGGTTCCAGGACATTGCAAAAGATTTATTTACAATCACCCAAAGAGCCAGAATAGCTTCACCTTCATCTAGGAAATAATAGCTGTTTTGTACTATTTCGTTCAACAACAGTGATTCATTATGTAGCACTAGGCCTTCCCTGATACTTGTAACTGTCAGGCAGATTTCCTATGGCTTGTTCTCACACAATAGACCTATTTTGTCAAATTAAACGTAGAGGTGTATAATTATCCGCATGTGTAGATAGGAGTGTACTGACTTATATATAAGAATGCAATGTATTTATTAGCACAAGTTTCTACAATGATATCACTCCAAAATGCTTCTTGTAGCCATTGTAGGAGTGTGTCTCTGAGGATCCATCCCATTGGTCATCTCCATATGACTAACAGAGCTCGAACGGAGTGGTGGTTTCTGTTGAAATGTACAAAATTATTATTCTTCAGATCATAGAGGTGAGTTGCATTGCTCTATTGCTTGGGAAAAGAGAGACATGTGGGTTTTCCATATATCTGATATCCAGGTCAACAAAACAAATTATTTTGAATCTTATCCTTATTTGTGAAGGTGTTAACAATATAGAAAGAGGATTATAATATTCAATTATGAGAATTCGTCTCATGCTTTCTCTCCTCTGTATGTCTGTTTTTCAGCCTCTGGACCCAAATATGCATTCTTTGAAATGTAGAAAGGGAAATATCAAGTCTCCTCCTCATGTTCAGGGCTTTATGGTTTTATCTGAACTAATTACAGAAGTAAATCTTGAATTTGGCATTTTAATCATTTTATTTTAGAATATAATTACTTTAACCTACAAGCAATAAAGTAGACCACATCTTAACTACACAATCTTCTTTTGAATTAAAATAGGAAGAGTAATATGATATAAAATAACAATATAAGGTATGGATTTCCTAAGCATCATTTATCAAGACATTTACTTCAAAGTTCAACCTGAAAGAATGATTTTTTTGAAGTAAAACAAGCAATCTGTTTTCCAGCAAAAGCCTAGCAGAAAATTCTAAATTACTTTAAATCACTTGCTTTATACCAATTTGATTCAAAGTTAATAAAGTACTCAGGAGTAACAACCAAATATCTAATGACTTATGGATTCCCACTGGTGTTTAAAAACTCTTAAAATCATTCAGCACATGGGGAATTTAGCTTGTAAAGAACTCTGTGGCCTGAATAACATTACCTTACAAGGTGAGCATAGTGATTTGTCTAAAATAATTATCTAAATGAGACCAGGTATAAATTAAAAGTCAGAGCCACTATATATACGACAAATGAATGCAAACCAGGTAATTTCTTTAATGAACTTGAAACTCAATATGAGCCTAGACTTATGTTTTCTAAAAATCAGCATTAATTACAAAAATGATCTCCCTCAATTTTACTTCTGCTTGAATTTCATCTAATAGCTAAGCTGCTATTGATAAGAAAGACATATATAATTTTCAAATATTTTCATGTTTTTCACATATGTATTCATTCATCCATTTCTTCAAACCAATAGACTAGGGCAAATATAGCTACAAAGAAGCATATATTTAAAAAAAAAAACAAAGAAAAAAAGTTAAGATTTGGCTTCATTGCAAAATTCTATGAGTCAACAGTGCAATGCACAGCCGGAAGAATTAATGCAGTCATAGGCTGTGTTGATGATGGTATCCTGAAGAAAGTGCATCAAATTTCCTGCACACATGAGATCTGGTCTGGGATATTTAATTCATTTCTGGGCAGCATGTTTTCAGAAGGATGCTGACAAATGAAACTATATTCAAAGAGAATAACCAGAATGTTGACAGATATGGAAATCATGACATAAGAAAAGTAGGGATTTATAACACAGAGACGCAATGACACATGATTGGGCATATGTGTTTATCTGAATGTGTAAAGATCTTCACATACTTGAAATATTTGCATACATAAAATGTGGTACTTACAGAAGGTAAAACTAGTATCAAAGATGATAACAGGAAGTAAAATTTCCTGTGATCATAAGAACTTTCTAACAGCACATGGAATAAGGTGCAATGAATTACAATTTTTCTGGAGAAATTCTGGGGGAAACTGTACATGAATTTCCTCCAAATTTCAATTACAACATGTTGTAAATGAAAATAAGCCTTAGATGGGACAAGTAATTGGTTTGACTGCCTCGAGAGACTTCTGGTTTTACATTCTTTGAAATATCTACTGAGCATCTACTGTACACTTCATACCTTTTAAAAAAAGAAATTATTCAGCAAATTGGTTCATAGAAGAGTGAAGAAATATGCTTGTAAATTGTCCTTTGACTGACATTGTCAACCCATGGTATGCAAAGACCTTTGAAAGTTCAGTGACAAAAATCAAAGATGTGTGGTCACTGTTAAACAGAGAGAAATTATGCAGAGAAAAATGCATTTCATTTATTCCAAAATTTTTTGTGCAGAGAACGAAATAAGTGAGAGAGAAAAGAGGAAAGAGACTCTGGGAAGTTCTGTATCAGTCATTTTCAATTAAGGTAAGTAGTAGGGGATTCACAGATAGTTTAAAAAATGTGCATCAGTTTGCAAGAAGCATGTTAGGATCTGCTGATTGTGGTTCCACAGTAGCTTTGAATGTTCTGGGTCAAAAGCAGCCCAGTGAAGGGAGTTGCCATTATTTCAGCAGATTTTGAGGCCCTGGGCTCTGTATTGTTTCTTCCTTTAGTCGTCATGGATGCCTGCTGCAGCAGGAATCTCATAAACAGCTTCCTGTCTGAATCAGGTCTTAGCCAAGTTCAAGGTTGCTATGTTTCTGAAACCATGAGTCTGCACCTGTTTTCTTGACTGGACACCTTGCTTTCATTCACTGCAAGTTCCCTTCACTTTTGACTTTGGAGCCCTTTCTCATCTCTGGCTGGGTGCTTGATTTTTTGTTCTCTGCTCTCTTTCAGCTGCGATTTTGCATTTTCTCTAGTTTGTGGCAGCTTAACTTTTAACTTTTACTTTCTCAGCTTCTTTCTAACCATGATCAGTGTTAACCGTAGTTATACCATCTTTTGTTACACCCTTGTTTCCCTAAGCCACTGAAGAGCCTGGTTGCAGCTCTTCCTAGAAATGATCAGATGTTATGGGTATTAATTTAAAGGTTTTAATGTTTTAAATTAAAGGTTGAGAACAGCTTCTCACCCCAAAATGCACTGCCATCCCCTGGTAACTTGGAATAGTTAAGGTTTTAAGGAAAACCTAATGTGAAGATGTGCATTAGGATTTTAGGAAAGTGCACACTTAACTTATTCAGGAAGTATTTTCTGAATGAACAATGTGCTAAACCCTATATTAATTACTAAGAATAGTGCATTGGGTAGGGAAAACTCTCTGTTCTTGAGGAACATCTTACATTAGGCTTATTATAGTATGTAAGTGTATTATTTCTCTCTGTCCAACTTACTAGAATTATTGTGATACTGTATTGCTTTACCTCTACTGGTACTACACTCCTCTTATTTTTCTCTTTCCTTTTATACAGAACTAAAAACTCTGCCACTCCTCATGTATTGAAGAGTGCCTCCTCTTTGACCTTTTCAGTCTCCTAAAAACCCATTTGAGGTTAAGAAAAGCATCTTGAACAGGAATTTAAATACGGGGGGTGTGCGGGTGGTAAATCACACACAAAAAGCATTTGACAAAGCAATTTATCACTAATTTTTAAAGACATATATATTTCAAGCGAATTCAATTTGCATATTTTCTGACTCATTTTCATTCCATTATCATAAGCTCTTTTTAAATACTTGCTAGATTTTTATATTTTCAAAGGAGGCATTTGTGTCATCTATGACTTCCTAACCTTTGCTTTCTGGAATTTGACTATCAGAAAATTCTTTCTTTGTCTAACCTGTTAGCTGAGACGGAACACTCAGCTATCTTCTGGAACTAAAGAGGGAAAGTAAAATCCAGTTGGGTTTCTCTTCTGTCTGAAAAGTCAGACAGTTGCCTTTGACCTTTGGCCTTTAAGATTTTCATTAAAGTGCTTTCATTATTTCAGCACCATCTCTGAGCACTTCGCATTTATCAAATTGTGAAAGTAAAAAGTAAAAAGTAGCCTAGATGCTTAGTTGACTAGCATATATTAAATGGGTTACCTATTGGCATTGTTGGGGGCACTCCTTCTATATAATTTAATAGCATTTCTATCGATTACAATATTGCTTGATGTGGGCTTTACAAGTGGTCTGTTAAAACTTGTGTCCTGTTGTATGCTACATAAATAATGTCCGTGTTGAAACATTTGTGTCATAAACAACACCTTACTCGAAACTGGTATTTTAAAACAACTGGACTGCTTTCTTGAGGAAGGATACCATGTTGTATTATTGTTTATATCTCCAGAATTATCCCAGTGGGACAAGAAGAAGGCATTCTCTTTTTTTTCTTAACCCCAGTCCATGGACAAATGATAGCAAGTGTTAACTTCATTGAATGTTTACTAGTGTTAGGTCTTATGCTAAGCTTTGTACATGAACTATTTGATTGAATGCTTCCCAAATATCCATGGAGCAATTATTAACCTCAGTTTGCAGATGGGAAAACTGAGGTGCAGGGAATGTTGCCCAAGGACATACAGTATCCTTGAAGTAGGGGAGCAAGATTGCAGTCCTAGGTAGACTGATGCCAGAGACTGAGTTCTTATCCACTTGAGACAAAGTTGCTATCATAGTCTTAGAACCAGTTACACACACACACACACGCGCGCGTGCGCGTGCAGATAATGCATGTAATGCGTGTTTAAGGAGAAGTTAGCCTTTGGTTCTGGGAAAACACCGGCTAGGAGTCCGGAGCTCTTGAATTTCATTTCTTGTTTGTCTTTTAAACGACGAAATGTATTTAAATAAAATATCTTACTACTTCATGCCTTGTTCTTCATTAGCAAACGAAGGATTGAATTAGAAAGAAAAATACTTTGGCCTATAACCTTCCATGATTCATTGGTTTTATAAAAGAGTGTAGTACCGAAGGTGTTTGAAGCCAGGCGGGCCTCTGGGTTGGATTCTGAGCCATGAATGAGGACAGAGCACAGAGCTGGTATCTGTTCTCCCTGTTGGTCTTAATGCTGGGTATGGCTTGTCAGCTGTTGCTTATTTTCCCTGCTCAATCTTTTCTTATCAGAGGCAGAAGGCATAAAGGATGCCATCTGGGATTGCTTGTTTAGATACAGCATGGTGTTAACAAGTTTCCCTCTCTCTTACGCTTTCTTGTTTATTGCTGGGTGCAAAGAGCAGCGATACACATGTCCAAATGCAGTCATCGTCCAGGCTCTGTTATTCATCATGAACTTTAGGAGCAAAGGGCAATGGAAGCCACAAGCTCTGAGTCATCTAGAGGCGGGGCAAGAAGTGCTAGGCTACGAGTGGGTGCTACATTCTGCAGCACCTAGAGGAGCTTCGAGATCAAGTTATTTGAAACTGTGAAAGACCATGTATGAGATTTTACTGACATCCTTTCTGGGAGTAACAAGAGACTCCACATTCCTTAGAATCTGGTGGCTGGTAAAAACATGGCACTTCTTAACCCTGTTAAGAGATTTTGAGTTTACAATATATTACAGTGTTAAGAACGTGGCTTCAGAGTCACAGGATTTCAACCCAAGTTCTGCCACTTGTGAGCTGGTAGTTAATACTGTATTTGCTCTACCAAGATTCCATTCACCTGGACTTTGCATCTGTAACCAGCTGCTGTGAATGTTGGCTGCTAACTATGGTCACAATTGCCCCATGTATCCCTTCAGACAATTGTCCTTAGCAAAAATGAAAAGACTTCTCCTAGAAGCCAAAGAATGACTGTTATCTGACACAAAATACCTGTCTCCTTGCCTCAAGGTGGGACCAAAGCTCTGGTACACTTTGTGCTTTGGTGCTCCCATGGGATCAGGGTGAAGGTAGACTTTAGCTGAGGCCCCAGTCTTCCCCTAAATAAGTGACTGCTTCTAGCCTGCTTCTATGAAAACTGACCTGAGGCATTAGGTGACTTTGGGAAGTAACTCAGTCTCTCTCTGCTTCAGGTTTCTTCTTTGTCAAAATGGGATTATATCCCATGGGATTGATATTATTGACCTTACAATTTTGTTCTAAGTATTAAGTGTTCACACGGAGCTTAGCACAATACCTGGCACACAGAGTACTTATAGTATCAGTTATGTTATTTGCTAGGCTATTAGCTATATGGATTGGAGATTCTGATAAAGTGACACCTTCTCAAACATTTGGGAACACCAGCAAAAAGGCTGGTTTAGCTCCCCCACTCTGGAATGAGAGTAGTTATTGCTTGAATATCCTGGCTCCTAATTAGATTTTTTAAAAGGCAGAGAGGGGAACAATCTCAACTGAGTCAGAGGAAAGATCTTGAGCTCCTAGTGCTCAGCCCTCATGCTACAAAGTGAGGCATCTGTGCGCTGTGTGTCCCTCTGTGTGCTTATAGCTGCTGGCAGCAGTCTCCGTTTGTGCAATGGAAAACATTGCTCTCTTCAGACAGAAAAAACATATATATATAATAAGTCTCCATACTGCTAGTGTCTAAATTAAGAAATGTAAAAGCCAATTCATGTAAGCCAGCAGGCAAAACCAACAGCAGTGCTGGCTGTGAAAAGAGCAGACTTCCCAGACGCGGCGCCTTCAGTGGTGCCTCCCCTATTGTGCTTGTGGGTCCTTTCCAAGTTGAACATCAGAAACTGCATGGTACCTTGAGACAGATGTTCTTTCAGAACACAGTTAATTAAGTGAGGGTCAAAGAAATAAGGGGGGTTTAGTGTTGCTAGAATAGGTGAAGAGAAACAAATTTCAAAATAGGGCTAACTATGCCAATCAAAGAACCCATAACAAGGAATTCTGATGGTCCTTGCAAAACTTCCTCTGCAATTGTGGTGTTAATAAAGCCCACCTACTATTTATCAACTGTTAGTGATATCTTTCCTTGGACCCTTACCTGCTAGGCAAGAGAGATTGCAGCCATTTGTTCATTCAATTAATAAAATTTTCTCCTTGAGAATATGCCAACCAGCCTATACTGTGCTTTAAGACAGAACCGCAGGAAAACAGACACCATCCCTTGGCTCATCAGTGTTGCAAAACAGAACTTAACTGGTAACACCCAAAGCTGAGTTTCCACCTGCCAGGAAATTTTGGTGACCTGTAAAAACTGTGTACAGCTGGACTATAAAATTCCTAAGACAAGGGAGCTGTTTTTTTAACTGACCAGCTAGCATGGTGCTTGGTACATAGTAAGTGCTCAACTAACACAATACTTGAGTTGATTTCCCAATCCATTTATGATATCTGGAAGAACTCGTATAGGCATGTACTATAGTTCAGCTAAAATAAACCCATGTTGCATTTTGCTCCATTTCATCTTCAGCACCGCCAGTGCTGAATCTGAGGAGGGTCTGTCATAGTTTCCCAGGGCTGCCATAGCAAAGTATCACACACTGGGTGACTCGCAAAAAAAGAGTTATTCTTCCACAGTTCCAGTGGCCAGTAGTCCAAAATCAAGATGTCTGCGGGTTTGCTTCCTTCTGGAGTCTCTGGGGGAGAATCTTTTCCCCACGTCTTTCCTAGTTCCTGGTAGCTGCCGGCAATCCTCAGTGTTCCTATAGTTTCATTCCTATGGTTCCTATAGTGCCTACAGTTGCATCACTCTAATCTCTGCCTCAGTCTTCACATGGTCTTCTTTTCTGTGTGTCTTCTCCCTTTTCTTCTCTCATAAAGATATTTGTCATTGATTTAGAGCCCACCCTAAGTCAACATGATCTCACCTGAAGTTTCTCAACAATTACATCTGCAAAGTCCTTTTTTCCAAATAAGATCATATTCACAGATTGGACATATCTTTTGAGAGGCCACCATTCAGCCTAGTACAGAGTCCTAAAGTTTCAAGTGAATTACTGGGAGTGGCATTTGCCTAGCAAACCACAGACCCAATATTTAGGATCAGCCACGAATGATTGTGAGGACAAATGGGACTTGGAATGAATGAGTCATATAAACCAAGTGAATAAGTATTGAAATCCAGCCAATGGATCATCTCCTTCTAACCTGAGGCTACAGCCAATCCAATTTTTTAGCCATTTCCTCCTCTTTCATCCACATTTTTTTTTTCTTCTCTTGACTTTCTTATTTCAGTGGCATGGTAGCGGGCATTTGGACAGATGTCACCTGATGCTTTATCTTATCCTTTGAAATAGAGAAATTCCTAATTCCACTGCTTATATTTCTCCCTTACACCTTTCTCTGATATTCTGATCAAACTTTTTCGTTTCATGTCTTTTTTTCTGTTGAAGCTATATATAATCTTTTGGATTTGAGCAAAATATGATGTCCTTATTTCTAACCTTTCCTCTCTTAAACTCAGTTTGCTTTAAGAACTCACCAACATGCCTGTTAAGGAGGTACTATTCCTTCTTATGTGGAAACAGAATTTCAAAAGAGAGCCCCTGTTAGAAAACAAAACAGAACTTCTCGTTTCTTTTTCTTTGTACATGCTTCTTATCAAGAATATATACTCCACAATAAAAAATCATGTTGCTAAGAAAGCCCAGTTAGTTTCTTTTGAGAATCTGATTTGAGTACACTAATGTGTGAATTGAATCCGAGAGAAAAATAATTCTTCTTTAATGACATATGTCTGCTAATTTGTCCAGCAGCCATAGACAGGCCGAACAAAGATAAAACTGCAAATTCAAACCTTATGCTTGGTGTGAACTGCTGATGTTGAGCTTTTCCTCCTTTGCTGATCAATTTGACCTGTTTCGTGACAGCGGAACCAGAAGAAATCATTGGAAAAATTTTGGAGATTGAGTTTTCTCCCAGACGGTAGCTGTCACCACTTGTTCAGGGTTTTATCACCTTAGAAACTCTGCCAGGAGAGGACACACCCAGGTCTGAGCTGATGGGCTGGACTTGCCCTCTTGTTTGTCATGAGCAAACTTGATCATTTTAGTGATCTTAAATGTAAGCCACCTTCTCACTCAGTACTTAAAGTCTGCTGGAGAAAAGACACAAACTTGATTTTCTTCTCTGTCTAACCAGACTGATCACTGTGTCATTTCAGAGATACTTTATTCATATGGGAGATTAAAAAGAGAGTATCTTTGTCCTTGCTTTAAAATGTTGATCTAATCAAAGCTTCTTATTACTCTTTTGCAGTGATCTCTTCTCTCCAGCACTCTTCCTAAGCTCACCTTTTTTTTTTTTTTTTTTTTTTTTTTAGCCAAGGTACATTTTGCACTTTATGTTCCATCTGCCTGTAAATTTCTACCTTTGAACTGACCAAAGTACCCTAGCGAATGTTTCACAAAATAAGCCTAGGTTGCTTAAGACCTACTTTTAGCTGAGCATCAATTTTTTTTTTCGCCTTAAGAAACTGTGCAGAGCCAAGGATAGTGCCATAATAGAGTGTTTCATAAGTAAATTTCCCCTATATTGTGTTGTTTTATTCACAATTTGGATTCAGAGTTGCTTCTGAGATGATCAGTTCCTCCTGTATTCAGGCAATATAACCCTTCTCTACAGGAAAAGACAAAAAGCAGAAAAAAAGCAAGAAAAAGTTCACACACAAGCGATTCTGTTTCTTTACATCAGTGTTTGGTCTCAAACTGTATCTGGAAGGCCAATTAGTACACATTTCCTCAGGGCACCTGGGAGTAAGTATGAGGAGAGAGAATTTATTTTCTTGGTTTTCCTAATCCTCCTGCTGCTTGTTTTCATCAGATAGAGAGGCCATTAAACATTATGTAGCCCAAGCAGATTTTAGAGGCACAGAGATGGGCTTCCTTTGGCCCATCAAGAAAGCTCTTTCAGAAATGTGTTTTGAGCCCTTTGACAAACTTTGGGCATCATCAACTCCTGCTGCTTTTCCTCTCTTCCCTCCCCCTCAGTCATCTCTCCCCTTCATGCCCTCTCTCTTACAGCGAGCTCCCTGTTTTCAGCTGAGTCACAGCAGCTGGCTGGCACCTCCAGGGTCATACTGTACGTAACACAGAATACTCTCTGTTGGCTACCATGGTGCTTCAAAAGAGGGGCTGTGGCAGCCGCTGAAAAGCATCCTGGGTACTCCAGCCGAGCGCTTCTTTGAAGCCCTGGAGCAAGCGGCAGGCAGAAGGAGCCAGGGACAGTTCAGGGATCCAAAGTTCCTGGATAACATGGTTTCACTGAGCCCCAGGGCTCCTGCTGCCGCCGAGATGCTGCTCAGAAGCAAATCCTGAAGAAATTCAGAACAAAATCCAGACAGACAGAAGCAGAAGCCTATGGCCTCTGCAAGCCAATGGCTGCCAAGAAATAGTCTTAAAAGTGCCAGAGCTTTGGCAAAAGGCCTCGAGCTCTGCCCGCGGGTGAATAGGGAGTAGGAGTGGTGGTCACATTCTCTTTTTCCAGTCAACTGGATTGTGCCTGGGCACGGAAGAGCACATGTGGAATCGGGGAGAAATAATCTATCACTTTCTCTCCTGAAAACAAATGCTGGCCTGTTTAAGCAGAATATATGTCCTAACCCGGTGGAACAATGCAGATTTCCAGCGTTAAAAACACCATCTTTTGGCTTTCAGATACTTAGGACTGGACTGCTCCCAATTTCCAAAAACTGTCTGAAGCCTGAATATTTTATGAACTGTAGAACCTACAGCCCTCTGGTTGATTTATTTGTTCTTTCTTCCCACTCCTCCCCGACATTATTGATTCCTATCTGATTCTTGTTCTAAGAAACTTTTATTTTACAAATTTATAAACCAAATATAGTGATGATGATGATGATGATATCCAAGCCATGGAGAATTCTTTCTGCAGGATGCTGGAAGAATATTTATAGATTAATATTAACAGTATTTTATATGTGTTTGTGTGTGTGTGTGTGTGTGTGTTTTAACATACTCTTTGGCCTCAAAACAAACCCAGCTGAAGAAGCAATTGATCCTACATGGAAAATTTCAAATCATGAAGAGCCTGGTGTCGCATTCAAAACACGGCTAGTTGAAAAAAAAGTGAAACAAATTTGTCTTCGCAGCTATACCCTCCACACAAACACTGAGTGGTAGAAGAAGTTAAAAAGACAAAATGATAAGAGGGCAGCAGTTGCTTTTTGTAGCTTCTTGGAGACATTAATATAAATGTATAAAGCCAAATACCATGGTATATTCAAACACAAAGAGAATCCTAAAAATACAGCAATGAAGCACATCATCTAAAATATTTATGCTTTTTTTTTCAATGAAAGAAGCTCAGTGAAATATAAGAGACAGGATATTTTACCTGAAATGCCAAATTTTTAACTAGGATGGTTTTCTTCAGCTGTCAATGCCAAAGAAAGACAAAGTTAACCAAAGTATCCCTTAGAAAACAGTGACTAGCAAAGCAAAAAGTGACACTTGAGATGAGCCCCTGGGGAGTTATTAGTAATTGCTGTTCTGAGAAGTTAATACCTACAATGTGTGACAGAACAGGTTCACCTTGCACTCAACACGTTAAAATGTTTTCATTCCTGGCTAAGCCATTTTTAATAAACAAAATAAATTATAATTGATCGGCTAGAAGCCAGATAATTCATCAGCGAAACAGGTGTAAATATTTTAGAATGTATGATCAGCCTGTACTTAAAATTCTGAACTATTTTTCCCTCATAAGAAAAATTTATATTTTCCTTTTAAACATTATGAGAAAAAAAAAAAAAACAGTTCTTATACATCTTGCCTGCCTGCTGAACGTGTCCTTTGAGAAAAACATAAATTCAGAGAAGCTCAAGATTTTCTCTTCTGAAAGCCTTCAAAATGCATATGGGCTGAGTGAGTGTGTCTCTCTATTATACTATTAGTACAAAGGACCTTAAATGTATCACTACTAAAATATTTTCACATAGCATATAATTATTATGACTTATGGGTCTCACCCATCAGACAGTGAGATACCTAAGTTAGAAACTAATATATGCATATTCATTTGTGGATTCTCAGAACATAGCACAATGTCCAGTACTCCAGTAGTTGGTAGATGTTCAATAAAATCTTTGTTGAGTAAAAATTGCCTGACATTGTACTAAAATTTTTTACATCTATCATTTCATTTAATCCCCTTGACAACCCCAGGAAAGAAATAGTATTATTTATATCCATTTTGTAGATGAGGAAACTGAGGTCATCAAAAAATTAAAGAACTTGCCTGAGGTTACACAGTAAAGAGCTGGAGCTCAACTCCAAGTACGGCCAGACTGGCCAGCCCTCATGATGATGCAGCTGAAGAAAGAAATGAGGTCAGAGTCTCCTCTTTAACTCATGAATGACATTGTGCTTATTTGTGTGTGTGTATATGTGAGTGTGGGTGCGTGTGTGTACACGGCTTCTTGTTTCATGTCCATATTTCTCATTCCTGCAAATCTGCTTTTCTCAGACTAATCCAATACTGTCAATGGCTGAGGTCCCAGGTCATTAAATTGCCTCCGTGAAACTAATTTTGATTAGGCCTGACTGGTGCCACTTTTCGCTAAACTATTATAACTATTATAAGTTGGCATTTGGTTATCATGAGGTCTGCTGATGGTCTTATACTGATTTTTCTGGCCTTTCCTACCGGATTATACTTTTCTTGAAGTACTGAGGTATAATTGATATATTTACAGTATATTTAAAGTATATCATTTGATAAGTTTTGATATATACACCTGTGAAACTATTATCACAATCAAGATAATAAGCATATTCTTCATACCAATAGTTTCCTTGGGTCCCTTTGTCATTCATCATTGCTTCTTACCATAACCACGGGGAACAGCTGATCTATTTTCTGTCACTAGAGATTAGTTTGCATGTTCTAGAAATTTATATAATTAGACTCATACAGTGTGGATTCAATTTTACCTGGCCTCTTTCACTCAGTATAACTATTTTTCAGATTCATTCATTTTGTTGCATGTTTCACTAGTTGATTTATTTTTGTTGCTGAATAGTATTCCATTTTATGGCTATATGACAAATTGTTTACCCATTAATCTGTGGGTGGACATTTGCATTACTTCCTGTTGGGCCACTACAGATAAAGCTGCTATGATCATTTGTGTACTGAGCATTCATTTACAAGTCTTTGTGTGGACATTACTTTAATTTCTCTTGGGTAAATACCTAGGAGTAGAATGGCTACATCATATGTATTTTTATTTTTTTATTATTTTTTATTTCATTTTTAGAGCCAAATATTGTTTTATTGAAGAAAAACAAAACAAAACAAAAACAGAAAATTGTTTCCTGAGACAAATGACACAGCCGATATGTTTTCAGTAATAATGAGAACAAATATTTATTCTTATGTTTAAAATTTGTGGAAAAGTGCTTTACATTTAATAAAAGTGTGTTTCTCAAAGTAATCCAAGGAAGTAAGCACAATCCTGAACACCAATTTTGACTACTTTTAGGCCTACAAAAAGACTTAGACAGCCACAGTAATAGTGGGGGACTTCAACACCCAACTTACAGGTTAGACAGATCATTATGTGCTAGTTAAGAAATCTCTGCCAAGTTCAGTCATTATTTACAGTAGTTTTTGAGTAATTACATAGCTTTAGCTCTCATATTTAGGTTTGCAATTGATTTCGAGCTAGCAATGATGAATGGTGTGAGGTAGAGGTCTATGTTCATTGTCTTTGCATGATTATCCAACATTTCTGCCATAATTAAAATTTAAAAATAATTTTGTTAAAAATAAATTGACCATACATGTGTGCTTTATTTCTGAATTCTATTTTGGTCCATTTATCTATATTCCTTTCTTCACACCAACAATATACTGCATTTATTACTCTAGGCTTTTAATAAATTTTGTAATCAGGTAGTATGAGTCCTAACATTTTGTTTTTCTTTTTCAAATTTGATTTGGTAATGATAGGGCATTTAATTTTCATATAAATTTTAGAATCAGCTTGCCAAGTTTCATAAAACATCTGCTGGGATTTTGATTGGGATGGTATTTAATCTTTAGATAATTTGGAGAAAATTGACTTCATAACAAAATTAGGTTTCTTAATCCTTGGGCAAGGAATATCTCTCAATTCATTTAGGCTTTTAATTTATCTTACAGATGTTTTGGAGTATTCTTGCATATTTTTTCAAATGTTATTCTAAGTATTTCACATGTTAGTGCTATTGTAAATAATATTTTCATATTTTAATTTTCATTTTTTCAGGGCTAGTATAATAAAAATATGATTGATTTTGTATATCATGTGTATGTACTACAAAATTGCTAAATTCACCGGTTCTAATAAGCTTTTTTGGTACATTACTTAGGAGTTTTTACATAGACAATCATATATTCTAACAATAAAAAAACTTTAACTCCTTTTCTACTTGCTTATGGCACTAACTAGAACCTGTGATACAATGTCGAACAGAAGCGGTAAGATTGTACATTCCTACATTTTTCCCAATCTCGTGAGGAAAACATTTAGCTGCTATGATCACATTTAATATGATATTAACTGCAAGAGTTTTGATGATATCCTTTATTACGTTAAGGAAGTTCCCTTTTATTTGTAGTTTGCTCAGAGTGTTTATCATGAATGGCTGCTGAATTCTATCAGACGTTTCTTCTGCTTCTATTAAGATGATCATATGTTTCTTCTTTCTCATTTTAGTCTATTATATTATTATAAAAATATTAGATAGCAATATATTAACTCCGTCAAATACAGCAAGTGTCAACTCATTTTAAGACATCCTCTTTACTCAGGTTTGTAAGAAACTAGAGTATGGAAATCACTTTTGGGAGAACAATTTCTCTACTACCCAATGAATCATGGGAGAGACTTTTTCAGAGAACACTTTTGAGAGAACAATTTCTCTGCTACCCAAGGAATCATGTCATATTAACATTGATTGTAATTCTGCTACTACTGCCTGATAGTATACGTTAAATGGTTTTTAAAAATATATTAGTTGAAAGTATTTGAAGACTGTTCTCATCTTAATTCTCCATGCAGTATCTGACCGGTAAATCCATAATGAAAATGTTACTTTCATTTGGTTTTCCTCCTTCAAAGGAAACTAACTTTAACACAGATTTTTTTTCTCAAAGAGTCACAAATGTAAAATGTACTTATTAAATGTAAAATTTTACTGATTGTGATTTTAAATTTTGAGTATTAAACTAACTTTTCATTATTGGGGAAAAACCATTTGGCCATAATGTATTATTATTATTAAAATTGATTTTGAAAAACGTTAAAAATTTTTGCATCTATGTTCGTGAGGGATATTGGTCTGTAGTTTTCTTGTAATATATTTGGTTTGGTATCTGTAATACCCATCTCCCAGGATGCATTGGGAAATATTCTATATTCTCTCATGTTTGCAAGAGGTTAGGTAGTATTGATATTATTTATTCTTAAATAGTTGATAGAACCCATCTCGGATTCCATCTTGGCCAGGAGTTTTATTTGCAGGAAGATTTTGTATAAGAAATCCTAAACAATTTGTTCAATTTATTTAATTTGTTGAATTTAGTAGTATAAAATTATTTGTTATATTCAGTTTTTATCCTTTTTATGTCTGTAGTATCTCTAAAAATGTCCCCTCATCTCGTTCCTGATATTGGTAATTTGTGTTTTCTCTTATTTCTGATCAATCAGGCTAGCATTTTTTATCACTTTTATTAATCTTTTCAAAGAACAGCTTTTCATTTAATTGATTTTTTTCTATTGGTTTTCTGTTTTCTATTTTTTTCTTTCTGCTCTAACTTTACTATTTCCCTTTTCTGCTCTCATTTCCTTTCTGTTTACTTTAATTTCCTCATATTATTCCAGCTGTTAAAGGTAGAATCTTAGTTCATTGATTAGCATTTTTTTCTGTTATAAACATTTAATACTGTAAATTTTTAAGCACGGCACCACAAATTTTATTATGTCATGTCCTTATTTTCATTTTATTCAGTCCAAGATACCTTGTAATTTCTCTTTTGATTTATTGTTTGATCCAGGGGTCATGTCTCCTTTTATAGTTTGTGTTTATAGTAAGGTATCTAAAAAGTTTTATGGTTTTATATTTTACATTTAGATTTATACTAAATTTTGAGCAAATTAAAAAAAATTTTTTTATTATACTTTTAAGTTCTGGGATATGTGTGCAGAACATGCAGGTTTGTTACGTAGGTATACACGTGCCATGGTGGTTTGCTGCACCTATCAACCCGTCATCTACATTAGGTATTTCCCCTAATGCTATCCCTCTCCTAGCCCCCTTAACCCTGACGAGCCCCGGTGTGTGATGTTTCCCTCCCTGTGTCCATGTGTTCTCATTGTTCAACTCCCACTTAACGCATGAGAACATGCAGTGTTTGGTTTTCTGTTCCTGTGTTAGTTTGCTGAGAAGCATGGTTTCTAGCTTCATCCATGTCCCTGCAAAGAACATAAACTCATCCTTTCTTCTGGCTGCATAGTATGCCATGGTGTATATGTGCCACATTTTCTTTATCCAGTCTATCATTGATGGGCATTTGGGTTGGTTCCAAGTCTTTGCTATTGTGAACAGTGCTGCAATAAACATACTCGTTCATGTGCTTTGTAGTAGAATGATTTATAATCCTTTGGGTATATATCCAGTAATGGGATTGCTGGGTCAAATGGTATTTCTGGTTCTAGATCCTTGAGGAATCGTTATACAGTCTTCCACAATGGGTGAACTAATTTACACTCCCACCAACAGTGTAAAAGTGTTCCTATTTCTGCACATTTTCTCTAGCATCTGTTGTTTCCTGACTTTTTAATGATTGCCATTCTAACTGGTGTGAGATGGTATCTCATTGCGGTTTTGATTTGCATTTCTCTAATGACCAGTTATGATGAGCTTTTTTCATCATAAAAATGATGTTTGTTGGCCGCATAAATGTCTTCATGATTAAAACACCAAAAGCAATGGCAACAAAAGCCAAAATTGACAAATGGGATCTAATTAAGCTAAAGAGCTTCTGCACAGCAAATGAAACTATCATTTGAGTGAACAGGCAGCATACAGAGTGGGAGAAAATTTTTGCAATCTATCCATCTGACAAAGGGCTAATATCCAGAATCTACAAAGAACTTAAACAAATTAACCAAAAAAAGACAAACAACACCATCAAAAAGTGGGAGAAGGATACGAACAGACACTTCTCAAAAGAGTAAATTTTTGTATAATGTATGAAGCATATATAGAGGTTTCTTTTTTATATAAATGAATGTCGAATTGTTCTAGCACTATTTGTTTAAAAAACCCTTCTACATTGCAAATGACTTTGAACTTTTGTAAAATGTCAGTTTTCTATAGTTTTGTGGGTTTGTTTCTGGGCCCACTATTTGGTTCTATTGACTTTTGTGTCTATCCTTTAACCAACATCACAGTATCTTGTAGATACTGTGAAATCAAGGGGCATGAGTTTTCTAACTTTTTCTTCCCTTTCATATTATTTTGGCTTTTCTGCTTCCTTATATTTGCCGTATAAATTTTAAAACTGTCTCATTGCTATGTGCATAAAACTTTTCGGGAATTTTTATTGGGATTGTGTTGAATTTCTAGATCAAGTTGGTATCTTAACATTGAGTCTTGCAATTGAGGAAAGAGATATATGTCTACTTAGATCTTTTAAAAGTTTCAAAAGTGTTGTTTTTGTGGTTTTCAACATAAAGATTCTGACTGCATTCCTTTAGATGTATACGTAAGTGCCTCTTACATTTTTTTGTGCTATTTAAAGCCATATTCTTGGCTTTGGATGCTCTTTCAGTATTGTTCAGCCTCGTCTGTTCAGGTGGTTCTTTCTTGGCCTTAGGTAGTTTCTTTGGATTTCTGTCAATTTTCAATTACCTCTCTATGTGACTTTCTCCTTCTGTGAAGCTCTGTTTTGTCAGTACTGTAACCTCTCCAATTTTTTGCCTCCGTCCCTTCAACTCAGTGGCCTGCAGGTTCTGTTTTGGTTTCGCTCACTGCACTGTAGCCTTTGCGGGCAGGAAGCCGGGGCAGTCATAGTACTCACTTAGTTTGCTTCCCTTCCTGTAGTGATTCTGTACTGCACTGACTCTTGATTAATGTCTGAAAAACAGTTGTTTTATATGTTTTCATCTCTTTTATCATTGCTTAAGGAAGGAGGGTAACTCTAGTTCTCACTACCCCATTATGGCTGAAAACAGAATTTTCAACTACAGTTTTCAACATGCTTTATATGCAATAAAATTGTACAATGTAACCTTTTCCCCTGCCTCTACTTCAGCCACACTGAACTTTATTTAGTCTTTCACACATACTAAGATAACTGCCAAAGGGCCCTTGTAGATAGTCTTTTCTTTGGTTAAAATGCTTTTTCCTCTTATTGTCTGCTTAATTCCTGCTCATCCTTCAGATCACAGTGCAGTCATCGTTTCTTCACTGGAAGTTTTCTTTGACTTCCTTACGTTGTCAAATCTCCTGTTGTAACAGGTCTTCATGACGTTTACCTCATGTTTCATTTTACACTTATTTGTATAACTATTTGATGCCTATATGTCTCCTCCTCTAAACTGTAATAAGCATTGGAGCTATAGCTGTCTTTGCTTACCTTTTTATCCAAAGTGGCTGGTGTAAAGTAGGTGCTCATCAAATATTTGTGAGATAGATAGACAAATTGAGATTACCTCCGTATTTGTCTTTTTACTACGTTTCATTATTTCCAAACCTTCTTTAACATATAATGCACCAATAAGTAATTATACCTTTTCTGTTATACCATTACAATTTTCTATATCTCACCACAATAAGATTAACAAAAGAACAACTGTTCTATCAAATTGTAACAACATTCAGAGAAAACTAATTTAAGTCATATTAAATAAACTACTTATGGGAGAATTCTGCAATGAATTAGGGCTCTGAAATTGCCATTTGCTCATCACAGATGCAATAAAGCACAACTTGGCACGATCGGTCAAACAGAAACTGACTCATGAGGGATATCAGATTTCCTCGCTTCCATTTTGTTTTCATCTTTCTAGTTTGTTTGAAAACTTATAAAAACCATATGATAAGTTTTCAAATAAAATTTATGGTAGTTCCATGCTGACTTCTTGCCCCCTATAGTTTGTGCTTTTATTTCAGGACTATAGTGCTGGTATCAAAAACAAAATCCTAAGGAATATTCTTACTTTGTACCTAACATTATAAATTCAATGACAAATCTGGTGGCTTTTTTTTTTAATGTGGTGACTCTATCACTTTCATTTCACTAATTGATGCTAAAAAATAACCTACTGGATAAGAGTAGTTGTTATTTTTACTGAAATAGTTGCCAGAGAACCACTGGATATTTTCTATAGTAAAGGAAAGAGCACAAAAATTTATTTATTTTTCCCATTTTTTGTTATAACTCAGGATATCCCTCCAAAGTTAAGTCATTACTATTTTCCATCTAAAATAGAGACAAATTTTAATTTGAATTAATCTCAAATTTAGCAAATAGTCCCAAAGTTAAAAATAAAATTTGAGATCTATTGAGACATACATGTAAAAGGTTTTCTTTCCCTGTGCTTTTGTTCACTATCTGAGAAATCTGAGAAATAATTGCTAGTTACCTTCCCAGCAGAAAAATTATGAGGATTATTAAAATAATATATGTAAATTACTTTGCTATCAGAAGCCCTGGATACCTGCGTAATATATTACACTGCTAAAAACTTTTATTAGTAGACTTTAAATTTTATCTTAATGCTCAAATAAGTAATTCCCATATATAGCCCAATGTATTGGACCTGATTTTTTTTTATAAGTAGACAGGTGCTGTGCTGCTTTAATTAATTTGAATGGACACCAATTTAAAATTTTCTAGGTGAGAAAACATGGTGGTTTTAATGTTAATGAAATCTGATATAGTTAGAAACTTGGTCTGCATTTCACTGGGGTCTCTATCTGTTTTGAATGCAGTACTCTTATCTACTCATTCTGATCTCCTAAAAGAAATACAACATTCTTGGTGATGTACTATTGTAAAGCACCTGGGTTTGGGAATCATACATGTCTGGGTTCAAATTCAACATTTGACATACGTTAACTGTGTTACCTAGAACAAGTTCCTTTTTTCCCCCAAGCCTATGTTCCTTCTTTGTCAAATGGGTGATAATCCAGGACGTCCAGATTAGTGATCTCTGTATAAAACATTGAATAGAGGAAGAAAGTGCAGGAAGCAGCTGAATAGAAGCCTCTACCAATCATACTCTCTGCAGGAACAGCAAATTTAACAAGTATTTACACAAGAAAAGCACCTTCAGAAGAACCAGAAATCAGGAGAATGATCGCAGTACCTGGTGTTTAACTTCATATCACTGAAAGAAGCACTGAAGAGGGTAGGAAAGATAGTCTTGAATTACCAACACCATCCCTGCCCCATTCCCAGGCATTTGTGTGTAGTGCAGAGAATCTGTGCACTTGTGAGAGAGATGGCACAGTGGCTGTGGGACTTTGCACTGGAATTCATTGCAGCCCTGTCACAGCAGAAAGAAACACTGGACAAATTCAGCTGATACCTGTGGCGGGAGCATTTAGATAAACCCTAGCCAGAGGGGAATCCCAGAGGTCAGAATCTGAATTCTGTCAAGCCTTGCCACTGTGGGCTAAAATGCTCTGGGGTTCTAAATAAACTTGAAAGGCTATTTAGACCACAAGGACTGCAATTTCTAGGCAAGTCCTAGTGCTGTGCTATGCTTGGAGCCAGTAGAGTGGGGGCATCACAACCTAGTGAGACATGAACTGGGGTAGCTAAAGGAGTGCTTGCGCCATCTTTCCCCCAACCCCAGGCAGCACAGCTTGCAGCTCCTAAAGAGACTCCCTCCTTCCACTTGAGGAGAGGAGCAGGGAGAGTAAAGAGGACTTTGTCTTGGAACTTGGATACCAGCTCAGCCGCAGTAGGATAGGGCAGCAGGCAGAATCCTGAGGTACTCACTCCAGGGCTTAGCTCTCAGATGACATTTCTAGATACACCCTGGACCAGAAGGGAACCCACTGCCTTAAATGGAAGGACCCAGTCCTGAAGAATTAATTACTTGAAGACTAAATAGCCCTTGTACCCTGAATAATCAGCAGTGGTATCCAGACAGTACTTGCCATGGGCCTTGGGTGAGACTCTGAGACTTGCTGGCTTCAGGTGTGATCTAACACAATACCAGCTATAGTGACTATGGAGAGAGATTCTTTCTGTTTTAGAAAAGCAGAGGAAAGAGAAAAGGAGACTGTCTTGCAGCTTAGGTACCACCTCAGCCACAGTGGGGTAGAGCACCAAGTGGGTGCTTAGAGTCCTCAATTCCAGGCCCTGGCTCTTAGATGGCTTTTCTGGACCTTCCCTGGGCTGGAGAGGAGCTGACTTCCATGAAGTGAGAGTCCCAAGCCTGGCAGAAATCACCACAAGCTGACTGAAGAGCCCCTGGAGCTTGAATGAACATCAGTAGTGGCCTGGCAGCATTTCCTGCGGGTCTGTTGTAGTGGTGGCCACGGCAAGAGACTCCTCAGCTTCTGAAATGGGGCAGGAAGAGTGGGAAGGACTTTGTCTTATGGCTTGGGTGCCAGCTCAGCCATAGTAGAATAGGTCACCAGGCAGATCCCTAAAGTTTTAATTCCAGGCCCTGACTCCCCCATAGCATCTTTGGACCCACTGGGGTGCACAGGAACTTGCTGCCCTGAAAAGGACACAAGACTGGCTGGCTTCATCACCTGCTGATTGTAGAGCCCTAAGGCCTTGAACTAACATAGGCAGTAGCCAAGTAGTGGTTAGAGTGGGCCTTGGGCGAGACCTACTGCTGTGCTGGCTTTAGCTCTGATGCAGCACAGTCCTAGGGGTGGAAGCCATGGGGGTGCTTTTCTCACCTCCTCCTCCAGCTCCAGGAAGCTCAGCACAGAATAAGATTCCATTTGTTTGGGAGACAGTAAGGAAGTGAAGAGAACAAGAATCTGCCTGGTAATCCACAGAATTCTTCTAGATCTTATCCAAGACCACAAAGGCAGTACCTCTACAAGTCTACAAGAGCCACAATGTTACAGGGTTGGGGTGCACTCCAATGTAGATGTGGCTGCAGGGACCAAAAACAGATTATAACACCCAAATCCCTTTGAATGCCTGGAAAGTCTTCCCAAGAAGAATGGGTATAAACAAGCCTAGACTGCAGAGACTAATAAATACCTAACTCTTCAATGTCCAGATACTGATGAGCATCCACAAGAATCCACAAGCATCAAGACTATCCAGGAAAACATATTCTCACCAAATGGAACTAAATAATGAACCAGGAACCAATCCTGGAAAGATAGAGATATGTGACATTTCAAACAGAGAATTGGAAATAGCTGTTTTGAGGAAATACAAGGAAATTCAAGATAACACAGAGAAGGAATTCAGAATTCTATCAGTTAAATTTAACAAAGAGATTGAAATAATTAAAAAAGAATCTAGCAGAAATTATGGAGATAATAATGCAATTTACCTGTTAAAGAATGCATCAGAGTCTCTTAATAGTGGAATAGATCAAATAGAAGAATTAATGAGCTTGAAGACAGGCTATTCGAAAATACACAGTCAAAGAAGACAAAACAGACAAAGACACATCAAAAAAAGAAAGCTACAGGTCAATATCCTTGAAGAACATTGATGCAAAAATCCTCAACAAAATACTAGCAAACAGAATTCAACAACACATTAAAAAAGATCATTCATTGTGACCAAGTGGGATTTATCCCCAAAATGCAAGGATGGTTCAACATATGCAAATCAATCAATGCGTTACCTCATATCAACAGAATGAAGGGTAAAAACCATATGATCATATCATCTGATGCTGAAAAAGCATTTGATAAAATTCAAAATTCCTTCATGATAAAGAAACCCTCGAAAACTGCATATAGAAGGAACATATCTCAACTTAATAAAAGCCATATATGACAGACCCACAGCTGGTATCATACTGAATAGGGAAAAACTGAAAGCCTTTCCTCTAAGATGTGGAACACTACAAGGATGCCCACTGTCACCACGGTTATTCAATGTAGTACTGGAAGTCTGAGCTAGAGCAATCAGACAAGTGAAAGAAATAAGAGGCATCCAAATTGGAAAGGAATAAGTCCAATTCTCTTTGTTTGCAGCTGATATAATCTTATACATAAAAAAAAAAAACTGAAGACTCAACCAAAAAACTATTAGAACTAATAAACAAATTCAGTAAAGTTGTAGGATACAAAATCAACATACAAAAATCAGTAGCATTTCTGTATGACAACAGTGAATAATCTGAAAAAGAAATAAAGAAGCAATTTCATTTACAATAACTACAAATAAAATAAAATACCTAGGAATTAAACAGAGAAAAGAAAGATATCTATAATGAAAACAATAGAACACTGATGAAATAAATTGAAGAGGACACACAAGAAATGGAAGAATATTTCATGTTCATGAACTAGAAAAATAAAGATTATTAAAATATTCATACTACACAAAGCAATCCATAGATTCAAGGCAACACTTATCAAAATGACATTTTTCAAAGAAATAGAAAAATAATCCTAAAATGTACATAGAATAACAAAGACCCAGAATAGCTAAAGCTATCCTGAGCAAACAAAACAAAACTGGAGGAATGACATTAACTGACTCCAAATAATACTACAGAGCTAAAGTAACCAAAACGTCATAGTAGTTGATACAAACAGACACATAGACCAATGAAACTGAATAAAGAACCTAGAAACAAATCTACACTTCTACAGTGAACTCATTTTCATCAAAGGTGCCAAGAACATATATTGGGGAAAGGACAGTCTCTTCAACAGATGTTGCTGGGAAAACTGTATATCCATATGCAGAAGAATGAAATTAGACCCCTATCTCTTACCATATACAAAAATTAAATCAAAATGGATTAAAGATTTAAATCTAAGACCTTAAACTATGAAACTACTACAGGAAAACATTGAAGAAACTCTCTAGGACGTTGGACTGGGCAAAAGTTTCTTGCACAGGCAACCAAAGCAAAAATGGACAAATGGGATCATATCAAGTTAAAAAGCTTCTGCACAATAAAGTAAACAGCCAAGAAAGTGAAAAGGCCACCTACAGAATGGGAGGAAATATTTACAAACTGTCCGTCCGACAAGGGACTAATAACCAGAATATATAAGGAGCTTAAACAACTCTATAGGAAAAGAAAATCTAATAATCCAATTAAAAATGGGCAAAAGATCTGAATAGACATTTCTCAAAAAAAGGCATAAAATTGACAAATGGGCATATGAAAAGGTTCTCATCATTAATCATCAGAGAAATGCAAATCAAAACTACAATGTGGTATCATTTCATCCAAGTTAAAATGACTTTTATCCAAAAAGACAGGCAACCTAAGTGTCTATTAACAGACGAATGGATAAAGAAAATGTGTCACATATACACAATGGAGTACTATTCAGCCATAAAAAATAATTAGATCCTGTCATTTGCAACAACATGGATGGAACTGTAGGTCATTATGTTAGATGAAATAAGCCAGGCAGAAAACAACAAACTTCACATGTTCTCATTTATTTGTGGGAGGTAAAATTAAAACAAACTCACGGAGAAAGAGAATAAAAGGATGGTTACCAGAGGCTGGGATGGGTAGTGGGGTGGTGGGGATGGGGAAAGTGTGAATGGTTAATGGGTACACAAAAACTAGAAAGAATGAGTAAGATCTAATATTTGATATCACAACAGGGTGGGTTATTACAGTCAATAATTTAATTATACATTTAAAAGTAACTAAAATAATATAATTGGATTTTTTGTAACACAAAAGATAAATGCTTGAGGTAATGGATATTCCATTTACCCTGATGTGATTATTATGTATTGCATACCTGTATCAAAATATCTCATATATGCCATAAATATATACAACTACTGTGTACCCAGAAAAGTTGAAAATTTAAAATTAAAAAAAAATTGCATGCTTGAAAGAGAAAAAAACACTGTATGTAAAGAGAAAGTTCATTAAGTGGCAGTTATTATGACTGATAATTGTACTATGCATGCGATAAGGTGAGGTGGTCATAGTATCGACTGTATGGAAGTGAAAAGAACCAATACCTTTAGAGAGTTTGCTGTGTTTGGTCACCACATAATTTATAGGCATTATTTTATGAAATTCTCACCAAACTATAATGTTGTCGTTTTATTTCCCATTTTATAGATGTGGAAAATGGGGGTAAGTTAATTTGCTCAAAGCAGAGTCAGGGCTTGAATGTAGATCTGTTGGATTTCAAAGTCTGAGAAACAAACTCTATATCTGAAATTGAATTGCTTCTCCTTGTTTTTAAATTTCTTTGAAAATAAATGACACAGATGATGTCTGAACTTAGATATCTCTTTTTCTTATAGCCAGGTTTCTTCATTTTCTGTTGCATCAAGTTAATAGATTTTGAGGTTGAAAGCAGTTTCATGGCTTTGGTTAAATAGAAAAATGTAGGATACCTTTAAAATCTGCTTAAATTGTTTTAAATAATTTTGAATATTTATTTATCACCATCAGTTGTCACTCAAGTTATAGTGAGAGACAGCAGAGCAATTGCCTTGATTCCAAATATATTTTCCTAGGAAATGTGAGTGATTTGCAATTTATGTAAGAAGAGTCGTAGAGCTAATAACTATTCCATTTTCCTTCTGAAAGTTTCCTTTCTAGTGTTAAGACGTATACATAGTTAGATCATCTCTAATATTCATGATATCTGCATGTCACCTCTCCTTCTGGAATGCTAATTTATAATTGTCAAACACTTGTTAGATTAAAAAAACGCTCTCAAATTCTTACAATCTTGCTCCTATATTTATTATAAATTACTAAATAGATAAGGAGCATTGAATACAGCAAAGGGGAAATACCAATTGGAATATCTGGTAAAGAGTTCATAAATTGGACTTAACATCTCTGCTCAACACTTACAAATTTACAGACTTAATGATGCCTTAATGAAAAAGGTGCACGAAAGAGGTCTAAGGAAGACTATATGACTTTAATACTGCTTAAATTTGAGTCAAAATAATATGTGTGCCTGCCTTAAAAATCGATTTGTTCTCAAAGCATTATTAAAAATAGTATTCCTTGACTTTCTTCTAGTTAATTCTGTCCTTAAGACACAATAAAACATTTAACTCTTTAGATACTCATTTCTAGAATTCATCTCTATATTTCCAGATAATATAGTTATCATTTCTTAATTTATAAATTTTGATACTATCTTGACTTTTTTGATAGCAGAGAATTTAGATCACTTCTGCCAACCCTTATCCTTCTTCCTATTCGATTTTATTTGGAGCAGTATTTTAGGTAAATCAATAAGCAATGTTTACATGCTTATTACCACATAAATATCATTTGCTTCGGAGTCAAGTTAGTCTTACGTTTATACGCCTTTTTTTTTTAACAGCTCCTTGTTTTGCCAATAGTTTGTAACAATTTTTTTTAATTTTATTATTATTATACTTTAACTTTTAGGGCACATGTGCACAATGTGCAGGTTTGTTACATATGTATACATGTGCCATGTTGGTGAGCTGCACCCATTAACTCGTCATTTAGCATTAGGTATATCTCCTAATGCTATCCCTTCCCCCTCCCTCCACCCCACAACAGTCCCTAGTGTGTGATGTTCCCCTTCCTGTGTCCATGTGTTCTTATTGTTCAATTCCCATCTATGAGTGAGAACATGCAGTGTTTGGTTTTTTGTCCTTGCGATAGTTTGCTGAGAATAATGGTTTCCAGCTTCATCCACGTCCCTACAAAGGACATGAACTCACCATTTTTTATGGCTGCATAGTATTCCATGGAGTATATGTGCCACATTTTCTTAATCCAGTCTATCATTGTTAGACATTTGGGTTGGTTCCAAGTCTTTGCTATTGTGAATAGTGCCACAATAAACCTACGTGTCCATGTGTCTTTATAGCAGCATGATTTATAATCCTTTGGGTATATGCCCAGTAATGGGATGGCTGGGTCAAATGGTATTCTAGTTCTAGATCCCTGAGGAATTGCCACACTGACTTCCACAATGGTTGAACTAGTTTACAGTCCCCCCAGCAGTGTAAAATTGTTCCTATTTCTCCACATCCTCTCCAGCACCTGTTGTTTCCTGACTTTTTAATGATCGCCATTCTAACTGGTGTGAGATGGTATCTCATTGTGGTTTTGATTTGCATTTCTCTGATGGCCAGTGATGATGAGCATTTTTTCATGTGTCTGTTGGCTGCATAAATGTCTTCTTCTGAGAAGTGTCTGTTCATATCCTTCACCCACTTGTTGATGGGGTTGTTTGTTTTTTTCTTGTAAATTTGAGTTCATTGTAGATTCTTGATATTAGCCCTTTGTCAGATGAGTAGATTGCAAAAACTTTCTCCCATTCTGTAGGTTGCCTGTTCACTCTGATGGTAGTTACTTTTGCTGTGCAGAAGCTCTTTAGTTTAATTAGATCCCATTTGTCAATTGTGGCTTTTGTTGCCATTGCTTTTGGTGTTTTAGACATGAAGTCCTTGCACATGCCTATGTCCTGAATGGTATTGCCTAGGTTTTATTCTAGGGTTTTTATGGTTTTAGGTCTAACATGTAAGTCTTTAATCCATCTTGAATTAATTTTTGTATAAGCTGTAAGGAAGGGATCCAGTTTCAGCTTTCTACATATGGCTAGCCAGTTCTCCCAGCACCATTTATTAAATAGGGAATCCTTTCCCATTGCTTGTTTTTGTCAGGTTTGTCAAAGATCAGATAGTTGTAGATATGCGGCATTATTTTTTTCCAGGTCGATTTGTCATGATTACATATTTAATTATTTTTCAAATATACCTTTATACTAGGATTTTTTTCTTAAGTTATCTCCCCAGCCCCATGCACTGTCTTTTTTTTCCCCCTTGGAGCGCTTTCTTCCAGACCTAAAAGGAGAGTATTTGATCATGTTAAGTAATTAATCACTTGTTTGTAAGCTACAGGAGGATGTGGACAATGCTTATATTTGTTCACCTTTATATTCGCAAATCCTCATGTAGTGTTTGGCATATAGCATAACCCACTCTCAGCACATGTTTTTGGAATTAATGGATAAGTAGTGTGGTTTAAATACATGAACTGAGAGGGAGCTAAATACCGCACCATTCCTCACAAGTCTTCAAATGATATCAGTATTAAACAATTAAACAGATGTTGTTTAAAAAGTATTTTTAAAGTTTTGCTCTATTCTTTGTTATTTCCAAGGAGGTTAGCAGTTCTTTTTATAAAATATTTTCGTCACAGAAGCGGGACAATATCACAGCACTGGATAAGTCTAGCTTTCTCTCTTCTGTACCCTGGCACCTGTGTAGTTAAACTGGCTGACTAGCTTAGTTTAAACTCAATCATGAAGCTCTTCATGGACCCTCAATGCTGCTATGTATTCATATTCTTCTATCCTAGTTCACTGTTTTTATTCCTCTATTCTTGCATCTTACAAAGTCATGAGTTAAAAGGAAGAATATTACTGGTGCTGGATTTTTCATCAGAGATCATGGTCTCCTCATGGAGGCCAGAGGACAGTGAGACAATATCTTTAAAGAGCTGAAAGGAAAAATCTGTCAAATTGCATCTATATCCAATGAAAATATCCTCCAAGAATAAAGGTGATATAAAGACATTCTTAGTTTAAGGGAAACTAAAAATATGCCATGAGCAAATCTGTTCTAAAAGAAATTTATAGAAGTTTGTCAGGCTAAAAGCAAATGACACCAGTGGAAAACTCAGAACTTTGGGGAAAAAAGAAAAGCAAGTAGAATAGTAAATATCTGAGTAACTATAATAGACCATCTTTATCCTCTTAATTGTAAAAAATATATATTACTGTTGAAAGAACATTTATGACATCATCTGGTAGTGTTTCATTATGTTCAGATGAAACATAACTTTAAATAAAAGGGCAAAGTTTAAGTGACTCACATGGTTGTAAGCTTTCTGCATTTGGCTTTAAGTAAAATATTAAATTTAAGTAAATTGTGAATATTTTTGGCATGTATATTTTAATTATTTGAACAATTAGAACAATAAGAATAAAGATATAGTTGAAAATATTTAAAATCAAATAGACTTAAAAAGTCAGGAGAGACAGAAAAACAAAAATTAGAGGAAACAAACAGAGGACAAATAGGCAAATTTGTAGGCCTTAGTTCAATCATTCTAAATACAATAAATGTAAATGATCTAAACATTCTAGTTAACAGAGATCGTCAGACTGAATACAAAAAATTCTAACAGACATTGAAAGAAGACATAATACCACATTCAAAGTCTGTTTCAGAAAATGGAAAAGGAGAGAACATTTCCCAAGTTATATTTGACCTGCATCACTTTGATACCAAAACCAAAGACATTACAAGAAAAAAATAAGCCCTCATAAACCTCACTACAGAAATGCACAACAAAATATTAGCAAATATAAACTAGGGATACATAAAAAGGATAATACATCATGACCAAGTGGAATTTATCCCAGGTATTGAAGGCTAGTTCAATATTTGGAAATTAATCATTAATTTACCACAAAAATAGAATAAAGAAGAAAAACACATGATCATATCAGCAGGTACAGAAAGACCACTTGAAAATTTATCTTCTATTCTTGATAAAAAAATTTTCAGCAAAGTAAAAATATAAAAAAAATTCCTTAAACTTATATAGGGCATCTACAAAAAACCCTGCATCTAAAATCATACTTAATGATAAAAGAGTGAATGCTTTCCTAGGTTCAGAATCAACAGCAGGATATTCATTCCTATTCTTAACCATCCTGGAAGGCCTAGTTAGTCAAAAAAGACAAGAAAGAGAAAAATAAAGCATGTTACTGAAAGAAGAAATAAAACTTTATTTAGGCATGACATGTTTGTGCATGTAGAAAGTCTCAGAGAAACTCTAAAAAGTTTTAGAACTAATAAATGAGGAAGCTCTCAGTATATAAGGTAAATACACAAAAATTCTATTTCTACATACTAGCAACGAATAACTGGAAAACAAAAACTAAAAACAATGCCGTTTGCAAGAATATCAAAAGGTAAAATATTTAGATATAATGAAATATGTGCAAGATCTATATGTTACAAATTATGAGAAAAGAAAATTTAAAAGACCTATAATTATGTAGAGATATAAAGATACCGGTTTTGTGGGTTGGATAATTCGTTGTTTCTAAGATATCAATTCTTCTCAAATGTATCTGCTGATTTAGCATAATCCCAATCAAAATACCAGGGGGCTATTTGTTGGTACTGGCAAGATATTTTTAAAAATGTATATGGAAAAGCAAGGAAACTATAATAGCCAAAATAATTTTGATAAAAAATCAGCTGGAAGTCTCACACTACCTAACAAGATATACTCTGAAGTCACAGTAACCAAGACAGAGTGGTATTGGCAAAGAATGGATGCATAGATCAATGGAATAGAACAAAGGACATAGTAACAGCCCCACAGTTATAAGGTCAATTGTGTTTATTTGACAAGAGTGCAAAAAAGAAAAAATAGTTTTTCAACAAATGATATTAGATTAATTGAACATTCAGATGCAAAAAAGAGAAGATTTTAAGGAAAAAGTAAAACTATAAAACTTTTAGGAAAAAAGTTTACAATTTGTGGCTTGGGTTTTTGGCAAATAATTCTTAGAACACCCAAATTATGACCTAATAGGATAAAAATTGATAAATTGAACTACATAAAGATTAAATTTTTTTTGCTTAGAAAAGGACACAGTAAAGGCAATGAAATGACTTTACTAGGTCAGACTAGGAGAAAACATTTCCAAATCATATATCTGATAAGAAGCTTGTATGAATATATAAATAACTAAAAATAATAATAAAAGTCAACAATCCCTGAAAAAATGTGCAAAAGATTTGAACAGGAAGTTCATCAAATATGAATAGCAAGTCAGCACATGAAATAGTGCTTAACATTTATAGTTATTAGGGATTTGCCAATTAAACCACAATGAGATACCCCTGCAAACCAACCAAAGCAAAACAACAATGACAACAAAGTGCTTCAAGATACCAAGGGCTGATGAAGATACAAAGCAACCAGAACTCACATGCATTCCTGGTGGGAATTCGAAATTGCCCAGCCCCTTAGAAGAACCACTTGGCAATTTCTTTGACATAGTTAAACCTGTACTTGCCATGAGACCCAGCAATCCATCCCCAAGGTATTTAGTAAATACAATAAAAGTAAATAAAAAAGTAAATTAAAATATGTATGCATGCTAAACTTGTACACAAATATTTATAGCAGCTTTTTTCATAACCACCAAAACCTGAAAATGACCCTAATGCCATTTAAGTTGTGAATAGAAAAGCACATTTTGCTAATCTTTATCATGGAATGCCAGTCATCAAAAAAAAGTTTAATTAAAATAAGCCAGACTTAAAAGATACATCCTATATAATTTTATTCATATAGACATTTTGCAAAAGGCAAAACTGTGGTTCAGGGAATAGATCAGTGGCCGCTAGGGTTAGGAGTTGAGTGAAAGGTTGACTGTGAGGAACTAATTTAAGAGAATTTGGTGGGATGACATTTGTTTGTGAATATGGTTATACGCATTAATTGCACACCAAAAAGAGTAAGTTTTACTGTAAACTAAAACTAAATTACAAAAGATACACACAGCCAAACAAAACACACACATTTATGCACACACAAAATCAATGTCACTCTATTTTGAGCAAGATGTTAATAGAAAAGTTACATAGTTAACTTTCTTTTGGTTCAAAAGTAGCCTAAAGCCATGTACTAGCTCTGTTACCTTGTGCATATTTACTTAAAACTCCTCAAGCCTCAGTTTCTTCATCTGAAAAATGGGGATAATGATGCATTATTCATAGGGTTCTTGAAAGGATTAAAGCACAGGATAGAGTGCTTGACCCTTCATAAGTGTTTCATGAATGTTAACTTTTATTATTAATGTTCTTACTACCTCTTTTAAGTTGTATGAATTTGGCACGTTAACTTGGCAAACCAATGCAATCCAATACAATGTAATGAAAACACAAACCATATTTATATAATAAAGTATTTTAATCCAGTATGTATTTGACACTCACAGCAAATCTCAATTCAGTCTAACCACATTTCAAATGCATAGTATCCACATGTGGCTAGGGGCTTCCATTTTGGCAATGCAACTCTAAATATCATTGTCCCCATTATTGAAAGCAAAAGATATGAAAATTAATTTCTGTTCGGGTACTTGAAATCTACATTTATTTCCTTTGAATAAGCTATTTGCTAGGCAAAGAAAGGGAAACTTGGTTTTTCCGTGTATATAATAAAAATCCTTTAAAGACTAATATTTCAAGTTAGTCCCTGAGTATCAAAGTGGCTCATGAAGTACTTTCTATCTTAAACCACAGGTTCCATCTCCCTGACAGTCAGGCATATCATTTTCAGGCTAAAGGACCTTGAGAAGTAAAAGAGTAGCAATGAGTGTGGAGCTAAGGAAACCTTCTCTTTTTGACTCATAGACCATTTGTCCTCTTCTGCTCCTTGTCAATGAGAACTGGGGTTGTTCAAACTCCACAAATTTCCAAAGCAAGTACTTCAAACCACCAGTTGCTATAACTCTGTTACGACAGTGTAAACCCAACCAACTCATAAAACACAAATATAGATTTGTCTACATCCTATTGATAAAGTGCTTGCAACATGATCCAAAATTACGGTGCTGAGTCTAGATTTATAGCTTGCCCTTGGCATGAGAGCAGAGGAAGAAAAAGTTTGGCCGAACTCAAAATAAATTCACATGAAACATTGACACACAAGAGTTGACATGCCACTACTCTTGCCTTGCCCACTCATTATGAATAGGTTTCCAACACATCAGGTTCTACTCCTTTGCTTTATCTTCCCTGGGATATTACTGGGAAGCAGGGATATGTCTTTGCCTACTTTGAGTAAATGATGAGATCATAGAAATTCTAAGGAATTGCTCTACTCTAGAAAAGGGGGCATTTTCTCTGTCTTAAGTTTGAAATTCTCCTACTAAGACATATTGTAATTAGACAGCTTGTGTGCTGCTTTGTAAAACATATGGGAAACCATCACTTGTTTTATTTAGGATAGGGTGCTGCTGTGGGGAGAATCTGTCAAGTCTCTGTCTAAAGCCTTAGTTATGAATAGAAATTCATGGGTAAATGTCAGGTGACAGAAGAGGTTAGTCCTAAAATCAAATGCAGTGAAAATCTGAAGACATTTAACATGGTAAATATTGTCCTCTGCGGATGAATTTCAAAGCAACAAAGAATCTCTCAGAATGGAGAAAGTGAAGTGTCCTTGTGAAATAAAGTTCTGAAAAGGTGGCAAATAATACTGTCTCCTGGCGTTGCAAATCTATGGTGAGCCTGGGAATTGAAAGATGCTTCCTTTGGTGGCTCGTCCTGGCCCCTGCTGTCACTTTAAGCAGTCTATTTGTCTTTGTCATGTCTCCATAGGTGCATGAGCATGAGCATAAATTGACGCTAATTCCAGTTGGGAGCACAACAGCAATTGAGAGCTTTAAGATGCTGCTAGAAATTAACCTTCAAACCCCCATATCTTCTAAGAATATTTTTTATTTTAGCATCTAGACTTACCAATAAATACTGAAAATAAGTCAGAGCAGCAGTATTTTTTCATATGAAAAACAAAAGACAGTGAAACCCAGAAACCTGTTAAACTCTGAATTGTCATTATTCATCCTATCAAAGTTCTTGCTGCAGTTGTTTTCAGTAACAATTTCAGTGAAAGCCTGATTTTTCCAAGTCAAAATGAGTAACAATTCATCCATCCTACCATCCACTAGCATTTACATGACCATACAGAAGATGATATTTCAGTAGTTCCCAATGCAAACTTATCTAAACATGTAGACAAATGTTCAATATTTAAATTAGTCTTTTCAAAACCACTTATATTCCTGAGTCTTCATTCTAGGTGAGATGCAATGATAATATAAAAACAGGAATTTAGAGTTAACAGTTTAAAAGGACCTAACTCTGTTATGTAAAGATTATTTTTCCAAGAAAAGAATAATATATTTATTTTCTTATTAATGATAGGACTTTCTGAAGATGTGAAAATAGTGCCTATCTTTCCTGGCTCATCATATTTAAATTTCAATGATGGTTTCTTACAACCTAATGAATTAATTCCTATGTGTCTCTGAGCTTTCTCTTCTCTCTTCCCAGGATAATCTTTTCTAGGATGTTTTACAGCCTCATTTCCACCATTCAAATTGATAAATGGATCTCTGTTTCAAACATTACCTTCTTTGAAAAACTTGTGTGACCAGTCTCCCTTCCCACATTACTTCCTTTCCCCTTACAGCATTTTAGTTTTCTTTATAACACTTATAATACCTAAAATCATACTATATATGATAAATGATTTATCATTCTTACTATTGTATTGTTTATTTGATTTGTTACTCTCCCTATCCCGTAACCCCACCCCAAATGCAAATGCTTTGACCAGAGATTTTTGTCTTATTTGTTGCTATAACCCTGGTGTCTAGCATACTATTGGGAACATAGTAGGTACTCAATAAATACTTTTAAAAGATGTTTTTGGAATGAATACATACATTATTGAACCAACAAGACAAAGCTCAAATGTTTTGCAAGGCATATAATCTTCAACTCCCAGCTTCGCTGTAATCTCTTAGTCCTAACTCACAAAACTTCTACACACATGCCTTACGTTTCAGTCTAATTGACTACTTCTCATTCTCTTTTGTGAAAGTATTCCCAGCTCTCCTGGACTAAAGTCTCTCCTTATGTTCTTGTAACAAGCACATTATACAAATGTATTAAAGTATTTATCAGATTCTAGTGTAATTATTTGCTATACGAATGACAGAGCTATGTTCTACGGCTTTGTATACCTAGCAACTTGCAAAGTGCCTGGTACATAGTGTGCACTTGGTATGTGTTTCCTAACTAAGTAAATCCTGTAAATCCAGCAACAGTGAGATTTCTACCAACACATAATTCCATAACGTATCTTTTCTTTTCAAATTCAGTATTCTAAGGATGTTTTAATATTTTCTGGATCGTCTAAGTAAGTGCAAAGGAGAAAGTGAGCAAAAAAGAATGTTGGAAAAGGCTGGTAGTTCAAATTTAATAGTACTCAAATACTTAAACGAAACAAGCTAAGCAATTTTATTGTTTCTACTCAAAACAGCCAAATAAGAATCGACTGTGACTGTTTAAGTGCTTTCTCTTTAGGTAAGCCTTTTAAGAAAACTTGTGGAGTAGAGGCTTATGAATTATATTTCTAAGAAAGGGCGTGAAATCCAAACTCTGCCAATTGTTACGTATATATTAGACAGGTATCTTTTTAAGAAATACACATGAACTAAAAGATAATGTGCCAGCATATGATTCTATGAAATTGATTTTCCTAAAACCAACAAACAAGCTCCACAGGAGTAATTACTACAGTTAAGAACATACACACCTGTTTAAGTCAGAAAAGCCTCACTATCATTTTTTGATAAATGTACCATTTTATAATAGGTAAAATTTTGTATTTTAATAAGTGTGGTTTATATTTGTGAATCTTTGAGAAAAAAAAACTGTGTTAAAGTTAGTTTCTTTTTAAGGAGGAAAACCAAATGAAAGCAACATTTTCATTATGGATTTACAGGTCAGATACTGCATGGAGAATTAAGATGAGAAGAGCCTTCAAATATTTTCAACCAATAACCTTTTAAAAACCATTTAACATATATTATCAGGCAGCAGCAGAATTATAATCAATGTTAATATGACACAAGTCCTTAGGCAGTAGGGAAATTGTTCTCTCAAAATTGACCTACATACTCTAGTTTCTTACAAACCTGAGTAAAGAGGATGTCTTAAAAATAGTTGACGCTTGCTCTATTTGACAGAGTTAATATACTGCTATCTAATATTTTTATAAATTAAAGATTATTGATTTTAATTTGCTCCTGTGAGTGTGAGAGTGCAAACAGAAATTCTGCAGATGGAAAGTTTAAGGAAAAAATTTCTCCCAAATCTCCCCTTCTGCTAATACACTAGGTAAAACCTGTGTGAGGCCAAGTGCTGAGCCCCTCTACATGCTCAAAGAATGTTTCTCACTCTTATTATTGGTGACTATCAGAGAGAGAGGCTGATAAGGAAAACTGACAATGTGCGTCTTTGATAGTACTTTTTCTCAGCTGCCCACCTTCCCTGAAATATTGCTGAAATTCTTTCCCATTCCTCATCTCCAGTGCATAGAAGAGTTCTCTCAACCTCAGGGGAAATAGCAAGAGAGTTCTCAGGGGCATTGCCTGCGGAACTTCAGAGAACTTAAGAGCAGGTAGAGGGTAACACTTCTCTGTTCGGTGGCTCAGAAGGACATCTACTTACCTTCAGTCAGGGCTAGGGGTGAAGAAGAAAAGACTTGGATAGACAAGTTCACTCTGAAATAGGCAAGCAGGAAATCAAAGCTACTAAAGATTTTCTCATTACAAAGTATAAATGTCATCCCAATTCACAAACAAGATTGAAGTTTATTTCCATTTCAATAACAATGCTTTTGCTTTTGGATACAAATGACACCAATAAGTCTATTTTCAGAAAAACATGAACCCATATTAAGGAAAAGGCATGATTGTTAGATCCTTGATTACTTTTGAGAGTAATCTTTTCCACTCTTGTCAAAGTCAGAGATTACGATTTAGTTTATGTAGGTTTAAAAAGTTACACTCTGCTACCTGAATATTCACATTTCCTTATATTTATTTCTTTTGTTTGAAAACTAACTACCCTTCATACCTGTACTCGATTTACTTTTTAACATGCAGTTACAGTTGCAAATTGGATTGTAATTGGCCATGAACAGTGCTCTGATATTTTTTTTATGGAAATGCAGTCCATCAAAAGCCAACAGCAGGATAGAGACAATCTTATCAGGACTTCCTTCCCCAGCTTTTAACCCACACTTGGAACTTTTATATGCTCTCATTTCATGTTTTGGTACACCATGCATCAAATATCTTGAAAAGTTGGTTAATGGTTTAGAAAATTAGGCTGTTCTACCTTAAATACAGAAAGAGGGGAAAGAAAGAAAAAGAAAGACAGACAGACAGAAAGAAAGAAAGAAGAAGAAAAGAAGGAAGAAAGAAAAAGAAAGGGAGGAAGGAAGGAAGGAAAGAAAGGAAGGAAAGAAAGAAAAAGAAGAAGAAAGAGAAGGAAGGAAAGAAGAAAGAGAAAGAAGAAGAGAAAAGAAAAAAAAAAGGAAGGAAGGAAGAGCAGGAAGGGGAAGAAAGCAAGGAAGGAAGAAGAATAAGAAGGAAGGGAGAGAGGGAAGAGAAGTAAAAGAAAAGATGAGAGATAAAAAAATTAATCACATCAAGAATATTTCTCCCTAAATAAGTATGGGCTCTTCTCAAATAATGTGCTCACCAAAAAGAAATTTTTAAACACAAAGTCAGAGGAAATGTTCATAGCTCCATAATTAAATTTCTAAGCCTTTATATGATAACTTTAAGTTGACTAGTGAAAGGATACCCCAGGTAATTACCCTGACATTTTAATAAATCATGTTCATTTGTTCATTGAAAGAATAGGCTTTTGCTCTGTAAAATACTTTTAGAGGTTTTTAAAATATATTCATAATGGAAAAATATTGTGACTATGCCTATAAAACCAAAACATTTTGATAACAACTGGATGTTTCAGACAGTAAATTGAATGTCCTATTTTCCTGTGTCAAAATCTGCCTATAGGAATTTGCTAAAAACTGTCATTAGGTAACTCCTCCAACAACACTATCATATACATGAAAACATGCCAGCTACACACCCCCTTCTCGGTGTTTTAAATTACATATTTCTATATGCTTTTTTTCACTATTTAATCCTATTTTGCTTATTTGTCTTTTCTTCACTTTTAAATTCTTTGATGAGTGATGCAGCTGTCATATTATTCTGATTGTATTAAACAATTTTGAGCAACAGTGAGTTAGTAAGATGAGGTCTCCAATGTGTTTGTGCCTATTTCAGAGATATGTGGCAACTGTTTTCATCAACAGAGATTTTGTCAAGTTATTTAAGCTCTTTGGTTCAGCCCTCTTTCCGAGCAAATATAGTGATGACGGCAAAAATAATTACACATTTCCAGGCAGAGTGCTTGCAGAGCCACTGTCTTTTATATCTATGAAATTAGTCCTTATAGGAAGAGGAAAGTCCCAGCCTCCCACTCACTAACATTATAGGCATGTGAGAGATTCAACTCCTGCCTCCTTGCTATCCTACTCATCTCTCTTCATACCAAATTACTGAGGATGATTAACAAACACAATGAAAACTGGATCAACGGCTCCGTAGTCCATACGTTGAAATGGTACTAGAGATGGTATGTTGCCTATACACTACAGTCAACACTAGTATTCTCTGGGGGAAGAAAGGAGACAGAAAGTAGAGAAACTTGTGTTTCCATTCTTTAGAATGTGAAGTACAGTAAAACTAAAATCCCCTTTTCCTCTGCAAAGCAAAATAAAGGATTTCAAATTCTCGTGATTGGTGAAAGTACAGTGTGTCAATTTCATTTTGTTATAAAACCACAACATTATCAAGTCTGTGTAAAATAGGAGGAGACAAAAATACATGAATGTGAGAATACAATTTAGAAACTAGACTTTCATCTCTAAAATTGGAGGTAAAATAAACTTATCTCAGGGAAATTTGGAAGACATTATCAAATATTAGAGAACCCATCCTCACATACATTTGAAGGGGAAAAAAGGATTTAAGGAACAAATGCGACTTTCTAAATCACCCGTCCATGTGAACAAGGTAGAAAAATACATGAAATCAAACTTCCCTACATTTCTACATTGTCACTCGGGCAAGTGATAATTTGTAAAAATTATGCTATTATTCACATATCCTTTCTAAAATAAACTCCATCTAAAAAACCCAGTATATTGCTCTGGCTCCATTAAAAGTTTTCTAAAATAGAAAACAAAGGACATATTGTCAACACTAGAATGCTATTTTTAAAATACATAGAAGTGTTGGAGAGAGTTCATAGAAAATCAAAAAGAACGGTTTGACTTTCTATATGCAAAAAAAGATTAAAAGAGTATGTATAGTTTAGCTAAGCAATGACTAAGTGGGAACATGATAACTGCCTGCAAATCTTCCAAGGGTGTGAACACAAAGAAGGGAGGGGTATTTGGTGGCCTCAAAGAGAAGACACGGATCCATGAGTCCAGCTGGCCTCCATTATTTGTTTTAATCTCATTGCCATTGGGAAACTTACACACTATTATAGCATTTTGATAGGAATTTCTCGACAAATAAGAGTACAGATTTTTTTAGAGGGGTGTGCATATTATTTGGGGACAAGTTAAAACTAGATATGAAAGGAAGGGAAACTACATATATCATTGTCAGTCACATCTGCCTCTAATTAAAGTGATAATTGTGTCATATTAATGGTATAATAAAGGTAACTTACAGAAATTATAAGGACCCAGAGAGGGAACTATCACTGGCTCAGCACACTTTGGAACCTGCATCACAGTTGTTTCTATTTAAGGAATTTTACCAATATATTTAACACAAACTACTTGGAATGCAGATGAATAAAAATGAAACTTCAAAGAGTTGTCATTACATCTTAGTTGGCCTAAACCAAAACCCTTGAGAAAGTCATGATATCCATACAAATAAATTTAGAGCTGTTAAAGTAATATTAATTTAAAATAAATAAGCTTTTGTGTCTTACTATATATGGTAAGATATTTTCATATTACCCAACTTCATATACTTGACTTGCAATCACAGTAACATTATACTACTGAAGAGGCATTCTAACCTGACCATCAAAGTTTGAGAAAGGTTTTGTTCAATTTTAGGAAACATCATCACTTAGCTAAATTAAGTAATTTCACACAAAAGATGTAGTACAATACACAATCACAATACAATAACTATTTTTCTTAGGAAGTAATGAACACAATAGAGAAAGAGGGAAAAATAATAGAGGAAAATGCAACGCTCTGTAACTACTCTACTGCCCAGTTATTTTCAATGTAAACAAGGTAAATGTCCTTACCTAGAAACGCCATGAAAACTCCAGTGTATTTTTCTCTTACTCTCATTCAACATTTTCTTACTTTCACTTTGTGTTTGAAAGTTGAATAAATCATTTAACTTGTACTTCTTGTACCTCTGTTCTTGAAACAGTTGATACGTATGTAGATTCAAATCCTTCTTTGAGAAGACAATTTTAGCTGGCAAAGAATAACTAACTTACATTGGGCATAATTACTTTTAGCCTTAAGATCTTGGCATGCCATGTACTAGAAAAGCCATGCCAGAGAATGGCAGCCACACCTACCTATGAGATGGCCTAAAGAAATACACTGCCTTATTTTTCCTCTGATATTTGATAAGTCAAAATAAATGATGACTGTGTGGTGTCATTTTGATGTTAGTATACAAAGGCAGGGAGTCTCCATTGCCAATGAAATTTTGAAAAATACAGCCAACATTTCAATACCCTAAAAAAGTGCCACGCAAAAAGTTTCTTTTCATTAAACTAGTCCACATTTAAATTCATACTGAATTAATTTCAGAAGATTTAAACAGTACATATGCATTTAATAATTGTTGCTAAGAATATGTGCACTTGTAGACGTGGACTATACAGTGATATGCAAAAATAAAATTTGGTTGGTAGATTATGGCTGATGCTTGATATTTCAAATCCAAATTTCTTGTCATATTTTATTTGTAAATAAGGTTAAAATATAATGGATATATTATTAATTCAATACTTAATTTATTATATGAATTTTATTGTAGGAAATACTTCCAAGTTAGGAGAAATAGACTGACTCACTTTGTTGAAGAAAAGATAGCTCTTGCCTACAAATTCCATTTTATGAGTGCAGTATTACCTTTGTCCCTATTTACATTTTAAAGTTTCTTAAGGCTTACCCACATGCTGCTACTCTCTCTGTGCTTTTTATTCTTGACCTAAGTTTCAGAGGATGAAAACATTTAAGAATAAAGTCATGTATAACCCTGCCAAACAATGGAATTTTTTTCATGCAGATTTTCTTTTCATCAGTGTTCTATATATGCAAATCCCTGAATGGCTTATAGTTCACTGATGACTCTTTTGCATAGGTAAATACTTATCAACTAGTGGCAATAATAGGAATCCAAATGATTTTCAAGTGACTGTCAAGCCTCTATGGTTTAATAAGTATTGATATGTTGACTATCTTTTACCAATAGAAAGACAGCTGCTCTTGAGAACAAAAGAGGTTCAGACACAATTGGGCTCAAGTGGAAGAGAACACTGTGAGTTCTTAAGGTCTGGTGGAGTCCACCCACCCACAAACTGTCAGGGCATTCTTCTCTTTCATTATTGCTACTGTAGCAAGTAGAAAGTTGGAGCTGAACTGCCATCCTATTCCCAAAGAGGACCGTGACAAGAAGTGCAATCTGGTACGGGAAATGACATCTCATGCTTGCTTTCACCTCTCCTGGCATGAGAGGTGAAATCTCCTCCATTAGAGGGATTCAGGTTGCTTCTACCTGTAAGCAAGCAGAGGCAGGCAACATCATGTCTTTGGCATAAACTATAGAAAGAACAAAACAAATTAAAATGCTTTAAAATGTTTTTGAACTTCCAAAAAGATTTTAAATAGTTTGTTTGAGAGATGTAATGTTTAAAGTCCTTTGTTCACTCATATTTTTTTCCATAGCAGATTGAAGTGAAGGAATCATTCAAGGATGAAAAATATCATTCATTCAACAAACAAGTGAGTGTCTACAATGAGCCGCAGGTACTACAGGCATTACAGATTTTGAAGATACGACTAAATTATCATTTTTCCCAGAAGAAATATTTCAAGTGCCCTTGGTGTGGATGGCAATGGGATTATCTTATATTTCAGTTGCTCTTTCCTGTATGGTTCTAGTGGTTAAAAGTATACCTGAAAATACATTCTATAGTTTAACAGAAAATGTACTTATGCATTTCTTTTATAGGCAGAGACAAGCCATATTTAGATTTGATATGGACTTTTGGGCAGTGTCAATCTATACTCACTTCAAGGGGTAGTAAAACAGAATTTAAACATCTATTTTCAACATACATATTTATACATATAACATATAGAAGCATATATATAACTTAGATATATATTTTAGCTATAATAAGCTGTAACTGTGTAAATTTTAACTAAATTATGATATGTTATTATATAAGATGTGGGTAATACAGGATATGCTTTTCTAGTCATTTCATTCTGTAGTATCTAAAGAAGCAAAATCAAACACAATAATAGGAACGATTTCCAAACCTGATTAAAAAAATGAAAAAAGGAAAAAATTTAAAAAAAGAAAAAATGAACGTGTTTCAAGTCAAACGCCTATGAAGATGCATTTATTCTTATAATTTGGGTGGGAGGTGGAATATGGTGAAGAAATCTTCTTCAGACCTAAGCTGGGCGATGGGGAGAGGGAACTTCAAGAAGGAGATCTAGAGACTCCAATATAAATTGTGTTGAAAGAGGAAATATAAAATGTGAATCAATTCATATGTCCACCACAAAATGATTAGGGAGGTGTCACACAATCCATCTAATTTCTCTACCTTGCTTTCATTTTTTGTAAAACAAGGTGGTCTGGACAACTAGCATGCATGCAACAAACTTATATTAAGAGCCTACTAGTGGTAGTTACTGGGGTTTAAAAAACATTTTCACATACAATATTTATTTCATCTTGGCCTTATTTGGTAAAAAAAAAATTACAGTTCTATTTAGCATGAGTGAAATAAGAACTCAATAGAATCTGAAGCATTTATGCAAAGTCTAAATGATCTCTAGATTCTCTTCCAGATGCTAAAAATTATCCTTAAATCTGTAATTTTAAGTGACGCACAGGATCAAAGGATAATATGTATAGGAACCATGTGGACACAATTCTCCTCATGCTTTCTCCTCTATTTCTTTCAATGGGGACCAAAATGATCACTCAAACTGCTCATTCCTCATCATTTCCTTCTCATTTCCTAATCTCTTCCTTCTACCACCACACATGTAAGTAAGGGCTTGGCAATTTAATTATTTTTTCTGTTAAGAGACAGATAGTAAATAGTTTAGACTTTGTATGCCACAACTACCCAACTCAACAGTTGCAGCATAAAAGCATCAAAAGACACATAGAAATTGTGAGTGACTATGTTCCAATGAGACTTTATTTACAAAGACAGAGAGTCATCCATATTTGGCTCTTAAGCTGTAGTTTGCCTAACCCTGATATAGGTGTATCTTGAAAAATAAAAGTATTTAGTAATAATCCCAAAGTTCATGCAAAATAAAAAGATCAAAATATTTTAATAACACTGTAAAGTCACGCATTGTAAATTCTCTTTTGACATATGGCTACACAATAAAGTTACAATATGATCTTATACAATAAGTAAAAACACATAATATGTCAGCTAATGTTACCTTTATATTTGTATGGGTGACTGAAGTTATTTCAATTTATTAAGATTTATCTTACAAAACTTGTTAAGGCTTTTGAAAAAGATCTAAAGAAAATTTTCTGTGGGAGCCAGGTGGAGCTGGGGTCTTCTATCTGGATATCAGATAGAAATTTGATTTTTTATTCTTGATTAAATTGTCTAATATCTGTAGTTTCAATATACTACTAAGGTAGAAAGTAAAATTATTTATTTACTTTAGTCATTGTCAGGCAATCAAGGATACTTATCAAATTTGTCTATCTTATTTATTAGATATGATAATTGATATCTTGGTTTCTTCTTCCAGTATCATATGGATGTAAAACTGATCTCATAGGCAAACAGAAGGTCCTTGGAGTTTGCCGACTTTGTTAATGACCTTGTAAGTTGCAAAACCAGTAAGTTAGTCAAAGGTGTATTTGATCAATTATCTTTCTGCTTTGCAATTTGAATGTGATAGGATGTTAATGACAAAATGTGGGGTTTGGCACATAGCAGAATCTCAACATTATTTTTTCTTTGTATGTCATCATATTTGCTATCTTTCTTGTCCTCTGCAATAAATAATAGCAAAACCTCTAGAGGGACAATGAAGTAACACAGACCACATTTAACTTCATATCTTGAATAACTAGAAATTTGGACAAAATATATGAAATAACTATTTTCAGAATCTGAAACACAAGACAGTGCAGAACTTTGGTCCCTGAGAAGAAGAAAACAAATAAAATAAAACCTATGATCATTTTGGACTCTGCTTGGAGACAGTCTAGGCTGTGGAGCAGGGAGGGGAATCCCAAGTGGAAAGTAGAGTTCTTGCTGAGTTGTGAAGTTTGGAAGTTGAGATGTCAGCAAGTCTGAACCAGTAGAAAGTTGTGCAGCACACTTCTGCATAGGAGGGAATGATTAAAAACTTCCATAAAGTGTTTAATTACAAAGATGCACATATGTAGGGCAGAAATCTATTAAGCCTGTTCAGCATAGTGTTTAGAAATCTGTGAGATGAATTGTTCTCAGAGCTCACACAGGAATGAAAATTATTTTAGTTCCCATCAGTCAGAACGGGGACTTCTTGATGACCACCTGGACAATTTAGAAAAAAACTACAGAAGGGGTGGATCTCATAGTGGAAATAAACTACTGCAAAAGTTAAAAACTACTTGAGGCACACACAAAGAAAGATTAAAATAAGCCTCAAAATATCAAATTAAACTGTAAGAGCTTAACTGTTTACCAGAACAAAGCCAACAACCATCAAAGGAAGACAACAGAATCTAGAAAGATAACATTGAAAAATCCACAATGCCCAACATCCAATGAGAGATTACCAGTAATTCAAAAAAGCAGAAAAATGTGACACATAACTAGGTAAAAAAATCAGTCATTAAAAACAGATAAAAATAATAGACAAGAAAGAATTATTAGGCAAAGGAATTAGAAAGCTATTATCATATTGCACTATTTAGAGGAAAACAGTGAATAGAGAGATGGAGGATAAAAATAAACACATCTTTTAAGAATGAAAATCACAATAGTAGATCAGACACTGCAGAAGAAATGATTTATGAACTTAATGACATAAAAATGAACACTACCCACAATGAACTGGAGAGAGAGACTAAATGATTGGTAAAAAGAACTGAGTATGTTAGCTGTGCAATGACATAAAAGCGACTCATATATGTATAATTAGAGTCTCATAAAAAAGAAGGCATAAAAACATTTGAAAAATTAATGGCTAAGTATATTCAATTAGAATTATCAGATGAGAACTTTAAACCAGTTAACTATGATCAGTTAGATGAGGAAAATACATTGGTAACAAATGAAAAATTAGAAACTTTCTGCAAAGAAACAGAACATGAAAAAGAATCGAATGGGCTGACTCTCTTTTTGGACTCAGCCCACCTGCACCCAGGTGAAATAAACAGCCATGTTGCTCACACAAAGCCTGTTTGGTGGTCTCTTCACACGGACGCGCATGAAATTTGGTGTTGTGACTCGGATCGGGGGACCTCCCTTGGGAGATCAATCCCCTGTCCTCCTGCTCTTTGCTCGGTGAGAAAGATCCACCTATGACCTCAGGTCCTCAGACTGACCAGCCCAAGAAACATCTCACCAATTTCAAATCTGGTAAGTGGCCTCTTTTTACTCTCTTCTCCAACTTCCCTCACTATCCCTCAACCTCTTTCTCCTTTCAATTTTGGCGCTACACTTCAATCTCTCCCTTCTCTTAATTTCAATTCCTTTCATTTTCTGGTAGAGACAAAAGAGACACATTTTATCCGTGGACCCAAAACTCCGGCGCCAGTCACGGACTGGGAAGGCAGCCTTCCCTTGGTGTTTAATCATTGGAGGGACGCCTCTCTGATTATACACCCACGTTTCAAGGGTGTCAGACCACGCAGGGACGCCTGCCTTGGTCCTTCACCCTTAGCGGCAAGTCCCGCTTTTCTGGGGAAGGGGCAAGTACCCCAACCCCTTCTCTCCTTGTCTCTACCCCTTCTCTGCCTTTCCTGGGGCAGGGGCAAGTACCCCTCAATCCCTTCTCCTTCACCCTTAGCGGCAAGTCCCGCTTTCCTAGGGGCAAGAACCCCCCAATCGCTTATTTCCACACCCCAACCTCTTATCTCTGTGCCCCAATCCCTTATTTCCGCACCCTGACCTCTTATCTCTGTGCCCCAATCCCTTATTTCTGTGCCCCAACCCCTTCTCTGCTTTTCTGGAGGGCAAGAACCCCCCACCCCTTCTCCGTGTCTCTACTCTTTTCTCTGGGCTTGCCTCCTTCACTATGGGTAGGCTTCCACCTTCCATTCCTCCTTCTCCCTTAGCCTGTGTTCTCAAAAACTTAAAACCTCTTCAACTCACACCTGACCTAAAACCTAAATGCTTTATTTTCTTCTGCAATGCCGCTTGACCCCAATACAAACTCGACATAGTTCCAAATAGCTGGAAAACGGCACTTTCAATTTTTCCATCCTATAAGATCTAAATAATTCTTGTCGTAAAATGGGCAAACGGTCTGAGGTGCCTGACGTCCAGGCATTCTTTTACACATCTGTCCCTTCCTAGTCTCTGTGCCCAGTGCAACTCGTTCCAAATCTTCCTTCTTTCCCTCCCTCCTGTCCCCTCAGTCCCAACCCCAAGCAGTGCTGAGTCTTTCTAATCTTCTTTTTCTACAGACCCATCTGACCTCTCCCCTCCACACCAGGCCAAGCTAGGTCCCAATTCTTCCTCAGCCTCAGCGCCTCCACACTGTAATCTTTTTATCGCCACCCCCCACCCCCTCCACCCCGCATCCCACACCTGGTCCTGCTTACAGTTTCATTCTGTGACTAGCCCTCCCCCACCTGCCCAGCAATTTACTCTTAAAAAGGTGGCTGGAGCCAAAGGCCTAGTCAGGGTTAATGCTCCTTTTTCTTTATCCTGAATCAGATAGCGTTTAGGCTCTTTTTCATCAAATATAAAAATCCAGCCCACTTCATGGCTCATTCGGCAGCAACCCTGAGACGCTTTACAGCCCTAGACCCTAAAAGGTCAAAAGGCCGTCTTATTCTCAATATACATTTTATTACCCAATCTGCTCCCAACATTAAATAAAACTCCAAAAATTAAATTCCGGCCCTCAAACCCCACAACAGGATTTAATTAACCTCACCTTCAAGGTGTACAATAATAGAAAAAAGTTGCAATTCCTTGCCTCCACTGTGAGACAAACCCCAGCCACATCTCCAGCACACAAGAACTTCCAAATGCCTGAACCGCAGCGGCCAGGCGTTCCTCTAGAACCTCCTCCTCCAGGAGCTTGCTACAAGTGCCAGAAATCTGACCACCAAGGCAAGGAACGCCTGCAGCCCAGGATTCCTCTTAAGCCGTATCCCATCTGTGCGGGACCCCACTGGAAATCGGACTGTTCAACTCACCTGGCAGCCACTCCCAGAGCCCCTGGAACTCTGGCCCAAGGCTCTCTGACTGACTCCTTCTCGGCTTAGCGGCTGAAGACTGACACTGCCCGATCGCCTCGGAAGCCCCGTAGACCATCATGGACGCCGAGCTTCAGGTAACTCTCACAGTGGAAGGTAAGTCCGTCCCCTTCTTAATCAATACGGAGCCTACCCACTCCACATTACCTTCTTTTCAAGGGCCTGTTTCCCTTGCCTCCATAACTGTTGTGGGTATTGACAGCCAGGCTTCTAAACTTCTTAAAACTCCCCAACTCTGGTGCCAACTTAGACAACACTCTTTTATGCACTCTTTTTTAGTTATCTCCACCTGCCCACTTCTCTTATTAGGCCGAGATATTTTAACCAAATTATCTGCTTCCCTGACTATTCCTGGACTACAGCCGCATCTCATTGCTGCCCTTCGTCCCAATCCAAAACCTCCTTTGCTTCCTCCTCTTGTATTCCCCCACCTTAACCCACAAGTATAAGAGACCTCTACTCCCTCCTTGGTGACTGATCACGCACCCCTTACCATCTCATTAAAACCTAATCACCCTTACCCCGCTCAACGCCAATATCCTATCCCACAGCACGCTTTAAAAGGATTAAAGCCTGTTATCACTCGCCTGCTACAGCACGGGCTTCTAAAACCTATAAACTCTCCTTACCATTCCCCCATTTTACCTGTCCTAAAACCAGGCAAGGGTTACAAGTTAGTTCAGAATCTGCACCTTATCAACCAAATTGTTTTTCCTATCCCCCCCGTGGTGCCAAAGCCATATACTCTCCTATCCTCAATACCTCCCTCTGCTACCCATTATTCTGTTCTGGATCTCAAACATGCTTTCTTTACTATTCCTTTGCACCTTCATCCCAGCCTCTCTTTGCCTTCACTTAGACTGACCCTGACACCCATTAGGCTCAGCAAATTACCTGGGCTGTACTGCCGCAAGGCTTCACAGACAGCCCCCATTACTTCAGTCAAGCCCAAATTTCATCCTCATCTGTTACCTATCTCGGCATAATTCTCATAAAAACACACGTGCTCTCCCTGCTGATCGTGTCCGATTAATCTCCCAAACCTCAATCCCTTACAAAAGAACAACTCCTTTCCTTCCTAGGCATGGTTAGTGCGGTCAGAATTCTTACACAAGAGCCAGGACCACACCGTGTAGCCTTTCTGTGCAAACAACTTGACCTTACTGTTTTAGCCTAGCCCTCATGTCTGCATGCAGCGGCTGCCGCTGCTTTAATACTGTTAGAGGCCCTAAAAATCACAAACTATGCTCAACTCACTCTCTACATTTCTCATAACTTCCAAAATCTATTTTCTTCCTCATACCTGACGCATATACTTTCTGCTCCCCGGCTCCTTCAGCTGTACTCACTCTTAAATCCCACAATTACCATTGTTCCTGGCCCGGACTTCAATCTGGCCTCCCACATTATTCCTGATACCACACCTGACCCCCATGACTGTATCTCTCTGATCCACCTGATATTCACCCCATTTCCCCATATTTCCTTCTTTCCTGTTCCTCACCCTGATCACGCTTGCCTCGTGCTATCCCCAAACTGCCATTCTTAACTCTTGAAGTAAATAAATAATCTTTGCTGGCAGGGCTATGCTGAATCTCCTTAGGCACTCTCTAATCAGATGTCCTGAGTTGTCCCAATTCTTAGACTTTTTATACCTGTTTTTCTCCTTCTGTTATTCCATTTAGTTTTTCAATTCATACAAAACCATATCCAGGCCATCACCAATAATTCTACACAACAAATGTTTCTTCTAACAACCCCACAATATCACCCCTTACCACAAAATCTTCCTTCAGCTTAATCTCTCCCACTTTAGGTTCCCACACCGCCCCTAATCCGGCTTGAAGCGGCCCTGAGAAACATCGCCCATTCTCTCTCCATACCACCCCCCAAAAATTTTCGCCACCCCAAGACTTCAACACTATTTTGTTTTATTTTTCTTATTAATATAAGAAGGCAGGAATGTCAGGCCTCTGAGCCCAAGCCAAGCCATCGCATCCCCTGTGACTTGCACGTATACGCCCAGATGGCCTGAAGTAACTGAAGATCCACAAAAGAAGTAAAAATAGCCTTAACTGATGACATTCCACCATTGTGATTTGTTCCTGCCCCACCCTAACTAATCAATGTACTTTGTAATCTCCCCCACGCTTAAGAAGGTTCTTTGTAATTCTCCCCACCCTTGAGGATGTACTTTGTGAGATCCACCCCTGCCCGCAAAACATTGCTCTTAACTCCACCGCCTATCCCCAAACCTATAAGAACTAATAATAATCCACCACTCTTTGCTGACTCTCTTTTTGGACTCAGCCCACCTGCACCCAGATGAAATAAACAGCCATGTTGCTCACAAAAAAAAAAAAAAAAAAAAAGAATCGAATGGAAATTTTAGAAATAAAATGTTTTATATATAAATAGAAATTTATAGGATGGCCTCAATAATATCGTGGAAATGACAGAGGAAAGAATCAATGAGCTTGATGAGAGAGCAGTAGAAGTTATATAATTTGAGGTAAAAGGAAGAAAAACATTGAAAAATATAAACAGTTTCAAGTGTCAGTAGAAAAATGTCAAACATTATAACATGTAAAATTGGAGCCCTAGAAAGAGAAGAGCAAGTAGTGAGCAGAAAAAAATAATTAAATATATAGGTAGCCAAAAACTCCCCATATTTGGTGGCAGAAATAAATTTGCAGTATCAAAAAACTCAACGTACCCCAAACAGGATGAATAAGAAGCAATCAGTTAAGCACATTGTACTCAAATTGATCAAAATTAAAAATAAAAAGAAATTTTTGAAAGTATCCAGGAGAAACCATACATACATACAGAAAAACCATGATTCAAATGACTTTTTTTTTTTTTTTTTTTTTTGATACAGTCTCGCCTGTCACCCAGCTGGAATGCAGAATGCAGTGGCATGATCTCAGCTCACTCACAGCAACTCCATCTCTCAGGCCCAAACAATCCTCCTGCCTCAGACTCCTGAGCAGCTGGGATCACAGGTGTGCACCCATGCACCACCACGCCCAGCCAATTTTTGTATTTTTAGTAGGGACACAGTTTCACCATGTTGGCCAGGCTGGTCTCAAACTCCTGACCTCAAGTAATCCGCCTGCCTCAGCCTCCCAAAGTGTTGGAATTACAGGCGTGAGCCACTGCGCCCAGCAAATGATGAAGTACTTCTCATTTGAAACTACCTAAGCCAGAAGACACTGGACCAGCAATGTTGAAATAAAAAGAAATATCAAACCAGAAATCTGTAACCTCAATAAATTAAAGGTGAATAATATCATACATAGGATATTCTCTAATCACGAGAGAATTAAACCAGAAAGCAAAGCCAATAAAATATCTAGGAAAATATCTAAAATATTTCCTTTATTTGTAAATTAAATAACACTTCTAAAAGACCCATGGGTCAAAGAAGACATTAATTTATAAAATATTTCAGATTGGACCAGGCATGGTGGCTCACGCCTGTAGTCCCAGCACTTTGGGAGGCAGAGACAAGTGCATCACTTGAGGTCAGGAGTTCGAGACCAGCCTGGCCAACATGGTGAAACCCCATCTCTACTAAAAATATAAAAAATAGCTGGGCATGGTGGTGGGTGCCTGTAATCCCAGCTACTTGGGAGACTGAGGCAGGGAGGCATTGAACCTGGGAGGCAGAGGTTGCAGTGAGCTGAGATCATGCCATTGCCCTCCAGCCTGGGTGACAAGAATGAAACTCCATCTAAAAGAAAAAAAAGATCGAATTGTGTGATAATAAAAGCATAACATATCAAAAAAATGGAATTAAAGACTTTACAGATTTAAAAACTAATATGACTCAATACTGATAGATCTAAACTACAAGGAAAGCTAAAGGAAAATAATACCTCAAGGAAAAGAATATTAAATAAAAAGTCGAAAGTATGAAAAGGAAGAGAGTGAAAATAGTAAACATAGTGAAAATATAAATATTTTCCTCGTTTTAATTTCTAATTTAGTTAAAAGCAAAATAATGTGAATGCATTGTGAGGCTTATAACTTAAATATAAAATCTACAACAATAACACAATGGATGGGATGGGGAAATGTAAGTATATTGTAGTAAGGTTCTGATATTATATGAAATGGTGTAATAGTATTTAAAGGTAGACTACGCTAAGATATTATACATTAACTGAATATTTTATATTTTTATATTTTAATTATTTAATAATTTTTCACTATATTTAAATGAAAAAATTATGCTATTTCAAATTTTCACTATTTTCAAGTGAAACTATTTTATATTTTCTCTTTTGTTCAAGGGAAATATTTTTCTCTCTTGTCTATATGTTGATGCTCTTAATGGAATCTTATTTCTCTGATACTTTGTTCTGTTTTCTCCATTCTATTTTCTCACTATTCCCTGGATTGTAAAATCTCTGTTGATCTAGCATCAAGATCACTCATTCTATTTTCTGCTAGCTAGTGACTGCTCTAGGGGTTTCCACATACATCTTACCTCATGAGAATCTATTTCAGATTTGTACTACATTAATTCCAGAGATATAGAAATATTACTCCAATTTTCTCATCTGCCTTTTTTGTGCTATTGTTATGCATAAAACCAGTTATAAGTTGTTGTAATTATTACTTCATATATTGTTTGTTCAAAAAGCTTAGAGAAGAAAGGAGGAAAAGTATATATTCATGAGTTTGTTATAAGGAGCTCTCATTTATAATTTGGTTTTCTTCATTTGTTCCTCTGGATTTAAGTTAACATTTGGTATTAATGACTTCCTTTAATACAATTTTCTCCATTTCTTTTGTTCCATTATTATCAAATATGTTACATTTGTATATGTTATGTAACCACAATTTAATTTTAAAAATATTGTTTTATAAAACTGCCTTTTAAATCAGTTAATACTAGTAAGGAGAAGAAATATGCATTGGTGGTCTTTTATAACTACATAATTACCTTTCCTAGTCTCCCTCCCTACCGTGTGTGTGTTTGTGTGTGTGTGTATGTCTATTTGAATTACTGTGTTTGGTTATTTTCACCTAAAGAAGTTTCTGTAGTATTTCTTATGTAGTCAGTTGGCTAGGAACAAATTGTCTCAGTTTGTGTTTATCTGGGAATGTCTATTTTTCACTTTTATTTTTTGAAAGACAGTGTTCTAGATATAAGATTCTTGGTTAGCAGCTTTTTTTTTTCTTTCAGTACTTTGCCTATGATATTTCACTGCCTTTTGGCCTCTGTTGTTTCTGATGAAAAGTCAACTGTTAATATTATTTGGGGCTCCTTGTACATGACTAGACAGTTTTATCTGACTGCTTCAAGATTTTTGTCTTTGTCTTTCAGCATCTTTGTTACAATGTGTCTGTGTGAATCCCTTTAAATTTAGGCTACTTGGAGTTTGCTGAACTGCCTGGATTCATAGATTCATGAGTTTTGGCAAATTTGGGAAGGTTTTAGCCATTATTTAAAAAATTTTTTTCTGTGTTTTTTTCTCTCCTGTCTATATGTTATGCTCTTTATGGTGTCTTATTTCTCTCATACTCTGTTCTGTTTCCTTCATTCTGTTTTCTCACTACTCTCTGGATTGCATAATCTCTGTTGATCTAGCATCAAAGTCACTCATTCTATTTTCTGCTAGTTCAAATCTACTCTAGCGAATTTTTATTTCAATTGCTGTAATTTTCAATTCCAGTGTTTTCATTTAGTTTTATTTTATACAATCTATCTCTTTATTGATATTTTGTTATGACAAAGCATTATCATCAAACCTTTCTTTAATTTTTCAGCATGAATTTTCTTAGTTCTTTGAATATATTTAATTGGCTGCTTAAGTGTTTGTTAAATCCAATTACCAAGCTCTCTCACAGTTACTTTTTGTTGTCTGCTATATTTTGCTGTATATGACTCATACTCACCTGTTTTCTTCATGCCTCATAATCTTTTTTGTCAAAAATTGGATTTTAAAAATAATATATCAGAGGAAATCTGGATACTAATCTTTCCTTGCTTGAAAGGAAAGGTCTGCTTATTTGTTAATTGACTAGCCAGACCATTTTAGTGAAGTCTATTTCTCTCAGAGTGCAAACCCTCTCTATTAGTTCATTCTCACACTGCTAATAAAGACATGCCCGAGACTGGGTAATTTATAAAGGAAAGAGGTTTTATTGACTCACAGTTTCATATGGCTGGGGAAGCCTCAGGAAACTTACAATCATGGTGGAAGGGGAAGCAAATATGTCCTTCTTCACATGTTGGCAGAAGAGAGAATGAGGGCCAAGCAAAGGGAGAAGATGCTTATCAAACCATCAGATCTCATGAGAACACACTCACTATCATGAGAACAGTATGAGGGAAACTGTCCCCATGATTCAATTATCTCCACCTGGTGCCGCCCTTGACATGGGGAGATTATTACAATTCAAGATGATATTTTGGGTGGGGACACAGCTAAACCATATCACCCTCTAATGTCTCTCCTCATAGAACACAGCTTTGTCATGAGCACAGTCACATGAGTTGACAGCAATTTTACCAGGGCTATTTTGATTCTCTGATTTGCCTGATCTCTCTATTCGGTTGTATTGCGCGCTTAGTATCATAAACAGCTGTTTGTCCTCACTAATTGCTGGCTAATTGCTCTATTGTATTCAACCATGCCCTGGGACACATATTGTTCCATAGTCTGATTCTATTAAATTTGGGTTCCTTTGCAGGATAATTTTTGAAGCCAGTCGTGGAAAGTTGCTCTGATATGAAAAAGTCATTTATTAGCTACCATTTCTCTGGTTCTCTTTAATTAAATGGCTAACAAATGATGTAGCTTGTTGCTCTCATAAAGCTATCAGCCTTTTTAACTTGCTTGCCACCAAAATCTCCATTGTTTTCCAGAATGCCCTTAGGGTTGAGTCCCTCACTCTAGTACAAACAAAGTAATGTTTTGTGTGTGGAAGAGGGACTGAAAGGGAGTGGGGAGCTTCAGGGGGTCTCCATTCTTATGCTTCTCTCCTCTAGAGAAAATATTTAAGATACAGCTGCAGACCTTGAGACGGGGCAATGCTCAACTTTTTTTGGATTGACACCCCTGCTTTATGCACAGGGAACTGTGCAGGGTTGTATCATTTGTCTCCTCAGCTTGCCTCTCCTGGCATGAAACCTCTGCTCATTACAAACTGGGATAATTTCAGTTGGGGCCCCAGTAACCACAACATGCTGTACTTAACATAGAGCTTCTACTCCACAAGTCTGGAATGAATACAGGGAGGAAATCTTTAAATTCCTGGCCATACTTGCCTGGGTCTTAGCCTCTGCAACACGTACGTATGGAACTTTAGTGATACTGGTGGCCTAACTGTAGGAAGGAGGTACTAACTAGGAAGGAGATGGGAACTGAGGGACCAGGAGTACTGTTATCTCCGTGTCGTCTTTTTATAGAGGTGTCTCTGTCACACTGAGCTGGGAATAGGAAGGGAAAGAGCAGGTTATGGTTCAATTGCCATGGACTCTGATTTTTCTTATGAAATTTTTCTTGAATGAATGTTCCTACATTTGCTTTATGTCCTTAAAACAATTTTCAGGTATTTTAAATGGTGACTTTTGCATAATTTTCATAAGTAGTGATTGTTTCATAACTTATGTGGAAAGTAGGGAAGTGGAGCTCTGCTTGTCATGAGTCTGATTAGGATTAGATTTAAACCATAGAACAATTTTAGAAAAAGTATCATTTTAATAACAAGAGTCTTATGATATATGTCCATAATGTAACTTTCCATTTATTTTGGTCTTTTGAAGTTTTTTAACATTATTTTGTAGTTTTCATAAATGTTGTATATGTATTTTTAAATGTAGCTTTTATATTGCATGTTTTTGATAGTGTTGTTAATGTTATTTATTGAATTGTCAAAACCAATTTTCTGAATTCTTTATTCTTTATTGTGTATGGCTATTGACTTTTGCATTCTGTTAGTTTAGTAGTCAGCTAGTGTTTTGATAGTTTCCTTAAATGCCTATAATCAAGAAAGGAAGAAGAAAAGAAAGAAAATGAAAGAAAAATATGTCTTCATAGTATTGGCAGATGGGCTTTATGTTATGTCACTCCTTTAACCCTTAACCAAGCCATTTACAACCCTACCTTACCATTCACATCCTATTTGAGCAGAGCTTGGCGGTCAGCCAGAGTTAGAAGTATAGCGTTGTCTCTAGCCTTTTCTGAGCAGGCATCCTGCTGTGGGTATTTGCTTGGCCTTCTCAATTCTTCAGCATTTGTGGAAGTTTTTAAAAGCCTTTGTACTCCATATATCTCCTTTCTCAACTTCTTTTCCAGGCTTTTTGATATGTTTATTGCCTATGCTGATTATTGTCCCTATATTGACCTGATATAGCCAATACTGTGCCTCTAAATTCTTTCAGAAAATGCCACATGGGAAGCTACTTCATCCTTGGTAGTGTTCTGAGTCCGGTAAAACAAAGGTAAGTCCTTGTGCTGGACCTTCAGGGAGATATCAGAAAGGTTGAAACAGATAACCACAATTCTTAGAGCACGAGGTCCATATTGCTGTTTTGACGCTAGGAATTTGCACCAAGAGTCCAACTGCTGTCCTCATGGCTGCTAATTTGGGCATTGGAGATGTTAGGTTAGCAACAGAGAATGGCATAATATAGTTTTACTGCAGGCAGCAGCTTCTTTCTTAACCAAATTTTTCCTTTCTTATTGTGAGTTTTTGACTAGATTCCAGAGATCTGCAAAAGTTGACTCTAACACATTTTTCCTAGCTTATTATTTTTGTGTGTGGAGAGATGGGGTCCTGTAATTTTCACTCCACCATTTTTGGTGACATCTTCCAATTCATTCTTGTATATTTGCCTTACATCCTGTTACCTTCCTATATTTACTTAATAGTTTTGTTACTTTTTTTGTAGTTCATCAGCACTTCTACATGGATAACTACTTCTGTAAGTAAGACAATTTTACAGTCTCTTTTGCAATCTGGAGACTATTTATTTTTATTGTCTTATTTCCTTGTATAGGAGCTCCAGTAAATTGCTGAATAAAAGTGGTTAGAATTAAAATTCTTTTTATATCCCCAATCTGAGGGAAAAAGCATTTATTTCTTCTCTGACATGGAATATGATATGAGTTCTAGGTTTTTGTTAGATGGTCTTTATTAGATTTTATTATTAATGGGTGTTTAATTTTGTAAACATTTTTTAATCTACTGAGATGATTACGTATGTTGTTTATTTCTGTGATAACTTCATTGATCAACTTTCTGATATTAAATCAGTTTTGCCTTACTTGGAGTAATCAAATTTTAATTATGCTATATTAACCATTTTATATATTGTTGAGTTCACTTTATTAAGATTTTGATAAGGATTTTTATGTTGATTATTGGTTTGTAGTTTTCTGTTTTCTAATGTGTTTTCATTTTTTATTTTTGGTATTTGTGTCAGGGTAATACTAGCCTCATAAAATGAGTTCAGAAGTTCTCACTTATTTCTATTTCCAGGAAGAGTTAGAGTAGAATTGGTGTTGTTTATAGAATACACTAGTAAAGCCTTCTTGGTCTTGTGGTTTCTTTCTTAGAATGTTTTTATCTATAAATTCTGTTTCTTTACATGACTCAGGTTATCTGTTTCCTCTTCATTGAACTTTGGCAGCTTCAAGGAGTTTTCCTCTTTCATCTAAGTTTTTAAATTTATTGCCATAAAGCTATTAATATTTTATGTCATTTCAATACCAGTAGAAACTCTAGTGCTTTTATATCTCTCACGCTTGATATTGGTAACTTACATAATCTCTCTTTTTACCTTTTTTAAAATTTTTTGTGACAAAGTCTGTGTCTGTCACGAGGCTGGAGTGTATTGGTACAATCTTGCTCAATGCAACCTCTAACTCCTGGGCTCAAACGATCCTCCCGCCTTAGCCTCCTGAGTAGCTGGTACTACAGGTGCATGCCACCATGCCTGGCTAATTTGGGTGGCGGGGAGATGGAGTTTTGTCATATTGTACGGGCTGGTCTCAAATTCCTGGGCTCAAGCAATCTGCCAGCCTCAGCCACCCAGGGTGCTGGGATTACATGCATGAGCCACCACACTTGGCCTCTTTCTATTTTAATGAGTCTGGCTAGACACTCATTGTTTTTAAATATTCAGCTTTATATTTCATTTTTTTAACATTATGTTTGTTTTTTATTTATTTCCTGTCTTTGTTATTTTTTTCTTTTTTGTTGTAATTTGCCCTTATGTTTGAATTTCTAAATAGAAATTTCTTCCATTGTTTTAAACATAAGCCTTAAGGGTAACTTTTATGGCAGCACTGTTTGAACTAACTGCATTCTTCAGATATTGCTGTTTTTGTTTTCAATTTTCATTTAGTTCAAAATATTTTCCACGTTCCCTTTCCCTAGTTTTTCTTGAACTATGGGTTATTTGTATTTATAGCATTCAATTTTAAAATATTTTGAGATTTTATACTTATATTATTCATTTCTGATTTAATTTAAATGTAGCCTAAGAACATACATTTATTTATTCAAACCATTTTAAATTTATTGAAAATTATTTTTAAGGACCGATTTTGGTCTGTCTTGGTAAACGTGTGTGTATGTGTGCGCATGTGCATGCACATATTTGTGTGTGTGTTTTTGTGATCTTGAAAAGAATGTGTGTTCTTTGGAGTCAGGTAAAATGCTATATAACTGTCAATTATGTCAGGTTGTTTGGTAATGTTATTCAGGTCTTCAGTATCCTCAATGATTTTCAGTCTATATTTTCTGTCAATTATTGAGAGATTAGTTTTGAAATCTCTCCTTATAATAGTGGTTTTACTTCATTTTATATTTGATTTTTTCAGTTTTGATTCATTTAACTAGAAGGTCTTTTATAGGTATATAAACTGTTTGTATGGTTATATCCTCTTGATGAATTTATTATCATCATGAAATGATCAACTTTTTCCATGGTAATATTTCTTTATCTGAAATTTACTGTATCTGATGTTAAGATAGCCACTCAAACTATTTTTTATTAAATGTTATACATCTTTTTCAGTTTTTCACTTTGTACTTGTTACTTCTTCAATGTAGTTTTTTAAAAATATGCATCATTTAGTTGAATCTTTTCTAGCTAATGTTATAGTCTCTGACTTTTAGAATTGATGTTTAAGATCCTTTACATTTAGTGTAATTATTCATAAGTCTGAATTTATATTCCACATTTTCCTATTTATTTTATTTTATTTATTTTTGAGACAAAGTCTTGCTCTGTCACCCAGGCTGTAGTGTAGTGGTGTGAATTCGGCTCAGTGTGAACTCAGCTCAATGCAACTTCCACCTCCCTGGTGCCTCAGCCTCCTGAGTAGCTGGGATTACAGGTGTGTGCCACCACACCTGGATAATTTCTGTATTTTTAGTAGAGATGGGGTTTCACCATGTTGGCCAGGCTGGTCTCGAACTCCTGGCCTTAAGTAATCCACCCACTTCAGCCTCCCAAACTGCTGCAATTACAGACATGAGCCACCACACCTGGCCTATTTTTTTTTTTTTATTTTCCTGCAGTTCGGATTACTTTTCTATAATTTTCTTTTATCTTTTTTTGGCTTATTTATTTATTTATATGATGTGTTTAAAGTCTACCTTCAAATGATGTTATACCACTTAAAATATAGTATAAGAAACATTCAATTGGCAGGGTGCAGTGGCTCATGCCTGTAATCCCGGCACTTTGGGAGGTTGAGGCAGGCTTTCATCACCTGAGGTCAGAAGTTTAAGACCAGCCTGGCCAACATGGTGAAACCCCATCTCTACTAAAAACACAAAAATTAGCCAGGCATGGTGGCACACACCTGTAATCCCAGCTATTTAGGAGGCTGAGACTGGAGAATTGCTTGAACCCAGGAGGCAGAGGTTGCAGTGAGCCGAGATTGTGCCACTGCACTCCAGCCTATGCGACGAGTGAAACTCCATCTCAAAAAAAAAAAAAGGGGGAATAAATAAAGAAACATTCAATAATGCATTTCATTTCTTTTCTCTTTCTGGTGTTTGTACTATCCTTGTCATATATTCATCATAAACTCCGTAAGACATTAGTATAGTTTTTCTTTAAACAATAGATTATCATATAAAGTAATTTAAAATACAAGAAAAACATCTTTTATATATGTATTTTTCTATTTTTGTGCTCATTTGCTATATCCTGATGGGACTATATTTGGTATACACAAATTTTTCTCTGATATTTTCCTTTTACATTTCTTATAGTGCTGATGTACTAACAATGAGCTACCTTTGAATTCTCATATCTAAAAATGTCTTTATTTTACCTATGGTTTTTGAAAGATAGTTCTTCTATGTTCAGACTTTTTTATGGACATGTTCTTTTTTTTTCATTCAGTACATAATAGATCTCCCATTGTTCAACAGCTTACATTGTTTCTCATGAGGTGAATGCTGTAATTAATTCTGAACTTTTTCCTCCTTTACTTTGGCTACTTTAAGATTTTCCCCTTATCTCTGGTTTTCAGCAGGTAGATTATGATATGCAATGGAGGCCCATGTGTGGACTTTGGTAGATGTAACATTCTGCAGTAGATTTTGTGTGCTTTTGAATGAATCAATCAAAACAGCAGTAGTCATCAGCAGCAGTTTATTACAATAGCATGCCTGAAAACTGTTAGCCTCTCCTGTCTGTTTTTCCTCCATCCTTACGGAGACTTTTGTAAGCATCACATTTTCTATATTAAATCTTTACTTTCTGAAGTATCTAAAGTGCTTTTTAATTATGCCATGCTATTTTAATCTGTGACTTTTCCATCTCTGACTTTAAGAAAATATGTTTTTCCATCTTCACTTTCTTCTTTTACATGCATGTCAAATTCTTAGCCCTACTCAACTATCTTTGTTGATTAACTCTACTGACAAAAATAATGTGTACTTTCCTCTCCTTGATATTAATGTGCTCTTACCTAGACAGTTTATCATAACATTTTTTATAATATTTAACTTATATGTTTAAATGGTTTTTTTTTCTATTCTACTCATTACTGATATCTTTAAAGGCAAATGTTTTTTATTAGCCTTTGTAGCCTGAGGCCTAGCATTATATTGAGTTATACTCAGTAAGCCTTTCTTTAAAAGATGAATGCATTAATGAAGAACCATAGAATGTCATAAACCTTCCCTAGATCACTTTTCTCAAAGTATATTATGTGAAAGGTCTATAGAAATCATGACCAAAAAAAAAAATGTCCTGGGGCCAAAAGTGTTTGGGAAATAATATATCACATAAAGCCAAAGAGAGTTATAGGTGCAGGTCTTTTCTGAAAGTTGCTGTACATCAAGAATTTCCTAAATGACCATGCAATTTGTAGTATTTGCCAAACTTTTTGATTATGGAAACATTTTCTTTAAGTGGTTTCATTGGCACTAGTAAATATTTGGGAAAATATTTAGGATTGTGAACCTCAAATCAATTTCACTGCATTCTCTCTGTCAAAACACTGCATAGGGTCAGCTTAGATTGAAGGGGAAAAATTAGATTTCACTTCACAACAGGAAAAGTAGCAAAGAATTTGCTATTGCAGCTGCCATAGCGTTACAAATTATGTACAGTCACCTTCAAAAGGCCTCTAAAACTTGTACGCATTATAACAAAAGTTTCAGGCTCCAAGCCCAGGATTTTTTCATCTAATTTAGATTCAACTGTGCATAAAACTTCTTGAATGAAGCATACGTAGTGTGGTTTCTCTTGATCTGAATATATTGGTCTAAACAGACAAGTAATCTGCTCTCTTAACATTAATTAATGGGCCATTAATACTACCATTTAATTTGGAGGGTAAAGAACAGGTGTCATGTAACAGTCACTCATCTAAAGTATTTTTGAAATTCAACTTTGTGCAGGTCACCTGTTCCTTGTTAAATGCTCAGTTTTGCCTCCTGAAAGCTGTTTTCTGTGGCACTTGGCTCCACCACTGGGCTTTTTACTCTGCTCTCAGACATTTGGTTATATACTCTGTCATGCTTGCTTTTTGGTAGGAAAGCAAAAAGGAACTATATTTGCAACTGAACACCTCTCAGTCTGCTTCCTATTCATATAAGTTTAAATGTCTAAAGGTTCTTTTCATTTTGAACTGTCTCTTTTCCCTTTTTAAAAAATATCCAAGCAGATTTTGCTTTTGCCAGTTCAATTCTCTTCAAACTTTGTGGGTTTCTTATGAGATTTATTGTGATTCATTCCACTGGACAAAAAGTACATCTATATATTTCTTCCAGACAAGCCTCTTTTTGAAATTAAGACTAGGAGTGAGAGTGCTATATAATTATGGTCTTAAGATTATTAGGAGACCTCTTGTCAACTTCAGAGACATTACCAGCATACCCTTAAATTTCTCTGAAGTTTTACCTTCTCACCTTTAAGATAATCTTCCCCTTGGGTCTCTTTTTTACTTTGAGAGGCTTTGCAATCTGGAGAGGCTGGTGATTAGGAAGAGTTTTATTTTTGAACACAATATGTCCTGTAGCCTTTATATTCATCAAAATTCTGCTTGAAAACTGATGTTCCTTATATCACATTTTTCCCTATTCATCCTTTACTATATGTTCTTAAAGGAAATCAGTTGGTACGTTCAACATTTTGTCTGAAAAATGTCCTTACTGAGTCTCCTAGTTCATTAGGTTCATTTTCTATTTTTCTCATTGCTGCTAGCCACACTTTCACTAAACTTTCTTCCATCACATAACAAAGTTTATCCTTTTACCAGATCCCATTACTAATTTATTTTGTATTCTTCCAACTCCAACCTCCACCCCATCACACATTATCAACTGGATCAACACTATCTGGTGTCACATGTTGCATGGTCCCAAAGCTAGTCCCACCTGTTTTATGCTGTTGTTATAATAGCTCCTCACTTCTGTTAACAAATTCCATTCCAGTTATCTATTTTTCATAACCTACCATCCCAAACTTATTAGCTTAAAACAGAACCTTAATATTACTTACCATGATTCTAAGGATCAACTGGGGGCAGAGGGATGATTCTCCTGGGGTCTTTCATGTGTTTGTCATCAGATGTTGGCTGGAGCTCCAGTCATCTGAAGGTTGGACTGGGCTGGATGTCCATGATGGCTTATCACATGACTGGACATTAATTCTGACTGTGATCAATGACAACTCAGTTGGAGCTGTCAAAATGTCTTGAGCTTCTTACAGCATCATACTTGGGTTCAAGGAGGAGGGTTCCAAGAACAACCATTTCAAGAGACCAAATGGAAAACTCAAAGGCAACTTTAATCCTACCCTTGAATGAATGAATGAATCTTATGTAGCTTCATTTCTATTGAATTGTGTTGGCCAAAATAAGTCACAAATCCAGCTCAGACTGAGGAAATAGACTCTTCCTTTCAATGGGAGGAGTAGCAAATTTGTATTTTGCAATTTACTTCATTCAGAATCTTGAGTCCTATACTCAGTTTTAGTTCCCCACCTATTAGCTTTGCGCCCTATACAGATTTCCTCATGTTTTCATGTTGAGGAAGAAAAAGAGTACTAGATATGAAACTGCCTTACACACTGTAGTAGGAAAAGCAAAAAGACATTATGTATTCCTATAATCCTATTATCCCTTCTCTTTGAAAATCAGGTTGAACAACATTTCCCATATGTGAAAAGTCCTTTCCTTTTTACTTTTATGTAGCTTTTTTCTGAGCTCCTAAAATAATTAAAAATTATTGAACTCACAATTATTGAATATCTTAAGAATTGAGTGATGTTAGGCTAGGTGCTGTAGCTCACGCCTGTAATCCCTGCACTTTGGGAGGCCGAGGCAGGCAGATCACGAGGTTGGGAGATCAAGACCATCCTAGCTAACATGGTGAAACCCTGTCTCCGCTAAAAACACAAAAAATTAGCCAGGCATGGTGGTGGGTGCCTGTAGTTCCAGCTACTTGGGAGGCTGAGGCAGGAGAATGGGATGAACCCGGGAGGCGGAGCTTGCAGTGAGCCCAGATCGCACCACTGTACTCCAGCCTGGACGACAGAGCCAGACTCCATCTCAAAAAACAAAACAAAACAAAACAAAACAAAACAAAACAAAACAAAAAAAGAATTGAGTGATGTTGTAGGCCCTAAAGATATGAAATTGAGTACAATATAATCCCGTCCTTGCTAAAATAAAATGGTATAAAATATTGATATAAATAAGTCCAACTTTAGGGGAATCTTACTTAATTCTGTTTTCGGACATTGGGACATTGCTTGCATTTTTGTCAATTTACCAACATGAATTTTCTGAGAGCCAAATTTTCTGAGAGCCCATAATAGTTAAGACAAAGCCTCTAAAGAGACTGTTCAATGAGTGGTTGAAGGCAAATTCCTAAGCCATGCAGAGAGGCATTCTGGGTAATCCAGTATGGGCTGAGGAAGGCATTTCGTGCACTTGTCTCCAGCACTGCTGATTTATCCACCTGTTGCCCCACTCAGTGACAATACTGCCTTTAGGGAAAGTTCTAAATTTCAAAGAGACCTTGCCTTATGCAAAAGTACAGTGGGCGGAGTCTTACATGGAATGACTTGAGGGGTGACTCAAGGTCTCCACCTGTTCCCAGATATCTGCTCTAGTAAGTGTCATAACATCAACCTTTGTATTTCACCCAAATTTACAACGTTAGTCACTTTTTCCAGTTAGGCAACAAAGGTGGAGACATTGTTTTCAGAATGCTTTCATAAATTAAATGTGTATTCAACACAGCTTTCTCTCTATCTCTAGCATAGTAGAACAAATTTATTTATCAGATTATTTGTCATACCTTGGAAGGTATGAAACAGCCTGTGTTATAATGGAATTGTACATAGAATAGTGAATTTTCAATAAAAGACATAGGGAGATTAAAAGGATAATACATAGCTACACTTATGTATTCATAATAGAGAAATGTCTAAGATACGTCTTCATCAGAAAATATTTTGTTTCATTTAGACAGAGTCAAGCTTCAGGAAATTCACATTTTAAAAAAGTTTCCCAAATACTTCTGATACACGTCGAAGGTTGAGAACACTAGTTTAGTTATATGCTTTCCAATGATGTAATATGATAAGGGAGGTAGAATTTGGGGAAAATATCTGTAAATGAATTAGAATGCCTTTTCTTTTGTACATATCAATTGCTCCATCTGGGCTTTTGACATTCGCTGTATAGCAGACATATACCAAATGTTTTATTCTCCATTCTAATCTCCTATCATTTACCAACATGGATCTTTCCTTCTGGACATCTGGAACTACTTGTATTTGCTCAAATACATTTTGCTGTTTTATGCCTCTATGCTTTTGCTATGTTTTTCCTACTTCCTGGTATTCTTTTTTTCTCATCTTATTTGTGTTGCTGACCTTCATTTATCCTTCAAAATTTCACTCAAGCATCACCTCTCTCAGGATGCCTTCCCTGATTTGGATAATTTTTTACCCTTCTTCTTTTTTTTTTTCATTCTACAGTTTTCAAAATTTCACAAATCTAAGAAAAGTGAATACATACAAAACCTCTGAAAGATTTTGAGCAAAGATAATATTTTCTCAGTGCAATGAAGATACTCTCATATAAACATGTGTAGTTACCTGGGCTGTAGAAACATTTTCAAAGGGAATAATTTTAAAAATCAAAGGTACCTCTCCAGGAAACATGACTACAGAAGTACACACAGAATAAACTAGGACTGCTGCCCACAGGATTTTATAATAAAAAGATGGAACAAATTGGAGATGTGTATTTAAAATTGCTTTTTCCAAAGAGCTTCATTTTCCAAATTAGCCATTTCCCTACATTTTCTTTCATTTCATATTGTAAACTTCGGGATTCTGAATAGAGGAAGGAGAAAATACCTTAGGCTGGAGGAAGAAGCAAAATGTATTTACTAAAAAATTGTTGGAGTAGTACTTTAAAAAGAAATCTTCCCAAACTCTCCATTCAGAATTAATCATGTCTCTTCGAGACAAAGTAATATGGTGATGAATTGCACAGACTTTCGTGTTTGTGCCCTTGGTTCGACTTATTTTGTTTATTTCACATGTATTTACTCAGTGCCTACGGTGTACTAGGGGTATCAAAAATATTCTCTTTACTCATGAAATATTTGATCTTCCATTTCCTACTCATAAAATAAATATTATAATAGTACTTATCTCATAGAGGTTTTGTGCATATTAAATGAGATAATGCCTGCATACGTTTCCTATTCTGCATTTAGTTTAGATCTCACTTTCTCTGGGAAGTCTTTTCTGACCCCAGTCCATCTGGGTTGGAAAGTGCTTTTATGCTCCCATAGAATATTTATTTACCCACCTTGGCTCTTACTTTCTCACTGTAATTGAACATTTGCCTGCAGGTATTCCTAACAGACCACAAGATATGCAAAACTAGTTTTTCTGTTCCCTTGTCAGTCTCTGTAATCGCATTTGTTACGTCTTTAAATCACTTAAATCAGAGTTTGCAATTATATAATTACTCGTGTAATATCCTCATGTTCCACCTCACACACTATTCATTGTGAAAATGAGCTTATTTTCCTTACCAATGGTAAAATGAAGAATTGACACCTATAGTCATTCGAACCACAGTTTGTGAATAAACAAATATAATATCAGTAAATGGATTTCAAGAACTGGTCTGATTTTATTAGGCTTTAGCAACTGACATATAAACCTGTCCAACAAAAGTTTGAGAGTGGAATTGAAAGTGGAGAAAAAATTGTGAAGCAAGGATGGTCCTAGGAAACAGCAGAGGAGCTGGGAATGAGAAGAAGAACTAACGCACTACCACAGATACTTCTCCATTTGCAACTAAAATACTTAAAAAACGGTAGGTGATAACTGAAGACACTAAACAAAACAGTATTTGAAGAGGAAAGATGAGAAAGGGAAGTGGGACAAAAAGAATAGAGGTGCATGACTAGGGGCACAGGCAAAGGAAAGGGGTGGTTGTGTGAGGTGCATAAAAGATATACTATACCTACTTCTGCAGTTGTTTTTCAAGACATATAGCCCCACACCCTACCCAGTTAGAAATGGAAGCAGAACAGATGGGGAGTGTCATCTGAACCACAATGTCTGAAGGGAATCTTGTGTGTCAAGCATCATGGCAACTCCCAGCCCAACCTATGAATTTGAGAACCAGCACTTCTGAGTGGGTGACAGCACTTGTCTAGGATACATGCCTTCTTGTGAGCCGACTTAGCTATGCAGCAAACTTAAACAGAATTCCTACTTTCTTTTACATTTTTGGGTAGTTAGATTTTGTTTCGCATATTGCCAGTTCTCCAATAATTGTCACTACCACTAATGCCACATATTTCAGAATTATAATATTTAATGTGGTACCTACTTTGGTATACATTATATCTCATAATCATTATTAAATAGTATCCCAGATCTAAAGCACTGCATTGTCTAAGATACAACAGATAGTGAGGAACTGCTATTTGGAACAAGTCGTTAAGCTGTCAAACACCAGCATCTGTATCTCTCTGTATCCCATGAAGAAGTTGTGTTATTAATTGTTTTAATTATAAAATTAAATTGTTTCTAATTTTGCGGGCTTGCAGTGGAGGGTTGGGCCTATAGCAGGGAAAAAGGCTCTTTTCAATATAGACTTTAAATAAGAAATAATCGTTAGGGCAAAAGGACTTTAAAGCTACTGTCCTATTGCTAACTCTGCAGAGGATTGCTGCATAGAGGCTGGAAGAGGGGATCTTTGAGCCCACAGAGAAGAAAAGGAAGCAAGCACTCATCAAATGATTCGCTTTCAAACTGCTTCACAAATTTCTGATGATGGCTAAATTTTACACTGACATCAATTCTTGTAGAATTTTTTTTTTAACAGATTCTCGATCTGTTGCCAGCCTGGAGTTCAGTGGCACAATCTCAGCTCACTGCAATTTCTTCCTCCTGGGTTCAAGCGATTCCCCTGCCTCAGCCTCCCAAGTAGCTGGGACTACAGGCATGCGCCACCATGCCTGGCTAATTTTTTGTATTTTAGTGTAGACGGGGTTTCACCATGTTGGCCAGGATGGTGTTGATCTCCTGAACTTGTGATCCACCCACCTCAGCCTCCCAAAGTGCTGGGATTACAGGCATGAGCCACTGCACCCTGCCAGACTTCATATTTAATGACTTTTTTTCTTTTAAAAGCAAGCTCTTTGTTAAAACAGAGATTTACACGTATGACCTTGGAGCAAGAGCAGTCATTATAACAGACTAAGCAACATGGAATAGGAACTAAACAGGACACACAGAGGAGGACCCTATTGGAGTCCAAACATGCTTGGTCATTCTGGGTAAATGTCAGAGCCCTGTTGAAAAACTAGTGACTAACACCATACTCTTGTGTCACTCAATGTGCCTCTTCAAACATAATTTACTCCAAAATGTTTCTTCACAGATAAAAACCTATAGAGGCACTCACAAATGCCCATGGATATAAAAACTGCATTGTGGAAAAAAATAGACTCAATTTGGTAAAACTCATAGTATTTGTTCATAATTACATAATGGAGGCAACTGCAAATGCTACTGACACCCTCATAATTTTTTTTTTTAAGTCCTGTAGAGGCCGGGCACGGTGGCTCACGCCTGTAATCTCAGCACTTTGGGAGGCCAAGCAAGGCAGGCGGATCACAAGGTCAAGAAATTGAGACCATCCTGGCCAACATGGTGAAAACCCATCTCTACTAAAAATACCAACATTAGCTGGGTGTGGTGGCACATGTCTGTAGTTCCAGCTACTTGGGAGGCTGAGGCAGGAGAATCGCTTGAACCTGGGAGGTGAAGGTTGCAGTGAGCCAAGATCGTGCCACTGCACTCCAGCCTGGGTGACAGAGTGAGACTCCGTCTCAAAAATAAAAAAGTCCTGTAGAAACCAGCTTTTAGACCTTTAACCAGTTTATCTGGAATTGTGCAAATTAGCACAAACTGAAGCATTCACAATGCAATTGCCACAAATGAGGATGATTTTAAAATACAAAACCATGTATTGCAAAGTAAGAAAATAAGATGATATATCAGCCTATTAAGGACAGATCTTTATAAAACTGTTCAAAAGTGTAAACTTCTTGATGTTGTATTGTCATAGTCTTCCAAGTAGATGCTTCACAACCAGACTGCTCCTACAGTTGGAAAGAACTGGTAAAAAGCAAGCAACCAATCAACCAAATAAACAAAAACTTACATATTGTGTGAATGAGGCTCATTATAGCTTGGGTGTGCTGTTTTACACAACCATGCTGGCCATAAAGGTTTCTAGTCTGGTAGATCTTTTTTTTTCTTATTGAGAAGGTTTGTCTTTTCTGTAGAATATAAAGCAGAGCAGCTCAGATGGCCAGTGAAGTTTCTTTGAAAGGCAGCCAAGTGAAGGTTGGGGCATGTCCATGCCCCTGTTGGGTGGCTCTTTTAAATCGTTATGCTATATATATACTTTAAAGATCGAGGCTGACAAAATAGCCTCCAGGACTGAGGGTACTTTGTACATATTGTGTCAGATGTCTGGGAGAGGTAGCTGATTGTTTACTTTTGAATTGCTTTCCCTCTGAGGGAAGCGTGAGTTAACATTACGGCATTCCTTGGGGAGGGGTGCCAAGCTGCGGACATCCTTTAGGGTAACCTTTCCACTGAAGGAACAGCATTGCTTTTATATGGCTAGTAAATCTGAGATTTGAATCTGGAAGGATGGTAGTACCACGGCTTTAACAAACCAAGTAAGTGGATTATTCTGAAACAAGTTAAACCATACGCAAAGTTATCACCAGCTCATTTTGCTGTCATAAAAAGCAGTTCACAGTAGAAGAAATATTAAATATTCCAGAAATGTATGTAGTAAAGATGAAGGTAGAAGAAAAAAATTAACAAAACATGTTATATCACATCAGAACCTGTGATAGAGTAAAAGGAATAGTAAAGAGGAATAATGATCTGGTTTATGAGCATTTTATTTTCCTAGGAGGATTAAAAAAAGTCTTCCTAGTGTTTTCCTAATATGAAATTTCTCAATATCACTGAAGTTTATATTACTAGTTAAGAACGAAGAGGCCTTTTTTTTCTCCCAGGGTGCGTATTTTATACATATTCTATATTTAATTGAATTTAATTTCCTGGAATTTTAGGTCACTGTGACCAGTAATATGAAAATAATCTCCTTTTGATTATGGTATGTGTATAAACCAACTAAACCAATATTCTTATATTAATCTATTTGCATAATTGAGGTGATTGCCTCTATGTCTGTTATAATCTCATAATCAATAATTTCCCTATCATGATCAAACATTGAATCTATTTAAATATATCTAATCCAAAACCACATCCCCATTTTATCATGTTGGCAATACTCTTCACTCTGCTTATGAAATTCCAACAGTTATCAGAAGGATTTGTAGATTGGGGCATAGTATAAATACATAAAAGTAAGAAAATAAGTATACTAAGTATTACTTTTGCACTAACCTATTGTAATACCTGGTTTCCATTTGCTTTACATTATAACTTTTCTCCTTGATTAAATATGAAAGTTAAGACCTTTATTTCTATTCAAATTTATTATTTGTTTTCTTATCTCAATGTGATCCCTTTAGAAACAATACCAGATTTTACTTACTACATTTTATAAGTCATTGAGTGTCACAGTCTCTGCAAATAATTCCACTTCTATGTTAAAGGAACTGGCAAGAAGAAGACTAATGAAGGCAAAATTTTCTAATAGGTTTAACTGCTAAATTTATCCTCTTTCTTTTCAGTTTTAGTTTCTTTGCCTGAAATAAAAATGAAAAGCCCAATTAAAGTTGAACATCATTGCCACTTAACATGGAAAGACAGATCCTATAATCTTCTCAAGTCTAAAAATAGTTTCCACAAAAAAGAGCTAGGTACAGCCCCTTTTGAGGGCCAGTTGTGCCCCGACTTACAACCATCATAACATTTACATAATTGTATTGTTTATATTGTTGCTGTTTGTTTATTTTGCTTTCTTATTTTTGTCTTCTAGACCATAGCATCTTGGAGCAAGATCAATATTGTAATACTCTTAGAACCTCCATCCCTACTGACTGTATTAGCAGTATCTGCTGATAAAACAGATTTTGAATGACCATGTAAGCTCTTAAGGAATATGGCCAAAGAATATGAGAAATCTTGAAATGGTGACTTATGTGAAGCAAAGATTTTGGTCATAGTTTTTACCTTATAGATATCTGGCATTGTTGGAATGAATTCATTAAGTTTACCAGGACAAGACTTTGTAAATATATCAAAGATGACTTTTTAAACAAGTACACATTCCTGTTTTAAATCCCAATTTAGGAAATGTTAACTTTTCATAAGCCTTGCATAGACTCAGTGAGGTGGAGCCAACTAAGAGCGATAGGGGGTCAGTGGAAGGAAAGGAAATCTTTCCTGGGACCACTGTAGCACAACAGAAGATGCTTATGTATCAGAAGATAGAGGAGATTCAGGGTGGGATTACTCTTAGAAAGAAAATTCATATTGTGTATGTTAGGAAAACATGATGATTTTATGATGGCTGAGTATTAGACCCATTATTAGTAGACCACTAGATATGCACTACTAGAATGATTTTATTATCGCTTTAGTATTCTAAATTTAGTATTTCTCTTTAGTATTCTATTTCTAGGCTAAGACCCTGAAACTTCACTCTTGAAAGAAAATACTATCTTAAAAAATATCAGAGGGATTGTCTTAAGAAATTAACCGTTTAATGTTCCAAAGTTTTGCTTTAGCCATTCAGGACCCCACTCCACCCTCATGTCATAGCATGAGCAACATGCTCATCTGGTTCTTCTCTATCCCTTCACTTACTCTTATTGACCCATGTCACACAGCACATTCTTCTTTATCTAAGTGATTCCGAATTTATATGCTCATATCGTTGTTCCTTTGCTCCCATATTTTCTTTCCCCTGGTCCATCAAGAATACTCTGCATCCTTTGCTTTAAAAGACAGTCTTATGCAGGGGGAGACAGAAGCTCTCTCTTGCACTCCTGTGAACCACAGGCAGCCCTCCCTTGGTACCTGTTCAATATGAGATCCTCAAAACCCTTGATACGACAAACATATTTTCTGTAACATGTAACTGCACAAGATATTTTTTTCCTTAAGTCTGTTTTCTTTCTTTTCTAGACATTTGTTATCTAAATAATGACAGAATACTTTGATTATGAGTGTATACACAGGGATATGTTGTCAAGAGTCTAATTCCTGCTCTCAAATATAGGACATGTGCAATTTAAAAAAAGATTTAAAAAATCTTTTAAATTTAAACAAGTATTTTATTTGTTTAGAAGTAATGGTAATGACTTAATGAAGAAAACACAAGACACAAGACTAAAAAAAATTGTGCTTGACAATAGTTATGTAAATAAGATGCCAATTACCTGTTTATTTTAATACATGTTAATATTATTGACATTTTAGCTACCTTGGATGATTTAATGTAGAGATGTTCTTTTTAGAAAGAATAGAAATATATATGAAATGTTCCATTTTGGGGAACTAAGTATTATCTCTTGGTACTGTTTGTGTACCTTACTGAGAAAGAGATTTTTGTCATTATAATTACTGTCATTAAAAAGTAAAATATAAACGGGCCATTCTTAAAAAGCAAATACAATTCACTTAGATAACAAATCAGATAAATTTAATCATGAATATTTGCATTACAAAAGGATACAACTTCACACAAGAAAAGATTAGCTGCTGAGTTTCTTTAAATAGTCCACTTCTCAGAGTTTTAAAAATATAGTTGGATGTATTTAAAAACCGATTAGCTTTTCAGGAACATATCATTCTGTAAAGTGAGGTGAATCTGTAGATTCCCACACTTTATTACTTATCAAGCTGCTTATATTTACTCTGTTGGTCTATTTAGGTTTAGAAGGAGTAAAGTGATAAACGCTATTGCAGATTTTTTCAGAGGGTTGAAAGAATACATTTTTGTAAGGCAGAGTTCAGTAAATGCAAAAGCCACCAGATCTTTAAAGAGAACTTCAAACCATGCCAAACCTTCATGAAACTCCATCGAATCAAACATGAAAGTACATTACCTAGAGAAATATTATTTCTTGGTTAGTTGTGTATGACAGTGTAAGAGATCAGCTAAAAGCAAATATATTTTTTCTCTTTCTGACAGATAGGGAGACAGCAAGGAAAAATGAAAGAGTGCTGCCCGAAGCAGTACCCAAAGCAGTAACTTTTATGTCTCCTTTCATGTCATCCAGGCAGCTGGATTAACTTATCTCTCTAATCACAGTGTTGAATAAAATACCATTGCAGCAATTAAGAAACGATACTCCGAGGCAGGGGAACTGCTTGAAGCCAGGAGTTCGAGACCTGCCTGGGCAACATAGAGAGACAGGAGTCTCTACAAAAAAAATAAAAAAATAGCCAGGCATGGTGATGAATACCGGTAGTCCCAGGTACTTGGGAAGCTGAGATGGGAGGATGGCTTGAGGTCAGGAGTTGTAGGCTGCAGTGAATTATGATTGCATGTTGGTGCCACTGTATCATCTGTGCCTGGGCCACAAAGCAAAACCCTGGAAATACAGAAATAGAGAAAGGGAGAGAAGGAAGGAAGGAGGGAAGGAAGGAAGGAAGGAAGGAAGGAAGAGAAGGAAGGAAGGGAGAAAGGAAAGAAGGAAGAGAGGAAGGAAGGAACAGAGGAAGGAAGGGAGGGAGGGAAGAAGGAAAGAAAAAAGGAAAAAAAGGAAGGAAAGAAAGAAAGAGAAATAGAGACAGAAAGAAAGAAAGAGAAAGAGACACTGGCTGTCTTTTAAGAAAATAAACACAAATTCCATTGATTATCTTTGCTATAACATTCCTTTGGCAAAGGAAAGGATGAGGAAGGAGCAAGGTAATGGACATGGGAGGGGAAAAAGAGAATGATCCATGATACTCAAGGAACACATCCAGAGCCTCATAAAACTGAATTGGGAAAAAGCCACAGAAGATCAAAGAAGCATAGTGAATTCATTCTAACAATTGTATTGCTTGGTCATATAGTTGTTACAATGTTAGAGCTGGAGAAGCCTATGATTTATAGTCTATAAATCTTTCTACAAAACATTTCAAACCCGTACACTTCTTTCCATCTCCTCTGCCACCACTTGGCTCAAGTCATCTGTCAAGTGGATTATTTAGAGTCTCCTACCTGGTCCCTACATCCATCTCTCTCCTCTCTTCAGTGTCAATTACATCATTTCCCAATTCCCAACTCTTAGCAAATTCATACAGCACCAACCCCAAAAACTAAGTATGGCCTGTGAGGCTCTGTGAGTTCGGCTTCAGTCTCCTTCTCCATGTTTCCTCTTCACTGCTGGGTGCTACAAGTGTGTGCTAAGGTAAATGGAATTTTCATATGTCCTTCCATTAGTTATAAATACTTCAGTCACAAGAGATGAAAGCAATCCTCAAAGTGGCTTAAACCAAATAATAATAACATTAATGGCATAATAACATAACAGAACAGTACTGATGCAGTCTTCAGGAATGGTACAGTTCAGAGATTCCATTGATGTTGTCCTAGCCTGGTCACTCTCTATCTCTTGTATCTCTCTTAGTTCATGTTGACCCCATTATCAGGTTCCATGTGGTGTCCAAATGGCACCAGCAGTTTCAAGCCAGTATCCTCACAGTGACAAACCAAAAGAAAAATAAAGGTCTCTTCTCAGGAGATTTCACACAGCTTCCAAGATGAGCTCATTACTTACCCAACCATATAACTGCCTTCATCCCAGGAAATATTGTTAGGGGGCCTTGGAACACTGATTGGCCAGAACAGAGTCCCATGTTCCACCACTGAGAGCAGCACAAGAGACCTACCCAAACTCATGAACTGAAATTTTGTGCAGGGTTCAAAGACTAAATGCTAGGCAGGCAAAAATACTCTGACACGAGAAAAGAAAGTGTTCTGTCATACAAACGAATGAGAATGATAAAGATATTCTGCCATAAGATATAGGGAAGTTAAGCCCTAGAAACTAAATATGGAGTTTGAAGATTTCCCTAAGAAATGATAAAAACACCAGAGAACTCAAAGAGTAACAGGAGAGATGCACTAGAGCTGGGAAATAGCTAATATGCCGCAAGCGTTAGCGAAAGAGTTTATACTATTACCAAAACATTAGTTGTTTGCTTTTAAGATTAAAAAAATTAGTGGATGTATTTATGAGGCAACATATTTTCCATTTTGTCATAAATTCAGTGGGAAGAGAGATTTCACCTTAATATCAAGTTTTCAGGAATGCATCTTTTCCATTAATTGAAGAGTACCTCTATAAAAACTAGTTTGTAGAAATGTTGGTTCTAGAATGTGCGAGATGCTGAGTCTTTCACTGTGGAAAGTCTGTTTTTATTTTTGCTATTGCTTTACACTGCAATGAATACTTAAATAAGTAAATAAATTTTGCTAAATAAGACAAATAGAAATTATCCATAAAGAGAGGATAATAGCATTCCATTTCCTAGGGCATGATGAGACCAGTGAATGATCACAGTTCTCATATGGATCATCATTCCCATTCTCAGTTAATTCAGTAAAAAAAATAGTTTCAATAACATCAGTGCAAGCACTTTCTTCAGAAAGGCAGCACCACTGCCACTGATCAAGGCTTTGACTCTCTGCTTCTTTAATATATGACAGCAGCAGGGAAACTTGGCAAATTACTGACACAGGTTAGATGCTTGCTGAGAGGCAATACTTCAGTCTGGTCATTTATTTGTTTTATCTGAGCTGGTTCTTTAATAGTCTTTGCTAAGATACTTGATTGATACCCATAATCAGGATTAGTTCTGATGTTTCTGAGTCTTCAAGAATAGTGGTAGTCAGTATGATAAGATTAAATATATCCTTTTGTAGGGTATGTCTCATAATGGAAAACTATTCACCTTTACAAGAATGAGATATGTTTATGTGTGCATATTTTAGAGACAGTTATTGTGTCAGTCCATTTTCACGCTGCTGATAAAAACATACCTGAGACTAGGCAATTTACAAAAAAAAAGAGGTTTTTTGGACTTACAGTTCCACATGACTGAGGAGGCCTCACAATCATGGCAGAAGGCAAGGAGGAGCAAGTCACATCTTATGTGAATGGCAGCAGGCAAAAAGAGAGAGCTTGTGCAGGGAAACTCCCATTTTTAAAACCATCAGATCTCATGAGACTTGTTCACTATCATGAGAACATCATGGGAAAGACCTGCCCTCATGATTCAATTACTTCCCACCAGGTTCCTCCCATGACATGTGGGAATTGTGGGAGTTACAATTCAAGATGAGATTTGGGTGGGAACATAGCCAAACCATATCAGTTATCCAGAATCTCATTAAATTAAAAAAAAAAAAGCAAGTACATATAGGACACATATAGGACACTGTCCTATGTGGTTCTGGACTTAATATTTCTGGAGTGATACATAAAAATTGTCAACAATTGTTTCTTAAAGAGAGTATATTTGTGAGTGAGTTCTTAGAAAAGAGGGCATTTACATTTTAACTTACAACCTTTCATACTATTTTTATTTTTTAAGCATTAATATTTTTAAAATAAAATTGATAATGTTATGTACATTATTAAATGCCATTTATAGTGTATTCCTTTGATATTAATCTAAAGATCCCCAACTTAATTTTTAGTGGAAATTGAAAGGAAAACGAAAGAAAAATACCTCATTTCATAGTTCTCTGTATAGCTGTTAATTGGAATCTCTCTCCCCTTCCCAGAACTCTTTCGCTTTACTCTCTGGAACTCACGGTCCATCATCAACAAACTGCTTTAATCATTTATTTATTTTATGAACACTCCTTTCGTCCATTTGCATTAACTAAAACATGGTTGTACACTGAAGATGCTGTTCTCCCTACCTACCTCTTAAGTGGAATTTGATTTTTCTCCCACACCTTATATCCCCCAATGCCTAATGCTCAGGAGTGTCTTTCATTCACCATATTGCTCCTCCCAAATTCTCCTTCCTTCCTCTTTTCTCAGGACTTCTTTGAAGCATGTGTCACCTTTTACCCCTCCTGCGTCATCTTCATTCATTGATTAGTTTCATCAGTATCTAGCTCACTGATTCTCTCAGCACTATTGCAACTGGAACCACAATTAGTGACTTCAACATTCACACACTCTAACCCACTCATCTCTATGACTTATTTAATTAGTGACCTTTTAGTTCCAGTGATCTCAGCCACCCACTCAAGTTGCTCTACCCTTTTCCTAATGACATCAATAATTTTAGCTAATCTAAAATCTCCAGGTCAAGCATCTTATCTCTGGCCTTCACTACTATTTCCATCTCACTCCTAGTCCCAGTTCTCTTCCTCCAGAAAGTCTTGAACCTCATTGATACTCCCAATGCATGGACTGTACTATTTTTTCACTCTGCCTCATTCTCCTCATGTCCTCAATCCCCTCTTTACCCAGACTAAATTCTGTGACTCAGCACATCACATCTCATTGCAAATAAGCTTGATTCTTAAACTCTCCTCTTGTCTGAAAAATAATCCAATCCTAACTCTGTGCTAAATCTTACTGTCCATGTTCTCATTTCTTTAACAGGGAAGCTAAATTTTGTGGGGAAAAAACCACATATCTTTACTGACTGGGCTTACTTCACACATTACATTACTCTTCAGAGATCTTATTGCTTCAGTTCCCTTTACTTGGTTTCCAGTTTCTAATCTGAAGCGACTATTTCATCCTTCCCCTTTTTTGTCAACATCCCCAATTCCCCATTTCTGATTCACTTTTAAGTAATGGCCTCATTGTGTATTTCACAGAAAAGAATAGACGAAAACAGACAGGAACTACCTTATCTTCCCACTACAGATTCCACTATTCTTTTTGTATCGGAACTCACATACTCTATCTACTTCTTTTTTTTCTTCAACTTTTATTTTAAGTTCAGGGGTACACGTGCAGGTTGTGCAGGTTTGTTATATAGGTAAATGTGCACCATGGTGGTTTGCCGCACAGCTCAACCCATTACCCAGGTATTAAGCCCAGTATCCATTAGCTATTCTTCCTGATGCTCTTCCTCCCCCAACCAACCCCTCTAACAGGCCCCAGTATGTCTTGTTCCTCCCCATGTGTCCTTGCATTCTCATCATTCAGCTCCCACTTATAAGTGAGAAAATGTGGTGTTTCGTTTTATGTTTCTGCATTAGTTTTCTGAGGACAATGGCTTCCAACTCCATCCATGTCTCTGCAAAGGATATGATCTTATTCCACTTTATGGCTGCATAGTATTCCATGGTGTATATGTACCTTATTTTCTTTATTCAGTTTGTCATTGATGGGCATTTATGTTGATTTCATGTCTTTGCTATTGTGAATAGTGCTGCAATGAACAAACACATTCATGTATGTTTATAATAGAATGATTTATATTCCTTTGGGAATATATCCAGTAATGGGGTTACTGGGTCAAATGGTATTTTTGCCTCTAGGTCTTTGAGTAATTGCCACACTGTTTTCCACAATGGTTGAACTAATTCACACTCCTAGCAACAGTGTATAAGCATTCCATTTTCTCCACAACTTCAACAGCATGTATTGTTTTTGACTTTTTAGTAATAACCATTCTGACAGATGTGAAACGGTATCTCATTATGGTTTTGATTAGCATTTCTGTAATGATCAGTGATGATGAGATTTTGTTCATGTTTATTGGCCGCATGTATGTCTTCTTTTGGAAAGTGCCTTTTCTTGTTCTTTGCCCATTTTTTAATGTTTTTTTTTTATTGTAAACTAAGTTCCTTATAGACTCTGGATATTAGACCTTTGTAAGATGGATAGATTGCAAAAATTTTCTCCTCTCCTGTAGGATGTCTGTTCACCCTGATGATTGTTTCTTTTGCTGTGCAGAACTCTTTGGTTTAGTCAGATCCAATTTATCAATTTTTGCTTTTTTTGCAATTGCCTTTGACATTTTTCTCATGAAATCTTTGCCCGTGCCTATGTCCTGAATTGTATTGCCTAGATTTTCTTCTAGGATTTCTTTTTTTAAATAGATGTGGGTTTTACATGTACGTCTTTATTCTATCTTGAGTTAATTTTTGTGTAAGGTGTGAAAAAGGGGTTTAGTTTCAATTTTCTGCATATGCCTTCTTATTAAAATAAATTTTCCTTCTCTTATTAAAAATTGTGTTTTCTGTCTTGTTTTCCTAAGGAATTTGGGAAGGAATCCCTGAAATAACACACTTTTTCTCCTGCATTATTTATTTCTCTCTCTGAACTGGCTCATACTAATTGGCTTGCAAATATGCCTTTAGATTATACAGCTTAAAAAGTAAAACAACCCAAACTTTCCCTTAATCTAAAGTGTCTTTTGGCCTGTACCCATTTTTTTCCTGTAACTCTTCACAACAGGACTCCTCCAAACAGTTGTGTATATTTGTTATCTGTCTTTCTTTCCCTTCCATTTTCTCTTTAATTAACAAGAATGTGGAGGGTTTTTTGTTTTGTTTTGTTTTTCCTCACTGTTTCAGTGACCTTGTGAAGGTCACCAGCGACCTATATTTTGCCAGTCAATGCCCATTCTTCTCCTTCTGTTGCTTCTCTCTGTAGCATGTGATGTGGCTGACAGTCTCACCTCAAGCCCTTTCCTACAGTCTTTCACACTGCTGCATTCATGAAGATTGCTACCTGCCTTGCTAGGGCCCTTTCTCAGTCTCCTGTTCTCAGTCCCCATCCTCTTACATTCCTCTACCTTTTGCCCGGGGCTCTGAACCTGGCCCTCATTCTTGCTCTATTTCCTCTTTATGAAATTTTCTTGTGTAATTGTTTAGGGTCTTATTGCTTACTTTCACTAGGTTGTAACTTGTAAGTCTTGCTTACTGTGCTGTTTACAGCACCTAATATAGTGTTCGACATAGGGCGAGTCATCAAGAAATGTTTGCTGAATACCTGAAAAAACAGTACAACTTACTAAAAACTCTATTTTAAAGCATACATCTATTACTTCAACAAATACTCCCTGTGTGCCTTCTGAGCACCAGGTACTATGGTAGGCAGTGGGGCTATAAAGGATGCCATCTCTACCCTTAAAGACCTGATGGCCTACCACAGAGAGAGATGTAAAACTTCAATTCAGATTGAGAAGAGAAAGGTGGGAAACTTTTCAGTAAAATCAGGACAAGATGGCCCTTTAGATTACTATTGAAAGCAACACACAGTTTAAGACTTTCGCACCAAGATAAAAGGCAATTTCGAAGAGAAATGCATCATTTGGAAACACATCCATAGATGGAAGCCTCTGATGTAAAGTTTAATGACTATGGTCTCACATGACCCCATTTTGGCAGCCATTAGCTAGAATGCTCCAAATGACCTAACTGGGTGGGAGAAAAACCATTTCTAAAAACACCCAAGTCACATAACACTTCATTACTCAAAGATAATATCTTCAGTCATCCTTTGAGCAGTAAATCAGCAAAATTATAGCAACAGGATTGCAATACATTCAGAATTACAGCACAATCTGTCTTCACTAAATTTTTATTATAGATTTTGGCATTTAATATATGACAATATATGTATCTAGAAGTTTGGAATTTGGTCCTAATAACTCATTTTATGGGCAACAAGAAGAGAATACAAACTATGCAATACAATAAATGCTGGCAAGGAACTTCAAGAGGTCCTTCTTCCATTCAGCTTTAGGTCTCTTTCTCATGTCCAAGACAGCACTCCTCTCCATGCTTACTTTCTCTTCATTCCAAGAGTCTCCAGAGACTCAGCCAACTTCTCTCCCCTTTTCAAAACAATGCTGATTGTGTGCCAAGTTGTGAAGAATATCCCATTTACAATAGCAGCAAGAATTCCAAAATATTAGGGACTAAACTTAAGAAGGAACATGGAAGTCCAAACTGAAAAAAAGGAAACTTTAATAAAGAACATGAAAAAAGATCTAAATATATCAAAAGGCAAACAATCCATATTTACAAATGATGAGACTTAATTGTGTAAATATATAGGTTCTTCCAAAATTATAAATTATTTGAAATTCTATGAAATTCTCAATAGGATTTTTTAAGAACTTTAAGTTTATCTAGAAGATTATGCAGAACTTTTGGAAGATTAAAAAAGAAGGAAAGGGGAATTTGCTTTTCTGATATGAAAACTCACTGTTATTATAGTAATGCAAGTTTCATAAAACCCATTTTGGAGTAGATGAATGAATGTAAGGAATAGACTGAAGAATACAAAATATGACTCATGTAGGTAGGGATTAACATATGAGTGTATAAGTTAGAGTTCCTAGTTGCAAGCAACAGCAATGAACACTGATTAATTCAGAAATTTTCTGAGTAGCTCACAAAATGGAGGCTGTTCTAAACAAATAGGTCCCAATAAAGGCCAGAGAAGTTCTGGGGTTTTCACTATTTAAAAAAAGAAACAAAAACAGCTCCTGGGTTATCTTGAGATGCTGCCAATGAGAGATTCAGTTCTAGCTGTCTTTTGTCATGGTGTATCAGCTCTTATGATTCAAATTTCAGACAGACATAATTAGACCGACCTTCCTTGGGTGATTTGATCATTCCTCTTTCCCCAGTGGATCAGATTATATTATTGACAGCCCTGTGAGAAATGCATGGAAGAAAGGATTGATAATTCTCTTTCAAAGAAGATGGAACTATATTTGGTAGAAGGTAGCTGGATGTGATGTTGGTCAGATATAAGAGCAGCTGTCCAACATATGCTAAAGACACTATTTTAAGTTAGTGGAGAAAAGATGGAACTTTTGTTGGGACAATTTGATTTTTTTTAGAAACAGAAAGTTAAATAGACTTAGCTTAACTTACTGTATAGCATATACAACAATAAATTAAATAACCAAATAAATAATAATAATGAAACAAAACTGAAAGCTTGGAAGAATACATTAAAGGATTTTTTATAATCTTGAGGTGAGATAGGCCTGATTCAGGGGAGGAGAGCGATATGCTTGAATGGCTAACATTTTAAAATTGTATAAAATAATAGGCATAAAGGATTTGGCAGAATGGAAGTGATGAAAAGAGTGAGATGTTAAAGATCTGGAGATGTGAATAAAAATTTTTTTAACTTTTTATTCCATAAACACCTGTGCTTTTATATATATATGTGGGTATATATATATATATATGTATGTGTATATATATGTGTGTGTATATATATGTGTATATATATGTGTATATGTGTATGTGTGTGTGTGTGTATATATATATATCTGACAGAACCAATTGTTGCCCTTTGTGTTCTCCTCAAAAGTTACTTGAAGGGTGAGATGACAGCTACCTGGCTTCCCCCTTCATTTCCTACTTAGTACCAGGAACATAAAGGGAGAACAATAAATGCGTGGTTTTTATTTGTTTGTTTTTCAAAGTTAAAAGTGTCATTTTGTTTGGTTGGTTGGTTTGGTTTTAAGAATTTTCTTCTATAGGTAAATGGTGCAGACAAATGAATTCAATAGTCTCAAAAATAACATGGATAAGAAACCTTTAAAATATTCCAAAAGTAATAGTACCAGTCTTCTTTGGCAAGGTTGCAGTTGACAGTATAATCAGATGCTTGTCTTTGATTTTATTCCAGAAGCTCTCAAAGTTCCCAGCAACTGCTGAACCTTCTTTTGGCACTTAAGAATTATTTTGCCTCAACTGGGGCATTTTGCCATCTCTAGTTTGTCTCATACTGGGTGGTATCCTCTGCAATGTCTATTCTGTATGTCACCCCAACATTAATTCTTAAACTTCTTTTGGCATCAGATCCCCACATTTGTTTTCCAAGGAGAGGGCCTAGTACATTGTTTTTGACCTAAGATACTGATTCCTTAACCAAGCTGATCAAGCAGAGGCTCTCCCTAGTATTTTCTTGTTTAGCAGGGATAAACAGAAGTGAAAGGTGGAAGCAGCTGAGACAGTTGATGGCAAAATCTTAGAAAGAAGGTCCTCAGATTCCTGTTGCTCAGATCCTTCCCTTCTCAAGTCTTGGCTATTTAACTCTTCCTTTAATGGATGAGCTACAGCGTGTTCTTTCATTAAATCTCTTTTTATTTTCCTCATTACTTGAATATTTTACTATCTTAATCTCTGTGCACTTTTACTCCTGTTACAGTTATTGTGATTTCAGTATCAATCTGGGTATCATTTTACCACCAGACCTTTTAGATTATGTAATGTTCTTCTTTTCCATCTCAGGTCAACTGCCCATTTACATGGTGATTACACCTGCTGAACCCTGTCATTTTAAGTCTAAGCATTCCATTCTCTGACTACCATCCTTTTTAAATTTAGTGCACCCCACTTGTACTTTAATTCCAACAACTCCGTGGGAACTTTCTGATCCATTGATTCTGTGACTTTTTCATTGTCTTTCATTCCTCTCCCATGACCTCACATTCCTTCTTCTTTTTTTTTTTTTTTTATTATACTTTAAGTTCTAGGGTACATGTGTGCAACGTGCAGGTTTGTTACATATGTATACATGTGCCATGTTGGTGTGCTGCACCCATTAACTCATCATTTAACATTAGGTATATCTCCTAATGCTATACCTCCCCCCTTCCCCACCCCACAACAGGCTCCAGTGTGTGATGTTCCCCTTCCTGTGTCCATGTGTTCTCATTGTTCAGTTCCCACCTATGAGTGAGAACATGCGGTGTTTGGTTTTTTGTCCTTGCCATAGTTTACTGAAAATGATGGTTTCCAGTTTCATCCATGTCCCTACAAAGGACATGAACTCATCATTTTTTATGGCTGCATAGTATTCCATGGTGTATATGTGTCACATTTTCTTGATCCAGTCTATCATTGTTGGATATTTGGGTTGGTTCCAAGTCTTTGCTATTGTGAATAGTGCCGCAATAAACATACGTGTGCATGTGTCTTTATAGCACCATGTTTTATAATCCTTTGGGTATATACCCAGTAATGGGATTGCTGGGTCAAATGGTATTTCCAGTTCTAGATCCCTGAGGAATCGCCACACTGACTTCCACAATGGTTGAACTAGTTTACAGTACCACCAACATTGTAAAAGTGTTCCTGTTTCTCCACATCCTCTCCAGCACCTGTTGTTTCCTGACTTTTTAATGATCGCTATTCTAACTGGTGTGAGATGTATCTCATTGTGGTTTTGATTTGCATTTCTCTGATGGCCAGTGATGATGAGCATTTTTTCACGTATCTGTTGGCTGCATAAATGTCTTCTTTTGAGAAGTGTCTGTTCATATCCTTCGCCCACTTGTTGATGGGGTTGTTTGTTTTTTTCTTGTAAACTGGAGTTCTTCTGGTTCAATACTATAATGGCTCTTCTGTCGTACTTTCAACTTCTTGAGCTTTTCTCCCTCTGTCAACATTTCTAGGAAAATCTCCCAGTCCTGATTAAATCTAACCATCCTCCTACCTGGTTCTTGCACCCAAGCTTCAGAACATGGCTGGGAAAAACAATTACACTGATAATTCTCACTTTCAATTTATGACCATAGATTGTAGACTTCTTGAGCCTCATCATATTAAGTGTTTCCCAGTGTTACCTGAAATCCTATCACACATTTTTCTAAGCCAATCACTCTTCTATTCATACAGAAGGCTATTTCACTCCTTCTCTTTCTTCCAGCTCACAATAACTTCTTTCTACTTTTCATTATTAGCTGAGGGACTTTTCTTTATTGGCTAATGTATAAGCTGATGAATTCTTATTTCATAAAGAATTATTCCAAACATCCACATGATTCTCTAAGGAAAAAATCCAAATATATCTGCATTCATATCTATAAATTATGCCTCCCTTTTCAACTCTCTGTGCTCCTGTCTAAAGCCAATCCCACCCTTTATTCCTTGAATTTCATCAATTTGGGACTTCTGAAAGATTTTGTTCCTGCAATTTTCCTACATGTAATGTCTTGTTTTTTCCTTCTCTGCTAGGTTACCAACATACATATAAACATGGTATAATATTTCCCATCTTGTAAAACCCTCCCTTAACTCTTCATCTCTCTCTATTTGTCTAGTCCCTTTTAGAAGTAAAACTACTTGAAAGTGTTGTCTAAGCTCACTTTCACTTCCCATGCTTTTTTTTTTTTTCATGTTTTATTGAATCTACTCCAACTTTTGTCCCAACCCAAGTAATTCTTCTCAGGGTCATAATGATAAACCCAGTGGTTCTCAGTCCTCATCTGAATTTATCTAACTGCAACAATCCACAGTGCTAATTGATTCTTCCTTTTTGAAACATTTTTTTCACTTGGCTTCTATCATTTTCTCATTTCATGGTTCTCTAGTTCATGGTCCTTGTTTCTTGGACCATTTGCTGGATCATTTTTATCTCTTCAAACTCTAAATGTTGGAATATCTTAGTACTCAATTCATAGGTATATTTTCTCCTCCATTTACAATCAGTTACCACCAGGTCATCTCATCCATTTCTATGGATTCAAATATCCAAACATTCAAATTAATTTCTCCAGTCCTGCCCAACCCCTTGAGTCCTGACTTGCATATTCAACTGCCTATTCTATATTTTTATTTGGATGTTTAATTAATATCACTACTTAATATATGCAAAACTGAAGCCCTGATTCTCATCTGCACCCTGCTCCTACCACAGCGTTCTCCATTTCAGTAAGTGACAAATTCATTTTTCCAAATATCTCAGACCAGGAATTATACATCTGACACATATGTATTGAGTACTTGCTGTTTCAGGCACTGTTCTAGGTGCTTAGAACACTTCAGTGAACAAGATAGGTGAATATCTTTTCCTTTCCAGTACTTAAATTTTAGCAGTGATCATAGGTGTTACATTTATCTTCCCTTTTGCCTCCACATCCACATCCAAATCTATTAACAAATCATTTTGGCATTCCCTTTCAAACATTATGCATATTTCAACCACTTCTCTTAACCCCATTCTTACCACTGTACTTTAAGTTACCACCATCTCCCAGGTGAGCTACTCAGTAATCTAACTCATTTCCTTCCTTTGGCCCTTGCCATTATACAATTTCATCTCTCTACAGCAATTAAAAAGATTCTCTTCAAACATGTTATAAATGTTACTTTTCTGTTTAAAGTATTCAGTAGCTTTTCACTTCACCCAGAGGAAAATCCATAATTCTTATCTTGACCTACATGCCAGATATGATCTGCCCTCTGCTATCTTTCTGAACTTCTCTTCTACTTTGATCTCCCTGGCACATTCTACATCCTCCATACTGATCTTGTTCATCCTTGAATATGTCCAAAATACTCCTACCTCAAGATCTTTGCACTTGCTTTTTTCTCTTCTTGGGATGCTCTTCCCACAGAGATCCATATATTTTGCTTTCTCATTTCATTCAGCTCTCTGCTCAAATGTCATCTTATCAAAAATTTTGAAATGTCATTTTATTAAAAATAATTTTCCTTGGCCGGGAGCAGTGGCTCACGCCTGTAATCCCAGCACTTTGGGATGCCAAGGTGGGCGGATCACCTGAGATTGGGAGTTCGAGACCAGCCTGACCAACATGGAGAAACCCCGTCTCTACTAAAAAATACAAAAAAATTAGCTGGGTGTGGTGGCACATGCCTGTAATCCCAGCTACTTAGGAGGCTGAGGCAGGATAATCGTTTGAACCTGGGAGGCAGAGGTTGCAGTGAGCTGAAATAGCACCAGTGCACTCCAGCCTGGGCAACAAGAGTGAAACTTCATCTCAAATAATAATAATAGTAATAATAATAATAATAATTTTCCTGAACATCTACATAAAATAATCTCTACTTCAGCCACTCTCTTTCCTATCCTGCTTAACTTCACCCACTGGTCATCTTCTGACATATGGTGAAACTATGGTTAATTGTCTCTCTCTCTTCCCCTCTCCCTCTTAGAGTGTAATCTCTGTGAGGGCAAGACTCAGTTTTATTTACTTTTGTAGTCCCAAAGCTTGGAGTTATTCTTGCATGTATTTGGTAGTAAATAAATAGTTTTTGAAATAGTTGTTAAAAATCTAGTCAGAGTTGGTTTCTTTTGCTTGCTTCCAAAGAAACATTAACTGAAAGAAAATTCTATTCAATTTCCTCATCATTCATTTAAGTATTTCCTTTGGTCCAAAAAAGAGTCTATTCTTTCTCAGTCTACTTTTTCCATAAGCATATAAATTAACCCTTAATCCATGAAATTATTATTTATATTTAATTTGTTTTCCATAAGGTATTCCACTCTTTTTGCTAAGCTTTGGCTAGCACTAACTCTTACTTAAATGCACTGAATTGAACCTTTATGTAACAAAAACATCGTTAAATCCTCAGATACTGCTTGATGGGTACCGTTATGCTCCTCAGTCTCTGCTCAGTTAGGCTACGTAAAATTCTTTTAATCATTTTTCTGAAATCCTTGGAGCTTGTTAATTGCTTTTTTTCCTCTGATTTTTTTCCAAATTGATGATTCTTCCCTTCCCGCCAATTACATTTCCTAGCTCTTCCTACTATTTTTAAGGAAATGAAATGCTTAGTTACACAGCTAAGGAAATTAAGGCAGGACTTTTAAAGAGACAAATCCTTGAATACTTTTTAACAACTGGTGTATTTTGCTCCCTTCTAATCTGCTTGGTCTTCAATGATGCCTTTTCTTGCTGCCTTTTCTTTAAAGTTAAAGTTAGGATCTTTTGTATATACAAGCTTGTAGTTAAATATATAGTAATGAAGATGGAACTGTAGGCCAGCTCAATGTAGCCATGCTTTGTGCAAGTTCAGCAATAGATGACACTGTGTTGACACAATAATTCAATCCTCTCCTTGCCAGATAGATAGATAGATAGATAGATAGATAGATAGATAGATAGCAATTTACTAATGCATTTATTCATTTCATTCACTAAATATTTAGTGATATCTTCCTTGGGGTTAATATAGAAGCCTGAGAACAAAATAGATTCCATTCTTGCGGCCACAATGGACAGCAGGTCCTTTGCAATATAATGGTAATATTTTGGTATTTTTTTCAGAAAAAAATGAGTGATAGGGACTAGTATTCCAAGACATTAAAGCTACATGGGATCACAGAGATTACATAATGCCATATTTTTATTTACCGGCCATAAAAGTAAGTATGTCCTAGAAAGCTTAAGTTACTTGCTTTTTGTAGCTGACATTTAATAATGGAGCTAGCCACTAGGTCTTGCTTCCTGACATTGCATTGATTTTATGCTAGATATTATCATTAATCATAGATCTGGAATTGATTCAGAATTTTGCCAAGAGAAATTCTGCGTGCCCTGAAATAAAATTTTAAAATATTGCATTTGAATTTTCAAGGAAAGGCAGAATTGTTTTGGTGCTTAGTAAAATAGTCTATGGATCATGTAACAACTCAACTAGAATTAAAACTCACACCACTAGTTTCTTACTAGGGTCAACATGCCAGCTAACATCACTATGAATTTAATAGTGAAATATATTTGCATTAATGTAGTTTTCTGTTAGCCTGGCTATCTTGTAAAGAGTATTTTAGATTCTTGATTCAATCACCTCTTTAACATGGATTGCCCAGAGCTAGTGAAAAACTGGTTTAATTCTTTTTTCTAAAGGTCATGTAAACATGTATGCTTAGTGAATTAGATGCAAATTCAATTCCCTAAGCTCAGTGCTTCCTAGTTAAGTTCCTTTCTTATTCTTCACATGTAAGCCCACATTTGATGGCAGAATATTGACTTTTGAGCTACAGTAAAAATAAAAATAAAACAAAAATATTTGACATTTGCTCCATAAAGCAGACAGATAGGGAATTCAGTGGAAAGAAATATTATTTCTCAAAACATATTTTGGTATTATTATTTCTCTTTCTTTATGAGGTATATGTATGACTTTTCTTTTTTGGCATTCTTTTTAGAGAAACAGATATGATTTAACACTCTATATTGACTTAAATAAGGCAGATTTAAATACAACACAGGATTACAAGTTATGAGATTAAAATATTTAATGAAATGCAAAACTGTATCATGCTATATAAAGACAAAAGAGGTTTACAAAACAGTATGCACATTAGTATTCCATTTTTGTTTATGAAAACTATATAAATACAGGTCAAATATTAACAGTGTTATCTTTGGGCGATGAGAAACAGGATTTTACTTTTTTCTTCATGCACTTTGCTATTTTCTCAATTTACTGCAATGAATACATGTTATCTTTTGATAATAAAAAAGAGATTATTAAAATATAAGTCTCTTCTATCTTTTGTCTTATTTGGAGGTCCAAAATAAGTGCCAATATTATACCAAAAATCCAATCTCATTTCAGTTTAAAATTTAATACTATATATAAATTAAGTTCAAGGAATAGCAATTAGTTTATTTTTCAGCATCATGATAACTCAAATCAAAGCAGTGTTACAAACTACATTTCAATGGTATAGTATTTGTTCACTCTATTTTCGAGCAAAACTACGCACAATAAAAAGAAATTATGATCTTGACTATTTTCTCATAGAAGAAAAACAAAAGATCTAGTTTTAAAAACTCTATTGATGAACTTCATCAATATGATATTTTCTGCCTTTTGGATTATTTCCTTGGCATAAATTCCAGAAATACTAGTTTAAAGGGTGTGGACATAGTTATGGCTTTTAAAACATAAGGTAACATTTTTTTTCCCTGAAAGACTTATTCAATTTAAACCACCAATAGCAAAGGATAAATTTATACTACTTTGCAAAAACTACTTTCACATGGGGTTATAACATTACTTTAAAACTTTACTAATTTAATAATATACAAGGGTAACATTTAAAAATTTTACCTTCTTTTAATAACCAGTGAGTGTGAGCATGTTCCCATATGTTTGTTTACTAATTATCAACTGTCTCTTCATCTTTTTACCATATTAGTGTCTTGATGTTTTCTTATGAATTTTTATGAGCTCTTACACATGAATTAACCCTTTCTACAGATATGCTCTTCGTGGTTATTTTATTTTATATGTTTTTTTCTGTGGTATAAACATTTAAATTTATTACAATTAAACCGGCTAATGTCATTTTTTGTTATTTTTCCTATTTATTAGCATTTAAAGCATTACTGTACTTTCACATTAACCCTAAACATGCTTCTTAATTTGACCAGTATAAACCCAGATATGATGTGGTCTTATCTGATACCAATCTTGAAACTTTATTTATGATTTCATAGCATTCTCCAAGATATACTCATGAGTCATATAGATTTTGCGAAAGATTTCATGGGGAAGAAAAGAAAAGGTATTACAAGATACACTGCATGGCAATAATAAATACTGAATGCTTAATAACTACTGAATTTTCAGTAAGCATCCCTGTTCTCCTCAAATTCCCCTTATTTATGTCAAAACCTTCTTTTATTTTCCTATTGTCTTGTCTTTCCATGTTTTTTTTTTCCTTTACAGTCTCTGAAATCCTATTTCCTGAAACAACTCAGTGCTTGCTCTAAGTATGCATGCCTAATCTGAATTGGGACAAAAAAGCTCTATATTCAACTGAGCTTAGTGACTTAAAACTCAACAAGTGACTGTCTCCTATTGCTCAAGCTTGCTCTTTGAGGTTTCATTATCTTACCTTATGCAGCTAACCTAAGTATTAGCTCAATAAAAACTGGTCATTTCTTAGGAACAAATTCAATTGCTGAGACAAATACAATTTTTCCCCAATTGTTACACTGGTATTTTCATTCCAGTATCATGTTTAAAATTCAACCTTTTATTCTAACTTTAATCTTTTTTTGTAACACTTACAGAGCTAAGTTAATTGTCTTTCAAAATACAAACAAGTTTAACAAACATTTATTAGATAAATATTAAATGATGAATTAATTCATATTTATTGACTATTTGGACAAGGCTCTGGAGGTCTCTGCTTTTACGAAACTCACAGAAAAGGAAAGAGACAAAGAAATAACTCAGTATAATGAAACATGACCAGTATTACAACAGAGATAAGTGTAAAATATTACAGGAAACCCTGAGATTATTTAACAGAAATTGGATATGCGAAGCCTTTATAAGGGGACAAACTGAAAGGCCAAGCAGAGAAAGTGGGAATAGACTTCTACCAAGAAGGAAAAGCATTTGAAAGGAGTGAATGAAACAACATATGGATTCTCAACATCTCCCCACTCTCTCAAGGAAGCAAAAATCACTGTATAAATCAAGAAAGCCAGATTGCAGCACTTTTACTGTTAGAGTGTGGCCCTCCTGAAACTTAGGCAGGGGGAGTAATCTCCTGAATTAATGACTGATTAATAAAATAATATTAAAGTTTGCTATGACTATTATTTTTACTACTACTATTATTATTATGCTGGAGTCATGAAGGCAGCTTTTCTCTTTCACCAAAGTGAAACTGACAAAGCAGAATCATTGGTAAGATATTTCTACAGAGAGCAACTAGCTTCAGACAAATCAATGCAACTTAAAACATTTTGACAACAACTGTAAAGAGAGTTCTTATTTTCAGGTTTTGTTATAGGCTTCTAGTATCTTACCTTCAATTAAAAAATGCAAATTGCTGAAACATCACTAGAAGTCATATCCAAACAATACATTATGATGTGTTTCTCTAAATAATATAATGTGAATCCACGGAAAACTCAGAAATTATTAAATATTCTATGCTCAGAATAGAAGGTGAAAAAAATTCATTATATCCTGAAATATTTACAAAGCCTCACAAGATATTTATTGGTATTTATTAGAACATACATTTGTATGTAACACACACACACACACACACACACAGAGACACACACACACAGCCAAATGTTATTTGGGCATTGGCATAACAAGTAATATATTATTTGTTGTTTGCAGAAGTGCATATATAGATCTGCATTTATAATTATTTGGTGAATTTCAGAAGGTAACTATATAAGAATTTGAAAGTCATGCAACTTATAGCATTATTCAGGCCTATTCATAAAGACTTATTTCCCTGGACTATCTTTAAAAACATATGTGTTTGAGTGTGCCTTTTGTCATACTTCACTTTTCTTATATATTGTGACATAGTAAGGCAATAAAACAACCAAAGCAAATAGCTATACAAGCAGAAAGAAAAAGCGTAAAAAGAAAAAATAATTTCTATTGATTTTGTTCTATAAAAAGCAATTGCTTTCTCATGTTATTTTTAGTTGATACTTCATTTTCTTCTCTCTCTTTTATTTAAACTTGTAGTGGTTGAAGAAAGATACACCACCACAGGAGTAAAAGTATAGCGGGCTTACAAAAAATTAAACACGTTTGCCTGTTGAGTTTGAAAATATGGAAAATAGCCATCGTATTGTCTACCAATTCATTACATAGAGTCATTTGTTCTAGGTGGAGAAAAAAATACTTTGAGCAGAGACTTATCAGAAAGATCTAAAATACAGTGTAAAAACCTGTCTGAAAGTGCAGTACATTTTATGCAATCTAATACAAAGCAGTTCACACATTTATGAATCCATGGAAAGCACAGCAGGTACAGAAGGCACCGGTTACTAGTAGTGTCTAGACATGGAGAAACTATGACCTCAGTTAGTGCAACCCAGTATTTACTTTTCCTTCCCAATGAGTGCACCTCATGATCTCAGTATGCAGGACAGCTGAGAGAGGGGCGAAAAACAAATTCTGAGCTCGGCAGCCATCTTCAAACCACAGTAAGGGCATAGAGACTTCAGAATGTAGGAAAATTTTCAGGAGGAGACCTACTTAGACTGCATATAAAAATATTTCTGTTGGAAAAGCCATCTTTTAAAAAATGTATTGTGAGAAAAAGGTGCATATCAAAATCAATCATCTCCTTTATCAATTAATGAGCTAATGAAGCTTCTATACCATCAATAGTAAAGAACATCTTTAAATATGTCTTATATTAATGCTATGGATACCAACTTCTAATTTTCTCTCATTTAGCCTCTGGATCATTTGTATCATAGTTTAATGTTCTCAGAAGATTAAGACATTTTGCATTTGACCTAAATTTGGCAAGCTTTTGTTTGACCCAACCAAGTAGTTGATCTTTCTGATTAAGAGATCATAGAAAATTACCACCTTTCCTGCCTTTTAATTTTTCATGGTAAAATCAAGCTACTTGGGATTTTATGGGTTATTTATAAATTTGAGTGGTCACAAAAAGAAGTACAAATGTTCCCAAATTCCATTTTAAAGTGTCTTGGTGTCCTTATAGCATCAGAGTGTGCCACTTGTTCGCACAAAGCATCATACTGTGCACATCATTTCTAGCTGTGCCGTCAGGGCTTGCAGGTTCTGTCCTGCCAGGCTTCCTCTGGCCGAGACCTGGGGCGTTTCCTGCCAGGACCTGCCTAATAACAAAGGGGCCACCTCCAAATTTTGTGTATCTCACCAGACTCGTATAACTCTCTAAGCTGCCAACATACCCCATCATGGTATTTAAGAGACATTTGAAAAAAATAATAATCAGAAACAGAATGAAAAAAAACCATAATGCTTCTTCCAACCAATTAACCAACCAATAAAAAACAGGACTAGAGGTAGTCAATGAGGCTAGTTCTTTTTTTCCTTCCACATAGACATTATGCATGTAAGGGGAGATACAGACATGTGAATATTTCTATCATATAAGAGGGGAATAGGACGCAGATGGGATTTTGAGATCTAGAATTCAGGCAACAGAAGGAAACCAGCTCTTACCTCGGTGCATGTTGAGGAAGAAAATGGAGAGGAAGGGAACTGGGGAGCCTGAGGGATGGCCAACTTCCTGGAATGTCAACTTAATATATTTGAATGCAGTTGAGTCCACCTTTATTTCTTTTATTATTTATTATTATTAACTTTTATTTTAAGTTCAGGGGTACATGCGCAGGTTTGTTACATAGGTAAACTCCTGTCACAGGGGTTTATTGTATAATTTTGTTACCCAGGTATTAAACCTATTACCTATTAGTTAATTTTCCTAATCTTCTCTCTCCTCCCGCCTTCCATCCTCTGGTAGGCCCCAATGTGTGTTGTTCTCCTCTATGTGTCCATGCATTCTCACCATTTAGCTCCCACTTATAAGTGAGAACATGCGGTATTTGGTTTTCTGTTCTTGTGTTAGTTTGCTAGGGATAATGAACTCCAGCTCCATCCATGTTCCTGCAAAGGACATGATCTTGTTCTTTTTTATGACTGCATAGTATGCCATGGTGTAGGCTGGACGTGGTGGCTCATGCCTGTAATCCCAGCACTTCGGGAGGCTGAGGCGGGTGGATCACCTGAGGTCAGAAGTTTGAGACCAGCCTGGCCAACATGGCGAAACCCTGTCTCTACTAAAAATACAAAAATTAGCAGGGCGTGGTGGCACATAGCTGTGATCCCAACTACTCAGGAAGCTAAGGCAGGAGAATTGCTTGAACCCAGGAGGCAGAGGTTGCAGTGAGCAGAGATTGTGCCACTGCACTCCAGCCTGGGTGACAAAGCAAGGCCTTGTCTCAAAAAAAAAAAAAATAAAAAATAAGTATGCCATGGTGTATATGTGCCACATTTTCTTTATTCAGTCTACCATTGATGGGTATTTAGGTGGATTCCATGTCTTTGCTATTGTGAATAGTGCTGCAATGAACATACGCTTTATAAAGATGGCATAAATACAGAAAAATGATGTTGGGGTACATGGTCTTATTTTATTTTTTGGGTCTATACTCTCCAAGGCCATTCTTGATTGAAAGCAGTGATAGCTCAACATTTCCCTTTGGACGATTAGAGCTATGTTATCTGGGGTTGGGTTTTGAAAAGCAAGTATGAACAGAAGATGAAAGTACTATTAGGGGTTTGTGGAGTGAGGGGGATGTACTCTGTGGATTTATAGTTGAAGACTGTAGGGAGTGTTATTGCCCCGTTTGTCTTCACCACTGATGAGATGCGGAGGGAAATGCAATCTTCCCATAGCTGAGCTTATGTCAAAAAGAAATAAAAAGTGAGATGTGTCTGAAATCACATAACTCATGAAGAGTAAATAGAGTTGCAAAATATGCCATATTCTCTGTTTATTTATCTGGCAAGAGCACCTGTAAGATCAGGACTGGCAGTCAAATCACACGGCTGTCATCTCTTCCCATGGAGGGGTTCAGAACCACTGATTCTGCCAGGTCTCTGCAATTGCACTGCATGGAACTGGGACTGGTCAGAGGATTTACTATTTACTCAAAGAATCTGCAGTTGTTCTACTGACTACATATTCCCCAAAGACCAAGTTCAGGTTCTTTGTTTTATCCTTCAGCTCAAACATCATTTCTTATTGTAATAAGGGATATTTGAGTAATCTATTGAAATACTTTTTTTTCTTTCCTAGTGCAGGTATCTTTGTTTTCCTTAGATTTAGGATGACTAAAGTCTTGGTTTTATAAATGAGTTTTGATGTATCTTTTGTCATGATGATGTTCATGTTGTGTCTTACTAGGTTCAAGGTCTCATAGGGCTAACGCACAGTTTTAGTTTAGGTAAATCAGGATTTAAATTCAGTCTCCTTGTTTAGGCAACAAACTCTACCCTCAGAACCTCAGATTTCTTTTTCTGTAAAATAGATATTGATGTCTCTAAAAGCATTTACACAAGGTCTTGCAAATTATAATTTAAAAAAATATTTTGCATATCCATTTATTCTGATAGTATTTCTGTGTGGTTAGGATGAAGTTCATGTTTTAAAACTGTGTACTGAGGAAGAAAGGGCTAAGATGGGAAGATTGGGGGATTAATGATTTGTTGGAAACTGTGGGACTTATCCAATGAAGACAGCTTCTCTTGAGCATGTGTTAATTACTATATGCAGAAATATAGGCCCAGTGTTGTTTGATTTATTTAATAAAGAGTTATTGGCCAGGCACGGTGGCTCACGCCTGTAATCTCAGCACTTTGGGAGGCTGAGGCAGATGGATCACCTGAGGTCAGGAGTTCGAGACCAGCCTGGCCAACCTGTTTCTCCAACATGGCAAAACCCCATCTTTACTGAAAATACAAAAATTAGCTGGGCATGGTGGCAGATGCTTGTAATTCCAGCTATTCAGGAGGCTGAGACAGGAGAATCGCTTGAGCTCCGGAGTTTGAGGCTGCAATGAATTATATTCTCACCACTCCCAAGGTGACAGGGCAAGACCCTGTCTCTGAAGAAAACAAATATTTTAAATACTGTATGGCTGGCAAAAAATAAACAAGATGTGTCAATTAATCAAATGTACATAGTAGATAATCTGTTTGTGGTTTCTTTAAAATTCAACCTATTTCAATCCACTTATTACTAATTTTCAATGCAAAAATGAAAATTTGCATTTTCAGGGCTACTTTAACATGCACAACTCATTCTCCATCAAACTTTCACATCTTCCTATTTGCTGTTGGACATTAGATACTGCAGATTCTCCAATGTTAGTTTCTCTCTAACATTTTGCTAGAACCATTTTGGTATATATTTATCATTTTATATCTGAATGATGGCCTTGTCTCTGCTCTCACCAATATTTAGATTCTCAGTACTAGGATTTGGGCAACACTTTGTGGAAGATAGAAATTTGGCTGTATGTTGTGTACTGCCTCTTGGGTTTTGTAATTCTGGAATTATTATAGGTATAATTTGCCTTGGTTATTTATGCAGTAAATTTTACTGATTATTTTCATTATCACTGACTATCATCTAGTTGGAGCTATTTAGCAAAAGGGGACAAGCAGTGTGCCTCTAGCTTGCTAGGTTGTAGTTTTCTTTCATTTAGTTGTTACTAAGTGTACTGATGGATCTAATTATCTTGATGCCATCAGTTCCCTGTATGATGGGTCTTATTTATTGTTCTAAGACCTTTATGTTATATCAGCAGATTATATCCAAACTCTACTGGCATATTATTGTCTCTGAATCAGCTGGGTAGTTATTCCATGAAAATTTACACTATTTTAAAAAAGAAAAGAGCCCATATGGTTTTTTCTAGCTCCGCTAGCTTTAATTGGATCAAAAATGGAAATGTTTATCGTACTCATCTCTGAGAATGATTGACGGCACTCATGTTAATACAGGTTATATTCTATTACAACACTTCTCATGCCAAAATAAATTTCTGCATAAGGAAAATTATTTTCAGGCATTGCCATACAAATATACTTTCAAGTAACATTTAATTTATTCACTCATTAGGGAAGGAATCAAAGAATATTAGACATTTGAGCAGAGCCTTGAAGGATTAGAGGGCTGTTAAAATTTGGAATTAAATGGAAGGGACAAAGGATAATGTAGGCTGGGACATTTTAAGAAGCATATTAAATACAACAAAATTTTGTAACATTAAACCATGTATCTAAGTCTTTTTTGTTTGTTAAGTTTCAGTATAAGAAAAATGTCCTTAGAGGCGCTATCTGCACAAACTTTGATACTCTACCTCCCAGGCAGAATTAATTAGCTCCCCCTTAGGACTTCTATCTCACTAACTTCTTTATAGTACCTAGATTATCTTATAATTGATTACAGGCTTGTCTTCATATTAGCTGATGCATTACCTGTGGCTGAAAATCTTAGATCCTACTTCCCAATTCAAGAATATCAGCAAGACTGTAACTTCAAACATACGTTAAATTTTTAGCCTGTGCCAGGCACTGTGCCAGACAATTTACATACAACTACATAGTTCTTATTATGTTATTCTACATCATAAAGGGTACTATCACTTTCACCATTTTACAATTGAGGTGAGTATTAATGGAGCCAAGACATTTGCGCTTGGTTTAATCAGTGAGTAGCAGAGGTGGGATGCAAGATAAGCGTACATGACTCCAAAGAACACAATTTTATCCACCAGGATGCTCTGCCTCCTATTCCCTAATGAAGTGCTTGGTACCTGATAAGCACTCAAGAACTATGTGTTGAATAAAGAAAGGAGTGCATGATAGAGAGTACTTCAAGAATATGATAGAAGTATGAAAAAACTTGTATGACATCAATGTGGTTAAAAAAAATCTGTCTGTGCATCAGGGAAGAACCTTTGCAGTGCTGGCAAAATAAACAAACTCTTGGAATTTTCGAAACGGGATTTGCCCTGCATGTATTTTGAGTAGAAAGTCCTTAGGGCATTCCTGCAAATGTGCATCCGCCCAAACTTGAAAGTCGAGTCAGTCTAATCTTTGTAATGATAGTAGGACCCAGACCTGCTAAGAGACATCACATCCAGTTTTCTAAACAATTTCATCAGCATCATCCCTGAGCCTCATTTAATCTTAAACCGTAGGAAGGAGCCCTTACAACCAGTTACTGGAACACAGCCAAGCCCTCAACCATGCCTGCTGCAACAGGTCCCATGACTTTGGACACGTGCTCAGGATGGATGTTGCCAAGATCCGAAAGCACAACTCTAGGGGGTGCTGAAGTGAGGAAGCAATAGGCAGGGTGGGCAGATAATGGACAAGCTGGGGCTGGACAAAGGCAAGTAGGAAACAACTAGGAAATCTCAGCAGGACCAGTAGCAGGAGCAGTAGCGGTAGCTGCAGCAGAAGTGGTAGACGAATCTGTTGTAGTTTTACTGTCAAGAGAGTTTGGCAGAACTTTCATAACTAGAGGAGGGATTTCAGAGGTGGAGCCAAAGCACTTCAGGTCACAGTGACCTGCTCTGTGAAGAAAATTTGAGACTGTTTCTGTACAGCCTAGCAACTAAGAAGTCAGCCCTGCTTGACAACTTGGAAACACACTCACCACACTGACCTATTATGTTTGGGTGCTCACTGCTGATGCATAAGTGAGTGCATGCAATGCCTTTTGTAATACAACCATTAAGAATGAAAAAATGAATCACTCACTTCCTAAATTTGCATCTTACCCATTAAAACTAACACAATGATTGACAAAATTTACTTGAATGAGCAACCCAGTCCTTCTCCCTACCTCCTCTTCTAATTAGATATCTTCTTCCCCATCATATGTTCTCTACTATTGATAGTACCCAGTATGTTGTCAAAACATTGGCTGTTTCATAATAAATCATTACATCCCAAACCAGAATTTACCCAGAATACATTATGGTGAAATCACATGACACATTCAACTTATTCAAATGTATATAATGAAACTAAAAATGCATCCATTGTTTCTACACTTTAGCCACACAAAAACAATTTGAATTTTAAAAAATGGGCAAAGGACTTGAACATACATGTCTCTACATAAGATATACTAATAAATAAGAACAAGAAAAAATGCCCAGTGTCACCAATCATTAGGGAAATGCAAATCAAAGCCATATTGAAACATTTCACTCCCATTAAGATGGCAACCATAAAAAACCTCAAACAAATAGAAATTAACAAGTGTTGACATGAACGTTGAGAAACTACAACTTTTGTGTATTGTTGCTCCCAATGTAAAATGGTGCAACTGCTATGAAAAATTGAATGGCAGTTTTTCAAAAAATTGGAAATAGAATTACCATATGATCCAACAATTCCACCTCTAGCATACAATCAAAAGAATTTAAAAAAACAGGGATTCAGATATTTGTATACCCAAGTGATGTAGTTTGGTTGTGTCCCCACCCAAATCTCATCTTAAATTGTGGTTCCCATAATTCCCGTGTGTTGTAGGAGTGACCTGGGGGTAGATCATCGAATCATGGGGGTGGTTTTGCCCATACTGCTCTCATGGTAGTGAATAAGTCTCACAAGACCTGATGGTTGTTTTTTTATTTGTTTGTTTTGTTTTCGTTTTTGATGGAGTCTTGCTCTGTTGCCCAGGCTGGCATGCAGTGACGTGATCACAGCTCACTGCAAGCTCTGCCTCCTGGGTTCACGCTGTTACCCTGCCTCAGCCTCCCGAGTAGCTGGGACTACAGGCGCCTGCCACCAAGCCCGGCTAATTTTTTGTATTTTTTTTTTTTTAAGTAGAGACGGGGTTTCACCGTGTTAGCCAGGATGGTCTCCATTTCCTGACCTTGTGATCCTTCCGCCTCCACCTCCCAAAGTGCTGGGATTACAGGCCTAAGCCACCACGCCCAGCCTGAGATCTGACGGTTTTATAAACGGGAGTTCTCCTGCACATGCTCTCTCTTTGCAAGCCGCCACGTAAGACATGCCTTTGTTCTTCTTCGACTTCCACCATGATTGTGAGCCCTCCCCAGCCATGTGGAACTGTGAGTCAATTAAACCTCTTTCTTTTATAAATTACCCAGTCCCGGGTATGTCTTTATCAGCAGCATGAAAACGGACTAACACACCAAGTTTATTGCAGCATGATTTACAATAGCCAAAAGGTGGAGGCAACCCAAGTGTACATCTGTGAATAAATGAATAAACAAATTTGACAAATACATACAACAGATATTATTCAGCCTTGAAAAGGAAGGGAATTCAAAACATGAATAAATTTTGAAGACATTGTGCTAGGTGAAATAAGCCAATCACAAAAGGACAAATACTATATGATTCCACTACTGTGAGGTACTTAGAGAGGTCATTTCATAGAGACAGAAAGAAAAATGATGGTTGACAGGGACTGTTGGATTGAGGGCATGGGGGGATAGGTGGTGGAGAGTTATTTTTTAATGGGCTAGTTTTGGAAGATGAGAAAAAATTTCTGAAATGAGTGGAAATGATAGTTTCAAAACAATGTAAATGTACTTAATGCCACTAAACTGTATGCTGAAAATGGTTAAAATGGTAAATTTTATGTTTTATATATATTTTACCATAATTTAAGAATGCATTCATTATTATACTGTGCTTTATGGTATACATTCATGTGTATATATGAAGTTATTTATAAAAACAATATGTACTTTATTTTACTTCATGGGTAATTGAAGAGGTTTTAAATGGTAATTTTTCTATGTGTAATTACTAATTTACAAGCTCAGTTTCTAACTTAACCATTATTTAGGATGCAACGCCACTGAATTTTTCTTCTCAAATTTTGAAAAGATCAGTGATGGCAGAAAGGTGAAACAGTACAGTGTGTGTGTGTGTGTGTGTGTGTGTGTATTATGGACTAAAATATAGGGTACACTATAGTAGGTAATTGTTTAAATTCCCAAAGGTCTTCTCTAAATTCATTAGATCACTAAGCATCCAAATTTCAAATGATGTCCCCATTTCCATTTTGATTGAGGATCCATGAATAACTGAGTGCCTTTTTTTAAATGTAAAAATCACTGGCCATGACTTAAGCCATACTTTTATTTCCTGGGAGAAAACTACAAGGTAAATAGACTTTATATGAGTTCACATTACTTCATGAAATTTTGCTGACAAAACACATCAGAATAGGTTGGACACACAAATTTTTGGTAAATGTTATAACCAAGAGTTTAAAAAGAAAATGCATAAAAGCCATAATAAATCAGAAAATTCCGCTTTGTTATTTCCAAAAATTATGTCAATCATCTAATCATCTGTCAGTTTGGCCACCCCTTTGTAGTATGCTGTTGAAAAGCACATGATTGTCTACAGTCTTATTCCTAAAGCACCCACACATTTTTCTCTTTTCGACATAAGGAATTTATTTTCTACTCATAGTACCTTTTGCTGCAATCGCATTCAATTCTACGGATCTTGGTGACAAAGTAGCCCTGAGAGCTATTACTGGAAACAGAAATAGGAAACAGTGGGATCTCTAAGCCTGTTAACTTCCTTATTTCAGAATCTTAACAGGAGAGTGCAGAAGGGTCACTGGAAAAGAAAAGACATGTTTTGAAATGGCTGAAACTTCTCAAACATCACAATCTGCTTTGCAGCCACAATAAAAGGTGTAATCTCCTTTCCTGGTGAAAATGGTAGCACTCATTCACAGAGAGGCTTATTTCTGGGCCCTTTTAGAATCAGTTAAATTCACTTCTCTTGACTATCTAGAACCAGAAGAAAATCTCCTGTGTTTAATGTTCTGTGCAAAGAAACAAGGGATAGACATCTTGAGCGTCTTTAGTGAAAGTGAAGTGAAAATGGAAAGTATTGACTGACATGGGAAACCTCACAGGTACATCAGGAACTCTCTTGCCAAAAGAAGAATGGTTTATCTTGACAGTTTTCTCATATCCTACATAGAAATTCCTGGAGGTGAAAATGATCTAGCTCTAACCTGATGCTTAGTAATGTGATTGTTGTCTCTCTTATTCTATGAAAGATAACCCCAGCAGGATATTGGAATGATGTTTGACTCTGTACTAAGAACTATGATTTCAGTTGATAGCTTTATAAAAAAATCTGAAAACCGTACTCCCTGACCTATCTGAAAACTTTGATCTTTTGCCAACCAGAGATCACATCTAGAAGTAATCTTTCACTTTTTAAAAGCACCAGAATTTCAATATGTCTAAGGAGAGAGTAAAGGAAAAAAAAAATTATATCTATGTTGAAGCTGTCTGTCTCACAATTTTATTTTTCTTGTTTCATAAAATTTTGATATTCCTAAACTTCTCTCGACTCCTCTATTTCAGTTCTGCTTTATGGGAATAAATGTGGAGACTGCTCTCCCCAGACAATTACCCAAAGTGCCACAACGCTTCTTACCCATATGCAACTCGTAACAAGATATCAAATGTCAGTAGGAAGCCTAGAAACTATAACTCCTAGAAGACAGAAAAACCTGTCTTATTTAGCTTTATCACCTCCCAGCTGCCCCCAACAAGACTTGCATGTGGCTTTGCCATGGTGAACACTCATTTATTGCTTATTGAACCGGAATCTTATTGTAAGGTTCTTTATTAATCTCAGAAGCCATCTTCTTAGTGAGTTTCTCAGAGAAAGCTGCCTGATTCAAAAGAGTATTATTGTGAGGTCAAGAGTGTTTTCTTTAAATAAAGTAAATTAAGAACTTTAATTCTTGCCTTGCATGTATCAACTTTAATAGTTATACATAACTTTTTGTTTGTTTTTAGTAGAGACTGGGTCTTACTAAGTTGCCATGGCTGGCCTCAAACTCTTGGCCTCAAGCAATCCTTTGGCCTTGGCCTCCCAAGGTGCTGGGATGACAGGTGTGAGCCACGGCACCCAGCCTATATACAACTATTTTTATTCAATAGGTGAAGACAATGTTAATTGGTGTATTCAATGTCTGAAAATGTTACAGCTAGAAACATGGCCCACAATTCATAATGCCTACTCTTATGATTTATAAAATTTTACAAGTTTTATTTTCTTACATTACGGAAGAAATGATTTGGTGATGTTCCATGATTCATGATATTGGACAAGGATCTCTCCTCAGCAAAGCAGAGGGAAAGTTCCCGGAATTCTAGGCTGAGTCAGATTCCAGCAGGTCCCTATTGCTTTCTCTCCCTACTGCTAATGGGTAGACAGAATGATTAACTTACTGTGGGCTTGGTGTTATGTGAGAAATGAAAAAAGGGAGTGCCTCCAGTTCCTGTGTTCGACACATTTTACAATCTTGCTGGCAAGATCAAAAGAACAGATATAAAACAAGAAGATACTAAGACTTAAACCATGAAGCACTAACTATTGCACCAAGGACTGGGAAGTCTCAATGAAAAAGTGAAATTTAAATTAGGCCTTGAATGAAGAATATAATTTGAAAACACAAAAGAAAACTCATTACTGGATATGAGGGAATAAGTGATGAGAGTAGGAAAGATCACGGCATGAAGAAAGAACAAGGATATTGATTTGACAAAAATAGAGGTGAAGAGGCCAGGGACTGATAGCAAATGACCTTGCTTGTGTAGGCTAAAACACATTACCCTTCTTCACATCCTTAGTACCCTGAATAGTGTCTGGTACCTGACCTACACTCAATAACTATTTATTAAGTGAAGCAGATTAGAAAAGATTTTTTCTCAAAATCAAGCAGGGATGTTCCGACAGGTTGTGATAAATTAATGAAGATTTCTTGATCAGGGAAATGTTACGGTGTAAATAAATAATCATGCTTTGGAAGATTGATTGCTAGAGCAGAGAGAACGCATTGCCTTTGGATTCAGATGAGCCTGTAAATTGTATGACCGTGGGCAAATTACTGAACATTTCTAAGCTTCAGTTTCTTTGTAATAAAGTAGGACGTAATATTTACCTTGGAGGGCTATTGAGAGAATTGACTGAAATAATATGCACCAGGTTCCCAGCAAGGGGCCTCGTATTGTAATGCTTTATAAATTCTACCCACTTTTTCTTCCTGGACAGTGACATTACAAACTGGTTGAAAAGGGCAAGAGACAAGCAATAGGGAGAGAGTGACCTAGAACAGGATGGAGGTAGCATGGATGTCCAAAACAGTCTAAGGAAAAAAACAAGGCTTAGAAAAAATTGTTCCTAGGGCATGAATCAAATATACAACCAAAATTTTTATTCTACTGTACATGAGAATGGTTTTTAAACTAATAAAAAAACGGTTGCTGAGAATATCTGATATTTTGGAAGATCTATCTTTACCTTTAAACATAATTACATTTCCCAATTATGTTCTTAAATATTCCTTCAGAGGATTCTGACTTGATTAGCAAAATCTTATGGAGTTTTCTTAAAAATAAAGAAAATATATTTCTAGGAAAACAATAAATATAACCAAAGTAAAGCTATTCTAAGTAAAGGAACACTGTGAAAAGTCAGCTCTTTAATCCAACCTCATGGATTAATTTAAAGAATTAAAAAGATACTAAGTTTTCTAATGATCTATAAGAACATTGGTTTATTTTGGCAGATCATTTTATTGAGGATTCCATTCTAAGAAACAATGAAGCATACTATATAGATTTAGAAAAGTAATTATACATGAAAAACCTTTAAATATTAATTAATTTATATCAGCAACCACTGCTTGCCTAGAATGCCAGCAGTACGTAAAGAAATATTGGTGTGTCCTAATGGAGGAATGGCAGGTCAATTGCCAAAAGTGGAAATATCTTTGCCTGAAGCTATTTTAAGTAAGATATGTCCCTCCTTCACTTCCCAAAACAGGAAAAAATTTGATAAAGATGAGCCATTATGTACAGTTAACAAAATAATAAATTTCACTACAAATGAAGCTTAAATTAAAAGTTTACTTTTACTGGAAAATCATTTTGACTTTTGGAGATGAAAATAAGAGATGAAATGTTTGTCCTAAGTCATACAAGATTCAAGGGAAACAGAACTGCTCTTTGTTGTATAAACAAAGTCAAAGATAAATAGTCAACGAGGCTGAGCAGCAATCTAAGTTGAAAGAGTTTGGAATAAATATAAATTCCTATCAGCTATACATGTATAATTCCTGGGCAGCATCAGTCTTTTCCTGTCTGATCACAGATGCTCCTGGCATGTATGGATCTCCACCTTTTTGGTGACTCTGCTCTGAACAATGAACATGAAGATAAATATGTCCCCCACACAAAGAACTACAGCCATCTTACAAACTGTTATCTCCTATCACCATAGCACCCTGTCTTCAGTCACAGGAGGCAGAAAAATCTGACCATGCCAAGTCCTTACTTAAAATCCTTCAGAAGGTCCACAGCTTTGAGGATAAATTCCAACCACCGGAGTACGTAAGGAATAGATGGGAGCCTCTTCTACTGTATAGGATCAACTCTTGCTTTTCCCTCAGGATGGACCCCATATTCCAATGCTGGTAAACCACTTGAGGTTTCCAGACCTTTTCTCTTGGGCAGGCTTAGAACACCCTTCCCCTCAAAATTTCATCTCTGGACATTTACCTGTGTTGTTACACCTTGCAGAAAACATTCTCTGGATATCCTCTTCAAGCCTCACTGGATTCAGTGCTTTTGCAGAAACCCTCTCATATTCTTTCTTCTAATAAATTTCTTTCCCATCCACTAGAATATGAGTTTGTGGGATTGTGTTCTTGTATTTTTAGCATACAGCACAGTTTGAGGCAGCTAGCAGATACTGGTGAACTAATGAGGTGGAAGGAACTCAATTTTATTTCAAGTACAAATAGTTTAATGAAGGTTTCAGGACTATCTGAAGTCAGATACAGTCTGTACGTTAGCACTGTTTTCCAAACACCACTGTAGCTGTCCAGTTTCTCCACCCAGCTCCCCTTGAATATACATTATTTAAAAAAATCTTTTATTCTTTACTTCAAGTTATTCCGCTACACAAAAACCACCAAGAAGACACTTGAAGTCGAGATACTCCAGAAATTTCACATTCTTGGCAAATGCTTTGCGATTCAGTTTTTCCTGAAAGGAACCCTCTTCTACGAATCTGATTGAAAAACATGGCCTTATTCTCCTTTTTGCTAGAAGCCATTTGATGGATGCAGTGCAGCTTTACAAGTGAATTCCAAGTGATTGGTGAAAATAAAATATAATGCCACTGGAATGGTATAAATCAGACTTTTACCAAGAACATAAATTTCTGTTCATATAATTCTCTCATTTCAACATGCAAATTAAAAAATAAAAGTTGGAAATGGAAATGTTGGTGTGGCCCCACCCCTCTGTTTTGCTTGCAAACTCCTGAGATGCAGCTAGAAACAGAATATTCCGTACTAATTTGTCGTCTGTGTGACAAAGAGATGAAGGTGACAGCTTCTTTGATGACGGCTTGATAAAGCAATTTTATTGTTCTTAACAGTGACTCAAGGAAAACACAGTCCCCACTTAACATTTGACACAGAGCCACGTGTCTTCATAGAACATATATGTGTACTCTGTATATATAGTTTATATATCCTAAATAAACTCACTACTTTGTTTCTGAAGAGAATCAGCTTAGCATTCATGTACTGTATATATAAAATATGCACACACATATATACTATCTACACATGTATGTGTTTGCAGTGACTAAAACAGTATGCATGAATGTGTATGTTAGGATGAGTTTCCATGACTATAACCCAGACCTGCTGCCAAGATTATTCATAAAGATTACAACATGCTGTCAGGGCAAATTCAATATTCCATAGTTATTTTTTTTTCTGTTTAGATAGTGTTTCTATAGACGACTGATTGGGGTCTATAGCTATCACTCACCTTTCAAAATTATTTTGTCAGAAGTCATAGAGCTTTTTGTTTCTTCATGCATTTTTTTTCTGTTAATCCAGTAAAGAAGAAAAAGTTTTGACATGGTGTTAGTTGTTACCCCTCCAGAGTATTTAGAGACCACTTTTAATCAAAGTAAAAGGAAAATATAATATGGAGTAATTTGCCCTTGCCCCATCCCTCAAGTTGGAGCCAGGCCAGACTACATGTTTCTATTATCAGAGATATTTTTAGTCACAGGTTGTATGGTTGTCTAGGGTCAAGAAATGTCCCCATGATCATTTGCCTCCACCATTCCTAAGCTATGATATAGACTCATAAACATGTAGACAGGGAATGTCTCTGCAAAGAGAGAAACCATCCAGAGTACAGGGATGTCAGAAAGAAAGAACACGGATGAAAGAGCCCAAGAAGAGGCTCAAATATACAACCTCTGCTATGTAAGTCTCAGGGAAGGACGATTCCTGTTGAGTTAAGGAGTAACTCATAAGAAAGCAGGAGAATTGCAGCGCCTCCAACAACTCTGCTTCTTCCAAGAAGATAACTGAATTATTGGCAGTTCTTCTGGAAAATAACCCCACATTGGAAGGATGAGAAGCGACCCTGAATTTTTCATAAAAACTCTGCCAAACTTGGGAGAAAAAAAAAAAAGGAAACACTGCTTTGGAAATTTTATTGATTTAAAAATACATATGAAGAGACATTAAAAATAAGGTTCATACTTGTCATGAATTGAACAAAGGTGATCCTATGTACTTTCATGGCAATGGATTTTTAAAACATACAGAAACTATTTTTAGTTTTATATTTTAGAGCTAGAGCTGTAGTGTTCTAAAACCTAATACCAAATTTTGGCTAATCTTTTCATATGTCCTTTTTTTATTCAGTGCTTAGAAATAAATAACTTTAGTGATCATAATGTCCTTAAATGTAAAATAGTTAAGTTTAAAAAATTTCAAAATACCTTTTCCTATTGTAAATGAATTAACAATAGTTATTAGATTCCCCAGTGTTTTTTGTCAACACGCTTTTTTCTATGGGATTTAGAAAATACAATTAGTGATATTTTTCCTAATCCAGAATAAATTTTCTTTTTGCTTTGTATGCATTCTAGCCAGATGAGTGGGCAATTATTTTGAAGGTTGACAATCTGCTCCAAGTCTTAGAAAGCAGGCAAGTCCCCAAAGAAAGAAGGAAAAGACTTGAGATCTCAGCTTAGAGTTACGGAAATTACATGGACTTTAATGATAAAGAAACACTTACAGAAAAAAAAAAATAAACCTGGCTCTGCTATTTATTGATTTTGTAATCTTGGGCAAATTGTTTTTGGCTTTGCTTCCGTTTCTCAATTTTTTAAATGATGACAGTGGAGGGGAGGGGGAGATCACCTTCCAGAGATGTCCTGGCAATTAAATGACTTATTTTTATATTAAACATCTGATTTTGTGCCTGACTTTTCTTCTTCACATGCTTGCTTTCAAACTTACTGACCTTCTTTTTCCCCCTGAAACAAGTAAAGGAATAAAAAAGGTTTCCCTGACTTCTAAAAGTTATGAAATCTGTGGTGCCACAGACACATCCTGTTTCTGTGCAGCATGAGTTATTCAGCATTATTAGTAGACACATTGCTGCTTCCAGGCACAGGAGCATTTCTGAATGTGGTTCAATAGAAGTGCTTTTAGTAAAACACTTCATTAATTCCAGATACTCCACCACAGCATAGTGTTATCACTGAATTCTGTTGACCTAGTTAAGCCATCTCTAATTTTATTCCTGAAAGTCTATAATTAGGATGGTCTGAAATAGCCTGAAAATATTCAGCGCCAGCACTTGTCTCAAAAGGCAAGTAGCAAAACCTTCAATAAGGCCTTTTCTGAGATTTGTTCTTTTATGTCACTGGATTTGACAATCTTTCAGCATGGAGAGAGAGTGGGGGAAAGGGGAGGGTAGATTAGGAGGAAACCAGAGAGAAGAGGGAAAGGGAGGGGAGGAGAAGAGGCAGAAATAATAATCTGTCAGTTTTGTGAGTTTCATCAAATTGTTGACCAGGTCATTACTCAAATTCATTACTAGATATCTGAAATCCGTGAGTAAAGGTTGAGAGAATCATCCCTAATAAACATTCTCGTTTAAAAAATTATTTATTTTTATTTTTAATTTTGTGGGTACACAGTAGGTGTATATATTTCAACGAACGAACAGATCTTTACATCAACACGGCTTCTGCTTTTGTGATTGGGGCTTTTAAGAACACAATAATACCACTTTTCAGAAAAAGCTAGACATGAATGTAACAGTATTTTCCAACTCAAGTGTCCCTCTTATCCCCCTTCCTCCAGCAAAAGAGCTTCAGAAACGCAACACCTATCAAGTAGTTCCTCAGAAATGCCAGATTGCTGGGATTTTAGAGCCCTACTTTTTTTTCCTTTTTGACATTTAGACAGATTGAGTTTGAGAGAGGAAGTGACTCTGAGTCCAGACTGCCCCGCACCACTGTCAGAGGAAATAACTGAAGTAAAATGAAGTGATAATATACTGTAGAATATTTAACAGAGAGAAAGGCAGAGGAAAATGGCAATCTGGGAATATACAGCGAATCCCCAAAATAGACACAGGCTCCAGTGCCAGAACAAATGCCAAGTACAGTAGATCATAAAATGGTAAAACGACCTTGCCCTGTGGGCTCTGTGTTGACACAGGAAAAATGGCTCCCCAATAGCCGGCATAGCCGGGTCTTTATTCGCAGTTTCTGCTATCGTTTGTCAGGGACTCTGCCAACTTTCCTCTCTACTCTTTTCTGTATATTCATCAGTGAGAGAGCTGGTAAGTAACCACCTTAATGACTGCAGCATGTTGCAGTAGGATTAATGACAGATAAAGTACAACTCTGGGCTCTTATGTCACGTTGTGAATGAAATCAGAGGGTTCTGGGGAGGATATTAGCAAAGCTCCTTCCATTTTGTAGAAGACTCAAGGTGACTAGGGACATTTAGATTTCCCTCCCAAGGAAAGCTATGATAAATAGAGCGGTGAAGGAAAAATACACCCCCTTCTGTGCGCTTAATGAGTGACCTGCCACCTTCTGGGAAATGGGATAAGAATGCTGACGTGGTGTCTTAGCTTGATGCAAAGGTTGAAAAATTGACAAAACAAACCTTCGTCATTTGCTGAAAGCCACAGAGAGGAATGATGCTTGGAGCAGGGAAAACATCTTTTAAAAGAATACTGCTACCTCATATTCATGGTAGCATTGGAGAGATTTACATTCGAAGAAGGCCTGTTTGCCTTTTTTACTGTGTGGATAGAAGAGAGTAGTCGTTTTTCCTCACATTCCGGCAAAATTTCGTTTAATCTTTATACTAAGGCTTTCGGGTACGCAGGTGACTGCTGGCCAGCCATTGAGGCTGAGATCATCATCAACATTAAGAATTAAGAAGACTTCATCCTAGCTTGCTTGCTTTCTTTTTCTTTTTTCTTATCTTTTTTCCTTTCCTTCTTTTCTTCCTTCCATTCTTTCTATCTTTTTTTTTTCTTGGTTTCTTTCAACTTAAAGACAATCTTTAACATCTTGACAAAAGGAAAAACAAAAAGTAAATCAGCTTACAGAGAAAAGGTTTAGGTGGAGAAATAAATAGGAAAAAATATACAAAGAAAAGCCAACAGAAATCTGGTCAGGACAATTCCCTGGGATGAGTGTTAGGAGACGGTATGCATTTAGAAATACATGTATAAACTATGGAAAGTTTCCCACTAAAAAAATGATTACTTCTGGTTACTAAATGCAGAAAAACGAAGTGATTTTTAAACGCTGGCTGAAGTTTCTACCCACGTGTGAATCTATACAGCTTCAATAAAAAGCGGTTGTCATTTGTCAAAGATAAAGTTCCTGTGATTTGGGGTAGAAATTAAAACTGGAAAAATGGTTGTCCAGAGTTTCTATTCGAATTGTATGTAGTTTTTAGGCTAGAAGTTAGTTCAGTCTTGGTAAATAGGAACTTCCCATTTCAGAGAAAAAAAACTTCACTAAAATCCAAGAATATTTCTTTATAAAATAATTCTTATAAAAATTATTTGATAAGTTGTAACTAGTTTTCCTTCAGGTTCCAAAGGATTTAATTAAGGGAGAAATTAATTGGCAAATCAATTTTGACTTTTCTCTAATATAAAATGTTTTAAAAGTACTTCTATAGTTTACATAAACTAATATATTATTTGAATTATTTTTTAATAGGAGAACATATTGATACGCATTGAATGAATTTTTAGTATGGAAACTGAAACAAATGTTTTCATTAAAAAGAAATTAAGTGTATTAAAGAAAATTCATAAAAATATGGAAAAAATTTTTAAAAGGCTTCTCTACCATGTAAACATAACTGCTGTTAACATTTTAATGTGTATCCTCCAATTCTTGTTTCACAATGAATTCATTCTTTAAAATATTTTTAGTTGTAATTTTACTGCTTGCATAATTTATTAGTGATAATAATAATAGTTATGATTTATTCAGTACCTATAATGTACCAGGTATGCTATCTATTTTACATTTAATCACTAAATTAATTATGTAAAATAGGAGGGTAGAGAAACTGAGATTCAAACTTGCCAAAGAGGACACAGTAAGTGTTGTAGCTAAACTTGAACTCAGTTTTGCTTTTCTATGCTCATTCCACATCACTGTGCCTGTCTACCTAATGTAAGATATTTAAGCTTCAATATCTTACATAAATGACATTATAACTATAAGAATTTTCCACTTTGAGTAGGTACAAATATCCAAAAAATAGGGTTTCACACAAAACAGCACTATGATGAAACTGTGGTGGATAGTACACATTTGTGACAAAGTTTCAACTAAACCTCTAAGTTCAATTTAGCCTTTTTTTTTTTTGGCTAATAATAAGAATTGTGGTTCATGCCAGAGTATGCCCAGTGGTGAAAATATACATTATTTACTCTGAGACTTCTAAATTTATTGCTTATATGTGATAATATGTAAGATAAACTTATTTATCTTACATATTGGTATGACAAACTTATTTATCTTACATATTGGTATGATAAACTTATTTATCTTACATATTGGTATGATTTTCATTTCAATGGGGTCGTAAGATCTCATCATGGTATTCCCCTGTGCTATGTTCTTGAACGTTAATTATATGAAAGTAGAACAATTTTCCTATACAAAGGAAAAGGATGGGAAAGGAGAGGCTGTCTGACAGCTTCAATTATTTTGTGTTTCTATGATACACAGAGCACTATTTGAACCTGTAGCAATTTGCTGGCACCAAGAGTATCAAAAGCACATTCAGTGAATGAGAGGAAGGATAGCAATTCCTTCTATTAGACTGGCAATTGACCATCTGCTTCAGAGACTAGTGTTTAACCTGCAAGTAATCACGGTAAAATAGCTTGATGATGTGTCTCTGTCAGGCTTTTCATTTTTCCTGGGTAGGGGCAAGTTGGGATGGGAGTGGTTAAAAATGTAGACTTCTGGTTGGCCTCCCATTCTGTTGGAATCCTAGGTACATTCAATACCTTTGATCACCTTCTCCCAAGATCAATCAGAAGAAAGGTACCACATTCAGTATTCGGTTAAATAAAATCAAATTTAAGCTTCGTTCTCTAATATTTCTTTAGCAAGATACTTCTAGCATCAGATGAAATTTGCAGTTTGTTACTGGTGCTCTTCCATGTGTCTTAGAACCACCATCTGAGCACTACGACTGTTAATGCCAAAGGATTTATTTGAAAATTTTTATGTATATGTTATTTCAGTCTTTTTGGAAGTTATTCGGAGCTATTATTGGATATGTTAAATTATATGCACTTCTTAAAGAGGAGTATGCTTTTCATAATTAGATTTCTATCTTCTTATGCAGCTTAACATAAGGGAGCATGATACTATTAGATAACAAACGTCCAGGTGGCTGCAGCTAAAGCAGTAGGTTTGATATTTTAGACAGTAAATAATTGTGAAATAATTTTGTTTGAATGTCTTTTTGTTTTTAGTATTGGGAAATTTCTTTTTGACCCAACCTAAAAATTTGTCTTTTTACTGATAAATGGTTAGAAAAAAAAAGGAAGAGTGTATTCCCAGCAAGAGCAAAATTTATACACTAGAATTACACAGACTGATGCATTAACTTACAGCATCAGGAATAGTTAGTGCTTGGAATTACAATAGTTCCTTTTCGGGGCCTAGGTATTTCGGAACTTGAACAAATGGGGAATTTTAGAGGCACTGAAATATTTTATCCCTTTCCAAAATCCCCATCAAGTTTTGCTACCAACACAAGTGCTGTGATAGCTAATTTATACACTATTAATTAATTGTCATTTACTCATTTATTTAGCAAATATTTCTGAGTAACTTATTCTGTGCCAGGCACTATTCTAGGTTCTTGGGGATGCTTCACTGAGTGAAAACAAAACAAAACAAAAAATTCCCTGCCCTCATGGAGCTTACATGCTGGTGTGGCAAACAGGCAATAATCAGATAATTAATACATGTATAGCATAGTAGATACTGATAAATATCAAGAAAAAAGTGAATCAGGGAAGGGGGATTAAAAATGCTGAGAAGGGGGATACTAATATTTTAAGTATATTAGAATTGGAGCAAAGACCTGAAAAAGGAAGGGTATGAGTAATATAGCCATCTAAAGGACAATCACTCCAGACAAGTGCTGTCCAACAGACTGGCCATGAGTCTCATGTAAACACCACATTGGACAACACAGGTGTGAAAATTCTCCATCATCGCAGAAAGTTCTAATGGACAGTGCTGCTCCCAACAGAAAGAATGGCAAATACACAGGTCCTGAAGAGGCGGACAACAGAAGAAGTAACAAGGAGGTCAGTATACCTGTAACTGGGTACAAGTGGGAGAGGGAAATAGGAGACAGAAAGTCAATGAGGGGCCAGAGTATGTAGAATCTCTCGCAGGTCCTTCCTGGACTTCAAGATATTATTCTGAGCAAGATGGGAAGCCTTTGGAATGTGTTGAGTGGAAGGGTAATGTGCTGTACTTTGCACTGTGTCAAGGGCACTCTGACTGCTGTTTTGAGAATTAAGAGGCCAGAGCAGAAGTTAAAAAAACCATTGTGATCATCCAGGAAGAGGAAGAGCACTGTCCACCAGTAAAGAGCATAAACTGTGAGAAGTGGTAGATTCTAGATTGATACTGGAGTATGATAAAGGCAAATAACCCACCCAGGGATACTTATTACAATGTAGGTTCTAGACACCCACTCACAGAAATTATGATTTGGCAGAATTATTATGGTGCAGAAAAATCTACATTTTTTTTCTCCCATGAGAATTCTGATTCTCGTGCCCAACTCATTCCCCAACATATATTTGCCCTGCATCCTCTGAAAGCTTTGAAATACATTTGTTTGGTGGCTTGTTTAACATTAAATTTATAACTGGTGAACACTAGATGCTGGTGATGCAAGCAGTGTAGTCATCATTGGAGGTAGTAGAGACCCACCAAATGCCTCTTTAATATCATTGTGAAGAAATGAATCCTTGACGGAAGTTTTTGGTTTTGCTTTCTATTTTTTGTTGTTATTGTTGTTGTTTGGACGACATTTATACATTCCCTGGAATTAAGCTAAAAGGCACATAACGGATGCTTAAGCCAAGGTGAGATGCCATTTCCACTTTTTTAAAACAACATAGAAGCTACCATTTAGCACACACAGGTTATGAACACACATATCTTCTAATCTGAAATGTGTTATATTTTCTCTACCTGAATGATAAGAACCCATTCCATGATCTATTTTCTTTTTTCATGAAGAGTCCAATCTACCACTTTCCATGATATGATTTCCATATTCAGTATCAACAAGTAATTATAAAATGACAAACAAATATCCACATTTTTATATTGAGATTAAGGGAAATAGTTTTTTCAGATACAAGTAAGTCCAGATAAAAATTTCCGTTCTTTTTTCTTTCTTATTTTTCCTTCATTGCCTAGGAAGATAAGATGGAGTCAGACTTCAAGGAGGAAATTGGAGAAAATGCATTTAAGAGAAAGAAAAAATGAGGATCAATCAGGCTGAAGTGAATAGTTACAATTTGCCTACAGCCCGGCATAACTACTATCATGATCTAACTATGGGGAAAAATGTTTTAAAGTACAATTTTCACATAAATCAAGTAGCACATGAAGAGGAAAAATAAACCTAATATTGCCTTTAGGAGTATCCGCATATTAGTGAAGGACTATGTAAAGGTGTCTGAAATTTCTATTTCAATAAAACTTCTCTAAAAGTTTATTATTCATGAGTTGTTCTTTTGCTTCAAACAACACTCTAAATACACCTTAGAGAGAATAAACTCATTTTAATCGCAATCATTTTAATGTAAATTGATTGATCAGATCACTTTTCTTCTTGGCAAAATTCTGTTTTAAAGTATTTTAAAAGGCTTTAAAGTTTTTAGCATCAGACGCTTAAAAAGAAAGAGGTGGGAATGAAGACAATAACTTTTACCGTTTGTTTTTTTTTTAAGGGGCCAGTTCAGAGAGCAGCAAGAATCTGCATAGAAGTAATCATTTCTGGAAATCCAGATTACTTAGTGGCATCTGCTGAAACACAGATGAGTTGAGTGCACTGTTCACCAGTTCCTATTACTTTCCTTTGACTTGATCCATAGGACAGTAGCCAAGAGTATGACGATCAGTCATGGAGCCAATGGCATTGCTTCCTGAGATTCTGAGAATATGCCTTCTATCTTATTCATTCCTTCACCTTTGGCCAGACAATTTTATAATGGGAATGATGATGACAGGCAAACTTACAGACAGAAGAAAGGAAGTGTAGGGTGTGAGGGCAGGGAAACTTGGAGCATCTATTCTTCTATTTTTGGTCCCATAACTCCCCCAATATTATCCTTCGGCTTAGCCATCACTAGTTTTCATTCTGTCTGCCTACCCATAATATCCATTTTTCCCCTAATTGATTGTTCTCATTAAGAAGCCTGTGGAGTCTGGCTCATGGAAAAATATTTGAGGCTCTACTGTATTTCTCAGTGATGGAAAACATTCTTTTCATATATGTAAGAAATGTGAGAACTGGTCTTGGGTGAGACTTGGTATAAGAAGCCATACAAGCAAGAAGAAAAAAAAAAAATATTTCCCCTGAGGGAAAATGGTAGTTATATTACAGTGGTAGCAAAAGGAGATGACTACCAAGTAGGAACTTTTGCCAAGCCCACATGGGTATATAGATTAGCCATAATTAGCCGGGCGTGGTGGCTCACGCCTCTAATCCCAGCACTTTGGGAGGCCAAGGCGGGTGGATCACTTGAGGTCAGGAGTTTGAGATTAGCCATCATATACCCTATCTTGTGGCTTTGTGTTTCAGGTTAAAATACTTGTTATGAAGAGGGCCTGTACCAATGATTTTGATCTTTCATTAAAAAAGGAAATTTCAAGCTCTTAGAAACAAAGAAAAAATAAACGAGTGTTACAAGAATGTTTTAAGCATTCCGTAGATGGCTCAAGAATAGTATGTAAGTATTTCTCCACAAAGATATTCCACTGAAATTTTGGTAAGCAACAGTGGAAATAGGTTTAAACATTCCAGGTGACTCAAGTTCAATATAATGACAACACTAGTTAGAGTTTTCAAGCACTTTCTCCGATAAGCACTTTATATGCATTGTGTCATTTAACAATTGCATTGACTTTATGAAGTAGACATGATTATACCCATTTTCATAAAGAAGAAACTGAAGCACAAGGTCAAACAATGAGTAAAAAGCCAACTCAATACTGCAGTCCAACTTATAGAATTAAGTTGCCTTCTAGCTTGGATTCTGGGAGAGAGTTGATAAAGGGCACTATTAAATGACCATCACACATCTCTTCTAGTACCAGTGTGGCTATTCAATGGCTTAACCAGTTCTGGCACTGAAACGACTGGGCAAAAATCAGACCATTTGAGTTTAGTCCCTGTCCAGGTCTCAGAACCCACATTAATCTCCCCACTGTCACTACTCCACTGCCTAGAAAGACTCCTATCCTTTCTGGTATCCTCATATCAGAGAGGTTCTTATCATCCATGTTCTCACTTGGAATTCCTCACCATAGACCACAATCACTCTTGCTTTGCCACTGGAACTGTTCATTTATTTCTAACAGTTTCTACTATATCCTCCCAATGTTGGTGGAGGGATCTTTTTCCTTTGGCCTGAACTGGAACCTAGCTCTCCCTTCGAAATATTTTTTCCTGTGGTTTGTGTAGTTGGGACTCCTCTTTCTGCCAGAAGCCATAACCAGGATGTGTAGTTTAGCATTTTCCTGGGTCCCTATCACTACCTCCAGAGCTTATTCACCTCCCTGTGATGCTCATCATCCAGCTCTATCCCATCTCCCCCCTTCCTCCTTGCTTGTCATTGGCAAACTTCCAAATACTTTCCTTTAAGTGATTCTGAGACCCATATATCAAGTTTGTTTTTAAAATAAATGTATTGAAGCAAAAAAAAATTAAGTAAATGTAAAGAAGAACACATTTAATGAGATATAGAGCTATGGCAAAAGTAGTGAAGTCTGGAAAATCTTAACTTTACAATAAATAAATCCAAGATCATTGTAAGCATTGAAGAGCCTCTATTGCCTAGTTTATGCCTGCTCACGTCTGAAACATCACCCTCCGCCACTCCATTCTTCACCTTTTAAACCTTAGTCATGCAGAACTACATGTAGCTCTTTCTTACTTCCTGCAAACCATGCTCATACTCACTTTTCTTAGCCACCCCAATCCAAGATCAATTTATTTGGTTAGATCCTATCCTTGACTCAGTTCAGTGATTATTTCTTACAAAGCCCTTAGCCCCATCAGGTTAGAGGTGGCGATGGGAAGAGGAATTTAACTCCATAGCCATTTCCGTCATGTGTTCCTCGTGTGGTTTTACAACAATCTATTATATGCCTGTCTCCCCTACTAGACTGCGGGTTTCTTAAAAAGATGAACTATGGTGTAATTGTCTTTTTCCCCACTGCCCATGCATAGAGAAAGCTCTCCATTAATACTTGAGAAACGAATGGATACCACCAAAGTCTTTTGGGGAAAAGACTCACTCACAAATATCTTCCTTTTCATTATTCCCTGTATGCTCCTTTCATCATTTGCACAAGGTCCTAAATGTAATTTCAAAGTTGTAACTTTGCATTTCAGAGACAGAATTGATGTAATTTTTTTTTTCTAGATGCAGGGCTGCCTTTTACATTTAGGGCTGGACTGGGTGAGTATACACTTAAAAGTTTTGTTTGTGCACTCATGAAATTTTAAAGTGCCTCATTCAAAAAATCAAATACTCTTAAAATTCCTACCTCTTTCATTTTAAATAACACTCATGGTTGGTATCCCCTGAGTAAAATAAATAAAAAACCAGTATGTATCAGAGAGGACATTTAAATTTTTTAATTGAGCTGCTAACCTAATCAACTCCATCATCTGATATATGTCCTTTCCATTCTCATTTCCTGAAGCAAAGAATGAGGACTGTGCCTCGTTCCAAGAGGTGCATTATGTGAGTGCCGCTTAATCAGCACTTATAGGTTTTGTCTTCCAGTATGCTTTCCTTCATTCTCTTGACTCCACTTTGCCTTTATTCTCCCCATAATTTCCAGAATCTTTGTTAGGCTCCTACTTAGCACTCCAAACATAAAGGGGATATGTTTGGCCTTAAATAGGAAAAATTCTGTGATCTCAGAGGCATTTTCCATATGGACTCTTACAGAGGCAGACACTGGAATGCTTTCTTAGAAGACTCCAGAATGTTTCCAGAGAGACACAGGCATGCAAATTAAAACTTCGGCAAGTGCAGGGCTGATTTACTGTAGGCATTTGCCAGTGGCTTTACCAGAATATTTTGCAGTATAAATTGTAAACTTTTTTTTAATAGCAAGAACACAAGTAGGACATTATGAACCTTGTTGTTATATAGACAAGGAAGTGAGAAGAGAGGCAGATGGATAAGTTTTAACGTATGTTCATTTATGTCCAATATGTCTGCTTTCATTTCTTTTATTTTAAAAACTGGTTAGCAAAAGTAAGAGAAGAGAAAAGGTTTTCAACACAAGAAGAACACAATTCTGATGAAGAGGAGAAGAGTGTTATTTGAATGACGTTTTTTGGAGGGGGCAGTTCTGTAGAACGCTGTAACTGGCATCACCAGTGTAAAGAGAGGCACTTCTGCAGTCTTCTCACATTGCTTATTTTGAGGTTGGCATGTTTACCGTGTTTACAATGCACCGTAAAAAGACAGCACAGCATCACCGAATGCAAGAAAGCATTGCTCGCATTTCCCACTGGTAAAAAGTCTGCAGAAAGAGATTAAGAGAACAAGACCAGCAAAGAACCTAGAGAAGTTCAAGCAGGTGCTGACGTTTTAATGAAACTTAAATTTCCAGAGCTACAAGTCTCAGAGAAGTTAGCAAATTGTGTTATACAAAAAGATATAAATATAAATCATCACCTGTCAGTTCCAAGAATACAAATGAACAAAGAGTTGATCAGCAAGGAATTCTTTCCCCGCTATCCTCCAGCCTATCTCCTAATAACCCACAAACGTTAATTCTTTATACTCAAATTGGTTGCCTAAATAACTGTTTTCAAACAGCTATTTGAAATTTTACTACATAATTTGTTTATTATGCAAATGTGAATAACCCCCCAGTGATACTTTTTGACTAGCAACAATATAGAGAGTGCACAACTTTGCATATTGTAAATTCACATAAACATTTATATTTTTAAGAATCCAATGAATTAGAGAACCTGTGGGTAGATGACATTTTTAAAGTCAGAAAGAGTCATTTTATAGTTGAAATTAATTCTTGGAAACAATGTTTTTATTACTTGGTATTCTAGGCCCAGTTCTTTTAAATAAATAATTAGCACAGTAGAACAAATGTCCAGCAAAATTTTTAAATGTGTCATTAATGGGTTCAGTAGTATTCAAAATTTACTGAAATAGATCTCTTAAACATCCCGAGGGATACTATAAAATTATTAATTTGGCTTTTATTTGAGAAAAATCCAAGCTTTTTAAGCTATAGCTCTAATTTCAATTTGATTTTCTGAGCAAAAATATGTATAATTGGTAAATAAAATTTTAACAATATAATGTGGGAAAAATTATTTCTCAAAAAATATTTCACAGTTCAAGGTAAAAAGAAGTGCACTTAAAAAATGTACATATGACAAAATAAAAATCTATGCCTGTGCACTGTTGATCTCCAACTGAATTGGCATAGCATTTGTGAAGAATACTGCATGAGGGTAGAAGAGTGGATAAACATTAAGACCAAGGATCAATTCTTAATGCCGAAAAACTAATTGCTCGTACTTTTTAAATACTAGGAACAGCCTTCCTATAAACATTTTACGATAATACTCTACCTTAAATCACCTACCACTTTAAGCAACAGTACATCCTTCTAACACCTATCAGTTCATCTATTTTCTAAATCTCTATTGTGCTTTAATTCTTCTCTGCTTTTGGCTGATGGTACTTACAGCTGTTGATCATTAAGGTTACATCTGGCCTACAATGAAGTAGTCTTTGCAAAAAGAAAAATTATTTATGTTTCTTCTCATGTTCCAGTGGACATCAGCTAAAGCAAGTCCAGAAGCAGATAGCCAGTCCTGTCCATGCAGCTGGTTAGCAGCGTTACACACTGGCCTGGAAATCACTTTTTCTGTAGCTAATTTGAGTTTACAAACATCGGATAGGGAATATCATGTGCTGTCAACTAGATTCCTGAAGATTTACACATGTGGCAAAACTACTTGTCTGTATTAAAAAAACAAAAACAAAAAAACAAGTATAAACGTATACTGGGAATAAGAACCTTTCAAAATTTAGCTATGTAGGTGGTGGTAAATTCTGGTTGCCAGAATCTCCTTAGATTAATATCAGGGTGATATTCTCCACAATTGACAATAGACAGTGAGTGGGACAGGGTGTTAAAATATCAGTGAAGTAACCCAACGTATGCAAATTGAAACAGGGGCTTTTTTTTTTTCCTTAAATAAACTAAAGAATCATTGGAAATCCTGAATCCAGGTGGAAAAAAAACCCTCCATCTCTATCAAGAATTGCTTCCTCAGATGACATCATCATTTATTTACATATAAGTCCATGAAAGTCTACTGGCACAGTAGAATTCAAACAATTAGTATACCTGCAGTCTTGACTTGTCATGACATAAAGTAGTAGTCTTTCTTCATTTCATGCCGTCATCAGCTCAGCTACCCAACAATTGTCCAAAGCAGTAGAGAGAGCAAATTAAAGTGAATCTACTCCTTGGCATTTGCCAGATAAGCCACAAATTAAATATCCTCTTAAAACAAAAAAGGATTTCAAGTCTCAGAAGAGAAATCAGTGCTGGTTGATAAATATTTCCACTTTAAGTTATATTTATTTCATAAAATCTTTTATTTGGCATTGTGTAAATGGTCAGCAATCTTTCCCTCATATTTGATTCCTCTTTAAAACCACAATAGCATGATTTAGCTATTACATGGCCTGTGATAGCAACAGTTGAAAAGTAAACTAAGGGAAATATTTAAGAGGCAATGATCGGAACATCGCATCGTGCACCTTAAATATACATGATTTTTATTTAAAACAACAAAAATTAATGAATGAAGGTAAACATACATAAAAAGCCAAGGCAGTGATAAACTTTGAAACGACTAACTCGTCTCTGAAAGAATGGAGAGAAACTAGAAAGATGTAAGAACAAAACATAGAGCTTAATTCCTAAAATAGTTTTTAAAAATCAGATCCTTTGGAGGAATAAAAACATCTTTAGGGTAGAGCTAAGAACCTGTGACAGTAACATGTCTTAGGCTGTGACATCAGTATTCTTAGCAGAGTTGGCTGCTCAGGTCTTTGAGCAGAAAGCTCCGACTTGGATACAGTAAGCATTAACCAATGCAGAAGTAACTGACTTAGGATATGGCATTACTCAAAAGTGGGTCATTTTAAAAAATTCTTAATACTTATTACAGACACAAGACATGTTTCTCTAGTGTAGGCATGTTAACTCTTGGTGTGCTGGACAAATTCCAGTTTGGACACCGTATTTTAAAAGCAATAGAAAAATCTGGAACTCCATTTCATGTAGGAAAGCATATGGCTTGAAAGTAAATATAGTTTAAACATATGAAGCATATTAAATTAATTATTATAATTTAAGTGATTTGAAAAATGTCTGCAGTTTTTATGACATATGCTTTTAATGATTCACATTACCTGTAGGCACTTCAAAAGCACTGGGATTCCGATTCTCTTCAGTAATTAGGGGGTCAAATGATATGCCGAGTACATTAGAGAACAGAGCCCAGTGAAAATGGGCCATGTGCCAAAATCATACCCTTCAAGACAGATGGGAACCAAGCCTCGGAATGGTCTGTAATTGTACCATTTTTGAAAGCCACACTTTAATGCTATGAGGACATGTAGAGGCTATATCTGAAGAATGTATACAATATTTGTACCCGAAGTTAAACAAAACGTAAATCTTTGTCTGTGGGTTGTCCCCAACTTAGAGACCTCATCAGAGGTACTACCCCTGTACTACTATCCATCAGAGGTGCTTTTATTTCCTACAACATCTGAACATCCTAACCAGAACCAGACAGCATGATCACTCATTCATTTATTCATCCCACAAACATCTACTGAGCACCTACAAAAAATATATGTTCTAGGCAATGCTTTAGGTACTGAGGAGCTTTGGTAAAGAGGAGAGAAGTTCATTGTCCTCTTGTATTTTATATCCCTTAGCAGGGGCAGACAGTTGAAAAAATATAGAACTAAATAACTCCAAATAGGGAAGGAAAAAAAATCACAAAAGGAAACTGGTAGAGAGAGGCTGATACAGGAGATATGAACTTCTTTAGCTTGGGTCATGCACAGAAGCCACACACACAGAAGCAGGGGATATTGCTGAGACACAGGAGTAAAAAGATGGCCACATACACACACACACACACACACACACACACACACAGAAGCAGGGGACACTTTGCTGAGACTCAGGAATGAAAAGGTGGCGATGGTGTTTTTTCTCTTGGAGGAACTGCCAGTTTATAGGCCTTGAGCTGGAGAAGACATGCTCAAGCAAGAGAGAGGCGTGGTGGTTGGAGCTGAGCATGTGGAGAGACAAGTGAAAAAAAATGAAGTTGACAGTTTGGCAAAGTGAGATCATGTAGAGCTATTTAGACCACAGTAGGGAGTTTGTATTATAGTCAACCTAAAATAATAGTAATAACCACAATTAGCTAATAACAAGAGGGAAGGGAACACATTGGGTGCTTACTATGTGCTAGGCAATGCTTTAAGCAACACAGATAACCTCATCTATTTCCTATCACCATCCCCATTTTATAAATGGGAAAGTCAAGCACAGAGAAATAAAGAAACTTTACCAAAGTTAGCCAGCTAGTAAGAAAGAGACATTTGCTGATAAGTATGATAATTCTTAAATTGGAAAAATTCCACACACTCATATGATAATTCTTAATCCTTCAATTATCTCATGCCCTCAAATAGGTGTTTCATGCCATCTCTATGCAAGTCATTGTATTTTGCACAGCTAGAATGTTGTCTGTTGTTTTTGTTTACATGGCTTCATGTCTTTTAGGACATGGTACGTAGGAAATTGCATGGTGAAGTGGTACAAGCATCAGGCTCAAGAATGAGAGTCCAGTTTGACAGACCAGATGAAGAAGTGATTAAGACCATAGTTCTGGACTTAGACAAGCCTGGCTTTGTGACTTTGGACAAATTATTTGATAACTGTAAGTGTATTTATCACTAAAAGGCAGATAATAATATTATGTCATACAGATGCTCATCCATTGATTCAACAAATATTAATTGAGTGTCTTCCATGTGCCAGGTACCTTTCTCCTCTATAAAATGGAACAGAAAACAAACAAAAAAATATATATGTATTTTGAGACAAAGTATTGCTCTGTTGCCCAGGCTGGAGTGCAGTGGCACGAGCTCGGCTCACTCCAACCTGCACTTCCAGTTCAAGCAATTCTCCTCCCTCAGCTTCCCGAGTAGCTGGGATTACAAGTGTGCACCACCACACCTAGCTAATTTTTTTGTATTTTAGTAGAAACGGGTCTTCACCATGTTGCCCAGACTGGTCTCAAAGTCCTGAGCTCAGGCATTTCACCCATCTCAGCCTTCTAAAGTGCTAGGATTACAGGTGTGAGCCACTACACCCAGCAAAAAATATCTGCCTCTATGTACCTTACATTCTATTTGGACAGGCAAAGCTCAGACAAGATTAATATATGTTAAAATGTACAGCAAAACATATAGTATTTTAGATAGTGTTAAGTGCAGTGGAGAAAAAAAAACAAAACAATAAGGGTGGCGAGAAGAATCAGGATGGAGAAAATAACTTCATTTTAGATGTGGAGTCCAGGATAGGCTTCACTGACGAGGTTGATCTGAGGAAATATCTGTAAGAAAAAAAGAAGCAAAAAGACCCAAGGCAGACTGAGTTGTGAGCAGACCTGTTGTATTGGAGGAGGCTGTGGAATGAGTGAAGGAGCCTATTTGGAGATGGAGTCAGAGAAGTAAGAGGGATGATGATACAGGATTTAAGAAGTCACCATGGAATACTATGCAGCCATAAAAAAGTATGAGTTCATGACCTTTGTAGGGACATGGATGAAGCTGGAAACCATCATTCTGAGCAAACTATCGCAAGGACAGAAAACCAAACACCGCATGTTCTCACTCATAAGTGGGAATTGAACAATGAGAACACTGGGACACAGGGTAGGGAACATCATGCACCAGGGCCTGTCATGGGGTGGGGGGAGGGGGAGGGATAGCATTAGGAGAAATACCTAATGTAATTGATGAGTTAATGGGTGCAGCACACCAACATGGCACATGTATACATATGTAACAAACCTGCACACTGTGCACATGTACCCTAGAACTTAAAATATAATAAAAAATAAATAAATAAAAATAAATTTCTCATAATAAAGCAAAAAAAAGAAGTCAAAGAAATAGTTGTGGTTTTTTATTCTGAGTGAAATGGACAGTCAACGGAGGGCAGTAAGCAAATTAGTGATAGAATCAGACTTGTGTTTTGAAAAGCTCATCCTGGCTGCTGTGCTTAGAATAGACTGTGTTGTAGAAAATACAAACAGGGAAGACCCCATAGAAAGCTGACGCCATATTCTAGGTGAGAAACTATGGAAATTTGGACCAAGGTGATAGAAGGGGAGGTGGTAAGAAACAGTCACATTCTGTATACATTTTAAAAATAGAACAAAGGATTGGCTGAAGGATTGGATATGAGATGGGAAAGAAAGAGAGAGTTCAAGGAAAATTGCAAAGTCTCTGGTTATCATGAGGAGTATGTGAGATCCCACATATAAAGTATCAAACATAATGCCTAGGACAGAGTGAATGCTAAAAAAGGGATATTCTGGTATACATTTCAGTGTGTACATCTTAACTTATTCACCCAATAATGGCTATGAATTCTATCTATATAATCAGTTTCTGTTCAGGAACATGAATGTAAATTGCAAAGTAGTTTATACATTAAATTCTCATAGTAGGAATTCAATAAAGATTTGAGAGAAGACGTTTACACTTGGTACCCGTCAATATTGGGCAACCACCAACTATATTTGGTACTTAACGAGCCTTTATAGAAGTTCCCAAAATGTAAAAATGAAGAGAACTAGAAAGATTAAGATAGAAGAGTTTAAAAAATATATGTTCATGCAGGAGAAAAGTGAAGGCTTTTCAAGGTTACTAAGGTAAGTCTAAGGCAACGATTCCTAGAGCAAATCAAGGGGCTGTGAAAGCTAATGGACATAGCTCAAGATTTACTTTTGGGTTTGGAGAAACTAACATTGAATTGGCTATTTCCAATAATAAAGTCATTAGCCCAGGGAAGGAAGATGAAATATAAAAGGAACGTTTAGGTACAGAAAAGTATATTTTAAATTATCTTTTGGTTGAGAAAATATTTCAGATAAATGCTGATGAAATAAATCAGCATTTTATTTCAGTTTTTTAATGGTTTTATAATAACAGTGAAGGGATTTATTCTCTGCCTGTTTACTATGTTCACATGGAGATCTTAAATGTTTGCCAGATATAGTGGATAGATTAAAAGAGCCACCTTGGTAAGAACTGAACTATTTTGTTATATTACTGTTTTTATAAATGCTGTTATATTGCTCTGTAACACACATTCATGTAAAGTATTTGTTTATATTTTTAAAAGTATATATAATGTCTGAGTATGCATTTCAGTATTTCACAGAAACAAATTAGAAAAGTCACTAATTTTTGAAAACACTGAAGAACTGAGAGAGCAGAAATCACTAAATAAGGATATTGTCTGCAGTGATTAAAATGGTGGCTAACAGGGTGAGTGAGAGATTATTTTAATAGGTTTCTTTTAAATTTTTCACTAAATTACCAGCTTTGTAATAAAGTTATTGACAGGCAAGTGCTGTTATAAAAATTGTACCTCCACCTGCTAACAAATGGCACTCACAGTTATGAAAACTGACATTTTTAGAATCAGGTGCTTCTGTGGCTCTCTTCTGAAAGGTATTCCCCCTTGGAACTTGCATTTTAATTACTAATTATTTTTTCTGCTTTATTTCTGTGTAGTGATCAAAGTGCTTGACTGAGCTTTATTTAAATAGGATGTATGCATTGTTTCAAACTAGTTTTGCATAAAATGTGAATATGAATACCACAACTAGGCGATTTATTTGAATCTCGAATACATTAGCAACTATTACCTTCTGTCTTTCATGTAGCTGTCTTACAATAATATTAAGAAGAATATTACATGTGCCTGAATTACTCATTTTTTTCAGCTTTGATTTACATATTATTCACTTAAAACTAGCAATGTAAAATTGCCTTTAACGTTTACTGTTTCAACTTTAAAGTTTTTTTTAATCAGCGAAAGCGAAGTTGGTGAAATATAATTAAAATTTCTCTAATTATGTTACCTTTAGGCAATGCTGTCTTCTAGATTTGTAACATTCTCTGTTACCGTGCTATGAAATTATGGAGTGTACAATGTTGGAGTGTATGCTTCTAAAATCAATGCATTAGAGATTTGTAGAAATGCTATATAACTCATGTATTAAAAGTATTTCTAACATCTAAATGTATTGCTGTTATATGTTTAAACTTTCAAAGAGCAATAATCCTGTATTGAATTAAAGACCTTAGGAAAGTTTGACATTTTGAGAGTGTATTTTTGAATTATTTGGATAATATTTTAAGTGTAAAAGGATATAAGAATCACCAAAATAGTTCTATTAATTTCTTCCTTAAATATTTTTAAAATACAAAAAGTTACTATTGCCTGAGATTAACTATGGAAACTTTTAGACTGAAAGGAAAATGATTCAGAATGTTGCAAGCAATTAAAGTTATAAATGAGAATCTTTAAGTCAACTATAAAACATCCCACGTCTCAAATAGAAGAAAAGGCTTTTATTAATTTTTTACATTGTAATTGGAATGCTCAAGGCAGGTTAAAATAAAGCTGCTTTATTTTTTTTCTAGAACTAGCTTAATTTTACTTCATAAAATTATTTGCCTTTTGATTAAGAAACCATTTTATGATTTGGAAACTGTTGTAACTGACATCAGAAATCCCAGACTATTTCCTATAAAATTTCAGAGCTTTTCTTTTTTTAAATGAAAAGCTTAAACAAACTCAACTTTTTCAATTACATGGACTTTTTTTCTCTTGATAAAGAAAATCACATTTCGTATCACAGCCTTATAACTGCTATCACTATTGCAATATAACAAGCAAAGCTGGTTTCTAAAAATGAATATTTCTAGTACAGTGGAGTTACATTTTAGCTTAGCAATCCTTATGTTATATAGTCTAGAAATCCTGAAGTCATCACTTAGGAAAAATCTTAAGTGCATTCTAAACTATACATATTATCTTAAAGGGAGTATGGTAATGTAGATATTATTATCCATACATTTAATTCAACAACAAGAAAAAAAAGCTATTTACTTAGCACTTCTTTCACTGATAGAACTGGCAATGGTATATTTGGCCCTTGCAAAAGTCTAACAAAAGCTGTTTTTCTGATTAATAAGAAAACTAAAGTGCAAACAGGAAGATAAACTTTTAACTATTTCAGTGATTGTAAGAGAGTTAAAAGTGGGTCAGGAAATGATCTAACATTATGAGTTCAGTTCTGATTTTTACTGATAGTCATACCAAATAACCTTGTTCTTGCAGGTTAGAAAACTGGAAAACAAGCCCATTTGCTAAAAGACAGAGAAGTTTGCCTGAGATCAAAATCATAAACTGCAAATATTACTCTAGTTTAATGTCTAACCTACTTACAGGCATTGGCCAAGTTACTTAAACCTCAAATGGTTTGTCTATAAAATGGGGATTACAATAATCCCTTACCCTGTGATGATACACAGAAAATGAAGCCTTGCTCTGAATACTTTTTGAAGTTCTTCAGCAAACAGCAAGCCATTATTCAGATATGCATAAAGGCTATCATCTGTAAGAAAATAGCATTTGAGAAAAAAATAAAATAAAACAGGGCTGTAACCAAATGTGATGACTCTGTTAAGATTATAGAGATGATCTTGATATATACAACACATTTCCTTCATTCTATCTCTATTGGATGTTGTTTAAAATAAAGTTTTTGAAGAAAGACATTACACAAAATAAGTAAAACAGAGATGGGGCATCATCTAGAAGAGATTGAGGTAGAGAAATTAGGGAAAATGTGTGGGTTTTTAAAATTCTAGTTAGAACAATTGTAATAGGTAAATTACTTGGGAAGATTTCAAGTAAATGACATTTAGGAAAGCAGGGAAGGATCTGGGGTCTGTGTGTACTTCTGGTGTAATTCTTAATTATGTGAACCCTTAGTCACAGAGTTTCTAAAAATGGGAATATATGCGAGCTGACTCCTCCCAAACTCCTGCTTGCAGCATAAACTCATTATCAAATCATTGCCTTTGAAAGGTGGCAAGGATACTTAGCAAATGCAGTTCTCCTTTGGACTGTGGGCTGGCCCAGTTATGAAAAGATTCAACTAGATCAAAACAACAAAAGGAGCGACTACAACTAAAATAACAATAAAATGAGCAGTTTTAGCTTGGCTTCCATTTCTAAAAAGACAATTGTAAGACATTCTAGTCCAGTTCTCCAATCTCTTTTAGAAAACATTTTTAAACAATTTTGTTTTACTTTTATTACTTCCTATAAGGGGGATACAATTTTTTTTCTAGTGTCTGATGTTTTCAATACCATGTCTTTTGCAAACCTTTTTAAAGTTCCTTAAAAACAAACAGGAATAATCTAGGCTATAGTGGAAGTGTACCTTGACAATTTGACAGGAGAGAATGCTCAGGAGTAATAAATGTGTATTTCTCCCTAATATCTTAAATATATCTGTTTTTTTTTTCTTCATTTGGCATGAGGAGTGTCAAATGCAGAGTTCATGGGGATTGTTTTCATTTACAAACACAGTTTTCCTTTAAGGGGGAAATGTGTGCTTGCTTAATTTTTAATCACAAAAGGTATCTGTGTGTGCCCTGTTCATCTTACAAGTGAAGGCTGTGCAATTGTGTCACAAACATGCATGTGTACAATTTTGTCTGCCTCTCTTATAATGTTTAAAAGTCCATTAGAATAATCATCCATCATCCAGGAAATTTAACGACAAGCAGATATCATATTTTAAAAATAATCTTTTCAATTGACATCTCATACCATTAAACTTAAAAGATCCCACCTTATGCGGGGGGATGTGGGTGGGGATGCGGGTAGGGGGAGCGATTGCCCAGAGCACATACATTAGTCAATAAGAAACAGACTGCTTTGATGTGTTTTGCTATGGCAAGCCAAGTTGCTATTAATTATAGGTTGCTTTACCTTTCAACACATAATTTACTTTTATTAAATGTAAAATATATTTTATATTATGATTATACCAGAGCCAGGCTGGCTGATGTTTCTTTTTTCTGCATTATGTGATGACAATGACTGCTATTACAAAATCTAAAATATTTTTGAGTGCGGATGATACCTAAAGTATTAACATCTCGGAAACACCTTTGAGAGTAATCTCCGGGAAGTAAAAATGAAACTTGTAAAAATCATTCCATTCAACCCTACATAATTCCTTTTGTTCACTTGAATTCGATTGAGGTCAACAGAGTTTTGGTTTTCTGTTTTCCATAAAACAAAATACCCTAATCTAACCATGATTATACACATTAACGTAAAATTGAATTTCACATAGTTTGATTTTATTAACCGAAAAGTATTCTGAACCTGGTGAGTTAATCCAGTCCTTATTTAAAATTCTATAATATTTAAAGTTCAGGCATAAATATCAGTTTGCAAAGAAATATACTTTTTTTCAAGATTCATGGTGAGTACAAGCAAGATTTATATATGAAAACAACCTTAAATTTCTTCCTGAACTTTTCCAATAGAACCAGTAAAAGTTCAGGTCATAGAAATAACAAAGAAAATGTCTCCAAGTAAATGTAATTTTTAATAATAAAATTGATTTTATTCTTTGGTTTTGGTTTCCTTAAATCAGAGGATAGAGGCTCAAAAATTATTTAACTTCCAATTAAACAGTTTACTTTTAAATTAAATAATGCAAGAAAAGAGGATTTTGGATCTGGTACATTTAAAAACATATAATCAAATTAATATTAAAATAGAAAACACAGCATTTTGTTTACTTTAATCATTATTAAGTTTGTGACCACTTAACTCATAGAGTGTGATGTGTAAAAAGAAAAGCTCCGCCATCCATCTGTGAGGATTATGTCAGCCACAAGCACAGTACAATTACTACTGGAAAAGCGCAATCCTTTCCCACTTCCCACCCCCTTATTTTTATAGCATAAATTTTCTTGCAGATAACACAATCACTTTAAAAGACACAAATTCTTCCACTAAAAAAAAGTTAATTTGATAGATGTCAGTGCTCGTTTGCCATAGATATAATTCAAGTGCAGTAATTGCAATTAACACATTAAGGGTTGTACTTCAATTTGAAGAAGGCCAACTATGTTGGAATGTGTGTTAGACTCAAAGACTGGAGATATTTTTCTTCCAAAAAGCCACCAGGTTATACACTTTCTCGAGCAGTCATCTGTAGAGTCAATAGCATTTGTGATAGTAACAGACAAAATAAAAATCAAAGGACAAATGTTGACCACATAGCTTTACAGAGGAAGACGTGACTGCCCTGATTTCTGGTATAGGAGTCCAGACTAAGCATTCAGGACAGCAGGCTATGACCTGCCCTAGCAACTAACCATACTTTACATAGAAGACATAGCCCTTCTATTTTCCAACCACGTTGAGCATGATCCCTGCTGGGGACCGAATCTCCAACTCTGCAACCTCCTGCTTCTACAGCTTAATTATTTAGGATCAAATAGACAACTAGGTACATTAACATGACCCTAGAAGCCAAACCTGTTACTCTCTTCAAATATTCAATTGACCTTCCCAAGTAAATATTTCCCCCTGACCTCTCTACCACTCATTTTCTCTTAAATTGGTGGCTAATGCTTTAAAAAGTCTCCTGATATTTTGCAAGCAGCTTTAAAGTAAACAACTCCCGACTGTATAATTTTAGCCTTATTGACTGGTACACTGACAGAAACCAAAGCAAGCAAGAGGTCTAACATACAGCATTATGTTAATCACACCAATGTGTTTTGTTCAAAGACAAGTCAGAGATCTTTGCAGCAGGCTTACAAATCTGCAGCTTCTGTATTAGCAGAGCGTGTGTGTGTGTGTGTGTGTGTGTGTGTGTGTGTGTGTGTTTAAAATGCTGAGAGTACCTACTTTGAAAGAATGAGAAAAGAGTAAGTGGAGAATATCAATACCCAAAGCAGAATAAGGATTAATCCAAAGCATGAAAATATAGGTCACAGCTCTTTCCATGGCCTAAGTACCACCGGCTACATCACTTACATCCAGATATTTTGGGAAAATTACCAGCAACAAGAAGTGCTTAAGTGGACAGCAAACACATCTTGTCTTAACAAGGTACTTTGGGTTCCATTTACAATCTGTTGAGTTTAGCATTACTCAACTATATTGCTTGCCTTAAAAAAATAATGTAAATGAGCTAGAAGTTGAACAGTTGCTTTGCCTGTATTTTTTTTTTTTTTCAGGTTTAGGTGGTAGGGCACAGAAAGAGAAGAATGAATACGTAAAGCCAGTTGTATTACTTTAGTATATAAGAAAAAAAGAATATAATTAGGTTTATGACATTAGTGGCCCATTCTAAAATAATGCCTTTTTGAAGCAAACACAAACACACCCCATACAAATCCATTCCAGTTTCAATGAATGGAAATGGTGGTAACAGGAAGAGTAATGCATCCACTCCATTTGTAAACAGACATTTTCCTACATGTGAGTACATAATCCCTGCTGACATTAATGGGAATGACACACAGGCAGTGATGAGAGAATAGCCCCTTTTGTTTGTTCTCATTCACATTACTCTAGAGTCCATTTTACAGCTCCAGCTAAAACTAGTTGAAAACGCGCCCGGTGGATTGATAATGGAAAAATGAGATTAACTAAGTGAGCAAATAGCCTTACTTCTTTCTGTGATGTGGGAAGCTAAACAATGCAATGGAAAAAAGATCTTGATTTTACTTTTTCTTTTTGTTCTTTCATTTTCCTCCATTACCCGCTGTATTTAAGAACCTCTTCATGCTTGTAAAATTTCCTTTCCTGGTTCATGTAAAAGAGTAATAAAATCATTATAGTTTTCCTTCGCCAAAAGGTACTTTAGAGACTAATCTTAATTTAGATCCAGACACTGCTAAGTCAAATACATCAATGTTGGGAAAACGAATTAGAAGCGAGGTCATTTTTCTTACTAATTTTTTAAAAAGATGTTGCAGATTGAAATTGCCTTAGGAATCATTTCTTAATGCTAGGGCCACATTACGAAGTCATAATTCTCCCGCTTTGACACTTGGATTTTCAGTGGCTTTTAAAAAGGAATCTACATTAGGAATTGACTTTTTACTTACAGGTCTATACTAAGGCTGAAATTCCCTTACTGAAGTGGAACAAAAATCAAGTTTTCAAAATAACTGTGCTCTAAATACCACACCACAGGTAGAGAAAACCCCAAATAACAGTTTATGCTTTTAAAAACATCCTTCAGAAAAAATTTTCATATGTCAACATTATCTTATAGAAATAAGCAGTCTAAAATGAATATGCCACTTGCACCATCTTTTTTTTGTTCTCTTCTCCTTAAAACAAGCAATATGTTTTTATTTTTTAATCCATTTTGATCCAAAGGGTAAAATTGATAGGATCTCAAACTGGGGACCACAATCTTCATTTACAGGTGAAAAAGAAAATAAACCCATTTTCAGTCAATAAAAAACTGTTAATATGTGAACACACACACCTAAAAAGAATTTAGTGAAATAAAAACTCTTTTTTCATATTTACTTTTATAACAATAAAAATCCACAATAGCTAAAAACACTTGAATGCTAGTCAAATTTGGGAAAGCAGAAAGAAAGTAATTCTTAAGAGCTGAACTATGTTACAGTGAAATATAAGAATATTAAAAAGAAGATATTGATTTGATCTGTTAACTGCATGCACTGAGATAAAGCCAGGAATATTCTTCTTCCCAATAGCTAGAAGTTTTAGTTATTTCTCCTTCCCTTCCCCCTCTCCTTCCCTTTCCTTCTCCTTCTTATTTTTCTCCTTCTTATGAGGGTCCACAGAAGAATCTCTGAGACTGCTTTTGTGCACTTGTAACCCAGCCACTATGAGGACCCCGTAGAATCGTCCAACACATCGTTGTGCAGACTCTTCATTTCTGAACAATGTATTTTATAATATACTAGGTCACCCACTCTGGAGGTGCTTGTCATCACTCAGACTACACAATATGAGAAGTTGCCAAGAGTTCTTCACTGCTTTCCAGATTCACTCATCATGAGCAAAATATTAATTAAGTTCCTTTTCCTCCAAAAGAATTCTATTTTATTCTCTAATCAAGAACAGAAAAGGAGAAGCAGAAGGGTATCTGCTCTTAGTTACTCCTTGCCTTTTTAATCCCCAACATGTGGAATTATATAAACCTAAAGAATATGCAGATTACATTGAATATTATCACCTTTTTAAAGGTACTGTTTAAATTTTTAGAAAAATATCAGTGTTTTTCTGTGGAATGCAACAGCGTAAACATGCTCTCATGGATACATTATTATAGCTATGGCAGCAAGTAATTTTTAGTTTTCACATTTTGAACATGTTTGTAGTAGACTGGATTTTCCAAATATGGCTGCAACAATATCTCCCATCCCATATTCCCCTCTTACAAGGTGACTTTGACAATCTTCCCATCAAGAGGTGGGATTGATGCTTTCTGTTATTGAAATCAGTGGGGCTCTGTGGCCATTATGAACAATGACTTCTGAGGTGAATTCATTAGGGAAGCCCTCGGCTGCAATGTAAGCAATCTGGTTACCCTGAGGCCTCCATGCTGTAAGAAAGCCCAACCTAGCACAAGCAAAGGAACCACATGGAAAAGCCCTGAAACTGCCCGAAGAGAGAGACGTGAGAGGACAAACCCCAGATACTCCAGCCCCATGCTGTTCCTATCTGACCATAACCATATCAGAGAGACCTTGAGCAAGAACTGCCCAGTGGAGAGCACCACCCAAATTTGGGAGCCATAAAAAAAACTTTGGAAGTAGTAGTACGATTGTTGTTCTTTTAAATCACTAAGTTCTTCTGTGATTTTTGGCACATACCTAGATAAATGAAACAATGGCTGATGCTTTTAAAATTATACCTTATAATTTTAGAGCACTTTTAGAATCATATAAAGCAGAAATATTTATTCTTGCCTGGCAAGTTAGTCTTTACTTAAAAAGAATATAGTCATTGGTTAGATATTGCATTAAATGCATCCATAATCAATCAATAAATATTTATTGCACCCTCGAGGCATCTATCTCATATTCTGTATATGAAAACAAGGACTCACTTAAAGTAAGTGTTCTACAAATAATTAAGTTAAATTAGTCTTGTCAACAAAATAATTTTGTTTAACTAGATATGATAAAAAGACTTTTCTAAAATATAGTGTAATATTCATTATCACATGGAAGTAGAGTAAGCCAACCATAAGTGCAGTTTTTTTAATGGTTCTTTGGGGTCATATTGTACAGGTTATGGGGGCTGGATACTTTTATATTGAGTGTCGCCAGCTTGCTGGTGGACATCAGCTAAGGCTGAAGTCACCTAGTATAACTTATCACTTTCAACCTGTGGCTGCAGTCAGGTTCTGCTCATAATCTAGTCTCTTTTATGTCCCAGGAAGAAAAACTCAGATACACAATCTCATTAGACAAAAATAGATTTAACTGGTCATGGGGCTTTACTACACCAGAGATTTCCAAAGGTGTTCTGTGCATTATTTAGGTTTTTTTAGGCTGGTTGAAACTCAAAATTTTAACTAATAAGTGAAGCTTTACTGTCCTAAGAATCACAGCCTCATGTTTGGGCAGAATGATTAAGTTCACCTACAGAGCTTGAATCAAGGTACTATTCAAATTCCTTCATATGATTCTTCAATAAATGGTTGTCAAGTTTCTGACTGAAGAGACTAAACATGTGAAGGTAGTTAAGTATCCCGTCCCTGGAGTTTAATGAATGTAATACTTCCCAGAGGTCCTCGTATGACATATACTAGTTCTCCTTATTATACTCCTCACTGTATAAGGCCTTTCCAAATTCATCTGGCCCTATGCCACCACATCCCCACCTAATAGCACCAGCTTTCTCAGCCTTACTTATAACAGTTCCAGTGCCCAGGTCCAATCTTACTGGACCCATGAAGACTCTAGTTTTCCCAGGTTCCCAGAGGGATTGGCAATAGAACCAGAAGTCCTAGGATTTAAGATGGGATGAGGCACTCTGACAAACAAAAGGCAAGAATGGGAAGAAAGTGCCTCCTGCCTCTCTTGACCTCAAGATGTCCTAAATGCTAAGCAACTGATAATGTTTTTTGTGGTGCTGTGTCCCAAATGAACAAAGCATATGGCTTTAATCAAGGAGTGAAAATAGAAGATCATTAGCCCCTGTCATCATTCTGAGAGATCCTCTTGTAAAATTGGTACCTCTCATCCCTACAGTTAGGAGTCCAATTCCCAGGGAGGATGCTTCCACAAGGGGACACAGAAAAGTTCCTACTAAGTCAGAAGTTAAATTCACCTGGTCATTTTTTTATACCTCATACCAGTGAGCCAGTAGACAAAGAAGGGAGATTCTGTACTGACTGGGATAATGAGCTCTGATTATTGTGAAGAAATAGGTTTGCCACTATATATTAGAGGTAGATTTTGTCTGGAACCCAGAATATTCATTGAGAAACTCTGTTTCCACGGCTAAGAATAATGGTGAATGGGCAAATGAAGACCCCTGAAAAATGGATGTTGTACTATTCCATCTATCAAGCAACAGAGACCAGCCAAAATATTGGCCAAACATGAGGAAATCTAGAAGGAGCAATAAAAGAGGGTAATGATACATATTGGAGTTCCAGGTCTAGCTACCTCAGTGAGGGACTGTGGCTTGGTTGGCTAATCTTCTTTAAATATTTTTAGGAGGTTGCCTTGTCACCATATTCCTGGAATGTTCTTGCACTTTTCATCTCAGGGGTGAGACTGTCTAGTTCTTATATGAAATATGGATATGATAAAGAGTGAAAATGCATCTGAGTAGCTCAAGTAGTAGACTATATTGGATACAATTTATGGGCCTGTAATCTGTTCTCTCATGACGAGAGCCCTGCTCATTTTTTCTGTTGCCTTGACTCCTAGGATCTCCAACTGTTGCACCTTTCTTCAAAGATACGGGCTTCTACAAGGTTTTCATCATAGCTACTACAACAGGAGGTCCAGTAGCTCTGGGCTCAATGCCAAAGCAACCAGATCCATGGAGTCTCTGGCCTCTACGTGGCTAACCAGAAGGCTTGGCAAATTCAGGCTGGAAATACAGAACATGTAATAGTTTGTCGGACAACTTTTAACCCAATATGGACAAGATATGGGAAGAAGCACACAAGTAAGTCACTCTTCATCTTCAATACAGATTGCTCTATGTATCTCTCTGGAGACCTCGCAAAAGACCAGGCAATTGGCTGTTTTCTTATGAGGCTCTGAACTACTCTGTGAGATACCACCTTATATTTCCTTTCCATTTTCCCCTCCCTCACTTCTTATTTTCATGACTTTTGTTGCAAAGGCATTATATTGTCCAATGAAACATTAACATCTTTGATAGGGAATCACACCAAGATAATTTTTATTCCCTGAATAAATTCTAGTCTGCCAATGTTCTTGGTATGAGACTCATAGAGTAGATTTGTGATATCACCTCCCTCATTCCAAAGTATATGTATCTAGTAACAAAATCTCAAATCATAATAACTTGATTATCTATACCACAATTAACCTCTTATGCAACTTTGGTAAAATAAAACTTCTTATTTTCATATTTGCTAATAGATTTCTGTCGTTCCTCATAATTAGCAAATTTATCATAGTTGACTGTCCTTATATTAAATTTTATGTACCATTCTAGTTTGTATAGTCTCTTTAGAATTTTATCTTCCAAAAGTTTAGATTTTTTGCCCTAAACAATGTCAACTAAACATATAATCAATATGCAAAAATACAAGTCAGTGCTCTTATTAAAATGATTAATAAAACTATTGGACAAGGCAGAATGAATATAGCCTCCCATGGCACTGCACTGTAGACCACCTTACATATTGGTATTGACTGTTGTTAAGCAGCACACATTGAATGCAGAAGTTCAATCATTTATGAATCTACCCAGGTGAACTATTACCTATTTTGTCTGTAAGAATTCTTAGCTGGGCATGGTGGCTTACACCTGTAATCCCAGCACTTTGAGAGGCCGAGGCAGGCAGATCACGAGGTCAGGAAAATGAGACCATCCTGCCTAACATGGTGAAACCCCGTCTCTACAAAAAATACAGAAAATTAGCCAGGCGTGGTGGTGGGCGCCTGTAGTTCCAGCTACTCGGGAGGCTGAGGCAGGAGAATGGCGTGAACCTGGGAGGTGGAGCTTGAGGTCAGCTGAGATCCCGCGGCTGCACTCCAGCCTGGGCGACAGAGGGAGACTCCGTCTCAAAAACAAAACAAAACAAAACAAAACAAAATAAAAGAATTCTTACTTTGTAATATGTTTCCATCTCACAGTCTATATCTTTAAAAAAAGTTAGCGCTAACTTATTTCTATTCAATATAGAGAAGCATTTGAGAATTCAATTATGACTGATGATGTTATTTTAAAGCCAAATTAATCCCTTTGGAAAACTTGAAGAAAGATAAAAATGATTCTATCAAGTTAATAACTTAAAATGTGCATAATTTTTAATTCAGCAAATCTACGTCTAAAATTTTCCCAAAGATAATAACTGTGAATGTGTGCAAAATATACCTATGTAGATTTTTTTTGTAGAAGCAAAAATGAAAATAGCTTCAATATCCAATAGTAGAGGTTCAACTAATTGAAGTAGGCAAATCTGGAATTCGGAATAAAATTTTCCCATTAAAAATTGTTCCATTACTATTTAGTGACATGGAAAACAATATTCATAGTAAGTGAACAAACAGCTAGATATTTGCTCTCTTTCAGCTAGAGTTATGTTGGGTGAAGGCAGTAAAAATCTTTGATTATTAGGAGATCAAAGAATTGTATTTACTATTCTATGGCTAAGCATGGCATCTTGTGGCTACCAATGTTCCCTGCCCACCAACTAGCTGAATCAGTTACTACTAGGACAAGTGTTACATACGTAAACACACAGAAGGAAATAGACAGCTAATAAAATAAAAATTTAAAGTAAACCAGAAGCACTGTGATGTGGAGATTGCATAGCTTACGTGTGTGTGTGTGCGCGCGTGTTTATCACGTGAGAAATATTTAAAGGTACTTTTTGATTTGTGTAAAGTTAGAACTCAAGATGCCAGTTATGGTACTTGACGAAGTTGTGTTTAGAAAGACAGACCTGCACCAAGAAGCAGCCAAATGGTAATCTTAATTCAGTGTGTACCTACAGAATATGAGGTTGTTATGAAATGACTTGGAAGCAAAGAACTTTCCACCTAGATTGACAGAGAGAGAGAGAATAAAGGATGCTCGGGTGTTAATGAGTGTGTTCACTTAGAAATAAATTGTCTTTCTCTTGGAGATCAAAGCCCAGTTAGGGTGAAATGAAATGAACTCTTGGCAAATCACTGATCCCATTTCTGTCTTCACCTGTATAACTGTGTATATAGCCAGCATCTGATAACCTTTCCTTTTTGGTTCACCTGTATTTTGTGCTAATTCTGACCTCGTATTTGAGTATTCTGACTCTGGAACACACCTTAGTAAAAACAAACAAACAAAAAAACACATTCATCTCATTGATATGAATTATAATGACTGGCAAAGCTTTGTGGTTTTTTTCTTTCTGTTTTTCCTATTTTTATATTTTTACTGAGGTAAAGCTTACATACACAAACTGCACAAATCAAAAAGGACAGATTAATGTTTTTTTTCCCAACTTGAACATGTATGTATAATGAGAACTCAGGTCAAAAAACAGAACATTACCAGCCCCCTCAAAGTAACCTGTTTTGCCCACTTTCAGTCACTATCTCACTCCCATACAGGGGAATTACTTTTCTGAGTTCTAACATCAAAGATTACTGTTGAGTTTTTTCTGAATTTTGTATTTATGAAGTCATAGAGCATGTTATTTTCTTGTGTATGAATTCTTTAACTGAGCATTACGTTTGTAAGATTCACCTGAATTGTTGTAGTAGTTGCAGTTCATTCATTCTCATTGCTGCATTTTCCATTGTGGAATAAACTACAGTTTATGTATCAAGTCTTCTATTGATGACTATTTAAATAGTTTTCATTTGGTGCTATTAAGAGAGTGTTGTCAGAACATTATAGTTCTTTGAACATATGTATATATTTCTGCTGGTTACACATCAAATTGAGCTATTACAATATCAAAGGATAGACGTATGCTTAGATTTAGTAGATACTGGACTGGCAAAGTTTAAGATGTTATTTTCTCTGGCTTATTTACATTTTAAGAAGCATTAACAACTCTTACACCATAGGGCTAAATATTCAATTGTGAAATTAAACTACCAAGGAGATATTTTGAGTATCAAGGAAACCTAAACTACCTGGGAACCATGGAAAGCCAGCTTGGCTTTGCCTAGAGTTAATTTTCATGCTGGCACAGAGGGAGATCATAAAAATATTTTTGCCAGTTTATATTAATGAAAAGTTGTTTCCATTCTGAAAATAATTATAAAATTCTTATAAGACTTTAACCAAATTTGTTACAAGTCTAATAGAGCAAACTTTTTTAGATTGTTTGTTTGAAATCTATAATTTTTTTCACTTAAGACTTAGCTTTTTAAAATTATAGAAGAATATGTCATTTTATATTAGTACTAAAGAAACATTAGAGCTTTAGAATCAAGGTTTCTTTTGAAAGTGATACATATTTTTAGGAAAAAAATTGAATCAGAAAATTTTCAAAATATTTTATGAGTGTTGTGAGGAAATTCTTCACTCTTGAGACAAATACTACAAAGATAATTGCTAAACCTGAGAGCTCATCATTAAGAACGTAGGCTTTTTATTAAGTAAGAGACTACAAATTAAAACAGAAGTAGAATGTGTGTATGTGTGTATTTTTTAGAATAAGAAAAGGATTTCTCGAGATTAGACACATAGGTATTAATTTGTATGTACTTCTCTTATATGGGAGAGCTCTGTCTCCTGTAAAAGATTATGAGTCCCTTAAGGATGAAGAATGTCTTAGTCCTCTTTTTAGCCAAGGACCTAGCTTAGTGACAGGCATAAATTAAGACCTAACTGTATATTTGTTAAAGTGAGTCTTTTAGAGTAGGTTATACATCAAACCCCCTAAGAATACAATCTTTCATAAATGGAACACATAATTATTCTCTGTTTATCAGATGGAATGAGTCTGACTTTTGGTGTTAGATCTGAATTTGAATCCATCAATTAATGATCATGTAAGTTATTGAGGACTCATGTCTCTTACATAAAATGGGGATAATTCTGTTTTTTACATGAAATAGGAATTATCTCGTGGGTGGTAAAGATGAATTACCTACCGAAGCTCCTGGCTATCTGAAAATGTAAAAGAGAAAAGGAAACAAGAGAAGAAGGGACAGATTAGACTATGAGTGCAAGAGAGTAGGACTTCTGGAATTAATTTACCCATACTAATTTGTAGAATTAAATAAGTATCCTCAATGCTCTTTCTCTTCCTTACTCAGTCAGGTTGTAAATGGTAAACAGCCTAGTAAAATATAAAGAACATGATGGAATTTGGAGTTTGAGAGATTTAGCATTTACTATGTTGATTAAATGTAAGTAATTGGATTTTTTCTAAGCCTGTTTCTCTTTGTAAAACAAGGATAATAAAGAAGGGCTGTTCATGGCTTGGCATGGTGGCTCACGCCTGTAATCCCAGCGCTTTGGGAGGCAGAGGTGGGTGGATTACTAGGTCAAGAGATCCAGACCATCCTGGCCAACACAGTGAAACCCCGTCTCTACTAAAAATACAAAAATTAGCCAGGTGTGGTGGTGCATGTCTGTAGTCCCAGCTACTCAGGAGGCTGAGGCAGGAGCATCGCTTCAACCTGGGAGGCAGAGGTTACAGTGAGCCGAGATCCCGCCACTGCACTCCAGCCTGGCGACAGAGCCAGACCCTTTCTCAAAAAAAAAAAAAAAAAAAAGTGTTGTTCATATTAAAGAAGACGACGTAAAGTCTTCAAGTGTCTGTCTCATGATAGATTTAAAAAATAAAACTTTAGTTATTCTCTTTTGTTTTCCCTTTCTCCTTTTGTGTTTACCAGCTAATGACTCAGAGCTATCCCAAGAAAAAGAAAATGGAAAGAAACCAGAAGGTATTACACTAATTAAATTGATATTCCCCTGGCCCAACCAAATTACAGCATTCTCTGTATTTTATCAGTATTTGTCAAGTTAGGAAAAGACAGAAACACTGGATGTGTATGTGTTCTACCACTTTGCTTTCCTCAGTTTTTCAGCAAAGCTTGTCTATTGCTTAAATAGCAATATTTGGTGAAGGTTATTGAGGACCTTAAGAAGTAATAATTAACTAACCTTTAAATCTGAATTTAAAAAAGAGAATAATTACATAATTAATGTCAGCCTTCCCTTTCTTCCCAATCAACTCCTCTTCACAAGGTGCTTTGCCCTAGGAAAATAGATGGGAACTTTTCATCAAGAAACTTTCCTAATATTTAAAAATCCTGACCATGGGCTTTTAATCCTTTCATATTAAACACACACATACACACACACACACACACACACACACACACACACACCCCAACAACGATTGATATAACTTTTACCAGCCTTTCTCTAACCACTACTTTTCTTTCATGCTATAAACTTGAGATTCACTTGCATATTTTGCCCATGAATATCAGAGATCCAAACATAGGACACAAATATTCTTTTCTCTAATCATAACAGCACCTTCCTTTTTTTGCGTGTGGGCATTAAAAATGTTTTTCTAACCATGTGGATAGGATAGGAATGGCCATCTTCTCAGAGATCCCACCTCCCTGGCCATAGCAACAGCCCAGCAATGGCTGTTGACCAGAGCCAGAGCAGTTAGAGCTCTTGGGATTGTGGCAAAAGCATGCAGGACTCAGTCCCTTTAAGGTAAACTCGGGAAACTTCAGTTGGGAACCTCCCCACTTTTCTCTCTCTCTCCCTCCCTTTTCCTCTTTCCTTTCTTTCCCTCTCTCTCTCTTTTTCCTTTCCTTTCCCTTCCATTCCTTTCCTTTCTCTCTCATTTTTTTCCCTTTTAAAAAAATATATATTGCAGTATAATTGAAGTACACTAAACTGCACATACTTAAAGTGTATAATTTGATCTGACATATCTATTCACCTGGAAAATCATCACTGCAATGAGGAAGCTAAATATTTTTTGCTCTCCTTTTTGAAAGCGTCTAAAATTGGAGAACATTTTTGCTCATGCACCCAGTTGTCCCTAACACCTGTATAGGGTGTGAGTGTGTGATTTGATTTGTGCATCTTTTGATCAGATGAGCCAATAAATCTATATGCCTAAGGTGGTGCAAGTTGGGTTACCAGCATTTGCTACTGAGAGTCATGAATAAATGTCCTGATTACTAGCACATTGAGGAAGTTATTTTGCAGTCATTTTATTAGCAAAACTAAAATTAATTTTCAAACTTTTATTCATGCTAGGTAAAATGTGCAATAAAATTAATCCAAACTGCTCATGAATGTTTGAGGAATTCAAAGCAATTTAGAAGTCATTTGCTGTTTTACTTTTCATATTGAAAAAACTCAGAAAGTAACTTAAAAGATTTAATTCATGTTTCATTTTTCTGTTTCTCATAAGCCCTAGTAAACTATGCCATCTTTTTAATTTTTTGAGACAGGGTTCAACTCTGTCACCCAGGCTAAAGTAGAGTGGTGCTGTCATTACTCACTGCAGCCTCAGCTAATTGGGCTCAAGTGATCCTCCCAACTCAGCATCCTTAGTAGTTGGGGCTACAGGAGCACACCACTATGCCCGGCTAATTTTTAAAAATTTTTGTAGAAATGACATCTCCCTATGTTGTCAAGGCCGGTCTTGAACTCCTAAGCCCAAGCAGTCCTCCTAACTTGGCCTCCCAAATAAATATTCCTGCTATAAGATGTGATATGACAAATCTTTTGGTGGTCATTGGACCTCTGACAAATAAAAGCCTCTGACTAGATCATTCGTACTAAGAAGAAAGGCTATGGGAAGTTAGAGAGAGTCAATTGCTTCTTCTACCAAACTCCATATTTTAAAAAGATAGTCATCTTGCTTTGTGTGAAAACCAATTTAGAGGAAATAAAATGAGAGGAAAACTTTGTCAGAAAGACTCTTTCAGAAAAGTATATGTCTCTATCTCACCTTAATCTTTGATAAGTCTAAATTTGCTAAAACATCTGTAATTCGGTTTTTGGATCTAAAAATTATAATAAATGGCCAGGCCCGGTGGCTCATGCCTGTAATCCCAGACTTTGAGAGGCAGAGGCGGGTGGATCATGAAGTCAAGAAATCGAGACCAACCTGGCCAACATGGTGAAACCCTGTCTCTACTAAAAATACAACAATTAGCTGGGTGTGGTGGCGCTCGTCTGTAGTCCCAGCTACTCGAAAGGCTGAGGCAAGGAAATCGCTTGAGCCCAGGAAGCAGAGGTTACAGTGAGACAAGATCACGCCACTACACTCCAGCCTGGCAACAGAGCAAGACTCTGAGGTTAAAAAAAAAAAAAAAAAAAAAAAAAAAAAATATATATATATATATATATATATATATATATATATATATATATATATATATATATATACACATATATATATATATATAAAATAAATTAAAATTTTAAAATAGTAAGTACTGGACAAAAAAGAGCAGGGGATGAAAGTTTGAAAGGTCATATCAACATTGTTCACTCTTTAAAAATCACCTTGGCTGTTTAGATTTAATTCAATTTATGTCTAAAAGTAACAATATTTGTACTCTTCATTTTCTAGCATGATTGTGGATTTCACTTGCAAAAGTACATTCTTGTTGAAGTAATAATATAATCTATAAATAGAATAAGAAATTGAATTCAGAATAATTGAAATTGAAATTGAATTGAAATTCTTATATAAAACTTAAAATGTGAAAACAACTAAGATAGATCCAGTTAACTTTGCTCATTTGTTAGTCAACCATTAAGCCCTACTCAGTCTCTAGGAACAGTTGGAAAAGCCCTACCTCAGATTTTCTTCCCTGGGATATACAAATTCATTTTAGCTAAGAAACTAAGCAAAAAATAAATAGAAGAGGAAGACAATACATTACATTTCTCATGGTCACAATTTCATAGTTCTTACCAAGTGGAAGAAGGCTCAGTGCCTGTCCATTAGTTAGTTTGCTCGTTTGTCGCCCAGGCTGGAGTGCAGTGTGGCTGTCATGGCTCACTGCATCCTTGACCTCCCAAGCTCCAGGAATCCTCTCATCTCAGCCTCCCAAGTAGCTCGGACTACAGGCACACACCACCACAACTGGCTAATTTTTCTATTTTGGGTAGAAATTAGGTCTCAGTATATTCCCCAGGCTGGTCTTGAAGAACTCCTGGGCTCAAGCGATCCCCTTGCCTTGGCCTCCTAAAGTGCTGGGATTACACATTAGTTGTTTTAATAGTTCTTTATGTATGCCTCTGTTTTTATATTGATCAGAGCCTATGGCGTACAAAGAAAGATACGTGTCATTTTCAAAATGGTTTGCAAATTTAGAAACATTTATAATGATATGATTTCCCCCGCGTAAGTGTAGAAATCTTGAGCAAACTGGTATGTGTTAGAATTTTGGTGAGATCACAACAGGAATGGCACCCCACAGCAAGAATAGCATTCTATGTTTCACTCAGAAGACACTCAAAATGGACTAGAAATGACATTTAGCACAGAAGTACATGGTACACGCAAGTCAACTCTATTTTTCAGGTTTATGTGCGGTTCTTCCAAATTCCTCTAGCTCTACCTCCATCCTTAGCAGGCTACATGTCTCCTTCAGTAGGTGGATCACATTTTGTTAATTTTTGCAACCAGGGTGCTATGTACAATGTAAATGGTTGGTTTTTAAAATAGATGAGAACACCTTTATTGAGACTCTCTTGGGCCCAGTTAGAGAATATCCTGATATATACTGGGTAGGGGTGGAGGTATGGAGATGGAGGTAGGTGGTTCTGGTTGTGTTTGTCTTCACATTAATTCACATAAGTTATTTCATATTAATTCATATTAGTTATATTTGGGGCCTGGAGTCTTTAATAACAATTTTTATCTGAAGTCTTTTCTAGGACACATCATTTTAAGGGAAGATGGGAGAGATATGAAGAAGCAGCTGTGGAGATGCAACGCTGGACATGAAATGGGTGTGGAAGACAACGGAAAGCCAGTTGGTCAAGACCCTTGGGAAGAAAAGAATCTTTAAAAGGTCTCTGTTAGCGTGGGACTAAATTGTAATCAGACATTGTGAATAAGATGAAATACTAAAGAAAGAAAGAAAGAAAAATATAGGGCACATACAGAACTGATCAAGAAGGGATTATCAAGAGACAATTACTCAACTACCCATTTGCAAGTGAGCATATTCTCACCCAACACTGTTTTCAGTTATGATTGAATGGAAGCTCTAATTGAATAGTTCTTTGTGGTGTTCAAAGTCCAAGACAGCAAGTTGTTCTTTTGTATGGGTTCATAAGTTTTCCCAGAATGAACTGTAAAACACTCATGATTTCCCTGAACTGTGGCAAAGTGACTTACCCAGTTTCTGGCAAATTTATTAAGCAATACAGACTCCCTGCTTAATCCATTGGTTTAAACAATATTCAGTTAACACAAATTAGTGAATAAGCAGAGACATAGGTCAGCTGATCGAAGAAAGATGTAAAAGTAAATTAAAATAAAATTTATTTGAAAACAGCAATGGGTCAGAGCTAAAGCCCAGTACAAGTTAGAACAAATAAAAACCCATTAATCTGAAAAACCTTCTTGGGTTTACAAGAAGGCTTTTCTGATCTCAGGCTGTATTTATCCTCTAGATGGAAAAAAAAGAGGAGCAATAAATCTCTTCATATCAAAGGCCTGTTCAGCAGAAATGAATTGAAAGTGTTGGGTCAATTAGACTGAACTAGATCTCCCCCAGGCAAACCTACTATCGATACATATTTAGCTTCCAGACACCTTTAAAGGCAGCCTGGGAAAGGCTGGCTAGCAAAGAAAAAAAAAGATAATTCTAAAATTTGAGTTCCCTTTGAACTCCATCCACTACAGCAATAAAAAGAGCTGTTTCTGCTCTATTGCATTTTGTTGAAACAAAAAAAAAATAGACTGGAGAAATGAATAAGCTCGGCATATTATGTAGATAAAATGGTATTATGGCAAGAGAATGAAGAACAAAGAGCTAAGAACCAGATTCCTGTCGCAGCTCTGCTCTCATAGCTGTGTGACTTCTGGTCAGTCCTTAGACTTTGAAATCTATAGGCTACATGTCTGGAAATAAGAGGATAACAGATTATTCTTAAGTTTCTCTGTGATTCAAAAATATCTATGAATCTAAAGGAAGGAAGACAGTTATGTGGATTGGTTATTGGAAAAGAATCTAAAGTAATTGTTTCATGTATGCATAAAAGGGAAGATCCAGCTATAAATTGTCAAGATATCTTCAAAAACACCTTTTATTATTGAAAGCTACAAAGAGGACAAATAGTCAAATAAATTTTTGTAGGAACACTCATAAATAATATTTACTAGTATCTAGTGAGCATTTACTATTTGAATTACTTTTGTAGAAAGTCTTATTTAGTCCAATACAATCCTTTGAGATAGATGCCGTTTTATATAAATTTTATACATAAGTCAACTGAGATACCATTATAGACTCAGAATGTTCTAAGAGGCAAACCAGGATTTAGTCTCGTACTGTTCAAACTCTACTAATCACTGTGTAATTATAAGCACTCTTCTAGATCACCATTTGTAGATGGCATAGTAAAGTAAAGACATCTTCAGCTTGTGCTTCAAGCCAGAACATACACTGTCACATTTAAAACTCCAGTGTCTCTGTGATGGGCTTATTTGTATTATTCCTCTTCCTTTGGTCTAAGTGAAAATACTTTTTCTTAATTTCCTGAGACAATCTGAGAAAATGAATCTAGTGAAAATGCTAGAGTAACTCATTGGATTTGAGCGCTCCAACCATTGAAATACTATGGTATCAACTGGACTAAGAATCAGAGGACCTCTATTCAAGGCCTTTCTTTACTAATTGTGAGTGGGACCTCGAGCAAATTTCTCACCACTCTAAACATCAGTTTCCCAACTATAAAACAGAACTTTTCTCGCTAATATTACAATGTTAAAGAGGTAAAATAGAAAAAAGAAGGACTTTGGATCTAGAGGAGCCTAGATGGGAATTTTGTGAGGAGTCATGTGACCTTGTACAAATTACTCAAACGTTTCTGAGTCTCATGTTCTTTGTCTGAGTAATGGTGATGATAATAGTGATATGGACAGTAGGCAGCGAAATACTGGGCAGAAGAGAGCAGTGCCCCAGCAAAGGCCCCACCCTCAAGCCTGGAAACCCGCAGCCCTAAATGGGAACAAGCATTCCTGTTTTCATGCCCAAATGTTGTCTTTTGGCCCACCATGTCCCCCACTATCTTGTACCCATATAAACTCCAAACCTCAGGCTCCACGAGCAGAGGAACAGCAGAGCGGCAGAGCAGCAGGGCAGCACAGCAGTGCAGCAGAGAAGGAGAGAAAAGGAGTATATGAACGTTAGGAGGAGTTCGGCTGGGGATGGTCAGAGAGGAGACTGGCCACAGGATGGCCGAACTCCAGGGGAAGATCATCTTCCCACTAAATCCCCTTTCCAGCTCCCCATCCATCCCACTGAGAGCCACCTCCACCACTCAATAAAATCCCTGCATTCACCATCCTTTAATTCCGAGTGACCTGATTCTTCCTGGGTACTGAAAAAGGGGCCAGGTACCAAGAAGGCAGGGTGTAAAAGACTGTGACCCTGACTCTCCACTGAGCTTGTTTAACACTTAGCCACCCACGGACAGCAACTGCTAAAAGAGTATTAATTGTAACACACCTCTAGATGCTTCCGTGGGGCCAGAGCCCAAAAGCACTTGCCCTGGCTCCTGCACCTGCCCATCTGTGTGCTTCCCCTCTTGTAAGGGATTTGAGCACCCAGCAGCCAAATAAACAAGCCACACCCCTATGAGGGGGTCAGGGAACTCACCCATTTAAATAGTAACAACTTCACAAGGCTAAAGTATAGATTAAATTAGAGAACTTTCCTCAAATGTAGTAGTTTAACCCACAATAATGGAAAACAAATAACTAGAAGAGACTCTGAACATTGGTGAACCATTCTGTTTTAAATATAATGTATACCCACAAATTGTCTTTTGGGCATGTATGTTTTCTTGTATATTTGTTCGTTTATCTCCAGCAATAGAGATGAATTTGTGCTGAGACACTAATTTTCTTTCTCCTTACCTTCTTTTCTCTTCTCCTTTTCTTTTGTGTGGCAAAAATAATGCATTATTTTAAAAAATACTGCTGGCAAGTGTCCTTCCCAGTCCACATGGGGGCTAACCCCTCCTCAACCTTACTAAAAGGGTGGGCTCCAAAAACTAATTAGTCGTGTACAGTAAAAATAAGAAAATTACACTATTTAAATTGACGGTTTGTTTAAAAATGTTTTGCAAATTCACGTTTTGTTAAAATGTCTAACTATATATGTAATTTACATAACCTATGGAATCAAGAAAAGAATATCCCTTTCAGATATGTTAAATGGAATGAACAAATATGTACATCGCTATTATATGTGCCACATTCTCTTTCACCCAGATGCCATCTATAAAAAGCTCAGAAATGAACGGTAATTTAAACTATAAATCTATATTTAACACACTATAAATGAGTAGACTAGTGTGTATAATATTTTGCTTCTATCCCCCTTTGAATTAATCTAGTTCTTACTCTATATAAATATCTACTTGTTGTGTTCTTTTCATTTCATCAGGTGAGAAAGACTGAAAATGAAAGGCCCTTAAATGAGAAAGGTAATATGGAAAATAAAATGGATATCTCAGCCCTGTCATTCAAGTATCCCTAGTGCAAACATGTAATTTTGTAATTTATTGTCCAAAGAGGATACTTTTGAAATGGAAAGGGGCACTATAAATAATTGTACCAGGAAAATAGGAGGAAACCAGTGTTTCTCAAATAAATTGAGATATATGGTTGACAGGTCACTTAAGTTGTGTCATTTTAACTTCCAAAACACTTTCTGCCTGTTCAAAATAAATCCAAAAGGTACCCTGCCTCCCAGCCCCTTTGACAGTCTCTGCTGCTCCACCATCAAGTGACTTTTCCCCCTGGATTGCTACAATAGCCTCACAGGAGCCTCTTAGCTTCCACCCTGGCCCTCCCCACTTCTCCAACTCTCCAGTCAATTTTCTGTATAGCAACAAAAGATATACTTTTACAGCAGTGGTTCTCAACTGGAAGAGGTTTTGTCCCCTGTCTTGTGACACATGGCAATGCCTGGAGATAATATTGATTGTCACACCTAGGAGGCTGCTACCAGCATCTAGCAGGGAGAGGCCAGGGATGCGGCAAAACATCCTACACTGCCATGTGACAGCGCCCATAACAAAAAAGTACCTAATCCCACCTGTGGAGAGTGCTACTGTTGAACAAGTGTCTGAAAGTATAAATCATATACCACATTATGCTTCGGGTTGAATCTCTCTAATATATGTAAAATAAAACCCAGTCACTTCACCATATATGAGCCCGTCCTGTCCTCTAAATTCACTCTTGTTCACTCTCGGTCTCCCTGACTCTTAACTCCCTCCAGTCTCATTCCTCACTGTAAGCAAGAAGGTCTTTTCTCAAGTCTGTCTGGATCTTGACCAGGGCCTCTGCCTGGAGTGCTCTTTTTGCCTGGCTGGCTTCATCCCATCCTTCAGGTTTCCGCTCCATGGCCATGGCCTCAGGAAGATCTCCCTGACTATCATGAGCTGGAGGAACATTGATTGTCTCCCTGCATTCCTCCAGCACTTTGTTATGTCCCACCTCATTTCCTTTAGTTTATTCTCTTCAGAGCACTTTTCCAACTGAAATTATTTCATTTATGTATTTGTTTCCCCATTTTTTTTTTTAAATCCATTTCTCCTGAAAGAACAGGGCCTTCCTTGTCTGATTTCTTTTTTCTTTTTTTCTTTTTTTTTTTCTTTCTATTGTTGCTGAATCCCCAATGCCTGGAACAGAACAGTGCTTGGAAAAGAGCAGCCAAGCAAAAAATCTTTGTCACTGGAAAGTTTCTATGGTACATCACCCTGATACAGTTAAAAAAAAAAAAAGACACTGGTAATCAGAGATAAGTTCAAATAGGAATTTAGATTCCCAATTGCAGTTTTAATGCTTAATGATAGCAATAATAAAATTAATGACAGCAACTATCATTTACCAAGGGTGTACCATGAGCTGGGATAAACTCTTTTCATTTATTTCCTCAGTGAGTCCTTTCAACAGCCCAGCTCGTCATCTCTATCCAGCCACCCTCAGTGTGGCCTTTCCTTGCCTTGCCATGCCAGCTATAGTCTCCGGGCCTGTGTACATGCTGCACTCTCCCCCAGACCACTGTCTCCCTCTTCACCTTCCCATTGCTATGCAAAGCTCATATGTGACCACCTATGAGAAATTGGATTTGGAGTCTACCTTAGTCCCTCTGGGCTGCTGTAACAAACATACCTTATACAGGGTAGCTTATAAACAACAGAAATTTATTTCTCATCGTTCTGGAGGCTGGAAGTCCAAAGTGGAGGCACTGGTAGATTTGGTGTCTGGTGAGAGCTCATTTCTCACAGATAGGATCTCTTGCTGTGTCCTCATGTGGGGAAAGGGACAAACAAGCTCACTTAGGCCCCCTTTATAAGGACTCTAATCCCATTCATGAGGGCTCTTTCCCCATGACCTAATCATTTCCCTCAAAAGCCCATCTTGAATATCATCAACTTGAGTTTAGGATTTCAACATATGAATTTCAAGGGGATATGAAGTTTTAGACCATAGCAATATCCATGTTCCAAAGCACATTTTGCTTACCTTTATCTCCTTCATAGACTAAAAGCTTTTTGAGGGCAGTATAGCCTTATTACCTGGCTCATATATGTAGAATTTATGATTATGGTAAGGATTGCTTCCTTGGTTTACAAATTGAACCACGCAAAGCTTAAATTTCCCAGTGTCAAATAGTGAGTGCACAACTGGGGTTTAATTTTAAGCCAGTGTTGGAATTCTGAATCTGTATTTTAACAACGTTTCTGTAACAACATTCTGTATGTGTGTCATATGTCAAAGTCACATATATGTGACTTTGGACAAATTACTTAACAATTTAGAATCCCCTTTTGCTAATCTATGAAATTCATAATGTGAGTGGGATAGAAAACTGGTTATAGATGAAATGAAATCTGTAGCTCATTTCTGCTCTAACCCTCATGGGTTTAAATGCCCCTATGGAATGATGTTTTACAGATAGAAAGTATTTGACAAACATATTGATTGTTGAATTGTACAGGAGATACTTAACAAAGAGACTGTGAGCATATGAAACACTTTTCTACTTCAGCACTGCCCTTAGCCAATTTTTAAAACAACCCTTTCTTTCACTTTTTTGGAATTTTCACTCTTATTCTAATAGCAAAAACAGGTAGGTCTGCTTTTTTTTTTCCTACAAGAAAATTGCAGTTCCTTGATAGCTTAAGATCCTCAGCTTTCAATCTCCTTGTTTATACACTCAGGAAACTGGTTTACTGCCTCACAAAACAGCACACCCATGTGATTAGCACTTAATTATGGCCAAGCCAGTAGCTGGGCTATAGGCTCAGGTTGAGTTAATTCACTCAAAATAAGTCTGGGTTTCATTTGTTTCATTTCAATTGCAAAGAGACAAAATTTTGCATGCCATCTACTACGAATTTCACTTATTCTGAAAGAATATAAAACTTTCAACCATTTCTTTTTCAATGACAATGTAAAATACTACTTGGAATCTAATATCCAATCCCTTCAAGTTTAAAAGAAAAAAAAATTGGCTTTGGAAAGTTGGCTAGATAGACTTAGACGTATATTTAAATTAAATTAAAGCATTGCCCTATTTTGCCAATTGGAAAATCACTGTTAAAAATTTCTGAAAATGGCTAGCTGACTATGACATAAATTGTAACAGATTTTTGGGGTTCAACTAATTTAGCTGGTTTCACCAGCTATTTCCAAGATGAAATGAGCATTGAAGATGAAATATGAAAGGAATTCCCTTCATCATAGGCAGTAGCCAGCCTTCAGGGTGGTCCCTGGCATGCACCCTGTTGTGTAGTCCTCTTCCACATGCTTCCAAAGTTGGTCTATGTGACCGATAGAGACAGCATCGGCCAGGCACGGTGACTCATGCCTGTAATCCCAGCACTTTGGGGAGGCTGAGGCAGGTGGGTCATTTGAGGTCAGGAGTTTGAGATCAGCCCTGGCCAACAAAGTGAAACCCTGTCTCTACTAAAAATACAAAAAAAAAAAAAAAAAAAAAAGCCAGGTATGGTGGCAGGTGCCTGTAATCCCAGCTACTCGGGAGGCTGAGGCAGGAGAATTGCTTGAACCTGGGGGAGGCAGAGGATGCAGTGAGCCGAGATTGCGCCATTGCACTCCAGCTTTGGTAACAAGAGCAAAACTCTGCCTAAATAAATAAATAAGACAGCAGCAATGATGGCATGTCCCTTCTAAGACTAGGTCATAAAAGGCACCAAAGCTTCCTGCTTGCTTTCTCTTTCACTCTCTTTCTTCCATCACTTGCTCTAGGGATAGTCAGCTGCCGTGTCTTGAAGAGAGGCCTCCAACTGACAGCTATGAGGAACTGAGACCTATTGCCAACATGCACATGAGTGAGGCTGGACACAAGTCCTAGAGGACTGTAGCTCAGGACAACACCCTGACTCTAACTCACAAGTCCCACCCAACTAAGCTGCTTCTGAATTCCTGGCCCACAGAAACTATGAGCTAATAACTGTTTGTTGTTTTTAGACATCACGTTTTTGATCATTCATTATGCAGCAGTAGATAACAAGTATAGCAGGGAATGAATTCATTTATCATTTATATATTCTTCATTGTTTATTAAAGCCCCCCCCGCAAAAATAGATGGAACTTCAGTGGACTACAAGATAACGTGAGTACACATCATTATTTTAAATATAGTTTTAAAATACAAAAATAGATTTTGAGATTTGTTTGCTTATAGGATTATTTGGAATCTTAATGGAGCATTTACTTACTAAAATTTAAGAAGAATGGGAAAAAAGAGGAGAAGACTTAGACAAAAGGAACTAAATCCACTGGTGAAATTAGTCCCAAAAGAAAAGGCATGCATTGTAATAAGGGCAATCAGGGCACTAGGTTTTGTTTTGTTTTGTTTTGTTTTGTTTTGTTTTTGAGGCAGAGTCTTGCTCTGTCCCCCAGGCTAGAGTGCAGTGGCACAATCTTGGCTCACTGCAAGCTCCACCTCCTGGGTTCACACCATTCTCCTGCCTCAGCCTCCCAAGTAGCTGGGACTACAGGTGCCTGCCACCACGCCCGGCTAATTTTTTGCATTTTTATTAGAGCTGGGGTTTCACTGTGTTAGCCAGGATGGTCTCCATCTCCTGACCTTGTGATCCTCCCGCCTTGGCCTCCCAAAGTGCTGGGATTACAGGCGTGAGCCACCACGAATCGGGGCACTAGTTTTAAGGATTTTTATGTTTTGATTTTTGTGTTTTGGGTTGGCGAAGGCTTTTTTTCAATGAACACTTTTATGGGATCCTGAGCTGCAAAGTTAGCCTATATATCCCTTTAGGAGCCTCGGAATAAAGCAGAAGAGAAACTGGACAAGAATGAGGAAAAGGGAACTGAATGGGCCTCCCACTTGAAATTCTATTAGATAATGTTGATTATAAAAGGTGACAAAAAATAGACTTACCTGATTCTGAATCTCAGGGAGAGGCTTTCAATAATTTATTTTTCAGTATGACATTTGGTGTTATGTTTTTGTTAGATACTCTTTATCACATTAAGGAAATTTCTTTTATTCTTTCTTTGCTAAGAATTTTTTTTTCATAAATAGGCTGTGGAATTCAAGCATTGTTCTTTGACACAGGCAAATAGGAATCCAGTTCATGCTAGAGCTTTCAGGACTTCACTCTGGCGTTCTACAGTTGTGTCCTATTCTGTGGGCGAATACACTGGCCATATTCCAACTTCACGTGTTACCTCTCTATATTCCCCCCCCGCTTTTGTATTTTGGCATCCAAATATGAGCATTATAAATGTATAAAATGATGATGCAAGCATTGTAAACTGTAGATTGGTTCAAACAGTATCATTTTAAAGAATGGTCAGTATCAAGGTATGAGAAAACAACATTAATATAAACCCTAAAGAATAAGAATAAAATGAATACAAAATAAAAATGTAGTATCTTAATTTTCCATTGTGTAGAACAACAGATAAATTTTGTTTATTCACAGTGTTTCTTAAAAACCCGAATATTACCAACATTTAAAAGTCAGAAAAGAAATTGTCTAGACAGTTCATACAAAATGTGCATTTCAGGGTTCTCTTAAAATATTTGGCAACACAGGGCAAACAGTCCCAGATGAAAACAGTTGGCTAGAGCCAGAAGCTAGTTTTCTACAAAAAATTCTTCCAAATCTTACTGCATATATATATGTATATATAAATATATTGCATATATATATATAAACTTACTGCATTATATATATATACCTCTAACAAGTATATATATACCTTTAACAAGTATATATATGTATATCTCTAACAAGTGCATATATATATATATACACTTGTTAGAAGTTTTTTTCCAAAATTTGACATGTATGTTGAAAGGTACATGACACTGGCAATATCAGGTAGAGCTGTAATAAAATCTTCTAAACTATAATAATAGAAAAATATTTATTGGTCATGCTAGAGGAAAATCTCAAATATGCTTGCATTCATTACAAAAAATATAAAATCATTGTCAAATAAAGACTCAATCAAAGCATATGCAGCCAAATAAAGTAGTAAAAATTAACATGGATGTACACCAAGCAGTTCATTAACAAAAACATTTTGTGATTTTTCTGGATTTTATGATTGAGATATTTGTCAGATTTTTATAATTTATTGTGTTTCCTTTGCTCATTCTAAACTGTTTGTTCTTTAACCATTGTTTCCATAATATTATATTCTTTTTCTTGGAGGCTCCCACAAACTTGGATCTATCCCTACCGGTTATCAACTGAGAAAGAGAAAATAAAAAAGGACAGTCACAGTCTAGGTAGTTGAAAAGAATACAACATATACAACAAGAAATTAATGAATGCCTTGGGAAAATTATTGAAGACATAGAACATGTTAGCAAAATTAATCCTCATTATTCTACAAAGGTCATTCTATAAAAGTCACATATGAAGTGAAAATTTCCATCAAGCAATTTTATTGGAAAAAAATGACAAAATAAGCACAAAACTCAAGATTTACTCTGAAAAGTAGAATCCATTTTTAACAGACTTAGTGGCCACTGTTCACGTATCTATTATCTTCAAAAATTATTTAGATGAAAATTTTAAGAAAGGTTTTGTGATGCGACCATCCTAAGTAGGTAAGTGAACAGTAGCAAAACAGAATGACTTCTAGAGAATTCAGAGACCACCTTTCCTAACTTCTCCCATAACAAATCAAAAATGAGTAGCAAAATTAAAAATATGAATGGAGGATATAAGAAAGAAAGAAAAATAGAAAGCAAAGAATTGTGTGGGGAAAGAACAAAGGAGAAAAATAAGGTTGATGAAAGAAAATAAACATCCCTATGCCTGATGATGTTACCACATTATCTCATTTGATTTTCCCTGGCTTTTCCATACTGAATAAACTGGCTCCTAGTTAAATATGTTGTCCAGTGTTATAGAAATAGTTAATCTAGCCAAGCTGGAATGCAACGTTGGGTATGTTCTCCTAAAAGCCTTCTATTTTTCTAGACCAACATAATATACTCTGCCATACTTCACTTTCATATGAAAAATGACCTCTGGGAAAATATTTCGACAGTTTTCCTTATGAAAGAATTTAGAGTAAATGAACATTACTTATGACCCAGAATATGGATAAGCAAATCCATAATCTTTGCAAAGCAACCACATGAACGTTGTTGAGAAAGATAAACATGCTTGTTGATTATGGAGCACTTTCTGAACACAATGGATGAAGAACAACTTTAACTCCTTGGTGTAGCCTTCTGTATTTAGACTTTATAAAACTATTCCTCATAGTATTCAGGATCCTTGTTATGTGGAGTAACCAATTTTTCATTCGTATAAGAAGTAAGGATTGTGAAAACATTTTCTCTTCTCTAGCATAATGATTAAGAGCACAAAACATAGGAGTGAGGCGGAGGTGGATCCATTCCTGCCTTCTGACTCACTGGCTATGTAACTTGGATAAGTTCTTAACCTTTGTAACTCGGATTCTTCTTATCTCTAAAATGTGGATAATAGGGTATTGTGATGAATAAATGAGAGCCAGGGTCAAGCACTAGCTCAACACCTGGAAAACAATAACAGCTGCTGACTACTATAACTGAACTTCAATTAATATAATGATAATGAGAAACAAAACTTACTCAGAGATTAACGATTTGTTTCAAAGTAAACACAGATCTGATTTACTTAAAAAATAATTTTGAAACTTTGAGACTATTGCCAAGGAAGTCATGATACCTGAAATAAAATTTCCAATTTCTCCAATTTCATCTATTTGGGATTCCAACTATCCTTATGAGTTCCAAGAACCCATTGTTTCCGAGTAGAAAAGACAGAGGCAAAGACCTCCTTGGAAAGCTGTAGCTACTAGAAAGGAGGTGGGAAAGAATACAGTCATTTGCAATCCAGCATTTCACTCAGAATTCAGACAAAGGCCTCTTTTCAAAAAAAGTAAAAAAATAGAAAGAAAGAAGGAAAGAAAAAGATGCAAACTTCAACCCAGCTGCCCCCAAAGACCAGCCATTCAAATTAGCTAGAGCAAGTACCTGTTCATTTTTGATCATGGCCCAGTTTGATATCACTCATCATTACATTCATAATATGGGCCTATTCTTCTAGGAAAATGATTCCGTTGTGGGTTTGGCAATGAGAGCTTCAGTTCAGTTCAGCTAAGCTTATTTCTTTTGTTCAAAGGAGGGAAGCTGTTTGCAAATAATCTGTGTATAATTAGTTACCTGGTTTTAAAACTGTTTTATTTTTATTTTCTTTTTTCCTTGTGAAGCCATCTGGGAAATCTGATTACTCCTAAGTCATTATAAGCTAATATGCAGTCTAGGTAGGCTGGGTTTTGAATCTCTGTTAATTCTAGTTAAATACTTAAAACTAATTAGACCATTTTAATAGGAGTCATTTATTACTGAGTGCTTCTTAAGAAAGAATCTTATAGTTCATGCTGATCTAGACTACCAATTACATATTTATAAATCTTAGCTTACATGTTCAAGTTCTGTATGCAGGTAAGAGAAAGATAATTCCCAAATGAAAGAAAATTACATCAATACATATAAAATTGTCACTATTGTCAACTGAGCATAGGGTTCCAGAAAAGAAGACCAAAAATTGTCACTAATAAAAAGAAAGTTATAAACTCTAAGTCTTAAGGCAAACTTTAAAACATTGAATACTGAAATGCTCTCTACATATCTCTATTATTTCTATATGTAAACACATGAATTCCTCCATTAATGATTGGTCAAGTATAATATAATTCAGACATCAAATGTAGCTGCGCCAAGTTTTCAAACCTATCTTTGATTTTAAGCCAAAGAATCTACCACCCTTCCAAATCTTAAATGGGTTAACCACATTTATAGGTTCACAATCTTAAATGGGTTAACCCATTTAACCATTATAAGTCAAGGTGGATTCCTTGGCTTATAACTTATAAGGGTTCACAATCCCAGAGCTCCTAAGAACTCATCTAGTGCCAGAGAGACAGCTAATTCCAAAATGGACTTCAAGTTTGCATTTATTTTCCATTGAGATAAATAAGAAATGGACATATACTTAAAATGGAATTCGTGTTATGGGTATGTATGCAGCCTTCTCTGTCTCCTGTAGGAGCCAATCCGTGCTTGTTTACATTTTTTGTCCTTATTCTCAGCACCACAGTATTTAGGTTCATTATATGAAAGGCAGATAAGAATCTTGAGTTCCTCCTAAGAGCTTTGGTACATTCTAGAGACCCAAATGGGAACTAAAATGAATTATGATTTCTTACTGATTCTATAAACACTCACATACATACATTAAAATAAATAGTTTAAAAAGGCTAAAAAAAAATAAGCAGCTTTCAGTTAGCACATCGAAAATAAGACTTTTACATCACCAGATTTGGGTTCATCCTCTTGAATTTGCACATAGTTCTGTGCAGAGATGTCTTAAAACCTTATTAATGCATCTAATTAAAGTCGTGACAGAGAACTTCCACAGCATCTAATGAAAGAAAACAAAGATTAAATTTAAGTTAATCAGCTTTGAAATGTAAACAAGCACATTCAATCATTAAATGATTCCATTTATTTTTAACAGGTTCTTAGAAGTGAGTACAATAAACATTCCACCATGCTTTCTTCCTTTGCCTCGAATGTTTATTAGCACCATTAATTCATTAGTAAAAATACAAAGAGACATTTCATGCCTAGTATAAACCCATTCCAATTTTTTGATAAATGGAGGCAAGTAGTTAGCCAAGATTTTTCGCACACACAAGAAATTCTAAAATATTCGTGGATATTTCAAAAGTAGAGCCTTCAAAAATATTAAAATAAAAAAAAATACTGGCACTAATAATAAAGGTCATCTCAGGTTTGCTGTCCCAAGATGTTAGTTCTTTGCTTTGAGCAGGCGGGTGGTGTTTTTCATGGGAGAAGACAGCAGAACTAGTATTCCTGGTAAACATGTCAGCAGAGGATTTGGGAATCTGTTTCTAGCAACTAAATAGTCCAGAAGAGAGGGAAACGTTTTTATATCTTGCAAAGTTTAGAGATGAAAGAACCAATCTCAAGGTTGATGAAGAAAGACATCACTCAGCAGGTGGTGAGCAGCTGTGATGTAATAACATTCGCCATACAGTTTTACCAGTAGCAAGAGTCAGAAGCCCAAAATCATTTTAATACCAGGGAATGTCTATTTGAGTCTATGTACTCTCCCTGAAATAATCAGTGGCTTGTTTTGTTGTTTTGTTTTCTGGTTAGAATAGGCTTGCATTTCTAGTTGAAGAGAAGTTAGCATTATCCTCTGTCAGGTAAATCTATAGTGAGTTACTCAGCATTTTGCTTGCTGTGATGGAAGAAGGATGGAAGCATTTCCTGCCCAGGCTTGGAGTTATTCATTTTTCTTAGCATGCTAGCTCTCACTTTACCCATTTCTTTCCTACTCAATAAACAGATGAACAAGCAAATGATCAGGAACTACTTCACTATGCAATAACCAAGAGACTTTTCTAGTTTATAAAAAAGTATGCTATTGTTAAATTCAAGAATGGTGCCTTTATTATTTGTTCATTTGTCCAACAATTATTTTTTATTGTGGTAAGAACATTTAACGTGAGATACATCCTTTTAACAACTTTTTGTGTACAGTATTGTTAACTATAAGCACAGTGTTATATAGCTGACTGTTGGAATGTATTCGTATTGCATAACTGAAACTTTATATCTATTGAATAGCAACTCCCTGTTTTCCCGAACTTTCACCTCCTGGCAGCTACATTCTACTCTCAGCTTCTATGAGTTTTATAATTTTAGGTACCTTGTATAAGTGGAATCATGCAGTCTTTGTGGTTCTGTGACTGGCTTATTTCACTGGGCATAATATTGTCCTCAAGGTTCATCCATGTTGTCATATATAGCAGAATTTTCTTCTTTTACGGTTGAATAATATTACATTGTAGTTATATACCACACATTTTTAATCCATGCATCCATCGATGGACATTTTTATTGTTTTCACATCTTGGCTACTATAAATATTGCCGCGATGAACATTGGAATTTTAATATCTTTTCAAATTCCTGATTTCAATTCTTTTGGATAAATACCCAGAAAAGACCCTATTATGTGGCATAATAGGAACAGTCCTAGGGAATGGGGAAACATTAGTTATCAGGGAACAAATTACATGGTAACTCCCTTAGAAGTGATCTCATTCCACCAGTTTATTATAATATTGACATTGTTCAAATATTCATTCTGTATACAATAACCAGAGTAACTTTTTTCAGAAAACACAAAGGCAATCATAGCACTCTCTTGCCTCACACACTTTAATGGCATCCTTTGCCCTCAAGATAAAATCTCATATCCTCACAATGGTCACATAGCCCTGAACAACCCAGCCTCTTCCACTTCCCAGCCCCCTTTCTGCACCACGCTCATCCCTGATTTCCTCCAACACAGTGCTTCTGCAGCTCTGCTGTCCTTTCAGTTCCCTGGATGCATCAGTCCTTCTCAAGTCTGTTCTTTGAGCAGAACATTCTCTTCCTTATTTTTAGTAAACCTGTCCAAATATTTTGTCCTTCATATCTCAGCTTAAATATAACTACCGCAGGGAAATCTTTCTCGAGCCTCAGACTAGGCTGAATGTCTTTCTTACTCATTTTTTACAGTAAGTACGTTTTGTTTTGTTTCGTTTTTGTAGTAGCACTCATCTTAATCTTAACCAAAAATTTTTAAGTTTAATTATTTGTTTAAATCCCATCTTTCCTAAAGGACCATAATGGTGTTGGTCGGGGGGTTGGGGGGGGGGGTGGGGGGCGTGGCGGGCGGATAAGCACAGAAACTACATCTCCTTTACACCTTCCTATCTTTTCGGTGGACAGCATGGTACCTGGCTCATGGTAGGGCTTCAATAAATATTTGTTGAATTATTGCATGAAAGAACTGTGCAGTATTCCGTAGGTCAATGGTTTGCAAGCTCTTCCTGGTCATAGGACCCCTTGTGTTGACTGATTGTTGTGGAAACAGGTTTTAACTCCACAACATTTACAGCTTGCAAGGGCACTGTGAAAAACACAGTTTTACAATACTGCCATTTAAAATCATTTCATATAATGAATGGTATTCAGTAATAAAGAGAAACCAATAAGGACACATGCTACATCATGAATGAACCTCAAAAACATTACTCAGTAAAAAAGCCAGACACAAGAGACCACATATTGTATGATTCCGTTTATAGGACATGTCCAGGAAAAGAAAGTTTATGGCTACAGAAAGTAGGTTAATGGCTGCCTGCAGGTGGGAATAGGGATTAATTGTAAACAGGCATGAGAGATTTTCTTGAGGGAGATGAAAATATCTAAGACTGATTTGTGGTGATGTCTGTACCACTCAGTAAAGTCACAAAAATTACACACTTGAAATGGGTGATTTTTATGATATCTAAAATGCACCTCAATAGAGCTATTTTAAAAATCATTGTTCTAAACTGTAGCTGACCTTCACCTTAACCTTACCTTTTTGACATTATTGCAATTTTTGTTCTTTGTTTCATTTCTTTCAGTTTGACTTTTTAACACACAGTTAGCTTGTATTTTTGCCTGATAATTTCATGGGGGTTTATGTTGTTTAGGGATGGCCAACCTGAACAATCATATTTCTCTAAAAGCACTGTAAATATATTGAATAGGTAATTAAATACTGATTGGCTGGTGATTACCAGTCATAACATATCAACCTTCTCTGAGATAAGCCCTCTAAAACCTCCAATGGTAGAGAAATGTTGTGGAAAAGAAGAGGCTTGGAATAGGAAAATGCTGCCTTTGTGGATAAACTGGAAGAAACTTTGAAGAGACAAATGGAAAACATCACACTTTGAGGCAATTACAGACTCTTGGCTGAAATTCAGCTTCAGGCTTATCTTGTGGGGAGGAATTTTTAAACACTTCAAAGTCCTACCCAGTGTTATAGCTGTCACCTTAATCTACCCCAAAAACATTCATTTCAGAAAGTGAAAGTTTCAGAGTCTACTGCTGAAGAATTCTGTAATTAGAGTAAAATATAACTGTGAATGCCTACAGGGATTTTTTTTTCTTTTGATATTGTAGGTAAACTCAAGTCAAAGAAAACTGAAAGAGTAGGATCTCTTAAAGCCATATAGCAGAGCCTTCCTGAACAAGGGTGAAGTAATCCTCAAAATCAAAATATAAGATTGTTTACCATATCAAGTTACATCTATCATCCACATCAATCTTGAACATCAAAACAAGTTCTAGAAAGAGGGAGGAATATTCACAGGATGGGCCATAATCCAAGGATTCAGGAATTTGAGACTCTGATGAGAAATAAAATAGATTTAAGATTCCTTTGATTTTTAGAATTATTTTCTGTAGGTGATGTCTAATATTATTTTTTGCTGATAGTTTCCGGATCTCAAAAATACTTCAAAGAGAAAAATAATATATGTTATTAAATGTTTTAATAATAAATATTATTGGTAATATAACGCTCATGTTAAATAACAAATTTTTCATATATGTAAATTGACAAAGCAATAAAATATATATTTGGGTTATTCTTTTGATTTCTTTTACTGTTATTCCTTCTTCTTAGTTTCCATTTGTACAAAATGGCAATAATTTTTCCTTTTTTCTCCTTTATTTTTCCTCTTTATGTTAGAACAAATGTCAATTTGCTGTCATATGACAAAAAAATATGGATAGCGATAGTTCTGTGTAGAGCCTCCTCTGAGTAAGGCACATGAAATATTCTGATTAGATTTCTGAATACAGAAGCTCAATGTTGCCTCCGAATCATTCACCTATTTTATTCTGGTATTTAAGGCAGGCGTAGAAATAGGTCATATAAAAACCTTGTCACATTTCTTCAAGAATTTGCAAGAGAAAAATTAGGCACTGGTCCTTGTTTCCCAGCTTGGTCAAGTTTCCCTACAAATCACTTCTCATTAGAATCCCTAGAATGACCACAACCTTTTCTAACTTGTAATGTGATTAGAAAGTAAAGTGTCCTCTTGCTTTCAAGTAACGGAAACTAGTTTTTCATGTGTTATACAGCATTTTTAGGTGTTTTATCATGGAGAGTTTTTACACTGGCAGAAAGGAGGGCACCTGGTTCTTCTTTTCTTTCTCTGGTTTTCATGTGCAGAAAGTGGTAGGGGAAATGGCTTTGTGTAAAATTATCTTTCTATTAAATAAGTACCCTGCAGTGTTTTATGGAAATCATTGTCAAATCTGAAAATTTTGCAAGGTATTGAACCTCTCTAGACATAATTTCTTATTTATAAAATAAGAGGGTAAATAATAGGGTCTTTAAGGCCTCTTCCAGTTTAAAAAACTACAGTGATCCCTACCTAATCAATGCTCACAGTCATGCAGAGTACAAGCCTTGTCTGTATCACACTTGTTAATGATTATTGTAGGCCATGAGTGAAGGAGCCTGCACTAATGCAAGCAGTGAATAATCAAAGCATACAGAACTTCAGCTAGTACAGATTCTACCAAAAAGTGTCATCATACTTACGGCATTATACATCTTTAAATAACTTTGGTTATTGTTAATTTTCTATTATGCTTTCTTGTGATTTGCTGTGTGTGTGTTTGTGTGTATAAGTGTGTGGTATTCTACAAGGATATGGGTACAGGAGTAATAATTAAATATTTAATAATAAGCTGGTCACAAGAGACATGTAGAAGACATGTCTAAGGTCCGTGTGTGTCTGTGTGTTTGTGCGTCTGTGTGTATATATATATAATGAATACTTATAGCTTCTGGCTGTCTGATGTCCATCCCTGTCCTCTTTTGGTATCAGCCCCTCCCCTAATTTTGACATAACTCCCTCGTTTTCGGGCCATGTGAATTTATGGGCTTGACCTCACCCTAGATTCCGGAGGTGGACAAAGGATTTAAGACATTGTGGCAGAGCAGTGTATCTCTCTGGCTACACTGACTTGTTAAGAAATAGACAATTATATAATGAGCCAGATTAATGTGACTTGATTTTGTGGTTTTACTGGAGCTATTAGTAGGGCAGATCATTCTCATTCTACTAGAATTTGTGAGATGGTAATCTGGAAAAGGTAATCTGTAGCTACTGGTGGGTGTCTAGCCTCCACGAGTAAAAATCTAAAAAGAAGGGGTTAACAAAGTGAAAATCAAAGCCAGGAGATTGAGATTGAGAGAGAGGAGAGAGAAAGAGAGAAAGAGAGTCTGAAGACAACTTTTGAGCTCCTGACTTAACCATTCCTGAAGACCTCAATTCTGTGAGCCAATATATTCCTCTTCATTATGCAGACAATTTATGTCAGACTTGCAGACTCATGATAAAACTGGAGGATGCGTACCAGAGGTCATCTCTGTCTAGTTCTTTATTTCCCTTTTTGTGTACCTTTCAGATTTAACTTAAGTATTACACTGTGTGAAAAGACTTTCTGGACTCTGTTTACCTTGAGTTAGGTGAACATCCTCCCCACCGTGTGGCAACGGTCATATCATATTGTTACTGTTTGTTAACATCTGTATTTCCTCCACTATGTTTTGTGCTCTGTGAGGTCAGAAACCTTCTTTCTCTGCCCTTGTATTCTCATAAGCAGTTGGCTTCCATTTAATAACTGACTAAATATAAGGCAATTAATTTGCAGCCTTCCACAATTTAAAGACAGAGATGATGTTCCTTCACAGTCTTCACATCTCTGAGGAAATATATTTTACAGTTACTTTTACTTTTTACTTTAACCTATTCTCCTTTACATTTATCCCCCCGTGGTCTGTCTTTTCTATTCTCTCACTTGGAAGATTTTAACTTATTTATTCATTCATTCAACAATATTTTAAATGTCTCCTGTGACCTAAGGACTACCCTAAGCATCAAGAATACAATGTGGAACAAAGCAAGTCTTCTGTTCTCAAAACTTACTGTTCAGTCTGTGGAAACAGTAAAAACCATGACAAGAGAGTGTTATTTGTGCTACAATTGCATGAGAAGAGGATGCCAGGGCAGACTTAGGAGGAGTACCTAGCCTGGTTTTAAGAGGTCACTGGAGACCTGCTGAAGGAAATGGCTTTAAGCTAAATGCTGAGGTGTCAGTAGATATTAATCTGCTCATGGAGGACCAGGGAGTGTCTCAGGCAGATTGACCAGTTTTCTCAATTATGTAGTGACGACAACTGAGACGCAGTAATATAAAACACTTACCTGATCACCAGGAAGTTTCTCCTCCAGCAATAGAAAGGCAGATTTTAAACAGATGTTTTGTTATCGTTTATGTGACCTATTTCTCCTCTTTCCATTCCCTTGCCTAGTAAAATTTGTCCAACTGTAATTAAGAGTATTTACTTCTCCTTTATTGTACTGCTTTGCCTCCCACAAAATTCACCAAGAAGAGTTTCACTTGGGCGTTGAAAAGGGTCTTGTACATCACACGGCTTCCTGAAAATGATAACAATAGCTACTTTTTATTGAGAGTCACTATATGTGATTTCCCTGTGATTTAGATGTTATATCCCCATTTTATGAAAGATTAAATTGAGGCTCAGGGACAGACCCAAATATCAGCCAGCTAGTAAGAGGAAATCTGTGGTCTTATCCCAGATTCTGAAAACAGCACCTTTCTAATTATTTCTTATCATATAGTTTCCTTCTAATATCTGGCTGTGAAATAATACAAGTTTTTATGCAGGGGACAATTTCAGAAGAGGGAAAAGGAAATGTGTGGTGATTTTAAAACATGGGGTGTGGAATGACAGCTGTGGGCTATTGCTGTACTTGAGATTTGCTCTATCAGAGATGAGCAGTAAGCGAAATGATTACTCTGAGGGTAAAGAGTACATATTGCCAGGAAGGAAGGAAAGGTGATTGGAGATTGAGTTCTTGTCAAATTGAATTGATTTCATCTTCTTAGATACTTCATTCAAGAGTGAGATCTTTTGGTTTAAATTGCAAGTACATGACATATCCAATATTCCTCACTAAATCCAGGAATTTCTATGCCATAGGAGGCTACTAGGATGTACTCATTTCACAGGATGTGTAACACGTCTCTAGCCTACATCCAGGTTATTCTCATCATAGTCTTTGTGGAAATAAAACAACATGCTGAAGAAAAGGACAGTTTAGAAAACTATCTCCTTAACTATAAACTTTCATATCATTAATGTGCTGATATTTTGACAGAACTGATGCCATGTGCTATTAGCATACAGTAGTTTTTGTTCTTTCTTTCTTTTTTTTGGTTTTCACAATGGTATAGGGTCACAAGAGCAAGATAACCCAATGACATAGTAAAGTTATAGAAAACAAAAAAGTTAAAGCTTCAAAGATTAAAAGGAAGCGTTAAGAAGGCCCCATGAACAGCAGCTTTCTCTGCACATTAAGCAATAATACTGGAAAAAATGTAAACAATTTTTTGACATGTGAACAGCACAAAATTCTTATCTGTTTTGTTGGGTGGAACACAGACTATGGTGTTAAGTGGTGTTAACTTCAGTGAAATAGAAACAAGGACCACAGATGGCAAGAAATGTCACTGTTGCAAAGATTCTGGTGGCAAAATGTTCTTTGATTTTAGAGAAAACTTATTTTGAATGTTCACTTTTGATCCAGAACCAAGCTATATCTAATTTCAAATATAAATGCTTCAGATATTGATTGGGATAGTGCTAGCTACTCTTCCAAGGAAAACAATATTACCAAAGTTAGTTTGTTGCTTACATACAGTCCAAATTACTTTTCTAATCAGTAGGTGGCTCTCCTCCAAACCCTTTCCAACTTGGCTCATCCATCTTCCACAGGAGGCTTGTAAGATTGTCATATTCATCTGCATCAGGCCAGAGGCAGAGGACAGAGTGAGGAAGGCTCACCCATTGAAACTGAGACACGTGCCCCACTCTATTCTCATCCACATAACCTCACTAATGGAGGTTAGAAATGTAGACCCTGCTAGGCAACTACTTCCCAGAAAACTCTACACCATATGGATGCTTGGGAGGTGGGTCAAACAATATGGTGTATAGTTAGCTAGAATAAGAAGCAGCTGAGAACCAACTTCCTGGTATCCCCTCCTGGTTCTTTTCCATAAACTCACTCACTGTTCATTTTCTTCCCACATCAACAACAATGAAGTCTCCATTAATTCTCCTAGTACAGGTTTTCAGAACCAAAATTTATATAAGACTTAGGAGCTAGCTAGCTAGGTAGCTAGATATATAAACGTATACATATAAACCACCTAATTTAGATATGTACGATTTTTTTCATCTCTTTGCTGTTTCCTTAATTATTGTGAAATGTAATAGTAAGACAAACTTACCTTCACATATTTCTAGTAACAATTTTATCTTTTCAGGTGTCCTAGACACCTGAAAAGCCAACTTTCTCTTTAGTATTCACTCTTCTAGCTCTTATTTTTGAAAGACAAGGACATAACTCTGTAGTACTTAACTTTCCACCAGGCCCTCCCTTTACTAGTTTCATGTACTGTTAAACTGACTAAAAAAATTTGTTTTCTAAAAGAAACTCGATTTCAGGACCAAATGCAATACTTGCAAATATTGGCCATGGGGTTCTTGTTCCAATGGTGCTTATACCTAATCAGGAGGCAGATCAGAGCTATGACTTCTCTTTCAGACATGACAAAAGACAGTGATCGGGCTCGAATGCCGTCTCAGAGACCAATATGAAAATCATTTTACTATAACCCTCATTGTCCAGGCTATTTTTAAAATAATAAAAATGTTATGTATAATATATAATAAAAAATATATAAATATATAATTTAAAAATCCAATTTTATAACATGCCTTCCCTAGTAAACTGTCTGCCAACTCCAGACCTGATTTTCAGTGTCTTCCCTTAAGCTAGACATTTCTGGATTTATAAAATGCTCTTTTCACCTTAGCATGTCTCTGCTGAAAGTTATATCACATCATTTTAAATAAAATCTGCTTTAAACACTTTTAATAAATGTTCTGCCTTTCTCTTGGGAGACAAAGAGAGACACTAAAGAGGGGTTTCCTCCATTTATCTATCCATACAATGAACAGAATTATGGTAAATTGGCCCATCTCCTTCACTCAGCTTTCCTATGACATATAAGGTGACTTTGTCAACTCCTCTACTTTTTTTTAATACATTGATCAAATAGTCATGACCCAAAAATTTTGTAATGAAAAGATGTTAAGGACACAAAGGGACAGGAGGAGTTTTTGAGGAACCTCCAAACAATTCCCCATAGTGGTTGTACTAATTTGCATTCCCACTAACAGTGTAAAAGGGTTTCCTTTTCTCCAGTAAAGCTTCATGATTTGGGACTAATGAAGGGAAATGTTAACCTACAGATTAGAGAATTATTTGTTAACCTAAAAATTAGAGAATATTTAAATAAAATTTAATTTTATTAAGGTCAGTTCATCATAAATAATGAATAAAGACATCTTTCCCATTTGCTTGAAAGAAGAAGTAATGGCATTCACTTGTATACAAACAATTTTAATTCTTTACACTTGTTCTCTCTGAAGATTAAACATTATTTCTCTGATTCTTTTCTTCTTACTTAATCCGATTTACTGTCATTTGTGTAGAATTCCCCTGCTTTAAGGATAGTAGGCAATAAATCTTCATTCTACTCTGATTGAATTATTTCCATTTCAAATTTAGTTCTATCTGAATTATTAAGCTGCATTGAGAATAAAGTCATTTGAATTTTATACGTTAAGTGTCCATTTCCACGACTATAATTGTCAGCCTTTATAATGCACTTTTGAGTCATTTTTCCATATATAATTCCCTGTATCTCAATAATGAAAATGTTTGTGAAAATCATTGTAATAAGCATAGATATTTATTTTATTGTCTGTTATAGAAAGTGTGAACTGAAACTTCAGAGGAAAGATGACTGAGGGAAAGAATCTGGCATGACAAAGGATGCTACTCAAAACTGGCAAGAAAACAAGAACGTGCAAATAGCAAAATAAAACTAAGCTACCTGAAAATAATTGAAACCCAATCGCTCTTAAAACAGGTGGGAAAATGTCTTTTTGCACTGGGAAAAAGTGTCTTTTGCATCAGGAAATAACCACAAAGCTTAGAGGGCTACTTTTGAAATCTAAACCTGTTCCTATTCTCTCCTGCCTTCCAGGACCTGCTCTCTCTTCCTCTCTGAGTTCCTATGTGATGCCCATAACTTGACAGGACAATTCCACGGTTTGGCTAGAATCTGACGGAAACGTGTAGCAAAATGTTTAGTGGCTTCCACTTGCCACGGTTCAGCAGTTTTCATTTTTAAATGGATATTCATCTTGTTAAAATATTTACTTTATTGTGGTGAGTTGCAATATTTTCATATTCTGCCAATGAGATTCTGTGGTAAGATTAGCTCTGACTTTTTAATGAAAATGACTCTAGATGTTTGCTTTATGAGTACTATCTTATCAATCACTCAGTTATTCTTTCACATGGACAATAAATAAATATAAATACAATCAACAATAAGAAAACCTCAAAAAAATCATAACTCTTAAATACATAGCCCAATGTTTATATATATTAAAAAAGAGAATAGCTTTTAAATGTAAATGTTCTTAAAGCCTCTAACTTTTCAAAGGTCTCCTTTCTCCTTCTTAACTTTTAAAAAATTATTCCCAAAGAATAAATTTATAGAAGCCATTTTCTCTTGTCATCTACATAGTTCCTTTTTTTTTTTTTTTTTTTTTGATCTGTTTTTGGTTTTTTGAGATGGAGTTTTACTCTTGTTGTCCAGGCTGGAGTATAGTGGCATGACCTCGGCTCACTGCAACCTCCACTTCCTGGGTTCAAGCGATTCTCCTGCCTCAGCCTCCAGAGTACCTGGGATTACAGGTACCCGCCACCATGTCCAGCTAATTTTTTTTTGTATTTTAATAGAGATGGGGTTTCACCATATTGGCCAGGCTGGTATCGAACTCCTGACCTCAGGTGATCCATCTATCTCGGCCTCCCAAAGTGCTGGGATTACAGGCATGAGCCACTGCACCCGGCCCATATTTCCTTTCTAATCACCAAAACTTCCCATCAGCTTGGCTGTAATGGTCATCTTCAACACCAGTAATTTAGAATTCTACCTATAAGAAAATAATAAGCAAATAAATATAAATTGAAGACCAAAATACAGTAAGCAATCTATTATTCTGCCAAATTCTTGTATTATAAAAGCAACTACAATTATTGTCATCATTTGTTTTCATAAAACAAAGGAACTTTTATACCCAAAATAAACAATCTATCTTTTATGGAAAGCTTGCTACATTGTCTTTACTTTTCACATTCTATTATTCTTTCCTAGATTATTATAATCCATGTACTGATGTAAAAGGATCCCTCTTCTGCACTATATGATGGCAAAATATTTGCAGCTACTTTGTGAATTTCATATTGTTTTCTATTTAACATACTTTGAAATATATTTGAAATGTCCTTATGTGCTTAGGGACATTTCCTTCAGTGATGTTAGTCCCTTACCCTCCATTGTTGTCTAAACAGAAAAGCAGTTCCAATTGAATTAGTAAATTGCACAGACTGGAGCATCTTTAAATTCTTTCTACGTAAAAGCAGTAGAATGTCTTGCCTCTATTTTTCCAAGAAAAAAATAATCATAACTAGATAGTGCTATTCTCAGTTATTAGTTTGCTCATGTATAGGCAAACTTATTCATGAATAAGTGGTTAAGTAGAACTCACTAAGGTGTCAGTGCTTGGTTTGAATTAGCTTCTTCTTTTAGTTGGGAGGGCTGGACTGTCATTCAAGGTAGCTCAAAATGAAGAGTTTTTCTTAGAAGTACTTCAGAGGAAAAATTGAGAGTTAGGAATCTTACTATTATCCCCAAATAGAAGCCACAGAAGGAGGCTTCCTCAGAAACATAGGCTATAGATTTTAATTTCAGGAATCACGGCAGCACTAAAAGAAGACTTTTTAAACTCCATTAAATTAACGTAACAACTTTCTACCCTGTAGTTTCATTTTCCTCTAATACCAGTGGGCATAGTTTTTTGTTTTTTTTTTCCTCTGCTGTGTGTCTTTTCTTTATTTAACTTCTTCATTGTTTCTGCTTCCTTGTAATTCTGGTTTACAATATATGATGGTGAAAATTACCGTAATTTGAAGTGATATAGATCTAGATTTAAATTCAAAATTTACAAATAGTTAACTGCTCAGACATAGGCAATATACTTTATCTCATTAAATATTCAGTTTTATAATCTACAGGATAAATAAAAGTAGTAACCAATTTATTTTAATGAGATAATGTTACTAAAATATCTCCTATAAGAGATCAATACAATTGACTATTAATTTATTACTATTTTAAGGATTATCATGGTCCTGACTTGACTCACAACACTACCTGGAAGTTTGGGCTTCCATACTAACTTCTTTATTATTTCCATATTTTCCAATTGAAGTTTTCAAAAAAGTAATCTATTGACTATATAATCTTTCATAGCAGACTACTTCATAGGTACATGGCTGGGCTGTAGATTGGCCACTTTAGGGTCAGATACCCAGTCTTGTCCTAATGCTATGAGAGAGGTGGAACTGAGGATGTAATTGCTAATGCAAAATATGTCAAATTTTTTTTGTTGTCAGAAACTACAGGCAGATTTATCTCACATAGAAGAAGCTATAGGTATAACAGGCATATGGAGTTCATTCACCAAGGAAGAATCCAGAAGTTTCTCTTCAAGTAAGTATATCAATGCCCTTATCCTATGATTAGCCATTTGTGTAATATTGGGATTTGAAATATCCAGGTATCTTATATGTTTCTGGTATACAAATATGGCCTGCTAAAAACTGTGAAAAGGAAACCAAGCACAGAGAACCAAACATACGTGTAAAAGGATTTGAACCTGTAGACATGTTTAGCCCAGGTTCATTTTGAAAGATGGGCAGAAAACTTGGTTAGTTTATTCTTACTGTATCCAAACCCATGATAATGTCCCCCTCTGAAAGACAGAGATATAGAAAGAGTATAATTACTGATGGAAAACTAGTGCAGATAAAATAACCTAAGCTTTAATCCAAACCTCAAACCATAAGCCCAACCCAAGACTTTTTTTAGGTTTGTATAGGTTCAGATAACTTTGGACTTTTAGAAAACATCATTTTTGCAAAGTGACACTTCTTGCTTTGTACTGTTAAGAATAAGCAGGGTAAATATAGAGTATAAGGACAACTCCTGTTAAGATCCTGAGTTCCTGGCTGACCTTTTGCAATTGCTTGCCAGCTGATGAGCTAGAACAAAGAGAGAATGCAAGGGATATATGTGAGTAATCCAATTTAACAGTCATTATTGACTCCCTGGAAGAGCTCAACGTGCTATCAAAAGACATGAAATTTAATCATAAGAAAATAAAACTATGACTACATAATGTCTAACCAATGAGGTCATGTATAAGTTAAAATTTCCCACGTATATACATCATTTGTTATTTTACTTCATGCCAAATTTCACTAGAATTATAGAACAATAGGATTTTCTTTCTCATCTTTTTTTCTTGTATTTTCTTACTCTACCTCTCTCTCTTTTTTCTTCCATTTTTTTCCTTTTCTTTTCTTTCTTCCTTTTTCTTTTTTTCCTTACATAGTAAAGGCTGAATGGATAGCATTCTGCTAGGCAGTTTAAGGGAGCATTATAAGAACTCTTCTTTGATCCCAAGAAGTATATCACCAGCTATCTATTTTTTACCCTGAAAAAAGGGGACTGCAGATACCAATAACAGACTTATTCTATATTTTCTTATTTAACTTTAGAATAAAATATGTCTTAGCCCTTTCCTTTTCTTTTCTTTTTAGAAGTATCTAAAAATTGTATTACTTAAGGATACTTCCTAAAAAGACTGTAAGGAAAATCTATTGTTTACCTAGCCTCCTCCTTTTCTTAAACAATTGTTTCTTTCTGTATGCTCCATGTGGTTCTAATAAGAACTGCTACCCTGGCCACAGGTGATGGGTTCAGATGTAGGGCCGAGCAGAGATGGGTAGGGTTCCACCATGCTTTTCAGATGAGCCTAAAGGAAGGGAGGCATCCCCCTTGCAGTGGCTGTGTTTCTTGGAATACAGAGGGAGCCAGTCTCAGAATGGAGTCAACTATCCACACAGAAAGAAAGAGAGAAGTAGACAGAGTGTTGCTCTTATTTGTGGTCTTGCTTCTAAGAGTGCCTGTGGCAGAGAGTAGAACCCTAACCATACCACACTTGACTATTGAGATTTATGGGATATTCATGAGGAAGCCAACAATAATTCAAAATGTGATGAGCAAAGAGTTTGGGGCATTTAAAAATTAACCTTTTTTCAATACGGTTAGTTCAATAGGGCGGCTCTCCTTAAAATGTAGTAGTCCTGAGCAAAATAAAAATTCAGAGATAGTTCAAGAGAGTGCTAGGTGTAAAAGATAAGTTATGATGTGTTGACATAAAGAAGACTTTAGTTGTCACTAGAAATGTTCCTGTCACAGATTTGCAAAGAAAAGACAAATGATTTGAAACAATGGATTGATCTATTGATCTAGTATCAGACAGACTTTTGTTCAAATCCTGGTTCTGTCTTTTAATAACTGACCAACTTTGGCCAAGTTACTTGACCTCTATCTTTCCATTTTCTCATTTTAAAAATGAGACAAAAGTACTACCCAACTTGTAGAGTTATTTTGAGGATTAAAAATGACACAACCCTCAGGAGAGTGTGGGGCACGTAGTAAATGTTAAATAAATGGTAGCTTATTAGAGGTTTTTATTGATCAACTTCTCTGTGAGAGATATACAAGAACAAGCTTCTCCAACTCAGTTTTAATCTTTTTAGTGAAGCAATATACAGATATAGTTTAAGCCCTTGTATTTGCCCTCTGGCTAGAGGGAGGCGTAGCTATAAATTAAAGTAAATATGCTAGTGAGCATGCCACAGCTGAAATCAACTAAGGGGAGACTGCAATGGGGAGATGTAAAGAGGGTGATGTACCAAGGAGGAAGGAGGTGTTTGCAGTTGATTAATTACACCTTGATGTGACGTCTCCTCTGGTTGTATGAGTTAGGGGTAACTGTGCTAAAGTGGAGTCTTGTAAGTTAATGTTCTTGAATTTATGTAGATAGCAATTTATGTGGGAACACCAGCTTCTTCACATCAAGAGTCTGAGAGTTACCTCCTGCTTAATGCTGCTTATTCGTTCAATGAATATGCATTGCTTCCTTATTACAGGTAAGGCATTGTGTCAAGCACCATGATGAAAACAAGCATGATCCTCTGTCCTCATGGAGCTTCCATTTAAGTCTCTTTTCTGGGTCCTTCATTATGACTGATACTCATTTCCAGGGAGTTCTCTTCCATGATTCCTATAACTATTTTGTAATTATTTATTTCCCAAAGAATACTACATGTTTTTCATATATAGGTAGTTGGGTACTGGCTGTATTTGTATTGTCAAACATTAAATACAATGGAACAACTATCATTTCCATCGGAGCTGCTTGTATCTGGTCTCCATTATCCCTCAGCCGCCTTCCTAATAACCTGGAAAATGGCATGGCCCTTTTGTGATGCAGATTTTGATATCACCTCTTGCTGTCAACGCTTCCAAACACCACGTGACACTTGCCACTTATCTTCAGTGGTTTCTGCTACTGAGCTTACTAGTGACTACATCAAAGCTTATCACTTCCAAAATGCTTTTTTTTCGTATCTGCTCTCAACTCCACCAGAAGTTCCTAGCTATATATCATCACAATTTTTTTCTTTTATTCTTTTTTCAAAAAGAGATATATTCAGCATATTTCCAAAATAACATATTCAAAGGAGGCACTGCAGAGACAAATCAAGAGACTGGAGATTTTTATGGCAAATTTGAAATGCTAAAAATATTATTTTGAATTGGTAGCACAGTCTCCAAATTACTAACAATGTAATAGAATTTATACGCAAAAAAATTGCCGTGGGGAAGACGGAAACTATACTGTCATTTCTATTTTGAAAATAAGAAATTGACACATCCCAGTTACAATCATATAATAAATCAGTAGTGGTGTCAAGAAGAGAATCTAGTGAGGATTTCTAGTCAAATGTGCCATCTACTTCATCATAATGAAATTGAAATATATGAATATAATAATCTTGTCAATTCAATGAATCACTTACTTCATTATCTGGTTCTACCTCCCGTGACCTATGTAGGCTATTAAGTCACGACTAAATAATGAGTCACCCTCTGAACTTTAGAATAACTTATGTATAAATTAGACTTTGCTTTGCCTCAAACTTACCTTACTCATGGCCAGTAAGGACACACACAGAAACAGGTGGTTGTATATATGCACACACATATGCACATGCACAAAGGTACATGCACACATGAAAGATAAAGTTGAAAAAAAGGCTAAAAACATTACCATTCAAAGGACCAAAATTGTCTTTTATGGTGAAAATAATCTTATTTCTCTCCCAAGCATATTCAAATTCCAGAAGAAAAAATAGCCTGGAAGAGAAAAAAAGCAGTTTATTAAGTACTAACTATATTCCAGTACTTCAGCTAGCCTTGTTATATGGCTCTTTATATTTTAGTCTTTCAACACATTTTGTGGTGGCTATCATATTCATGATACATAGGAACTTACAAGGCTTGGAAGGTTACTGGTTGCTAAAATTCATGTAGCTAGTGAATAATAATCCAGAATGCAAACCTCAGGTCTATCTGGGCCCCAAAACCCATGTGTTCCCATTTATACCATATTGTATAATGACTGACTAACAACCATTTAGAGATAAAATTATAGAGTTTGTTGTTGTCATTCAACAGGCTGGGATTGACTATTAGATTAAAATCTCTTTCAGAAATATTTTACATTGTATTTCTAGTAGTGTATCTACAATGTGACATTCAATACAAAATTCTCTGGGAATTTTTTGAGGCTTTTTCTTTAATCTTTGGCCTTTCCACTGTTGGTGAAAAGTTGTAAATTTCATTATTTTCCATTTATTTTATGCTTAAAGACCATTGAGGAAGCTTTACCTACATATTTTATTATTTAGATTCTCATTTTGTATATTCTCCACCGAGACTTTAAATTATAATATAACATTTTTATAGTAATTAGTAAATGACTAAAAATATGGAACTAATTTGAAGTTTTAATAAATGTACTAGTATCATTTCTTCTGATCCCTTTGCTAATCTTGTCCTTTTCTCTCTCATCTGTCAAACATGAATATCTCTTATTCCAAGTCTGAAGTATGATTAAGAGATATTATTGTTTCCACCTGTATAGTAAAAAAGTAATGGATCAGGTAGGATGGGTTAATCAACTCAAGCTTTGCTCAAAGGAGTTAAAAATATTCTAGACACCATTCAATTCCATTTTGCCCACTTTCTCAGATGCTCTATATGTGAATATATTCATTTCATTTTGAAATCATTTCATGACTTTTATATATCAAATTTCAATAGCTGGATTTTCAGAGAGCCCCACCCCATAGTACCATGCTGGCATGGTTGGTTCAGGGCCAAATGGGGTGCTGGAAAGAGAGAAGCCATAGAAAAGTGTTGCCTCCTGGGCATTTCAATCAGATACAACTGAAATATCCAATATTTCAGGAAAGATGCTGTGTGAGCAAGGCTGGGTATATATTAGGACTTCCCTTCAGATCCATGCATTCTCTTCTACCATGTCTAGTGTACACTATGTTCTTCTATAATTATAAATGTATGTTTCCCATTACCACAAAGACTTCTTATTGCTTGAAGGAAATGCAACTTCAAAGAGCTTAAATTGTGAAGGGCAGGCCTCCTTCTGAGAGCTACCATGGCTTGGGGGCGATTCCTCCTTTAACTCATCCACAGTAATACCACTGGCCAGCTTGGCTGGCTGCATATTACCCTGTCTAGATCTGCCTGGGGCTTTGGTGGCTTCAGCTTTTGAAAAGAACATCTTTGAATTTTTGATAATGTAAATCTCAATATTGTCTTTTCAAGAATATTCTGTGCAGCATGCTCCCTTTCTGTCTTAAAAGGTGGAAAGGGTTCCAGTCTTTCGTGATTCTAAACCTCACACACAAAGGATTTTTTGAAGAAAACTGGCACTTTGATTGTAGGGTAAACTTCACATGGAGACTGAGTTTCAGTGTTAAGTGGCTGAGAGTCAACAGTAAAGTGACATGCAAAAGAAGAAAGGATACTGAAATAAAAGTTAAAAATGTGATAATCTAAAAAAACATGGAACGTACTTTATGACAGAGCAGTTTGGGAGAAAACTATGCTCTATTTTTAACCATCTCTTTTTTTAAACCCTAACAATTACATTTTTTGAAAGTGTCTCCAGGATAGCAGCTTCCAAGAATGGAGTCATGTTAGTCAAGAATTAGAACAGTTGACACAACCTGTGTCAGACTCTGTGCTGAGCTCTTTTCAAGGCAATCTCATGTAATTCCTTCAATTAACCTATGACATTGCTAGTATTATCCCATTTTACCTATGAGGAATATGAGGTACTTAAAGACTGAGAAACTTGCCTCAGATCACGCAGCTGAAATGCTATAAACTAAGTTTGGAAAGCAAACCATGGGACTTTCTAACTTGTGCCTGTTATGTTTACGCTATGCTCTCATAAATATTTCTTGTTTGGGGATAATCTTTTAGGTGGCTTTGAAGATACAGAACACAAAAACCAGAATTTGTCTCTACTAATACTTGTTGGTGTCTAACCTAAAAAAATAACCACATAAGTGTGCCCTCACAGCAATATATCAGTAGAACTCATTTATAATCCTAAAAAAAAATCATTCTTAAAAGAAGAGAATAAAAATAGGGTAGGCGCCATGTAATGAGTATTTACCATGTTAGTAGGTAGTGGGCTAGGTGCTTCACAGAAATGTTCTCATTTAATCCTCTCATGATTCTATCAGGCCAGAATTATTATTCCCATTTCCAATACGTGGTGATTTGGGCTTAAAGAATTGTGTAACTGGCCAGGTGAGGTGTGTCACGCTTTTAATCCCAAAATGTTGGGAGGCCAAAGTGGATTGCTTGAGCTTAGGAGTTTGAGACCAGGCTGGGCAACAGGGTGAGACCCAATTTCTACAAAAGATATAAAAATTAGCCAGGCATGGTGGCACAAACCTATAGTCCCAGATACCTGGAAGGCTAAGGTGGGAGGATCATGTAAGCCCCAGAAGGTCAAGGCTGCAGTAAGAGGTGATCATGCCACTGTGCTCCAGCATGGGTGACAGAGCAAGACCCTGTCCCACACACAAAAAGGAAAGGAAAGGAAAGAAAGGAAGGGAAAGGGGAAAAGAAAGAAAAGAGGGAGGGAGGGAGGGAAGGACGGAGGAAGGAAGGAAGAAAAAGAAAGTGATACGGGATGGGGCAAGAAATAGAATTGAAGCATGACTGTCTGATTCCAAATTTCATTCTCTCAAATATAGTACTAAATTGCCTTTACACAAACAAAGACATAAACATAAACAGATCCATTTATCAATCATAGACATTGTATCAGGTATGCTACTAGGAAGTTTTCATATATTATTTCTTAATCTTACTTGTTAAGGGACATGTTAATCTTACGTGTCACTCTTACCAGCTTTCAATGTATCAGTTTTTCAGATAAAAGGTATTCCTCAATTACCCTATTTTTTTTTCACATGATGTTTGGAGGAGATAAAAGATAAGTTCCGGGGAACATAGAAAAACTTCAATGAAGATCTAATGGGTGCCAGTTCCCCCTTATCCATTACATAACACCAATAAAGCAGGAGAGAACTCTGAAATGCCACATCTATGAGAAACTAATCTAAACTTTATACTATGCAAGAAAAAAATGTTTCGCAGCCTTCTTTGATAATTCCAATTTTCACACACTAACCCTCAGTGTTAGAAGGTCATGCTGAAACTTTAATGTAGGTACATTTCTCTTTTTACACCTCTTATAACCATAGCAACTTTTCCCTAAGTTTCCCAAGTTTTCCCCAATTATTGAAGGAACTACTTTTCTCAAGAGTAGTTGTAATAATAATGAATTTTTATTATCCTTGTACTGTTCAAAATACCATTTTTCACAACATGGCTGAAAGACAGTATTACCTCTTCTGCTTCAGTAATACACTTTCTTCTGAACTGGTTTTAGTATAAATGACTTTTATGATCTTATACTATGGCATTGGTTAAGGATTAGAAAATTTTATTTACCTCACCACTGAATCTGCAATGTCCACATAAGTAGACTCATTTCTTTATAGCATCAAATGTTTTTTTAGATACTGATTCTGATATGTTCTTATTGATGACTCTGCTCATCAAACACAAATGCAAGAAGAAATGCAAAAAATTACCAAGTTATTTTTCTAACTCTGTGTAGCCTAAGAAAGATGAAAGCCACATTGTGATTTACAGGAAGGGCATCCCTCAATGTTTCAGAGATATTTATCATTTACCAAGCGTTACAACCCACCAGTGACTATGGTGACCCGTGCTCTAAAAAGGCAAAGAATAAAATGGTAGAAATGAAGATAGATGGAATCAATCAGGAAGTCAAATAAAATCTGGGAAATCAAACACAGCCCCGATATGGCAGCTGCCCCCAGATCAAATGCAAGGGTTAAAAAACCCAAGCTCCCACATGTGGGTGTGTGCTTTGAACCAGCCATCAATGTCAAAGACAGTATCCTGAGTCATTTTATCTCAGTGATTCATAAGCAGGTCTGGGCCATCCCATTGAGGCTTTGATTGCTCGATGTGGAAAATGAGATAATGAACCTCAAAGCAGCCTGAGATCTAGCTTTGGCTTTACTCTAACCCTGGCTTAGATTCTGGTTTGTTTATGATAACTTGCCCATCCAGAAATGCTGAGGACAGGACTGCCAAGCCCTGCCACACTTACCCTGGATATTGAGTGGTTTGACCACCATCTGCAGGCTTAAATAGACCTCTCACCCTGCCCATGCCTGGGGCCAATTTTTATTTGAGGCAGGCTGAATTTAAGAATCATCACTAACATTGTCAGACTTAGCATCAAGTCTCTCTTCCTGCCAGTTTAGCCTTGACCTTGAGAGAGAGGCTTTTCCTTTGTTTCTGAGTTTCACTTTCCTACATCGTCACCCAATTCAGTTGATTAGGTCTCTGTATTTTCTATGCCTGAGTCTCACCTTGCATAACCTTTCCAATCCCCCAAGATCTATAAAACTAAGAATTCCTTTAAATTTTCTGATACTAGAGTTACGCTCTTAAATACCATTAGGCACTATGGGCCTGCACCTGCCTGAGCAGTGCTATGTGCCCAGTCACTTCTGGATGCCTCTCCCAACCTCCTGATAGTACTTGCCTTATTGGCCTCATTGCACAGGTGTCTATGAGTAATAGCACATGTTCTGGATTTACTTTATCTGGGCTTATAGCGCCACCATTTTCAAGCAGGTGACATGATCAAGTTAGTTTCCTTTCATTGACTCAGCATCTTTGCCTAAAAATGAAGGTGAAAATGAGTGTGACCATCTCATAAAGCTGTTGTGTTAATATATGCAAAGTACATATATTATGCAATATGTACTCAGTAAATGTTCGTTATTTCACTTTAGAAGCCATGCTAGAAATGAATCTAAAATTTTATTTTTATTTAAGTATTCCATAATGTCAGATGTTGTTGGGTTGTTATTTTTCTTTCATATGCCATGTACTTTCTTCCAAATTTTACTTCCTTCTAGGCTTGACACTTCTGTATTTAGGTCAGGTTCCAAGTCCCTCCTCTTCTGTGCCTGTCTCACTCTGCTGTAATTAATGTGGTCATGTTAAGCATGATCTTGAGAATTGAAGAGATTAGGCCTAGAAGAGAGGAAGGAGAATATTCTAGGGTTGACGAAACTGGATTTACTGTATACCTATAGGATTCCGAAATGGAGAAATTATGGTAACAATGAGCTGAAGGCAGGTTTTGCCAAAGTTGCCTGAAAATAGTTTCTCTTCTACTATTCAGCCCAATGTGCTCCTATCTACTATCAGCAGACGGGTAGAAGGGAGAGGAATCATATACCATTTCTCCATATTTTCCAAGAAAACTTTTATCTCCAGACATACTTCCTTCCCTCAAGTTCAGCCAAAAATAGCAGATAAAATGACTGCATCATGATTCTTAACAGCCCATCAAAGAAAAGTTACTGCATCACTTCTTAGGCATTGGTTTTCAAACCAGTAATACACTAATTCTGGTAGACTCTATGGAACAGGAAATTATATTTTCTTAATGCTGTTTTTGCTTCAAAAATAGTTGCCATTCTTATCTGCTGACATAGGAATAAATGTGTAGAAACAAAGTCAAGAAAACTTATGTGCAATTTCCATTAATAGGCTCTCCATAGCAGGGAAGAAAGGACCAAAGCCAAGAACAGCCATCAATATATTTTTCAGTGATGCTGAATCAGGAATTGGTAATATGAGAGGTTTACTTAGCTTAATTTTTAATTGAGGATTATGATATTGTGGTTCATTTGGAGAAAGCTTACAGATTTCTTTTTTATTAATCTTAATATCTGTTTTTCCCCATCTTACACTCTCTGCTTATTTTCTTTAATGTCCAAATATTCTTTCCTCCAATCCAAAACTCAATTATTGATTGGAGCTGGATTCATCTGTCTGATATAGTGAAGGCTGCTTCTTCTGAACAGAAAAGAAAAATGGGGATAAATACACATCTTTACTACTTATACTGTATTGAAATTACAAAACCATTATAGATGCCATTAGAATATACTTCCCCAATTTTATTAAACTCCAGTAAGTGGTGGGCAAACTGTCCAGGGAATTGGTGGACAGAAGAGCATTATCATAATTTGATTACTGAGCACAGGATGTGTAATAACAATGACAGAATAAAAGAAATTGCAGCTACAAGGACATTGTTAAAAAATCAAGGTGCTCAATAGGGAAACTATAGTTAACAATAATTTATTGCATATTTAAAAATAACTAAAAGGATGGGATTGAAGTGTTAACACAAAGAACTGATAAATGCTTGAAGTGATGAATACCCAATTACCCTGATTTTATCATTATACATTGTATCTTGTATCAAAACATCACTTACTTTCCATAAATATGTATAACTATTACATATCCATAATAATTAAAAATAAAAAGCAGAGCAAATGATAATAATGCTTAAATATGCCTTATAGAAGATAACCAGTTTTTTTTTTTTCTGGAAAAGGCAAAACTTGAAGGAATGTTTTCCTTCAAGTCAGACTGATTCCAGCATTAAACTTTTAACTATCAAGCATATACTGTCACTGTAACATTGACCTGCATATTGAAACCTGTCATGATCTAATTTTGAAACGTAGTTTTGAAAAAGTGATAATCGATAATCTTTTCTATCCAATGTCCACACTTAAGTCCAATTTGTAAATCCATTTTGGTTTTACAGTGTTTATTTTTTCCATTGTCAAGTCAAATCCTGTCAAGGACATTGTCATTGAATCAACTGCTTTGAGTCTATCATCATTACATATTTGAAGTGTAAGTCAGCTGGATACCGAGAAGATAGATATGTCATGGACAGTTCAATTGCAAGGACACAGAAACCTTAGGCACCAAGCTCAAAGCCTTTGGTTAAGAATAACCAGTCCGTTCCTTATAGCTACACCCAGGTTGCTCTGTCTACTTCTTTTACTTCCCTGTGCAACATGCCTAAACCACACCAACTCAGATTATAAATATTTTTCAGATAAATACCTGGCAGCTGCATAAGCAGGGCTGGCGTGAGAAAATTATGAAGTAGGTCAACTTCATCTTTGATCCCCACCCAGCCTTTTTCTCAGCACCATTGTCCATGGCCCATTTCAGGTTCTATTTCCTTCCTTCCTACCCCAAGGACTGATGCTTAATGCTTGAGATACTTGAGACAGCCTCGCCTTTGCTCTCCTTCCGCCTCGTACCTCACATGTGAGACTTTACTCTTAGGAGCGTACTCTGTTATTCACCTTATCCTCAACTCATTCCAACACCAATGTCTTTCTGAGCTCTTTTTCATGTTGGCTGTACTCTTAGGCAAGGTGTTTCTAAAGTGGACAATTTCACCCAGAAGCTTCAGACTAAAATATTTGCAGCCACTATCCCCGAAGAAAGGAGATACTCTCTTCAGAAGAGTCTATCTATCAAATAACTCAATGTCTGTAACATGCCTATTTCTGATCCAAACCTACTGGTCAGGGTATTGGAGAACTCCAGTTTGTCAGCCCTAGGTGCCATTCCCCAGCAGGGAATGGGTAACCTGTAGTGTTAGAGTCACCTGAAGTACACAGAATAAGTGTTATAATAAAAACAGACTTCCATTTCTAAAGTAAGAATTAATGTTACCATAAAGAACAAAAACTTAGTCCTATTTTGCATATTCTTAATTATTTTTCTTACTTTTTGGGACCCTGTCTTTTTTTTTTCTCTTACTTCATAGCATCTATATTGAACATGAATTTTTAATCAAGGATAGGTCACTTTTAATAAAAGAGAACCAGTAAGTGTTTTAATTTGCCGTATGTCTTCCCTTCCATTTGGGTTATGGGCTTTCTTTTAGAGAGATAATGTCAGATCGTGCCTTTATCTTATTCTATTGATAAATAATTCTATTTTATTCATGAAAACTTAAATTTCTCATTTCACGTATAGGACTACATATTTTAAAATATTTGGAAGGCCAGACTGATAATTTCTGCTTAACATTTGTAAATATTAAATTAAGGCAACTGAAGTTGCTGACATTTGACTTTTTGTTTTACATAAATGGCAGTTTCTTATGGTTCAGCCTTTATATATTTGCCATATCCTTAGATATATAGGTATATCTTTTATATGCTCCATATGTTATATTCATTAAATTCTTACAGTTTTTTTTGTGGAAGGAATAAATTAATCAGGTTTAAGTGACTGTTGGTTTGATGATGAGTCACTTGTTAATCAATTCAATGATTAGAGCAGATTAAATGATGAGCAATAGAAAAACCTGCACAATAAGAACTGTTGTTATTCGACCATTGCAGATGATCAAAATAGGATTTAGCACTAGGGGCTTCTTCCTCTCTCTCCCCTAACAGCAAGATGAGAGCAATCATTTAATAACTTAATTTATCACTCAACACTTTATTACAATAATCAAAATTAAACAACTCTACGTTATGCTCGACTATATCAGTCAAGGCAAGTGATTTTCTGAAATTTTTGACACAGGTGTTTTCTGTAACTTCTGTAACGTATCTATTTTATTCTCATCTAAGGTAGGCTTTTTTAGTACAACTTGGCAGAAACAAATATTCCCATCCCCAATGCTCTCAGCTATGAGTTTTGTGCTGAATGGGAATGTTGTAATTGACAAGTGGCATATGCATCCACATCGCATGATATTGAGATTTAAAAAGAGACAAAACAATAATACATTTTAAATAATACATTATTTAATTAAGTTTCCTTCAATAATGTTAGTAAATTCAGCCCTCTACCATTACTCAACAGCATTTGAAGCTGCCTGAATATTCCACACATTTCTCAGGAGACAGGTTTCACATATTTCTTGAGTGACATGCTATGTACATTAAAGGCTAGAGGCATGTTAATATACAAAGGTATGTATAAATCTTCAGTTATGGAACAATAGGTTACTTAATAAGCCATAATATTTTCTGAGCTCATATAGACTTCTGTTTGACGTGGGGGAGAGAAATAATTGTTTTAATAAAATGTTAGGCAATAATGCTAGCAGTGAAGCTAATGGTAAAGTTCAAAATTTCAAAAAGAAATAGCATTTGTATTTTGACCAGATCATATGTCACATAGCATTCACAATATTTTTTAAAATATGAGTTGTTTCAAACTACAAATAGTGAAATTATACTTTTAAAAAAATGAGATGTTTTATTCTATCAAACCATGGCTTTGTTTTTATGTATAAACTGAGGTTTTTACATAAAAACTCAACAAATATCTTGATATCTTGTATCTTGGTAAATATTCAATAACTTACACTTGCCTCTTTCTGAAACTTTAACCTCTGTTGCAGTTCTTTGCTCTGTGTCTTACCCAGAATATGTAAGTCAATGAGTGTTGCTATGAAAGAAAAGAGAAAGAAAAGCTTTTCACTTTACAATGCTTGTCAACACACACAAATGAGATATATTCTGGAGTTTTTAGAGAAAAGGTCATGTAGTCAATTCATGCTTTGGCAGATGACCGTGTTGTTCCTGCCAAACAAAACTATTAATTTATTTGAGTGGAAATGCATCAACATGGCTAAAGAAAAGTACTTCTACCAGACATGGTGCTATTTATTGTTGTTTTATAAGTACTTACATTACTCTTAATTCGGTGCCAGGCATTGTTCTAACCATCTTACATATAACAATTCATTTAATACTCATGATCATCCTATGAAGCAGGTCTTGTTTTTGTCTCCATTTTATAAAGGGAGAAGTAAGGCACTGAAAGAGTAATTAACTAGACCACAGCGGCACTGGTAGCAATATCTGTTGAAGTACTTCGTCAAATCTGTCAAGGCATTTTCTCATTCAAACCTAATGGATCTTCATGTAAATCTCTGCTTTCTATTGTCTTTGTCCTGACCTTGAACTTTAGTTCTAACAACTAGATTTTAGGTTTGTGTCCTTGTGTATGAATCCGAAGCACGCTGGTTGCTTTTGGCCCTTTCCACCAGATTCATCCAAAAAGCTGGATATCTGCTGCTGAACTCTAGACTCAGCTGAAAACCAGGTACCTAATGGGGAACTGGTTTGGTTATTTCAGCCTATCACTTGGACTTTTAAGCACCATCTATCTCTGAGGGCTTCCTGTTTCCTCCTATCGGTCACTTCCTGTTAGACTCCTATCTTGACAGCTTACCTAAATTCCCATCTTATTTATGTTATTTTTCATTACAAAAACTATAATTAGAATAATGTAAGTAAATAATGTAATCATAATACATTTAAAATATTTTACAACATTTGACTAAGATTAGTTTAAATAAATGAAATGTTATAAATTAGAACTCTTTGAATAACATTTCCTAATTTATCTTCCTTCCCTACTGAAAATAAACCACTAAGTTGAAATAGATGCATGACATTCCCATGTATATTTTTTTCTAAATATGTTGTATCCACAAGAAAACTCTTGTACTTATTTTGAGGTTGTTTTAACTGTAAATAAACAGCATTACATTGACATATCATTTGACAACTTGCTTTATTTACTAAACATTATTTTTATTTAACTGCTGATGATTCAATTCCAGCTCATTCTTGTTAACTGATGTGTAGCACTTATCAGTCAATTATACCGTCACTTACTTATCCATTACAATATTGGTAGGCATTTTGACTATTTCTAAGTGTCTCTACCAAAAGCCACATTCTAATTAAAAGCTTATATCTACTTGTGCACCTGTAAGATTTCTCATCTAGCCTGTTGCCTTCAAACTTTTGCCTTTGTGACCCGTAGGATTGTTTAATCCCTTTGAATCTCTTACACATTTTCCAAAACTATACTCTAGACTTTATTTGGATTTCACCTATTTTTCCATTAATGTCCTCTTTTGGTGTCAGGTTTCCACATTGTCTTTAGCTGTCACATCTCCTCTGACTTTTTCTGGTCTGTGACATTTTCTCAGTCTTTTTATGTTTCATCACCTTCATGATAATGAAAAATATTGGCTAGATGTGCTTGTAAAATGCTGTGATTTGTCTAATGTTTTTCTCATGATTTGTTTGGGTGTATGGGTTTTGGGAAAGAGTAACACAATGACAGGATAAAAAAGCCCTTCTCATCATATCAAATCAGGAGGTGCATGGTATCTATGACATCACTGGTAATGTTAACCTTCCTCGCTTGGTTAGGATAGTGTTTACAAGTTTCTCCACTGAATAATTGTTATTTTTCCCTTTTCATACTTAATATTTTGAAGCAGGTACTGAGTACCTCTCACCTTCCATGGGGCAGGGGGAATTTCGTTCCTCCTACTAGATGGGGAAGAATTTATATAGATTAGATGGAAATCTTCTTACATGATTTAAAATAGATATCTGATATTGTTCATCTTCAGTTTAAATAGCTACAAAAGTTGCAGTTTGCAGCATTTCAAAATATTGGCAGCCTTAAATAAAACTGCTACATTATGTTTTAAAAGCTGTCCAATAGAATCCAAATATCATAGCCATGTGATACCCACTATAATGCATTTTTAAAATCCACATTAGAGTTCTTTTTAAACAAAAATTTTACATTATTATTAATTCTCTTTGAACTCAGAGTCCTATTTTAATTTCCTTAGAGACAAGTTTAATCTAATTCTTAAAGTATTTTATTGGTGCAGTTTTAAGTTTAAATGTACTTTTAATTTTAAAAGTATTTATTTTGATTGTAGGTTCTAATTTATTTTAAATAATGTTATTCTGGATTTACTTTTCATTGCAACTGATTTTAATAGACAACTGATCACAGCAATGGAAGCATAACTTCAAAAGTAATTATTTTAAAAAATAAAATTTGCTATAAGCTGTCATGATACTGAGGTTAAACACATATACAAACACACACACACACACACATGCACACACTCTTTGTCCAAAAGTTTTAATTTTGTTGCTCTTGTGTAATGTTCAATAAAGTAAAATAAAAATGATTTTAGTATTTCTGTAATTTGCATCTCAGATGGAGTATTGAATGTGGAAATGTCCAGAAAATAAGATATTTATTTTAAAAATACCATATTTATAATAATTATATAAATATAAAAATTTATTTTGTCCCTATAGCAAAAACGAAGTACTAGAAAATTTACTAGCATGTTCTAGAAAGAAGTTAGAAATTTATGATCAAAGGTAATCTTCAAAAAATAATTACAATATTTCAAATTTTTATAACTATAAACTATATCTCCTAAAACTAGCTTTATCTGAAATTTAAACTAGAAGAAGTAAAAGAAAATATAATTTTATATTACTAATTAATTTTGTTGGTTGCAAAAAAAGTGGTACCTTCACAAGTTGTTTGTGAAAGTGCTTAATAATTGGTAGCAAAATATAGTGATTAATGCTAAATCATTACTGTATTTAGCAAAATAAATATCATATAAAGAAATAGCTTTATAATTAATGATAATTTATAGGAATTAAATATTAATGTCTTACAATAAAAGTACTTTATAATATATACACTAAGATATCTTTTCATGGCAAGGAAAATAATTTAAACTAATTTGATAGGAATAACTGAGAACCGTTTCATGTGTAATGTTAGTTACTGAAAACTAAAGGCTCGAAACAGTGTGGGTTCAAGAATATTCAAGAAAACACAAATGGCTAAGGATTCAAATAATCTAAAAGAATTTGCTGTCTTTTATTTGGTAAAAAAAATTACCAAATAAACAGGCAAAAACATTTTGAATTTTGAATGAAGCAGTTAAATAAAAACTGAATTTAGTTTCATTTTAAGGATTTGAATTGCTTTCTTTATGATGTAAGTTTTATCTTCTAAACTTCTAATAAACTGAAGACTTTGATCTCTTTATTTAAGAGCTTGGAAATATAAGGATAAACAATTCATTTATGCAATAATCCCATATAAAAATTTAATTGTCATTGTGATAATTATTATGAAAAAAATATGCCTTGAGAGTGGTTAATAAATAATAAACACAGAAGGCCATGTCAAGTAAAACCTTAGATCATCCTCCAATTCCAAGCAAAATTTCAACCTAGTCTGGACTTTAAATAATTCAAGATTATTTTAGAATTAAATGCCCATGAGATGCATTCATTTTTGATGTATGCCATCCCTTAAAGTATGTGTTGTCCTATTAAATAATACAATTAATGTGATAAAAATGCATCTAAAAGTACAACTGTTTTTGTTCAATTAGGGGACTTGTTTATTTATTTATTGCTATATCACATTGTTTTAGAAAGGATTTAAAGAGTATCAGTTCAGATTAATCTAGCATTTTGTTATAATTAAGGCAAAATATTAGATTTTTGCATGTAGATGTTCCTGACATTCTAAATTAATGCAGTCTTTCAGATTTTACTTTTGTATTGTTCCACATAACCCTTGCCTTAAAGAAAAATTAAGGTTTAAATCTAAATTAAGAACAAAAGAGATATGGCTATATTTGAACTTAGCCACCTTCTCAATAATATTTCCTAAAAATTAGACCTGTCTTTACTGGTGAGAATTTTAAGTAGTTGAAACATAGAAAAAAACTTGTATTTTCTGGTATAAAAAATGGAATCATTTTCATGAATTTTTCCCTCAAAAAGATTTGAGTTTTTGTAGCAGTCAGTCATAATTTCTTAGACAAGGTCTATTCTGGAATAGAATAGAATACGATATTCCACATAGTTCTGTAATTCTGGCTCAAATCTACATACACACACACATTGTAAGAAAATAATTTCACCTGTGTAATCATGATATTGTAAAATATGCTAGTTTGCATTAAGTTAAAGACATTCTTTGCCTCAGGTGTGGTTATTGAATATAAGCTAATTTGGAGGGAGGATGGAGAAAAGATAAAGTAGGAATTAATTTGGAGAAATGTCTCAGTTACTTTTCAATTCTCTGAATGTGACTGAATTTTCAGACTATTTTATATTGTTCTTTGGCTGGTTTAAGTCAGACCAAATTTTTGCCAAGTTTCTTGTAAGGGACACTTTGAGTTTCTGAGGCTACTAACAACCACATTGTTAGGATTAGATATTTCCTAGAACTCCTTTGAAAATCCTTCTAAAGAGGGAACATGAATAAAGCCAGGGATTTCTAGGTAATGTCATCTTGGAAATATCCTTATGAGGTTACATGGTGGATACACACAGGCATATTGTTGTAGATCTTTTCACCCCAGGGAGGAAAAGGCATTCCTGAGTGTTTGCTGAAATTTCTCACACACTTTACTTTGCCATTTTATGCATTTATTTGTAATAGCACAATGGTTTTTAGGGCATTTAAGGTTATCTTAAAATATTAAAACATTTAGGAAGCCATTTTGGAGGGGGATATGGTGTAATATGTAAAATATATCTAAAGTTGAAATTATCTTAGTGCCAAGCTGTGGTTAATTACAAATTTTGAGAAGATGAATGGGATAGATCCTCTGACTATAATATTAGCCCCATTTATTTTGATGAGCTTATATGTGATTTAAGTATGAATTATGGCTAAATGCCATGTGTTCTGTATCCTTCATGACTGGTGTCTCTTGGACGATGTTACAACATTTAAGGGAGGAAAAAATAGAAGCATCCTACATCAAATAACCCAAGTATCAGCTCAATTCACTTTAGTATCTTAGCTTTATGTAAAATTCATTTAAAGCTCTTATTTCATACCTAGTAGGTAAACAAAATGATGTCCCAAGACTTCTTTGAAATCCTGGGGGCTAATGTGACCCAGTGCTTCTATTTCCTGTACCTGTGGTATTTCCTGTACCCCTCTATCTCAGGCTTATCTCAACCCTTTGAACTGAAATGTTTTAATCAGTTGTGCATTCACGTAAGGGATTTCTGGTAGGTGCATGCAGGTGTTCCAATTGTTATAACAAGTTAAAACGTTACATGTTGCATCTCTGTTAAATGGGTTTCCGCCATTCTTTCTGGGAACTCACTGGTCTCTCTCTCTCCCTCCCTCCCTCCCTCCCTCCCTCCCTCCCTCTCTCTCTCTCTCTCTCTCTCTCTCTCTCTCGTCTCTCTCTCTCTCTCACTCTCCAGAGCCTATTGTTGCCACATTCACTGAGTTCCTCTCTTTCATTCTCTAACATTTAATCTGTTTATACTCAATCTGTTTACCTTCACCCTTAAATGTAGTTTCTCTTTTTACATAGAACACTTTGCTATTCCCACTCACATAACCTAGTACAAAAATTTACTAAAAGAAAAGAAAAGATAGTTTCTTGCCTATCCATAGAAGAAACAATTTCCTTAGACCTAATAGATATTTTCTATGATTATAACCTATGATTAATTAGAAAAGCATTTTAGCTCTTAATCTTGAGTATATTTTATAATCTAAATGAAGTATAGTTCAAACAGGCTAACACCTAAGAATTTAGAGCAAAAAGCTTTAGAAACATGCTGATGAGAGCTAAAGCCTGATATAACCTTTTGACCCATTTTCAACACCTGAATATAAAAGTAGACTGTGATTTATCAAACCTCTGCTTGACACATCCAATTATTTCAGTTTCATTCTTAAGTATCACTCATAACATGAACTTAAACTCTTCGATTAATCATAACTTTATCATCATTTACTGTTTTAGACTCAAACTGACCCATTAAGCCCAGGTAGCAGATTCAGTTGTTGGCCTTCAAAAAATGGAAAAAATGTGTTGGTAATTTTGAGACTTTCATCAATTGCCTGTAGTTATTTTCAAACCAGTGGAGATACTGTATTTTTCATTTCTTCCTAGACACACATTTTTGGCATAAAATAGCTAAGGAAACCTTGTTTCTTAACTCCTTCCCACTTACATGCCAGATTCCTTGATCCAAAACTCATAAAAGGACCCTGAGGTTTTCTTAAAGACACAGAGTGTGAGTTTTGAGAGTGGCAGTGAGAAATTGTATTAGTTTCTCAACTTAGAATCTCAGAAAAAAAGGCAGGTTTGACAGGTATTTATATTAACCAATTATTTCACTTTTGTCCACTTTTTCCATTTTCAATTTATATGCTTGCCCCAAGTGTAAAACGTATGTTATTTTTGGCTGCCAAATTCTTCTCCTATCCCTTTGCACTAATGTCTCCGCTTGCTCCACCTTTAGAGTCTAATGTTGAACTAACATCAACTACAAGGGCAACAAGGCAACCTCTGAACTTTAGCTGTCAGCAAAAGTTGAAAGGAGCAGTAATGGGAGCAAGATGTGGCATGGGGATGCTGTGCTTGAGGACGGAGTCTCACGAGGGATGGCTGCCCTCTTCTCTCTGCAGAATGACACCCACTCTCCAATTCTTTCCACTTTTCACTGGAGAAGGAAAAACTTTAATACTCTGATGAAAAATTTGTCCTGTTACTTTGGAATTTTCCAAAGGTGGCAATGCCCTTTTATTCCTAGCCTGATCGTTAGCTGTGTTGACCTCACAGAGCAAAATCTAATATTCAGGGTTGAACATTGTAAGATCCCACAGTCACTAGGAGCAGAATCAATGTTATCCTTTGAAATCTTGGCACCTAGAAAAAAGAGCATGCCACAATCTTGCCACACATTGTGCACTGTTTATTTTAGCAATGATCCAAGCCATGCCTACCTTTGGGAGAGAGGAAATTATGTTCCCTTAAATCTCACATGGAACATTAAAAAGCAAATAAGTCTTCTCTTATTGTCCCAAATGTACTAAGAAGAAAAAGAAAACAAGCAGGGGGATGCATATTTTAATGATCTGCAAAGTAAGTTTCATTTTTTTTCAGCACTTGACTTTGTCCTGCCCAAGTGATAGCTTGGTTCAAACAGTTTTGTGAAGTAGCCATATTTTTACATAAAATACATCGCTAGTTAGATCAAAACACTTTACACGGCCTTTTAAAAAAATATTTTATTTTATTAAGTTCTGGGAACCTGGCCTTTATAAATGAACTCATACAGAACCTTCCATTGGAGGAGGGTATTGTCAGAGAGAAAGAAACGTAGAGAAGGGTTTATTAAACTTTCACACACTAACCTCAGGCTAGAACCCATGTTGTGATGTCATAGAACTCACTTCATTTCATACGAGATCATTTTTCTTACATTTACTACCATTGTGTTCTCAGAAACTTAGACTTTGATTTCCCCCCATCATGAATTTCTTACCACACTTGACTATTATTTTAAAGTATTAAACACTTGAATTTTAATTCAATTAGTGGATACAACCTTCTCTAAGAAAAAAGGATCATTGAGAAAATTGGTCAAAAGAACAGGCTAATCAGGAAAAGGATATTAAACATTCATTTCACATCATTGAAAATAATTGTTTCTTTATGGATATTATAGAAGTTTATCCATGGTATTTTAGAAAGCCAGTTTGCAAGGAGGCATGAAGTGAATTTACCACTAGCTTTTACCATGGAGACTGCATATGGCCAATTTTTTCTTTGACAAATCAGAGCTGAAATCACTGTCCTTGAACACTGCTAGGACTAGACACTCTGTATGGTCTTAGGACACTTAAAGGAGAAAAATAGAAGCCATCATTCTCTAAATACCAATTTGAAGGACATAATCAAACTGACTTCAGGAAACAGGGTCCTGGAGGAATCTGGAAGCAAAATATGGTGCTCAAATCAGTGTCAGACCCAAACTAACATAGCTTTGATTAAACACTATTAATTGAGGACTTACTGTGTAACTAATATTTGCGCTTGGAAAACAAAATGGGCATATGAAGTTTTCTGCACTGCAGAAGGCAAAACATTTTGTAGGTCAATTAAGACATATACGTAACTATAATAAAAGTACATATTCTTAAGTCCCTAGCATTTACCAAAGATATGTTACAGTCTTCTGAGGAGAAAAAGATAACTTCAATCTAGCGTGGGAAGAGCAAGTTTAAAGAAAAAGTGACACTTGAGCTGAGCTTTTAAAGTAGTTGAGATTTCAACAGATGCATATAGTGTGGGTAAGGAGGTGGAAATGTCATGGAGTAACCAGAATTACAATATTGCAGAGTTGGGAAACCACTAAAAGTAATGTTATATAATGAAAAATTCCACAATATTGTTGGAAATTTGGTGTGTTTATAGGCAAGTAACGACCAAGATGATAATGGTTGCTCTATTATCCTTGAAAACTTACTTATTAGTACTATTATTTGCTGTGATTTGAATTTATTAAAATATCAATCTCAGAGGTACTGCACAACACCCACCCGTATGTTCTCCTGATTTGAAGCATATTGGGTAACGATCTCAGACCCATTCAGATTGTCAGCTTGTTGGCATTCTGCTGTGAAACAATGGCAGAATGGGTGTGATGTCACTGTTTTTGATTTGTGGCATATCCATGATATTTTTCTCCTAACTTATATGATTGACGCTGTTGTCTGTGATTACAAGTTATTGCTCGGTCTGTTCACCATGCAGGAAGAGACTAATCCTCTGTGGTCCAATAATTTTCTTCCACATTTTGGCACTACCACCAACACGTGCATTGAGGTCCCCCATGACCATCAGGTTGTCAGATGGTAGAGCAGCTGCGATGAGTTTATGCACATCTCTGCAGAATTTCCCCCTCACTGGAATGTACGACAGTCAGGATGTTTGCATTGATAAAAGAAATAAATGGTTATTGGATGAGTCCACACACTGACTAGTCAAGTTGAAACAAATAAGCACTTGAGCACCCAATGCCTAAAAATCCTTTCCCCTAAAGTCTCATTTCCTCTCATCATGTGACTGTAATCACTAGGGAGAAGTATTCAAATATTTTGTTTCCAGTATGATTTCTCAACAGGAGTTCCTCCATGTTTTTGCAATTAACAAAAAGACCAACAGAGAACCATATTTTCATGATCAACTTCCCACTGTCTGAAATGACCCCACCCTAACTTCACTGCCATTTTGGAGTGCTTTACTATCAGTTCCAAAGGGGAAAATGAACGATTTACACTTCACAAATTCACTTATAATTGCAAATTGCAACTTATGAGAATGTTATAGCAATTTAGCAACAAACCAGACTGAATACTTCTGCAGACCACATTGGGTCGAGAAATGAGGCAAGTTTTTGCTCTCTAGGGAGAATCTTCAAAATCCCTGGTCCATGTTATGTCCATAAGATAGGCACGGAGTCTCAAGAGGAACAGCATTGTGTTCATTAAGGTGTTTATTTTATTTCTGTCTCTTGGACTGAGAAACAGGACAAAAAGCATATGTTAGGGAAATGGAAGACATTTTATAGCTTACAATATTAGGATTAAAAAGTATAATATTTATTGTAAAAAAGACTCCAATTACCATTTTACTGAGTAGAATCTTTGCAAGATGTATGCAAACTAAAAACGGAATTTCATCTTTAACTCATTATATTTCCATAAGAAGCCACATGGCCGGACTTTAAAACACAGTTCCATCCTTTAGTACAGCAAGTGCCTTTTATTTTTTGTTTTTTGTTTCTGTTTCAATCATAACAGCAACTTCATTCTACATAAGTCCTGATTTTAAATGCCATGTTTTAATAAATGAAAAATATAATTCTAATTGAGGCAAATAGGAAAAATTGGAATATAAATCAATTTTTAAAAGAAAAGAAATATGCTTTTGATTTAAAACCTTCTTCTGAAATGAATTTTCTTAATTTTCTCATTGAGAATATCCCAGATGCTTTCTTATGGTATCATGTGTAAAAGGAGATGATTTGGGAAGTGAAAAGCAAAGTCCCAACCTGCTAATGGCTGCTAATCTCTCAAGATTTTACTATATGGTCCCTTCCCATAAAGCAAATTTACTGAGGAGGAAGAGAACAGAATGCCAACTGAAGCTATAAATATATAAAGCTTCTTTTTTAAAAAAGTAGAGGAACTGGTCTTTCCTTGCTTTTCTGAGCAGAGAAGGAAGCTTTTCAGATCTTCAACGTTCTTAGTGAAGCCAGGGTTTTCAAGGAACTCACCTGTGCACAAGACTTCTGCATACAACCTCTGTGGAAGTCTTTTGCTCGCCAGCCTTGCTTATAGAACAACTCATTGGTCCACATGCAGCTGTGCTCAATGAGCTCCTCTTTTTTGCATAGGGTACTGACTAGATTACAAAATCTGTAGCTCAATTGTTGGCAAATTGCTTTTGTAAAGGGCCAAATAGTAAATATTTTGACTTTGCAGGCCATATAGCTTCTGTCACAACTATTCAACTCTGTGAACGCAGCCATAGATACTATGCAAATGAAGAAATGTGCCTGTGTTCCAATAAAACTTTATTTACAAAAACAAATGGCAGGCCATATTTAAGGCATAGTTTACCAACCCTAGTTTAGTCCAAGAAAACCATGTTCTGCCCATGCATCCAAGCATACAAATATACACATACTCAGGGAAAACACATGTATTCAAACTCATGCAGATGTGAGCTGAGCTAGCCAACACAGAAATTCTTTTGCTATCTAAAATTGGTTTCCTCTCCAAGCTGGTCAAACTGCAATGTTTAGATTCAGGCAGTTTTTGAACTATGTGGTTCTTTCTGGGCATTAAGATAGAAAGAAATGAAAGAGGCTGTGCAACTGTGGTCGGAAAGAAAAAGGAGGTTTTCTTTCCCCTGTGCCCAAGAGAATTGGCACAATTATTTGTTTCTCTCTTAAAATGTCAATATGATTTAGAAATGCATGTTTAATCAGGAAATTAAGTTATCTTAGAAAGGAATTGCTAATGGATATTCTGTCAGAATCCTTACTGCCATTATGAAATGGGATAGAACTGCTCCATTCAGCATTTTTTATACCCTCATTAGTCTCACCTACTAAGTCTTACTAAATTTTTTTATTTTTATTTTTCTCCTCATTGCTAATTCTTTAAAAGGAGTTAATACCCTGGCCAGATGTCCCTTTCTTATGTTATTTCTTCTAGGTAAAAGGGATTCAAAGGATAATAGTTTTCAGCTCTTTTTTCACCCTTAAACTTCAAAAATAAAAGATGATATGGGTTTAATGATCATCAACAAATCAGAGGCATATTCTGCTTCTGTGAGCTGAAGAGACCCACAGAAGAGGCAATGTGTAGCAGGCAGGAAGTACTGGAAGGCTGTGCTGGAAACCACTTTCCTGCAATTGCAAAGTCCAGGTTAGGGAAATCTCCTGAGTCTTAGTGTTGATTTGTAACTGTTGCCTGGTCCTTTGGAATTCCATAGGAATCTCTCCACTAGAGAGCTTTCAGATGGGCACTTACTCAACTCAGTTATGCTTTGGCTATATTTTCTAGAATCTAAATGGAAAATAATGCTATAACTGAAGAAGACTTCATAGCTCAATTAATCCAGTGGTTGTCAAACCGGGTTGAGCATCAATGACTTGCAAATGTCTTTATTTAAAAATTAAGATTTTCAGGCTGTAAAGAGATTCTGATTAAGAAATTCAGGACAAGCCACTGGAATCTTTTTACAAACCTGGCCCATTTCTAAATCTGCTGCCTGCCATCTATGGGGCCATAATTTGGAAAACACTGATTTAGTTTGCCCTCTCATAGAGATGAGGAAGTATATTTTGAGAAGTTAGGTGAATTACCTAAGTTCGCACAGCCAGTAAATGTCAGAGCTGGGCTCTGGATCAGTAAATATTGACAGGACTGCAGCTACTTCTTACTGTCAGGACCCACAACAAACTCTTCTCATGAGGAATAATATACTTTTACCTGCACTTAGCAGCCTTCTCAGCACAGCACTCAAAGTAGCCAGTACTGTTGAAGTGAGGTGTCACATAAGCTGAAACTTATTTGTTATTCCACGATAGAGCACTAGAGTTGTCACCCACCCATTTTTTGAAACCGATGATCTGGTATTTATATTTCTATCTGGTAAAAAGGAAAACAATGAAAATTGTATTGATATTTTTAAATTGTCTCGATTATGAATCATGGCCCTCTGAGAGTGGATTTCAATAGTTATGAAGCCTTGATGACTGGATGAAGAGACAATAGGGCTATTCTAAAATTAACAGAATGTATTTGTTCAGTGTTGTTCTATGGGGTGAAAGGAGGAACTTCTCTGTGGGAACAGAGGAGTTTTGAGGGGATCATTTCTGAGAATATTCAAGTTGGTGCACACAAAGATTAAGAACATCTCCTGGTCTTTGGGGCAATACTAGACTTTGGGTGATAAAATTGAAATCCTTTAGGCTAAGTTGTAAATAGTTATATAGAACCATGTCCTAAAGAAAATGGGTGGGTGTCTTTTTAGAGACTATTAACAGCCAGTTAGTCTCCACAGAAGGCATTAACAAAGTATCTATAATCTACATGAGATCATATGTCAGAATAATATATTCCCAAGAGTCTGGGATAGGCTGTCCCAAATGAGTAGAGGTGAATTTCAAGATCATGAAATGCATCTTGTGAAATACAACAGCTTTTAAAAAGAATTGAATATTCTAATGAAAAAGCCTTCATGATCTACCCAAGCCTCACAGCTGTTACTGATGGCAATCTGTCCTCAGGGCCATGGTTCTGCCATCAGTGAAAAATTATCTTTAAGACATCCTCCGATATTTCCTTCATTTTAAGGCAACCTGATCCTTCACATTAAAAATATATAAATAAGTACAACTACCCTCAAAACCCTACAAGTAAATAAACCAAATGCCTTTTCATCATGAATGTGCCCTAGACTATATGTTCATTAAGATTAGGAAGTGTCATGTTCACCATTTTCTTCAGAAATAACCTCAATCCTTGGTATATAGTAGGAGCTCAAACATTTGTTGAATGAATAAATATTTGTTGATTCAATAATTGGATCCCTTATAACTGAATTTTTAAAAAAAATGCAGTTATAACTCTTTTTGCCAACAGCTTCTGCTTTTCCTTCCACATGCCTACTTTGGTTTCCTAATATATTTTATGCTAATAATGACTTATTTATACATGCAGTGCCCAGTGCATGCAAAGGTACTAGAATGATTGCAGCCATTCCATTGGGCACTCATTATAAAGCATATTTGTCCTTTGGATAAAAGTAATTCCTTCAGATTACTGTTGGTCTCTTGCATATTTATTAACCTTAATAGGAAGGGAGTCCATGAGGGTGATAAGTAGTATGCTTAGGGAACTGTGGTCATTTCTAAACACTGAGCTTGATTTATCATTGACTACTAATACCTACCTGGCCTCAGCAGTCTCCTTGAAGAGCCTGACTTCACAACTGTCTGCATCTGTCTTATAGCAACTGATTTGTATTTGTGAGTCACTGATTTTGACCAGCTGCCAGGTCCAGTATGGCTAAAGTCATTTTATCCTTTGTTAGGGAGCCACAGGACTCTGGACCATATATTTGGCAGGTTTATTGGATGAAGGTTTAGGACAATATACCAGAGCAAATAAATGAGCACTTCATCCAATACTCAGGGAAAATGCACACACATACACTCACAGTCAAGAGTTGTAGAAAAATGCAGACAATGGGAGTTTAAAAGATGAAGACACCTTGGCCTAGAAATAGTGCCTGCTCCTGATATATGAAATGTAGGAAAAACATAAGCTTCATATTATAATAATCCTTCTAGAGCAAATTCTTTTAGACCTTGAAAACAATTATATAAGCATGTCTTTATTCCATTCATTTTCCCCTTGCTATTTCCTTCCCCCTTCTTTCCTTCCTTCCTTTCTTCTCCTTTCTTCTGAAAAATAAAACATATCTGTATTTATTTTCCTAAACATAAGTACTCATTACAGTGTGTTGGTGTCTGTGGTTTCTTTAATGGTGAATGCACTGTAAAATGCATTGCTGTAATTGTGTGTCCATCATTTGAAGACAAGTGTAGTATATAGTGTCACATGTGAAAATGGTCCAGCCTTTATTTATGACATTCATGGCAGGTCCATAGTTTACACCTTACCAACAGATTGTCTAAATGTTCAGACAGATTAAAGGGTTATGACTTTATCATACAGTTCAACCCACCTAAATTCCCTGGAACATGTTAACCAGTCAGTACTTAAACTTTCCAATATCGTTAACATACTTAGGGTTAATGTGGGAAGAGGTATGGATCTTGGCTGCAGGGCTCATGATAGAATGCAAAAATGGGGTAAGAGATCAAGCATCTATGGTCCTATTCATTTACCTGAAGTCCTGATGTCAACAGAGTCCTGGTGCCAATGCCTATTTCCTCATTGTTACTCCATGAGTCAACATACATTTCCCATTACTTCATAAATCTTAAAGAGAGAGAGGGAATGTTTTGAAGTTCAAAGGCTTCTTTTCCTTGGTCTGTGGCTTTATGGACAATCAATAAATAAAATCATCTATTCATTTATCAAGCATTTACTAAGCTCTTGTTGTGTTCCAAGAACTGTCCTAGGCCCTTGAGTGACATCAGAAAGTAAAATAGACAAACACACCTGCTCTGTGGGACTTGCACATTTTTACAAATCAGTATGGCCAGGGATATAAGACATCAGTGATAACTGCTTTTCCAGGTTAATAGATCCTGTTATTTCATGGTTCTGTTTTTACACAATGACCAGTAGATGTGATTAATAAAGGATAAAGTCTTCAAAATTATTATTGAAAATATCTTTTCAACTACTCATGATAATACTTAAACCCATACTCATCTTGGGAAATCCCATTTTGAGGTATCAATCTGTTTTCATTTTTCAGGGTCCCTTAGTCTGATGTAAATAACTCTGGGAGGAATAGGTTCTTCAGATCACAATCAGATAATTCTCATTAATGCTGAGAGGTAAGCAGGCTGAAAGCAAGAAGAGCTGGGCGTACAAAGAGGAAGGGCTTCCAGAAGAAAAAAAAGGCAGTCACTGCAGCCTCAGGAAGGGATCCAGCGGCCAGCTTGCATTCTTCTCAAGTTTCATCTAGAGCCAGACTAGATTTGCAGTACTCATTTTCAACTAGTACTTCAGTACTATTGACAATGAAGATTTATTTTAAAAAGCATGTTCTGAGCCAGGAGAGTTGGCTCACACCTGTAATCCCAGCACTTTGGGAGGCTGAGGCAGGTGGATCACTTGAGGTCAGGAGTTCGAGACCTGTCTGGCCAACGTGGTGACACACTGTCTCTACTAAAATACAAAAATTAGCCAAGCATGGTGGTATATGCCTGTAATCCCAGCTACTCAGGAGGCTGAAGTGAGAGGATCACTTGAATCAGGGAGGCAGAAGTTTCAGTGAGCCAAGATCTCACCACTACACTCCAGCCGGGGCGACAGGCTCAAAAAAAAAAAAAAAAAAAAAAGGGTGTTCTATAGACACTGTCAAGGAGATCTCTCTTTTTCATCCTTCTGATTTTTCTTTTATACCACTAAGTTGTCATATGTGTTGTGCTTACATGGAGAGGGCAATAAGGATTCATGTGCATATGTGAGCCATTGAGAAGAGGTGATAATAATTTTGTTTACAAAATTTGAATTAAAAATGGAGATATATACAAAACAGAATAAGGCATGTGAACATTGCATGCAAATCCCACATAGGCATTTGTAGCTTAGTAACCTTTCTTCATGCATGACTCCATCACTGAAGTCACTGAGGACATCATAACAGGAACTAGGAACCACGTTTGAAAAACTCTTTGACTCTGCAGCTTTGACTTTGCTGTTTAAAATTTCATTACTGAGAAGTTCATCAAAAATATGTTTTTTAAAAAGGAGGCCTAATGTAATCAACAGAAATGCATTAATTTTTACTTTTTATTTTCCCCCTTTTTTTTTTGCCCATTTCATTTTTTTTTTTTTTTTTTTTTTTTTTTGACGGAGTCTTGCTCTGTCTCCTAGGCTGGAGTGCAGTGGCACGATCTCGGCTCACTGCAACCACCGCCTCCCGGGTTCAACCAGTTCTCCTGCCTCAGCCTCCTGAGTAACTGGGATTACAAGTGCGCGTCACCACGCCCGGCTAATTTTTGGATTTTTAGTAGAGACTGGGTTTCACCATGTTGGCCAGGCTGGTCTCGAACTCCTGACCTCGTGATCCGCCTGCCTCGGCCTCCCAAAGTGCTGGGATTACAGGCGTGAGTCGCCGTGCCCGGCCTTTTTGCCCATTTCTGGAACTGAAAAGTTCTTCAGTGTATTCTCTGCTTAAATGTTACAAATAAGTTTATAAGTATAGTCAAATAATCCTAATGGCATGTTTTTTAAAAACTAAATTAAAAACAAAGAGCAAATCATCCTAATTTCTTTTGTCTTTTAAGTTGACCCCAGCTTTGAAGATTAGCATGTTTCAGGAGGAGATGGGAGTGAAAGGATGTCTTAACAATTCATCTTTGGAGGTTGAATTTGGAATGTGATTACGAATCAGAATGTGTCTGTCTTGCACACATCATCTAAGGCTGTATGTTGCCATCAGCAATGAACATGCCTTTAACCTGTTACTGATTTGTGACCATTCTGACTTGAACTTAGCTCTTTTTCTTTTTGTTCACCTCTACTCCATTATTTTTAGAGATTAAAAAAGAGCTAAATTAGTTTCATTTTGAAAATTTAGTGATAGCCTAGAAGTATAATATAGTAATTTCCTATTTCCTTTGATGGATGTTTGGTTTGTATAAGAATTTTGTCTATATTCTTTTCTACTTTCTCCCACCCCAAATGGACAACTCATAGCTGTATGTTTCATAAGAAAGAAAAAGTAGTTATCTCAAGTCACTTATGGATTTGTGAATCAAGGTTTATTTCAAGTAATTTGGATTATTCCTGTGAATTAGTGATTATATAAAACTGGTATAAAGGACAATTGACTCCCATTATCAAAGTACCTGAGAAAATAAATTCTCAAAGTGAAATTTGCTTGGACACCATCAAATCAAAGGGAATTGGCTGGGCTTAAGAAATTTGTAATGCAAGAAAAGAAAAAGTCCGATTATTTTTCTCTGTTGAGAATCGTTATTAATCACAATATTTTCCAGATTTAATGTCTCTTTATGACGTATTCATTCATATGCCTCTGATTGGAAGTAACTAAAAATACTAAATGTTGAACAATAAGAACATAATAGTACAGATAACTGGAAGGAATTAAATAGAACAGTTAAAGGAGAGATGCAATCCCAGGCTTCCCACAATCAAATGGAACCCAGGTTCTTTTCTTGCCATCATCTTTAGCCTGTGCCACTACACTGAGTTGTTGGTACTACATGTGAATCATTACAATGCCAGTGCTGTAGAATAACTGGAAGAAAAAATGGATTCAGGTAGACCTGACTCCAGCACTTTCTAGCTGTTTCACTCCTAAGCCAGTTCCTTAATAACTTATAGCCTCAGGTTTATCATCTGTAAATTGATGATGTTTCCACTGAGGGGGCATCAAAATAATTAGAAAGAATTGATGTACAATGCCTGAATTATAATAAATATTCACTAAATATAGGCACACCTTGGAGATATTGTGGGGTTGGTTCCAGGCCACCACAATAAAGTGAATATCCCATTAAAGCAAATTACATGAATATTTTGGTTTCCCAGGTCATATAAAAGTTATATTTACACTACACTGTAGTCTACTAAGTGTGTAATAATAGCATTATGTTTGAAAAACACTGTATATACCTTAATTAAAAATATTGCTGAAAAGTGCTGATAATCATATAGGCCTTCACTGAGTGATAAATGTTTTGCTTGATAGAGGGTCTTGCCTCTGATGTTGATAGCTGATGACTAATCAAGGTTGTCGTTACTGAAAATTGGAGTGTTGTCAAAATTTCTTAAAACAACAATGGAATTTGCCACATGGATTTTTCCTTTCGTGAAAGGGATCTATGTAACCTATGATGCTGTTTGATAGCATTTTACCCACAGTAGAACTTCTTTCAAAATTGGAATCGGTCCCCTCAACCCCTGCCACTGCTTTATCAATCAAGTTGATATAATAGTCCAAATCCTTTCAACAATATTGATAGCATCTTCACCAGGAGTAGATTCCATCTCAAGAAACCAAGAAACCACTTTCTTTGCTCCTCCATAAGAAGACTCCCCATTCATCCAAGTTTGATCATGAGATTACAGCAATTTAGCCACATCTTGAAAAAGCTCCACTTCTAATTCTAGTTCTTTTGCTATTTCTGCCACATCTGCAGTTGTTTCACTAAAGTCTTAAACCCCTCAAAGTCATCCATGAGAGCTGGAATCAACTTCTTCAAAACTCCTAATAATATTTCTATTTTTGACCTCTTCCCATGAATCACAAATATTCACAATGTCATCTAGAATGGTGAATCCTTTCCAAAAGGTTTTTGATTTACTTTGCTCAGATCCAATAGAGGAATCACAGCTATAGCCTTACAAAATGTTTATCTTAAATAATAAGGCTTGAGAGTCAAAATTACTCCTTGATTCATGTAGAATGGATGTTGTGTTAGCAGGCATGAACACAACATTAGTCACCTTGTACAGCTCCATCCGAGCTCTTGGGTGACTAGATGCATTGTCAAGGAGCAATGGTAATACTTTGAAAGGGATTTTTTTTTTCTGGCAGTAGGTCTCAACAGTAGGCTTAAAATATTCAGTGAAATATGGTGTAAACAGATGTGCTGTCATCCAGGCTTTTGGTTTTGTTTATAGAGCACAGGCAGAGTAGACTTAACATAATTTTTAAGAGACCTAAGAGTTTCAGAATGGTAAATGAACACTGGCTTCCACTTAAATTCGCCAGGTGCATTAGCCCCTAACAAAAGCATCAGCCTGTCCTTTGAAGCTTTGAAGCCAAGCATTAACTTCTTCTGCCTAGGTTGGAAAATCCTAGATGGCATCTTCTTCCTCTATGAGGCTGTTTCATCTGCATTCAAACTCTATTGTTTAGTGTAGCCACCCTCATCAATGACCTTAGCTAGATCTTCTAGATAACTTGCTGCAGCTTCTCCATCAGAATTTGCTGCTTCACCTTGCATAATTATGTTATGGAGATGGCTCCCTTTCTTAATTAACCAACCTCTACTAGCTTAAAACTTTTCTCCTGCAGTTTCCTCACCTCTCTCAGCCTTCGCAGAATTGAAGAGTTATGGCCTGGTTCTGGATTAGGTTTTGGCTTAAGGGAATGTAGCCAGTTTGATATTCTATCCAGACCACTAAAACTTTCTCCATATCAACAATAAGGCTGTTTCACTTTCTTATCATTTGTGGGTTCACTGGAGTAGTACATTTAATTTTCCATGAGAAGTTTCTTTTTGCATTCACAACCTGGCTAACGGTTAGTGCAAGAGGCCTAGCATTCAGCCTGTCTTAGCTTTCAACATGCCCTCCTCATTAAGCTTAATCATTTCTAGCCTTTGATTTAAAGTGAGAGACATGTGACTCTTCCTTTCACTTGAACACTCAGAGGTTATTTGGCCTAATGTCAGTATGTTTTTGTCCCAGAGAATAGAGGGGCCTGAGAAGAAGGAGAGAGATGGAGGAATGGCTGGTCATTGGAGCAGTCAGAACACACACAATATTTATTAAGTTCACCATCTTATATTGGTGTGGTTGTGGCATCCCAAAACAATTGCAATAGTAACATCAAGGGTCACTGATTATAAATCACCGTAACAGATACACTAGTGGTGAAAAGGTTAAAATATTATGAGCATTACCAAAATGTGACACAAAGACACAAAGTGAGCGCGTGCTGTTGGAAAAATGGTGCCATTAGACTTGTTCGACATAGGGTTATTACAAATCTTCAGTTAGGAAAAAACTCAACATCTGCAAAGTGCAATAAAGATATGCACAATAAAATGAAGTATCCCTGTAGTCAATGTTATTTTTGCTATTAGTTTAAGAAGTAAACTCATTATAGAAAGCAGATAATGAACTAACTTGGTCCCATTGGGCAACACATTAACAATCATGTCTCACAGCAAATCACTTTTGTAGGTTGTTAATCTTATTCATTTTGTGTTTTTTTGTCTTGTTTCAGAGCCTTTATTAGGATTTAGTTAAGGAAACAAAGCCTCTATAAAGGCCAGAAATGGCCTTTGATGTTACTATTGCAATTGTTTTGGGGTGTCGCAACCAGACCAATATAAGATGGTGAACTTAATGAATGGCCTTCTGTTTTGTGCTGTGATAACACAATACCACAAACAAAGTTCCCCTTTTTAAGATTTGCAGATTGCCCATGGGGAAATCCAGACCAGAAGTTTTCATTGTTCAGTCCATCTGGGTAATTTATAATAAACAGAAACTTATTGGCTCACAGCTCTGGAGGCTGGGAAGTTTAAGAATGAGGACCAGCGTCCTTTGAAGGCCATCTTGCTGTGACATTCCATGGTGGAAGTGCAAAAAGAAGGGAGAGAGAGAGAATCCTCTGCACTCCACAATAATGAACCCGCTCTATTCCACAATAATGGCATTAATTTATTACGTAGTTTATTCTGAGGCAGAGTTCTCATAGCCCTATCACCTCTTAAAAGTTCTACCTCTTAGTACAGTTACAATGGAAATTTAACTTCAACATGAGTTTGTTAGGGGACACATACTTAAACTATAGGCAGAGGCGTTAGAGAACAGAGAAATACTCACTAACCACTTTATCAGAAGCACTGTTTGAAGCTGGCAGAGAAATCCAAGAAACCATACACTGAAATGGGACCTGCATGAAGAGAAAAATAGCAAGAATTATGGAAACTGCAATCTCTGGAGAAGCAGTTTTTGCTATATAACCACAGCCTTCTGGGGTCTTATCTCATGACATCAGCTAAGGCACTATGTGCCAGCAGAATCATCAGCCAGGAAAATGAGCTAGATCAAGACAGTGATGACAAGTTGGAACCTCTAAAAACTCCCCTCTAGTTGCTCATCACCAGGTCCGATCACACAGTCTTCTGAGAGTAATGGCTTCTGCTTCACTCCCATCTTCCAAATTTCTCAGAGGCTCCACTTTTAGCCAACTGTATGTCAAAACCATATAGAGAAGGGGAATGTGGTATAATCCTACCATCGATTATCTAGTTAAAACATAGTAGCTTTAATTGCAGGAGGAGGGTGGGACAAGTGTTTCTTTTTTTTTTTCATTTTATCATACTTAATTACATTTTTTTCTCTGCTCCCAGCACAGTTTGAAAAATAGTACGTAAATCACTGCTGAGTCTACCTTTTAAGAATGTAAATCATTTTTCCTTAGCTTTAAAATAATTTAAGTGTAAACTAAGTTGAAATATACATTAAAAATAGATAATGATGTGCAAACTAGACTTTCTTCATGACTCCTGCATTTTAGCAACTCAACTGATGGTGTAGAGGAAATCTAATTCTGTTCATAAGGAGATTTGAGCCCCTGTCCTATTTGTTCCATACTTGGCATGTGAGTTGGTAGACCACGGTTTTCTCTTCATCAATAGTCCACAAGCTTTTTTGATAAAGAGATAATATCTAAAAAATTATTATTCTTCCATATGAATACAGTGATACTCTTTACAATCATTAATTGAGAGATTTGATAATCACTAAAACCTAATATGAGTTGAGTATTCTGTTTGATTAATTTATTTTGCATTGATTTCAAAAGTATCTTCATGCCTTTGAGGGTCAAAAAAAGAGTACATTAAAATATGCAAAAAAAGTTCTTATTTAGCATGCAGTCTAAATGGAAATAGGAAGTCGAAGTTCTCTTTTTTAAGATTCATAGATTGCCCCTGCGGGACCCCAAACTAGAAGTTTTCATTGTTCAGTCCATCCGCAGGAGTCAGAAATGTCTCACCTGGTGGGAGACCACATCTCTGTGTCTGAGAAATCCATTTCATTGCCACCTCTCACAACAGCTGCCATCACTCCAGATTTTCTGTGGCTCATTTCCGTTCATGTTCTTGGATGCAGAATGCATCCTGGCAAATCCTGCTTTCTTCCTTCCATCAAAAACACAGGGGGAAAACATCTTCTGATTCTTCAATGTGCCTATATCAAAAAAGATCAGATTTTCAGCATACCCTGAGAGGTAAAATAGAGTGCCAGAGATACAGAGAGAAGAGGATGAGGCCTGGGACTTGGAAACACACAACTTCTATTTTAGGTCATTTAGAAAGATTTTTTGATTATAAGAGTTGATGGTGGACAGATGTGTCTTTCTACTTCTGAGCTTTTAAAAGAACATTTAAATATCTGGTGAGAGTTCAGGAAATCCACATCTATCATTATGCAAGCAGGGATTTAAGAAAAATATTTTTTCCTTTTTCTCAAGGGTAAAGGAATGGATGAATGAGAAAGCATTTATTAAGTGCTTTGGAGTAAAGGTGCTGCACACAATACACACACTTCATCAGGCATTAAAATGCAACACTGCAACTTAAAAAAAAAAAAAGTAACCTACAATTGCCCATTCAGGACCACACTAGCTTAACTAAGACAATGAATGATGCATTTCCCCTGATGCATCTTTAGGAGCATATGAGTAGTTTCAACTGAAAGATTGGTTTTTGCTTTGGCTAAATTTTTCTCCCCACAGTTAGCTTGTATATTTTTCTCCTCTTTACAAATCCAGAAGGGTATATTGGGGGATTTTGTGCACAAGCAATTATTTTAGCACTGAATTCTCAAAACTCTGGTCACACAAAACCTGTGATAGAAAGTCCCAGGTTCCCATCCCAAATGTTCCAGTTTTTAGCCACATGAGTTTGGATTTCATCTCTGAGCCTTAGTGCTTCTGTTGTCAAATCCCCTATTCTGTCTCCCTTATAAGTGCACTGTGACAACTAGTCTCGTAAGGTGATGGATATAACAGTGCTCTAAGAGCTGCGAAAAGCTGTACAAAGTAAGATACTGTATATTATTATTTGTATTGCTTGTCTCTTACTGAGCAGTCCAGGGAACCAGCAATGTTCCAAGAGATTAAGATCTCAACTTTGCATCTCAATGAAAAACAGCACTTCCAGGACACAAGGCTCTCCTAACATCTCTCCTTGGGGGGAAATGCCTTCTGCTTAATCATCAACATCACCACTTCCTCCACTGAGAGCTATATCTGATGATGAATCACCTTAGAAATGATCTAGCCTCACCCCTTGCTAGGCTGAGGAAATCTGAACTTGTCACAGCATTTGTCTTCAGGGGAGAAAAAAACAAAAACTGAGATACACAGGAAAGTTAGCTTTGTCCAATATAGATTTGCATACTTTATCTTCCATTTTTCTCTATTCAAAGTTGCTCACCCTAGTCTTTTTCATGCCTCCTCTTTCTTTCTATGTAGTAATAAATAACTTTCATTTACTCATTTGTTCATTCATCCCACAGACATTTGCTGGGGACCAGCTATGTAGTTAGCACTGAGTTAGGCACTGGGAATACAATGGTGCACCCGATGGACATGATTTCTTTCCTCACAAATATCATAATCTTGAGTCAGGCGTACACAGATATAAGAAAAAAAGAGGCAGGAATTGCCCTAGAATATGCACACTTGGACCTAAGAAGAGAATATTTGAAAAAAATTTAATACTCTACAATTAATCTCCATTCACTCTACTACTAGGTTGAGAGCTTCTAATCCAGTTTTAGAGGATTGACGTAGGCTTTGTAAAGGTAGTAAGATCTAAATTGAGTCAGGAAAGGAATATTAGGATTTAGTTCAGAGACTCCACCCCTATTTTCCTTATATTATCATATATTTGACCTCTTCTCTTTTTGAATGTGCTTCCTTTTCCCTCCTCTTTATCCCTGTAGAATAAATAGTACTTTCTCCTAGGCGAATCCACCACTTTTTTTTTTTTTTTTTTTTGAGACTGAGTCTCGCTCTGTCGCCCAGGCTGGAGTGCAGTGGCGCCATCTCGGCTCACGGCAAACTCCACCTCCCGGGTTCACGCCATTCTCCTGCCTCAGCCTCCCTAGTAGCTGGGACTACAGGCGCCCGCCACCGCGCCCGGCTAATTTTTTTGTATTTTTAGTAGAGACGGGGTTTCACCGTGTTAGCCAGGATGGTCTCGATCTCCTGACCTTGTGATCCACCCGCCTCCGCCTGAATCCACCACTTTTATTTGGCCATAAACAACTGGTATTGCAAGACACCACGATATTGATAATTTTGAGAGGTTTTTTTTTTTTTTTTTTTTTTTTTTTTTTTTTTAGTACCCATTGGTTGTAAGCCTCAATTGAAACGGTTTGGTCGTGTCTGAATTATTTAAGGAGAAAATTGATAATGTTGCAAAGAGAAATAATTAAGGAAATTTTACAATATGTTACTGTCATACCCTTCTGTTGTTTCTTCCATCTCAATAAAACATTTCTGAATAACCTTTCTTAGGACCCTCCTGGCCAGTGCATTTCCAGCTGTACCCTCACAATTGACTCTCAAGAGGTATTTTGGAGTGTTCCAAAAATGTTAGTTTGAACTTCATTAAGAATATTTTAACTGTCTTAAGACATACATTAAAAATAAAACATATATTTTAACATATTGATGATATGTACTGCCACACCAATTGTTGGTGCAGCCAGATAAACTTAGCTTTGTGAAAACCTCACAGGAATGTTTCTTCTGCTAGACTGCAAGCTATTTAAAAGCTTTTGCCATTTACAACAGCTTACAATTCGAATTTTCTCAATTGTGTAGAAACAAAATGTATAGATACATTAAATGCTGAAGCTTGTCATCTGTGACATTCATTTTCTAAAATTTTACTTATTATTTTAAATGACTTTGTGGTACCTAATTGTTATAAATGTGAAGATCCAAGATAGAAAACATTGTTTTATACACCGGAGTTCTGTCATAAGATTTTTGCTTTGGAAAAAAGATCCCTTTGCTAAATATGTTTAACAACTGTTGATTTAAGCTCTTGTCTTGCTTTATTCCTCATGCACAATTATGATAACTTAGCAGAATTGGAAGCTTCATCTTATAAAAACAATTCAAGTAAGAATGAGCTGCTGTGATGGTAGTAGTACCAAAACAGATATATAGAGCAAGGGCACAGAACAGAGGCCTCAGAAATAGCGCCACACATCTACAACCATCTGATCTTTGACAAACCTGACAAAAACAAGCAATGGGGAAAGGATTCCCTGTTTAATCAATGGTGTTGGGAAAACTGGCTAGCCATATGCAGAAAACTGAAACTGGATCCCTTCCTTACACTTTATACAAAAACTAATTCAAGATGGATTAAATACTTAAATGTAAGACCTAAAACCATAAAAAGCCTTGAAGAAAACCTAGGCAATACCATTCAGGACATAGGCATGGGCAAAGACTTTATGACTAAAACACCAAAAGCAATGGCAACAAAAGTCAAAATTGACAAATGGAATCTAATTAAACTAAAGAGGTTCTGCACAGAAAAAAAAAAGCTATCATCAGAGTGAACAGGCAACCTACAGAATGGGAGAACATTTTTGCAATCTAGCCATCTGATAAAGGGCTAATATCCAGAATCTACAAAGAACTTAAACAAATTTACAAGAAACAAATAAACAACCCCATCAAAAAGTGGGTGAAGGATATGAACAGACACTTCTGAAAAGAAGACATTTATGTGACCAACAAACATATGAAAAAAAGCTCATCATCACTGGTTATTAGAGAAATGCAAATCAAAACCACAATGAGATACCATCTCATGCCAGCTAGAACGGATATCATTAAAAAGTCAGAAAAAAACAGATGCTGGAGAGGATGTGGAGAAATAGGAACGCTTTTAGACTGTTGGTGAGAGTGTAAATTAGTTCAACCATTGTGGAAGACAGTGTGGCGATTCCTTAAGGATCTAGAACCAGAAATACCATTTGACCCAGCAATCCCATTACTGGGTACATACCCAAAGGATTATAAATCATTCTACTGTAAAGACACATGCACATGTATGTTTATTGCAGCACTGTTCACAATAGCAAAGACTTGGAACCAACCCAAATACCCATCAATGATAGACTGGATAAAGAAAAGGTGGCACATATATACCACGGCATACTATGCAGTCATAAAAAAGGATGAGTTCATGTCCTTTGCAGCAACATGGATGAAGTCGGAAACCATCATTCTCAGCAAGCTAACACAGGAACAGAAAAACAAACACCATATGTTCTCACTCATAAGTGGGAGTTGAACAATGAGAACACATGGACACAGGAAGGGGAACATCACATACCAGGGCCTGTCGGGTGATGGGGGTGGGGGTGGGTAGTGGAGGGATAGCATTAGGAGAAATACATAATGTAGATGATGGGTTGATGGGTGCAGCAAACCACCATGACATGTGTATACCTATATAACAAACCTGCACATTCTGCACATGTATACCAGAACTTAGAGTATAATAAAAAAAAACAAGATAGGAGATGGAAAAAAAAAAAGAATGAGCTGCTGTGGTGAATCACATAGAGTGATTTTATTTCCCAATGCTCCTCACAGAAGCAGCAATATTTTTGTTTTTAAGAGTGATTGATGTCTGCTGCTGTCTGGTCTTTCCTCTCTACTTCAAAATTATATATATACATATATAAAATTATATCTATAAGGTATCTATGTATTTATGGAGGTATATGTACACATATGTTCATATGAGTGTATATATATACATACATATATACTTGTGTGTATATATGTATATACATCTACACATATATACAACCACGTATATATGTGGAGATGTGTATGTATATACATATGTATGTATATATGATTACACATGTGTACACACAATTACATATATGTGTAATTATATATACATAGGGACATGTATATACAAACACATCTATACATGTGTAATTATATATATATACACACTATATACATTTATATATGTGTATATTTTTTGAGGGTCCTTGTGTTTTAAGGAAATGTACCAATAGTGTAATACTATCCTCACTCCTTCCAGGCTGACCTGTTCCAACTGGAACCCTATGTTTCACAATTTATAGAAAAATGATACCACCAAGCAATTGAGAGGGTCAACATTATCTCTGATAATAAAGTTTAAAGATGGTATGGGATAAAAAATTGTGTGTTTTGATGTAAAATCACAGAAGCTTGAGATTTTACCTTTAATGAGGGAAGAATGGAAAGGTAAAAGACGGACAGGGAACTGACTGATGTCACTAATAGTTGTAAGAGTTTGTAATCTTTTCTGCTGGCCAGAATACATATATGACAGCTTGAGCTCCAGCAGCTATCCTGGACTCCGAGTGGAACTTGGAGGTAGAATGTACATACTTAGAATGATAAAGCAAAAAGACTAAAAGGGCTTGGGCTCTTGCTGGCCGTGGGACTTCCCTCCTAACATTGGATTGCCTGCTTCTGGATTTACTATACATGAGGGAAAAAAATCAACTCTTAAGGGTTTAAGCCACTGCTATTTTGGGTTTTCTGTTTCATGCCACCAAATCCAAGAGTAATACCTTCCAGTGGTGGTATCTGCATTTCAACAGGCATTGAAAAGTTAACCAAAAAATGAAACTCTGTCCCCAAGTTTCAGGCAGAAACCAGCAGCAGGATTTTGAGATCTTAGATCTTCTTTGGGATTTTGAGATCCTTGTTGGGATGTATCCCTAATATCTACAAAAATAGAGCTGTATTTTGTAATTACCTTCTACCTGAGCAACTCTGCTATGTTAATCAATCTATAAAATAACATGAAAATGCTAAAAAAAAAATAGTTGTAAGAGTTTGTTACATCATAACACTGGCTGCATAATTAGTCAAGGTAACTGGTTGTTCTACACACAAAATTTGAATTTTTCCTTCTTTCTGCCTTGTCATGTCCACACTCTTTCATCTTTGTGTTTTAGTACTGTCTGGTATCCATGTCTGTCACTACAACCTGAGTTCACTTTTTTAGACATTAGTTCAACTTACTCTCATCTGAACCAAACCTATTCTGTGCTCAAATCTCTGAGTTGATGGGTTGATACCAATTTTGCCCTTTCAAAATAGGTAAATACTTTTTCTTCTTATAAGAAAGTTGCAATATTTCCATTTTAATTCAAAGGAATCACATGGGTTTTAGTTCTGACTTTCACTGTCATTGATTTAAATGTTAAAGTCATTGACTGTCACCTTAACTGATCAGAGGAGAGTTACTCTAAAGTGTAGGCAACTTTGGAGACAATTTGGGGATAGAGCCATTTTTCATAGTATATTTTAAAAGTACTTCTTGTTGTTTCTTTTTTTTTTTTTTTTTTGAGACGGAGTCTTGCTTTGTCACCCAGGCTGGAGTGCAGTGACTTGATCTCAGCTCACTGCAGCCTCTGCCTTTCAGATTCAAGCAATTCTCCCACCTAGGCCTCCCGAGTAGCTGGGATTACAGGCACCCATCACCACACCCCGCTAATTTTTTGTATTTTTAGTAGAGATGTTGTTTCGCCATGTTGGACAGGCTGGTCTTGAACTCCTGACCTCAGGTGATCTGCCCGCCTCAGCCTCCCAAAGTGCTGGGATTACAGATATGAGCCACCACACCTGGCTTTTGTTGTTGTTTCTTAACTCCCATATAGGTACAAGGTGAAAAAATTCTGCTCTATTGCATTACTATAGCTGGGATGTCTCCAATTATGTCCAATAAATGTACACAAATTTTGGTAGCAATGAATGTCAATATTTATTAACAGAGATAGCTATTATCAGAAAGGAAGTGGGAGTCAAACTTTACCTCAAAAAATTCTCTTCATATTCATCAATTATGAAGTGGCCATTGGAACATTTTGTGAATTGTCAGATTGTTGGGAAAACATATCAATGTATTTTTCATTCTATCCCTAAATGTCTTAATTTAAGTATCTATTTCCAAAACTGCTATTTAAGTATGGCTAGGAATTGGAGGTTCATAAAATGTCCTTCGCCCCTCAATACACCATGGTACAGAAGATATTATTGTTTGTTATCATACCGTCTCATCAGAACAAAACTTTTTTGCTCAGTTTGGCTGCAGGCAATAGACATGCAGATATAGTGCCATAATCTATGATCAAATCACTAACTCTGCTCCAGATTATAGTGTCATTGACTTTGGAGAAGGCTTTCCATTTTGTTATAAAACATTTCCAGCCATCTGAGGCAAGGACCTTTTCTACCTGATCAAAATGGAGGTTTTGATTAAATTAGTAAATTAGAAGAATTTACCTGGATATCTCCTGAGAGAAGTCCTGCAGTAAACAAAGATAATAACCTAATACAGCATTCAGACAAAACCATTTAATTATGTTCAAGTGCTATTTCTTCAACTTAATTCACAAGGAGTCTACTTTTCTGTCAAATACCTGTTAACATTCCAACAACTAGTCTTCCAAGGAACATACACACTTTCAAAAAACATTGGCATAGTGTTCATATAGCACACCCAGGCAACGATCATCCAAGGAATAATCCAAGCCAAACGATGAGGGAAGAAAAGGCTAAAACTTTTCGCTGTAGGGTAGTTGAATTCTCAATTCATAATACAGTAACAACAACAAAAAAAGATGTTGTAAGTAAAATCGTATATAAGTAAAAACTGAACATTCTTGGCATTTAAATAACCATAAACACACAATTTTTAAATTTTGTCTTTTGGAGGAGCCATGTTGAAGTAGCCTACCTGTATTATAACTTTTAATACAAATTCATTCTAATGATGATCCAATGGTTTGAAAATTTTTACTTCCCTCCTTCAAGAATGCTATACTTCTAATAAGCAGGACAAATCTGGAGAGATCCTGCATTATTATGTTCTATTGATTTATATTCCATTTTTTCTGGCAACATGAACATATTCAAATAATTGAAAGATTCAGGATTTACTTTAATTCACTTAGCACTTAAGACATTTCCCAGTTTTTGGAATGTGAGCACAATAACAGCAGTAGGCTTCTGCAACACTTTCAAATTCTTATGAACTGGGAAAAGAAGGCTGACTCTATGATCTAATTAAATAAAATGGACAACTGTTTTGCAATTCTGGCTTGAGATTTTGATGAATTATGAGGATGCATATATAAGTAAATTTTTTAAAAGTATTTAAGAATGAATGTAAAGTCTGCTTTCCTCCCATAATTTGTGCTTTACTCTAGATAGTCACTCTTGTAAATAAATGAAAATATTTTACATATTCCTAGGACATAGTAAGAACTCAATAAACATGAAATACTACTATTATTAATCATTATTATCAGACATTTACTGTACGTTTTTTGTTAAAAAAAAAAAAAACAAAAAACAAAAACCTGAGTGGCTATGTAAAACAATTGAATCTGTAACTTTTTCTTGAGATGGGGCCTTGCTCTATTGCCCAGGCTGGAGTACAGTGGCAAGATCATAGCTCAGTACAGCCTTGACCTCCTGGGCTTAAGGGATCCTCACGCCGCAGCCTCCAGAGTAGCTGGGACCACAGGCACATGCCACCACACCCAGCTAATTTGTTTTAATTTTTTGTAGAGACGGTGGTCTTGCTATGTTGCACTGGCTAGTCTCAAACTCCTGGGCTCAAGTGATCCCCCCACCCTGGCTTCCCAAAGTGTTGGGATTACAGGTATGAGCCACTGCACCCAGCATAATTTGTAACTTTTTGATCTGAATGTTAAACTTGTTGAACCCCAGAGCTCTCCTGTGGGCACCACATAATATTAATTGAATTAATTGTATTGATCACTGGACCTGTGCTTTGGGGAAGTAGCTGCCATTGGTCTCTTATGTGTTCTCTAGATCCTTCAGCCCTGTTGCCTGGAACCAACCTGTTGATGAATAAAACCTATTCTCTCTGAATGAAAAAGTTGTTCAAAACACCTGGAGTGGTCCATACCAATTACACATGACATGAGTCCTCTGCTCAAAGCTTCCTCTCATCACTCCACATGTGATTGCTTCGTGTCAATGAACTTTAGTGTACTTCAATTTCCTAGCAATCAATATTGATACAAAACAGTCTAACAATGTAATGACTGTTTGTTATGAAAGTCAATCAAAGGAGCAGAGATGTAGAATGTACTCCCTGAGTGACAAGTTATTCTGACAGGAGGATATTTCCATGTTTAACAATCCATCTCTGCCTCATTCAGGAAGTTGATCTCCCTGCCGAAGGTGTTGCTGAAATATTGAATGGAAAAATGTGCAAAGCGAAGACGGCTCCTCCCTATAGTAGGAAATACGGAAACACATGATCAGACATCTGTGAAGTGACTGAAATGTGTTTTCCTCCACTCTGTCTTATATAAACGTCCCCCTCTGAAACCATTTTATAAATAAGAATAAAATTGCTCTTAGATTCTTCTAGAATATTTGAACCTGACTTTTTTTGAAATAAGTCCCATGAAAGGAAATGGGAAAACAGCATTCCAATAGCAATATATGAGCCCTAAGAGGACAATTCAAATATAAGAAATATTATGTGGGAGAATTAAATATCCTTTTTTAAAAAATTAAAAACTGCTTGAATTCAGAAATGGATACTAAAAGAAACAAGGCAGATAAAATGTTAGGATTTATATTGAAAAAATAAAGCCAAAAACTGAAATCAAGATTATTTTACTGTCTAATATTTTGTCATGGATGATATTCCTTCTAATACAAAAAGTTTAAAACAAATTATTTTCTGGGCTTGTAATAAATTCTTCTGTGGTGTGTTTAATATTTATTATAGACTACCTTGAATAAATGAATCTCACCAAAATCTCAAGTCAGGATAAAAATGAGCTGCTTTACAAAGATTACCCCCGGGGAAGTGTAAGAGGCAACTTACTTTATAAATACTGTGAAGACTTGAGGTTTGGATGGTGGTTTTCTTTTTTGTATTCACTGAGTAACACAACTTTTTACAAATATTTTTGGAAATTCCCACGCAGCTGCTGGGGAAAATATTCCCCTACTATCGAAGTAAGAATATACAGAAATGGCATGCTCCTTTATTAAACTAGGCTTCACACACTCTTTTCCACATTTCCCTACTCATCACTAACTCACAACAATTTTTTAGTTAAAAGTCTTATCTTTACCATATGAAAGGTTTATCAGACAAGGAGGCAACCATAAAGATCAGCTCGGTCAACATAGAGGCTGGAAGAATTCGGGGTGAGAGTTGATAATGTTCTCAATAAAATTATAGGTTACATTAAAATCTTGTTATGTAGTATCGAATCATGTGAAAAACACACGATTCAGTTTGAAAAACATAATAATTTTAGCACCAGCCTCCCAGTTTGGAATTTGTCTATTAATACTTCTAATCGCTTTTTCTCTTTTCTTCTTGGATAACAAGAGTTAAAACTGAGATTTCTCTTCAATTTCGGCTTGAGCTGAACCAGGAAGTGAGGGATGAAAGAGGAGTCTATGCTGTTTACTACCTTTTTCTAACAAAGCCTTTGAAAATATCTTTCCTATTTGGCTCCCTGGTTAAATACTTACTCGGGGCCAAAGCACACACCTGCTGACTTATTTCTCTAATTCACATTATAGCATTCTCAACAATTCTGCAGCCTTCCTGCTTGCCCTTAAAGTCCTGCTCCAGGTTATTTGCTCTGACTCTGTTTTCTCAGCATGCTTAATAGGACACGCACAGATGCTATCAACGGCCTTATTTAATCCTTTGCTGGTGCTATGCAATTCGGAAAAAAAAAAAGTATTGTACACAACTTGAAACCAAATTAAATTTGCCCTTCAGTTTGTAAAAGCCCTGAAGATTCTGAGATGGAAAGTTCGAGCAAAAGTGAGAGTCTCTAACTTTTATGTCATATCTTATGAACTATTGGAGGAAGGTAAGTTATTAAGCTCTCCCTGTTTGGTCTGCACAGAATAAGTAGGAGAAAATTCTATCTCCCTACCTACATTTTATTCATTCCTTTGTCTCTCTGACCTCTCTAAGCACCTCTGGAGAAGAGAAATTAGCAGGAAATGTTGGCAGTCTGATCACTTGTGTGTGCACCTGAGGTTATTACGAGTATTCTGAATGTGAACTGCTGTTGTAAGCACTGCACACACCTTATAGAAGAGGCCAGGGAGGTGTAGAAAGACCTTGCTTTTTTAAAATTTTTTTTGAGATGGAGTCTCACTCTGTCGCCCAGGCTGGAGTGCAGTGGTGCGATCTCGGCTCACTGAAAGCTCTGCCTCCCGGGTTGACGCCATTCTCCTGCCTCAGCCTCCCGAGTAGCTGAAACTACAGGCGCTTGCCACAACGCCTGGCTAATTTTTTTTTTTTTTTTTTTTTTTTTTTTTTTTTTTTTTTTTTTTTTTTTAGTAGAGACAGAGTTTCACCGTGTTAGCCAGGATGGTCTTGATCTCCTGACCTCGTGATCAGCCCACCTCTCAAAGTGCTGAGATTACAGGCGTGAGCCACCGCGCCCAGCCTCCTTTTGCCAGAAATACAGGTTTCTTGCACCTTCTTCTCTGACAGAAAAAAGAAAAAAAAATAGGTCTCTCTAGCTGATTCCAATTGCAGAAAAGTAGGAAAAACAATACCCGTGAGTACCTATATATCTATGACCTAGATTTACCACCAAATGGTAAATCTATATATGTGCCCACATTTCTGAATTATTTGTACAAGTTACAAACATAAACTTCACCCCAAAACACTTCTCCCATGCATCATCAAAGAACATTCTTCTATATAACCATATTCCCCCCTAACTGTACATAGACATAATAATATTATTTAACATACATATTCCACATTCAGATTTCCCCAACTTGTCTCACATTTTCTCTGATTTGGGATCCATTCAAGAATTATGGATTGCATTTAATTGACATATCTTCTTCTCTTATCTTTCATGACACTGAACATTTTCAGGAATCTTGGCAAACTGTCAGGTAAAGCAATCTATTATCTGTGTTTGTCCATTTGTTTCCTTGGTATTAGGTTTAATATTCTTCTATGGATACAACATAAATAATGTTGTGTTCTTCCCATTTTATTGTCTTAGGAACCACATGCTACCAGTTGTGCTATTATTGATGATGCTAATTTGAGTCACTTGGTTGAGACAATCAATGTCTGCCAGATCTTCTCATTGTAAAAGAGGATTTTTTTCTTTGTAATTAGTAAGTAATCTGTAGGGTGATACTATAAGACCATATGAATGTTGTTCTCTAGCGACAATGTGCTCAGTAGTTTTACCATCCATTGATGATCTTTGTCTCAGGTAATTATTACATTAAGATGGCCATTTTCCAGTTTTGTCATTCCCCCTCCACTCACAAGCTGGTATTCTTCTGTAAAAATAATGTCCTTCTTTCTCTCTTCTTTTTCTTCTTGTTGAGTAGCACTATGGGTAGAGGAATCTTTCTTAATTCAATAAAATGTAACACTTAGTGTATATAAAATGTATGACTATATAAAAAGATGACTTTTATTTATTAAAATTATTAATTCTGAAACTCATACCTAGACTCATTTTGCATTCTTTTTAAATCAGTGTTCTCAACCAATACAGAACTCCTGAAATATTTATTTCATGCTTATATAGTTGCAAGGTTTTCAAAACAGACATGAAGAGAAACAAGATCTTTGTTTCTTGGAATTCAATATACTAATCAGATGGCCAGTGGTTATGGGAATTTTCACTTATAGAGAAAACAGAACCAAGCATAGAATTTGGCAATTTAGACCATGACAGTCCTTTGCAATTGCAAAAAAAGCCCCAAAAGTCTTCCATATTGAGAAGGAGAGTTCGCTGGAAAGATAAAAATAAGAAACTGATTAACTGAAATGAAAACAGAAAAAAATCCAAAGAACCAGCCAACACACTAATAAAAGAAACCCAGAAGCAATCAAAAAGCATAATTTGACTTGTATAGGCTTATAAGAGTGCTGATGGTGAACGGTACATTTTTAATAAGAAAACCAGATGTGACATACATTTTATCCAATTCATCCTTTTTTTTCTTGGCCTGCTGCAATTGCATAGTTCCAAAACCAAACTACTATTTCAAGATGGCAGTCTTCTTCCACATAATTTTAGGTAACTTTTAAAGGAGTGAAAAAACAAATAGGGTTACTTTTCTAAATTACAGAATTTAGAATATTTTCACAGAAAAGTTCATCTACTCTTAGAGTCCAATCTATTTTCTAAAAAATGTCCCTCGCTTAAAAAGATGACAAAAGTTCAAGAGTTCCTTAGTTATTACTTGTTTGCTGCAACTCTCATTTCCTAAAAATTATTCTATCATTTTTTGACTGTGAAATAGTATATGCAATGTTGTGTGTACAAGTTTCTTTTTTAAAAAAAGGAGTGCCAGAAAGAGAAAAAGAAAGAGTGAGAGAGAGAAAAAAGAGAGAGAGAGATTGAGAAAGAGAGGAGGGAAGGAAGGAAGGAAGGAAGGAAGGAAGGAAGGAAGGAAGGAAGGAAGGAAGGAAGGAAGGAAGGAAAGAAAGAAAGGAGGGAGGGAGGGAGGGGAGGGGAGGGAGAAAGAATCCTTCTGTTTCAGGGTACCAACAAAGTCAAGTTAAAGTGATAAACACCATACTGGATGGGTTCAAGCTATTGCAGGTAGAATGCAAAGCAGGTGTATATTCAAGACGGAAACTGAATTTCCTGGAGTGTGTTACTGTTTCCATACTGGGGAAGTGGCATAAATGGTTTATGAAAGAGAGGGAGGGAGACAAAGTTAGCAAGAGAGTTTCAATATGTAAAGGGCAGACAGAGATGGGATAGTTCTTGAGTACTAAATGAGTATCATCCAAAGAAGAAACTAATATAAGAGGTTAGAAAAGAAAATCAAAAGATAACAATTTTAAATTACCAAGAATTGAAAGCAGAATAATTCGAGGCAGTAATAATAACAAATGTAATTTATTGGATTTGAATCATCCTCCAGCACTTCACATAGTTATCTCTTTTAATCCCAACACCAGCCCTGCAAAACAGGTGTTATCATTCCCATTTTACAGATTAGGAATCTGAGGTTCACAGACATTCTCTTATGTGCCTAAGTTTCTAAATGAGGAATGTGAGGTTCCCAAAATATACTTCCTTCACTGAGGAACATTCCCCTGGTGAATGATGATGCTGGGTGTCTGATTCCAGTACATGCCCTCATCGAAGCCCAGCTGCATCAACCCACTTAACAGTGTGGGTGGGTGGCTGATTAGTGGTGTTCCACCTAGAAATAAAGCTAAGGAGAAGAACAGAACTTCGTGAGGTTCACAGTCAACCTGCACAGGCCCACATTACATGGCTACTAATGTGCTTAACTGGCTTCCTGAGGGAATGCAGGCTGCTATGTCCAGAAATGAGGCCCCAAAACACAATTTCTAAAATTGCATAATATAGGTGTATATATTTATAAGGTGATTATAAATAGCTAAAATGAAATGTAGTGTGGTTCAAACTGAATTATTATGAGTCATGTATTATCTATCAGGTCTTCTTTTGAAAGATGCTTTGACATTGCACGTTCTGATTACTAGTTCTCTTCCTGGGTATAACTGCGGTGCCCTTGTTTAAACAAATAGCAGTGAATGCCATGAATTCAGGGAAATGTTTGCAGTGAATTAGGGCTTAGGATTGTTCTTTGCATTGGTCCCATTCCAGGAAGTAACTGACTCATTTTATAATGGAATCGTCCTAAAAGGATAAATCAGGGTGACCCACTTGGAGTCTTTTAAAACAATGGCTACATCTCTACATTTCTAAAAAGAAAAACAACCTGGAACATCCTAAATCAGAACCATGCCCAGAAACAAAAAGATCTGCCTCAGAAAAGAGGGTGAGTCCGGGGAGGCATTTCATACCCTGTCATGTCAAGTTGATGATAATTGGTTTTACCTGGCACTCCCACCAAAGCCGTATCATTCATTACCTTGTCAGAATAAATCTACCTGCCGTGTCACAGGTTTGATTAAGAAGCCCTTACAATTTTGTAATAGCACCTTAGCCTGAATTTGTGTACACTTCTTCATAAAAATGGATGCTTTCAGATTACATACTGCTGGGACTGGGTGTTCTCATTGTAAACAGTAGTCTTACGAACTTAGGCTGGCATCAAAACCGGCCTTGTGTGCTACTGAGATGTCTTCAACTTAATCCCAGAGGTTTAATATCATTGCCCACAGGAGAAATAAGGTACCTAGAATTGCTAGCAGAGTGAGTACCGTTTCAGTCATGCCCTGTTACTGTTATGCTAGATTTTTAAATTTTAACTTTTTTTCTTTCTCTCTCTCTCTCTTTTTTTTTTTAAGGCATCAGCATGTGTCATATCAAGGCTTCAGAACGCTTTGCTCCACATGGCAATGAAAGTGTTTACCAAGTTTGAGTTGTTTGTGCCCATAAAATGCAGTAGAAATCTGAACTCTGCCTCATTTTCAGAGCATGGCTACCAACTGGCCTCTGTAGGAGCCCATGTGGTTGGAAAGAAATACTAAAGTTATTTGGACTTGAAAGCTTCTGGAAAAGGTTTTAGCTACTCCAGAGGGTAAGCAGTTTGGCAGATAAGGCCATTGAATAAGAGGCTCTCTGATGAAACTCTGTCTGCACCAAGAGGTGGGAAGAGAAATAACAGTTATTGAGGGCATACTTTACCAGGCATTGTCCGTAATCATGATGAAACCCAGCTACCACCTGCACAGCTTGTGCTGGGTGCCATTGTGCTTTACACAGTCTAGTATATTTCTTGCACCTCGGGTAAGTACAATTATTCCCATTTTTTTCTAGCAAAGGAGCTAAAATGGAGAAAACAGGTAATTTATCAAAGACTATAAACTTAGTAAATTAGAAAACGAGTTTCAAATATGATTATGTCTGAATGCAAATTTTTGTAATACACTAAGCTGCCATCTGATTGAGCCATTTTAGTATGACCTTTCTGTGCTCAAAAGGAAGTTGAGGGAGGTAGGTGAGGCTAGTACAGAAAAGGACTTTTGAGATAAAAGTGGCTGGGAGAAGCAGAGCCTGGAGAAGTCACAGAAGGCGGGGTGGAGCATGAATGAACTGAGGACTTTGTGACCAGTTGGAAGCAGCAGAAAAAGAGATCCTCAATTAAAAATCCTGGTAGAAGTGGTCTGGTAGATCAGAATAAAGGACTGTTTGAGATGAAGTCAGATGTTAGCACAGCACCTAACTATGAACTCCTTTTTTAAAGCAGTGAATATACTGGTCAAATGTTCACATAAAAAAGAGTCAGAGAAAATCTGAAGTCTTTTTGTTTGGGATTTTCATAAGGATGCTTGTTCTTATATTTTAGATGGATCATCTTACTCTTCAACAAATAATATGGTCTGAAAGTTACTTTTCAATTAGTGGAGACATTTTTTGAATAAAAACATAATGTCTTCAGCTGGTCAACATGAATTACAATATTTATCTAATAAAGAATGACTGACTTTTGCCCCTATCATGAAGTAAACGAGAATGAATTGGACAACCAAAGTTTTCATTCATACAAAGTCGTGCTTTGTTTAGAACTCATCATCCATTACACATCCTCTGAACTTTATTTCTCTTATTTACCAAGTATCATGATTGAGCAACAACAGAGAATTGAGAATCTTTCTGTATTAATTTGTTGGTTAATATTATGAAAGTTCCATATGAAAATGCTTTAACATTTTTTAATAAATATTGCATTAATTAAGTTAGAAAGCTACTTTTTAAAAAAATTTGTGGGCCGGGCACGGTGGTTCACGCCTGTAATCCCAGCACTTTGGGAGGCCGAGGCGGGCAGATCATGAGGTCAGGAGATCGAGACCATCATGCCTAACGTGGTGAAACCCTGTCTCTACTAAAAATACAACAAAAATTAGCAGGGTGTGGTGGTGGGTGCCTGTAGTCCCAGCTACTGGGGAGGCTGAGGCAGGAGAATGGCATGAACCCGGGAGGTGGAGCTTGTAGTGAGCCGAGATCACGCCACTGCACTCCAGCCTGGGTGACAGAGCAAGATTCTGTCTCAAAAAAAAAAAAAAAAAGAAAAGAAAAGAAAAAAAGAAAAAAAAACTTGTGGCAAATACTAATCATTTTAAATTAAGAAGTGGTAATATAAAGAAGTGAACAAACTTCAAACAAGTATAGAAGTAATTATACTCAAAAGTAGAACATTCATTTATTGATTCCAAAATATTTATTAAGTATTTGCCTATGTGTCAAACCCAGCACAAGGAACTGGGAATACAGCCATGAATAAAATATACTAAATGATAGATTCTAAAGAAAAATAGATCAGGATAAGGGGATTAAGGCTGATGCTAGTTACTATTTTAGTTGGAGTAGTTGAGGAAGGTTTCTTTAAGGAAACCACCTAAATAGAGGGAGGATGTCAGCCTTGTAGACATCAGAGAGGGGAATTCCAGGGGGTGAACAACAAGTGCAAAAGTCCTGGGGTAAGTATGGGAGTGACGTGTTGTAGAGAATGAAGTGACGGAGAAGAATGGTTAAAAAAAAAAAATTAGGGCAGAATTTACCCAGGAGCTGGATTTTGCAAGAGTAATGTCTTTGGATTTTTTTCTAGACATGATGGGTTGCTGTAGGAGGGTTTGAGCTGGGGAGTGACATGATCTGAATTGTGTTGCAGAAGCATCAGTCTGGCTGCTCTGTCAACAACAGATTTAGTGACACAGGGGTTGGTACGCCCATTATGAGACTGTGGCAGTGTCGTGAGAGAGAGAGAGGCTGGCAGTGACAGAGTGGTGATGTCATCAGACTGGTGACACATTTTGAGAGTACAGCTGAGATAAAAGGCTTTTCCTATCATAGTGTGACGTTAAAGGAGGAGAAAATGGAAAGGAGAGAAAAGGGACACTTTACCTAGAAGTGTACAATATTTATTTTTTAAACAATAATTATTCTCTTTGTTGACAAGATCTCGTAATGAGGAAAATCAAATTTATTTTGATACATTTATAAGGCTGAGACTCCATTAATTATTTCTAGAGCTAAGGTGATACATTTATTTTTCAATAGCAAAAATAAATCTGCTTTAATAAGAGTTAATAATGATAATTCCATAATTCATTAATTGAGCACTTACTATGTGCCAGGCAGCATGTGAATACCTTTGCAGACTTTATTCACTCTTTTACTATAACCCAGAGAGACAGCTAGGATGTTCTCCGTGTTAGAGATGAGGAAAGTCAGGCTCAGTGAAGCTAAATATTTGACCAAGACCATACTGCTAGAGAATGACACACCTAGGGATTAAAGCCAGGCCTGCTTGGCACTGAACCCAGCTCTCAATATCTAAGTTACTGTGTGCATAAATACATCAAAGCACACAACAACAGTAACAATAGGAAAAATCCTGAACTGTTCAGGTATTTCAAAGGGCATGTGAAACCGGCATACACAATTTTCTTTTGACCATTGACAGCATATAAACACAGTCTCCTCTGGCTGTACTCATTTGCTCTTATTAGCTATTAATTGGGTATGTCGATTTTCCACAAAAACAGAAGTTGACTCATAAGGTGTAAAGAATGCTGAAGCTTTGACTAGGTTATATTCAGCACTCGATGGATTTGATTTTTCTTTTTAAACCACAGTAATGATAAGGAGAGTGGTGAGTTAATCTTTGACTTCCTTTTTAAAAAACACACATAGGAATAGAGAAACCGTCTCTTAAACTTTACCTTACAGATAGTGACATAAAACAAAAATGATATACTTTACAGAAAGTAAAGTCAAATAAATAAACATATAAATAAGTGAATAAATCATGAGAAACTTAAGACGTTCAATAATGATGAGCTCAATCTTCATCCAAAACATTCTTAAAATTGAGTTTTCCATTTATCTTTGTAAAACAGTCTTCCAGGGAAATACATTATAAGAACAGTTTAATTTGTTATGAAGGGCACTTGATAGTTGGTCAAATAATTACGATCATTTTAAGAACAACAAGAACTTTGTAATTAGGGAAATCAAAATTTCCAAGGGTAACAAGTTAACAACATATAAGTTAATAAGGTAAGGGCAGTAGGTTAGAAAGGTTGTGACATTAGTATTCCCTGTTCCTCTCTGCCAGGTAGAATCTTGGCGTTGGCTGTTCTCCCCAACCATCCTGTACCATAGCTGTCTCTGAGCTTAGACAACCCTGACTCCTCCCTTTGTTCCCAGCATCATCACTTCTATTATTCTATGTACCCATGTGTGCTCCTTCCTTAGCCTGGATTGCTCTTTCCTACTTTTTCTGCCAAACTCCTATTCATCCTACTGAAACTATTCAAATACCATTTTCTCTATAAAACCTTTTGGACTCTCTCAAGGCCAAACTAATCTATTATTTTTTTCATAGAGCATTTTTATATTTCTATTACAATGTTTCACAAACTTTACTCATTCAGATGCCACTTTCACAATTTTTGTAATATTCTTCTACCACATGTGTTAGTCAGCATAAGCCATCTTACACTGTAGTAACAAAAATGTGCAATCTCAGTGGTTTAACAAAACTGTACTTTATTTTTGCTCAGACAAAGTTGTCTGTGGATCCTGACAACCCTCCAGGGAAGAACACAAGATAAGGGGAAGAGAATGCTGGAGGAGGTCAACCTGGAAATTCAGTGGGTCACCTGGGACATGCCACATGTTGCTTTTGCTGACCACCCGTAGAACAGAGCTAGTTACAGGCCCCTAAGCCACTGTAAGAGGCAGGGTAGTAAAATCCTTCCAGGTAGCGGGAAAGAGATGTGAACTGGACATGGGTTCACACTAAGAGTCTTTACTACTTATCTATACTAGAATTTGCAAGACTTTTTCTCTTTAAATAAATTCACTATTTTTTTACTTAAATAAATGTATTTAAAAAGAAAACTGCATTTATTAATGAAAAACTTGTATTACATAGTATTATTTATTTTTAACCATTGCAGAACAAAATCACAAGAGTTACATGACCAACAGAGTCTATATATAACTTAAATACATGTTCCATCATTTAAGAACCACTGTTCTAATGTTAAAATATGTAATATTCATTGCGCACCTGGCATGTGCCAGTGAGTGTTCTAGGCATTCCATTTGATTCATGAAACAACCGAAAGTGTTGGACGCTCTCTATTTTCCCCACTGTACAAATGAGACAGGAGAGGCCAAGGAATTTTCCCAAGATCACATAGGTAGTAAGTGGCAGAGGAAGAACATGAATCTTTGTAGCTTGATTCCAGGGGATTCTTTTTCACTTCATCTCCATGTTATGTCTAAGCAACTGGAGGACAGTGACTTTCTTTGCATTTCCATCACAGGCTACACTGCCTGGTATGTACTATGAGTTGAATTCATTTTGCTTCTTTTTAACTTTTATTTTACATACATGTAAAGATTTGTTACATAGGTCAACACATGTCACGGGGGTTTGTTGTACAGATTATTTCATTGCTCAGGTATTAAGCCCAGCCCCTAATAGTTACGTTTTCTGCTTCTCTCCTCCTACTACCCTCCCCACTTAAGTAGAACCCAGTTTCCTACTTTGTGTTCATAATGTCTTATCATTTAGCTCCCACTCATAAATGAGAACATGTGGCATTTGGTTTTCTGTTCTTGCATTAGTTTGCTAAGGATAATAGCCTCCAGCTCCATCCATGTTCCCTCAAAAGACATGATCTTGTTCTTTCTTATGGCTGCATAGTATCATTGCAGAATGATTTCTACTCATCTGGGTATACCAGTTATGGGATTGCTGGGTTGAATGGTAGTTCTGCTTTTAGCTCTTTGAGGAATCACCATACTGCTTTCCACAATGAACTAATTTACATTCCTATCAATAGTGTATACATGTTCACTTTTTGCTAAATAGATCAAATATTTTAATGCCCAAACAGCAATGACATTAGTTACTTTCAAAAAGGGGCAAGGGAGGCAATGCATATAATATTCAAAAAAAATTAAGTAGAAACACAAGATTAGTTAAATTAAAAAATTATGCTCCTTTAATGACACTAGATAATCAAAAGAGATTACTCAGGTCTATCACATATACCTTGGTAAACCAGCTCTAGAAGCCACATGGTCTGATGCTACTCCTCACATCCTCACAATGCCAGGTCACAATGTCCCTAATGTCCTGTAGTTGGCTTAACCCTGAAGCAGTCACTGCTGGTGCTACTGACAGAGCTGTTGACTTAGTTTCACTCCATAACTGAGTCTCGGCTCCTTCTCAGGAAACTTACCTAGACTCTGTTGAACATGACAAGTGGTCCAGGAACACTGTGCTACTAACTGCTTATTTTGTCTAGGCAATACCAAATGGCCAATCTGATTATCACTTTAGTTTGCAAAAATGTAAATAAACATAAGTAAATATTTAAACATTTAGCTTTTTATTAGTCTCATAAGGCCATAATTATGTTATTTGACACCAGTTTGGGATTTCTCCTCCAAAGTTACCACAGAGGAAAACATTATTAATACGATTTTCTTTTTTCAGAGGAGACATCAGGGTGGGGAATAGAAAGGCATTTAACATTACGCTAGGAGCAGTAAATGTTATCTCATTTAATCTTCTGAAGTTCTCCAAGAAATGAATCGTATTATCTTCATTTTAACAAAGAAGAAATTGAGCCTCAGAGAGTATGTAACTCTCTAAGGTCACACAGCTAACAAGTGTCAGAACTTGGTTTTATAGATATTCTCCTGCCATCTAGTTTCTGAAGAAAATCCACTCCTGTTTTGATTTTACTCCTAGTAACAAGAAGGAACTAAACAAAATGCTAAGACGAAGTTAAGTAAAACAAAGAGAAAATTACGAAGTTTCAAGTTTCAAAAGTTCTCACCAAAAGCATTTTCACTAGCAGTGAGCCATAATATTGTCTTCATTTCCTTGCTTTCTCCCTAAATCTACCCCTATGTCTTCTATTCCAGAATCGTGGAAGACCCCACTATACTCTTAACCCAAAGTCCAAAGCCATCTTCTGTTTTCCCTTGCAGCCTTTGTAAATTTCTTTCTTCACTTAGGAACTGTAGAGAAAGGCAACAGACATGTGGAAATAATAATAGTAAAAATAATGGCTAACATTTATTAAGTGTTGCTATGTGCCATAGAATTGGCAATTTAAGTCTCTAGTTAGACGAAATATGATTCATTGACATTTCAAATGAAAATCTACTCATCTTTTTTTTCACACGTACACATAAAAAGATATTCTGAAGGATTTAATTTGAAAAATTAAAATATACAAAGAAAAGAGATGGAAGGTAACCAGAAATGTATCCGTTGCTTAGACTGGTCCCATAAGAAAGAGTATTAGGTGTCCATTGTAGAGGCGGGAGGCATCAATGGCCTAGCTTAGAGCAACAGGACCAGGTGAAAAGTAATGTATGAAGGAAGGGAAAAGAGGAACTGAGAGAGTCCTAGGATTTTCAGCAGAGAGGGGGTATAGCATTGGGCTAATGGGAAGGAAATCCCAAGGTTTTAACTGTATAAGTAAGAAATTCTCTCAGTTGAGTAATACTTAAGGGTCTCATGGTAGCCACTAGCAATTAAGTGATACAAAATAAACCTTTCCTTTATCTTAAATGGGAGGATTTGATTCTTCATATGTTTTTATGACTTTTGATAAGAAAGATTATGCTTTTATGTAAGCATGTCAGAAAGGATTTAAAATGTGCAGCTTTTAATACAATGCTCAACTGAAAGCTTAAGTTTTTATAGGTGAAATACTGGAACCCTATCTCAGGCAGTTGGAGGCAGCACACTAAAATAACAAGGTTCATGGGTGTGAAGCTCAGGAAACTTGTCTTCAGAGAAACTAGCCAGAGATTGATAACTAGGCACATTCTTCAGCAGCCTTAATATGAGTTCCAATAAATTTAACAGGGAAAGCCTCAAGTTACAAAATTACATTTAGTAAAGTTAAATGCTTTGAGAACTAAGTCAACTTTTACTCACATATCACTAAAAATAGTTTTTTAAGGGGTGGATGTTGGTGGTGTGGGAGATGGTTATCCATTTAAAATGTAAGATAAAGCCAGTCTGTTAGATCTACATTAAAGCTTCGTAGAATGTACATAATTAAGGTTGTGTTTAAATCTTTGACATTATTTGCACTACTTGGTAATATATTTCTCAGGAAAAAAATGGCTTTAATAGAAGACTTACTTAAATCAAAAAAAAAAATACTAAGACTCAGAAAACCTCCAAATAAAAAGTATTATTACAATCATCTATAAAACAGAAGTCCAAAAGTATTATGAAGGGACAAAGTTTAGCCATGGTAAGGCAGCCAAATCAAATTCCTGGGAAGACTGGAAGGCCTTCTGCTCTGGGCACTTTGCTACATGTTTGGCATATGTGGGAAGGATGGTTGGTTCCTGGTGAAAAACAATATGAAGGGATCAGGTATTATAAAGAAGCTATTTATGTTAGATGACCCTAAAAATCTTGTTCTTTCATAATTTATTCATGGCACCTTCATAGGAAATCACTGATTTAACAGAAACAAAAAAAAAAACTATTCTCTAGAATTTCGGAATTTATCCAAGGAATCAGAATTCCATCATGCAGTTCATTAGAAAGGAGCCAACATGTGGAACTCATTGTAACAGTGTTGAAAGTTTGCAAACATGGGTCAGTGAAGCAACCCAGAGATCAGCAAAGAAGGGAAGAGCAGCCATAATAGAGCTAGAGGTCTCCAAGGAGGCTGTGATGTAACCAAAGCCGGGAGTCACACCAGTTACCCTGCCTGGCCCACACCAGGACTGTGAGGGGACGCAACCACAGCTAGAGATGCTTCCCAAGGAAAACAGGTGAAAGTGGCTTTATTTCTCCACACCTCCAACCCTCCTCACTCCCACCAGTGTCTCTCCTGGACAAATCCAGCCTAAAGTCACTTGACAAGGAAGCCTGAGAAGTGCATTTTTTAGGAATCACATCCTGTGATAAAGAACAGAACCAGGGAAGGGCAAATGCACAATGACAGCCATACCCTCCTATCAAAAAATGTGTTTTTGCTACTGCTTATATGCTGACTATCCCCAAAATGTTTTTTTAAACCAAAGTTTTGGTGACACAGGCTTTATGTTGAGACATCCTCAGCATTAATATGCAGGTAGAGTGAGAATTCTACTCAATAATGGTGCCAAAACTCAAGTGGAAGCCAGCAGATACCATCAAGAAACTTTCACAAACACTGTAAACGTGGAGGAAATCAAGTATTATTCTCATAAAAAAGACTTTAGGAAGATTAAAGCTGATTGCAGAAGATGGCACATATGTTCCCAAAAATTTCTATAGGTTTTTCCCTGCAACTATTTTCTGGGAGTGGAGTAGATATGTGAAAAATGAGACTTTTTAAATGTTAAAAACTACGATTAAAAAAAAGAGAGTGAATGGTTACAATGTGTCAGGCATATAAAACAAGTTTGTAAACATTATCTCATTTAAACTTGTTTATCTCACATTTATCTCACACTAAATTTGGTGAAAAAGCATTTATAGCCCATTTTACAGATCCTAAAACTGAGCCTTAGAGACTCAGTAAGTGACTTCCTTAAGGTTATGCATTAGGTAAATGCTAAAGCTGGAGTACAAACACAAACCTTACAGTGTCTCCATACTCAGAACTTAGGTCTAGTGCTAATGTATATATAAATGATTGGTAAGTTATTAATGGATAGAAATGACATTTTAAAAGCATATAAGGAGCATGGATGTTTCTACTGCATCCTGACAAGTAAGAAGTTGAACAAACTGAAAAATCAGCAACTCTTCTTAGAACTGTAAGTCATAGGGCAAACTGTGACCCCCAAAATTGGAGAAATAGATGAGCAGGTACAGAGTATCACATACTAGTGTAGAAACCCATGAGCAGAAATCTTCACAGGAACAAGTGCTGGGGTAGGAAACCTAAACTGTAATTGGTGAATTGCCGGAGGCTCAGTGTGATTGAGTCACAGAGTGGTCCCCACACTTTCATGAGTTTTTCCTCCAGGAGCTCTACCAGGTTCTCATGGTGAATATTAGAGAAAAATCTTGTGTTTTTAACAGAACTGGGGGAAGAGACGATTTTGAAATATACCAGAGCATTCTGTTCTTCTTAAGAGGTCTTTACTTAATAGAAATTATTTGAAGAGAAACAACTGCTGGAGTTTTATCAGAGCCTAACTGATCTGGGGAAAGGGAAGTACCCAACTTTAGCTCCTTTAAACTTCCACACTAAAGCAGGGAAATACCCAACTCCAGACCACTATAGCCATTCTGTCTCATCACGGCAGGGAACATCTAAAAAGAACTTGTTAAAGTCGCAGTCCAAAGACGCAGGCTCACTAAAAGCCTGAGAATTAATCACACATAGAATGCTTTCCTTACCCTCACATTTTACTACCACTTTACTAGCAGTCTAATTACTGCAGTCCCTTTTACCCAGTACATCATGTCTGGCTATGGAAAAACAAAAAGTTACAAAGCACATTAAAAGGCTGAAAGAAAAACCCCACATAATTTGAGGAGGCAGAGGAAGCATCAAAACCAGAATCAGATATGGCAGGGATGTTGGGATTACTAGACAGGAAATTTAAAACAACTATGATTAATATGCTAAAGACTCTAATGGATAAAGTAGACAGCATACAAAAACAGATGGGCAATGTAAACAGAGTGATAGAAATCCTCAAAGAATAAAAAAGAAATTCTATAGAGATGAAAAACACTGTAACAGAAATGAAGAATGCTTTGATGGGCTTATTAGTAGACTACATACACATGGATGAGGAAAGAACCTCTGAACTTGAAGATAACTAAATTAAATCCCCCAAAACTGAGAAGCAAAGAAAAAAAAAGACTGGAGAAAAAAGCATATCAAAGAACTATAAGAAAGCTACTAAAAAAGGTAACATATACATAACTGGGAATACCAGAAGAGAGAGTAACAAAAAATATATAAAGAAATAATGACTAAAAAGTTCCTGAAATTAATGTCAGACGCCAAATGATAGATCTGGGAAGTTCAGAGAACACACACACACACACACACACACACACACACAAAAAAAAAAAAAAAAAAAAAAAAAAAACAGACAAAAACCTATATCTAGGTGCATTATATTTAAATTGCAGAAAATCAAAGATAAAGAAAAAATACTGAAAAAAGTCAGAGGAAAAAACACTTTACCTATAGAGGAACAAAGATAAAAATTACATCTGACTTCTCCTTTGAAACCATGCAAGCAAGAAAAGAATAAAATGAAATTTTTAAATGTTGAAAGAAAAAAATAAAAACCTAGAAGTCTACAACCTGAAAATTATCCTTCAAATGTGAAGTAGAAACCAAGACTCTCAGAAAAACAAAAGTTGAGGGAATCTGTTGCCACTAGATGTTCCTTGCAAAAAAATGTTAAAAGAAGTCCTTTAGAGAGAAGGAAAATTATATAGGCCAGAAACATGGGTCTACGTAAAGAAGAGCATTGGAGAAAGAATAATTGAAAGTATAATTAAAGCATATTTTTCTTGTTCTTCATTGATTCAGCAGATAACAATTTGTTCAAAATAATAGCAGCAATATATTTGATTATGTATGTTTACATACATAGGCTTACGTTTAAGTGAAAGAAATGACAGCAATAAAACAAGAAACAGGAGGGAGGAATTATGATTATTTTGTTATAAAAAGGTAGTTAAGTGTTAACGGTGTTATTTGAAAGTGGAGTTGGATTAGTTGTAAGTGTATTTTGCAAATTCTAAGTTAAACACTAAAAAGAGTTAAAAAGTGCATCTGAAATGCTAAGAAAGAGGAGAAAAATGCTCAGGAAAACCAAAAAAGGCAGAAAAAGTAGTGAAAAAAATAGGAAAAAGGAATGAGTGCAGCATACAGAAAACAGTAACAAATATGGTAGATGTTAATACAACTACATTTAAAAGTAAGTGTTAATAGTGGCCGGGCACGGTGGCTCACGCCTGTAATCCCAGCACTTTGGGAGGCCAAGGCGGGTGGATCATGAGGTCAGGAGATCGAGACCATCCTGGCTAACACGGTGAAACCCGATCTCTACTAAAAATACAAAAAAATTAGCTGGGTGTGGTGGCGGGCACCTGTAGTCCCAGCTACTCGGGAGGCTGAGGCAGGAGAATGGTATGAACCTGGGAGGTGGAGCTTGCAGTGAGCTGAGATCCCGCCACTGCACTCCAGCCTGGGTGACAGAGCGAGACTCAGTCTCAAAAAAAAAAAAAAAAAAAAAAAATTAAATGTTAATAGTCTAAATACACCAATTAAAAGACAGAGATGGTCAAAGTGAGTCAAAAAGAGGACAAAATCATATGCTGCCTACAAGTAACTCACTTTAAATATAAACACACATATAGATTAAAAGTAAATAGACGGAAAAATATATGCCATGCTAACAGTGATCTTAAATTTTAACAAGTGGGAGTGGCTACATAAATTTCAGTCAGAGCAGGACTTCAGAGCAAAGAAAGTTTTCAGAGATAAAGAGGAACATTACATGATGATAAATGGTGAATTCCCCAAGAAGACACAACAATCCTCATGAGTGTGTGCCTAACAATGAGCATCAAAAATGTGAGGTAAAGCCTGAAACAACTGCAAGGAGAAATAGATGAATCTACTATTGTAGTTGAAGACTTTCACAAATCTCTGTCAGAAATGGACAGATCTCACAGGTAGAAAATTAGTTAAGACACAGTTGAATGCAACCAGGGCATTAATCAACTGTATACCATGAACATATACAATTACTTCATCCAACAGCAGCAGAATACACATTCTTCTCAAGCTCACGTGGAACATTCAGTAAGACTGATCATATTCTGGGCCAGAAAACACATCTTAACAAGTTCTTCAAAAATAGAAATCATACAATGTCTGCTCTCAGACCTCACCAGAATTAAACTAGAAATCAATAGCAGAAAAATATCTGGAAAATCCCCCAAATACCTGGAGATTAAACAACACTTCTAAATAACATACAGATCATTGAAGAAATGTAAAGATAAATTTAAAAATATGTTTAACTAAAAAGTGAAACACAACTTAAAATTTACGCAATTCAGTAAAAGAAGTGCTTAGATGGAAATTTATAGCATTGAAGGCATATATTAAAAAAGAAGAAAGATCTAAAATCAATAATTTAAGTTTTCCATTAAGGAACTAGATAAAAGAAGAGAAAATTAAATTTAAGCAGAAGAAAAATAATAAAAATTGGAACAAAAATCAATGAAATTGAAAACAGAAAATCAATAGAGAAAATCAATGAAACCAAAAGCTGGTTCTTGAAAAGATCAATAGATTCAGTAAGACTCTAGACAGCCTAAGAAAGTCAAGAGACAGAACAGAAGTTTAAATATTGGGCATGAACAAGTGGACATACATATCCCATGGATATTAAAAGGATAATAAATGAATACTATGAAAAATTCTATATTCACAAGTTTGATAGCCTAGATAATATGAAGCAATTCCTTGTAAAACACAATCCACCAAAATCACTCAAGAAGGAATATATAAAGTAAATGGCCTATATCTATTAAAGAAATTGAATCAATAATCAGTAACCTATCAAAACAAAAAGCATCTAGTCCAGATGGGTTCACTGGTGGTTTTTATCAAACGTTTAAGAAAAATATTATACTGATTCTCTGCAATCTCTTCTGAAAGAGAGAAACAGAAGGAATACTCATTCAAAGAGGCCAGCATTACCCTAATATCAAAACTAGACAAGGTCACTAAAAAAAAAGAAAACTACAGACCAGTATTTTCCAGGAACATACATACAAAAATCCTCAGCAAAATATTAGCAAATCAAATCCAACAATGTATAAAAAAATTATATGCTATGGCTAAAAGAGATTGATCTCAGATGTGTGTGTAAGACTGGTTCAACATTCTAAAATCAATTAATGTAATATATCACATTAACAGGCTAAAGAAGAAAAAACACATCGTTATATTAATAGATGCAGAAAAAGCTTCTGACAAAATCCATCACCCATTCATGAGAAAAACTTTCAGTAAAATAGGAATAAAGGACAACTCCCTTCACTTAATAAAGAATGTCTATAAAGAACTCACAGCTAACATCATACTTACCAATGAGAAACTAGAAGCTTACTAAGACCAGAAACAAGGCAAAGATGCCCCTGCTCACCAGGGCTTTACAACATCATACTGGAAACCCTACCTAATACAATAATACAGAAAAAGGAAATAAGAGGTATATTGAATGGGAAAGAAGAAATAAAATTTTCTTTGTTCACAGATAACATAATTGTCTGTGTATAAAATCTAACAGAATCAAACAAAAATCTCCTGGAACTAATAAATATTTATAGTAAGGTAGAGGATACAAGGTTAATAATCAAAAGTCAATCATTTTCTTATATACCATCAATGATAAAGTGGAATTTGAAATAAAAAATACAACACCACTTCTTTAGCACCTCAGAAAATGAAATACTTCTGTACAAATCTAACAAAATATGTACAAGACCTCAAGACCTACCTGAGAAAAACTACAGAACTCTGATGAAAGCAATACAATAACCAAAAAACTGGAGAGATGTTCCATTTTTGAAGATAGGAAGACTTAATATTAAGATGTTCATTATACCCAAATTGATCCATAGGTTTAAGGAAATTCCAATAAAAATCCAAGTAAGTTTTTTTTGTTTGTTTTGTTTTTTGTTTTTTTGAGATGGAGTCTCACTCTGTTGCCCAGGCTGGAATGCAGTGGCACAATCTCGGCTCACTGCAACCTCCGCCTCCCGGGTTCAAGCAATTCTCCTGCCTCAGCCTCCCGAGTAGCTGGGACTACAGGCACATGCCACCATGCCTTGCTAATTAATGTTTTGTATTTTCAATAGAGATGGGGTCTCACCGTGTTAGCCAGGATGGTCTCAATCTTCTGACCTCGTGATCCAATCACCTTGGCCGCCCAAAGTGCTGGGATTACAGGCGTGAGACACTGCTCCCGGCCCCCAGAAAGTTGTTTTATGGGTATTGATAAGATGATTCTAAAGTTTATATGGAGATGCAAAAGACTCAGACTATCAGACACAATTTGAAGGAGAAAATAAAGTTGGAGTACTGACATTACCCAACTTGCTATAAAGCTACAATAATCAAGATAGTGTGATACCAGCAAAAGAATAGCCAAATAGATTAATAGAACAAAAGAGAGAGCCCAGAACTAAATCTATATAAACAGTTAACTGATCTTTGACAAAGGAGCAAAAACAATGCAATGGAGAAAAGATAGTCCTTTCAACAAATGGTAATAGAACAACTGGACATCCACATAACAACAACAACAAAAAAGAATTTAGATAGACTTTACAATTTTTATAAAAGTTAACTAAAAGCATACCAAAGATCAAAATGTACAATGCAAAGCTATAAAACTTCTAGAAAGTATAGGAAGAAATCTAGATGACCTTGGATTTGGCAATGACTTTTCAGATATAACACCAAAGGTATGCTCTATGAAGGAAATAATTGATAAGTTGGACTTCATTAAAATTAACTGCTGCTGTAGAAAATACACCATCAAGAGAAAGAAAAGACAAGCCACAACTGGGTCAAAATATGTGCAAAACACATAGCTGATAAAGAGCTGTTATCCAGCAGTGGCTCACACCTGTAATCCCAGCACTTTGGGAGACCTAGGTGGGTGGATCCCTGAGGTCAGGAGTTCGAGACCAGCCTGGCCAACATAGTGAAACCCCGTCTCTACTGAAAATACAAAAATTAGCTGGGCATCACTGTGCATGCCTGTAGTCCCACCTACTCAGGAGGCTGAGGCAGGAGAATCTCTTGAATGCGGGGTGTGGAGGTTGCAGTGAGCTGAGACTATGCCACTGCATTCTAGCCTGGGCAACAGAGTGAGACAGTGGCTCAACCAAAAAAAAAAAAAAAAAGAATTGTTATCCAAATATACAAAGATTCTTACTCAACAATATGAAAAGAAACAATCCAATTAAAAAGTAGTCCAGAGACAATTACATCAAAGTAGATATACAGATGGCAAACAGGATCTAAAAAGAAGCTCCATATCATATGTCATTAAGGAAATGCAAATTAAAACAACAGTGAGATACCACTACCCATGTATTAGAACGGCCAACATGCAGAATACTGACAACTACAAGTACTGGAGATGATGCGGAGCAACAAGAACTCTCTTTCAATAATGGTGGGAATATAAAGTGGTACAGCCACTTTGGAAGACAGTTTGGCAGTTTTTTACAAAACTAAACATGCTCTTATTGTATAATCCAGCACTTGTGCTCCTTGGTATTTGCCTAAAGGAACTGAAAGTTTATATCCACACAAAAACCTTGCACATGAATGTTCATAGCAGCTTTATTCTTAATCGCCAAAACTTGGAAGTATGTGAAATGTCCTTCAGTAGGTTAATAGATAAAATGTGGTACATCCAGACAATGGAACATTACTCAGTGCTAAAAGGAAATGAGCTATCAAGCTATAAAAAGACGTGAAAAAATCTTAAATGTCTATTACTAAGTGAAAGAAGTTCTTCTGAAAAGGCTACATATTTTATAATTTCAAATATGACATTCTGAAAAAAGCAAAACTATAGAAGCAGTAAAAAAATTAGTGTTTGGCAGGGGTTAGCGGGCAGTGATGAACAGGTGGAGCACAGAGGATTGATAGAATAGTGAAAATATTCTGTATGACACTGTAATGGTAGATACACATTTATTATACATTTGTCCAAACCCATAGAATGTGCAATATCAAGAGTGAACCATAATGTAAACTATGGACTTTGGGTAATGATGATGTGTCAATGTAAGTTCATCGGTTGTCACAGATGTACTACTCTGGTGGGAGATGTTGATAATAGAGATACTGTGTATGCGTAGGAGTAGGGGATATGTGGGAAATCTCTGTGCCTTCCTCTCAATTTTGTTGTGAACCTAAAACCATTCTAAAATATGAAGCCTATGAAAATAAACAAAGAAAAGTATATCAACTATGTGAAAAGAGGTATCATGCTTGTTTTTCATGGTTTACCACAGTTAACTTATCGGTTACTTATCTTTTCACAAAGACATTGCCTCTTTCAGTCGCAGACATAGGACTCTGTTGGAAGATCCTCAAATTTTATATTTAAGATTGTAGAGAAAAAATGATTTTTTTTCCTTAGCAAGTAGAACTATGTTGAAAAGAGCCAACAGTTTTCTGGCTTGGATCCATGTTACCCATTTGAGAGCATCAATGTGTGAAGCAATGGCAATATTTGAGTACGTGCAATTAGACTGAGCCCACAGCTTTCATAGAAAAAAAAGCCTTCTTATTTAATATTTAATGATGGCTAGTGTAACATAGGCTCCACATATACAGCAAAAGCAACAACTTCAATCAAAGAATTTGACTAAAATCTAGATAAAAATGAGGCATTATTTTCTTTCCATATTGTATTCATTACAGTATGTTATCATATACTTCAGGGAAATGAGCATAAACATTACAAGTTCTAAAGGTAACACGGATATTTCCCAATGGTAGTTCTTAAAATAATTCCTTTTTAAATGGTGTTCTTCATTTGAATATATTGCAAAATATTTTAATATCCCAAATGATGTCCACACTAAGAATGATATAAAGTTAGCTTCCCATCTCTATTAAAATTTCCTTTGGCAATCAAGTATTTGAAATGTGTGAAAAACTGATTTTTCTCTTTGGCTACTCAGTTTTTATTCATCTTTCTTGTATTCTTAACAAATTTTCAGTTGTACTTGTAACATTCTCTACTGTGACATATAATAGAAAAGCAATTGGCCTCTTATTTTATCCTTCCCACCTTTCTTACCATAGTTTTATGATCACACAATAATTTCAGTTATCATTAACTTGTGTTTTGAATGTATAAACTGATATTTTGCTTACTGCCTCTCTAGGGTTGTTCATCTATGTGAAACACCTAAATAGTATTAAAACAAGTCTAATAAATCCTTGAAGTATCCAATTGGAACCAATATAGACAAATCACTAGGAAAATTACGTAGGTGTGGTTCATGTCTAACCTACAGTCATTATGTTAAATCATGATGTCTGGGGCAGCTGGTTGAATTTATATATTAAACATCAGTTTTGTAAATGACACTTTTTCTAATACGCTATGATTTTACTTTTCTGAATTTCAATTCTTATGTCATTAGAATGACTCAAATAATGACAGTGGAAACTCACAAAAATTTTCATCAAATTTAAGGTTTATGGAACATGTCACCTAAAAGATGTAAAAGCTGTATTGTTCTCATTTCATTTTTCTATGTGCCTGCTATTTAAAATCAAAAGACTTACACTTGATAGAAGTGGAGAGCAAAAGATTGGATGAGAACATATTAGAAATCCAAATATGAACAAAAATTACTTTGTATTCCACTCACATGACTAGATCTTTTAAAAATTAAACTGTTGAGAGAGATCAGTTTATTTCAGGATGTGAACAATCTTTCTGTGAATTTAGAATAATTCATATTTTTCCCTTTGAACTAATATTAATTCAGAGGTAAGATTACCTGTATTTTTTCCATGTGATATTTCTGTAAGTGATCAAAATTCAACAGGACAGTGTAATATTGAAGTTGGGAAGAAGTGCAATGTGGATGGGCAGGGTAGTAGCAATGGAAAACACAGAAGGGAAATACGTGTGACAGAATGGTCATTATTCTTATTCTTATTATGCCTTTTATTATCCCAACTACCTTCTAAGGATGATGAGTTTAAATGGAGAGCCCTTTTAAAGTTAAGCATCTTAATGTGTTTGCTCTGCAAAGGAAAAAAAAAAGAGGTGAAGAGAAGAGAATGATCTACTTAGTAGAAAATGTAACCACTTCTTATGACTCCAAATCTGTTGTAAATCCTACTGAACTTATGAAAAGCTTCATAGAAGTGAATCCATAGCAGAGACTGCTGATGGGGCTGAGTTTTGTGTCTGGACTGGATATAGGATATAAAAGTGAAGAGAGCAATGAAAATATAATCTCCTGGAAATGAGAAGAACGTGGGAAATGTCATGGACTATCAAGGGTTGTGGAATTTGGAAGGTTTTAAAAAATCATATCCTACTTATAATCCTTAAGAGAATGGTTCAAAGAATTCTGTAACATCATCTATCTGATCTGCATAGCATCGCTGTGCCTCATGCATAGTAAGTAATCAATATGTATTTGTTAAATGAATATTTCTTATTCAGTTCAAACTGTATAATTATAGTAAGAAACTTTGAAGTAAGCAGTAACTATTTCTTCCTTTCCCTTTACCTGTTGTCTATACTCATCAATCTTTGACATTTCTTTCCTTGTCCTAAGCATGTAACTACAACATCTTGGTAAGTTATCTGGATGAAAAACAAAAAGTTCAGTCAACCATAGGTCTATGATATTATAAATTTAAATAATGAGTGCAGTGATTTGAAAATTATATTTATTGTTATTAATCAATCATCAACATAGTTCTGTATACAGCGAAAGTTACTTTTAATAATTTGCCTCTCAATGTTTTTCTAGTCCTTTGTCTCCCCTCCTGACGTCAATAGTAAAATGATCAGTCAGGCTGTTCAAATCAGTGGAGATTTAAAGCAATGTAGAAGAAACCCTGAAAAGGAAACTAAAACCTCCACACTCGCCCACCTGTGTTTCAGCTGCAAAGCTTCCAAGAAAAAAAATAGCAGAGAAAAAGAGACTAAGAGAGAGCACAGTGGAAAAGAAAATAGATGGTTAATGGAATTGCCCCTTGAATGAGAAACGGAATATCCCCTCAACTCTCGTGTCAAAGTTCTGCTGAAAAATCCTATTATTCCCTGGTGCACTTTTCCTCAATGAATCAGACTGCATAATCCTGAGTAAAATCACACTGGGAAATGCCAAAGATTGAAAAATTTTGTTATATCACACACACACACGCACACACAAACCATTGGTTATCAAGATTAATCCATCAGTAGCTTCTACCAAGATTGAGATTGTTTTACACATTATCTCTCTCAAATCAGTGTGCTTACTAATCTGTTAGATCATACACCTCTCCAAAATGAAAATGAATTATAATGAAATAATACCAGGGAAAAGAATATTAAAATTTCAGCAAAGCAATTTTTTGGTCCAGATGGGAAACCACTTGAGCTTAAAATGGACTGTAATGAATAAGGAAAAAAAGTAAAATCTTGTGCATTTTATTTAATTCATAACCCAAATTTCCTGATGTATGCTTCCTTACAACATTTCCAAGGCTCAGATTTTGCTTAAAAGATATATTTTAGTAGAATTATGTGGACTTCCATTAATCCACATGAAAATACACAGATCATAGGACAGCATGAAGTTATTTCTTAAGCCTTCTATGTGGACAAAACAGAACATGCATAGTGTACTGTCATACTTCCTGAAGAATGAGGCCTTAGCCCTCTTATACAGCTGATGATCTAACCCATCCTTCAAGTTCTTCAAGGATGGTGTCTTCACACGCTCTTAATCACCCATTCAACCTTTAGTTTACCTTGCTGCCTAGAATTCTTACCTTATACACTTGAAATGATCAGACTTTAGATAGTTCCCTGAACTCATTCCTTATGTGAATGGCAGCCCTGAAGAATCTGTTCTGATTTATAAATTGTCTTTTCAAATCCGTATCTGGTTGTTTTTTCCACGTGAATGTTAACTTAAAAAAAATAGAAGACATAATTTTAGACTTACAGAAAGTTGCTAAAATAGTATAGAAATTTCCCATATACCCTAGCCCTTGTGTTAATATCTTATATAACCATAGAACATGTATAAAAACTAAAAAATTAATCCTAGTAAAAATATGTTGACCAAGCTATAGAATTTATTTGGATTTTACCAGGTTTCCACTAATGTTCTATTTCAGTTCTGGAAAATAACAAAGGATCTCACATAACATTTAGTTGCCATGTGTCTCTCCCTCCTTCTCTTTCTCCTTCTTTTCCTTGCCTTCTGCCTTCCCTCTTTCTTTTTGCACTTCCATACTAGGCCTGTCTTATTTTCCCAACCCCAAACTAGAGTCAGCCAGTTCTCCAATGAGCCTTGGTTCTTTTTATTGGAGAATGGTATTTATAAACCAAAATTTAAATGCTACATATAGCTCACTATTACTGAGGTATTATAATTTCTAGCCCCTGTCAGTGGACAGAGCTAGGATAATACATGTTGTTATTATTATTATTATTATTAAATCCAGTCTACTAAAACAAATCCGCGATACCCCCAATTCCAATCCAGAATCACAAGGTCCATTCTAGCTTTCACTCTTTCATTATGTGACTTCTTTCTTCAAAAGTGAGTGCTCTGATCCCCCTTCCCCACAATATATTTCTCTACATGATAAACTCTAGTATACACATTTTCTTATACCAGCCCTAGTAGACCAATACATATGGATTTTGACAAATGTATGGAGTCATGTAGCCAGTACAACAGTGCCATACAGAACAATTCCATTGCCTCAAATTTCCCTCATGCTGACTCACCCTGCACCCCTCAACCCCTGGCCACAATCAGTCTGTTTTCCACCCCTATAACTTTGTGTGATTGAAAGTGTCATATAAATGGAATCACACATTATGTAACCTTTCTGGCTTCTTTCACTTACCAAAATGCATGTAGAATTTACCCCTGTTCCTGCATGAATCAATAATTACTTTGTTCCTTTTTATTGCTAAGTGGTATTCCATGTTACTAATATACCATACTTTTTATATCCATTCATTAGTTGAAGGACATCTTGTTTCCTATTTATAGTACAAATATTATATTATAAATAAAACTGCTATACACATTCACAGAAAAATTTTTGTGTGAACATAAATTTTATTTTCCTTTAGCAGATGTCTAGAAGTGGAATTGCTGGGTCATATCACATATGAATATTTAACTTTATAAGTTCTCCAAGGTGTTTGTACTATTTTGTATTCCTACCAGTAATATATGTTTTGAAACATCACTTGATTCCTATCCTTGCCAGACCAAGTTTTCCTGGTCTTTCCTTTTCTTTTTGGTATTCCATTAGACTTTTTTGCAGTATTCTTTAATACCATGTTCATATCTGTGATGTTGTCTCCTCTTTGGATCCTGATATTGGTAATTTGTATCTTATTCCCTATTTTTGGAATAAGTCTGGCTAGAGATCTTTAAATTTTATTGATCTTTCCAAAGAATCTTTTTGTTCCATTTCTTTTTTCCTATTATTTTTCTAATTTCATCAATTCGTGTTCTTATTTCTAGTCCTTCCTTCTGCTTACCTTGGATTTAATTTGCCCTTTTTACAGGACTCTAAAGGTAAAAGTTTACATGAAATAATTTGAGACCTTTCTTCTCTAACATAAATACTGATTGTTGTAAACATCCATCTAGGCACTGCTTTAGCTACAACCTACAAATTCTGATCATGTTGTGCTTTCATTTTTATTTAGTTCAACACATTTCTTCATTTCCTTTGAGACTTCCTCTTAGACCTTGTTATTTTACATTGTACAGTTTAATTTCCAAATATTTTGGGATTTACCAAATACCTTTATGTTCTTGATTTCTAGTTAAATTCCTTTGTGGTCCAGAAATATTCTACTTATATTTTCTATGCTTTTCATTTTTGTAATGTGTGCTTTATGGCCCAGAAAACACAATATATTGGCAAATGTTCCATTTACAATTGAAAAATATCTGTATTATGCTGTTCATATGTGGAATGTTCTAGAAATGCCAGTTAGGTTTAAATGGTTCATAGTTTTGCCTATTAATATAGCTACTCTAGCGATTTTTTGGTTGTTGTTAGTGTGGTATTCCTTTCTGCATCCTTTCACTTCCTGTCTGTCATCTTATTTAAGGTTGGTCTCTTGTAGACAAAATACAGTTAGGTCTTGCTTTTTCATTCATTCTGATAACCTCTGTCTTTTTAATGATGTTTTTAGCCTATTTAATTTTTGTGTGATTGTACACATATTGGAAATTTATTTGTTCCCTCTTCTTCCTCCTTCTGCTCCACCTCCAATTTTTGGTCAATTAAACATTTTTCCATTATTCCATTTTATTTCTTCTATTGACTAATTATTTACATCTTTAAAAATTTTACTGGTTTTCCTAGGGTTTAAAATAAACATTTTTGACTAATCAGAGTCTACCTTCAAATATACTGCTTTAAATTTACAATATGACTTACGACAATATGTCTCCAATTTTTCTTTTCTATGCTTTGTGCTATTTTATCATACAATTTAATTTTATATATTTATAAATCAAAATGCTTTGGTACTATTTTTGCTTTAGAAGGTTATCTTTTATACCAATCAAAAATAAAGAAAATAAAATTTATTTTACCTTCATTTGTTTTTTTCTAGAAATCTTCATTTCATTGTTCAGTTCAAAATTTCAGCCTGACATAATTTTGCTTTAGCCTAAAAAAGTTTCTTTCACATTTCTTGGAGACTAGGACTTCTTGCAACTGAATTCCCTGAGGTTTTGTTTGTCTGGGAAAATATGTATTTGTCCTTCATTTTTGAGAGATAATTTTTTGGGATATAGAATTCTGACTTAATAGCTTTTTTTTTTCTTTTACCACTTTAAGTTTGTCATTTCATTGTTTTCTGACTTGAAGTCTGCCATAATTCTTGTTCTTCTGTATGCTATGTTTCTTTTTCCTCTATTTGCTTCAAGATTTTCTCTGTCTTTTGTTCTCAACAGTTTAAATATGATATGCCTAAGTTTAAGTGTGATATGCCTCTTCTTCTTCTTTTTGGAAGTGTAGTTTGTCGTCTGTTATTACTTTACGGAAATTCTCTGCTATTATTTTTTCAAGTATTTCTTCTGCCTCATTCTCTTTCCCTTCTGTTTTTGGGATTCCAGTTACACGTACATTAGAAGATTAGACATGGTAACATTGCTTTGGATATTCTGGGGCTTTGTATTCCTTTAACAGTTTGGGTAGTTTCTGCTGACTAGTCTTCAAATCGACACTTTTTCTCCTTTGTGCTGACTTTATAGATGAGTGCATTGAAGGCATTCCTTGTATGCTACTGCTTTTTGTTTCTTTTTTTTTTATTGCGTTTCCATGTGATTCTTTTCTATAGTTTCCATCTGTTTGTTGAAATTATCCATCTTGATGTCTACCTTTTACATTTGAGCTTCAACATTTTATTTATAGTTATTTTAAATTCCATGTCAGATATTTCTAATGAATGTCTCATACCTAAATCTAATTCTGATCATTGCTTTGATTTCTGGGAATATGTTTTCTCTTGACATTTTGTGTGCCTTATAGTTTTTTGTTGAAAGTTGATCATCTCGTAAAGGGCATTACAGAATGAAATGAATAGATTTTATTCCTGAAAATGAGTATGCCTTTCCCTGTGCAAAGCCTTTAATGTGTGGGTTTGGATTGATCTGGATATGAGGATTGTTGTTGCTAGACAACACCACATTGCACTTCGAAAGTGAGATAGGGCGTGGGAAGGGGTGAGGGTGGCTGGGCATGGGGAAGAAGAATCCTGGGGTGCTTCTTGCCTTCCTTGTGTAACTCTTGTTCTTCTCCCCTACTTTTACATCACAGTGAAAGCTTTCTGAAGGCTCTTTTGGTATTTGCAGTGAGCACCCTATGAATTCATGGAAAAAGAACCTGCAGAAAGGTACAGCCTCTACTAGCTTCTCAAGTACACAGGAGCATCACAGTTCTACCAGCCCGCATTCAGCCTTTGTCAAATGTTCCATTGTCTCTACCCCAGGTAATTCTGAGCAAGGGCTTATCTCACCTCAGGATTTGTTCTAGTTGCTTGTGTGCCACCTCAGCTGTCTGATGGGCTCACCAAAGCTGTGAAAATGTAAAGTTAACCTGGCTCTTATTCATCGTAATGATGGGAGTGATGCTCCTTCAGCTTATTATATCTAAGGGTACAATGCTTTTTTAATTAAATAATTACACAGTAAATCTTCTAGTTCATATCTTTTAATTAGAAAAAATATTTCCATTGATGTTGAGATTTAAACAGTACATATTGACATTTTTAACAAAGGAAAGGGAAACAGTTTCAGATGCTGAAGCTTAGCAGCTCTGCACATGTGGGAGAAAATAATCAATTTATTTCAGCCTATTCTGGGCTGAAATGTCGTTTAAGTATAAGGCAGGGTTAGCGCAATACTTCCAGTGATAAAACTGAAGCCGACAATGAGACAGGGATGATGTCAGAATGAGAGTCAGAGGATACTTCTCTGTCACCCAAAACTAAGGCTGAACTTCCAATAGCTTCTCTGTCTTTACTACATTGTCCTTAATAAAATGAAACAGCTACAGATAGTAAGAAATTTTATTATTCCCAGGTATCTTCTCTTTTGTCATTAAGGGATCAAACATTTTTTCGACCATGCATTCATTTACATATTTTTTCTTTTTGAAGAACATTCGTTTTCTATCTAATGGCATACACTCTGTATAGTGTGGGAATATGCAGTGAACAGGACTTCCTAAAACAGCTCAGATAATAGAATACAGGAGAATATACACATAAATTTTGTGACAAATAATATAACAGAATTGCACATAGCAAGATTCAATGCAGCCAAGGAGAACTTATATATTATAATGGTGAATAGAGTGGGTGCTGGAGTTAGGTTCAGTAGGTTTGACTTTTGTCTCTCTCACTAATTATACAACCTTGAACAACTTACTAATTTCTTCAGGACCCTCCCTTTAAAATGATAGTAATAATAATGGTATCAATTGATAGAAATGTCATGAAAATTCGGTGTGTTAGTTTTAAGTTGAACCATATGAAATTGTCAAGAATCCACTCCTTTTGACCTAGAAAAATGGCAATTTCATATGGTTCAACCTTATGCATTGTAAGTGCTCGGCATAGTGCCAAAAGGTGGCGTAGGGGATTGAACTGTGTTCCTCCTGCCTCAAATATGTTCAGGTCCTGACCCCCAGTGCCTGTGGATAAAACCATATTTGGAAATAGGGTCTTGGCAGCTGCAATCAAGTTAAAATGAAAATTATCCTGGATCAGGGTGGACACTAAATGCAATAATTGGTGTCTTTGTAAGAGAAAGGAGAGGGTTATCTGACTTCAGAGACACAGAGGAGACATACAGGAGGAAAGTCACGTGAAAATGGAAGCAGATACTAGAGTTATGTGTCTACAAGCCTAGGAATGTCAGGATTGCCACCACCAGAAGCTAGGAGGAGACAGAAAGGATTCTTCCCTGGAGTCTTCAAAGGGAACATAGCTCTGTGGAGTTTTTGTTTTGTTTTGTTTTTGATCTTTGAGTTCCTATCTCTAGAACACTGAGATAATACATTTCTGTGGTTTTAAGCCATCAGGTTTTTGGGAACATGTCACAGCAGCCCTTGGAAACTAATAGAGATGTCGATTTTCAGTACATACTATCTATAACTCATCATTAAAACACAGAGGGGAAATGATTCATTTTGACAGAGAAGAAGACATTAAAGAAAGACTTCAGTGGTGATTATTCGGAAGAAGTAAAGGTCCTTCCAGATGAGGGAATTCCATAAACAAATGTATGAAAAAATAAGCGTCTGCTTACACAAATTTGATTGCAATGTCTAAGAGGAATAAAGAATGATGATTCTAGACATGAATAATCTGTGGTAGGTTTCTTATGCTATGCTGGAAATGTAGTTTCTGTGCTATTAGCAGTAAAGTTTCAGAGCCATTTTTTAAAACTATAAGAATCATGTAAACCAAAAAATATTTTCTAAATATCAGTCTGGTAGCAGTGTATGGCTTAGATGGGGGTGGAGGAGGCTTCAGATGGCTGTTGAAATGGTCATGGCTCAGGACCATGCAGGCCCAGAAGGAGAACAGGAAAAGAAGAAGATAAAAGAACTATTTTAGATGTAGAATTTGTATAATTGCAGATTATTTGGAGTGACTGAGAGGAATAAATGATAATTATTTCCAGATTTCTAGTCTAAAATATGAGTGGATTGAAGTAACATTTACAAAGAGATGGAATACACGTGAAAGAATTTCTTTAGTGAGAATTAGAGAAAAAGTGAGGTTGAGGAAAATATCCAGGTAAAAATTCCTATAGCATTTGCACATGTGGATCTGGACATTTGGGGAGAGTTGCTTACTGGAGTTACAAAGTTTTAGATAGAATTTGAAGGAGTAATGGTAGCTGTGCTGACCCAGGGTGATTGTGCAGAAGGAAACAGTGAAAAAGGTTGAGCAGAGAAAGGGGAACCTGTCATGAAGACTGAAAAGTAGACACACAAAAGTGTAGCCTGAGGATGGGAAGATAATGAAATGGCAAAACTCGAAGCAGAAATTTCAAGGAAAGGGCTCTGTGAAACTCTAGAAGGAGGATGTATCAGTCAGGATGTGTTGAATTATGTTGTGATAACAAACAACCAGATTTACAGTGGCTTCACACAGTAATTACAGATTTGCACTTCATGTACAAAACAAGTCACTGAGAGGATAGAGATTATCATAGTTACTCAGGGACTAGGCTTATGAAGTTTCCCTCTTGACACATACATAAATGATCACTGAAGCCCAAAAAAGGGAATATAATGAATCATGAATGGCTCTTAAAACTTCCACATGTAGTGACACATGTTACTTCCACTAATATTTCATCAACCAACCAAGTCACATCCCAATGTACCCTAAGGAAGGGGACTTTAGGAAAGAAAAAAAAGAGAAGATTTTATGGAGTTCCTCTAGGAAATAAGAGGAGTTGGGGATGAGTTACAAGCAAATACATTGTTGAATGGGACTGAATGATGCCATCAGATAAGGACCATCAATTTCCAATAGATAGAGGCAACATTTTTACATCATTTTTTTCTTAACATTTTCAGTGGCTCTTTCAGAGGAAGAAATGGACAGGAAATTCAATTGACATAGGTTTGTAATTGATCCAGAAAAAGGTCACTCCGTGAGGAAAGTAGGTTTTCCTGTGACAGAATAGTTGGCAAGGGTGACCACAAGTTCTGGTTAGGTTGAAGAAAGAAACAAAGACAAAAAAAAAAAAATAGGACAGATACACTGAAAAATAGGGAAAGGCCAAGGAACTAGAGATCAGGATGAAGTTGAGATACATGTTAAGAGGTTGTAAAGGTCAAGGAATATAAAAAGCTTTTTGTAGTTTCAGTAGTTTGAGAGGTAGGTATGCAGGTGGTCTGATAAAGGCAAATGAAGAAGTAGTTGAATGAAAAGGAAATTAAAAGATATGTGGCTAGTTTCCTAGTATTTCTTCACCTCATTTGAGAAGCTCCCCACTTCTTCAACCTTAGATTTAGTTTCATTTTAGGGTTGTGTGATCAAACGTACGACTAGACTTTACTGAAAATTAATGTACTTCAATCAGCAGACTTCAGGCATTGGAACAGGTATGAGATATGAGATTGAATGATGTGAGATTGAATCCTGCTCTAACTTTTATTAGTGAATTAGCTTGGACAAGTTATTTACCTCTCACTTGCTTCATTTATAAGTGATAGTTTTTGTTCAACAAATATGTATTGAATATCTGCTTAAAAAATGTGTATTCATAGAATGCCTACTCTGCCAGGCATTCTACTTTGTCTGGAATGTAGTGAGCTTGCAAATATAATGACTTTGCCCTTCATCATTGAAGACCCAGATGAAAAACTGAATCTCTTAACATGGATCTCTTAACATATCCAGTGGGGCAAATAGCCCTTCTTTTTCACTTACATAATCCCTATTACTGTTAGACAGCAATGACCCCAGACACGAAAGCTGAACTATGGTTGATACTAACCAGTATTGTTAATTTGGTTTCCCTTAATCAGTAATTGATCTAGAGGTGAGTACATGGCTCAGCTCAAAACAATTAGATGTAGTATGTGTCATCTAGAGGGCTTCTAGGAAATTTTTCCCTGATTAAAACAAAAAGTCAATGAAAATTAGACATTTTTTTCTTAGTTGAGGTTTGGTTACACAAGAACATGATGTTAGAGCTGCAGCCATCCTGAGACCATGACAGAAAACCCATGAAAAGTACCAAATGAACTCTTTGATATTATGGAATGATTACCTTAAACACATAAATTTAGATTTTACATAATGTGAAGTAATTAAATGTTTTTGATATTTAAATAATTATGAGTTAGATATTCCGGCACACAAAGTCAAACATGTGAAATGATTCACTCAGTGAGAATTAACAACTTCCTCTGCATTCTTTCAGTGTTTTACACCTTATATAGCTATTTTTAGCTCATCTTTAGGATCGTGTGCATATGTGGTTTGTATATGTGTGTCCTTTAATAGATAGACTATAAACTTTCTTTAACAATTTATTTCTCACTTTCCCGCAACAAAAGTAGTTTCAGTAAGGAAGTTCTCCCATTTCATAAAATGACCTCTCATCTACCCAGATCTACCACCCTAAAACATAGAGTCTGTTCTCAATTACTTAATTTTTCTCCATCCACATCCAATCCTTCCGCAAGCTCTGTCAGTTATATCTCTAAAACGCGTCTAAAATCTATCTCCACTGTGACCTAGCCCAAGCTATCATCATCTCTGGCCTCCACTATGGCAACTGATGTCTAAAGGTTGTTAGGACTCAGCTATCCTCCCTCCAGATTATTTTCAATAAGGCACTTAGAATGATCTTTTGCAATTAATTGTGAATGAAATCATAGCCCCTTCCCTTCCAAATCTCTCATTGTACTAAAAGTGCAAAATCCTTGCTTCTAGGACAAGGCTATAATATCATGGTCCTGGACTCATCTCATTTGCCACACTTCATATCATCTAGCCACATCAGCCTTTCTTTTGTTCTTTTTCCTGTCATAGTGAGTTTGAACTTGCTCTACCTTCTGAACCACTGTCAAAACCACTTGCTCAACTGTCTGAACCACTTTTCCCCACAGCTCCTGAAATAGCTGCCTCCTTATTGCAGAGATCTCACCTCTGTGTCACCTTTTCAGAAAGGTGTTCTTTGATTAGCCCCTGCACAATAGGAATTCCCCTCTCACCCTCATTTCCTTCCCTTTATTTCCTTTATAGCTCTAGATACAGACTATCTGATATTGACTTGTTACCTATTGCTTTTTTTGGTTGTTTGTATATCTGTCCTACCCAACATAGTATAAGTTCCAGGAGATCAGGGACTTTTTCTGTCTGACTGGTAATGCTGTGTCTCTACACTTAAAACAATCCCTAGTGAGAGATATGTTGAAGGATACAAAATTACACCTAGACAGGAGAACAAGTTCTAATGTTCTATGGCACTGTAGGATGACAGTAGTTAACAATAATATATAGTTTCAAATAGCTAGAAGGAGGATTTGCATGTTCCCAACACAAATAAATAATAAATGTTTGAGATGATGAATATGCTAATTATCCTTATATCCCATCCAAGTATTAACCAGTCCTGACCCTGCTTAGCTTCCAAGATCAGACGAGATTGGGTGCGTTCAGGGTGGTACGGCCGTAGACTGATTACCCTTATCTGATCACAATACATTATATATATCAAAACATCACTATGTACCCCATAAATAGGAACAACTATTACATGTCAATTAAAAAATAAAATAAGTATATAAAAACGGATCTTAGTGCATAACTGATCACTAAATATTAGTTGAATGAATAAAATTTTGTTCTCCTTTCTCCTGTTTATCCGCTCCAGTGTTTACCATAGAGATCTGCATGTCATGAATACTTGAAAAATATGTTTGTTCAAGATATCTTTTATTAAACATCTTTTATACGCACAGCTTTGTGTAAAGCACTGAGGATACACTGGTGGAAAAAAAAATTAAAATCCTATGTTTCTTCTAGCTATGTTGTAAAATATTCAGGAAAAGTCTTTGCCTACCCATGTAAGCTGAGGGACCTTGATTTCTGCTGATTTCCAAGGTGTGAATGTAGTTCAAACGCAGACAGCCTTAATTTTCAAGCTTAAAACAAATGTACTTCCTTTTTTCAATGTCAAATGAATCACTACATTTTCAACACTTGATGAGCCTTACTATCATGAAATATTCCACAATTAACAAAAATATTTAGACAACATTCATTTGTAGAATCATAATATAAAGTAGTCTCTGTTTTAAAAGGGAATACTGCCTAAGGCTAGTTCTTACCAGGAGTTCTGTGCTTCCACATTACACATGCCTTAATAGTTTGTCTGAACTCGACAACAGTTTTTAATCCTTGGCAATGCAAGTGTTTCTCTTACATTCATGAATCTCAGTGATCGCTTCTGGTTGCTGATCTCAAGTATACAGCTTCTCCTTTCTTTTTATAATGCTTTTATTATAATTCCTGTTAACCCCTTACTTCCAAGAGAGTTGATTCTTTCAGTTAACTGCTTTCTTCCTAAAAAGATGATTTTTCTTAAGAAAAACAAAGACTTGAAATGGAATAGGAAATGGTTCTTATTTACCTTCAAATAATCACAGATTAAGATGTAACTACCAATAATGGGTGAGAACTCAATGAACATACAAGAGAGGGAACCAACCTCATTTTATTATTCTTACCTCTTAGATTCAGTATTATATTCAACTAGTATATAGGAAAAAAAAGATGACTTTACTGAATCAAATATTTTTGCTGTAAGTCCATTTTGTCAAATATCTTAAAGAGTAAAGAGATATTTGGGTTATGCACAAATAAAATAAGTAAGTATAATTATTTATAATATGAAAAGAAAAAAAGACAGCATATTTACTCAGGTAGTGAGTAATAAAAGAGTGGCAGAAGTATCATGTAAAAAAAAAATCATCACAACTCTCCAAGAAAGAATCAGAGTGAAAACTGGGATACTAGTTCTTCCAAAGATTTGCAAACAATGGGAGAGAAAGCTGGAAAGCTACGCAGACCTAGGAATAAGATACAGCAGTCTCAAAGGCAAGAGAAGGCTTTGTAGATCGTCATTTAAAAAGCTATGGATGACAGGATGACAGGAATCTATCTAGAGCTTGACCAGTGTCAGAGGTTAGATAAATGAGTTGGACAAGGGCATTAAAGAAAAACAAGCATCAGTTGTTCTGAGGTGTGGTTGTTTGGCAAGAATAAATCAATTACACATTTTCAAACTAAGCAATTTAATGTTAGGTACTTCATGTCCCTCTTCTCTGTGGAAGCCTGAATTCAATGACTGGCTGATTTGGGGATATAACACAATTCAATAAGCCAATTTCAAACTAAGCAAATTAATGTCAGTAGCAGGATGGTGGATTTGGGTTTAGAGTTTTATTAGTAAACTCCTACTCATCCTTTAAGACCACATCAAATATATTGACTCTCCTTTGAAACTGTGTGATAGATTGGACTGTTGCTTCTGAATCTTTAATCATACACCCTTTGTAGAATTTGCATCCATGGATTTCCCATGTGTTTTTCAGTACCACCCACTAGTGAGGGTGGGGCATATTTTTTTGCCCTATAAATGTTGACTTTGGCCATGAGGCTTGCTTTGGCCAATGGAATGTTAGTGGGAGGATGGGACATGAGCAGAGTCTTTAAACATGCTTATGTGATTTGTGTTGTCCTCTTGCGTCGTTGTAATTTGTCATAAGAGGAACACACCTCAGTCGTCACTTTCCTTCAGCCAGGTCTAAGAGTAAAGACACATGGAGCAGACCAGATCATGACAGGAAGCTTGGAGTCCAGCCGATCATAGCAAGCCCAGATCAGCTGAACCACCGCTGACTTGCAGAACTATGAATATGAAATTTCACATTTGTTATCATAAGTCACTGAAATTTTGAAGTTCTGTATTACATGGAAAATTGGCTACTTCACCTTTTTTAACACTCCCACATGCAGAATTTTCTGTTTCCTATAATATGTTCCCATGGTACTCTGAATCGGTATCTATTATAGTACATTGCAACTAGTAGATTATCTTGTTCAAACATCCATTTCTCCTAAAGCACTGCAAGCAACTTTTCCATTAGGGCATATTTTATTGCTGTTTTTATTTCACCTGCTCTCAAAGTGAAATACTATCTAGCTCAAGGTAAACAATTGTGTTTATAATAGATCTGCTTTCTATGTGAATATGCACAGGAAAAGGTCTCGGGCATATTTGTAAAACAAATCCAGTCTGAGATATTTTGAAGAGTCCATAACCTACCCACCATATATTGTCTTATTTCAAGGTTTAAAAAAATCTCCATTTTAAAGATAGAAGAAAAAAAAATACGATGTTATGAACGGAATATTTGTGTTCTCCCAGAATGCATATGTTGAAATCCTTACCCCAATGATGTGGGGATTTTAGAGATAATTAGGCCATGAGAGCAGAGCCTATCTGGAACAAATGCCCTTATAAAAGGAACCCAGAGAACTCTCTTGCTATCTCTTAGCCATGTGTGGATATAAGAAAAGTCAGTAGTTTGCAGCCTGGAAGAGGGAATTCACCAAATCCCAGCCATGCTGGCACCTTGATCTCAAAGTTTCAACTTCCAGAACTGTGAGAAATACATTTCTGTTGTTTATTAGCCATTAGTCTGTGGTACATTTTTATAGCTGCCTGAAACTGACTAAGACATAATGGAAAAAAAAAGTTAAATAAACTATGTGGTATCACAAAACAATATTTGTATGACATTCATAACGTTAGTACTGCCAGTTTAAATGTTAAGACAATCCTAACTTATTCTCATTTTTGGAGCCTATTAAAAAGCTAACTATTACTCTATTCTGGTTCTGCTCGTGCAACACACTTTTATGTTGCTGAATAAATTCTATTTAAACATTAGCTTCTGCTCATATAAACTATTTTTGAATAGATGAAAAGCAGTGATAAAACCAGTTCCTAACTCAGAGGCTGAAGTTGCCCACACAACTGAATAGCTGTGGATGTAAATACATGTCAGGATGAAAACGTGAAATTTTTGTGTACCACTTAGAAAACAATTTTTACATTTAGTCCTGAATGTATAGTTAAAAAATCAGACTAGAATTTGATGTATAACAAAGTGAAAGTCACAAAACTCTTAAGCCCCAAATTGTCAAGTAGAGTGATTTCTAGTTTTAAACAACATAGGTCCATTAGACTATTGGATATGATTCCTGTTTTATTAGAATTGTAAGACTATGTATTAATTATTTACATAGGACAGTTCAAACACACTGTCCAGTGAAGTGCCCTTACTGTTTGTTAAACGGTAGTTGACGCTATGCCGCATTGCCCACATGTCCCATTTAGGACTCCAGTTCTTTTACTCTGGGAGTTACTTTCAACTAAAGAGGAACTCTTCATGTCCCTCTTCTCTGTGGAAGCCAAATTCAATGACTGGCTGATTTGGGGATATAAAACTGGACCCATGGCCCCAAGTTGAGACAACTCTAAAAGACCATCTCAGCCTTCGGGCTCCTTGTGGGGTCAGCTGAGACTTCCACTGAAATTAATATCAAAGCTCAACTTCACCCGCTGCCCAGTAGTGCTGTCTTCACTCCTCCGTGTTTGCTTGTCACAAGAGAATTTTGTAACAAACTTCTTCAACACTAATCTCTATCTCAGTGTCTCTTTCCTGGGCACCTAACCTACAACACATATGATGTCCAATAAATGCAATTTAACAGCATTAATTAAATCTATCTTAATTTTACTGGAAACTGGAAAAAAAAAGATAAAATCATGCAGTATTGCCCTCCAAGAGCTCACAGTTTTAATGAAGAAACAGACATGTTAAAACATAACTACCGGCTGGGCGTGGTGGCTCACACCTGTAATCCCAGCACTTTGGGAGGCTGAGGTGGGTTGATCACCTGAGTTCAGGAGTTCAAGACCAACCTGCCCAACATGGTGAAACCCCATCTCTACTAAAAATACAAAAATTAGCTGGGCCCAGTGGCACATGCCTGTAATCCCAGCTACTCTGGAGGCTCAGGCAGGAGAATCACTTGAGCCTGGGAGGTGGAGATAGCAGTGAGCCAAGATTATACCATTGCACTCCAGCCTGGGTGACAAAGCGAGACTCTGTCTCAAAACAAACAAACAAACAAAACTATCATACAATGCAGTAAGAGCCAGAGGAGAGATGAATTGATCATCACTTCATTTTTGTATTGTGATTTGTGAAAGTACCAGTGACTGCCCCATATGACAAACTAAATCCCTTAAAGTTAGTCAGTGCCCTATGACTAATTCTAGCCAATGGAGTAAAAGCAGAAACGACATATTCCAGGTCCAGGTGAAACATCTTTGAGCTGGAGGTGAATTTTCCATCTCTCTTTTTCCCTGTTATGGCAAACAAGAAGCCTCAGTTGAGATTTCAGCATAATGAGATAGAAACAGTCTGATCATCAGAGTCACCAGACCAGACCCACAGTGGCCTTTGCATAAAATGAATATATATATATATATATATATCTCCCTGATATGTAATATATATATATATATCCCTGATATGTAATATATATATATATCCCTGATATGTAATATATATATATATCCCTGATATGTAATATATATATATATATCCCTGATAAGTAATATATATATATATATATATATATATATATATATATATATATCCCTGATATGTAATATATATATATCCCTGGTATGTTTTTTATATATATATATCCCTGATATATAATGCCATAAGATTAGAGATTTGATAATGCAGCAAAACCTAGACCATTCTGAATAACATATTACTTTTTATTTATACCAATTTGGCAAGAAAGATGAGATTTAGAGGAAATTTCCCAGACCTATGATATTCAAACTATACACTAAGTGCTTGATGATTGGTTCTTATATAGAAAAGAAAATCAATCTTCCTTAGAAAGAGGAAATAAACAAAGACGTAACTCGGTGGATCAGGAAACGATAAGTTGTTATAGGATTTTAGAGTTTGAACTATTAATCCAGACTATGAAAACTGTGAAAATCTATGCAGTTTTTGCGTGTGGGCGCACGTTTCTGGGAATAATATGTCTTCAAGAATGTTCATAGCATAGTTTAGGTGAGATTCAAGGGTAGGAGATATGGGGAAAGAGAAAATTAGCTCGAAATGAGGACAAGGAGTTGGAATTTAGGAGGACTAGGCACACGAGGACTAGGCAACTTAATTTATTAAGCTGAAAATAGCACTATGAGATGTCTTTTGCTCAGTTCATTTTCTTAATTTACTATTTGGTTCACAGTAGGAAAAATGCCCCCTATGACTCTCAGGACAATGTCTAATCTCTTTTATTTATTTACTTTATTATTTATTTATTTATTTATTTATTTATTTATTTATTTATTTTGAGACGTAGTCTCGCTCTGTTGCCCAGGTTGGAGTGCAGTGGTGTGATTTTGGCTCACTGCAACCTCCACCTCCTGGGGTCAAGCGATTCTCCTGCCTCAGCCTCCTGAGTAGCTAAGATTACTTAGCACATGCCACCATGCCCAGCTAATTCTTGTATTTTCAGTAGAGACGGGGTTTCACCATGTTGGTCAGGCTGGTCTCGAATTCCTGACCTCGTGATCTGCCCGCCTAGACCTCCCAACGTGCTGAGGTTACAGGCATGAGCCACCGTGCCCGGCCATCTAATTTCTTTAACTTGGACCTTTAGGCACTCTAGAATCTAGGTCTCACCAACTTCTCTAATGACAGTAGTTTGGTGCCTGAGCCCTGAAGAGTGACTGTGTAAATCTGAATCCTCGCTCTACCAATAGCTAGGTGTCATACATAAAATAAGGATAATAACACTACTTACTTAAAATGTTTGCTGAGATTAAATGAATAAATAGATGTAAACTATACTTAAAACAGTGCTCAACATAAGGTACAAACTCAATATGTTAAGTGTTTGCATGTGCTGATCCCTCAGGCTTCTCGCCTCACCCACCCAGTCCCTGAAATAACACCCATTCATTTCTCAATTCACAGAGTAGATGGTACTATTTTTCGCAATTCACAGAGTAGTTGGTCCCTCCACAACTCAGTTAAGTAATTATGCATGCGCTTTGAGAATACCCTGGACTTTCATGTATACTGTAGTATAGTTTAATCATATCTTTATGTGTGTGTGTGTGTGTGTGCACCTGTGTGTATGTATTTGCATATATGTATATATGGACTTCTGATTATACATTCTCTAAAAAATGAATGTTATAAAAGAATTTTAGTAGAAAAATGATGGTATCTGCATATGTCTTAAGAATCACTCTGAAAGTTGTATTGGAAAGAGTTTCCATGGGGAAAAAAAAAATCTCTAAACCTGGCTCAACCTTTTAGAAAGAAGTTACAGAGGTCTAGGTGAGGAACTATGGAGATGTGGACTAGGTTAGTATTTATGTAATTGTGAGATATGGTTGGATTCTGGGTAAATTTTGAAAGTGAAGCCACAGAATATTCTGATTGATTGAATGTGGTACGTAAGAGAAATAAAAGAGTTGAAAGCTATTTTAATTTTTTGTCCTGTGTATCTGGAAGGATAGGGTAGTTGTCTATTGAGAAAGATAAGAACGTGGTGGAATAGCTATTTGGAAACATAAACAGACTTAAGTTTTGGGATGCTGAATTTGGGACATATATTAGACATCCCACTGGACATGATGGGTAGGCATTCGGTTATGCCAAGACTGAACTTCCATAGAAAAGGAGTTGGGATATTTAAATATCGGAGTTGTCACCATACAGATGATCTTTAAAGCTGTAAGACCAGATGACAGAAATAGGGCCTGAATGTAGGAGCAGAGAGAACCGATGTCCAAGCCTTGTAGATCTCCAACATGTAAGTGTTCAGGGAGCCAGACAATGATCTAACCGTAAAGATTATAATAGAGCAGTAAGCAATGGAGAAGGAAAACTAAGAACATATGGTGATCTGAAAGACAAGTAAAATGAATCTATTGAGAAAGAGACTTCTTTTACTTCCTTTTTAAGATGGGAGAAATAGCAGGATGTTTATATGCTGATGAAATGGCCCAGTAAACAGCAAAGATTAATGATGCCAGAAAGGGAGGTGAGAATTGCTGTAGTGCTTCCCTTGAACAGGCAAGAGGGGTTAAGATCTGACACACAAGTGGAATGGCTGAATTTAGATAGGAGAATGAATAGTTCATCTCTGGTGTCAAACAGGAAGGCCACATCTGGAGGTGCAAGGCTGGTAGCTAGGAAGATGTGGTGGAGGAATTTGTGAAAGTTCTCCTCCTTATTTCTATTAGTTTCTCAGTGAAATAGGAAGTAAGGCAATCAGCTGAGCCTCAGTTTCCCTATATGTAAAACTAGAGTGGTGGATGGAGCATATTTCTATGATTCTGTCAGTGGGTACTAATTGCAAAGCACACACTCAAAAAGATTCAAGAGCTGACTATCAGCTCTGCATATTTGATTAGTAGGAAAGAACTTAAGAAGCACAATTATTACTATTATAGTCTCATAAAATGACAAATGTCCTAAGTTTTATTACATTTTGCTAGTGTGACACCCCCACAGTTCCTGGCACATTTATGATTTCTATAGGAACAAGTGCAGAAACTGTCTTGGAGATTGACACAGCCCATCTGTTTTAAAATAGCTTGTGTTACAAAATGCCATATTTTCGCCTAACATCCTCTTACACTGAAGCAGACAAAAAAGTTGGTATTATTAAGATATTATCTTTTAAAATATTTATCTATGTAGGACCATGATCTTTCTTTAAACACAACTAGTTTGATGGTAGATAATTGGTTAGTTCAGGTTTTCTCCCCTAATGCAGGATCACTAGTGATTGACTAATGCTGCATACCTCCTTTCCCTTTAATAACGAGTCTAAAATTAATTTCTAGTAACAGATAAAAATAAAGTGTTATGTCTGCTTCATGAGGATATACTTTCTGTTCAAAATGTTGGTTTTCTTGACAGAAGCTCCAATTAGAGACTGAAGCAACTACAGAAAAATACAAGGGATTTTCAAAAATTATGATACAGGTACAGCTTTTGAGTCAAAAAAAAAAAAAAACTGCTTTAAAATGTACCGGGTTTTTGTTGTCGTTGTTTGAAGTTTGATACTCAGTATTTTAATATTTAAGGTAAAAGAGTCTCGTATCTTCTATGTAGATGAACTGCCTGCATTTCAATTTAAAGTAATGATGTGAACAATTTCACTTCATTACTTCCAGCTCTAGCTTCATAGTGTCTATGTTAATGCCTACCAATGAAACATGAAAAGAACAAAGACTTCTAATTTGTATAATGGGCTTGAGTGAGATGGTTGCTTTCACCTCATGGATGAACACACTATGTGATTTTTAAAAATTGTTAGAACCCAGAAACATATGGTATGTCAACACCACGTGCCACTCTCAAGCAAATATACTGGAGAGAAGCAAAACTCTTTTCATCATGCAGTGTGTATCTTGTCAAAACACAGTTACTAGGAAAACTCATGGTTTCTATTTCAATAGGTCACAGATTTCTGTCACTGAGTCTCTTTTCATGTGAGTATAAGAAAATAGTAAAGTTGAAATTTCTAATCTTTCAAAACCAATTTGTGGTACTTTTACAAATAATATCAATTGAATCTGTTCAGGTTAAATGCAACAACGAAGTATGTGAAAAGATCTAAGAAGATCGAATGCCTGCAGTAGAGCACAGTGTACACTGTACCACAGTGGTACAGTGGTATCTACAGATTCATACAATGTAATCTGCTAAGGCATTTTATAAGTATTGGGTAAAGTTTTCAGCGACTTCGAAGCCTAGCACTCACACGTATATTCTGGCAGATGAATAAAAAAATATAGGTAATTGTCCATATTATCTACCGATTTCATTGTGTATGTTTTCCACAAGTATCAGTCAGCTATTGAAATGAACGGTACATTTGTCTTTGTTCCTTTTAATTATAATGTATGTTTTCCTTCCTGAATTTGATATTGAAGCATGTATTGTAAATTACTTTAAACAGGAAGACCCAAGGTTTGCTGCAGATAAGATAATTTCATCCACCACCTAAAACATGCAAGGGTATCTGGATACAACAAAAGAAAATGAGACTTATTAGAAAGCTGTTCAAATAAATATTTATTTCAAGTGACCTTCAGACTAACCAGATTATGGTTCTAAATATTTTCTTATTTTGATACATTTAGTAAACATAGCTTAAATATTTTTATACCACATTAAATAATTGTATTTTTAATGCAGACACACAAAAATATATAAAAAGGAAAGTTTATTTTAAGTCCATAGTTTTAAATGACATGGTTACAATGGACTCCTTTGGGTATGCCTATATAAAACAAATACTGTTCCTTAAATTCTTTAAGGAACGGCATTTGTTTCACTTTGAAACAGGCAATCTTGTAAGTTGCTGCCAGTGGTATATGAATGAAAATACAAGTCAACATATCTGTATATAAGTGAAAAATACTCAGTGAGTTTATCAAACTGTTTATACACTTGAGTCATATAATCCCTATTTCAGATTTATTGACTCATTTATTCAACCAATATTGATTTAGTGATTATCATTCTATATGGTTGGAGATAGGGAGTAGGAAGAAAACAGCTAAATTCTGGCCTCATGGAGCTTACATAAAGGAAGACAGAAAGAAGACACCACAATATTTAAATATCCAAGTTATTTTAGATTGCAATGAACACAAACCGAAATGCTAAGTTAATATAGAAATGGTAAGAAACACTAGCCAAACCATGAATCATCGTTTTGAGTTCACCAATACAGAAAGTTAATAGTTTGTTTAATCAGTGCATTTTACCATTGGTAGTCCACGGGAATATTTGTCGCATCAGGCCTCCTTTTAAAATATGGTGTATTGTATAAAATATTTATAAAACCAAAAAAAGACTAATTTGGTAAATGAGATTGATTAAAGAGAATACGTTCCATGGATTTGTTCATTTTCTTTTATATTTAGAATGGCAGTCATATTGGTAATTGTAATATATCATCCACAACTGCTGTCCATATTTATAACTGATCTCATGTATATTGAGCTCCTGATCTAGGCCACTAGGGATTGAAGGATGAAATAGATAGATACAGCCTCTGTTCCTACATACTCACATGCTAGTGGAGTAAGGCAATGAGTGAAATAACAGAACCAACTAGAAAATACAACTTGTACATAATTGTTACAAGGAAAATAAATTAGGATGATTGGAGACTACATGCATTTTAGAAGTAAACCGGTTTCAGATTTTGTGAGTGTGTGCGAATGATCCATGTTGAAGATTAGCCCACCCATTTAATTTTTTTTTTTTTTTTTTTTTTTTTTGAGACAAGAGTCTCGCTCTGTCACCCAGACTGGAGTGCAGTGGCGTGATCTCGGCTCACTGCAAGCTCTGCCTCCTGGGTTCAAGTGATTTCCCTGCCTCAGCCTCCCAAGCAGCTAGGACTACAGGTGCACACCACAACGCCTGGCTAATTTTTTGTATTTTAGTAGAGACAGAGTTTCTCCATGTTGGCCAGGATGGTCTTGATCTCCTGACTTTGTGATCCACCCGCCTCAGCCTCCCAAAGCGCTGGGATTATAGGCGTGAGCCACCATGCCCAGCCCCACTTAAATTTTTATTCCTGCTTTAATTTTTTTTAGTTCAGAGAACTTCAGTTTTCAGCTCTGCCATGTGAAAAGCTTAGAAGTCATCACTTCCATCCTTACAAGTAAAAAATCTGGACAAAATGAAAAATCAATGATCTTTCTGGGACCCAATAAATCAAACTGCCACTTCAAAATCTGGAGGGACAAGTTTACCCTGATAAGTACAACACAAAAACACAATCCATGGAAGAGTGAATGGCCAAGTTGGGTTTATTAAAATTAAAATTCTTCAACACTGTGACTGTCACTGTTCAGAAAATGAGAAGACAACCCAAATACTGGGAGAAATTTTTGCAAAAAGACTTGTATACAAAATATACAAAAAACTCTTACAACACAATATAGTAAACATCCAGCCCAGAGGAGAAAAAAATGGGCAAAGAATTTGAACAAACACTTCACCTAAGAAGATACACAGATGACAAATAAGCATATGAAAAGATGTTTAACACTGTCATTAGAAATGTGAACTTAAAAATTAGATACCACTATACACCTATCAGAATAACTGAGGTCTGAAACAAATAAGTATACTAATTGCTGGTAAGAATGTGAAACAATAGGTTCTCTCATTCTGTGCCGTTGGGAATGCAAAATGGTACACCCACTTTGGAAGACAGGCAATTTCCTACAAAGCTGAATATAGTTTTACCATACAATTTAGCAATTACAATCTTAGGTATTTACCCAACTGATTTGAAAGACTTATATTCACACAAAAACTTACACATAAATGTTTAGAGCAACTTTATTTATAATCTCCAAAAACCGGGTAACCAAGATGTTCTGACTAGGTGAATGAATAAACAAATATCCTGACAGTGAAATATTATTCCATGACAAAAAAAAGGAATATGCTGTCAAGCCACCGAAAACTATGGATACATTCTGTATTAGCTGTTCTCATGCTACTAATAAAGACATAACCAAGCCTGGGTAATTTATAAAGGAAAGAGGTTTAATTGACTCATAGCTTCACATGGCTGAGAAGGTCTTACAATCATGGCAGAAGGCAAAGGAGGAGCAAAGTCACATATTACATGGCAGCAGGCAGGAGAGAGAGATTATGCAGGGGAACCTCTATTTATAAAACCATCAGATCTCATGAGACATACTCACTACCATGACACAGTATGGGGAAAACTGCCCCCATGATTCAATTATCTCCACTTGGCCCCACCCTTGACATGTGGGGTTATTACAGTTCAAGGTGGGATTTGGGTGGGGACACAGCCAAACCATATTACATTTTAAATGCATATTAAGAAGTAAAAAAAACCAGTCTGAAAAGGGTACATACTGTATAAGCCCATAGGACATTCTGAAAAAGGCAAACTTGGAGATACAATAAAAAATATTAGTGGTTGCCAGGCATTCTGCAAGTGGGGAGAGCATCAGATATCAGGTGAAGCACAGGGGTTTTTTTTTTAGGTCAGTGAAACCATTCTGTATGATAGTCTATGCATTTGTCAAAACCCATAGAACTTTAACATGGTGAACCCCGTCTCTATTAAAAATACAAAAAAATTAGCTGGGCATGGTGGTGGGTGCCTGTAGTCCCAGCGACTCGGGAGGCTAAGGCAGGAGAATGGCATGAACCTGGGAGCGGAGCTTGCAGTGAGCCGAGATAGCACCACTGCACTCCAGCCTGGGTGACAGAGTGAGATTCCATAAAAAACAAACAAACAAAAAAAAGCATAGAATTTTAAAGCACAAAGAGTGAATCTTATTGATGCAAATTTTAAAATATCCTTTAGGAGATCATGGAATTCAAGAATAGAATGCAGAATGTAGAATATGACAAAATAACTGTATTATAGATATATGAAATGACGTCACTGAAGGTGATGATGGGAAAGGACCTAGATAGCTTTAGACATGAGAGGAATATATAAGACCAAAGGCAAAGTAATCACTTTACTCTAGCTGATAAACTTGTGTCCCGATAGGGTATGAATTAAAAATTCTGGAAACACCACCTATTTATTCAGATCTTGGTTCCTAATAGCATTCTTAAGTGAAAAGAACCAATGATCCTTGGTGACATAGCTCCTTCTAGGACTGGGACAGGAAATGTGCAAGATAAGTCTGGGGCATTTTATACTGAAAGAAGTGCTGAAAACTATTTTTTTACATTGATAGGGCTATCTCAAAAGGACACAGGAGCCTTCTGAAAGAGTTCCCAATAACCAAAGCTGTAAAACTTTGAGAAACAATATCAACAAAATTGGATTATAACTTAAAGTATAAAATAAATACCCATACATTCATACTAAGATAAGAAAATAAATAAATAAATATGAGACAGAATAGACAAATAGCCCTAGTAGAAGCATTCAAAAAAATTTACATAGATACCCTACCCTTAAAGAGATGGAACACGACTCATTACTGCTTAAATGTGGGATGCACATAGTGACTTCTTTTCAAAGAATAAGCAATGGAAAGGGAGGAAAAGAATAACTCTGTTGTGAAGAAACTCACAAGTCCTACCTCAGTAAGGTGCTAGTGTGCACCTTTGATGTGGTATGAAGAGAATGGCACTTTATATCTGTGGTTTTTCTCCCTACATCCCATAACTCCAGTCTGATTAAAAAAAACAAAACAAAACAAACAAACAAACAAAAAAACACCAGACAAATTCCAGTAGAGGGGGTTCTGTAAAATACCTGACTCCTTAAAACTGTAAAGGTCATCAAAACCAAGGAAGTCTGAGTTTCATAGCCAAGAGAAGCCCAATGAGATGTGACAAACAAATGTGATGTATCCGGCTTAGAATCCTGGAACAGAAAAAGGACATGTGGTAAAAACTAAGGAAATCACAATGAAATATGGTCTTCAATTAATAACGAAAAAAAAATGATTCTAGCTCCCTTTCAGCAAACTGCTCTCTATCCTTCCTCATTACCAGAACGTTCTGGGAACACAAATATCTGTATAATCACGGGGATCAGAACTCCCAGGAAATGGAGATTTCTCAGGAAATTGATCATTCTGCAGAGGATAAAATCTTAATAAAATGGATTATCACATTCCCTACTTTTTCAAATAGCACAGACTCAGCCTGATTTATTTTTTTCTTGATGACTCAGGACTTTATGACAATTATTGGATAATTTCTAGGGATTTTCTTAGGGCTCATTTACCTAACTTCAAGTACTTGTAAGACAAAGGCAGTATCTCTCTCTCTCTCTTTTTTTTTTTTTTGTGAAGCATTTACACATAAGCACAGGTGATATTCTCTGGTAAGCACTGAATTCAGTGTGATCTCTCCTGTGTCTGGCTTTGTATTGCCTCTCCTTACTCTGGGTGGCTTTGTGTGGAACTATGTGGTCCAAACTGAGACTTCCTATGATGCAAAATCTTGTAACTGCTCCTCACCCCACTGTGTTGCAACTATGACAAAAGACACACTATCTCTGACTTTTGGGTTATTACTATGGAAGCCTCGATAGCTTCCTGTCTTCATTTGTCATGGGAGGGATGTCATTGATGACTTTATGCCAGCTACTTTTTTCTTTCTACCAGATCTTTCAAAGATAACCATGTGGGATTGTTTCTGCGGAAATACCATTTATAGGGAAAACATTTCTTGATGACTTTAAACAAAGGAATGTTCCTCTAATGACTATATAACCCTTTACCCTGATATATTTTTATAACACTTATTACCACTGGATTTACAAGCTTATTTGTTTACTTGCTTAATGTCTGTCTTTCCTTTTGAATGAAATTCATAAAAGTCAGGCCTCATACCTTTCTTGTTTCCTGCTCTAGACTCTATGCTTATGACAGAGCACAGTCAGGGAGTATTTGTTGAATAAATGATGATTGAACTTTCTAAGGTCATGGTGTACCTTTGTGTTTCTGAATTTTTGGCGGAGACGTCTCTTGGTTCTGCCTAATCAACTTTCTCCCCTCTCACAATAGATAGATACAATAATTATTGCTAAATTTGGCTTATTAAATAAACCGTGATTGAGGGCCTGTGATGATCTCCGATGAAGAAGTGCCTGAATTTTGTGTATGGAATTTATGACATCAATCTTGGCCACCCAAAGGCCTTAAAAATTTCTTTGCCATGTTCTGAAGATTAGATGTGAACTTGCCAAATTGTTATGCTATGAATAAAAGAATAGCTAACAGTTACTTTAATTTAATCCCAAACAAAACATGCTCAGTACAGGAAGTATTCTTGGAAGAAAAAAATGTAATACATCCCAAAGACAAATATATTCTTTTAAAAAATTAAATGTTCTTTTTCTTAAAATCACATATCCATGTTCTCCTCTTTAAAAAGTAGAAAAAAGAGAAGAATAGATTAATATTGACAAATGTCACTAATTTTATTTTCCTAAAACATTCTCAGATCATGAGTAATATGCTCATATCCACAGGAACCACAGGATAACAGATTTTTCCTCAGGCCACATTGCCCCTACAAAAATAATTTTAACAGGCTAAACTGTCACTCAATTTAGAGTAGTGCAAAACGCATTATCCTTTTGGCAATAAGCAATTTTTTCATTAGTAGCCAAGATTGATCATTGTAAAGTTCCTTTATCTTTTTATGCACTACTGTTCCAATCAAGGTAGTATCACAAGGTCAAAACGAATATAAAAGCCATCTTTATTCAAAATATATTAACAAAGACAGTAGGAACACTCTGTGCATAGCCCAAAAAATCAAACACACCAAAACGTCAGAACTGCTTTAATTATGTGAGAGTACCGATTGTTCTTAACACAAATCAAATGTGTAACAAAAGAAATAAAATAGTTTTAGCTTCTTCACACACCTACTTATCTCACAAAATTTATATCTTCAGGGGGCTTGAACTCCTGGTTTTATGCCCTCTCTTGCTTGGTACTCTGTGTATGGAAATTGTTTTTCTCAGATCTTTTCCTTTTGGAAGGACCCTCCTTTGGCCATTGTCATAAATGTTACTCCATTATCATGCAAATGGGTCATATAAACACTGAATGTTTCCTTAGCTGAATTCCTTCTGGTTCTATTGTCTCTTTCTATTTGTAATGGAAAAACAAGATTTTAAAATAATCAAATGAGTTCAGGCTACATCTTCTTTTACATCAGTGGCTCAGTCCCTCCTGTGGGGATGAAATGACCCAAGATGACAGTGTGCCCATTGGCTAATTACTTCCAGGAGCCAAGTACACACACTCAAATTCAAACCTTGGGTCTGATGAAGGATGTTTATAAGCACATCAATATTATAAGTTCCAGCTCATGCACCTAAGTAGAAAATGAGAAGAAGTGGTCATGCAGAAACGCAGAGTAACACAAAAATATAAAATGCACATAACTAAGGTTAATATCTGTAGCAGAATAGCACTAAGACAGTTCATTCGTATACAGAATGTGTTGCCCACTCTCACGGAAGTGATTTGCTGTGCACCCAAATCTATGCTCTGATGCTGTGTTACCAAGAGGCAACTGTCCATTCAGGAACAATGATTTGCAGGCTCTTGTCCCCACCTCACACCCCAACATGCATCTAGGGGTGTCATGTCTCTAATGTTCACCAGTGGAATGTAAGCAGATGTAATATGAATCTCTTTCAGGTCAGAGGTTAGAAGAAGCAGGTGCACCTTTCATTCATTCAATGTATACAAAAGATAAGGCCTAAGGGATGATGGAATTACAATAGGGATGGCCGGCAGGGCGCGGTGGCTCACGCCTGTAATCCCAGCACTTTGGGAGGCCACGGCAGGCAGATCATTTGAGGTCAGGAGTTCTAGACCAGTCTGGCCAACGTGGTGAAACCCCTTCTCTTCTAATAATACAAAAATTAGCCAGGCATGGTGGTACGTGCCTGTAAATCCAGCTACTCAGGAGGCTGAGGTGAGAGAATCACTGGAATCAGGGAGGCAGAGGTTGCAGTGAGCCGAGATCTCACCACTACACTCCAGCCTGGGCAACAGAGACTCCATCTCAAAAAAAAAAAAAAAAAATAGGGATGGCCCTGGAACCCTCTGAACTCCAGTATGATTAAATCGTCCACCAACCAGGAATATCTTAGTGTATTTTTACTTGACAGGAAAATAAACTTCTGTTGTTCTAAGCCATTATAATTTGGGGGTTTGCTTTTTATAGTTGCTGGTGTGAATGCACCCTTCATTCTGTATAGTTTAGAACTTTGCCCCTGGTTCAGATCTTATCCTTTCTGTTATACCACCTCCAAATCTCAGTTCTTCAATGGAGAATTATCTGACAATTCCAACCTCTATTGATTTTTTCTCTCTCTGATTTCCCACATATTTTCTATATTTATACCAATGATTCCCAAAGATGGAAAGCTATTAAAATTAACTTGGGGAATTTTTACAAAAATACTTGAGCCCCACTTGACCTTGTGATTCAGATTAAATGGTGGTACAACCTGGGAATCTGCATCTTTAAAGCTCTTCTGATGATTCTGATACACAGCCAGACTTGAAAACTTCTGGTATATTATAAATTTTTAGGTTTTCATAATTCATTGTTTCTGCTTTCTTCAATATTGTTTGGAAAATACAATAACCTTAAATGAACAAATCTCCACTATAATTCACCCTTGCATGTAAGTACAAGAATAGCTCATCTGGGAAGCAGCTCCATCTCAAATCAGTGCTTGTAAACACTCTTGAGGATGATCACCTTCTCTGCAATGCATACCTTGTAGATTTCCCAAAGATGAATTTCACACATATTTCATTTTAAGTCAAGCCATCTTATATATGCCCTCAAATTTAATAATACATGGCAAATATTCAAAACATAACTTTACTAATTAGAAGATGGATTGAACTTAGTACGTGATAATCTCCTTAAAGATAGCAATCTACCTTAAGCTTTATAATTTAATGTGTGTTTCCTTAGGTGTCCCAAGTTGATGGGGGCTAAGGGAGTCACGTTACTCCTTTCACACCTCTCCTCACTTATTAATGTAAAGTTTCCAGCTTCATGCAACATTTCAGTCATTAATTTTTGGGAGTCTCTATAGCGGTGTCTGCCATGTTGTTGTGCTGTCTGTGTTCCTTGAGGACTTGAAGTACCAAGGTACTTCACGGTGGAGAGAATAATCTCCTGTTGGGCACCAGAGTGGCATTATTATTTACTACAGTGTTTTATGGCGACCGTCATGGAAACAGCTTTTCTCTTTCCATAAGTTAAGGCTAGAGCTGAAGTCATACACCACCAGAAGGTCAATATTTGAGAGCACCTTACAGTCCTCCCCAATTTTCTCCCCACAGGCATTCCCTCATTCTAATCCTTCTGTTTCTACAATCAAAATCGGACAGGTAAATAGATTCCTCTCTGGCTGCACAAAGTTAATCATTAAGTCAAATTTACAAGCATATTTTAATGCTAGTGATGTTAGTATTGTTCCATCTTCATTTAAGTTATTTACATCACGAAATATTGTTTACTTGCACAAGACATGTTTTATAGAAAACATATAGGCTTATTAATATGTTAGCTAGATATCTTTATTAAAGACAATGGACTTTAATTTGATAAATTATTATGTTATATACTATTGGATATGAATAGAATCTTATTGACAAACGTAATCTTTGAATTTCGCTATTGGCGATAACCAATGTACAATACATGTATACAGTCTCAGGAACAGTCATAACAAGGTTACATTTATTTTTTGTTATCCTCAAGTGGGCTATGCCTTTGAAGTTTTCCTTAAAGTATTAATTATTTGATATTTCAATATCAGATCTTCAATTTTGTTCTATTATATGTTCAATTGAGTTTCATTCTCTACTGAATTTCTTTGGAATGTTTGATACATCCACTAGCCTTACTTTATTTTCATCAGTGTTATATAAGGCTTGAATCTTCAAAGCTGTAATGACTGAAATTTAGTTTAAAAGCAGGTTAGTTGGTTTATCATTACATGTCCCAAGATCTTCCAAAGTCAAATAATAGTAAATCTGATTCCCTTTTCTCAGTTAACATCCTTGCCAGAGACTGAATTTTTTTCATTAATAACCATACTTTTAAGGAAAAGATTTCTGTTTCACCAAAGAAAAGGCCAGAACAGAAATTACAGTTTTTGCTCAAGATAATGACAGAAGAGGCTAATTTCCAGGCTTCTGTCTACTAGCCCCTTGATATAGCACTTTAGTAGGCTATGTTACAGATATGTTGACATAAATATCACAATTATTTGCATTTATTCAATTAAAATAATGGACGTTGGTTGGATGAAGTAGTTTCCCCTAACCAGGAACACCATTTAAGCAAGTATCATTTTAAACACCACTGATTCCTTCTTACAATATGGCCACTAATTGTATAGCATTTGGTATGTGGCTAAACATTTCAGTTTCTTCATCTCATATTTACTATTGTTGGAATGAGGAATAATTTTAGTAAAAGGTGTAAAGCACCTATCACAATGTCAAATTATAAGACATATTATTTATTATCTCCCATCTCTATATTCTAAGAAGGTAATTATATAATTTTATAACTGAAATGTCTAAATTTTATAACCAAAGGTCAGATCCATTAAAATGGACCATCATTTATGCAACTGCACCTGTTGAAGGCATTACATCACATTTTCTGCCAACTTACTTAATTCTTGCTCAGCAATTACTGGTTTCTCAGTTTCTCGCCTGACAATAAAATACAGAAATCTTCCATTCTTTATTAACCTACAGGCAATTTTCCTTTGTGGTTTAAGAAGTCTGACATACTCGCTATTGTTAACTGCTCATGTTAACTGCTATCTGCTCAGGACCATATGAGAAAGATAGCATTAAAGAGAAAACCACAGAAACCAAATCTCTTGACTCTAGTAAAGTTTAGCGATAGCCACACATTTTAGTAGAAGTGGAAAATAATTTCAACTCTTCCTCCAAGATGGAGAGACTTCTTGAACATGCTCAGTACATGTGCATAAAACCAAAGAACCAACTTCTACTTAGAAACCTCAAGAATATTTTCAAATGGATAGAGAAAATAGGAAGGTGTGAATGGATGTTATCATGACTCCTGGGTCACCAAGAGAACAAAAGGTTCAGGGAAAAAGTTATAACATTTTAGTACATGTACGGCCTGCCTAATACATTTAGTTATTACATGGGACTGTTATGAAACCCACATGAGCAAATTCATATGAAAGCTCTTTGCAAACTGTAAAGTGCTTCACATATCATGAATTGTTCATGAAATATAGGCAGTTTAAATGTGGATAAAAAATGTTTGGTGACCTTAAATATTTGTATAACTTTTAATGAATATTCAAAACTCTTTGATGATTCTAAACAAAAAGTTGCAAGTCCCACTCAGAATTTTAAAATAAGTTTTAGCCCCAAAGAGTAATTTCAAATAATCAATTCTTCTTTCCTCTGTGATTAACACACCCACATGCAGAGGGAAACTTACATCAATTCATTATTTTTAAATGCAGTACTTTGGAGTAGGGTCAATAACTGCCTTACTATGTTTTGCCCCTCTCTTTAAAATTCTGCTGGCAGCCAATTCCTGCTACAATCACAGTAATGGGACAGTTCAAGTGTTTGCAATAGTGCAGCATTTTGTTATGCAATTGAAGGATAAATATGTCTTTATCTTTCCAACTACCCAGCTTTATTTCTGCCAAAGAGTGGTAAAAGTGAAAAGGAAAATATTTATGGGAAAATGGGTGAAAAATAATGAGAAATGTAACAGATACAGATGGTATTGCTCAAGTTAGAGATTTCCTAATTTGGAAATCTTATTAAAATACGTTGATTGGCCACTTAAGTGATACCTAACAGGGTGGTAGTTTCATAGACTAAGGCTGACCTCAGTTTTGTAGCCCTGGAAATGAGATTTTGTTAGTGTCATTCTAAAGAAATAGATTTCTGGGAACTGATTCATGCTAAGCGCAGTTATCGGATACTGACCAGAATGTCACTGAATTGTTAAGGAGGAGAAGTATGAGTATTCAGGTTTGCTTAGTAGTTATGTCAGCTGCTCAATACATTGCTCCCTTCTGGAAGCAAATCTGCAGGAAACGTTAAATTATACTAGAAGGCTGCTTAATTAGCATGGGAAAGGAGCAAGTGAAGTTCAGTTCGGTTCCAATTCTGACTCCCTTTTTATTCTAGATATTGACAAACATCAGATATACACAGATGAATAAGACAAGACTCTATACTCAGGAAGAGCAATTAAGTAGGGGACCAAAACATAAACATGTTATTTTATATCAACCAGAGCTCTTAGGTGCAAGTGACTGAAACCAACTACGACTCTTTTTCTTTCATGCAAAATAGAAGTTTACTAAAACAATAATGGGTTCCTCAAGAAATTGTTAGAAAGCAACATTAAGGCCATATAAGAAGAAAGAATGCCCAAAATCACATACAACAACCAGTCTGGCGAGGACACCACTACCACCATCCCCAACAGTAACTATTACCATTCCCTTTTCTAGACCCACTAGCACAGTACACTGCTGCTGTCCCTCTGCCACCATTTCTCTGCCATTGTGACCCCAGGTGTTTGAAATGTTTTTAACAACAATGCCGAGAGAGTTCCTGGTAGTCCTGCAATTCTTGGGCTGGTACAACCAATTGCTTGAGCCTAGGTAGCATGCCTGCACACTACCTTCATGAAAGCTTGGGTAAGCTAATACATGTCACTTTCCCTCTCTATAGTACAGTAGATACTGGTTTCCTCAAGATATATACATTTCTTAAGCATAAGAAAGAAGTTTGATTCTGTGCAACCATCAATAATGACTAATGACTTCTACACTTTCAACATAGTAAGGTAGATACACCAGTAGATGTATGTTTTGCTTGCTATATGAAAACAGAGGACAGTCATCAAAAAATTGGCAAGATTATTTTCTTAGTTATCACCAAAGGTTATGATAATCCTGTGTATTCATTTCCACTAAAGACAAGGCAAAAAGACAATGAGAACTGATATTTTTATATATATATATATATATATATATATATATATATATATATATATATATAAACTATATATATAGTGCACATGTAGTTTATATATATATATAAACTATATATATATATAGTGCACATGTAGTTCAAGGTCTGAAGCGCTTGGTCAGATTAAGTAATTGTGCCCAGGTTTCCAACTGATAAATAACAAAGGTGACAAAAATCAGACATATCTGATTGTAACAATCTACTTTTTGCAGTACATCAAATGCATCCTAGATCATATGTGGTTGTGGTCATTCCATCCAGAATTGACTGGAGTCAGAGACTGTTTCATGATAACTAAATACATGAGACTGACAGACAATTTGGAATGCCAAATATTGTAGATCAAATACTTAGCCAATATGCCCTTCTCTGGACAGTGCAGAAAGTCTACCACTAAAATCTTATCATTCTTCTTTTCTGGATATAACGTAGATAACCCTTTCTTGATAGCATTTTCTTTATTCATACACAGAAATACTAACTAAGTAGATATTTTCTTCTTTTTTCAAATGTTATTATATTTTTAAATTCAAGGGGTACATGTGCAGGTTTGTTACCTGAGTGTATTGCACGATGCTGAGATTTGGGGCATGAATAATCCCATCACCCAGGAACTGAGCACAGGCAATAGTTAGTTTCCCAGCCCTTGTCCCCCTTCCACCCTCCCAACTCTAGTAGTACCCACTATTTATTATTGTTGTCTTTATGTCCATAAGTACCAGTGTTCAGCTCCTACTTATAAGTGAGAACAAACTGTGTTTTGTTTTCTGTTCTTGCTTTAATTTACTTAGGATAATGGCCTCCAGCTATAACTATGTTGTTGCAAAGGACATGATTTCATTTTTTTTATGGTTGCTCAGTGTTACATGGTGTATATGGACCATATTTTCTTTATTCAATCCACTATTGATGGGCACCTACATTGACTCCATGTCTGTAAGCGGCTTAAACAATTGAATGAGCAAAAAGCGAAAAGCCGCATCAAGAATTGGGTAAAAGACATGGGTAAACAGACACTTCTCAAAAGAAGAAATACACATAGCGAACAAACATATGAAAAAATGCTCCACATCACTGTTCATCAGGGAAATGCAAGTCAAAACCACAATGAGATACCATCTCATCCCAGTCAGAATGGCTATTAATAAAATGTCAAAAAACAACAGATGCTGGCAAGGCTGTGGAGAAAAGGGAATCCTTATATACTGTTGGTGGGAATGCAATTTAGTTCAGTCACTGTGGACAGCATAAATTTGGAGATTTCTCAAAGAACTTAGAACAACCATTTGACCCAGCAAACCCATTACTGGGTATACATCCAAAAGAAAACAAACTGTTCTACCAAAAAGACACATGCACTCGCACGTTCACTGTAGCACTATTCACAATAGCAAAGACATGGTATGAGGATACACACAGGAAACATGTGGCTTCTCCAGATGAGATTTAGGAGAAAGCCAAGAACCTCAAAGTAGGTCTAGAATTTGGGAATATGGGGCAGTGGCTGCTCAGAAACCAGATTAAGATATTTTCCTCACCGTCAGTGGCTTAAAGAAATTTATTTTGAAGTAATCAGGAAAAAGAATAGCAATGGAAATGAATACTAGATATACAAAATCGATGTATTGAAATTCTTATACTATGCAGACATGGCTTCTTAATTTCAGGATAATTACTTTATTCATTTGATTCATTTAACTCATTTTTTAAATTTATCCTGATAAGGGCATTTTCCTAATAACTACACAATAAAAATGCTTGTTCAGCTTCAGTTGACTTTCACTTAAAAATTCCTAAAATATCTTTGATGTAGCAGAAATTTGCCATAAACTAATGGACAAACTAAACATTTTCAAAACAAACAAAAATGTCATTTCTCATTTCTGTACTAAAAACTCATTGCCTGTCCAATGATATAAAGTTTTAAAACATATTTCCAGCTTAAATAGCAGTGTAGTGAAATACATTATATCTTGACTGCATAAATTGCATCAGAGCATTAAACACAGTGAGTAAGATAGAAGAGGATAATTACCTTTGGGATTGCAACTATTTTGACACCACCTACTTCAGGCAAGAACACTGCTGTAATAGCCACATACTGTGACTATTGTTAGAAATTCTGACTGTCTGCATTTAGCAACTGGGAATGTGAAAACAAATATCATTCCAACTAAAACAATAGTCAAAGTAACCTTTTCAATTGAATTGTTGCTTGTAATAATGAAATGGTAGTCCATACCACTGAGTGTATTTGCAGTCATTTTAACTTGTGTTTTATTCAGTGAAGCCACTTTTCACATCTTTAATAGAATAAAAAAAATCAGATGCTTTGGCAGTCTTCACAGTTCCCTGGTCTCTTTTATTTATCTTGAGGGTCATATGTATAATTGATACAAGGCAGAAGCTAGGAGAATATTACTAAGAGGACCAGAGAGTAGAGGGATCCCACTGGCCTGTGGGATTCAGGTACAGGGCTCTCTCCAGGGAAATGTTCCTTTGGACCACTGACTGCACCTGACTGGAAAACACTGGACGATTGTCAAAATTCACAGTGATATCCTTCTGTTTCCCAGCCAACCTTTCACAAAGACTTAGGTGGTGAGAATAACAGCAAACCTGGCGTAGCTTTGCTGGCACTTGATATTTTGAAAAAGTACTCAAAAGTCCTTCCTGTCATAAAACACTGGATAGAGGAAAGCTAGGAAAAGTCCAGCTTTAATTTCATGAATTTGCACTTGCAAAAACACATATCTTCACCAAAATTAAGAAGACTTGAGAATTTGGCTCTAAGCAAAATTCCACTCCTGGGATTGAATGCAGATTTCTGCTGTGGGCAAAACCTCACTATTATTTCTAGACAATGGGGCTTTCTGTAGTGAAAATGGTGGCGCGCTCTGCACATAGAATGGCCACAAGCCAGTTCCCAGTTTTCTCCAGTGGATTTGCCAGATTGGAGAAAGGAGAGAATATTTTCATACAGACTGGTAAGGTCTGATGAAACTTGGGGGAAATTAAGCCAGTTAACTTATTTTTTTAAAAGTGAATGATGGTCTGAAAGCTCAGAGAAAATATATTAAATTGCTTCCAAAGGGCACAGTAGAGACAGCTTCTCCTTAAAATCTGGAAGGGAGCTGTCCTCAAGGAAGTTCTGCATTTGTTTAATGCCCTCAGTGTGATGTTGATCGGTGCTTCTCTAAATTTATTGCTCTATGAATCACACGAGGGTCTTGTTTGAATGCATATTCTAATTCAGAAGGTTTGGAGTGACACTTGAGATTTCACATTTTAACAAGCACTCCACAATGTTGACACTTTGAATAGTAAGGACTTGGATGACCATATGATAATTCACCTAAGCAATTGGTTCACAAATGCCCAATACTGTACATTTATTTGGTTAAAGAGTACAAGTGATTACAGAATAATGTAACTGCAATCATATCATTATAAATATTTCCTTTGTTAAATTCTCTTTAAACTACTCATGTTGAGTGTGCCAATTTTTTTCTTATAGTGTTTTTTTGTTTTGTGGTTCTGCTTTATTTTTATTTTTCGCCATATGTTCATTTCCTCAGCCTCCTTTTCAGCTAGGAGTGGTTAGGTGATCTGATCCGCCCCCCCAGTGAAACATAAGTGGACATCAACTACAAAGTTTTGGGAATGGCTTTACTCCCTGATAAAACACACAGTAGCTTGGGGATAGTAGTTTATCTCTTTTTCTGCCTTCCTAATTTAGATGTTTGGGGTAAGTGTGGTGCATGGAGTGACCAATCTGTGAGCATGAACCATCAGCCTGAGGATAAGAGCCAGCACACAAAGGAAGGTGAAGGGGGAAAGGATGCCAAGGCCCTGGACTTTATCAGCATTATTGAACCACAGTACCAACTTATACCGACTGCATTTAGACTTCTTGTTATGAGTGCAATGTGTGCACTTAAGGGTTAAACTTCTTTAATCAGGTTTTCTTTGACTGTAACCAAATCAATCCTAACTGATGAGGCAATCTATGATTACTGCAAATTTGATCTTGCCACTTTTATGCCTAACATATGCCAATGGTTCTTCATCATCTGCAGAATAACCTCCTAGCATGACATGCAACATCCTCTATGATTCTATCCTTGACGGGCAGCTTCTGCACTTCAGTACATGTTGCTTTACGTGCTATACTGCTAATTCCAGTCTCCTGTAGTTTCTCACACAAAGCATGGCATTTCTCGCCTCTGTCTTATAATGAGTGCTCTCGCAGCAACATGTCTTCTACCACGAACATCTTTCCTTCTTCTTTCTTTAGCTATGTCTTACTCTTATTCAAGAATATAACGGAAACAATAAGCCAAATATATTTTTTTAGTTACTGAGCACAGAAGCCTATTCTGGATTAATCAAGAAGCGGGATTAATGAAACAAATTTAGGGCAGGTAACAGAAATCTGTAAGACTAGGCTTAGAAAACTAGCAGGAAGAAGAAAAACTGACATCCAGAAACAGAACAAAACTCAAGTGAAAAATGAGTCCGGTGAGCCCTGCTGCAGCTTTTCTGAAGAACAGACACCTCAGCTTACACCACAGTCAGCTATGGACAATGGAAACCAATGCAGCTGTTCCCTCCTCTGTGTTGGCTTTTATCCTCAGCCTTCTCTAACACCAGCAAAAAGACCCCATGGTCACTGCTTCTTTGCTTCACAAACTCTCAGTTCCAAATACAGAGGAGGTGCATCTCATTGGCGGAGCATAGATTAAGTGCTGATTCCTTAACTAGAGGAAGCTGAGAAAGTATCTGGGGTTTAGACTTACTTTGGAGGAAGGACCCAAATTAAGAGCTATTTATCAAGAAATTCATGTAATTTAAGAAGAGGGTTCAGATCTTAGATTACCAAAAAGCAGTCTATGTATTTAGTAAAGTTTCAGTAAAATGTGCTAACTGCAACTGTGGATGCATAAATGGGTTCAACTGGAATATGGAATAAGTAGCTACATGTAGCCCAGCACTGTACTCTAGAAATGTGTAATGAGCAATACATGTAATTTTCTTTGTTCTAGTAGCTACATTTCAAACGTACACAGGAATAGATAAAATTAATTGTACATTAACATAGTATGTTTAAAATACTATAATTTCAACATTTAATCAGTATAAAATTACTAATAATATTTTAAAACTATTTTTCAATTTAAAATGTTTGGAATTCAGTGGGCACTTTACACTTACAGCACATCTCAATATGGCTATTAGCCACATTTCAAGTGCTCAGTAGGCACATGTGGCTAGTCCCTATCACATTGGATAGTGCAGATCTAGACAAACGTAGCAATTACTAGGGGAGCAGTGACGTGGATCATATGCCAGTATGTAACTGTGAATCTTTTCTATTTGGTTTTAGAATGCCCAGCACCCATTGCTAATTACTATTTTTTTTTCTGTCCTGGATTGTAGCGTTTTCATTTAAATTGTTGTTTCAGAGCTTATGTGGCAATTGATCAATGTGGCCAGAATTCAACTTTTAAGTTTTGATGGCGTTTGCATTTAGGCCAAGGCCATGGGAGTGGATGAGATCTACTAATAAGAGAGTGTACAGGCACAAAATAAGGTTGATGATAAGTCCCTAGAGAACAATATTAAAGATTAGAGAAGAAGCTGACTAAGTGTTCAAAATGGTAAAAGAACTGAAAAAAAAAATAGGTTTTCAGAAGCCAAGAGTCTCAATTGCGAAATTATTTTCTTCTTGGAAAGATGACTGAATTTAGAGTCATTTCCCAATTTATGTACATTGGTTCCACTGAAAATTAACTGATTTTTTTAAAAATGAAACTTTAATTAGGCACTTTATAATGACAAGAAATTCTTCTATTTGTTCCTGGTCAGTTCCCATTACCATTTCACACAGAATCTCTTTTGAATTTTTATCACTTTCCTTTAGCCTCCTACCTACTCTTTCTCTCCAGCTCCATCAGTAGCTGACTTTACCTCCTACTTCAAAGAAAAGATAGAAGCCTTCGGGCTGAAACTCTCTCCTTCCTCAACTTCTTCCCACACATAAATTATTTCAATCCATAGTTTATCCTTTCTTTGTTTGAGTTTGGAAGTGCCTAATAACTAATATCACTATTCTCCCCAGTGCCCCAACCCTACCAGAGGTTAGAGCGAATTGAAAGAGATACAGAAATCAGGCATAGCGCAAAAATCATTTCAATTAATGATTAAACTGTTACAGAATGTAGCCTAGGGCTGTGGCCAGTTGGGCTTGAGGTTGCCATCTCATTATCACATTTTCTTTTTCATTTATACTCAAGTTTCTAGAAACAAGCTCTACTTGCTCAACCCCTACACACTTCTATATACAAGACGATGTGACTTCTGGTCCAATTATTCCAGTGACACTATTCTTACAGATGTTCCTAATTCCCTCGATGGTTACTCAACCCCAGGGAGACTTGCAATCCTTATCATCTTACTTGGCCATCGAAGGTTTTGCACTATTGGCCCCTCCTTCCTTTGTGCATTCCCTTCTGTTTTTTTCTTCAAACTCTTGGCTTCTGAGAAGCCCAAGGAGGCTGAGAAAGCTTCCCCTTTCTCCAGCTATGGGCTCCTTGATTCTTCTTTCTCTAGCTATGCTCTAAATATTTGCATTTCTTGGGGATTCATCTTCTGCTGTCTTCTGTTTTATTCACTTCTTTCTCTACATACTCTCTGGGTCATCCCATCCAATCCTGAGATTTCAATTGCTATTTACCCATTAGTTCTTCTCTCGGCCTTCAATACTGCCTGTTCCAGATACATTTTTCAGAGTGACCTTTCTGTAAGCCAGTTTTGATTATGATTAAAACTTTTCTTTGGCTCCTGCTAAAAACACTTGTATCTGACTCCTCATGTTCTCTTGCAGTAGAACGTAACCACTATAACACTTCTGGCTAATTTCTACTCCTTTTCTCACTTATTGCTAAGAGAGGAGGAGTGATTCATTAATCTCTGCCGAATTCTGACTCTTGAAAGTGTCAGTATCAGAATCTTCCGAATTCTCATCTGACTTAGGAAAGGTTGCATCCTGATCTGCTGCCAGATGGTAAGGCACTCCCTCTGTGGGAGAGTTTGCAGTTGTGGAGAACATTTAATTTAGGAGGATGTTAGCAGACCACAAACCTAAGTCACCTTCTGCAGGCTAGCTTTGGTTCATAATAAAAATAACAATTACATTGCTACTTTTCTGACTGCTGAATCTTGATGGGTTAAGGACCTTGATAGGAAAGCCACACCCCTGTTTATGGGCAAAAACAACAACAAAAAGTGAGAGAACATTGAAGGAAATTCTTATCTCTCATTACTCGGGATTTTAAATTGAGAAACTTCTTTTACACATTACTTCTGATCTTTCTCCATATCCTTATTCTCCAGTGAAGGAACATTAATTCATTTATCTGTTAAGTGAGATTGATAAGACAGGCTGGACTCACATGGCATTGCTCATTGTGGGTCTTTCCAGATCCAGCCATCTGCAGAGAAGGAAACTTCTGGCCTGCCGATCTTATGCAGGAAGAAGCCTATCCCAGTAGAAGGTGATGGTAACTTGGAGTGTTATGTTTTCTACAATAGAGTGTTAGCAAATCCACTTAACCACACAAATAACATTTTCATAGTGTTTCTTAATAATAAAACTGATATTTTGAAATCCAGCTGATCCCCATATATTTCTACTAATTGATTCCAAACTCAACTGGGAAAGAAATGTTGTTATTTGATTACTTAGATCCTTTTAAATACCTGAAATTTCCCATACATTTATGTTTTTCACTTAAAGTATGAGGCCACTCCACTCCCTACTCTATGATCCATGGCATAGACCAACATATAATTCCACAAACATTTACTAAGCACCTACTAATTTACCACTGCGCCTGAATCTCTAAAGATACAAAATGAAGATGTGAGTCATGTCTTCTAGGAATTCACGGTTCAGCAGTATAAGTTTATATTTCCAATTATAGTTTTTGGGTAAAGTCTCACAATGCATTTCTTTACAAGACTAAAATTACAAAAGAGAGCTCATCAAAAAAGGGAACTTATTTAATTATGATCATTGCATTGACAGCTAACTTGATATGGATGGGAAGACAAGCACTGAGGCACACTGCAGTTATATGGCCAAGAAGAGGGTTACGAATAGAGAGAACAAGAATGGGATGTCTTTAGTAGAGCAGGTCATAATCTAGTTAACATCAGAAATGAGATGATAAAAACGCACGGCGCCTTGCAAGTGAGTGCCAGTGGAACATGTATAGACGTGCATATTCAGCATGGGCTCAAAACATAATCAAAAGAATCATAGCAATCTGTGCTCCTCTTATAGACTGACAAGATGAGACTCTACTGATTATTTTAGCCATGGTTCAGGCAATTTGATAAGCCATAGAAAAACATGCATCTTCAATCTGCACAGAAAAAAGTCATAGGTAAGAATACAGAAATTACTGTACAAAACAAGTTCTGCTAACTTAACCTAAAATTTCATCCCATTGTTAAAACTCAGCCTCAAATAAAATGGTGCTTATAAGATCTAAGACACCTGGGCCCTCAAGTTGTTCACTTAAAAGCAGTGTGAAATAGTTGGTATGACATGACTCAGACCAATCTTCGGGATTGAAAACCAAACATTTTAAAGAACGTTGGTAGAACTCATGAAGCACACACAAAGATTATTATGTTAATTTAGATAGAATTAATTTTTAAAATTCTCTTTGTACCTCATTTTCAAAAATTCTAATTTCACTCATGTAAAAAGAAAATAACCCAAACAGGTGATATTATTTTTTTCTATGTTTTAAATTTTAAAAGTCCCATCTGTCACTAATTACACATTTATTTCATTATGAAGCACTATGACTATAATTACTTGAGGTTTTTTGTTGACCATTTAGAGTTTAAAGTAAATACTAATTGTTTTGTTATAACTGTGTATTAAATTAAACAATTCACTGCTAGACTTTTCTAGGCTTCAAATAATTTTTATTAGAACCACATAAGAAAGCAATTATGCAATTAATGACACCGCCAATCTTATAAGTCCATCTTATAAACTTTGAAGACTTTTTTTCCTCTTCATTTCTTCTATTTTAAAAGCAGAGATAGCTACTTCATGTGCACATTCCAGCATTTTATAATGATGTATGTGGCCTGCCCAGCCAGCTGGGCTGCTCAGTCACTCTATCAAAGCAGCAATGACGCCAAGCAATTAACTAACTCTCACAACTATCATGACCTTGAGTTGAAGAGAATGTATCTATCTAGATAATTGTGGTCATTTCTACTTTAAGTTATTTCCTTTAGAAATAAAATATCTTCCAAACTTAAACCAGAAGTTGCTGTGAATTCCATTTGGCACTTGTGTTAATAATAATATTTTCTGGGATAATAACAACAGGTTTGGATTTAATTAAATATGTTGCTCACTGAAGCATCTGTTTTAAACATTAATGAATGGGAGCTCCTATGGGATATCCAAATGGATGTGTTTTCACTCTGTAACACTATCCTGAAGTGTGTTTTGGAATTTTCAAATAATTAGCTGGTCTTTGTTTTGAGAGTCTTATTCAGGATAAAAAAGCAATCCTATTCTCAAATCATATTGATAGATGGAACCCAGTTACGAAGAGACAATCAATCATAAAAGCAGTCTTTGTGAAGCTATTATGCAATCCACAGTATTAAGGTCAAGTTTTTCTTCATGTTCACACATAACTCCCATTATCATTCATGAGAGTAATTCACTTATCAAGAAAAGAACACATCCCTTCCCAATTAGTCTAAGCTACTTTTGGCAGAAAGCCATTAAAAATAGTAGACATGGAGCTCTAAATTCTACAACTAACATTTCAAGATTTGGAAGCCACCTTTGAAATAACTGTTATTAACTCGGTTTGATTGGAAACACTGTGCGAATAGAAAATTTCTGAATTCATGGCTTTTTTGACCCTCAAAGGTAGTCATATAACTAAGAATTGTTTGTAAAATGGCATTATTAGGGCTTTATTAAAAATAAGTTGCTAGGCTTAAGTTCCGTGAAGACAGTGATTAGTTATTTTTTACCATTCAGTGTATCCTCAACACATAGACCAGTGCCAGGCATAATAGGTGCATAACAGATGTTTGTTGAATTAGTGATTAATTAAAGCTAACATATTCTGTACAATTCAACAAGCATTTATTGGGACCCTACTGCTAGGTGCTAGATACCATTAGGGACTGGAGAGATAAAGATATTAAATCTCTAATTGTGTGTATATATACACATACAAATAAGAGAGGGAGAGACAGAGAGAAAGAGGGATTCTCCTGTCAAAGAGTTCCTAATATCTCAGATGATATTAGCATATAAGGAATTATGTTATAGTGTTGTCAATGCAAGGTTGTGAGAGGTATGCTACATAACATCTTAATACCATCTGCAAATAAATGTTAAGGTTTTGATGAAAGTTATATTATCCATACAAATTGAATGAACAGGTAATATAAAACATTCCTTAGTATGATAATCATATTAGCACTCTGATTTGAAAAACACATTTTAGGTTGGGCGCAGTGGCTCACGCCTGTAATCCCAGCACTTTGGGAGGCTGAGGCAGGCAGACCACAAGGTCAAGAGATGAAGACCATCCTGGCCAACAAGGTGAAACCCTGTCTCTACTAAAAATACAAAAATTAGCTGGGTGTGGTGGTGCGCACCTGTAGTCCCAACTACTCAGGAGGCTGAGGCAGGAGAATCGTTTGAACCCAAGAGGCAGAGGTTGTAGCGAGCTGAAATCTCGCCACTGCACTCCAGCCTGGTGAAAAACAAAAACAAACAAAACAAAAAAACACATTTTAAAGAAGTGAATAAAGCCTTCAGCTACACAACTAACCAAAAGATTATTAGACTATTATGGTCTCTTTGAGAGCATAGTAGGTAAATACTTTGGCTCTGGGTAAATAATGATTGTGCTATAATACCCATGGGCTAGACTGAAGAAAGTCACCATGATTATGTATTGGCTTTTTTAGTCAGACTTGGGAAAAGTTTCTCATTTATAGCATCTTCTTCTAACAGAAAAGACACTGAGATGTCAAACCACATCTCAGAGCTTTTGAAGCATTGGATGCTGGCCTAGTGTTCATAATTCCAGCTAATGGCAAGATGGCCCATGCTGGACAAACACTCTCTGGCAAGTAGATTTTTAATAATATACCATGCATTGGGCTCTGACAGATTCTTACAGGGAGAGCTCATCTGTTTCTAAACGAATCCAAGGTCCTCACATACTCCTGGATGGGCTGTGGCAAAAGAGTCCACACTGATCCTAAAGGAAAGATTCAGGTGTATGTAAACTCAGTTTCATCATCTATAAAAATACGGAGTTGAATTTGATGATCTGTAAGGTCATAACATCTCTGTGGCTTCCTTTTCTTCTATTGCAAAGTTCAAGTGGGTTAGTTGAGTCTACCTCTCATGTATCTCCACAATCCCTTCTTTTCTTTTTTTTCCCTAACACAGTGAACATTGAGGAGTCCGTTGAGGACAGATCTGATATCTTATTAATGTTCACACCTCTGTGTCTACTTATAGATTCTGGAACATAATAGATGCTCAATAAATATTGACTGAATGAGGGAATAAATTGGGCAACATCTATATAACAAACTGCATGAGTTACTTTGAGTGATTTCAAAGCAATATAAAATAACATCCCCTGCCTCCAAGAATTATATGATTTACTCAGGAGACAAGACTGTCACATGTAGCAGTAAAGAATATAAACTGTTTCATTTAATCCTCACAAGAAAAAATAACATACGCCATAAAAATAACAATAGCATCTGGCATTTATTGAGAATCAATTATATGTGCATCACCTTAATTGGATTATTTCACTTAATCCTCACAACAATTATGAGTCATTACTAAAGCTATTTCCATTCTATAAATGAGAAAATATGAACTTAAGAGTAGTTAAGCAACTTGCTTGAAGTCTTACAGTTGGTAGGTAGCTGAGCCAAGATATGAATCCAGGGTGTTCCATTCCAAAACCCATATTTTTAATCAGTATAATAAAAAGAAGAGTGTCTACTTTGTTCTAAGTGTCAAGCATCAAACATGTGCATGTGCGTGCACACACACACACAGAGTCCCTGTTGGGTAAGCTCCCTCAGTGGCCACGTTTTGTAACTTGCAGCACTTCTCCATCTGCCAAGATGATTGCACCACTGGTAGGTGTCTGATCCAAGAGCAGCCAATAAAGCAACTGGCTGGCATCTGCTGAGGTTGCCTGATACCGGTGCTCTGCCCTCTATGACCAATATTGATTAAGTGAATTAATGAGAGTCCCTCACGTGGTGGTAGTCATAATAAGAGAGAGAGAGAGAGAGTGAGAGCTATTGGTAGAGAAGAGTACAAATTAAAAGACTGACAAAAGCAAGCAGCAAAGGCCTGTAGCCAGCACAATCAATGAGTAAGCAGAGGAAAGGGTGAGGTGGCTGGCTGGCACTGGGATTAGATTTGGAAAGACATTGAGAGAAAGGCACCAACACAGAAAGACAAACTCATATTATTGATAAGGAACAAGGTTATCTACAAAATTCTTCTATACCAAAGGCAACAGATAAACCAATACCTAGAGCTGGATCTCAAAGGACTTTTTAGTCACTGAAGAAACTGTTCTACATTCAAAACCCAGGGAGACTGGTCTTCTTGAGGCTGGGCCATCCCATTGTTCTTGAGTTTCTATCATGCCTGGATGTATGGCTTAGATGCTTGCAGTCTTACTATTACCTATATTGATTTCCTATTGCTACTATAAACTGTCATAAACTTAGTGGCTTACATCAACACAAATTTATTATCGTACAGTTCTGGAGATCAGAAGTCAAAAATAGGCCTCAGTGGGCTAAAATTAAGGTGTTGGCAGAGTGTGTTCCAACTGCAGCCTCTAGGAAATAATTCATTTCCTTGGCTTTTGCAGTTTCCAGAGACAGCTCGCATTTCTTGGCTCATGGCCTTTTGCATTTCTTTCAAGATAGTGGTGGAGCATCTTCAAATCTCCTTCTGACCAAGACAGTGACTCTTCTCCCTCTCTCACTTGTCAGGACCCTTGTGATAATGGGGGGGTCTATGCAGACAACTCAGAACAATCTCGCCATCTCTAATTCAGCTGATTAGCAACCATAATTCCATTTAATTCTCTTTAATAAAGGGGCAACCTTACTTCCCCTTTTTCATGCAACATTACATATTTGCAGTTTTTGATGTTTAGGAACAGGACTTCCTTAGGGGTCTTATTGTGCCTACCACACCACCTATATTCCTAAAGTAATCTTTATATTACTTGAGAACACTTGAGTAAGTCTGCTTTTTGCAACCACAAGAACTTGACTAACACAAAGATGCTATTTGGCCAGTTTGAGTAGGGCTTCTGTTGCAATTTTTAAAAAAATCTTGACTCATAGGGTCCCAATTCCACATATTACTCATATTATTCTCCTGTCTGGTTTGCCTTTCCTTCCTCCTGCCTATTCTCCTCCCACTTTCCTAATCTGCTGTTGTGAAAATCCAGCTCACGCAGGGCAAGTACTATTGCGCAATGCAGCATGAAGCAGGTTGTATATGAGATAGGAGATAGAAACACAGAATAATTGTTTATATAGGAAGTTCTTGGGAAGTTTCACAAAGAAGGAGATGGCATGATTGCTAGGTTTGATTTAAGATCCTGCTTGACTATCCATCCATATGGGGAAGATTCAGATCAGGCAGACAGTTAACAATAGAGCCAAGAATTGTACCAAGGTCTTCTGATTCCTATTCTGTTGTTCTTGATAAGTTTTTCCATATCTATGATGGTTTGGGTATACCAGATGGCTATAATGCATATTTGTTGAATGAACAGAATGAATAAATGAATGAAAAAATTAAATAAATGGAATGAGTAGGTAGGATGGAAGGCTCAAGGCAGATGCAAAATATGAATTAAAGCAGATTCACTCTGAGGAAAAGCATGTTAGAAATGCGGATCTGCAAACAACATTCTGCCATTCAGTGAGTTTTCTAAGCCTGAAAATTTTAATTAGTCTCTTTTTGTCATTAGATGGGGGTAATAATTATCACCTATTTTATTTTTTATTTTTGAGATGGAGTCTCACTCTTGTCACCCAGGCTGGAGTACAATGGTGCTATCTCAGCTCACTGAAACCTGTGCCTCCCGGGTTCAAGTGATTCTCCTGTCTCACCTTCCCAAGTAGCTGGGATTACAGGCATGCTCCACCACTCTTGGCTAATTTTTGTATTTTTAGTAGAGACAGGGTGCCCGGCCTTATCACCTATTCCTTTTACATCATTATTTTAAGTACAGAATAATATGCTACATGAAAGTTCTTTTCAACATTTAAAAAAAGATAGGCAGTTAGACAGATAGATAAATCGATATAGATAAATAGATTATAGAATGTTTCATTATAATTTTTAACATTCTTTTAATGATACTTTTAAATTATTTTGTTCTTTAGTGCATTAAAAGCACTTTTATGTGTATTCCTTTACATAATTTAATTAAAGACAAAAGCAAATGTGGAAACTGAAAAACATCAAAATAAGATTTGTCACTGTCATGGAAAAGATTAGTCACTGTCATGGAAATTGAGGCAGATTCACCAAGACTAGTGAGGTGTGTTTAAGAGGTAATTCTAAGATTTTTCTTAAAGAAATTTACCATGTATTGCTGGGCGTGGTGGCTCATGCCTGTAATCCCAACACTTTGGGAGGCCGAGGTGGGCAGATCACCTGAGGTCAGGAGTTCAAGACTAGCCTGGCCAACATGGTGAAATCCCGTCTCTACTAAAAATACAAAAATTAGCCAGGTGTGGTGGCACGCACCTGTAATCCCAGCTACTTGGGAAGCTGAGGCAGGAGAATCTCTGGAACCCAGGAGGCAGAGGTTTCAGTGAGACGAGACCACACCATTGCACTCATTGCACTCCAGCCTGGGCGACAGAGAGAGAATCTGTCTCAAAAAAAAAAAAAAAAGAAAAAGAAAAGAAAGAAATTTACCATTTATCATTAACAGTAATTTTTCTATGGCTATTTTCTATTAAGATTTATTATTGATAAAATTGTTACATTTACTTCTAACATAACAATAAAAATACCAACAGCAACATTTATTGAGCACTTTCTAAATGCCAGACATGACTCTAATAACTTAATTATTGATTAATTTACATAATCTTTACAATAATCCTGTGAAGATGGGATAATATCATCATTTTATAGATGATTTAGGGGTCAAAATGAGTTGTGAATAAAAAATTCTCTGATTCCAGAGTCCCTTCTCCTAGGCACATTTTTGCTGAGATATAATAATAATTATTACCATTATTGTTGTCATTGTGATCTTTGTTCTAATAATAACAATTAATTATAATTATATTACCATTTGCTGTACACACACTCTCTTTAATCCTCGCAGGTATTGCAAGACAGAATTATCATCCTTGTTTTACAAACAAAAAAGCAGAGGCTGAAAAATTGTAAGTTAATTGTCAAAGTCTCACAGCCAACAATTAATAGATGCAGATGGCAAATTAAGTACTATTACCTCACCAGACCCAGTTGCTTCTCAATAATCAATGTTGCTTTATTAGTTTCAGCAAATGTGTTTTAGCAAAGAGCTGAATGTCAGATCTGTTAGCCAGAGATTTGCCAATCTGGATTCATGATTGTACTCCAGTGAATTCCGAAATAATTATTTTCTGAAGAATTCTTCAGATCACACTCAAATACTAATTTAAGAATTAAGTGACATAACTTATTAACCGACATATTAAAATTAATTTCTGGTGAGCAATATTAAAGCATAACTATGATTGTTGGTCTAATCAAGGGTAGATAAGAGAATCCTTCGACTTTTTGTTCTATTTTTTCGCTGGTTGTGACACAGGATTTGTAACTGGCATCAATCAAGTTTTCTTTAAGCTCAAGATAGGTATTAGTGGTCTCTCCCTACCCAGAATTACCATGAAAATCCTTCTTTGTCAAAAAATAATTTTTTCCCTTCTCCATAAATGGGTAACTATGTTTATCTTCCTGATCTGTAAGCTAAACTAATATAGATGAGTAGCATGTTATCTTTTTTTACTATGATATTTGAAATAGCTTAATCACTAAGAAGGTAAGTTTTGATGTCCACCAAATTTTAATGTGAATTCTGCTCCACTATTTACTAGTCTTAGGCAGATTATTTTACTTCTCCAAGCTTTGATGCCTTCTTTTATATAAAGAACATTATCAAGCTATGGGATTGTTGACATAGTTGAAAAAGATAATGTATATAAAATGTTCAGTAAAGTACATGACAAGTGATAGGTAGCCAGATCACTAATGTCACCATACAGAAATTAACTTTCTGTATAGTGTGTTCTTTCTGAACTAGTGTGTTTTTTAGTTTCCATTTAAGTAATTCTCCATATTTCCAAGTATTGAACTATTCTCCCTAGTTTTTCCCACCTAATTAAATGGAACCACCATCCACCCAAATGTTCAAGCCAGAACCTAATACATCATTTTTATATCCCCGCTGCATCAACTATACCCAGATAAAATACATCACAAATCTTACAATTCTGTTTTGAAAATATAACTGATTTACATGTCTCCATCTCTGTTATTACCACTAAATAATCATTTCAATACAACTTTTAAAAATAAAACATTAAAAGTTAATATTTAAATTATAGTGTTCTTAATAGAAGCTATTTTGTTTTTTTCTAAATATTCAAACAGAATTCTGCATAGTAATCTCTAATTTGTAGTCCCAAGGTAGTGTTTCAAAATATGAGCTCAAAAGCTATATATGTACATCTATATGTGTGCATATGGATAAAGTTAATTAACTGATTTAATTAAATACATGAATCATCAAACATTACACATGTACAATCTAGATTATAATCTGTCCTTTATTTAGTCCTATTTAAGTGAAGCTGTATAGTACATTAATTTTTTAAGCACTTGACCTTTAATAAAGAAAGAATATTAGACTGGATTGTTTTCAGTAGCCGTGTTTTTGTCTTTGAGTATTCATCTGAATTGTATTCAATTACTACGACATGGGCTATATCTACATAAAGTTTCAAAATGATTTGCAGGTTTTAGAATGGATCTATACACAGGTCTACATTCAAAAGAAACTCTAAAATGATGGTTCATCTTTGATCCCAATCCCCAATTTCAAAATCTTATTTTCAATAAAAATGGAAGGCTCCAGTTTTTTTTAACTGCTTTTCCTTGTTTCTGGATTCTCATAGTTGTTTTTTTGGCTTGAGCTTATTCACAGGTGTGAACATTCAAATCCAAATACATTTAAACAACTATCCAGAGCTCCTGTGAACACAGCTCTTATAAACATAGCACTTTGGAATTTCTCACATGGGTTTTCCAGGAAGTTATAAGCCTAGAAGAACTAAGTGGTAAGGAAAAGAGAAATGTTCTGTAACTAGAACAAAGTGAGCATATAATAGATTTTAAGAGAAGTTTTATTGTATAGGATTCTTCCTAATAATCAAGAATTGTGGTTTCCCATCAAATTCTCTCACAGACTTCAAAGAAGCCTTTGTTGATTTAATGACAATACACTCTTTATTTTGGATAATCTAGTACAACCAAAGCCTTAAACTAACCCAGTTACTGCGGTGTTCAAGCTTTTAGAGGAGACAAAATCATTACTAATTTAGATCCTAAAAGTTGCTGGCTGAAATACAGATGGGCAGCCTAGAGATTTAGACTGAGTTTGTTTTGATAGAATTTAAGTTAGTAAAGAAAATTGGTGGGAAACAGTGGCAGGACTGAGAGTAAGATGAGGGGTTGGAGGAAAAGAGCTCCTCCAGAGGAGATGTGAAAATCAGAAGCAGAACTGGCTAGAGATGGTTGCTCTCTTGTTCCTTCTTTCTTTGCCTTCAAGCTCTCCCTCTCTCCTATTCTCTCCATATCATTTCCTCTTGATTTCAATGTCTTCTTATTTTAATGTCTAGTATTCCTTTCACTAATCTAATCAGCTTCTGATATTATTAGTTTGGTTTTTCTTTAGTCTCTTAGTTGCTTCATTCCTTTATCTCTCTCTCTCTCTCTTTTTTTTTTTTTCTGAGACAAAGTCTCACTCTGTCGCCCAGGCTGGAGTGCAATCTCAGCTCACTGCAACCTCCACCTCCGGGGTTCAAGCAATTCTCTTGCCTCAGCCTCCCAAGTAGCTGGGATTACAGGCACATGCATGCACCCGGGGAATTCTTGTATTTTTAGTCGAGACAGGGTTTCACCATGTTGGTCAGGCTGGTCTTGAACTCTTGACCTCATGATCTGCCCACCCCGGCCTCCCAAAGTGCGGGGATTACAGGCGTGAGCCACCGCACCCAGCCCTCCTTTATCGCTCTTTAAACTACATGGAATTTTTATTTATTAAAAAGAATGGGCAGGCATGGTGGCTCACAGCTGTAATTCCAGCACTTTGAGAGGCCGACGCGAGGGGATCACCGGAGGTAAGGAACTCAACAACGTGGTGAAACCCCGTCTCTACTAAAAATGAAAAAATTAGCCGGATGTGGTGGCCTGTGCCTGTAATCTCAGCTACTTGGGCGGCTGAGGCAGGACAATCACTTGAACCCAGAAGGTGGAGGTTGTGGTGAACCGAGATCATGCCATTGCATTCCAGCCTGTGTGACAGAGCAACACTCTATCTCAAAAAAAAAAAAAAAAATTGTTGTATAATTCTTATTTTAAGGTAGAAAATTAGATTAGCTTTTTAAATGTTTTTGCTCTTGTCCTTCAAAATTAAAATCAAATGCTGCTTCTTACTCTTGTTACTTACATATAATCCTCCCTAATTTTTATGTGCACTAGTGTGTTCCTCCATTAAAAATATATTACCCAATCTTGTTCTGAATCCCTTGTTTGCTCTTAAATTATTTTTCATGTTAGGTAGATTATCCTAACTCATCCTCCTGTCAAAAATAAAAAAGGCCAGAAAACTTAAAGATACTTGAGGAAGTGACCTTGTATAATAGATAATATACTCTTAGGAAAAGCTCTTTAACTGGATTGGAGGTGGGGGTAAATAATTACCTTTTATCTTCACTTCTGATTTTTATGGTCTTTAGGATTATAAAAATTGTTATTCAACCACACATTTCTGAATGATTAAATAAATGCATAAATGAAGACAAAAAAATCCCAGTGCAAACATGGTAAGCTTGTATCTCTTTATGGAGACTAAGAAATAAAAAAAAGAAAAAGGAAAACAACATTTTTTCCCTAAAAAGAAAGAATAAGAACTGTCATTATCATGTATAGTGGGTCATAAAATCTTCCAATATTTGCAGTCTTTCTGCACATAAATTTCATAAATGTTTTTTCTGTGGATTCTACAATTTAATATAAAAAAGGCAACTCTACATATATATGTAAGCAATTGAACAAAGCCATAAAAAAAAATCACCATTACCACCAGTGGTGCACAATTTGTTTGGAGTAAGGGAAGAAGGTTTTTATAGTTATAAAAATTATTTACGGAAGTTTTCCAAATGTTTCCACCTCTCAGAGATTAGGAGATTCCTTCTGGAGGACATGCCAGAATGTTGGTATTAGTGGACAGGAAGACAGTGGGTAAATGGGCATATGTAACTTCAGAAAATTCTCTAAGGATCCTTATAGCTTTCTATTGATACAATTGGTAGCTATTCTTACGAAGAGTCACTAATAAATACACAAGTCAATCAAATAGCCCAAGGCTTCCCAAACACCAAAGAAAGTTGAAAAATATTTGATAACAAGACTCTAGTTAAATGCTCTTCCCACTCAGGGGTATTATACACTCCCAGTTATGGGGTGTGGCCCAGTTCTGAGTAAGGCAAATATAACACATGATTTATATGAAGACATCTTTACTAAAGAACTTTTATTTCAGGAGTATCACTTAGGCTGAGCCCTAGGACATAGTCCCAACCTATTTTAGTAAGAATTGTGGATTTTTTACTCCCTGATTTATAACTCCAGATCCAAGAAGCTGAAAGTGATGTTCACCTTTTCAGTCATTTACTTGTCGACACTAAAAGCCAAGTCCCAGCAATTAAATATTCTGCAAATGTCTTAGGCATTTAGGGCTGGCGAACCATTAATTCAACAAACATTTATGAGCAGGAGATCAGTCTGACTACAACTGCCATAATCCAAGTGAGATATGCTAATGGATTGGGCAGAGATGATAGTGAGGGGTGGGTAACAGAAATATTCAAAGGTTTTGAAAACAGAGAAAGCAGCATTTCTGATGGTTCAGACGTTGCATGTGAAAGAAAGGAGTTAGAGATGACTCCAAAGAAACCGAAGGGATGAAAGAGCGGGTTTTAGGGATTGAGGGTGGATTAGGGGCTCTGTGTAGTTTACATTAAAATGATTACTAGACATTAAAGTTAGACATGTCAGGCAAATAATTGGACACAAATACCTGGAATTGAAGGGGAAAGGTCTGAATTGAGTATATTCATTTGGCAGTCTCAGGTATAAGATGGTATTTAAAGCCATACAACTATAATGGAGGTATGGTTTTCCTGGGGCAGCATAAATCCACTACAATTCAACATTTTTTCTGATTACAACTAAAAACTCTAAAGAAAAAATGCTACAGACAATTTCCTGAGGACAACAAGAAGTAAACAAAAGCAGGTAGAATATCAAAAGCAGTCAAAACTTAGAGAAACAAATGTATGAAGGTGAACAAAAATCAACAGAACCTCAGGGATGTGTATGACAATATCCACTGATTGTGCATTTGTAAGGTAGTCCCATGGAAAAGAGAGAGATTGGGCAATAAAGAAAATAGGAAGAAATTATGGCTAAAAACTCTCCAAATTTGATGAAATATAAATTTATAGATTTCAAAAGTTCAGCATATCCCAAATACTGTAAACTCAAAGAAAACTATGTCAAGACACATCATAAACTGCAAAAAAACAAAGATTAAGAAAAAGATGTTGAAAGCAGCTAAGGAAAAATAACATTACATACAAATACAAAAATTCAAATGACTACAATCAAGTACATTCTATTCTAGGAATGTAAATTTGGTTTCATATTTGAAAACCAATTGATGTTATTCACTGTATCAACAGACTAAAGGGCAAACAGGATCTTTTCCATAGATGCAGAAAAAGCAGTTGACAAAATGTAACACCTATTCATAAACAAACTCTAAGGAAACTAGAAATGACAGAAAACATTCTCAAACTAATTAAAGAGAAGTTATGAAAACCTTACTGCTAATGTCGCTAATGTCATCAACAATGGTAAATAATTGAAACACTGCAAGAACAAAGCATGGATGCTAACTTGTAACATTTATTTAACACTATACTGGCAGTCCTAGTCATTGCAAGAAAGCAAGAAAAAGAAATTCTAATTGTAAAGATCAGAAATTAAGAATTAAAATTTTCCTTATCTGCAGATGATATGATTCTTTTTTTAGGAAAGCCCACGAAATCTTCAAAATAAAAACTAGACCTAACAAATGAACACAAACAGTTCACAAGATATAAAGTTAATATGCAAAAATAAATTACACTCCTATATATTAGCATCAAATATTTGGAAAACATATCAAAACTAATGCAATGTATAGGAATGGCAAAAAAAAATTTATCATGCTACCTACTATTAAAGCAAACTAAATATGGCCTGAGAAGGACTCCATACTTCTATATATATTTGAGTCCTTATGGATGAACTGCAACCTAACTTAATAGGTAGACAAGATTGAAAACCTAATTTAAGAGTACCTGCCTGTAACAATAGCTGAGTATTGGCCAATCCCAGCAGCCATACTTTAACCACTCATAGACTGCTGAGTGTTCAGACTGTGTTCAAATAAAGCAAACGCCAAGCTGTAACCAATCCAGCTGTTTCTGTACCTCACTTCCAATTTCTGTATGTCATTTTTGTTTGTTTTTTTTTTTTGGTTTATAAATTTGTTCTGACCATGAGGCATCTCTGGAGTCTCTCTGAATTTGCTGTGATTCTGGGGGCTGCCTGATTTGCAAATTGTTCATTGCTCAATTAAACTCCTTTAAATTTAATTCAGCTGAAATTTTTCTTTTAACAGATGGTGTCAGAAGTGGGGTCTGAAATAGAGCTTCTAACGACTTCCAGGAGCACTGAGTGAACATGCAAGGTACCTACAGGATCAACTTGTGTCCATTGATCTCTCAGAGCAGCTGGAGATCATGGGTAAGTTCTCTCTTGGATTTCAGAGCTCCATGGATTTGTGGTTTGAGCTCTCCAAATTTCTTTGAGCAAATTTCTGATCTAAACTGGGTTTGGAAGTCATGACAGAAGCTGGACTGGGTCCAGGAATGGATTTGATCCAGTAATTAATGGGCTTGGATCCAGTTAAAGACCTCTTACATCTGACTGGGTCAGAAAGAAACTGGTAACAAATGATAACATCGTGGAGGTGTAAAATTTGGCTTTTAAAAATGTAAGGGGATTTTTGCATTCTTCCCCTTTGTTTCATTTTCCTTGTGTGCTTAGATAAGAAAAATAATTCAGTAAGTTAATTAAGGGAACCTGAGAGCAAAGCCAATATATTAGGTAGATATGGGATCTTAATTTCTGAAAAGACAAGTTTTTCTTGGCTTATACATTAGGCATGGGAATCCCAATCTGAAGGAAATAGACTGCAGCACAGGTTGGCTGACTTTGAATAAGTAATGGGGGACATTTTACCTGAGTAAAGGATGGGATTGGGTTAGAGGCTCACCCTTCAGGAAAGTCCCTCATGGTTAAAAATGGATTAAAGATGACAGGGCCCAACTGGGGGCAAGTTTGAGTCTTGCCAGTTCAATTTTTGGTGCTAAGCAGAGTGGCTGACATCTATGTTTTGTCACATGTATTTTACTCTGGCCAGAATGAACAATGTTAATTGGGTTATCCCATGCAATCCTTTGGGTGGCAACTTGCAAAATTGAGAGGCTTTTGCTTGTGGTTCCATGAAACAACAACAAAAAAAGATTATTTTCCTAGGGTCACTAGGGCTGCTCAGGGAAAGGGAACCCAGAAGCCTGGCATGCCGGCAAAAGGGTAAAAAATTCTTACCATTCAGACTCTGGCCTCTCTCTCTCTCTCTGTGCAAACTGGTTAAATGAATGGTAAACGTCATTGTTTATCTCCTCTGTAAAGTTTTGATTAATACAAAAAAGAATTCTGAGGCTGATCTTAAGCTATACTAAATCTGGCGTGCTTTGTGTGTCTTTCTGTATTGTTCTGTCATAAAGAGGGATACCTTAGGATAAAATGCATGCCCTGGACCCCATATGCCTGCTGTTCAAGACGGTGCAGCAAACTCGTCAATCATATCCTTGGGAACTTGACCTTGTCACTATGTGGCCCTGCTTTCTCTTTTTACAATGGTAGCCCGGGTTCAGGGTTCAATTCCCAGCTTAGGAAATGAGTACTTCCAGTTTGATATCCGCATGACCTTTACCATTTGTTGATTCTCTTCCCCTCCATGACTTATCTTAAATTTTCTTTTCCCTGAGCACAGAAATATTAGCCATTTGGCCTAGGCAAGTTTGAGTAATAAAAGATTTAAAAGGACTTTTTCAAAAAAGTACTATAGTTAGAAGTTGGCTTCATTAAAAGTGGATATTCAAGCTGTAACAGCCTGGGACTCCTTGAGACAAACAGGAGGCACCAGACCCCATTGTGGGGAAAAAAAACCAAAAAACAGGAATTGGAAATGGATAGATCTCTCTTGGAATCTAAGGCTCCGTTCTTTTTGGTATCCAGGATCTGGTATAAAAATGGGGACCCTTAATTTTGGGGATCTGTTTTTACATTCTAGCTGTGCCTGCTTCTTAGGCCCTAGAAGCTGCAGGCTTTCCTGGTGCTGTTCTTCCAAGAACTCCACCCTGAAGCCAGTAATCCAATTAAGAAAAAATGTAGAAACTGGCAAATGAAAAACCTTACAACTACTAAATCTTCTGTATGTGTAGTTACATACTACACATGCATCATAGCACACACGATTAATCCCAGCTAGTTAATTGGCTTTAAGAAAAGTAAGTGCTTAAATTGAAATTTTGAAAGAAAAATAAAAAGTGTAATGCCTTTTAGTTCATATAATTTTAGTAATCTCAGGGAAATAAAAACAGGTTTAATGATTATTGGTAAAATAGAGATATTTGGTCTAAATTAGGCAGGTCAAATATTAGGTTTGCTAAGTGCTTTAAGGTCATAAACTGCTTCTTAGACTTTTGAAGATTGTTCAGCTTACCTTCTTTGGACCATTAACTTACCACCAAATATTGAACTGGCAAGACTCAAACTTGTCCCCAGTTGGGCCCTGTCATCTTTAATCCGTTTTTAACCATGAGGGACTTTCCTGAAGGATAAGCTTCTAACCCAATCCCATCCTTTACTCAGGTAAAATGTCCTAAAGTAAAATAACTGGTTGTTTAAAAAGAAGTATATTTAGGACAAGTCAGAAAGTCCAAGCATGTTGTAGATGGTCTGCGTAAGTTGCGAAAGGATTAATGAAAGGAAATGGATGCACTGAAAGTAAAAGTTGCTAAGAGTTGGCCGGGCGTGGTGGCTCACGTCTGTAATCCCAACACTGTGGGAGGCTGAGGTGGGAGGATCATGAGGTCAGGAGATCGAGACCATCCTGGCTAACACAGTGAAACCGCATCTCTACTAAAAATTCAAAAAATTAGCCGGGCGTGGTGGCAGGCGCCTGTAGTCCCTGCTACTTGGGAGGCTGAGGCAGGAGAATGGTGTGAACCTGGGAGGTGGAGCTTGCAGTGAGCCAGAGATCACACCACTGCACTCCAGCCAGGGCAACAGAGCAAGACTCTGTCTCAAAAAAAAAAAAAAAAGTTGCTAAGAGTTACCTTTATCACATGTGATTAAAACTACTAAAAAAATAGTTTTACACGCAAGGTATGTGAGGAGAATGAAATGTGTTTTTGGTGAAAGATTACAAGAAGGTATGGGAATGTAAATTTTTGCCTAGTTTAGAGGGTTAAATTCTTTTAAATTAGAAAAGAATAAGTTAAAAGTTTGAACAGTTGTTAAAGGTTTGTAAAAATTAATCCTTTAAAAAACATTCTGTGTGTGAACATATTAACTAAATTTAAAAGAGTCTTTCCATTTTTTTCCATAAATTGAACATCAAAATAAAAACACAAACAGCATTTTCTTAAAGCACTTATCTGCTCGTTAGCAAAAATTTGTAAAGAGTACAAGGTCTATGAGAATCTCACCTTATGGTCAAATTGATTAAGATTGGAAAGATTTGTCTATAAGGTTTAATTAAAAATCAAGGTTGACATTAATAGTACACTAATACAAGGGTGAAATTTGGCTTTCTCTCTTGAACAAGATTTTCATGTAATATTAAAAGATAATGAAAGATTTTTGTTTGCCTTTTGAATAAACTGCTGAAAAAAGAAAGGAAAGACAAGAGACAAATTATTTGGAAAGCTGTCTTCCCTCTATCAATGGTAAAGGTTTTTGCCTTTTTAAAAATTTTTGAGTCATCATTTTGGCTAAATGAATGATTATGGTAACCTGGAATTGTATTTCACATTATCAAGAATTTTAAACCTTTAACATATTTAATAGGCTTCCCAAAATCAAATTTCAGCTTCAAAATTGTCTTTTCTGACCTCTAACTTTAAGATGCTACAGATAGCCTCTGAAGCATCCAAAAAAGAGGTAAACAGAATTATTTGACATGTTCAATTTCATGGGAAGCATTGCCAACAATACACAAAGTTTTAATCTTCTTCAGGGTATATTTTAGTGAATCATATTAATATATGTCTTAAAATTGTATGAGATTTCTAAAATTCTAATATGTCTGAGTATATGCTATTGATCATAATTATGGTTATTATGTTATTGTAGACCACAGAAATAACCAAATTTCATTGTCAATTGTGTTTTTAACTATAACTATTTAAAGTCATTTCCACAGTTATTTGCTTAATGCTGATGCAGTTTCTGGAAACTTCACAAGCATGCAAAATCCTAGAATATGGTGTCTTTTGGTAGGTTCATGAAGGAGGGAAAGGACCCTAAAAGGCACTCTTAAATACAGATTTCTAATAACTTGGGAATTATATTATTTGAACAGGGTAATAATTCCTGGAACTTTAATGAAAAGACAGACTGGGTTTTTAAACTGCTAATCCCAGTAGAACAAAAATTAAATACCAAGAAAATACTTTACCAGATTTTGATGCTAAATCAGCTGATACTGAAATTGTTTAGATATACATTTTGAAGAACTCCATGGTCTAAGTCAAATTACCTATGATAACCAATCATTTGTCAGTGCTGTGCACCTAATTTGGAGAACCAACTGGTATACAAGAAGGTAAAAAATCTAATGTTAATTAAGCATGGACTCCTGGAGAATCAGCATGGCCACCTTGTCCTTCCTGAGTCGTTAAAGCTTTTGTTATTAAAAGTTCTTTATTCCACGACTCATCATAAAAAAGATAAAATAATCCAAATTGAATGTATTGGTGTGGTGACTTATAAATTGCTAAAATAGTGTATAACCAATGTTTGGTCCTGTATTCCTGGGAAAACAATCAAAGCTTCTAGAATATTTGGTCACCTGATGGGCCATTTAAACATTTTATAAAGGAATTTCACTCAATTGTCATTTTCAATGCATATTTTCTGTTTGTATAAAAGCGCTCCCATGCAAGAAGGCTAATGTTATAACACTAAGTTATTATGCCACAGTGTATTTTTACCAGGTAAAGAAAGTTTCTTTTATGGACAATCAACCTCTTCCCAATCTAGAACCTGAAGACTGGATCTTCTGAGAATGTCAGAGAAAGACTGTCCTTGCCATCCACATTGCAGCAAAACTTTGGAACTTTGAACTCTGGGTTCATAATCTCGCAAATGAGAAGGGTCCTTCCACACTCTTGGAACTGTACACCCATTGGAATCCTTAAGGTAAAGCTAATCAGGGAAGTCTCTCCAAGAAAAAGATGGCATCCTTGATGTGAACAGCTTTCCCAAAATCACAAATCAAGACTTCTTCTATTAAGAGACTCTTATCTTTGAATATTTTTTCTTGTTTATGCCTCTATGAACAATAGAAATGAAAAAGGGGGCCAGGTGTGGTGGCTCATGCCTGTAATTCCAGCACTTTGGGAGGCCAAGGCGGGTGGATCACTCGAGATCAGGCATTCGAGACCAACCTGAGCAACATGGTAAAAACCAGTCTCTACTGAAAATACAAAAATTAACCCGGCATCGTAGCGCACACCTCTAATCCCAACTACTCGGATGGCTGAGGCAGGAGAATCACTTGAACAGCAGAGGCAGAGGTTGCAGTGAGCTGAGGTGGTGCTACTGCACTCCATCCTGGGTGACAGAGTGAAACTCCATCTCAAAAAAAAAAAAAAAAGAAAAGAAAGGAAAAGAAAAGAAAAGAAAAGAAAAAAGAAAAAAGGGGGTCTGTTGTGTGCACTTATGGAGTATACTTTTATTTGTAAAGGATTTTGCAGCCAGCCTTATACATAGATAATCTTATACTTTGATAGGTAAAAGATGAAGGTCCAATGTAGGTGAGAAACTTTAATGGTACATACATTCCCTCATAATCAGTCAGAAAGTTAACATTAATTCACTCCTCTTAACCCACATCATGAGTTAAAGAGAACATTGCCAAGGAGGCCTTTGCTCTTCTCTAAGAGAAGGACATCATTTGTTAGGTCCTTTTTCCAAAGTTTGGAATAACAGAGGCAATGATTAGAAATGTATCCCTCATAATAGGCTCTATAGCAGATTCTACTGTAAATGCCATGGTTACACCACAGACCTTAAATTCTCTTGTGAAAGTTATGCTAAAGAATAGAACTGGCTAAACAAAAAAGTATCTGTGTGCCTGTTGACACTTATGGCCTATGGAGAAAATCAGGTATTATAGAGATTCAGTTGTAGAGGATTAACAAAGAGTCTGCTTAGTTAAGTGAGTAGACTCTTCATCTAGCTCATTCTTTAAAGTACTTGATTTTAGGTGGTTTTGTTTATGGGAACCCCAGGTAAGAAGCATATGCCAAACTCTTGGTTTTTATCCTCCTGATAGTCATAATAGTCTCCCTGGTGCACTGTATTATCTCAAAGGTTTTAAATGTTTGCATGCGGCCATCTCTAGAATGTCAAATGGTGCGTCTTCAACTGGAATGACAAGAGTTGAAAGAAATGTGTGATCATGAGGACACTGTAACCTATGAATCACATGCTGTGACCAGAAACACAAAATGATGTCAACTGAGAGTGGTACTAAGGCCCTAAGTTTTAGTCACACTCTCACCTAAGTGAAAACCTGGCCAAAAAGCGGGTAATTTTTTAAAGCAAAATTATGGGAGGCCATTGTTTTGGACTGAGCTCATGCACTAGGCCCTAACAGACCAAATCAAACAAAAACGGAGTCACTCATGCTAAATATGACATAATCACACTAAGACTTTAAAGAAACACAAAGATCCTAGACCAGGACAAACAAGGTTTTGTTTTTCTCCTGTAAACAGGGCATTCCAGTATAGGGAGTTACCCTCTACTCAGTCCTTGTTCCTACCTTTGCAAAACTCACTGTTCTGTTTCCCAGTGAGTTGCAAGACCAAATAAGTACATTTACAATGGTGATAGTGACATCAATTACTAAAGTTTTGGTCAATCAATCAAAATTGAAAAAATGGCCAAAAGGGGGGAATTGTTAAAGCAAACTAAATATAGCCTGAAAAGGACTCCATACTTCTATATTTGAGTCTTTGTGGATGAACTGCAATCTAACTTAATAGGTAGACAAGATTGAAAACCTAACTTAGAAGTATGCACCTGTAATAATAGCTGACTGTTGGCCAATCCCGGCAGCCATATTTCAACCACTCACAGACTGCTGAGTGTTCAAACTACTAGTGTAGTGTTCAAAACTGAGTGTTCAAATAAGGCAAAGACCAAGCTGTAACAAACCCAGCTGTTTTCGTAACTCACGTCCAATTTCTGAATGTCACTTTACTTTTTTTGTCTATAAATTTGTTCTGCCCATGAGGCACCCTGGAGTCTCTCTGAATCTGCTGTGATTCTAGGGGCTGCCCAATTTGAAAATCATTCATTGCTCAATTAAACTCCTTTAAATTTAATTTGACTGAAGTTTTTCTTTTAACACTACTTAGGCATATGTCTAATAAAAGACATCTAAGATCTTTTATTTAAAAATTACAGAAAAGTATTGTTGGGAGAAATTAAAGACAGGCTAAACAATTAGAAAGACATGTGATATTCATTGATTGAAAGATTCAAAATTGTTCCCATGGCAATTCTCTCAAAATTTGTTATGTGAAGTCAACATAATACCAATCAGAACCCCAGCATGCATTTGTTAAAAATGACAAAATGTTCCAAAGCATGTGTGCAAATCCAAAAAGTATAGAATAGTGAAAGCAATTTTGGAAAAGAAGAACTTCACCTAATTTCAAGGCTTATTATATAGCTACCATCATCAGGACACTTTGATAATGCCCAAAAGATAGATATGTATATTAGTGGAGTAGAATAAAGTTTAGAAAAAGACTCATATATGCATGGTAAATTGATTTTTGACAGAGTTTGACAGAGGAAAGTTCACTTGAGAAAGAAAAGCCTTTTCAATAAATCTTGCTGGATCAACTGTACCTCCATAAGCAAAAATAAATAAATAAATGCTAACCTTTACCTCACATCATACACAAACATTTACTCCAAATAGACACTAGGCCTAAAGTAAAACATAAACCTATAAAACAACTAGAAGAAAACTTGGATGTAATCATTTTAAGTTTGGCATAGTTGATAGCTCCTTAGACAGATATTTTAAAAGCATTAACCATAAAAATAAAACTGATAAATTGGACCTTCTTAAATTTAAAATCTATTATCATATGAAAATTGTCATTAAGAAAATCAAAATGCAAGCCACTAACTGGAGGAAAAATATTCACATTACATATATTAGACAAAGGATTTGACTCCAGAGTAGAGAGTAAACTCTTATACTTTAATAAGAAATAAATGAAAACAGAAAAACAAATGCAAATGGATAAAAGGTTGAAACAGAGATTTTAAAAAAGAAGATAAGTGAATGACAACCACATGGAGACATGTTTAATCTCATTAGTCACCAAATTAAAACCACAATTAGATACTACGATAACCCATTGAGATAGCTGAAATTTTTTAAAAGACCATATAAAGCAGGGCTTAGCAAACTTCTTTTGAATAAAAGGACCAGATAGTAAATATTTTAGGTTTCATTGGCCTTATGGTCTTTGTCAAAACTATTCAACTCTGCCACTGTAGCATCAATGCAGCTATAGACAATTAGTGAATGAAGGAGCATAGCTATATTATTTACAAAAACAGGTGGCAAACAAGATACCTCAGGCCATAGTTTGTCTTAAAGTCTTGGCAAGGACATGAGAACTGAAATTCTCATGCTATCAGTGAAAAAAAGCTAGGCAGTCATCTTTAAAAATTAAGCATACGCTTAATATACAACACAACCATTCCACTTCTAGGTATTTATCTGAAAGAAATGAAAACATATGTTTAAAGACTTATACGAAATCCTTGTAGCAGTTTTAGCATGGTTAAATGGATAAATTATAGCCTATCCAAACAATAGAATATTACTCGGCAATAAATGGCAATCAACTATTAATACATACAACAACATGAGTGAATTTTTAAATCATTATGTTGAATGAAAGAAGCCAAGACAAAAAAGTATATATTGCATGACTCCAATTATGTAAAATTCTAGAAAATGCAAACTAATCCCTAGTGAAGAAATCAGATCAATGATTCCCTGTAGATTGGAGTGAAGGGATGCAAGGATTATAAAGAGACATAAGGAAACTTTCGAGGGGAAATGGAAATGTTTGTTATCTAGATGGTGGTTATTATTTCACGGGTGTATACATATGTCAAAACTGATCAAATTGTACATTTTAAATATGTGCAGTTTATTTTACTTCAATTAAACTACAATAAAGTTTTTTTAAAAAAAATAGTTGGATGAGATCACCAATGGAATAAGTGTAGATAAAGAACAAAAGCCCAAGGCTGGTCCCTAGCATATTCCAACATTTAGAGACAGAGAGAAGGAACTAGCAGAGGGAACAGCCAGTAGGACAAGAAGAGATCTGGGAATGCACGGGGGTTTTGTAACCCAAAGTCAGCAAGTGTATCAAGGCAAAATGTGTGATCAACTGAATTAAATACTAATATTAAGGAAGATAAGGACTAAAAATTGATGATAGGGTTTTAGCAACATGGAAATCACTAGAGACAATTTAAAAAATAATTTTCTTGTAAGGATGCAGAAAAGTTTTGTGGTAAAATAGAGCAGAGAATTAGAGAGAGTCAGTTTGTTCATTATTTTCCCAAATAGGGGAAACCGCAGAATATTTTTATGTTGATAAGAAGGGAAGAAGAGTGGCTAGATGTTGGAGTGATACTATGAGGAGATGTGTGGCAATGGGATCTTGTAAACAAGTGGAGGGGATGGCCTCAACTTTGAGCACAGACTTCTTCCAAAGAGAAGGTAGAGTATGTGAGAAGAGATACAGGTAGGTGGATAAATACGGTGATGAGAATTTGTGGAACAGTAATTCTCACTTTGAGTGTACATGGGAATCACCTAGATTATATTTTAAAATACTAATGCCTACCCCCTATACACACCTAACACCTGAGTTTCTTAATTAATTGATTTGGGTTCCAAACTGGGTATTGATTTTTTGTTTGTATTTTTGTCTTTTTTGGTGTTGTTAGTATGGAGAAGATTCTTGGGTGCATCCCAGGTTGAGAACCACTGTAGTATAGAAGTCCTCTTAAGATTGCCCAATGTTTTCCAATAAAACAGAAAACAAAGTCTTCAGCTCAGAGAGTGAGGGAGGAAGTATTGTGGTTTGAGGTGAAATGCAAAAACTTAAATCCAATTTCAACTAGGCAACTCAAAGGTGACATAAGGTCCCTAATGTAACGAGAAAAAGAAAGATTAGGGCAGAATTGAATCAGAACAAGTCTTCGTAAAAGCAATAGGGAGATGGAAAGAGAAAACATAATGCATCATCCCTGAGAGAAAGACATCAAGGACTAGATGCCAAAGGAGATATCTGGCAAAGCTAGGCCTGCAGTTTCTATGGGGGGGTTGGCAGGAACATAGTGTAGAAGAAAGAGTCAGGAAAACTGGATTATTATCCTGGCCGCATCACTTCAGCCCTTGTCTGTTGAAGTCAAATGTGTTAGATGAATCGTAGTTCAATTCTGTAATATCTAATATAATATCTGCCACAAAAGACTAGAGAGACCTAAGACAGTTTTTCGGGAGTAATATAATTTTTACATGCCAGTTCAAGACATTTGGCTCTTTCTTTATAGGAAAGTGACCCACTGAAGGGATTTGAATAGAAACATAACATGATCAAAATATTTCACAAGGATTCATCTGGAGGTGGCATGAAGGAAAAAATTAGGAAAAAAGATGAAGGAAAGTTTGAAGGAAATTATTGCTGATTTAAAAGTGAGGCAATGAGTCTGCAGTGAAGTGGTGGCAGTGGGAATGGAAAGGAAATGATGGATGTAAGATAAATTTTAGAGTAAAATTCAACTAATTGGATGACTAATTGGATGGAGAGAGCAGGGAGTCAAGAATGACTCAGTTTTGTGCTTAGTTGTCTAGGCAATGGTGGCAGAATGAATAAGAATCGGGAATCAGGATAGAAGTTGAGGAAGGAGCTGAATTTAGGCAGAAAGATGACAAATTTGTTCTTTGACACAGTTGTGCTTTAATTTGCTACAGAGGTGCCAATGAAATGCCCACCAGGCAGTTAGCTCTCTGGGATTAGAGCTCAGAAGAAAATATGACCAGGAGATGGAACTGATGATTAACCACCAAATATTTGATTGTTATGGCCATGAGAATAAAATCTTGAGAGAGAAGACCCAGTGAGAAAGCTGAGTTGAAGGGAATTTCTGTGCATGGTGTTAACCCTTCAGTTGGTGGATTGTGGGGAGAAAGGAGGCCTGAGGGATTCCAGTGAAGAAGCTGGCATGGAAATGAGGCATTCAAAAAACCTGGGGAAGTGGTCCCTTAGCAATTAGGTTGGAAATATTTGGATATTTTAACAACTTTTTTTTAGCTGTACCTGTGTGTGCAGGCCGAATGAACACCAGTCCTGAGTATAAACGAGGTCAATATTGGTTTATACTAGGTAAAGCTGCAGCTAGATCTTTCTCTTGATCCTGAGTTCTTAAGAACCCAGGAAGCTGTGCTAAAAGCAGCAGTTATGGTTCCTATTAGGCAGCACTGGAGTGAGGCAAGAATTAGCATTCTACATTTTCAACAGGCACCCCCAAATGATTCTGAAACATACCAGCACATTAGCAATGACTAGGAGAGTTAGTTGGGTAACTACCTTCATCCATAAGAGCAAAAGAGAATGAGGATCCAAACTCCAATGCCAATAAAATAACACCTGAATTAGGTCCACCCTTAGGGAGTATTTACTTATATGCCACAAGCCCAGCATCTGGGGCTGCCTTACCAGGACAGTAAAAATCTTGAGCTTCACAATCAACATAACTGACTGGCTGGGATACAGGGAGCCCATTTTTGTGAGATAAACATTATGTGCTGTTGCAAATAAAGGCCAGTGAAATAGCAGCAGATCAGGTTGCTTTGGATTCTAGGTTAATCTTTTCACCATTTGGGTCCATGAGATTTCCCAAAGGCTATTTTTTTTTTCTTGTGGGAGATGAAGGGGAAGGAGACCATTCTGGAGGATGAAGCTATGTTACTACATGGTACAATTAAAACACAAATTAAAGATAGGTCCTAAAAAAAATTCTCTTCATATCAAAAATGTGCAGATGTACTGTAGCTTTATGTAGTCTGAGTCAATTTCAGTGGAAATAAAAACACTTAGAGTGTCATAGAAATAACATTTGCTAAGGGAAAGTTGAACTGGCAGGACTGATCTAATTCTGATAAAAAAAATATTGGTTTGAATTTACAGGCTAAGATGGTTATAAACCACCCTATTATCTGCCATATTTTGCCTAAGTGGTAGTTTTTTTTAACTTAAAGGAGACTCAACCTTGTGATTAAATAAACAGTCTGAATCACTTAGCAGGTCAAAGCTGAGAAGTGCTGGCAGAACAAGTCCCGCAGTGGAATAGACAGGCTGTGTGTGTGTGCCCCAGACTCACCAACATGACCTGCAATTTAACAACAGCACATCCCACAATTCATCTGGAAATGCCAAAAAAGCCTGTTCAAATCAGTGGATACCACCTAAGAGGGAGGCCACTTCTAAAATATTTAGAATTTTCAGGCTGCTGTTCCCGATGTGCCAATAGCTTATTGGCTCCATCTGAATAAAGCAAAATTGCCAATCTTCCTGTTGACTCTAGCACTGTTTCCAATCTGCTTAGATATGAGTGTGCTATGCAATATTGGAAACATAAACCTCTCCCCAGAGCAGACAACCAATGGCCTAATCGTTTACTTTTGTTATAAGAATTGAAAGTACGTATGGAAAAAGCTTTTTTTTTTTTCTTCCCCTCTGACATTTTGCTCCATTTGACAGCTGACAAAAATCAGTTTTGTTCATTCTGGCAAATACAAAGAATGTAGAGAAAATGCATTGCAAGAAAGCAGCTTTCAAAAGACTTGGACAATTACCCTGGAACCTTGGAATTACGCTAAAATGAGGCTGGAGGCCTGGAACTGTGTTATAGGTGAAAGAGTGTTATGTTAATATTCTCCTAAAACTGGTAACACAGAATAGAATCATATAATGCCTTGCACATTCTAGTAGAGCACAGGTATCTATAACAAATTTTCTTAGAAAGAGATAGTTTTTTTGTTCTGGATTTTGTCAACATGCCAGAAACTTATAGGGCAGAGGAAATTAAATTAATTTATGTGTAAATCTTAGGATCAATATGTATCTATAATGGATGGTATTAATTCAACTATATGAGAAACTTTCCTAAGAATGGCAAAATCTGAATAGTATATACCAAGTAAGATAAGAAAACACTTCAGGAATAGCAAATATTTGTTATATGGATCATGACTGCCTCCCACAGCAGACATCATTACGGCACACTTTCCCACTGAGCTTGGATGACCCACAGAATCCTTCTCAACTTAGTGTCCAATAAAATCACTATTACTCAATCAAGGTTGGCAAATGAAATGAAACTAATATTTTATCTTCAATCTAGCATATTTTCTACATGACCTTTAGGGAAGACATTTTCATGGCATCTACTCACAATTCTTTTCCATATGGATCTTGATAAAACAAAATAATTCTTACATGTAGTTCATTTATTCATTTGACCTATATTTATTGAGCACATACTATGTCCCAGGAACTGCTCAGTTTTGAGAAAATGATAGTAACAGAGCAGACAAAAATTTCTTCCCTGTGGGAATTTGTATTCTAATGCCTATGAGGTTGGAAACATCGAGCCAATTAATATTTAAGGTTACATTGGTTTCTTCTAATTTTCTAAAGTTGCCACCAGTTAACAGAGCTATCTGAACAAGGAACCACTAAGTTAGAAAATACATGAACAGTTTTCATTTTATATCCAAATATAACCTACAACAAAGTTAATCTGACACATGGTTAGTGCACCATCAGTATTGCACAGTGTGATAATAAAGGGTAACCAACAAGTAGATGGTTACATATTTGTCTATATTGGTCACATATTTGGTGATCAGTATTATGTTTATAGCAAATCCAAGCCCTTCCTGTGGTCAGTTAGCTGGGGTAAGGGTGGGTGTGGTAGGGAGAGAGAAGTACACAGTGAAGCCAGAAAAATTATAAATGGAATTATTCAGATAGTCTTGTACTTGAAATGTATAACCTGGACATAAATTGAAGAAATTCATTAAAAAATCCTAACATGGTATCTTTTATTACTATCAAGTTAGAACATGACTTACATTCAACTGGGTTCATACAGTCGCTCTGACTGTACAATATTCTTAAGCGAATCAACACTTCCTTGCAGGGAAGGCAGCCTTACAGAACTCCATTCTATGCATCCATGCAGCCCAGCACAAGAGGTTGAAAGGAATGGTCATAATATATACTGGTCATTAAACCAGCTGGACAGATTATGCTGCATAATGGTGCTGAATATTTAAATTTCTCCATAGCAAGGCTGCCCTTGGTCTGGCTTTCATCTCTTCTATATCATGTTGCTGTTTTAAGGTAAGTAATATTTGACAGCTTTATCAAAAAAGGCTGAAAGTCCTAAATTAAGAATTTAAAAAATTTTATGTAGTTCCAAATTCCTTTTTTAGGGGGCAGGAGATAAGTTGTTTTTTGTTTTTTTTTTTTTGTTTGTTTGTTTTTCCCCAATATAAAGATATAGTCACACAGATAAAATGCTACTGATGAATTCAGATAGTCAAAATCGTTCCTTTGAATCCCTGAATACATTTGCAACAGGAATTCCATATAAGGAAAAGAAATTTCCTTTAGAAAATTAACCATCTTGCGAGCTGGATGCCCTGAGTTTGGTTAACTTGGAGAAATTTCCTTTGGTTGAAGTACTTTAAATCAGGATATTTTTCCCATGGAGGAAAAGATCTCCCTCTAAATTTTCTTTATGAGTAAGTTATTGTCTAAAAAGAGATTTATGTGTGTTCCAGGGTAACCACATCCTTAAACAAAGTAAAAATATTTTTATTTTCTAGCAAAAACATGCTGCTTCATATTTGTTGAAATTGTTCTAACATTCAGTTTAAAATGTATTATGGAAGGATTTGTTTTCTTTTAGAGTCATACATAACTTGTGGAACTTTGAAAGCAACCAGTTGAGTATTAGTATAAAATAAATTTGGGTTTTAAATGGTATATTCTACACTTGTTTGAAAGCAAAACATAAAATTTTGAAAACTGTGTAGACTATAAAAAGCTGTAAAATCTAATGTAAAATATGACATCCTATACATAGATTGCCATCAAAGTTCCTTTCTTTAGGTGGAAGTTTAAAACATAAACAAATTATTATAATCATTATTATTATTATTTCTCTCTCTCTCTCTCTCTCTCTCTCTCTCTCTCTATATATATATATATATATATATATATATATATACTGTATCTGGAATTTCTACAGAAACTCGTAGCTACATCAAGGAAGTTACGGCTTAATTTTCCTGGAAAAAAGGGTGACGAAAAGAGTGAGATCTGTATGCCAGGGTAACTACATCTTTAAACAGAGGGAGGCCAGGTGCAGTTGCTTATGTCTGTAATCCCAACACTTTGGGAGGCCAAGGCGGGTGAATCACCTGAGGTCAGGGGTTCAAGACCAGACTGGTCAACATGACGAAATCCTGTCTCTACTAAAAATACAAATATTAGCTGGGCATGGTGGCAGTCGCCTGTAATCCCAGCTGCTCAGGAGGCTGAGGCAGGAGAATCGCTTGAAACTGGGAGGTGGAGGTTGTTTCAGTGAGCCGAGATCACACCATTGCACTCCAACCCTGGCAATGAGAGGGAAACTCTGTCTAATATATGTATATATACATATACATATATATATTTCTAGCAAAAACATGCTGCTTTGTATTGTTCTAGCATTCACTTTGAAATGTATTATGGGAGAATTTGTTTCCTTTTAGATCCATGCATAATTTGTGTGATAAAAACGTGAACAACAATCTTAAAGTCCGGATAATCTTCACTAGACATCCTATGGCAAATTCTCTAGGTCCTGGTTAAGGGTGAACCCTCTCGCTTCTCCCTGCGGACCTAGTGTCAGACCTGGGACTGAGGAAGCATTTGACTAACGGCAGTAATTTTTATTATATAATCTCCACATATTTATAATATGTGACTGAATGAAGAGAATGAAGGGAAAAAAGAAACAAGGTACACACCATCTATCTCTGTCACTACATTTTATCCCTTCACCTGTCTCCCTGCCCAACCCTTTGTTAGACAACATTTCACTATCGTCTATGCAGCAAGAACCCAAAAAGCCTAAATAACTGAGTGAGGCAAGGTGGCTCTGGCAGACAAAAGAACAGAACAGCGTAGAGACAGCTCTGATGACCGTATTTCACCACCTGAATCCAGTGGGAGATCAGGGAAGCCCTCTGGCTTTTTAATCACAAATATTAATACATCCTATTTTAATGTAAACTCCTCTAAGGTGGATTTCTTTCTTTTGCCAAAGAAAGAGTCTTAACAATACTATAATTGCTGATCTTGTTAACAGCCAGAATTCTTAAAATGGAGCATCTCTTCTGGAGTATTTATTCAATAAGAATTGTCTACTAATAAGTATCAAGTCCATGTTTTTCATTTCTTATTGTGTTTTGTTTTGTTTTCATCTTATTCTGTTTTCTTATTTTGTTTTGTTGTTTGATCAAGACAGAAGCTAGGCTAGACAAGTGAGTGAACAAGAAAAAAATAAAATTGTGGGCCAGAGTATGATAAAGCCAGAACTGGATTACTTCATAAATGAATTATAGATTGTGCAATACATCATTAAATTCATAAAAAGTGGTTACTTTATATACATCCAACCAGAGTGCAGTTTCAAGGTGTAGGTGTCTATGTAACTATTGAGGGTGTGTTCTCTAGGACAAAATTCTTTAGAAGTCATAATAACCAGTGATTTGGGTTATCATAAGAATAGCCATGAGGTTGACTTAATTGATGACTTCTGTGTGTGTGTGGAAATTAATCCTTTTTAATCTAGTATTTTTCATCATATAGCTATATCTCCCCTGCCTTTTCAAAGGCAGTCATATTTGAATCATTCTGAATGCTGGATGTTTCTCTTCCTAAATAATGTAGTACTTCTGTGTAATTGTAGCATATGGAGGCCTCTAATTTTAAAAGGCATATAGAATATGGCCACCAATTATATACATTTTATATATATAAATATATATAAGCATATATATATAAGCATATATAAATATGCTATTATATTATATATTTATATAAATATATATTTATATATGCTTATATATATATGCTTATATATATATTTATATATATAAAAGTATATAATTGGTGGCCATATTCTATATGCCTTTTAAAATATATAATATATATTATATATTATATTATATAAATATATATTTATATATGCTTATATATACAAAATGTATATAATTGGTGGCCATATTCTATAATATGGTATATTTATAATATAGTATATAAATATAATATATATTATTTATTTATTTATTTATTAATTTTCCATTACAGATTTAGGTCATCTGCAACCATCTTGATTTTGTTTGTTTGTTTTTTATTTTATTTTGTCATCTGTGTCAGAATTTACAGTGATAATAAATTTTGCTAATTCATATCCATATCTAATCAAATTGTGGAGAGAATTGAATTAATTTCTTTTTTAATTTCCTGAAAATAACCACAAGCAATAACAATAATAATGATAGCAAGAAAGGAAATAAGGAAGAGGAAGAAAAATTTGTTATACTCTACTACCTTATTAGATCTAGTTTTTTTTTTTTTTAGTTTTAAGTAACAATAATTCAAACCAGAATAACTTAAGCAAAACGTTATTATTATTGTCTTCCATGGAGAAGGATATTGAAAGACCCAAAGAGGAGCTGATGGCAGGAAGAGGAAAATAATCCCTGATGAAAGGGGTGCTTCATGGACCTACCAATGGTGTTTGTGAGATAGCTCTTTAATAACAATGGGAGTCATGATAATTTTAAGAACAAATATTAACTGAATATACAGCATATCTCTCTTTTTCTTTTTTTTTTTTTTTTGAGATGGAATCTCACTCTGTTGCCCAGGCTGGAGTGCAGTGGCGCAATCTCGGCTCACTGCAACTTCTGCCTCCCAGGTTCAAGCGATTCTCCTGCCTCAGCCTCCTGAGTAGCTGGGATTACATGTGTACACCACCATGCCCGGCTAGTTTTTGTATTTTTAGTAGAGACGGGGTTTTGCCACGTTGGCCAGGCTGGTCTCAGACTCCTGACCTCAGGTGATTCACCTGCCTCAGCCTCCCAAAGTGCTGGGATTACAAGCGTCAGCCACTGCGCCCGGCTCACACTTTCAATAGATTCTTTAATCTATACTTCATAGCAACTGTATGAGAAAGTTCACATTATTTTTCCTGTTTTCTACATAAACAAAAAACTAAAGACAAAGAGGTTACATAAATTTCCCAGGACTACACTGCTACAAAGTAGCAGAGCAAGGCACTGAACTCAAACTGGCTTGACAGCCCGCATATTTAAACAACCGCATGATTATGTGGCTTTCCCTCAGACAACTCCAAGTCTCTGCTTCTTAGTTAAAAATTCCAAAGTATGGAAGAAGGGATACTGATGGCTCCAGCTTGGATCAGATACCCATCTTTGAATCAGCTTTCTAAGACAAAGGGCCAGGATCACTATGTAGGGAAAGTAGCCCTTTGTGTTTTGGAGTAGTTATGTAGAGCTAGACAGTTGTGCCAAAAGGTACCTCTAGCCTATCCGTCTCACCTTCATTCAGTCTTCCCAATCAATGTGATTACTTCCTTCCAGAAACTGAGGACTTTGTCCTTCTCCTTCAGTATTCAATGGACTTTGCTGTATAACAATAGGTTTGTCTATCATCACCTCTAGAAACACTCTAGAATGCAGGGAATATATATATGTGTATATATACGTATCTCCCCTACTGGCCTGTAATGGACCATTTAATGACAAGTTGTTGAATTAAAAAATGCTTTTGATTGATAGATGAATATAAAGAATAAGGAATGCCATGTCTTCTCTAATCACATACAAAGACCAGGGAGCCACATGGACAAAAGCAAACTGAAAACAAAAATAGAAACAGAAAACATATACATATACATATCTCTCTCTCTATACATATGGGGTAAAATATGATCTATGCATCCATTTAAAAATCAACACATGAAAATAACATTATTTTTGGATCCAGTTTTATGATTCAGTCTTTCCAGTATAAATAATTTATAAGAGAAATAAGACAATTATCAGGTTTGTGGGAAATGTAAATTAATTTGAATCTAAACTTAGAAGAACCCTTCCTGTGGGCAGATGACAAGGGGAACAAACTGAGCAAGAAGAATTGCTGAAAACACAGCAGAGAAACCACAGAACCACAGAACCTAGCAGGCTGATGGCCTATTGATAAAAGAGTCACAGTGATCCAGGGTGACTAGTGGTTTACATAGAAAGACAAATAACATAGGGAAAGAAAGCAGATATAAAAGGACATAAAATTTACAACATATTTGCTTTGTAAGTCTGGCTTGAGGCAAAAGTGGGAAATAGGCATTAGGGATCCAAATCTTCCATTCTGAGCCCTTTTCGGCTCTCCAGCACTTCTGCCAATCTTCATGTACCCAAGAGCTTTCTGGTCCCCCATTTTCCACTGTTCTCAACAAAGGGTCTATCGGGTATTGCTCATTTGCATGCTAATACAAATGAGTCGGTCTGGATGTTATCATCTTTTTAATTGTGAAAGTAAAGCTTAATCTCTGTTAAATGAATACCAACAGCAAACGATAGACTGGGGACCCTTAAAAGGGTCAGGATTCCTGGCTCAGACATCACAAAAGGCTGACTTTCCTTGAAGGTAATTCTAGATGAGAAAACGACATATTCTCTGCTAGATTCTCCTTTGCTCAGAAAGAAAATGGTCTCATGGGGCACAGAATATCCTGGTTCTGCTTTGCCACCAAATATTATGTGACTTTGGATAAATTACTCAACCACTCAGGGACTATTTTTTTTTTCTTTTTAAGCCTCAGTTTCCCCCTCTATAAATATAGTCATAGGCCAGGCACTGTGGCTCAGGCCTCTAATCCTAGCACTTTGGGAGGCCGAGGCAGGTGGATCACTTGAGGTCAGGGGTTCAAAACCAGCTTGGCCAACATGGTGAAGCCCTGTCTCTACTAAAAATACAAAAAAAAATTAGTTGGGCATGGTGGTGGGCACCTGTAATCCCAGCTACTTAGGAGGCTGAGTCAGGAGAATTGCTTGAACCCAAGAGGCGGAGGTTGCAGTGAGCTGAGATAGCACCACTGCACTCCAGCCTGGGTGACAGAGTGAGACTCCATCTCAAAATAAAATAAATAAATAAATAAAACCACTGCCTGGGGACATTGTAAAAATTGACTGTATGTAATTGCCTAACTTAGTGCATGGCACTTAATAAGTGCTCATTAAACAGTAGTTATTATTTTTATAAGCAGTACTACTGATGTCATTACTGTTATTACATTTAGGGATTGGTCTCCAATGTAGGGTGGGAAGTCTGCAATTCAGAATGAGCATATGTGTTATTAACCATTGAGATGTGGGATGAAAATATATGAACTTACATTAATATACGGATATATATATATATATATAAAACCTTTTTAAAAAAGGAATTTAGCTTTACTAATATACTAATATTTAAAGTATGGATTGATGCCCATGTTTCTACTCCATATCTGTTTCAGCTGCTCACTTACCATGCAGAAAAAGGTGTCCTTTGTCTCCTGGGACAGAATGGGAAGTCCACAGTGTGGAAAGGTTGATGCGGTGCCTCCCTTTTTTGCCCAGTATGTACTACGATGATTTGTGAATGACATCATTTTGTCTTCAAAAACAACTTACAAAATAAGCAAGTGGCTTGAAAGAACTTCTGCAAAAGAAACTGTGAATTGATTTGGTACTAAAAATGTACCCAAGTTCTTGGGAGGCCGAGGCGGGTGGATCACCTGAGGTCGGGAGTTCGAGACCAGCCTGGTCAACATGGCAAAACCCTGTCTCTACTAAAAATACAAAAAATTAGCTGGGAGTGGTGGCAGGTGCCTGTAATTCCAGCTACTCAGAAGGCTGAAGCAGGAGAATTGTTTGAACCCAGGAGGCAGAGATTGCAGTGAGCCGAGATCACGCCATTGTACTCCAGCTTGGGCAACAAGAGCAAGACACTGTCTCAAAAAGAAAGAAAGAAAAAAAAAGTACAAGTTCGAGAAGATAACCAGAAAATGACAGAGCTGGTACTCCCTCAGTTCCTTCAAGGAGCTCCATGTCTGACACATTAAAACAATAAAACAATAAACGCTGATAAGAAGGCAGTGGCAAAAGAAATTGTCCATTGAAAATTGACATCCACTGTCATTAATGATGTTTTATTAATAAGCAAAATCAGATATAATTTATTTTAAAATATTTGTCATTGTCTTTCTTTAATTTTTCTATTGTTCTAACTATATATTATTTATTTATTATAAATAAATATTCATATGTTAAGGATGTAGTCTTGAAAAATTTGTAAGATGCAGTGCTTAATGAAAAAGGTTTAGCAACCACCCCACTACGTGCAGAGTTTCTTGCAATTTTGGGATCTCTAACTTAATGACAGGAAGAGGAAAACAATTTCAGCTGAACCTGGAAAAAATATACAAATACAAATATTTTATTGCGAGGTAAAAGGAAAGTTATTAACATTTGATTAGATTTGATTCAATTTATTATTAAACACAGTAAACACTCAAAAAGCATAACATTTATTGCTCACCTACACCACATCTTTTAGAACTTAGTCCTGCAAATTAAGTTCCCAAAAATGTCATAAGGTCATTTAGTCTTTCTGTCTACCCCTTGCCAGGCCACTGGGAACTTTCCAGAGTGCAGGAGAACTCAGGATCTCAAAGCCCGAACTCATCTCTAGAAAGTTAATAAAATACTCACCGAAATATGAAAATAATCTTTATAAAATTATGCTTGGACAATAGATTGTTGGGTCCCTCAGTATTCCAAAACTCCTTATTTATTCTTAGAAACATATCTCTAGCTATCTATCTAACTACCGATTGTTCGACTAAATGAGTGATCTATATCTAGAGAAAGAAATCTAACTCCCAATTGTACATTCGCAGTAATCTAATTACTCATCATTCTCTCTTTAAGAAATCTCATAAGATTTTGCACAACAGTATGTGTTTTGTGTCCAGGTGCCTCAGGCTAACAAGAATGATAATGTTCAAGAAAAATAAGGTACACTAGTGTTTTTTATTCCAAATACACTACTATTTTTATTCATATAATATTCTAAACAGGCTTTCATATTTCCTTGTTCTTCTAGTTGAGGCTTTAAATTTTTTTTAAGCCAACCCCGGAGTTTTGAAACCATAAGACGCTCTCTTTAACTGGACAGATTTTTGAAAAAAGAATGCCCTTCTAATTCGGCTCTGTAGTTGACTGACCCTCAAATGGAAATTTGCACATGTTAACCTCTCTCCATGAGCTTGGGAGTTTCCGTCAGTAAAATAAGCATCATAATACCAATACATCTCACATGTTTCTGAGAGGGGTCCAGAGTGAGTGAATATTTGCCAGGTACTGCAGGATCCTTGGGCTTTCTAAAGACAGGCAGGACATGCTGCTAATGTTACCATCAGTGCCAATTTCCAGATGGAACTCTGCAGCTATACTGAGTTCACTCCTTTTCAAAATCTGTTCGGCAAGTGCTCCCAGGGCTGGTATAAGCTCTGGGGCTCGTTTGTTTTTCCTGGTAACCATGGAGCTGCTAGTTTCAATCAGGGCTACAAAAGCATCAGAGGAACTGGGAAAGTAGAGTGAGAGCCAGAACCCACTGGCTGTCTTTGGAGTAGCTGAAGAGTGAGTAGCAGGAAGCAGTAAACCAAAAGCCATAGCTGCCAATAAATGACCTAGACACTGTTTTCTTGGCATTGCTATTTGAGTTCTTCATGGCTAAGCAAATCAAGACAAATGGGGGGGAAAAAGCAAAGTTTTCTCAAGGATCCGTCGAGGTGAATCTCTTAGCCATAAAGGGAATGAAACTTATTTTTTAAGAAGTTCACTTCTGGCAGAATAGCAGAGATAGATCCAAGTTTGGATACTGAATCACTTAAGCTGAGCAAGTTACTCAAACTTTGCAAATCTCACTCAGTTTCTTATCTGTAAAATGAGCATAGTAATGTCTACCTACTAAAATTGTTTAATAAGGTGTGTATATATGTACAGAGAGAGAGAGACCCAATAAGTGATTGCAGCTTTTGTTCTTCTAGACCTTGTAAATGAGAGTATTCAACATTTAAATGAAAGTATATAATAGGATTTGTTCACAGAGGAGGTCTATAGAAAAAAATGTATATATATAGTGTGGTATATATATATAGTAGGATAATAATTTAATGCTGAGTTTTAAGCCTTTCTCTATATTTCACTCTAGTTGAAAAGATGGAATATTTTAGAAGAAAACTGCATGATATTTAGAAGTATTTAAACTTTCAAGCCTGTGAAACTTTAGCATTATGAAATTTTTTGTGGCTGCTAAGTTTTACACATCTTGCTTTGCCTGGTTAGAAATCAAATGCTTTCCTTGACAATAACCACTTTCACAAATACACTGTATGAAAGGTGACGCATGTGCGTTTTCAGGAAATTATTTTAATAGCATGATTGGTTTAAACTCCCGATGTGTTCCTATGTGGTCACTGCCCCACCCCTAAACTATATGGTCAGGCTAGGACTAACAGCAGAAAGTCTCTTTAACAATATACGAAAATTCGTAAAGTTTCAGGACAGAAAAGGTGTCACAGTAATTTAACCTTTGGAAATTCTGTGTCTAGAAAATTTTTAGCTAGTCTTTTCTTCTGTAGAAACAACTAGCCTTCTTCCTTGTCATACACTTTTATTGTTAGTTATTCTTTCTCTCCAGCTTTCCCACTACTGCTATCACTAGTGACTGCAATCCCATCCTCTCTTTTGGAAATGTTGTTTCAGTAGACGTGGAAGATTATTTCCCTGCTATTTGAAGTTTCTGCGTGTCACTGAAGTATGCTGGTGCAGTGACTTAAAAGCAGAGCCTTTATTTATCATGATTAAATGCTTGATAACCAGAGAAAGGTTTTGACATTCAAACTGGCCAATTCTGGAACCTTTTAAAGGAAATGCTAACTCCAGCCTTTTAATGAAACTCAAATGAAACGATTCTGGATTTAATAATATGAAACAGAAAAATTATAAAGTCTGCCATGTTCAGATATTGGTTAGACAGTATAAACTGGGGATGAAGAGTTTAGGTTGAGTTGGGGTAGAGGAGGATTGTCCTGTTAGATCTCTAGAAATTCAGATGCTTCCTTTCGTTGGATACCTCTGCATAATAATGGGATGGAGGGAGCTCTGGCAGGGAAATTCTTGGCTCTGTCTGCAGTATATACAGTATAAAAGAAAGTGCCCTTCAATATAGAACACTACTTCCAGGGTCCTGTGAATCCAATGACTCTAAGGCAACATGTCTCCTAATACACTTTGTTCTTTTTTTTTTTTTTTGAGACGGAGTCTCGCTCTGTCACCCAGGCTGGAGTGCAGTGGCGGGATCTCGGCTCACTGCAAGCTCCGCCTCCCGGGTTCACGCCATTCTCCTGCCTCACCCTCCCAAGTAGCTGGGACTACAGGCGCCCACCACTACGCCCGGCTAATTTTTTGTATTTTTAGTAGAGACGGGGTTTCACCGTTTTAGCCGGGATGGTCTCGATCTCCTGACCTCGTGATCCGCCCGCCTCGGCCTCCCAAAGTGCTGGGATTACAGGCGTGAGCCACCGCGCCGGGCCACTTTGTTCTTTTAATCTCCCCTTTTCTCTGTCTCCACTCACCCACCCCACACCCTGGAATTCTGAAGGTGAGAGTAAGAGGAGAGACAGACTGGTGGACTGAGATGCCCTACAGAGAAGGAGAGTGGGGTGGCTGATGTTTCATACATCATTTCTGTTCACTATTTTATCCCGCAGACAGCAGAATGTACACATTTCCCAGCATGCCCAGTGGCTGTTCTTTATTTATTTAATAAAAGGACCATAAGAGCCTCTTGCAGAAAACCAAATTCTTACTGTGCTTCAGTAACATGAAAATCTATCTAAATGAATGGTGACAGGAAAATCAGATATAACAGAGACACCCAGATTTCACCCTAAGAGCATTCTCCTTGAAGGCACTAGGGCTGTGTAACACAGTAGAATTTCTATTTAGCTGCTGGACTTGAAATGGAATAAGAACAAAGGTAACATTTCCAACACTCAACAATGCATCCTTAGCTGTTTCATAATTCTATTTTTTTTTTTTTTTGAGACAGAGTCTTGCTCTGTCACCCAGGTTGGAGTGCAGTGACGCAATCTCATCTCAGCTCACTGCAGCCTCTGGCTCTTGCCTCCTGAGTAGCTGGAATTACAGGTGTGCACCACCGTGCCTGGCTAATTTTTGTATTTTAGTAGAGACTGGTTTTGCCATGTTGGCCAGGCTGGTCTCGAACTCCTGACCTCAGGTGATCCTCCTGCTTCAGCCTCCCAAAATGCTAGGATTACAGGCATGAACCACCATGCCTGCAAGCCGTTTCATAATTCTGATACTGCCGTCCACATGTGAACAATTGCAGCCACTTCTTGCTGATTCTGACTGCTGTGATGTTGCAAAGACACATTTATTCATTTCATTTATTGCCCTCTGTGGCCAAATTACTATTACTTGCAGATCTCGCCTCAGTTTGCTTCTAGCCTTTCAATCTTTTTTCAGGATGTCCAGTATATAAATAGAAAAGGTGGGTTTTTGGATCAATGTAGCTTAATTATAATCCTGTTTTCTGAGTCTTGCTCATTTTCTTTTTCATTTATTCTAACAAAAAGAGACAGTTGGGCACTGAGTGTTGCCTGTATAGTCTAGTAAGTAATTTTTTTGAGTTATAGATATGTGGCTTGATTGTCCATTTTCAAGGCCAAGGACAAAGTCCATTTGATTTCATTTTAAATTGTATGATTGAAATGAACTTAAAAGCCTCTTTTTCCCTCTACATGATCTTCTTGCTTTCATTGTGAAGACTACAATAAAACAAAACAAAACAAAAAAAACACAAATGTAAAGAATTATTGGTTTAGATGTTTTTGGTCTGTCTTTCAAGCTATCTTTTGATGTTTGCCTCTAGAACTCCAATGTTGCAGCCACCACAGCTTGAAGTATTTCCCCCACCACTTGTGCCATTTCAAACATTCTCTTAGTATTAAAACAAATCAAAATCAGGAGGTATCTAATTGTGCTGGTTTTGATTTTGTTAATACAAAGTGAAAGATTAAAATGGAGCAGTAACAGCAAAAACATTTCTTAAAGAGGCAGTCACAGCAAACCATTAAAAGGCAAATACGCTCTAAAACCAAAGTCTTGAAAACTTTAAGGAGAAACAACCCCCTTCCCCAAAGAAATTGCAAGAAAGTACAATCATTAAAGAGGTTGCTTTATAACCTCTTTCTAAAAATGTTAGCCTTTGGCAAAAGGTACCATTATGAAGGCTTTCAGATATATCATAACTGCTTCCCCCCGTAACATTTACAAGCTCACATATTACATTTGTCACATTCGGTGGCACTTGGCAAGTTTTGTAATGGTCTGGGTGCTTCCCCAACATCTTTCTTGTTGTCGTCTTGTTTTCTTCATTCTCTTATGTTCCTTGGATTCTCAGTTACCCCCTGGGGCTGGACTCCAGCTTTTTCCTTTTATAGCTCCACTGGTATCCCATCTGTAGGACAATAGTTCTAGGTACCCCCCACCTCCTGCCCCCAGCAAAAGCCTTATTGGAGTCTGATTCTGAGCATCAGTTGAATGAAAATTCAGGAGTTATTCTGACTTTGCTCCTTGAAGCAATATAGCACTTCCGTTTTGTGGTGGCAATTATTGTTCTAGACACTTTTCACATTTCACTCTGTAGAGCTGCTGGTATGAACAGGTACAACTTTCCCTATTTAGTACTTGCCAAAATAAATCAATAAATTGTAGCAAAGTCTCCACCTTCCCTTGTACTCTCAATTCCAAAGGTTTGGGAGCATTATCCAATACCTATTCCCTCTAGTGATCATGCTCTCTTCCCCTAAGAAAGTGGGTTGCAGGCAGACTTGTAAAGGCAAGAGATGTCTTTCCAAGACCTCTTGAATACATGGATTTTATCGCTTGGCAGAAACTTTCAAAAAGTGAGCACTCCTCAGCACAGTTTTGTGCTTACTTTTCAAACTCCTTTGAGAAAAATGTAAATGATCCCTGGTAAGGTGAAGTCTGATTCACACTTCAGTATGAACTAACCATCTACCACTCTCTGGGACAAATTTTTCAAATCTCGAATTGGAAAATGTGTTTGACCAGAGAAAATTGAGAATTTAGACTGGTTGCTATAATCAACACATTCAAGCATAATTACACATTCAAGCATAATTCATTCACTTGACTAACAGGAAGAATAATGCCTGTGAGCTGAGGTATGAAAGGTAAACAAAGATTGTCCAGACAGGCATGTGGAAGAAGAGTGTTTTGAGAAAAAGGAACAAAAATGTGAAGACAGAGGTATGTGATTGTGTGGTACATTTAGAGGAACTACTTGAGGCTCATAGTTACATGATTGCAAAGGGTAGCAGGATGAGTGGTGAGAGAAGAAACCGGGCACATAATCAGTAAATAGACCGTGAAAGGCTTTGTGTTTGGAGCCAATAAACTAAAATTTTCATTCAGTTGGAGACCAAATGAAGGATTTTGAACAGGAAAGTGAGATACTAAGACATGCATCTAACAAAGATGTCTAGTGACATGGAGAATGGGAGAATGGATTGGTGAGGATACTCCAAGTGAGTTGTCCATGACAGCCTCCTATTTTTTCACCACCCAATCTCTCTCGAACATACTCCAAGTAAGACTGGAAACAAGACCATGTGGGATGTCACTGCAAAAATCTAGGTGAGGATTATGAGTGTCTGAACTAAGGCTATGACAGTGGGAGTGTAAAGAAAGGGCAGGCAGTTTCAAAAAATATTAAGAAGAGAGAATTGGCAGAATATAGGAGCTAATACAATATGAGAGGTGAGAGAAAAAAGACTTCTAGATTGTCTCAAAGCATTTTATGGTTAATAGATGAAATACTGATTCTTCTATATAAAGCTACCTCTCTACCTGTGTATCTACTCCATTTCCCTCTCGTGTACTCAAGGACATCATTGCTCTGAGTTTACATCCTGTCTTTCTATCCTTATATTATCTCTCTTTACTAAATCCTGGCAACATACAAACATGCTATATATATATCTCTTACCTTTCAAAAAATAACTATTTCACTCCATTTCCCCCACCAAGCACTGCTTGGTTTCTCTCCTCCCTTTTATAGCCAAATGTCCTGCGTGAGTTGTCCATGACAGCTTCTCATTTTTTCACCTCCCAAACTCTCTCAAACTTACTCCAGACAAGCTTTTGTTCTCAACACTCTACTCAAACATCTCTTGCCAAGTGTTCAGTAAAACTAATTTTGATTCTATCTCACAGGGAACATCGGAAATAGTGTAAGCACAGTTCACTGTAGTCTTGCTCAGGATTTGTAGTATTTATACCCTGACATCTGCAGCCCATTGGTTAAGGGCTATGTTAAGGGGTTAGGGTGGGGAGATATAAATTACCAGGCACCTTAGATCTCTATGTGAAAAGGTAAGCCAGAGTGCTGCAACCTGAGGCCAGTCGTCTCAAAGAGCTGTAGGTGTTGGCTATTGGAAGAAAAAGCACCTCAAAGATTAGTATGCCAAAAAATGGTATAGAGAGTATGCAAAGTGTGTTCCCATACCAGCAGTATCAGCATCACCTGGAAACTGTTGGAAATGAAAATGTTCTGCCCCCCAAAAAAATTACAAGCCTCCCCATGACTTTATGTACATTAAAGTTTAAAAAACACTTCCTAAAAACTCTGTGATGAAAACAAAATTATTAAGTTGGCGCAAAAGTAATTGCAGTTTTTGCCATTTTTTGCGCCAACCTAATACATTACTCCTTTTTGCAGACAAAAACAACCCAGGAGATTTTGATACCAATATTTTAACCTCATGATATTCCAACACTGCATTTATGAATGTATATTTTCAAATCAAAATTATAACATCATGGATGAAATTTTATCAGGAAAATATTTTCCGCTATAAACCATAGTAAGCCAAAATTTAATTTCTTAATGGTTTTTTATACATTGTACTTTTCTTTTACAATTGATTCAACTGAAATTAACACCACAAGGGTTAATGCAATTTACTATGTTACTTTTATCAAGAAGTTTTAAATTTAAAATAATTTATTTTATTGGAATTCAATGTTTCTGGTGATATATTTAGCTGTTTTAAAATTAGCTTGGTGACTATTATTTTGATGAAGTCAATTATTTTCAAGGCCAAATTTTGCAGATCTGTATTTTGTCAACAAGAGTTGTCAGTCAATTTTTAGTTAACAGAAAATTTTACAGTGAGAAGTTGTAACTATTGTCAGTTTTATTTTGTTAATTATTTCTACAAGCTATATTGATCATAAGTTAAACAAAATACCATATGTTTATCTTTATTTCTTTGCTAACACAATAAAATGTATGACTAATTGTCATCAAGTATTACAGAATTGCCCTATTGTCAAAATTTCTGACCTATTATAAATTATTTTTAATGCATGTAATTATTCTATAACCTCTTACTCTTGAAATTACCTCCCTGTGTGCTCCTAATCCCTTCCAGAGTGGATCTTGTAGATGTTTTGTCAGTGTAGAAAGTGGGAAGATTTGCTCTCAGAATTCTACTGGCCTGAAACAATGCAGAGCTTCAACAAAGTGATCTGTTCTATTGTTTACTGATTGTGAACAACAAACAGATTTAACACATGAAAGAAACAGGGGGTTACTGAATTTTCCAGCAATGTATGTACCCACTCTCACATCTTTTCTTTTTTTATAAACTAACTACTATACCAATCATGGAGCAAAGAACATTAGTGGACAAGGTGTAAGATCTTGGTGCCTGGGAGGTTTAAGCATCCTTGACTCTGTTGTAGAGTCTGAACATTTATCCCCCAAACCCAACTCTTGCTCTTACCCAGCATATATATTTATTATATTATCTTGTCTCCTTTACAGTTTTCTATGCACGTGTGACTAGCGTATCTTAAAAAAAATACAGGGAGAAGTGAGGTTGTCCCTTGTCAGGCTTGGCTCTACCACAAGAACTTCTCTATGCTCTCTTCTCCTTCTGGCTTTCTGCCATGAAGATAATCCTAGGGTAATCTCAAGAGCCATGTGTTTCAAATGGCAGAACAAGAAGAAGAAAGGATGCTGGGTGTTTGAATCATTGCTTAGGGAAAGCTGCCCCACCAGGAACACATGCTCTGGAATACTTACATGAGTGAGAAATGCATATGATGATATTAAATCATCAAGATTTGGGTGTTTATTTGTTATTCCACCTAGCCTTATCCTAACACAGGCTCAAAGCAAGAGTCACACAGCAGACACAAAACATTATTAGGAGTCAATTCAGAATCAAAACATGCTAATATGGGAAGGAAAAATGTAGCTTACAGAGGTTCACCACTAGCTTGAGGCAATCTAACTACCCTGTTTGATTTCTATGCCCAAGCTAAATTACTGCAGATAAAAAACATTCATAGATTTGCATTTTATAAAACATTGACAGCATGCTCTACTGTATTTACAACAGTGGGCAAAAGTACAAACTGCAAAAGGTTCTAACTGCTGGATTATTTTCAAATACATACACATACCATCTTTGCCAAGTACACGCACTGCTGCTTGCTTCTGTTCTAGTGTCTGTTTCACTTAATGCAATGAAATGGATAGTGAGTATTTAATTCTTCAATTAGAAATCCCTGAAGCTGCTAGGTAGAAACAAGTGCTGCTGCTATCCTGAAACAAGTGCTTTAGACTTCAAACTATCACCAACACCCTCTACTACAAGCTACATTATTAAACTCACAGAAATTTCTGCCCAGCACATCATTGAAAGAAACGTTTAGAGGAATTAGCTTTAATTTTAATCTAAAATTAAATATTTACAGGAAAACAAGTTCTTCAGCTTTGATGGTAATATACTTAGTGATAGAGCATTTGACTCATGATATATAGACATTTTCCTCTAAGACATTGCTATGGTTTGAATGTGTCTCCCAAAGTTCATGTGTTGGAAGCTTAATCCCCAATATAACAGAATTGAGAGGTTGTATCTTTAAGAGGTGATTAGATCATGAGGGCTGTGCCATATGAATAGATTAAAGCTGCTACTGCAAGAGTGGGCTAGTTATCACAAGAGTAGATTCCTAATAAAAAAAAAGATGCATTTTGTCCCTTTTCTCTGTCTTGCATGGGTATGCTGTCTTGCCCTTCTGCCATCTGCCACGAGAAGGCACAGCAAGAACTCCCTCACTAGATGCCTCCCCTCTGTCTTGGACTTCCCAGTCTCCAGCACTATGAGCCAAATAAACTTCTGTTGTTTATAAATTACTCAGTCTCTGGTACTCTGTTACAGCAGCACAAAATGGACTAAGACATACATTGTAAGCCACTTATTAACAAGCATGACTTACAGCTCAAATCCATCCTAAAAACAAGACATGGCTGACCATTATGTTTCTTTTAATTTCACACCATTCAGTGGTCATCACTTAAAGGCAAATTTTGAATGGATAAAAAGTGTCCCGAAGTATAACATTTAGTCACATTTAGTCAATATTAGCATCCAAATTTAGAATAAGTTCTCACCCAGCTCCAACCTTCCACTATCCTGCACACAGTGTCTAACTCTACAGTAGAGGCACTTGTCATAAACTTGGTCTTTGGGAACAATATCATATGGAGAGGCAGTTATTCATAGCATGAGTTCTGGATCAGACTAAGTACAAATACCAATTTTGCCTCTTGCTATCTATGTGATTTTAAACAAAGTACTTAGTCTGCCATTGGTTTATGTATGGCTTCAAAACAGTAATTCAAGTGAGGGTGTTGTAGACATTTGCAAATTAATTCTAAAATTAATATGAAATGTAAAAGATCTAGGATAGCTAAAACAATTTTGAGAAACAAGAATAAGATGGAAGAAATCACCTTCCCTGAGGTAAATTCTTCCTATATAGCTGCAGTAAACAAGACAATGTGGTAGAGGGATAGATACAGTGAAGAATGAAACCCAGAAATAAATCTATGTATGACCAACTTATTTTTGACAAGGTTATCAATATTAGTCAATGAAAGAAGGCAGCCCCAACTGGGCAACATTGTGAGACTCCATCTCTACCCCCACCCCCAAAAGGAAAAATTAGCCAGGTGTGGTAGAACATGCCTGTAGTCTCCACAGGAGGGTGAGGTGGGAGGATCACTTGAGCCCAGGAGGTTGAGGTTGCAGTGAGCTGTCATCGTGCCTCTGCATGCCAGCCTAGGCAAGAGAGCAAGGCCCAGCCTCAGAAGAAAAAAGACAGCCTTTTCAACAATGCTGTTGGAAAAAATAGATATTCATAAGCAAAAAAAAAACAACAACAAAAAAAACCCGAAACCCAAGAACTTTAATCTAAATCTTATGCCTACACAAGAATGAACTCAAAATAGATTGTGGACTTATATGTAAATGTATAGAACTCTCAGAAAAAAAATCACACATAGCAATAAACTTTTTGGACTTATGGCTAGATAATGAGATTTTGGACTTGATATCAAAAGTATAATCCACAAAAGGAAAAATTGAACATTTGTACCTCAACAAAATTAAAATATTTTGTTCTGCAAAAAAACTGTGAGGTAATAAATGGAAGCTACCAATTGAGAGAAGATATTTACAAGACAGATACTTGACAAAGGACTAGTGAGTAGAATATATATATATATATATATAGAGAGAGAGAGAGAGAGAGAGAGTGAGATGGAGTCTTGCTCTGTTGTCAGGCTGGAGTGCAATGGTGCAATCTTGGCTCACTGCAAACTCCACTGCCGGGTTCAAGAGATTCCCCTGCCTCAGCCTCCTGAGTAGCTGGGACTACAGGTGCATGCCACCATGCCCAATTAATTTTTGTATTTTTAGTAGAGATGAGGTTTCACCATGTTGGCCAGGATGGTCTCGATCTTTTGACCTCGTGATCCACCTGCCTAGGCCTCCCAAAGTGCTGGGATTACAGGTGTGAGCCACCATGCCCAGCCATAAGTAAAATATATAAAGAACTCTTAAACCCAACAGTAAACAAAAAGTCCAATTAGAAAATAGGAAAACAAAACATGAAAACACATTCACTGAAAAAGATATATGGATGACAAATAAGTACATGAGAATATATTTAATGTACTAACCACCGGGGAAGTGCAAATTAAAAGCATGATGACTATGACCACACATTTTTTAAATGGCTAAAATAAAAGATAGTGATCAATACCAACAAATGCTAGTGAGAGTGCTGTAAAACTGAATCACTACACGTTGCTGTTGGAAATGAAAACTGGTACAGCCAGTTTGGGAAAGAGTATGACAGTGTCTTACAAAACTAAACATACAACTACCATAGTTGCACCCTTAAGCATTTATCCCAGGGAAATGAAGATTTATGTTCACACAAAAACCTGTATGCAAATGTTCACAGCACCTTTATTCATAATAGTCCCAAACTGGAAGCAACTCAAATATCCTTCAGATGCTAAAGAGATAAGCAAATTGTGGTACAATCATACCATGGAATATTACTCAGGCATACAAAGGAATAAATTAGCAATATATTCAACAACTTGGATAGATCTTGAGGGAACTACAGTAAGTGAAAAAACTCAATTTCAAAAGCTTACATATTATATGCTTCTAATTATATAACATATTTGAAATAACAAAATTATAGAGATGGAGAACAGATTAGTGGTTGTCAAGGATTAGGGGTTAGGCGATAAAAAGGGTGGGAGTGGCTACAGTTTTGTATCTTAATTGTGGTAGTGATTGTAAGAATCTACTTGATAAAGTTGAACTGAACTATAGACACACAGACACCACATACACACACACAAGTATAAGAAAAACTGATGAAATATGAATAAGTGCTATAAACTCTACCAATGTCAATTTTTTTAGTTTGGATACCATTCTATAGTTATACATGATGTTACCATTAGGGAGAACTGAATGAAGGGATAGACAATCTCCCTGTACATATTTTGTAATTTCCTGAGAATCTATAATCAGTTCGAAGTAAAAAGTAAAAAAGCTGAAAGACCGAATTTTCATTTAAGTTACGGAAGGATTGGACTTAAAGCAAGACAACCCCAGTAGTTGACTGTGGGGAGTTCAGGAGCCATCCCCTTGAAAACAAAATTGACAGACTTCACTGGAGAAGGAGTAATTTGGCTTATGTTATTGGTTCTAGTTACATGCTAATCCACTAAAAATATTTAGTAGTTAATATCTCAATGTGAATTTGTTTCTCAAATCCTTTCTGAGAATGTATTGATTTTCTTCTCTCTCTCTCTTGTTTTGGCAGAGGAAACAACAATAAAAATAAAGTAATTATATTAATTTAGACTAAAACTTATTCAGTGGTTTCCATATGCCAGGCTTGTTCAAGTGCTTTCCATCTATTAACTCATTTAGTTTTCTAAATAACTGTATGACTTAGGTACAATTATTAAACAACATTTTATTAATGTAAAAATTGAGCCCTAGAGAGGTTAAGTAAAACCTAAATTTTTAATGTAGATCAGCCTTGCTCTTACTGGCTATATTACACTTCTTAGAGACAAAGTAGAGAATAAAAGGTAGTCACAATTTAATCCACAGGAATAACGTGCCTCTCTCATTCTCTCTTTTCCTTTCTGCTCTCAGTCTCCTCTAGCCAAGCTTTTCCCTCTTTCCTTTACAGCCAGTTTTCTCCGGCTCATTTCCTCCTCATGTCTTTCCAGACTCACTACAGGATGCTCCACCATTTTGTTAAATAGGAAGATTTTCCTCTTTTGAGAATTTTCTAATATGTATCTACCAACATCTATTAATCCAGTAAACAAAGACAATCTCTCTTCTCTCTCTCTCCTTTCTCTCTCTCTCTCCTCTCTCTTTCTCTCCCCTCCCTCTTCCTTTATCTCCCTCAACTCACCCTCTTCTGAACCAAAAGAAAGGGGACAATTATAATCTTTATGATTTCCCCCCATCATGTTACACTACTACCGTGGACTGAGTTCACTTGCTATAAGTAAAAAAATCAAGTGTTTATTTATTAATTATATGCTTAAGTACTTTGAAACTCAAAACTTTACATTGGGGTTTCTGCTGGAGAAACAAGTCATAAAACAGGAAGGACCTAGTTGTTCACATCACTAATCTTGTGGCCTTTTACATAATTACCTGTTAATGCTTTTTGGAGAGTAAGTTTTATTTGTCAACAGTCTGTTAATGATTGTTTAACCAAGTGTTTAAAAGTAAGCTAGCATACTTAACAAGATATTTTATTGATAAGGCCCAAAATTTTGCACTGTGTCCATTAATATCTATCATTTTATTGCTTACATTTTATGAAATGCATACTTCACCGAGAAAAATAAGTGCCACCTATATTTCATTCACTTACATCTTAAAGTGATACCTAAACCCTTTAATTACATTTCTTCTTCCTAACCCTTTACTCATTGTCAAGTCATGATAAGCACCCTCCCAAAATCTGCCCCAGAAAACAAAGGCCAGATTTATTAAAGGCCAATATAAACAGGTGTGTCTACCATGTTGTATTTAAAAAAATATCATCCTATCTACTTATGGGATTTCTACATCACTGTTTAATCCTTCTATCCACACTGATTTATGATGCTCCGGTTTCCTCTTCCATCAAGAGGGATGGGTGCCCAAAACGAATGGCTTCCCCTTCCTTTAAAGAAACATTCCCACTCACAGTCTCCTCCTTGAAACTCTCAAATGACACTCTGACAATGATTCCTGTTTAACAGGTCGACAGCACCCTTCCCCATGGTTCATTCTGTGGCCCAGGTCCTCCAGGCTTTGGCTATTTATTGTCCATGTCAAATCTTTGTTGGAGTTCAAAGCAAAACTGTTTGTCTCTCAAGTTCAGCCCTCCTAAATGAAGAACACTTGTTTCGTCTCCTCTGAGCATTTCAAAACAAAACAGGACAAAAATCAAGATAGCCTGATGTAATATTAACAGCAATTTCTCACTTACTTACCGAAAAAAAGAAAGAAAGAAAGAAAGAAAAAAGACGCCTTGGTACATTTGGAAGGAAGAAAGCTGAGGATCAAGAGAGAGACTTCCAGCCTGGCCCATTTCCAGGGGTGAGTCTTCCTCAGCTATAATATGGCATTGAGGAGCCAAAAAGCTCTTCATGCCCCCGTGAGGAAGTTGATGGGAGCTCAGGATGCTGGCTGGGAGCTCCCCAGGGCACAAGAGGCCAAGTCACTCTGTAGCAGAGGACTGCAGAGTGGAAAACTCCAGACTGAGATGAGACAGAAGTCACAAATGAACTTCACAAGGTCTGCAGGATCGGTGTGATCAGCAGAAAGAGTGACTTGACTCCCAAGGAGCAATCTCCCTGTCTTGCTCATGCCAAGAGAACAGACTTGTGCCATCAGCAGCAAACACAGCAAGGACAAAGCCAGACCTTCAACATCGAATCAGCAGAGAATACGGAGAACCAGAGGATGCTGTGTGCCTCTGGTGCCATGTTGTATCTTAGCTTTGCCAGAACCTGATGTTATCTGGGGAAAGGGAAAGAAAAGAAGAGGAGAGCAACACTCTGTAAAGCTACTTGCCTCTGAAACACTGGGTTAACCTTAAAGTGACTGAATGAAATCAGAAGTAATTAAATTATCTTGAACTGGAATTAGAGACTCAAGAGAAAGATGTTATATTTTTACCAACTGAATTTGTAACTATAAAGTTTTGCAACCCCTTTGGTGAGATTTTTGACCTCAATAGCCAGAAGATAATTTTTTGCCAAAAGCATTGGGTTTAGGTTTTAAAGAGTTGGTTTCAGATTCTAGATATTTATATGATTTCCTTCTTCCTTCTCCAACCTTCCTTCTTTCAAATGACTTTTCAGAGATCATCTTGTCAAAAAAGCCTTACTGAACCACTCTGTCTAAATAGCTCCTCCTCTGACCACTTTCTCTCCTTTTACCCTGCCTTATTCTTCCCTGAGTGTGTACCACTATATGACGTTTCACTATGTATGCATATTTGCTTATTGTCGTTTTCCCTACTAGAATGAAAGTTCTCCGTGGGCAGAAGTTATATTATTTTGCTTCCAATTGTTCCAGTGCCACTTAGTAAGTGCTCAATAAATAGATGCTGAATAAATTAGTGAATCCAGTATAAATCCCTCAATTTTTCTCTTGCTTTCCTCAGTTATAAGTCAGGGATAAAATTAATATCAATTTGCCAAAATTAAGAAATTAAGGAGAGTGTGCCCATAAAGGTGCTCCAAGAATTATAGACCCAGAAGTAATTGGTAGTTCATGTTTTAATTATTTTTGTGGAAATATTTGACTTGGGGACCTCAAATGATACCAGCAAAAATCCAAAAGGTGTTTATCCACCACGCCTGTGCGAAGTCCAGCTCTGCCCACTGCATTGATTCTGCTCTCCTTTTATTTTGGATTAGCAAGAAGATGGAGCCACTTTTCTGCTGCCATTGCCCTTGGAAATTCAAACTCCTGAGGACCGCCTGCAAGACCTTGAATGATCTGAATTTTGCCTACTTCTTGGAGCTCATCTAATACCACTCTTGTTCTCTAGGATCTAGGTACACTAACCTTTCTGTCTCTTGAAGACTTCAGGTTTGCTTGAGAACTGAGGCCTTTAAGCCTTTCTTTCCACCTGGAAAACTCCCAAAAGAGCTTCACAAGGCTGGGCCCTTTTATAATTTGCAATTCAGTTCAAACATTCATCTCCTCAAATGTCTGTATCCTGAGCTCCTTGGCTAGAATGGTCCTCCCCGGTCACCAGCACATATGCACCAATCAACCAATCTGCCAAAGTCCCTCCTATTCTAGAAGTCAGTGTTATTTTTGACACAGCAATCAAAGCTTAAAATTTTATTGTTTTCATAGCACTTAAATTTTTTTGTCATTTCAGCTTCTAGAAGTTCTTTATCAAAGGAAATTTTTATCAAAGTTTTATTTACTGCACTGAGTTTTTAAAAGCTCTTGCTTTTAAAAAATTATCACCACTCAATACTGGCTTTTGTGTATTATACTTAATTAAATTTTAAATTTTACATGCCCTAAAATGGTTTTAATGACAAATTTATAAACCTACAAAATAAACAGAGATTTCTTTTGTTCTTCCCGGGTCTAACTCAGTCCTTTATGTGTCTCAAAAAGATACAGAAAAAGGTAGCATCTCAAAATATCCTAGATATAAAAATTAATATGATAAGGTCTTAAAATAGCCTGTGAAATAAATTGATGAATCCTGGCTTTCATCTTCAGCTGATCATTGAAGTGTGCTAGGAATTTTGCCTCAGTTCTGTTTTTGTTTTGTTGTTTTTTTTTTTGTTTTTTTTTTTTTTTTAAGACAGAGTCTCGCTCTGTCACCAGGCTGGAGTGCAGTGGCACGATCTTGGCTCACTGCAACCTCCACCTCCCAGGTTCAAGCGATTCTCCTGCCTCGGCCTCCCGAGTAGCTGGGATTACAGACGTGTGCCACCATGCAAGGCTAATTTTTGTACTTTTAGTAGAGATGGGGTTTCGCCATGTTGGCCAGGCTGGTCTTGAATGCCTGACCTCAGGTGATCTGCCTGCCTTGGCCTCCCAGAGTGCTGGGATTACAGGTGTGAGCTACCATGCCTGGCATCAGTTCTTATATTTGACACAGAAATAGTATCATAGAGCAGAAAGACTACTGACCTAATCATTCACTCAGTAAATATTTATTGAATATATCATTTATGCCAGCCACTGAGTGAGACACAGGATGAGCAGGACAGTTATTGGTTTTCTCTTACTGCTTACTGTCTCAAAAGAGAGACATGGGTAAAACCAATATATGTGCAGGAAATAGTTACTTCCCTATAATAGGAATACAAATGAAAAAAGACAAGGTACCATGAGAAAAAGTAATATATCTAGACATAATTTAGATTAGAAGATAATATTTAAAATGATACCCAAAATGATTAGATTGACATTGATTAACAGTAGGGATCACAGCCTGCAAGGCACAGAGGACTGACTGAGCAAAATCCCTGGGACAGAAGAACTTGATAATGTTTCCATTTTTAAAATTCTACTTCTAACTCCTTCAGCATTTACTCATTAGATTTGGGAAAATCACGTTGTCTTTCAAATCAAGCCTTATCTTCTACAAAATAGGGAAAATAAAATGAAAATACATTTGGCAGAAGAAAATGAAACACAGTGTATTAAAATGTTGTCAAAAAAATTACGAGGCTACGTGAACAGCATTGAGGCTTTAGATAATGCTTTTGCAGTTTTTATTACACTAACCTTCCCATACATAGTAATTTTAAACTCAGGAAAGAATGAAAATAATCAGTTTGAAGATACTAGAGAGTGATCAATAGCAGATAATAGAATAGTTGCTAGGGGTTGAGGGTCAGGGATTGCTTAAAGTTTCAGTCAAGAAGATGAATAAGTTCTAGAACTTTGCTGTACAACAGTGTATCTATAGTCAACAATACTGTATTATACATGTAAAGATCTGTCAAGAGGATAGATCTCATGTTGTGCTTTTTTACAATTAAAAAATAATAAAGTGGACATCCTCAATCTGACAAAGAGCATTTTTAATAAAAAACCTAGCGTTTACATTATGCTTAATGGTGAAATGTTGAATATGAAATATGTTCCTCCTAAAACTGGAAACTAGGCAAATATTTCCTCTATTCACACTTATATTCAGCATTGTACAGATAGCCCTAATCAGTGAAACAGGGCAAATAAAAGAAAAAGACATCTAGATTTTAAGGAGAGAAGTTTTTTTTCTTTTAATTTGTAGAAAACGTGGTTGTTTCTGTAGAAAATCCTAAGGAATCAGCATAACTATAATAACTTCAGTAAGTTCACAGCATAACTATAATAACTTTAGTAAGTTCACAGATACAAAGTCTGATTTTAAAATTGCTATAAACTATGGTCATCAAGACAGTAGCATAATGAGAGAAAAATACAGCAATGAAACAGAACAAAAAATGTAGGAATATGCCCATACTTACACGATCAATTGACATTTGACAAAGGCACCCAAGGTAATTCAACGGGGAAAGAATAAAAATTTCAACAAATGTTGTTGAAAGAATTGCATTTCTATTAAAAAAAGGAGAGAGAGAGAGAGACTTTAATCTCTTCTCTATCTAATTTGAGATCAATGAGATATCTAAATATAGAAGCTAAAATATACCAGAAAGCATTTTTCCAATTTTGCAGGTAAGCAAAGATCAAACACTATATATATATATATTTTCTTTTTTTTTTTGAGACAGAGTCTGGCTCTGTTGCCCAGGCTGGAGTGCAGTGGCGCGATGTTAGCTCACTGCAACCTCTACCTCCCAGGTTCAAGGGATTCTCCTGCCTCAGCCTCCCGCATAGCTGGGATTACAGGTGCGTGCCATCACGCCTGGCTAATTTTTGTATTTTTAGTAGAGATGAGGTTAATCTATTGGAAATAAGTCTATGTAAACTTAAGTTGTTGTTATTCTCCAAAAAATAAATAATCAGGGTGTTTTTAATGCCTAATTTATAGAAACTTGTATAACCAGATGTTGACTGAGACTTTTCATATTTTGAAAAATTATAGTTTAATACCAAAGCCAAGAAACATGGCACTATGTACTGTGCATTCTAGAGCCAGAAAGCTAATTAGGGCTACTGACTTCTGAGGATGTAGCCTTCCCCTTTTGCCCAAGTTAATATAACATGAACACAGAAGACTGGAAAAGGAGTAAGCTTCATGGAGGCCAAGTGAGAGAGGCTCTGGAAGAGTCACTCATGAAGAACAGAGGCCCTGCTTGGAAAGACACCTGCATGCCATTCCCTGGCTGGACAACACAGCTCATTTTGTGAAGCTCTACAGGGGAGCATGGAAGAGACAGTTCTTGAAAGAGTGCTCTGAGAGATTAGGAGTGCATCAAATTATTGTTCTCAAACATTCTAACCCCACAGTGGACAATAGGGGCTATTTCTTCACGTGTCCCCCGAAGTGGGGAGGAACAGTTGAATATAAACAACCAACCTACTTCTTCCCTAGGCTGTTGGCTAACATATTCCAGCTGAGTTTCAAAGGACTGTAGCATAGCCTAAGATAAGGATAGTACAAACTGACACCATCTCAGCATGCTGTGGTCCTTGGAGGGCACAAGAAAGTGCCACATTGATCCCAGTGGAACTACTTAAAAAGACACTTGAAAGAGAAGGAGCTGTGAGGCTTTCCAGGCCCAGTCAATTGTTGGGACACCCAAAAAGAAGAAAATATTGGGGATATGTACCTTGGGAACAGCTAAAGGCACACATAGTTGTCCCTCTGAGGGAGAAGTTGGAGTGGACTGGGTTGAGCTCAACAAGAAAACCACAAACACTATCTGTGTGCAGAATCCATACAGATCACCTCAATGTCAGAAGCCACCACTAACAAAAGAAAAAAAACATTTCCCCACTGCCAATAAAAGACACATACAAATGCCACCCATCTCTCATCTTTCTGTCACCAATATTGAAATAGCTAGTGTCTCTTCTAAGAGGGAGGATGAGCAATGAGACCATGTTTTCTCTTAACCTTCAAGTATGCCACACTAGATAAAGAGGAGTGGAGCTTTGAATTGGACTTGAGATTTAATTTTAAAATGTTTTTAAATAAAGTGAACTGAGTATTAATCACTAGATGAAAGTGTCCCATAACCAAAATGGCTGAGAAAAGTTTGAATTGGACCAGGCGTCTCTAGTTGCCTGTTATCCAGAAAAATTCAGGAAAGTGGTTAAACGATTTCATATTTACACGTCAGTGAGTTGACTTCTCAATAAACCTGTTATACATGTCATTGTAATTTCATAGTAAAATAGGTGTGGGCCTTAAAATCAAATTATAATAAGCTAAATTTGACATTATTTAATTTAGGAGTTAAGAGCTATAAGCTCATTAGATTCTTTTGATAAGTGATAGTCTTCTCAAGTTATCATTGGGATACCAATGTGAATTATACAAATAGTTATTTTTCATAAGACATTCTGATACGGCAGGCTCAAGGAGTTAGCTGAAAAATTTAGAATTGACCTCTATTCATGTGTGTACCTCTGAATAAAACTCTATGAAAGGGACTTTAAAAATATATTTCATTTGCAATAATTAACTTGAATTCTCCATAAGAAATAATTTAGTTCCATAAGGTTGGCCTTTTTTGGTAACTTTCAAATGAAATCTATTATTTAAACTAAATTCAATCAAACTCATCATAAATATTGAGACTGATTTTTAAGGCCACAAGCCTAAATAACAATCCTTCTATAATTTTAAAGGGTTTAAATGTACCTTACATTTCAATATATAAACCTGTGTATATAGAACTAAAATCATCAAAAGGAAAATTGAAATTCTTCATCTATGATATAATGAATTATAAAATTAAACATAAAGTTAGAAAAGCTCCCAAATCTTAAGAATTGTGGACACACTTCAGAAAATGAGACTGACCAGATATTGACAGAAGAGTAAGAGGACTTCCCAGTTGACAGTAAGTTGATTTGCCCAGCCTTAGGGTCAAGTGTGAAATGATCAGCAGCTGCAAATTAGCAATGTGCCTATGCTTTGTATACACAGATATAATTAGGAGACCAAGGTTGTGTCTGTTTCTATATGTTTGGCAAAATATGCTTATGAAGTCATATTAACAAAATTTTCCAATTGAGATTGCCGCCAAGAGTTTATTTCTTTAATGTGCTGAGACCAAAATGCATCCTCTTCTTGGAAGGTATTCTCATCAATATTTGTGGGGAAAGTCTGAACAAAAACTCCGTTTCACTAAATGGCTATATAATTGCACTTCTGTAGTATGTGTGAACACACTTTATTTCTAGGAGATGCCAAAACTGAATGAAAACTAAAAAAAAAAAAATCAAGTCAGTCATCTGGATGATTAGTGTCATGAGGACATAAACCAAGGCCTGCTGTGGTGAAAGATCTAAGTCCAATCCAACTCCAGAGTAAACAACTGTGTAATTATTATTTATTTTTGAAGAATGTATATTTTCATAAACATACTCAGATTACAAATGGCTTCTCTCATGCAGTTACTATTTTGTCTGTTTGTCTCCCCACTCTCTCTTTCTCTTTTGTCTGTTACGGTACATTATAAGTCATGCTACGGTGCCTCCTGCAACTGCAGACCCAGTCCTACTCCCTCTCTCTATTTAGCACTCAGTGGGGAAAAGTACACATCATTGTGGACTGAGCCAGGAAGACAACGAGGTTTGGTTCAACTATAAGTTTTGAAACAGTAATGAGGGGAAGAAAGAGCTCCCATTATCTGGAGGGGTGGCCTATCTAAAATCACTGTTTCTACTTGGTCTCTCAGCTATGGCCTTATTTTCTGCATAAAAAATTCTGAAGTTAGAAAAAAATAGAGCCCACTGTTTATTCCAAATGAAAACTTTTCCAAGAGCATGACTTAATCAAAATTTTTAAAGCCTATACTCTTATTAGGAAAGTACACTTAGTTGGTCTCCTTGATACAGACAAGAGGCAGGGAAATACTGGGTAGAACAAGTTCCCTGGCAAAGGCCCCACCCTCAAGCCTGGAAACCCACAACCCTAAATGGGAATAGGCATTCCTGTTTTCATCTCCAAATGTTACCTTTTCTAAGACCACTCTGGCCTGCCATGCCCCTATCCTGTGTCCATATAAACCCCATGCTCCATGAGCAGAGGCACAGAGAAGCAGAAGAGCAGTAGAGTGGCAGAGTGGCAGAGCAGTTTGGTAGAGAAGGAGAGAAGAGAAGGAGCATCTGAACATCGAGAGGAGTTTGACTGGAGATGGTTGGAGAGGAGATCAGCTGCGGGATGGCCGAACTCCAGGGGAAGATCATCTTCCCACTCCATCCCCTTTCTAGCTCCCCATCCGTCCCAGTGAAAGCCATCTCCACTACTCAATAAAATCTCCACATTCACCATTCTTCAAGTCCAAATGACCTGATTCTTCCTGGATGTTGACCAAGGACCCAGGTACCAAGAGGGCAGAGTGTAAAAGGCTGTCACCCTGACTCTCCACTGAGCTGGTTTAACACTTAGCCATCTGTGGACAGCAACTGCTAAAAGAGGATGAATTGTAATATACCCCTAGATGCTACATGGGGCTGCAGCCCAAAGTGCTCACCCTGGCTCCTGCACCTGCCTGTCTGCACGCTCCCCATCCCATAAAAGGTTTGAACACATGGCAGCCAAGCAAGTGAGCCGCACCTCTGTTGCAAGTCCTGCGAGGGGGTCAGGGAACTCTCTCCCATTTCACCTTTGACTAAAAAATAATTCTTTCTCAAATAAGGTCGTCAAAGAAGTAGTCTCAGGAGGAACAAGCCTAGATCTGTAGAAGGAAGGAGGATGCATCAGCCTAGTCATTCAGGTCAGCCAAGTTGATGCTGTCAGTGAACAGATTGACAGATGTCCCATCAAAGAACCATCACATGAAATCCAGCCTAAGCTCTACACACCAGCCAAGCCAGGCTACAACCTATAATTGTGGTTACTATTCATATCCTTATATAATTTAATATTTAGTCTTCAAATTACTGATAACTTGTAACACTTTTTTGTGTTGGTTTATGATTTGTCTGATCGATGACATTGTCTTTTTTGTTTGGTTTGGGTTTTTTTTTTTTTTTTTGAGACAGAGTCTTGATCTGTCACACGGACTGGAGTGCAGTGGCACAATCTTGGCTCACTGCAACCTCTGCCTCCCAGGTTCAAGTGACTCTCCTGCCTCAGCCTCCTGAGTAGCTGGGACTACAGGCAAGTGCCAACATGCCCGACTAATTTTTGTATTTTTAGTAGAGATGGGGATTTTGCCATGTTGGCCAGGCTGGTCTCGATCTCCTAACCTCAAGTGATCCGGCTTCCTTGACGTCCAAATTTCTGGGATTACAGGCATGAGCCACTGCACTTGGCCAACACTGTTTGTTTTTGTCTGTTTGTTTGTTTGTTTTTTGTTTTTTGTTTGTTTGTTTGATTTTTACATTGAGTTTCCAAGTTTGAAACAAGATGAAGTCAACAGTGAGGTGGTGAATTATGTATTTCAATGGCTCAGTCATTAATTATGGTGTAGCATTTGGCTAAAGGCAGGAGATAAACAAATATACAGAATTGTCACTTTTTCTTCCTTCTTTACAACCTTGTAATTAGCATATGTGACTCATTTTTCAGTTCTACAGGCTGGTGTCATTCTGATGATTTGGATTTCCGAGACACAATATTAGTTGCCGTGCGGTATGGGGAGTAAAGAATAGCTCCACTGAGGAATATTGATAGCAATTTAGATTTCTACCAAAAACAAAAAATACAGATTCTATTAACTTAAGAATCTATCAATTAGGAAAAAGCCACTAACTAGTTGGAAAGTTGTATTCTTTCCAGAATTAAATCAGAAAGTTAGCCAAGTTATGTAGTATAAGAATAGTAGTTATGTAAGGAAGAATCTATCAGACACGCACACTTCAAAGTTTATACATTTTTACTAGTAAGGCCTCCACAAAGAAGATGGCACCTTTCCCTTTCCCAAACTACAGTGGAAGAAAGGAGGGCGATTAGAGGGAAACCAATGTCTGTTAGTTTATTAATCAGACTTTATTATACTTCCTTTGTTTTGAGTAAACTGGCTAATCCCTATCGTAATGAATGTTACCAAACCCAGTGAGTCATTATAACAAAGTGACCTCAGTTTAGGAATCAGGAGACGTGGTTTAAAGGACAAACCACATTCTGCAAATAATTTTTTTTAAAGGCAGTTTCCTCAAGAAAAGCAACATTGATATATTTTTTTTCCTGTAAGAAGATGGAAAAAGAGAATCCATTTTAATGAATATCTATTTCAACTTAAAAAGTCCTGTGCTGAGGTCAGATTTAAAATACAAATGGAAAAATTGTCAAAATATCCAAAACAAACCTATTTTATTAGTAGACCAGCAGCTAAAAATGAAACACTTATCACACTCCTGCTAACATCTTATTTTAAAATTTGAGTGTTTTCTTTTTCCCATGGAATAATGTGTAGTAATTAAAGCCAGCAAGTCTCTGATTAGTATGAAAATGTTACTCTATTATAAATTAAGAGTAATAATGCCTTCTGTGCACATACCTGGCTAAAACTTGAGGATCTTTAAGAGGTTTTAGTGTGTAGGATGAGGACCTCATCAGCATGAGCACTAGGAAAGGGATGCTAAGAACAGTGGACCTTTCGAAATGCCAAGAACAGTTTGCTTATTTGTAAAATTGGCAGGGCACAGTCACCCAGAAAGAAATTTGGCAAGGGTGTACAGATCTGTCAATAACTGCCATGAGACTCAGGATCTGACTGGCAAGGAAGTTATTCAACCCTATTTGTATTAGTCTATTCTTGCATCACTCTAAAGAAATATCTGAGACTGGGTAATGTGTAAAGAAGAGAGGTTTAATTGACTCACGGTTCCACAGGCTGTACAGGAAGCATGATGGCTTCTGGGGAGGCCTCAGGAAACTTTCAATCATGGCGGAAGGCAAAGGGTAAGTAGGCACATCTTAACATTGCTATGGCAGAAGGAAGAGAGAGAGGGGAGAGGTGCTAGACACTTGTAAACAACCAGATCTCGTGATAACTCACTCTCACCAGGGCAACACCAAGAGGGATGGTGGTAAACCATGAGAAACTGCCCCCCATGATCCAATCACCTCCCACCAGGCCCTACCTCCAACACTGGAGACTGTAATTCAACATGAGATTTGGATGGGGACACAGATCCAAACCATTTCACTATTCTTTAATCATTTTATTTAATACTTAAACTAAATACAGCTGGCCAACTGCTGGCCTAAAGTTCCTCACCATTCTCTTAGCCTCTCCCACCCCCACCTATATAGTACTTGATCCTGCTGACCTGAACCTATATAGGAACCAATATACACAGTGGTTCTGGACATCCATTGAAAGTCTGTTGAATATGATGCTCTGTTTCTTCATGCCGCTTGTCCATGGACTCCTAACCTTTTTTAAGATACCCATAAAGCAAGTAATTAAGAGCAAGCCACAAGGTTAGAAAGACACAGTACACATTTTCCCTTGGAGTCACTTAAGCCATTTACCCCTGTTGCACTTTCACAGCATCATATATACTTCTTTTAGCTATTTTATCATTATGATATTATACGTATTTGTATAATCTTTTGATACAGCTATCCCTCGGTGATGCACAGCACAGTGTATCTTCCCCCCATCTGTCTTGTGTTGTACTCTGCCTTCGATTTCAGAAAAAAAAAAAGAACCGTTAATTGAATTAATAGTGTATAACAGGTACATAATATGCTTTGTAGAATAAATGGATAATCGATTATCAAGTGGGTTACTTTTAGCTCAGAAAGACTCATCTACCGAATTTTAAAGCATATAAAATCTGGGGTATGTTCACTTTATCGAAAATACTATAAAATTTCACTAGGACAGGATACATTTGGAATCTTTGCACACCCTTAGGGCTTTCATTTTTCTTTGAATTGTCCATGACCTATAAGTTTGCTAAGCAAATTAATTGTGTAAGCAAGTTTCCAAGAAATGTAAACAATATTACAGAGGATGTTCAAATTACTAAAGTTAAAATCTTTTCAAAATACTTGGAAGGCATCAAATTGTATTTAAATACAGTACTATGCTATCCATTGCACTTTAATCTAATTCATAAATCTTCAGGTTTTTTCCAGATAACCCATCCTCAGCAGTTGCCTCTAGTTATTTTGTGGAGTCAAGAACAGTAAAGTTGGATTTCGAGACCCACCTTTCAGTGAATTCAGATGGCCCCTTCTCCAGTTGGTCTGAATTAGGGAAGTTTTAATGCATATTTATTTGGATATGTTAAAATTATTCTCCAAGGAGGATGGAAAAGACTGATATATACACTCTGGGTCAAATGGATTCAAGTCCTATTATTTTAGGCCTCTGAAAAAGATTACAAGTGAAGCTGAACCTGGAGTGGTCCAGTCAAGAAATCATATCATAGATTAGAGCTGTATTAGTCAAAGCATGGCCCATTATGTGCAAGCTTTACAGAAATTCATGGGTGCTACTCCAGATCTACTGATTCAGAAGCTGTTATAGGATTAAGAATCTGTGTTTGAAGAGGGTTTTAAATGCTGGAGTTTGGAAACTGCTGGGTTAGAGCATTGGTCTCCAGCTGCTGTGTTCTTGCCTAAGAGATATGTACAAATGAAAAATATACATAATTGTGTAAGCAAAAATATTAGAATTTCTCTTATACATATATATACATGATCAGTTTCCATTTTCTATTTTTGTAAATGCTTTATAGTACTTTATATAGAAGTACATATATAACATAAAAATAAACAAATATACATTATAGATGCTAAAATGTTTACTTATGGAGTAGACAATCAAAAAAAGTTTGGAAATACTGAGTCCAGAACATAGTAAATATCCATTTAATCTTTTGGAATGCAAATCCATTGTGTCTGGTTATAAACTATTTAAAATGGATGCTCTTTTCAGCAAAAGAAAATACAAGAAACATACCAAGAGTTTAGCACGGATTGCAATCTTTTAGCATTCTCCTTAAAAATAAAATGAAACTATTCTACAAGTACACTTCAAGCCTGTTTTTCTGAGGAGGATGTTAGCAAGGTTTAAAAGGGCATGCAACTGAGGGAACTACCTATTATGGACCCAAATGAAGTCAGGTGATTTAGAGCAAATAAAGAATTAGGTGCCTTGAGAGAAAAAAAAATCAAACAATGGAAGTAAACAGGGGTTTACGTTCTCCTGTCTAATGGCTAGGAACAATTAGTTTGGGGAGCTGTAAGAGCACTGCAAAATTTAAAGAAGGTGGAGCAAGCCTGTAAGTACAGACTTAGCAGCTTAACATGCAATTCCCAGTAACAAAGACTCCCGTTCCCCATAACTGGTGAAATTGACTTCAGCTGTTGGGGTGAAGCAGTTCTTGATTTGAAGCATAGGGGAAAATCTCTTAAGAGCCTACAGAGTACGATCTTCCCTTTGTTATTTTTCCCCCCGTCTGTCTTGTGTTGTACTCTGCCTTCGATTTAAGAAACAAATAAATAAAAAGAGGACTGTAATTGAATTAAGAACAGTGAGTCCCAAACTGCATAGTTCTTCACTTGAGACCAAAAGAAGATTTGGTTTTGATCTTAGAGTAACCAGATGCCTCACTTTTAACAAATTCCCTTGACTTAACACACAAGTGCCCTTACCCAATCAAACAACAACAAAAAAAATTGTGTAACAAAATTAAGGGGGAGGAAGTGGGTAAAAACAGCAAATGTTTCCCTTTTTCAAAGTGTGGGAATAGAAATATTCTCTTCTTTGGGTCTAAATATAAGTTTGCTTGCATTGATTTGTAGTAGAGAAATCAGAAATCAGGATGCTAAAAATCAAAGCAGAAAGACTAGGAGACAACTAAAATTTGGACAGGTATATATCTATTTATATTATTATCTAATGCTGAGAAAAAAATTCTCCTAATATCATTTAAATGTTGTAAAATACATGAACATCTATTAAATGGATTTTTGACTCATTTTTGTCAGTTTTTGAGATGCTTGTTGCTATTTAACATAAGCCTTGACTTCTTTATATTGTAAGATTCTTGGGTAATTATTTCCTACAGAGACCCTAGTTCTGATGAATGCTTATCCAAATGCAGTGTTACAATTCTTATTTTATTTTTTGCAGTTCATTGTCTTCATTTCAAGAGTATATGTAAAATAGTAAAAAAGAAAAAAAATCCTTCTTGAGTAGGAAGGTGTCCCTGACTTTATATTGTTTATTTGACCACCTTATTGCTTATCTTGATCTTAAAAGTTGATCTTAAAAAGTTCTAAACAATAAGTCACTATCAAAAGAAAAATTTTTTTTTTAAATGGGCCTTCCTATCTTTCATTCTCTGTCTGTGTCTCTGCCTCTGTCTCTCTTTCTCTCTCTGTTGGCCAAGGTAATAAAAGGCTCAAAAAGTAAGAGAACTTTTTTGTATATCTCCATGAATGATAGAGTGAAAGGGGGAGGGGGGAGAGAGAGGAAATGTGCCCAGAGCTTTAAAGAAACAGAAATGGAGAATACAAAAAGTACTTCCACCCTTTCTGTTTGTACTCTAAAAGTTTTTACAGTAACCATGCTGCAAGTCAGGGGATCACAGGATCCTTTATTAGCAACTGCCGAAAACTTATCTTGAAGGCACAACTGGTGTTTGGTTGTTGTGCATGGTTTCTAAACCACTGTTTTATGGGTGTGAAATCAGATGAAATATGTTTATGAGGTTTTGACCCAGATATTCCCTTCTAAGTTTTGCCAAGATATTATATGCTTGGATCTTTTACCATATTTACTTAAATAAATACATTGAGGTTAAGTGCAAACTTGAGACTAAAACATGCTATATTTGTTCTCAGTCAAAAGCTCACACGTGGAGCTTAGCTGTGTGTGTATGTGTGTGTGTATGTTCATCTCTGTTTATAGGTTCATGTACTAGTTTTCTAAGACCAAGCTTACGCACGTTGAAGTGGAATGGAGTGCTTGCCATTATCCAGTCGATTTCATCTGCTGTTGCAAATTTCATTACTGAAATTTACTCATAAGCACTAACAATCCAAGCTACTGTCAGTGATTATCCACCTTAAAATAATTTTTGAATTCTAAATCTCTTTTACAAAAGCTATCATTAAGTTTCACAAACTCAAGGCTTTTTAACGAAGTGGCTTCTAATGTACAAAAGCTTTTAACAGTTTCTTTAAAAAGTCCAGTTGGAGCTTCAGCCATGATTTCTTCATTTTTTTGCCATCATAATCTGCTCCATATTATTTTTCAGGTTCATCTTATGGGATGTGTGCAGTCTATTCTTTTAGTGGAAATATATTTTAAAACCTCAGGCATTTTTACAAAAGAGTAGATGGTAATTTGGCAGATGATGGTCAAATGTTTAATGAGCAATTATCATGTTCGTATATGATAGTGCAATGCTTAGAATTGCTTTAAACTCAACATTAATTGGCCAAACCATAAAACTCCTAAATCTTTAGTATTATTAATCTGTTTATACTGATATAATGTTTGGGCAAGTTTTTCAGCACATATCTTAAACTGAACAGAACAAAATTTCTACAAGCCAAATATAGGGAAAAGATTGCCAATTCTTAATTTGATGACTACAAAAAAACAAACTCATTATATAAAGAACATAAAGCTGAGCAAAGACTAATAGATTAGCACATTGCTCATGAAGACCGTTATCAGCAATGAAGGGGCTTTGGGTAAACTACTTCCTCTCTTCCCTGTCTTTCTAGAACAGATTAATTAGTTACTTGCTTACTTTCCACTTTACGATGTGCTGTGTAAATTTGGCCTAATGGTGTCATGTCTGATGAATATGAATGTAGCTGCAAAAGTTAACAGGGAAACAAATATCTGCCCTTACTTCTATTTCAGAGTCTACTTTTATCTGACTATAGCTCCTACAGCCAGCCCCACCAGGAGTTTTACCTCCTCTAGACCTCTTAGACAAATTTTAAAGATGTTTTTAGATATGTTAGTTTTGGAAAAAATTAAATTAGAGGTTCATTTTGGGAAAAACATACACACACATAGCAGAATCATTAATAATAAATAGTATATGAACCTCATCAACAAGCAATACAGAATTTAATATTTCTGTAGGCATATGTCATTTCAGAACTTTCTGTCATTTAATATCATTTAACAATAATTTTTCTGTTGCATAAACGTGTCAAAATTTATTGAACTCATCCCTTATTTTAACATTTGGCTTATTCAAAGTTCTTGCTATTAAAATCAATATGCAAAATATCTTATAAGTCCAGGTGCAGTTGCTCATGCCTCTAATCCCAGCACTTTCGGAAGCCGAGGCAGACAGATCATTTGAGTCCAGGAGTTCCAGACCAGCCTGGCCAACATGGCGAAACCCCATCTCTACTAAAAATACAAAAATTAGCTGGGAGTGGCAGGCACGTATAATCCCAGCTACTCTGGAGACTGAGGCAGGAGAATCACTTGAGCCCAGGAGGCAGAGGCAGCCTGGGCAACAGAGCAAGACTTTGTCTCAAAAAAAAAAAAAATCTCATGAGATAACTTTTGTGAACATTCTTATCTACTAAGATCAATTCAACAAAATGGAAGTGCTTTTGCACATTTTATTTTTCTTACAAAAAGTTTGTAACAATCGCCCTCCCAGCAGCTGTGTCTGAGGGTGCCCCCCTCTTTGTCCCCTTGTTAACACTGGTGAATAAGTATTAAACATCAAACAAGAACAGCAACAAAACAGTGTCTTCAGCCATTTCTTTCACTCAGAAAAAAATTACGTGGGACATTTTTCATGTTGGTCTGGTTCTGGCTAATGAAGAAGAAAATATTGCAAGCAGTCATCCCCATAAACTGGGAGCATATGGGAGGAGACTTGAGAGCAGGGAAAGTACAGCACTCTGTTGGGTGAAATAGGAAGACTTTACATGAAGTTAACATGAAGACTTCAGACACTGCTAATGACAATAGCCTCAGCCCTGAGGTAGATTACTTTTTTCAACAACTACTTACCAACAGTCATAAAAAAAAATGTTGTTTTTCACCATCCTCTGCCTCTTCCCCAAGCCCCTGCCACCAAATATCAAATAATGATAGGCTGGGTGTGGTGGTTCATACCTGTAATCCCAGCACTTTGGGATGCTGAGGCAGACGGATCACTTGAGGTCAGGAGTTCGAGACCAGCCTGTCACCACGGTGAAACCCTGTCTCTACTAAAAATACAAACAATTAGTTGGGCATTGTGGCACTTGCCTGTAATCCTAGCTACTCAGGAGGCTGAGGCAGGAGAATCACTTGAACCTGGGAGGTGGAGATTGCAGTGAGCCAAGATTACACCATTGCACTACAGCCTGGGTGACAGAGCAAGACTTTGTCTCAAATAATAACAATAATTATGAAATAAATAAATAAATAAAAATTAAAAAATAAAATTTAGTCTAAATGCCTTCAGAAGTAGCTAACAATTTGAGATTTTCTTGTATAAGACAGACTTTTGCATTTGAAAATATTTACTTAGAAAAATGATCAAGAAAGTAGACTCTTCTTCTTTAGATGTCTGTTGATATGTATGACGAAATTTAAGGGAATCAAAATAATTCCTTCTGGCGTTTTTGTGTGTTTGTTTTGTGCTTTTTTTGTTGCTGTCGTTTTTGTAGTTTGTGCCCTTTAAACTGAATCCAGATCTAACAATTTTAGGTTGTTATGTAAGAGGGAAAGCATAAAAGCATTTTGCCAAAGTCACCGAAACTATACATCTTTTGGGAGATCTACCACCAAGCAGGCAAGAGAGAGACAATTGGAGAGCAATACTTTTAAGTAGAAGAGAGATTAAAAGCAGATCAAACATTTTGGGCTGAGGTTAGTGCTGTCAGCTCCTTCAAATACTTCCACTTGCATTATAAAGATCTGTGGTACAGACTTGAAGGTGGAACTGGGTTCTAAAATTGGAACCCTAGCCGGAAATCATTATAGTTCTATGATTAATTTATGCAAAAGTGGAATCATACGAAATCATGGCCTGAGCTGGAAATGAGTCCCCACATAAGCCTTCAGAGTTTCTAATGTCAGTTTGCAGTTTATCAGATGCCCTTGCCTGGTGATTGAGCTCGTAGACTGGAGTCAGGCATCACCTTTACACAGACCCTGTGCAGGAATTGGTTCTTTTCTTCAGCTGGTATGTGGTTTCCTGTCTTTTATTTAATGTTTCCAAGGTAATGTTTCCAAATGCATGAGACACAATTTCCTGAGCCTGAATGTGAACAAAATAGAAACTGTATTAACTAGTCCTAGAGGCTCTAGTTTTGGGCCTTAAACACTTACAATCTTGATCTTGTCTGTTTCATTGCATTAAATTCGTTTCTGTGATTAGCAACCTGAGAACATTGATGAATTTTGGCTGTCCTTTGAATCCCAATGTAAATCTATCGTTAGAGCTCAGAGATTTCAGGCTTTTGATGCAGGGAGGAGAACACACAAAAGCTTCTAACAACTACTGGAAAAGTGAAACAATGGCTCCCAGCCACGGTTCTTTTGCATTTGTGCCACAATAAAGTGTTTCACATTGATCTTTCAGTTGTTATGCTCTGAGGAGTATTTGCAGTCAGTAGAAAGAACATCTGTCTACTCAACTCTTAGATATCAGAGTTTTATACTATATACACATACTCTGAGGACTATCTTTCATGTTTATGTAGCATAAAAATATCTGAAGGAGTTCTCCAGAAATTTTTCTCTTGCAAGCTTTTAATATTTTATGTTCACTCGATGTGTTTTTCCATTTTCCATCCTAAGAATTTACTTTTAACCTGTTGAAAGGGTTTTAGTATCTGGTCTCTTGAAAAATACGTTAATAGAGTTTTACTGAAAAGAAACACTGTAATTAGAATGCCATATAAACTTTGATAGCTAAACCACTCAATACCCACTTGAAACAAGATGATATTTTTATTATAAAAGCATTTTTATGGATACTTAAATAAAGGTAAAGGGGTCATATTAGCACATGCTACCACACATCCAGTATTTATCCAGACAGTCTGGAATCCAACAACCTGGTCTGGTGTCTGAGACATGCAAGAAGTCTGGAATGGTGGCGATGACGGCCATGTTCAAATCCCTTTCTTCCTCTTTCTTCATTTTCATTCTTCTCTCTTCTGTCTCTCCTGCCAGATTTTTTAATATTCCACTCGGATTAGGGAACTAAATAGCAATGGCACTACTAGAGGAACTCGAGTCTTTGCTACCCTTCTCCATTGCTAATTTGGAAAGCTTTCTGCAACTCCTGAGCACTGCTTTACCGCTGCCAAACACATTTATAGACTTGTTTGTACCTGCAGAAGAATCACGTATTTCTTAACACTTTGACTAATTCTGTTTTTCAACAATTCAATTAGAAAAGTAAAACTAATAAATACTATTATTGTACCAGTTTCTGTTAAGTAGTTACTGAAGAGATATGATGAACAGCGATAACCCTTCAGCCTGACTTTCCTCAGCAAACATACATACTATTTGAAGGATGCTCCTTCACATTTGTGATGGGAACATCAATAGGATTAGGATTTGCAGCCAAATGTCACTGCCCTGACTTCTAAGAGAAATGTTGTTGCCTGTTCTTTAGAATAAAGTGTTGAGAAAAAAAGACAAAACAGAACTGGAGAAGCTAAAAAGACCTGAAAAATCTGCATTAGAAGAAGCAGAGAATACTTTGAAGAGAAACAAATAGATGTAGAAGTGTGTGTGTGTGTGTGCGTGTGTGTGTGTGTGTGTGTGTAAGAGAAGGATGGGAGAAATTGAAAGAGCGAGAGAGATCATCAATAAAAGGGGGGTTTTGGCCGCTGGCTCACACCTTTAATCCCTGAACCAGGCATGCTGGCTCACACCTGTAATCCCAGAAACTTTGGAGGCCAAGGCCGGCGGATCATCTGAGGTCAGGAGTTCGAGACCAGCCTGGCCAATATGTTGAAACCCCGTCTCTACTGAAAAATACAAAAATTAGCTGAGCGTGGTGGCAGATGCCTGTAATCCCAGCTACTTGGAAGGCTGAGGCAGGAGAATTGCTTGAATCTGGGAGGCGGAGGTTGCAGTAAGCTGAGATCACTCCATTGCACTCCAACCTGGGTGATGAAAGCGAAACTCTGTCTCCAGGAAAAAAAAAAAGCTAAGTTTTAGGGAAAGCATTCTGGGAAACTTCGGGACACGAGAATGACAAGGGACACACTGAGGGAGATGGATGATGGAGAAGAATTTTAAAGATCTGTTGCTCTGTGTCATGCAATATCATCCTGTGTCTGGCAAGCTTAAGGAGCTGCAGTAAAGATGTCAATTGTCTCCGATTTCACATTTGAGGTTGGATTTTATTTCCCCTGAATGCAAGTCTGTGTAGAGGATTGTTTATGGTGTGGCACAATTTTACAGGATATGCCCTTGTTTCTGCATTGCCTTCGAATTGTTTGCTAATTCTTTTATCTGTTTTGTTTTTTTTTGCGGGGGGGTGGGGGTTTCTAACTAAGTTTTAAAACAATTAAGCATTGCACTGCTTTTCTAGCTTTCAACACAGTCTTGGGCACATTTTTGTTATTAATAATGTTCTACCCACCATTCCTTCCCTGATGTGTGTGTGTGTGTGTGAGAGAGACCCTATCTCAGTTTTCTCTTTGAGAATGACTCTTTTCTCCATTCCAAGGGGTCTTGGTGGAACCATTAATCCAGGTGCTTAGGCAGACTCTTGGCCTGCACTTGTTGACAAAGACAGCCTTAACTTCCCTCGCTTCCCAGCTTTTTTTTTTTTTTTTGATGGAGTCTCACTCTGTCACCCAGGCTGGAGTGCAGTGGCATGATCTCAGCTCATTGCAGCCTCCGCCTTCCGGGTTCAAGCAATTCTCCTGCCTCAGCCTCCCGAGTAGCTGGGACTACAGGCATGTGCCACCACGCCTTGCTAATTTTTTTTGTAGTTTTAGTAGAGATGGGGTTTCACCATGTTGGTCAGGTTTGTCTCAAACTCCTGACCTCAAATGATCCACCTGCTTCGGCCTCCCAAAGTGCTGGGATTACAGGCCTGAGCCACCAAGCCCGGCAACCTTTCTCTTTTCTTAGAGCATTTTCCTGAGAAAGCTTATCATTGTATTATGTCTCTTTGATATAGATATATTTTTAAAATCTCTTGCCAATTTTACACCCAAGTCTATCTAGGACCTGAGAGCCAACCCTTTGAAACATAATCATCAAAAGAGATAGTGCCCCTATTTATTTCCTTGTTTTTGTGGGAGGATTGCAGCCTAACTCAGGTGGGTGCCTTGTTCCATGTTGTAAAATCACCTCCTGCCATGAAAATAAGAGAAAGTTGACCTTTCTTTTGGGGAAAGCCAATTAGTAAACAGATAACCTATAATCTCCAAAGAGGTTCTTAAAACCTTAGTTCTTTTTTAAAATTCCAGTTCTTTTTTACACCCCATTTCTTAAAAACCCTATTGCCCTTGTTCCTGCAAAGCTGAGTTCAGACTCAGTTCTGGTGTCTCTCCCCTGCTGCAATGTCCTCGAATAAAGTCTTCTTTGCCTGTTTAATTTTGTCCAGTGAAATTTTTGCTTTGACATTGGGCTCATCAGACACCCTGTTTCCCCTAGGAATTTGGATTCTGAACAGAGTGATATAAGGACAGAATTCATGTAGGACTGAGATATTCCAATGGTAACCACTTGAAAACACAAACTTTTTGTTCTTTCTCCTTAAATGTCTGGACTTGCCCTCATTTGCTCTCCTTTTCAATCAAGTGAATTGCCCTATATCCTTCCAATGAATTATTTTCTTGCTTAGACTACCCAGTAATTATTTAGGAACCAGTCTCACTGATGAAATAAGTTATTCAGATTGTAGTTATCCTCATAAAATCCCTATTAGGTAATGAGCATGAGTCCAATATTAAAAATGAAGAAATCTGAGGATCTCAGAAGTGCATTATTTTTCTAAATTCACCAGTTAGTCAGCAGAATTCTATAAATATACACTCTTTCCAGAAATGACACTTGAATTAAAGATAACAGATATGTACCACATCGGGTTGCAAAGAGCAAATTCATCTCAAGGGCAGTGATTGCTTTGTTTTGTTTAATAAATATCTCTCTTACCTTCTTTTTATATTCCCTCATAGTGATTTTTATAAAAGGCTCATATCTCTCAGGACACCTCTTAGTCTCTTAATGGATCAAATTTTCTTTCTCTAAAAGTTCTGATATAAGTAGAAATGCTTGAATGAGACAGAGAAGAAAGAGAATCTACCTCCGATTATTCATGCATTAGCGTATATCAATTTTTGATTTATTTAGTAGAGGAAGGAATTATGACTCAAGTTCCATACTTATTTCTGGTGCCTACAAGTTCATCTCCTTCCAAACTCAACTTCCTCACCTTTATTAACTTCTAATCAATAATCTTCAGTGTCTATTTTTCCCTGGACTTTCTTACCTTGTTTCAAGTTTCTTTAAAACACACATCTATATTCCATGTTACACAGTGCTCTTTATAACTTTAACATAGCCTCTACTCTGTCAGCGAGCTCTTTTTTCCTTCCTGCCGCTTGTCTTCTCCTATATTCCATGTTCAGTCTCTCATCCATTACTTTTCATTTTTGCTAATGTTTTTCCTTTTGTTTGAAAGTCTCTTTCAATACACTCTATGTTGCATTAAAGGTTTCAGCAATTACACTATTCTTTATAGATCTATCACCTTCTTGAACTTTAATGGTAATCTTGGTCAGCACAATTTATCCATCAATTTTTTTCTAACTGTTGCAAGTTCACTAACCTTGTCTCTTCAAGGACTGTGCCACAATGCAGTATCTTCATGGTGAACTGATGAAGAAAAAGACAGATAATAGGCCCATACTCAGTGATCATGTTTGAGACAGGACTAGGCAATGAGCTATAAAGAAGGTGATAAGTGGGTGAATTTCACTCCTTTCACCTGAGAAGAATAAAGGATATCTAAGCGTTCTATAACCTACAATATGCATTTCAGAAGGATTTTTTTTTCAAATATTAATAGGATGACACACTAAACAAGATAATTCTTCATGTGTCAGACTCCCAAATTCTCCAATACTTAGAGCATCTTTTTGACAATCCTGACTAGTAGTAATTATTAACTTAGTTTTGCCATCCAGGCAACTCAAGGGGATTAAGTAACTTGCCCAAGATCAAACAGCTAATGTAGAGTTGGGATTTACATGCAAGTATGTTACTTAATAACTCCATACTGTTATCTCTCTGTGGTAGGCAGAATATCAGCCTTCCAATGATGTCCATGTCCTAATTCCCAGAACTTGTGAATATGCTACATTACATGACAAAGGGAAATTAAGACAGCAGATAAAATTAAGTTTGTTAATTAGCTTATCTTAAACTAGAAAGATTACTCTGAATTATCCAGGCAGGTCCATTATAATCACAAGGTTCCTTAATTGCAGATGTAGACAGAAGGGTCAGTGTCAGAGTGGCACCATATGAGAAAGACTTGACTGGTCATTGTTGGCTTTGAGGAGGAAAGGAGGCCATGGGACAAGGAATAGGAACTTGAAACTGACAGAAGCTAGCAGAGGGATTCTCCCTACAGTGTCCAGAAAACAACACAGCCATAACACATCTTGATTTTAGCCCAGTGAGACCCATTTAGGACTTCTGCTATCCAAAACTATAAAACAATAAATTGATGTTATTTCAAATCACTTTTAAATCTGTGGTAACTTGTTAAAGGAACAATAAGAAATTGATATACAACTAAGATGTAAAATATTCCAGTGTATTAAGAGTTGTTAAATAATCATGGAGACACATGATCCTGATCCCAAAAGATTCTGGCAGGTACCGTTTAACCAAGGGGAGGATAGATTCAGGATGTTATTGTCTCTATTGAAAATCAGTTCACCTTATTTTAGAGAATAGTTCAAGTTTTCAAGAATATTGGAAGGTGTAGGCAAAGTAAAATACTGTCCTGAGGTAATGAGGACAATTGAAATATCTACTACAGACTCATACCAATAAACTTGCTCTTTTTCAACAATATGAGTCCCTAAATTTACTAGTCCCTACTAATTATAGACTGAATTGTCTTTTAATGCCATACATATTGTCCTACAGAGAGCTTGTAAAGTCACCAATTTATATCTAATATGATGGGAGAAGGTATATACACGTACATGAACAGATTCTCTGAGTTGCACAGTAATTGCATAGACCAAGGTATGTGTCTCATGCAAGTAAAAATAGGCACACTTTGTATCAGCTTTAAAGGTCTCTCAGAATATCTCAAGTTGTAACAGTTATATAGTGACCCTAAGTCAATTTATTCATTGAATATTCATTATGTTCCAGTTGCTCTTGTAGGTGCTTGGGATACATCAGGAATATACTATATTTCTTAGAAAATTTGTATTTCCTGAGAATTTAAAAAATGATCATATATAAACCTGTTTAACTTCTATCCCACAGGGTATTTCAAGTCTCCATAGTCCTGTCCCTCCTAAATTCACTAGTTATGCTGAATGCCTAGCATAGTCATTATGAGAAAGGTTTGTAGAGTTTGACAAATTTGGGTACTGAATACCTTCACTTACTAGCTAGAACATTGGTCCAGGTGCTAAAATAAGCTTCATTGTTCTTCTCTGTAAAATGGAAATAACAATCTTTATTCAATAGATTAACTAGAAGTTCTAAGTGCACTTAATATATTATGTACATAGCATGAGACACTGTGCTTAGTACATATCAAGTATTCAGTGATGATCATTATTGTTATGATGTCTATTTTGTTCTGTTATTTGCCTATTACTATAGGCTCTAGAAACAAAAAAAACAGATAAGTTCTTATTAAAATAGAGCAGATTATATAAATTTAAATTCTGTCATGATGTTATCTTGCTGATTTGTAGCTAACTTGTACCTACATTATAAAATTCCAATTGATTTTGAGTGAGCCTTACTGGATTATTTTCCCCCTAAATCTTAGCAGCCTGGTCATCCCATTCACTGAGGAGAATGTCCCTGCAAACAAGGTGAGAGGGAAGGGTAAAGCTCTTTAGAGATGACCTGCAGGAGAGATGATTTCCACCTATTCCAGAAAATCATCAGAGTAATACCTAAGCTAGCCTTAGGTCAAGACCAGGCATTCACAAATCTAGGTAGACATCTCCAGTTTTGCAGCAAACTAGGTAGTATAGAACAAAATGTGGGCAGCCAGCTGTTTTATATAGCAAAAAAAAAAAAAAAAAAAACCTGCACACATTTTAGGGAGATTATTCTGGGATCATCTTCCCAGATAACTGAAAAGAGAAAATTTAAGTATCTAAGATTTAAATGTCACTAATTAATTAATGTGGTTAACAAAATTAAGGAGATAATTAATGCAATTAAGTTGCTGATACCCAAATCAACAATTCAACCTACCATCTATCTATCTACTTACTTATCTTTTTAAATGATTTCCGCTTATTGGCTTCAGAAGAATAGTTTTATAATATTGAAATAATGAAATTTTGTTTCCCTGTGCATATTTTTTATGAGTAAGTAATTGTTAGAAATGTTTTATTTTCATTGGCAGGTCTAAGAAGACTTTTTTTTTAACATTTAAAAAATTAGCCACAGGATTAAAAAACATATATATCATCCTTTGGCTAGGATAACAGCTCCTAATTGAGACCCAATAAATAGCCTCTAATGTTTATTTAATCAATAAAGAATTAAATTGGTATCTGAAGGTCAACAAACACAGCCAGAATCCATGAGTGTGTGGCTCTGCGTTGGAACAAGCCATTTATCCTTGACACACACACTTCCCAACTGAAAGCAGGCACTTTGCATATAAGCCACACGCTGTGTTGATCTGAGAAACTCTGAGCTGGAATCCCAGTTGACAAAGCACACCTGCAGTGGCTCAGCTTTTCAACATGTCTTCTTTAGACACTAAACAGATAGGAAAATGGGTGAGGTGGGTTGCAGCCCCATGAGCATTCCTCCACCTTAACAGCATGCAAATGATTTAACACAAATCCGTCCTGCATTTTGGCATAAATCATTTCCATCTCCCACATAACCACTATCAAGCTAAAAATGTGTTTGGCCATTTGGGGCATATATTGAAGGCACTGATATTTTCAAACTAAGGTTCTTAAGTAAAATGTGTAAGATTGACAAAAGACTGTTTTCATTCAAAATGAAAATGAAAGTCATCATTCTTTTCCTTTTTTTTCTTTTGTCCTTCTGTAAATATAGGAGACTTTATGTTTGTAAAGTCTAACAGAACTTTCTGCAATGATGGCAATGTTCTTTGTCTAAGGTTTTCATTACAGTGGCCACTGGCCATGTGTGACTAACAAAAATGAGGTTAGTATGACTAAAGAAATAAATTTAAATTTTAAGTAACTTAAATGTAAATAGCTATTTATGTATACTGGCAACTACCTTAAGTAGCAGGGCTCTAGCTATTTAAGACAGCATTTTACATTTCTTTGAAATTTGGGGTTAATAAAAATTAACCAAATAACCTTATTTCTGGCAAAATAAGATCAAGATCAATTCAAGAAAATAGAAGGACAAACATCATCACTTTAGCTATAGTTTTTAGTGCAAAGTTTAGATCCTTCTTAAGTACAAACGATTTATTGGACAATTATAAATATTTTGTGCTGTCAATGGACTATTTCGATTAACCAGAAGTTATTGTATAGCATCAATTTCCAGTTTCTAAATGCTGCCACCCATTTAAATAGAGTTCTCACAAAAATACTCTTTAAAAGTAAAACTAGCAAGAATCAAAATATTATGGATTTATTTATCTGTCTCAAATCAAGACAATAAAGAAGTTTCTTGTTATTTGATTAAAAAATAACACCCCATCAAAGCAATGCTAATAAAGTTTCTTTTCTTTATTCTTCTCAAAATAACACCCCAAACAACAAGAAGAAAAAGAAGACACTCCAACTCCACCATCAATGAAAAAGAGGCCCTTGGTAATCTTTATCTTTGGAATATAAAGATGGAAAGGGGTATTGGAAAGGGAGATGACAAAAGACCAAACAGAGAGGATGCAAGTCAATCCAATATTCCTGAGAGAGGCTGAGAAGAGGGAGAAGGGGCTGGGCCAAAGAGAAGTTTGCTTATTTACCCCTAAAACATTCTAGAAGGTCTCAAGAATTAGATGGCACAGATATTACTGAAATCAGGAGGAAAGCTTGAGATGGTGAAACAGAGGGAATATCTAACAGTGTTATAAGTTAGACCACTATGCCATGCATTCAGAGACTTTTCACTCCCTCTCTCCTACCAACACCCCCACCCAAAAAAAACCAAGAAGATTATGTGCTAGAGCAATGTTGCTCAAACTGTGGTCCCCAGGCCACAGATCAGGAAACTTGTTAGGAGTGCATTCTCTGGCCTCACCCCAGACCTACTAAATCAGAAGTTTGGGAGTTGAGGTCTAATCAACTGTGTCTTGGCTAATCTTCCGAAAGATTCTGATCATGTTAAGGCTTGAAAACCACTGCTCAAGGGAAATTGAACCAGCAAGGCCCTGGCCTCATTAGTCTAGGCACAGGTTATTTAAATTCAATACTGAAAACAAGGGAATTAAGTACTTACTGAAAGGCCCCAACTCCAAAAAAGCAGCAGCTATTCATGCTCTTCAGATAGAAGGTTGTAGGATCTTTTCTGATGAAACTACCCTGGAGAAAAACAATCAATAAAATCAATAAAAAACCCACTGGCTACCTAACTGCCCTATAAGCCCACAGTGCTTCCAATTCGTTTTTAAGTGCCCAATTTTAGACATGAATGGATAGTCAAGGGTGACGAGATATTTGAGGAAAGTATCACAAATACCAAAACAAATAAATAGAAAAACCAGGCACTCAAAAGAAACAGATGATGTAGGGAACCAAAGAAAACTTCAAAAATTATAGAATTAATGATCTCCAATAGAGAAAAAAAAAATGCTGCATCAAGGAAACAAGAATATTATGGCATCCAAAAAGAAACTATTGTAGAAAAAGAAGAAATACTTGAAACTTGAAAGTGTGATAGCTGAAATTAGTAATTCAATAGAACTGGTTGAATGCTAAATCAAGAATTCTCTCAGAAGTAGAACAATAAACAGAAGGTGGATGATAAAAAAAAGAAAATAATTAAATTAGAAGCTCCTGTCCAGGAGATGCAACACCCAATAAATAGGATCTCACACAAAAGATAAAATGGTGGTGATAAGAAACAGGGAATTTTCAAAGCAATAATATAAAAAAATTTTTTGATGCTGAAGGGCATAACCCTTCTACTGAACATCCAGACTAATAAGTGAGAAAAACAACGGCAAATCATTGTAAAGTCTTAAAGTATCAGAAATGGTAAAAATATATATCCTAAACATCCCTAGGGATTAAAAAAATTAGTCACAGATCCTAGGGAATCCAATTGATATCAGTATTCTCAAGGGCAATCTTGACAAATAGAATATGATAATGTATTAAAAACTTCCTAATGACATGAAATTCAACCTAAAATGCTCTAGTCATTCAGTCCATCAGGCAAGGGTAGAAAAATGACAATTTCAAATGCATAAAGGATCAAAAAAAATTCCTCCCGTGTAAACTTTTGTGAGCAGCTACTGTAGGATATATTCCACCAAAATGAGGGAGTTGTCCAAAAAAGAGAAGAACACGGGATCTAGGAAACAGTGACTCCCAACCCAGGGAGTAGATAAGTTGATTCCCAAGGTAATGTCAGCGGTGAGTCTGAGAGAGTGAGCTGTGCAGAAGATCTAAAATAGAACCATTTCATATTAGGAAGGAAGTTTCAAGGGGAGAAATAAGGAATAGATTGTGAAAGACAGATTCCCTGCAAGGTGGTGACAAGAGAAAAAGTTGTCATCCTACAGAATGGGAGCATTTAGACACCTAAACTCGCTCCGTGAAAATTTGGTATGGCTAAATACTATACTAGTAGACTGTAGGATGGCAGATGACAGCTGAAAGCAACTGCTTCACTGTGTCATATAGCTGCAACCACAAGGCTTGGACCATTGTACCTTAACATAGCAGGGGAGGGGCTGATGGTTCCCTAATCATGTTTCCTCTATAATTCAACTCAACTACAACTCACTGTAATTCAAAGGCCAGTTTCCCTCTCTGGAAGTCTGATATCTGGCCATAACACATCTTGGTGCACTGTTTCAGAAGGCCGTGGCCAACAGAGGAACCATAATTCACTTCTGCTTCTGCCTATAAGTTTTCTTCCAAAAAACACCATTCCAAACTTGAGACATATTCTTCCTTGTCATTCATCATTCATTGCTTGTTAAACACTACAGCAGCAAAAATCCTATCCCCCAGACACACACACGAGACACACAAACACATACAAAAAGAAAACTACTCAGCTGCAAACACAAGCCACTTTTTATAGAAAAGAATATATGACTAAAATAAACAGCCAAGATCCCAAAGGGTGTAGCCAATTTTCACAAACAAATTGTGAAAACCTGTATTGTGAAGCATCTAACAGATTTATTGGAGTATGTAGATTTTGTCGGATATTTTAAAAAAGTTAAGAAACTGAAAAAGGAGCAGTTTTATTAATTCCTTTCCAAATACAATGTGTACTTGTAGTACTCTACTTGGCTTGACATTGAATATTTGCCACGTTGTAATTGATGTATACATTGAATATGTATTAAAGCAAAATTGTTATATGATTTTATTGGGAGGATGAGACTGATTGGAAAAAAGTGATTAATGTAAGCAAATCATTGTAAAATCTTAGAGTATCAGAAATCCTCCATTAACACAAAGGTAAAATCCTCCATTAACCTAAAGATGAAGAAATTTATTAATAACTAAAATTCATGAGCCAAGAAATAGTAGTTCATGAATATTATTTAGAAATATGGTGGCCGATATCAGGAGAAATAACTCAAAGAGTTGAAAGAGATTGAACTGAGAAGTGAAATGACATGTGAAGGAGGGGGCAGTAAACATTAATCTGTATTAAAATCCTTTTGTCACTGACTTTTTAAAGATTTCATGTGTAGTACTTGATAAAAAATTAAAATAATTTAAAATATGGATACATAACATTTTCCAAATGCAAACAGACCTCATTCATTCGAAAAGTTGGTTGGTAAATATGTTGCTATAGAAACCTTGAAAACACCCAGACTATTTCATCATTGTAATATGGTGTATCAGTTTTCTATTGGGGCATAACCATCCCAGAATTTAGTGACTTAAAACAAAATCTTAAATGTATTTATTATTTATTTATTTATGTATTTACTTATCATGAACTTGCAAATTGGGCAGGGCTCAGTGAAATCTATTTGTTTTGGGTCCATTCAGTATTAACTGGGAAGCCCTGGGAGCTGGCGGAAGCACTTTCCTGTATGGATTACATGGGTTTCTGCATAGCATTGTGGCTGTGTCTGGAATGAGCATCCCAAGAAGCAGGACACTTTTATAACCTACCCTCAGAAATTGCATAGGGCAAATTTCTTTATACTTCATTGGTCAAGTCAATCATAAAGTCCTGTCCAAGCTCAAAGGGAGGGGCCATAGGCTCATCTTGGATAATTTGATGATGGAGTGCTGAAGTTCTAAAACACCACATGAAACAAGGGAGGTTGTGGCTACCTCTGGGAAATACAATATTCCACAGCCCTCTGTTTATCCACAATTTACAGCTTTCTCACACTCACCTATTTCTTTAAGAATCCCCCAAAGCCTCATTTTACTAGGGCTTTGGGTTCAGGCAAGAGGTCCAGGATGTCAGGAGTTAAATCAGATCCAGATGTGGATGAAGCTCCTCAGGTGCAGCCTTGGGTACAGTTTCTTAAGCATCATTATTCTCAATACAAAGACCTGCAAACTAAAGAGCCACTTTGTTGGCCCTTTCCACGCCCCATATATGATGGTGAGGCAGGCATAGGCTAACATCTATAGACACCCCCATTTGAACTGTGAAAACAAAAGGTGGATTGCAGATATGGGTTCATTGCAGTTCTGACATCCAGCCCCTTATGTGTTATCAGTTCCTTGATTAAAGCCCATTCCTACTCCTTGGGAGTTCATACCTCTTGGCTACACCCTCTGATATCTTGGCTGTTTATTTGAGTCATATATCTATAAAAAGTTGCCTGTATTTGCAGCTGAGTAGTTTCTTCTGCCTGTCCTCTGCATGTAAAAATTTCACTGCCAAAGACCTTTTCTCATTTTATATTGTTCAGTGGTTTTCAGAACAAGCTCATATAATTCTTTTAGAAATGTTGTGGGATGCTTATGTATCAATTTATGAACCTATTCCATTAGACTAAAGTCAGAGCCATAAATCCAAAAATATTGTTTAGTTAGCTCTTTCTCTACTCAGTGCTCTTGCCCTTGTGGGCAAACACCCTCAGATTCTTAGAAGCCCTCCTAGGTTACAGGGATGATTTGTAAAGCACACCCTTCAGGTCCCTAAGGAATCTGCTTTCTCTCTTAAAGGGTCTAGGAGGCAGGGTCTTAGATTTTTGTGAGGTCTTATCAAAGAATTGTACAGTCCTATCCTGGATTTGATATTGGACCTGAAGGTCCTTTTCAATTTAGAACTTGCTATACTCTGGTTTATCTTCAGATCATATAAATCTTTTGCCTTTTAATTTAGAACTTTCTGTCTGGAGAGGCCAAGAATGAGAAACAGTTTTATTATTAAACTCATCAAGTCCTGGATCCTTTCTATTTAACAGTGTATTCTTTAGCTCATTTCTCTCTCTTTTGCATTTTATCACAGGCAGTGAGATGAAGCCAGGTGATACTTACTATATTTTGTCTGGAAATCATTACATGATTGAGTTCATTTCCTGTTTTCCAAGTTTCCCCAGACTACAGAGCTGCCAAAGTTTGTGTCACTACACACTCCTTTTTTCTAACTTCTTTTAAGTTAGTCTCCTCATTGTCAGTCTCCTTGAGGCCAGTTAGGCTCCTGCTAACTCTCTACTCAAGGACCCCCTTCACTAACAATCTGTTGAAGGCTCTTGAAGCCCCTGCCTTTTACCTGGTCTTGAAGTTAATGCCATATGTTTTAGGTTTTGTTACAGCAACACCCCACTTCCAGGTACCAAAATCTTTATTAGTCATCTATTGCTACAATGACAAACCACTGCAAAGTGACTTAAAACAACAATAATTTTTTATTCTCCTCATGAATCTACAGTTTGGACAGGGTGCATCTCTGCTCTACATGGTTTCAGCTGGGAGGACTCAACTAGAGAATCCAATTATAAGATGACTCCCTTGCATGACTGGAAAGTTAGGGCTGGCTGTCAGCTAGCTGGCAGTTAAAACAGGGCAAGGGTCCAAGGACAGAAGTTCGTTTCCATGCAGGCATCTCCACAGGCTGAATGGGCTTACTCACAGCATAGTATCTGGCCAGGTTCTAAGAGCAGGAGTGTCAAAAGAGCAAAGTAGAACATTTTCGTAGAAAATCATAAACTGTCATTTAAGTTATACTTTGTTAGTCAAGGCCTGCACAGGTTGAAAGAAGGGACACAGGCTCTGCCTCTTGGTCGAGGAAGACAAGATTCTAAAAGAACGTATGTGGTGGGTGCCATGGTTGTCACTATTTTGGCTAACTAGGTTACATACTAACTTTCAGGAATGAAGATTTGGTAACAGAGATATGAGGAAAGCACATGAAATATATGAGTAATTTTTACTAAGACATTTTATTTTAGAGCCTCTCTAAAGGGAGAATGTAGGCAGGGCACGGTGGCTCATGCCTATAATCCCAACACTTTGGGAGGCCAAGGCGGGCAGATCACTTGAGGTCAGGAGTTCGAGACCAGCCTGGCCAACATGGTGAAAACCCATCTCTACTAAAAATACAAAAATTAGCTGGGCATGTTGGTGCACACCTGCAGCCCCAGCTACTCGGAAGGGTGAGGCAGGAGAATCACTTGAACCCGGGAGGCGGAGGTTGCAGTGAGCTGAGATTGCACCACTGCACACCAGCCTGGGTGACAAAGCAAGACTCTGTCTCAAAAATAAATAAATAAGAACAACAAATCATGCTACTATAAAGACACATGCACACGTATGTTTATTGCAGCACTATTCACAATACCAAAGACTTGGAACCAACCCAAATGTCCATCAATGATAGACTGGATTAAGAAAATGTGGCACATATATACCATGGAATACTATGCAGCCATAAAAAAGGATGAGTTCATGTCCTTTGCAGGGACATGGATGAAGCTGGAAACCATCATTCTCAGCAAACTTTCACAAGGACAGAAAACCAAACACCGCATGTCCTCACTTATAGGTGGGAATTGAACAATGAGATCACTTGGACATAGGGCGGGGAACATCACACACCAGGGCCTGCTGTGGGGTGGGGGACTGGCGGAGGGATAGCATTAGGAGAAATACCCAATGTAAATGATGAGTTGATAGGTGCAGCAAACCAACATGGCACATGTATACCTATGTATCAAACCTGCATATTGTGCACATGTACCCTAGAACTAAAAGTATAATAAAAAAAGTAAAAAAAAAAAAAAAAAGAAGAAGAAGAAGAACAAAGGGAGGATGTAGTATCTAGCTGACTCATATATTGATTGATACACTCTCAGATATGGCCTTTGATTGGTTTTAAAACATCCTTTAATGAAAGGCTGTTCCATAAAAAGGTAATAAGAACTAAGGTTTTGGCACTGTGCTCTTAGCAGAGTGCTGATGCAAAGTTAGCATTCAAAAACGCTAGACACTTTTGACATGCACACATACACACATGCACATACACACACTTTTGTTGCTGTGCCAACCTACCATTTGGTAATTATGCAGTCTATTAAACAATTTATCAAGCTCATCCTACGTACCAATATAATATAGTACAAAAATGAGTGAGATTTCCATTTTTTATTTCATCAACAGATAGAGAACACAACAGGTAAATAGATAATCGCCATGTATTTTTAAAAAGAACTTTAATTATACTGGCTGTTTAATCAAAATCACAAATTGGAATATATAGTCTAAAATAAGACTTTTTCCTAATTTTTAAATTTGTACAAAAACTTACAAAACAGCTAAATGTATGCAGCTGAATTTATTGAGTAGAACAAAATTACATGAAATTATCACTCTCCCAGTAAATATGGTTGCCATATTTCGCAAATAAAAATACAGAACACTCAGTTAAATTTGAATTTCAGATAAAATATGAATAATTTTTGGTATAAGTATCTCCCATGACATTTTTGGGACATACTTTTACTAAATTTATTCATGGCTTATCTGAAATTTAAATTCAGCAGAATGTCCTGCATTTTATTTGGCAACCCTACCAGTAAATTCAAGTTGTGTGGTCATGATTAAACCGAAATAGTAACAATGTACTGTGGGAGCTACAAAGGAAAAGAACCAAAGGTAGAGAGTTTTGCTCATTTGGTCCACTATAAAATGGGCTGCATGTAGAATAGTTAGGTTAACGTAGTCAAAGGAGAGTTGTCTAAATCAGAAAAATCATTCTTAAGGCTGAATTAGTTATAAAGCAACAAATATGCACAAAATCCTTCTTTACAGCTTTTTCTAATCCATGATTATCTTCCAAAGTCTGTACTTTCTTCTGTAGCTTCAAAAAGACCACTTGGATTATCAGACTCAATTTCTCCACATGAGAAATAAATGATCATTGTTATATTATTTCTTTTCCTAACTCATGAAGTGGGGTCAATACATTAAGTGACAAAGCTTTAAAAAAAAATTGGCAGTTTAAAAATGTGACTGAATGGACTTGAAATCAAACATAGTCAGATTCTCTTTCTTGTAATCAGAAATACTCCAGACTCAGGAAACTGTCTTATGTCTCTGCATAAATCGAAGCAGTGAAAAATTTCAGCAAATAGTAATTTTCCAGATTTGCAACATGACAGAAACATCAGGTGGCTGGCTAAACAATGCAAGGCACAGAAACTAAATAAAAACCTTCCTTAATGCCTGCTCTTCACAGAAATATGAGGGGCGGCTGCCTTATCACAATTTCTTTAAGCCTTCCCAGCTGGGAAAACTGGAAGTTTTACCATGGTCACTGACAATCTGATGACCACCGGAGATGCAGTAAACCATCCCCATACATGGAAAAAGAAAGCAGAATCTTCCTTTGGAGGTACTAATGGCAGTCATTAAACTTCAGGATTTTTTTAGTTCCTTTTGAATTAACAGTAACCTTTAATTTCTAAAACAAGCAATTCAAGAATGTGGTGGTCCTAAGTGACTGCATCTATGGAGAAGCCTTTACGAGGAGTAAAATAAAAATAAAAAACAAATAGTTACGGTCTTGTTCAGACTTTCATCCCTTGATCATGTGAAGCTCAACAGCCACTGCGCCCCAGTGCAAAAGCAGGTCTCTCCAATTGCCAGGACCCATTTAACTGAAAAGGAGTGGTGGGCTGCAAATAGTTCGATAGTTATTACAAAATAAGTACACATAAATTAGAGAGAGAAAGAGATAGAGAGACAAAGATGATAAATTATTGTCTTCTTTATCCTCAGATTTCTCCTCGATTTTAGATAACAAATGGGGAGAAAAACAGAAAGAGCCAAGAAAGATTAGGGTTTTTTTTTTTTGCTTTAGAAGTGCTGGAGTACCACTGGCTCTGAAAACACTAGATTGAAAAGGTTGAAAGGTGGGAGGAAAGGACCGAGAAACAGAGTGTGTAGAGATTTGGGGCAGTTTGCAAGGATAAAATGAGAAACTAGGGATAATTGGCAGGATACTTAGAATGAGCTTTCCATGGACATAGGGGAAGAGAATCTGTAAGATGTTTTGCTTGGTGTCATGAAACATACTTCTCATTTGCCATTTTTTAAGATAGGTTTATACTATTTACCAAAATAAATGAATAGGTAAAATTTCAAGGATGGCAGGGAAAAAGTAGCACAGATAGTAAAGTCAAATAAGGAGTGTCACAATATTAAAGTTATGGGAAATCAAGTCTCCTAAAAAATCTCTTGTAAATGTAAGATATATTGGGTCAGTCACAGTAAAATCTAGGTAGAAAAGAGTTCGTAAGGAATATACATACATTTAAATGTACTGATTTACCCATATTCCTTTGAACAAGCTAAAGTACTTGTTCATTTTCTCTCCTTCTTTTGGAGTAATTTTCTTAAGACACAAGTATTATCAGCCAACTTTCCAATTAAATATCTTCTGGATGCTCCCCATGGTTTATAAAATAAAGTCCAATTTTTTAGCATAGTATTCCAAGTCTCTCATAACCTGGTCCCAATTTCTCTTTTCAGGCTTTTTACCTATCGCATCCACTTGAGCTCATATTGGTAGACTTCTTTTCTGAATCTTTATCTGTGCTCATCATATTCTTCCTTCCTGCAATATCCTTCCCCAAAGGAATATGTTTAAATCTGTGCTGCACTACTTCCCAGCTAGGAGACATTACTTAATGTCTCAAGACATATTTTTGTAGGATAGAGCTAATAATAATCTCTATACCATAGATATTCCACAAATATTAAATATAATACTTACAAAGAAATTTACACAGTGTCTAGCATGTACCAGTCATTTAATAGCTGCTAGCAATATTATTTTCTCTTCTCTATTAAGATCACATGTGTATTTCATTCAGATTCATGAAATCTTCCTCTAATTGAAAGTATGCTTTTGATCCTCCATGCCACCATAGCACTTGGCATATTGCTTTTTATGCACTTTCCAGATTCAAGCTTGATTTGTTATGAGTTGGAGCATGTTTGTTTTTCCCAAGAAAATTGTATACTTGTTTGCTGTTGAGGCTGCATCATGTTCATCATAATGCCTTCACAACAGAACACTGTTCAATAAATACGTATATTGAGATTGGCACTGTGCTAGCCACTAGAGAAAAAGAGTCAATTATACCTCATCCTTGCCCTCAAGAAGCTTCTCATCTAATGAATAAATTCAGCCTTGTAGATCATCCTTAGTAAATGTTTGCTGAATTAAATTGAATGCTCTTTTGCAGTGCTTAATTTTTAAACAAGTGCTATAATACCAAAGCAGGAGTCTGCCTTTGTTTTCCCAAGAAGCAGAACCTGCAATGGAGATTTGTATGCAAATAATGTAAAATGGAAGTGTTCTCAGGAGAACCTGCAAGATAATGAAAAAATCTGGATAGACATGAGATTAAAGATAGGCAGAGGCCGGGCGCAGTGGCTCATGCCTGTAATCCCAGCACTTTGGGAGGCCAAGGCAGGTGGATCACGAGGTCAAGAGATTGAGACCATCAACATGGTGAAACCCCGTCTCTACTAAAAATAGAAAAATTAGCCAGGCACAGTGGCAGACGCTTGTAATCCCAGCTACTTGAGAGGCTGAGGCAGGAGAGTGGCTTGAACCCAGGGGGGCGGAGGTTGCAATGAGCCGAGATCGCACCACTGCACTCCAGCCTGGGTGACAGAGTGAGACTCCATCTCAAAAAAAAAAAAAAGATAGGCAGAGATGGTTACAGGAGAAGTCTAGCCTCATTCTGATCCCAGGGGGGGCTCTGGGGCAGGAATTCTACTACAAAAGTTACTGCACCCCCTGCAACCTCCCTTCTCCCCGCCATCTGACAAAATTGACTGTGGCAGAGTTGAGAGAGGCATTCTCAACTTTCCTGACATTTTCATGCTAGGCAGCTCCTGTCAACCAAGTGCATTCTTCAGAGAAGGATGCTGGAAGAAGCTGTGATCAGTTAGCAGCAGAAGCTGAAGCTTAAAGAAGCTAGGAAATAGTGCTTAAGTCCAGAGAAGTGCATCTGGTTGGGGGTACTGTTATGCACTGAATTGTGTCCCCTACAAGGTTCATATGTTGGAATTCTAATCTCCAATTCCTCAGAATGTGACTGTATTTGGAGATATGGTCTTCAAAGCAATAATCAAGGTAAAATAAGGTCATTAAGGTGGGCCTTGATTCATTATGATTGATGTCCTTACATGAAGGGAAATTAAGACATAGAAAAACACCTAGGAACAACCATGTGAAGATAGAGGGAGAAGGTGGCTACCTACAAGATTATATGGTTTGGCTGTGTCCCCACCCAAATCTTGTCTTGAATTGTAGCTCCCATAATTCCCTTGTGTTGTGGGAGAGACACAGTGGGAGATAATTGAATCATGGGGTAGTTTCTCCCATACTGTTCTCATGGTAGTAAGTCTCACAAGATCTGATGGTTTTGTTTTTGTTTTGAGATGGAGTCTCGCTCTGTTGCCCAGGCTGGAGTGCAGTGGAGCAATCTCGGCTCACTGCAACCTCCGCCTCCCGGGTTCAAGTGATTCTCCTGCCTCAACCTCCCAAGTACCTGGGATTATAGGCATGTGCCACCACAATGGCTAATTGTTGTATTTTTAGTAGAGATGGGGTTTCGCCATGTTGTCAGGCTGGTCTTGAACTCCCGACCTCAGGTGATCCGCCCACCTTGGCCTCCCAAAGTGCTGGGATTACAAACGTGAGCCACCGTGCACTGCCAACCTGATGGTTTTATAAGGGGTTTCCTCTTTCACTTGGTTTTCATTCTCTCTTGCCTGCTGCCATGTAAGATGTAGGCACATTCTTTCCTTACCTTCTGCCATGATTTTGAGGCCTCCTCAGCCACGTGGAACTGAGTCCATTAAACATCTTTTTCTTTAAAAATTACCCAGTCTCAGGTATGTCTTCATCAGCAGCGTGAAAACGAACTAATACACAAGCCAAGGAGAAAAGCCTCAGAAGAAACCAACCCTGTTGACACATTGATTTTGGATTTCTAGCCTGCAGAATGATGAGAAAACAAATTTCTGTTGCTTCCACCACATAGTCTGTAGCATTTGTTATGGCAATCCTAGCAAACAAATACAGGTACCAACAGCATCTGCTGCAGTCCCCAAAGAAAAAGCAAATCTAAAAAGTCATCAACAGAAGAAAGAGAAACGGAGGGAAAGATAAGACGCTGTGGGTATGAAGCGCCACATAATTGTTAAGAAAAAGGCTGCTTTTATCAATGATCTGGCCTGGTCTTTCGGAATAGAGATGTGTTTTGTCTCCCCTGCTCCCCACTATTTTCCCCAGTCGGAAGAGAATGGTTTCTGGGAAACAACAAGTGCTTTGAGAGTTCAGGTAGTTGAAAGTCATTTGAGTTCCAGATGGTTTGGAGGCAAAAGGTAACTTATGTGCTAATGGAGGAAAGGGAAAGCTGTTGAACAAGTGATAATTGGCTCAGGGAAGGAGAAACCCAGAAAAAACTCTGCATATTTTAAATATGTTCCCATCTACTAGGTCTCCTACTAACTGAAAGGCTGGAATGAAGGCAAAAACTTTCAGAAGACTGAAAAACTGTCCTAGTCGGAGGCCTCAACTACCAAGGATTTAGGTATTTTCCCTCCTCATCTTCCAATTTTAGTATTAAGGAAGGTAAAATGCAGTTCTCACCAGCAAGTGGCTTTTGGAGTTTTTTTCAGTTTGCTTGTTTTTATGTTTTTAATATCCATAGGGTTTTGGGTTTATTGAGTAGAACTCCTATTGTAATTCACCAAAGCCATTCCAGATTCTCAGCATTCAGAGCAGCCAAGAATCTTGTGGTTTTCTCCCGTTGTCCCACCATGCACTTCTGGAGTCCAACACGATAAAAGGCACAAAAGCATAAAGGAAAAAGCTTTGCACAGTTTCAAAAAAAAAATTAATTACATAAGGACAGGATGAGAGATACATGGCTTAAATGTGCTTCCTAGGGGAAAAAAAAAAAGGCCTGGGGCTTTAGACCACAAGTTCAGCAGAACCCATGAGTATAATGCTACTGTTGTAAAAGCTAATGCAAACTTAGGCTGCAATGACAGAAATAACATTTCTAATGCAAGAGAAGTTATGATTTCAGGGTTTCTGCCCTCCTCAGGCCACATCTGGCTTATTGTAGTCTCAGGATGAGGAGAATATCCAAATGAGAAAGGCCAGGATAGTGAGACATCTGGAGACTAAGTCAAAGGACTGCTGGCTCAAAGAACTAGAGATTTTTTTGCTGGGCTAGGGAAAGGGGTCTGGATTAGAGATATTAGGAAGAGGCAGGGGAGATTTCTTCAAATAATTAAAGGAACTGTATTGGGAAAAATTGAGGTTTGTTTGATTTTAGCTAATATATTATGAAACCTTGTAATTTAGAATTAAAAGAAATGGGGAAACGTTATACAGAGGATGACCGAGGCTTATTTTCAGAAAGAGCTGGTTTAACAATGACAAATGCCTAACAATTGTCAGGGCTAACTTAGCACAGAGCTGCCTGTTCCCAGAGGTGTTCAGAGAGAAGCTGAATGACAGAATGACAGAATCACAGCATGGCAAGGACGTTTCCTAGACATTTTCTCCAATGAGCAACAGATTGGACTCAGAGTCTATAATGGAATCTTCCAATAATAACGTCCCATGATTTTAAGTGACAGTGAGATAGAGATTTAATAGCTGAGTGTGTTGGGGATGAAGTGGGGGAAGGTGTCATCTCGTGTCTTGCAATTTGGATTTAATGTAAATCACATATTAAAAACAGTCCAAGAGCAATGCAGAGATAATTACTCTTTGATCTACCAATTACTGTTTAATATTTGTTGATTTTTATCTTCACAGATTTTTTGAAGCCTTTATATATGTATACTTATTGATTTTGTTCAACCAAATTTAACCTAAAGTTGGCTCCTTACATATTTTAAATTTGCCCTAAAGGTTTCTTTATAAATGGTAAACTGAATTCTCACTGGATTTGTAAACAGATTAACCCGCACTTGTGCCAGTCACCAAGTTTCAGCCAATGAAAGGCAGCCAACTCTTCAAACCATGTTCAAATCAGGCAAATGCCAAGCTCTAACCAATTTGACTGTTTCTGTACCTCACTTCCATTTTCTGTATGTCACTTTTTCTGTCCATAAATCTTCTACAACATGCCTGTGCTGGAGTTTCTCTGAGCTGACTCTTGCTTGGGAGGCTGCCCCATTCAAGAATCGTTCTTTGCTCAATTAAACTTTGTTAAATTTAATTTGTCTAAGTTTTTCTTTTAACAACTTGTAACAAACATGATATTATCATAATATTTGAATTTTAGAATTAATCTTTATGCCCCCAATTTTATTACTCAATATATATTTTTTTCTGTTAGATGAATGTTTAAATTGCATCCAAAATCACAATATAGCCATGGCATTGTTTGTATAAACAACCAACTTCCTCACCATGGCTGACTTAATCAGTACAGTCAGAACAACCAGTTTGGACAACCAATCTAACTGAATTTCTTAAATAATCAAATCAGCAAATATTTATCTATCTCTTACTATGTGTAAGAAACTGTAGAAAGACAAAGCTACTGACAATATGGTTGGAGAAATACTACAACATAAGAGCAGGCAAAAAATAAATTCAAACAAAAAAGTATCAATACTACCATAGGGCCAAGTAAATCTGACATAGGGCAGTAGAAAACTAATTAACAAATTGAATAGTATTAATATATGTAGGAATTTGGATTGGATATAACCACTTCTATGATAGGTGGATAGTGAGATGAAATTTTTGAAAAGGAAGTAGGGTTTGTGATGGGCTTTGAAAAATAGATGACAATTCACTGGGCAGGAGGAATGGCATTCTAGGCACAATGATGTGGAAAAAAAAAGAATGTTGATGGAAAACTTTAAGGCATACTTTAGGAAATTTAATAGAATCATTTGGTCAAAGACAAAGGTCTGTGGGAGGCACTATAAAGTGTTAGCTAAGAATGCAAAATTTGTGGCAAAAGAAAAAAAAAGAACACAGATTTTAGTTAAGCCCTCGGTATAAATTCTATCTCTATGACTGTTAGCCTTGTGTGAGCTATGCAAATGCACCTGAATTTCAGTTTTCTGGCATGAAAAATGGACATAATGTCTACTATCTGATTGTAGCAAGGATTAAATTAGAAAATGTAGCTAAAGTATTTAGCCCAGTACCTAACAAAATAAAAAGACTCAGAAGTCTTTTCTGTAAATATTAGTGCTAAGACTAATATTATGTAAGAAAATAGAGTATGCAAGTAAGTCTATAGAGCAATCTGGCTGAAGGGTTTAAAGTTGAAACTGTTACTAAAGGGCCCCGAGAAAGGGAGAGGCACCAGGAAAGAGGTATTCTTAGGGAGGTGCATTACATAGCTTTGCATGCATTTGATTGGTAGAATAAACTGGAGAGAAAAATAAATTAAGACAGAAAAAGTGGACAGGAGGATAATGACAAAGTACATATTGGATGTCATAGGCACCTAGATTGCACTGGGTGTGTGGAGTTAGAAAGCAAAGCAAGAAAACAATCAAAAGGTATACAGAGACTCTCTAGACATGAAAAAAAGAGCAAGGTCTCTAACTCAAAGTTGATCACTGTATTAGTCAGGATTCTCTTAGATGGACAGAACTAAGAACTATACGGGACAGAACTGTACATATATATAATGGGAGCTTATTAACTCACACAATCACAAGGTCCCACAATAGGCTGTCTGCAAGCTGGGGAGAAAGGAGAGCCAGCCTGAGTCCCAAAACTGAAGAACTTGGAGTCCGATGTTCAAGGACAGGAAGCATCCAGCACTGGAGAAAGATGTAGGCTAGGATGCTAGGCCAGTCTCTCCTTTTCATGTTTTTCTGCCTGCTTTATATTTGCTGGCAGCTGATTAGATTGTGCCCACCAGATTAAGGGTGTATCTGCCTTCCCCAGCCCACTGATTCAAATGTTAATCTCTTTTGGAAACACCCTCACCGACCCACCCAGGATCGATATTTTGTATCCTTCAATCCAATGAAGTTGACACTCAGTATTAACCCACACACATACACTCCTTGTCAACTTGAACCCATATATAGCTCCTGAGATTATACATAATTTTCAAATAAAGACAATAATAAGGTCATAATTATGCCTAATGTAATACAACTATCCTGCATACAACTGGAAATGCACTAATCCCCAACCCAAATACTATTACATGAAGTTAACAATACTTAAATGCTGATATGAAGGCAATAAATCTTATGTCACATGATAAAGGAGAAAGGAAATAAGATGATGATATTTTCTTAGTACGAGCGTATACATGCACAAACATTTTTTTAAAAAGGAGGAAATACGGCAATTACAGTCCTCATTTCTGCAGCTGGTCACGTGGTCATGGCTGGTATTGATGACTACCATCTTCTACCACCCATTCTGTGTCCCCTTTGCCTTCAGCAAGCCGTGGATTTTTCCTAGTGGAGGGACTCAAACGTTCATTCCTGAAGGGTCTGGGTCATTTGTAGTCCTACCTGGATTGGGCTGTTGTAGTGTTCTATGGACCTTAATCACAGGGCATGTTAATACTAAGAGATGCCCCATTAGATCTCCATGCATTCTCTTCCTTACCTCCGTTGTGGAGTAGTAGACTGATTTCATCTGATAGTCCGGGTCAATCACCCCAGTCAACACTGTAACTCCCTTCCTAGCTTAAAGGTAGGAGGAGCCCAAAGTGTCAAGGTGGCAATCTTAACTTCCAGTTTAATGGAATCATTGCTATGTCTCCTGGTGGCAGCATTCCTCCCTCTGGAACTAAGACCTCTAGGCCAGCAGAATGTAATGTCGCAGGAACAGGAAGCAAGTATGCTAATGGATCCCTAGGGGCGATGGTGAGTGGTGCCACTTTCGCTTCTACACCTCGATTCCTGGACCTGTGAATCCTGGCTATGGGAGAAATAGTACCATATATTGGATGCTGATTCAGAGCATACACAACCTTCTGGAGAACTTTACCCCAGCCCTGCAAAGTATTGTCACCTAGTTGGCATTGTAATTGTGACTTCAAAAGGCCATTCCACCTTTCTATCAATCCAGCTGCTTCAGGATGATGGGGAACATAGTAAGACTGGTGAATTCCATGAGCATGAGCCCACTCACTGTCGCACTTCTTTAGCTGTAAAGCGAGTGCCTTGGTCAGAGGCAATGCCGTGTGGAATACCATGACGGTGGATAAGGCACTCCATGGGTCCATTGACAGTGGTCTTGGCAGAAGTATTGTGTTCAGGATAGGCAAACCCATATCCGGAGTAAGTGTCTATTACAGTGAGGACAAACCTCTGCCCTTTCCATGATGGAAGAGGTCCAATATAATCAACCTGCCACCAGGTAGCTGGCTGATCACCCTGAGAAATGGTGCCATATTGAGGGCTCAGTGTTGGTCTCTGCTGCTGGCAAATTGGGCACTCAGCAATGGCCATAGCCAGGTCAGCCTTGGTGAGTGGAAGTCCATATTGTTGAGCCCATGCTTAACCTCCATCCCTGCCACCACAGCCACTTTGTTCAGGGGCCCATTGGGAAATGACAGGGATAGCTGGGGAAAGAGGCTGAGTGGTGTGTACAGAGTGGGTCATCCTATCCACTTGATTATTAAACTGTTCCTCTGCTGAGGTCACCTGTTGGTGAGCACTCACATGGGATACAAATATCTTCACATTTTTTTGACCACTCAGAGAGGTCCATCCAACATACCTCTTCCCCAAATTTCTTTGTCACCAATTTTCCAGTCATGCTTCTTCCAAGTCCCTGACTGTCTAGCCAAACCATTGGCTAACAGTCCATGAATCAGTATATAATCGCACATCTGACCATTTCTCCTTCCATGCAAAGTGTACAACCAGGTGCACTGCTCAAATTTCTGTCCATTGGGAAGATTTCTCTTCACTGCTGTCCTGCAGGGATGTCCCAGAAAGGGGCTGTAGTGCTACAGCTGTCCACTTTTGGGTGGCGCCTGCATGTCGTGCAGAACCATCTGTGAACCAGGCCCTAGTCTTCTCTTCCTCTGTCAACTGATCATAGGGAACTTCCCATGAGGCCATCGGTGCAGGCTGGGGGAGAGAAGGAGTGGAGACCATGGGGATTTGAGCCACTTCCTCATGTAACTTACTTGTGCCTTCAGCCCAATCATGTATATACCACCTCCATTTGATGATGGAATGCTGCTGTGCATGACCCACTTTATGGCTACATGGGTCAGAAAGCACGCAGTTTATGATAGGCAGTTCAGGTCGCATGGTGACTTGATGACCCATAGTCAAATGTTCAATTTCCACCAAAACCCAGTAACAGGCCAAGAGCTGTCTCTTAAAAAAAGAGTAGTTATTTGCAGAAGATGGCAGGGCCTTGCTCCAAAATCCTAGAGGCCTCTGCTGTGATTCACTTATGGGTACCTGCATCCCTATCTGCCTCTGACACCTCAAGCACCATTGGATCTGCTGGGTCATGTGGCCCAAGTGGCAGAGCAGCTTGTATAGCAGCCTGGACCTGTTGCATAGCCTTCTCCTATTCTGAACCCCACTTAAAACTGGCAGCCTTTCAGGTCACTAGGCATTGTGCCTCTTTCTTGGTTGTAGGAGGGGCCAAATGCAGCAACTTCTCCTTTACCTTAGAAGAAATATCTCAACAGGCCCCACACCACTGGACCCCTAGAAATTTTACTGAGGTAGAAGTTCCCTGAATTTTAGTTGGATTGATTTCCCATCCTCTGGCATGCAAATGTCTCACCAATAAGTCCAGTGTGTTTGCTACTTCTTGCTCACTGGATCAAATCAGCATAATGTCATCAATGTAATGAACCAGTGTGATATCTTGTGGAAGCCAAAAGCGATCACGGTTTCCCTGAATAAGATTATGACACAAAGCCAGAGAGTTGATATACCCCTGAGGTAGGACAGTAAAGGTATATTGCTGGCCTGGCCAGCTGAATGCAAATTGCTTCTGGTGGGCTTTATGGACAGGAATGGAGAAAAAGGCAGGTGCCAAGTCAATGGCTGCATACTAGGTACCAGGAGATGTGTTACTTTGCTCAAGCAATGAAACCACATCTGGTATAGCAGCTGCAACTGAAGTCATCACTTGGTTTAGCTTACGATAATCCACTGGTTCTCCAAGATCGATTTGTCTTCTGCACAGGCCAAATGGGAGAGTTGAATGGGGATGTGGTGCGAATCACCACCCCTGCATCTTTCAAGTCATTGATCATGGCACTAATCTCTGCAATTCCTCTAAGGATGTAACATTATTTTTGATTTACTATTTTTCTAGGTAGAGGCAGCTCTAATGGCTTCCATTTGGCCTTTTCCACCATAATAGCCCTCACCCTATCAGTCAGGGAGCCAATGTGGGGGTTCTGCCAGCTGCTAAGTATGTCTATGCCAATTATACATTCTGGCACTGGGGAAATGACCACAGGATGAGCCTGGGGACACACTGGACCCACTGTAAGTCAGACCTAAGCTAAAACTCCATTAATTACCTGACCTCCATAAGCCCCTAGTTTAACTGGGGGACCACAGTGACATTTTGGGTCCCCTGGAATCAACATCAGCTAAGAGCCAGTGTCCAGTAGTTCCCAAAATTTCTGATCATTTCCCTTTCCCCAGTGCACAGTTACCCTGATAAAAGGCTGGAGATCTCCTTGGGGAAGGATGGGAGAAAGATTCACTGCATAAATTGTTGGTAACATAGTAGGGTCCTTCCTTAAGGGGACCCAGCCTCTCCTTCATTCAAGCGGTTCTGGGTCTGTAAACAGACTCAAGTCTGGAAATTGATTGAGGGGCCATGATTCTGTTTTTATAATTCAAGTTAGGCTTTTGTCCATTCAACCTAGAAGCTTCCTGTTTGTATAATTTAAGTAGGAATGCAGCAGGCTTCCTATCAATTTCACTTCTACGAACACCATGATTAATTAGCCAATGCCAGAGCTCTACACGAGTCAGACTATTCTGATTGCCACTTTGCCTCTGCTGTCCATTACAGTAGCTACACCCATCTTGCCTGTGACAGTTGAGTGCTGCCACTTAGTCCCTGCCACCTCAAGATCCAATTATTCCCATTGTATTTAAATTTTGTAGTTGAGTGACTGCGGTTCCCACTGTTAGATCTGACATATAGAACAGAGCAATTATGGGGCTCTACAAAGATGCAGGTGCTGCCCTCACAAATATATTTCACAAGGCATTGGTCAAGGACCTCCCAGCTGTGATGAGTAGGTCTAAAGTGACTAATCCACTCTACCATCCCAATTTCCCTAAGCCTTTGAATCCCTTCCCCTACATTAAACCAAGGGAGATCAGGCATTTCCAGCTCACTCACAGTGGGCCATCTTTTAATCCATATTTCAGATAACTGAGCAAATAAACTATTAGAACCTTTTTTTAACTCCCCAAATTGCAATATTAAATGCAGAGTCCCTACATAGTGGGCCCAAATAAATAAATTCAGCCTGACCCAATTCTATGTTCCTTCAACCATTATCCCCTACCCTTAATATCCATTCCCATGTCTGTTTTCCAGATTGCTGTTTATATAAATTAGAGATCTCAAACAGTTCTTTTCGAGTGTAGTGCACCTCCTCATGGGTCACACTCTCAACCTCACCTCTAGGGACCCACTGGGACTTTAGCCTAGTTATAGGTCTAGAAGCAAACAGAGATGTTGGGGGTGGCTTCTGAGTGGAATTAACATTATCTTGCCTGAGAACCATTTCAGGGGAGGCCATCACTGTTGCCTTAGGCAGTGAAGGGTTTATCTCTTGAGACAAAGGTGGAAAGGCTGATGGCAGCATGGGTCAGGGAGAGGATGTTGCCCCTCCTGGGATGGGGAAGCTGTTCCTTCTGGCAAAAAAGTTCATCAGAGTTTACAAACTCAGTGTCCCTGCATCAGGGTCCTCCCACGTGTCCCCATTCCAAGTTTCAGGGTCTCATTCTTTTCTAATCAATGCCTTCATTTTAACAGTAGACACCTGGTGAGGCTGCGCATGCACTTTTCATTGCAGGTCAACCACTTGCACGACAAGAGCTTATGTCTGATTTTCTACAATTTCAGCTGTTTCTCTACAGGAGATAAGACTCTCATTCAGGGCAATCTTAGCAGATTTGAGGCTCAGTATCTGCTTCCGAAGCTGGAAGACAGAATCCCTGGGTTCATCATTTTCTTTCATCACTTTGCCCACTGAACTTAGGAGCAACCAAGCAGTTTCATTATGTTCCTTGGTTCTCCACATATGGTCAAAGGTATTATCTATAGAGTCACTAAACTCCTTGCCTCTCACAAGTGGTGAATCAGGAGTGTCAAATGCATTTATTTTGCATAACTCTCTAAACAGTTCACGCCAAGCACAATCAGTGTTCTCCATACTATTAGAAGTAGAGTCCTTAGGATTTTTGCATCTAAGCATATTAAGCACCCAACTCTAGAAACCCCAAAACCAATGAAAGAACTCCATACTTAGTATTCTGTTCCTCTAGAATCACTCCTGGTACCAAAATCTTTATTATCCAGGGTTCTCTTAGAGGGACAGAACTCAAAAGAGAGATATATTTATATATATAATACATATGTATAATCTATAGATATATTTATATATCTATATATAAAGGGGAGTTTATTAAGTATTAACTTATATGATCACAAGGTCCCACAGTAGGCTGTCTGCAAGCTGAGGAGCAAGGAGAGCTAGTCCAAGCCCCAGAACTGATGAAGTTGGAGTCCAATGTTCGAGGGCAGGAAGCATCCAGCACTGGAGAAAGAAGTAGACTGGGAGGCTAAGCCCATCTCTCCTTTTCACATTTTTCTGCCTACTTTATATTTGCTGGCAGCTGATTAGATTGTGCCCACCAGATTAAGGGTGGATTTACCTTCCCCAGCCCACTGACTCAAATGTTAATCTATTTTTGCAACACCATCTCATTTTTCTGCCTGCTTTATATTTGCTGGCAGCTGATTAGATTGTGCCCACCAAATTAAGGGTGGATCTGCCTTCCCCAACCCAATGACTCAAATGTTAATCTCTTTTGGTAACACTCTCACAGACACACCTAGGATCAATACTTTGTATCCTTCAATCCAATGAAGTTGACACTCAGTATTAACCATCACAATCACCCAGTTTATAGCTTGGAAATTGAGAATGCTGGCCCTAGCAATAGAAACAGTGAAGTTAGGCTGAGAGCAAGATTGGAAAGAAAAATGGAGATTTTTGTTTTAAATCTCTGAAGTCTGAGGTGACATCAAAATGCACATATAGAAATGACCTTTAAAAATCCATAGTTTTTTTTTTGTCCAAACTTGCCTTTGAGTTCAGTGAAATGGAAAACTAATATGCTATAGATTAAAAATGAAACTATCTTAGTGACAGCTGTACAGATATCTGTTTCTTTGCAAGGTTACTGATGGTGAGATGTGAAAAATTATGTGAAAAACTCTATTTGCTGAATAAAAAGAACTCACAAATGTTTCTGTGGGATAGACAACACAGATCACATTGAAAATGGAGCCTTTTCGATTGTTTAGTTTAAAGCAAAAGAAGTGATGGAAAGTTTTCTCCGTGCTGGAAGTTTTTAAAAAGGAAAGCGTTTTCAAAGAAAAGCTACAGTGTATATGCTTCTAATTATAATATTATGAACAAATGTTTTATAAATAAAAACAGAAGTTTTTGAAAATGTCCCAAATACTGAAGATGTATGGAGTGCATGGTAAATGTGGAATTTTTTAAAAATAGAGAATAATTTAACAGGAACATCAATGTCTAAGAATAAGTTATTTAATTCAAATAGTTACTTTGAGAATTTACTTATAGCGTAAAATAAGAAATATTAAGTGTTTATTTATGGATATTATTATATTGTGGCCTATTATTGAAGTTAAATACATTTCTTTCTCAGATCAAAGTCATCTACAAATAAAATACATACATATATATATATTTATATATCACCTTTCTTGAAAGTATGCTATATTGGAGAGATTATATTCTAATATTTTAAAATTGTATGCTTGCTTTGATTGAAAACATATGAAGACATTTTTGCAAAAAGAAAAACATTCTTAAATAGTACTTCACAGCCTCTTCTTTCAGCAAGCAGATGAACTGTGAAGCTTTGTTTAAAGATTTCATTACTGATGTATTAAAATGTATGAAAGATTATTACCTATATGGGCAAAATTGAAAAGTTACAGCTATTTCAACAATTATTACTTATTAATACTTGAAGTTTGGTCTTTGTCGGCAGATGGGAAATGATGAATACCTTCAAAGTAAAATAGTGGAAAGGCAATAATTTATTACTTGAATGGTAAAACCCTGCTCCCAGATTTCAATGAGCCTTTAGCAGGTCCTCTGAATAATTCCTACCCTCCTGCTTTTTCTTCTTGGTCAGCACTTCTATAAATGCAAGGGTCCTCTGACATCGTTGCAGAGCCCAGTATCACCCTGATGCTTCATAAAGTTTCCAAGGATGGCAGAAAATAAAATGACAAATAGTAAACAAAGTAAAGCAAAACATGTTTTTCAAAATGAAACAATCCCTTCTTCATTTATGCAGTTTTTAGAAGAAAAGGAAAGAGATGACTTTTCAAACACATTTTCCAACATGGTAATATAGTTTGGAAGAACATTTTTAAATTAAAACCAATCAAAGTAAGCAAAATAAATTCAAAAGCAGGAGTGGGTAATCTTACAAACCAATGGCTTTGAGTCATCAACATCTTCCAAGTGATATAGTACCATGTGACTTCAGCAGCTTTCAGGACAGAAACTATGAAACCATCATGGGTTAGACAAACTATTCAAATCTGGTGAATCAATTTTTAAAGTTTCAGTGCAAATTCAAGGGTGTGAATTTCCTCTTCTCCCAGCTAAGTCTAATTGAGAGTGAAAAATCATAGCAAAATCAGTGTTTGTTCAGGATTTTATGTATCAGGCATAAGAGGGACTTCTCTAAGAGATTGACAACCTCACATATACAAGCTCTCACACACCTAGAAAGCTAGGTAAGAGGTAGGATGAAAAAAGAGAAGTTTCTCATGGCACCTAACCCATTCTTCTTAGATCGGCTAACAGCTTTTCTGTCAGACTAGCTTGGGGTGCTGCCTCGGGAAAATCAGTCATTTTGCTGGGTAACAAAGGAAATGAAGAAGGCTAGAAAATCTCACTGAATCTACGAAATCTAGTTCGTTCTTTGAAACAGTAAAAAGGGCTTCCCACATCATGTCTAACCATACTGGATAGGTACACTGGTTTTTCAAAGTCCTGGTGCTGATGCAGGATCACTACAGATTTTAAACTCTACAAATCTCATGACAATTAACAGATTTAGCGAAATTCAGAGCCTGCCTATTCAGAAGATTCGTCACTACCAATATCAGTGCTAACGTAGGATGAGAGGTTTATGAATACACAGAGCACTTTGGAAGCTTACTTACCACCTGAACAATTGGGTGGCAAAATGGCAAATGACTTACTTTTACAGTAGTAAGCAAAACATTTGTCCCATGTACAAAGTCAGTTACAAACGTTACCAGGAAGGAATTGGGACCCTCACCAATTAATCTGTCCTTGTGACACTCTTACAATTTCTACCTTATAATAATTTCTGTACCTGTCTGATCTCCCTAGAAGATAATGTGCTATAACAGAAATCTAGGATTACAGGAGAACAGATCTCTGCTGATTTGCCATTTTCCTCACTGGCGGCTGCACGGCTCTCCCTTTGCTGGGATGCTGGCTTGGATGATTTCTCTGGACAGTGTTTCTAAAATGAGCAGAGCTCTCTCCTTACTGTTATTACACTTTCTTAGTAGGCTCCGAAAGTGTATTATTCTTTCAGTATTTCTACTGAAAACGTTGTACCATACATTGCTGCACTACTATACTGTTACTACAACTCATGACTGACGTTGCTCAGTTTCTTACAACCTACTGTCTCACAGAAGCTGGAGATAGTTTCCCAGACTGAGCAGACCATATTTGATTAATACCCCATAGTATCATATCCAAAAGTTTTTTGCTTTTCCCCACTGAGGGAAATGAAACTCACTGAGACGATATGAAACACATCCACCCATACCAGTAATGTCAGGTGTTGCTTATTTACTATGGCACTTCTTCCCACAGGGTCTTCATAGAACCTCTGAATCCCCCTTAATACAAATATAGAAAGAAACAGCCAATTGATTGCATATTGATGCATATATTCAATATGCATATGAAATATATGTCCTTTCATAGGCATATATTTTTTAAAAATTTTACTCCAGAATGGGTTCCTTGCTATATAAGGTTGCAAGCTCCAAAACTTTAAGGCATCCTGTGTATTCATTGTTCAAGAGTCTTGGTTCTGGGAAATAATGGTAAGTCAGACAGTGTTTCTTCCAGGCGGTCCTTGGGTTTGCCTGAATAGAGAACTTTTGGCAGCCTGCCCTGGCATGGCAGGGCTCCTCACGTGTGTTAGTTAGGACATCCCCTCGGACTTGACCTAAGTGAGAACTCCTAAATATTAACATTCCTGCCGAACACAGGTTGAAACAGTCACTTGCTGACCCTTGGCTAAAGACTAGATACTTCTTGTTGGCTCATAAGAAGTGAGAATTTTTCTACCAGGATCCTGCTTCATTCCCCAGCCATTTTTGAAATGAATTTCAGATGCTGCTTATAGTTCAGAATCAAAGCTTAAAATTAGAGTTGGGCTTTCTGATCACCCAACATGAAAGCTACATTTGATCAATGCATTTCTAGGTTCATATACCCATTTTTAATATTTTGGTCAGAGATAGGAACATCACAAAGCACCCTGTGGCTCCCATAAACGGACCCTGTGGACTTACTGTGCTTCATTGTTCCAACAGGAAGGAAAGAGAAAGGGGAAGAAAAGAGAAGGAGAGAGAAGGGGTGGGGGGAGAGGGTAAGAGGGGGAGTGGTAACGCTAAGAAGGGAGGGTATGGAAAAATGGAAAGATAATCATGAGAGTGATGCTACCAAATGCCTCTCCTTTATTCCTACAGTGTTCGAAGATTTCTCCCCAAACCATTAGCCCGTGGATATAGTCATTCATTTTTATTGTGATTTTATCATTTCTCCTTCACTAGTTGTGAATATTGCACAATTAGCACATTTCTGAAAACCCTGATGGCCATGTCCTCAAGCTTCCTCCCCAGTTCCTGGAATTTACACTGTAGGACCTCAGCCCTATTTCTGTCTGTGGTTTTGGTTCCAGCTCAGATTCTGACTACAGTGGCGTCCCCTCTCCTTGGCGAATACCTTTTTTCTCCTTGTGGTGATGTTTCCAGTCCATCTTGAGGAGTCATAAAGTGCTATTAAAACAGTCATCCCTCTTAGCCTGTCCTCGGTAGTCATCACACAGTATTGCTATTGTCCAGGGGTTGGAGTCTGAGGCTGAGGCTGAATCGGAAAGTTGGTTTTAGTATCCCAGCAAGGCCAGGGAAAATAAATTCCCGAGCGAGAATATGGCTCGACGTCAAGCAGCTGGAGAACCGGCCCGTGAACAGGATCCAGGGGCAGATTATTTGGGTGAGTGTGCATGGCTACGAGACATCAGTTTCATTTGACTAATATGTTCTTTTCCATCCAATTGAATGGATTACCACAGTGTCAAATAAATAATATGTTGCCACATTTGGCCCAACAAGAAAAATTCTGGGTATCAATAAGCAAGTGTAAGACCACATGAAAGCCTGACTGTGTTTGAGGAAAACAGGCAATAAACCCTCAGGTATCTTGAAACTTAGACATTTTTCTTGTCAAAATGTTCTAGGAGCCAAATTTGTGGGGTCCCTGCTGCTGTGACAACACTCTGGTCTCTGAAGCTCATCCAACATGGCTCCCGTCCCAATTAAACCTTAGGTATTCGTGAAGGCAGCCACCAAGGTGGGACAATGGCTCATTACCCAATTCAAAATGCATTCGGTCAACATTTATTAGATGCCTACTGGTTGCCAGGCACAGAGGTGGCATCTGGGGCTGCAGGAAAGGATAATAGGGGTGAGAAGGAATAAAAAGTGAACATGGCACAAACTCTTGGTGCACATTCTAGTGGGGACACAGACACATATCCAGATAATTCTATAAAAGAAATATAGACAAACTTCTCAGGAAACAGAAGATGGGCATAGGTTGGCCGACTGGAAGACAGAGAGCCTGGGGATGTCTCCACAAAGCAATGACATTTGGGCTCTGCCTTAAATTGTGCTGTTCTGATGCAATGTTATTTTCAGAATTGTAAAATGTACATTATAAACTGCAATAAATTTCCCCCACACCCTTCTCACTCAGTAGCACAAATTAGCATCAATGGCATCTTATAATTGAGCTAGACAAATAATAAGAAAAATAAGACAAGAATAACAACCACTATTGCAAGCATTTTACATATGTTGGTTAGTTAATTCCGCTCCCAAAGCATTTTCTGTGCTATAGGTACTGTCTTTACCTTATAAAAGTGAAAATAAAGCAGAGAGAAGTTAAAAAATTACCTAAGGTCACACTGCAAGGTCAAACACTGTAGTATGTACTTTAGACCCATTCTTTCACTTCGTTCTAACAACAGCATTTGCTGTGAGCTATGTATAATTATTTCGGGGTGGGGGATTGAGGGGATTAAGGATCTGAAGCTTAGAAAGGTTTAGTCTTCTCTCAGAAAGATCTTTCAGATAGAGGACAAAGTATGGCCATTGGCCCAGAGGCATGGAAATATATGCGTGGTGTATTTAGAGAAGGCAGATAGAAATACTGTACATACCAAGGGGATTGAAATTCATTCTCTAGAAATGGGTAGCTATTTATAAGAATAACATTACCTGAGGTTTTTTGTTTATTTGTTTAATGCTCTAGTGGCACATTATATAGAATGCAGGGGAGAAGGCTGCTTGCTGCTTGATGGCTATCCAATGAGCTCAGTTAGGGCAGTGGCTATGAACAAAGAGGCAGGAATTTAAAAGATACCCTGGTGGTAGAATCAAGACAATTTCTGATGACTGGTTGTTTTAGGGCAGGGAAATAAAGGCTAACTCCAAGGTTTCTCACTTTGACCACTATGTTCAAATATGCCAATGCCACCAATTAAGGTAGGAAATGCAGAAGAATTGATCAGTTTGATGGAAAAAAATAATTGATTTGGTGGCATTCAGTATGAGGTGGCTTACTAAGGAGGAAATTTTCATTAGGAAACTGAATATCAAATCTGGAGTGATCCACTACTTTGTTTTCTTCCCATGTAAGAACAATGCATGCCCTAGCATTTTGGAACATTCCTTGGTGGGATAATAATTTCATAGCTAGCTTCTCTTCATAGGGCTGACTTAGCCACAGATACTGTTCTAACAATCATGTATGATGTATGACTCTTCACAACAGTCTTATGATGAAGGCACCCTATTATCCTGATTTCACAGATGAGGAAATTGCAGCACAGAAGGTGCAGGTTATTTTTCCCATGTAGCACAGCCAGAGGTATGCCAAGGAGATATTCTCCTCTCCCCAAGTAGTATTTCTCATCCATGATTTCAGGCTCCTGTGGCTGAGATTCTCTCTCCAAAAGTGTTTCTACCTATTCTCGGACCTGGGAAGAGGAGAGGTGGGTTAAGGATGTGGTGTGTGAGGGCCTGCTCATTATGTAATCCCTATGCCTCTGGCCTTTATAAAACTTAGCATACTTGTTCTCAGCTTGAAGATTCCGTCAGACAGTGCATCTCCCCATTTCTCATTTTCTTTTCTGTAGCAGGAAATGACCGCATTCCTAAGGTGGTTGACAGGATTCGATAAGTTTATACATCTAAGGTGCCTATTCCTAGCACAGATACGTGTTCCAGAAATGTTAACTAATGTGATGACAATAAAGACAATAATAATGACAGTGCGGATGACTACATATTTATCTCTATACTATTTTCCTCAGTGGTTTAGAGAAGAAACATCAAGTCAAGCCCTGCCTTATACACCTCAATCAGAGAGCAAGAAAGATATTACTAGTTGTCAAGATTTAGAATTTAGAGGTCTCTAGCCTATTCTTTTTGGGAAAGATCTGGAGATACTCCTGTGGTAGAAATGGAGACAGGAGAGAAAAGAACCTTTTGTCAGGGTCCAGACAGTCAGAAAAGCTCATCATCCCTCAGCCTCTTAAGAGCACTAAAAAAGAAAAAGTGAGTGAGGTCGTATGAAACAGGGTGAAAGACACAGAAATATTCAGATCCTCAGTGGGGGTTGTTTAGGAATAGCAAGACACCGGACTGGGTTTTTTAAGTAAACAAATTCTAGAAGATCAGCCCAAATGCAGGACAAACCCTTGTTTGGACTTTTAAAACTGAGGAGGGGAAATGCTTGAAACATAAAAGACCAACTTGGACCATCTGGTTCTGTAAGAGTCCCCCAACAACACGTCCTCACTTGATGAGACCAATATAATAAATGAGGATAGATGTGTTTCACTCCTGTCAACAGCCATGCAAGAGGAAAGATAAGAGAAGCTTTTGAAATTGTAGAGATCTTTTGGCTTTAACTATTCCAGAGGCAATTAGTTCCATATGGGAAGCAAATCCATGAGGATAGATTTAACTATCAATTCTGTAGCTGCTTATCAAGAGGCAGTATATTTGGTAGCACACACACAAAAGCCAGATTCTGTTAACTGTGACACCTGCTTTCACCCAGGCAAGCCAGCAATGAATTAGCCTTTGGCCTCTGATATTCTATGTGTCAACTAATTTTAAAGAAATTAATTAATTATTCCTGGAATTGATACTAATAAGGATAAATTACCTTTTAAAAATAAGCTCAACTGAGGCAACGCTACCTTCAAGAGACCCTAAACTGCTTAAAACACAACAGAAAAAGTCGAAGTAATTCCCCTTATGCCCTGGTAAAAGCTAAATGATCCACAGTGGAAGCCTTTCAAAGTTTTCTGTTCTCTGATGGAATTGATGGTGGGTAACTTTGAAGAAAAGACATTACAAAACAGTGGGTAATCCAGATGATTCATTCCTCTGCCCTCTCACAAGCTGTGCCTTATAAGCATATTGTTTTTATCCATTCTTGTGCTTAAGAGAGGAAGAGCAAAACGTAGGGATAGGGAAAAGAGATAACAAAATAAAGAAGAAATGAAGGATAAAAAGATTAAAGAGAAATAGATGAAGAAAAAGCAAAAAGGTAACAGAAAAAGAAGAGAAAAAAATCAGTAACATCCTCTCCCTGCACCCCGTTTCTTCCATTTTCTCAAAATTGGCTCCTTTTTAATAGCCACATATTCACATGCCTGGTGCAGAGAAGGGCACAGGAGCAATGGGGGCAGGGGTTGGCCTTGACAGGTAACACGATTCTCAAAGCCAAAGAACTCAAGACCCACGGGGTTTGTTAAAATATATCTGTAGGACAAACCTATGGCCTTCAGAATTTAGGAGAGAAAAAAATATATATATATGTATATTCAACCCATTATTCAAATATTTTGTGCTAAGCAAAGTGCAGTGCAGTTTGTCAGGCAGTTTCCCCTTAATTTCCAAACCCATGTGTATTTCCAAGGGAATGTGATCCATATGTTTCTAATTCATTTACATTTAAATCATCATAATGCTGTTTTGCTGAGCTATTTGGTGTCCAAGAAGCCTATGAGGCCTTTTACAAGCCCTTTTAAAGGCTTTCTCCTTTGAACCTGCAAGTCATGATTTTCCTGTACAGAATGTGAATTAAAATAAAGAAAGTTTATAGTTTCTCTTCAAGCTAAATTCCTCTGTATTTAAATGGATAATAATAATGACAACCATTAAAATAATGTGATCTCAGAGGCAACCTTACATATAAATTAAAAAAAATCTATCAGTTGGGGAAAAAAAAGTTCCAGATTTTCTAAAGCAACAGCTATGAATAGTAATGACTAGGTTTTCCTCCATTTGCAGATTACATTTAAAATATTATTTGCTTTTTAAACCCCCTGATTTTTCTAAAGCCCAACTTAATTTCTTTCAGACTTTGAATGTATTCTTGAATACTAATTATAGCTTTCCTCTAATTTTTTTAAAGAAAATTTTGAATGCCTTTGTGCCAGAATTGCCTAGATCCTCGGTAACTTTATAAACAAATAGAATATTGATTTAGTCTTTTAAAAGTAGCAATCACAATATAATCTGTCATTTATTGAAAATGTTGATATGGGTTGGGCTCTGTACAGGATGTCTTACATACATTGTCTAATTTAATATTGCAACACCTCTGCAAATTCTTAAGAATGTTTGAAACTTATCCTGAAGGCAAGGGCCGGGTGTTTTGTTTTCCTGGAAGATAACCTTGACAGCAACGCAAAGGATGGATTCGAAGCTACCTGAGATGGGGAAGCCGGCTCGGAGGCTGTTTCCCTAATAAAGTGATGGATGAAGGCAGAAGAATTAGCTATAAAGGGAGGGAGAATTAGTTATAGAGAACCCTATGTTTCATATTTTCACAATCATTTCACATTTGGCTTTTTAATCAAGAAGCAAAGCTTATTCTGCGATATTTGCTGAAAATTCTAATTTCTCATTTTCCAATGTAATGTCTATGCACCCACAGACACACATTAGGTCATCTATAATAAACACTAGCTTAGGCCGGGCACAGTGGCTCATGCCTGTAATCCCAGCACCTTGGGAGGCCGAGACGGGCGGATCACAATGTCAGGAGATCGAGATCATCCTGGCTAACACGGTGAAACCCTGTCTCTACTAAAAATACAAAAAATTAGCTGGGCTTGGTGGCGAGCGCCTGTAGTCCCAGCTACTCGGGAGGCTGAGGCAGGAGAATGGCGTAAACCCGGGAGGCGGAGCTTGCAGTGAGCCCAGATCGCGCCACTGCACTCCAGCCTGGGTGACAGACAGAGACTCCATCTAATAAAACAAACAAACAAACACTAGCTTAATGATCATGTATGTAGAAATGCTTCTTTCTGGATCACCATTTCAACACTAGAATAATTTTATACTGAACTTTGCCTTTCTGCACTGATATTAAGAAACTGATCTAACATAATGACTTCTCAAGACAAAAGGAGAGAGACCTCCCAAGTAGAAAGCGGTCAAAATTATTTACATAAAATAAAGTTACATTTCTCCATTGCCTTTAGTAAAATATCATCACCAATGCCAGTGTTATATACACAGTTATATATACCACAGTGTTATATACCACATAAAAAGATTTTGGTCAACAATGAACCAAATATATGACAGTGCTCCCATAAGATTATAATACCAGATCTTTATTCTATCTTTTCTGTGTTTAGATGTACAAATACTTAGCATTGTGTTACAGTTGCGTAGAGTATTCAGTACAGTACATTTAGATGTACAAATACTTAGCACTGTGTTACAGTTGCCTATTCAGTACAGTAACATGCTTTACAAGTTTGTACAAATACTTAGATGTACAAATACTTAGCATTGTGTTACAGTTGCCTAGGGTATTCAGTACAGTAACATGCTTTACAAGTTTGTAGTCCAAGAGCCATAGGCTATACCATAGAGCCATAGACCATACCATACAGGCATGTAGTAGGCTGTACCATCTAGGTTTGTGTAAGTACACTCTATAATGTTTGCACAATGACCAAATTGCCTAATGATGCATTTTTCAGAACATACCCTTAGTGTTAAGTGACTCATGATTGTATTGTGATCAGAGTCATCTATTTGATAATCTAGAGGTCTGGAAATATCTTCCCATCCAGTCTCCCCTCACTTGCTAGTTTGAATTATCCTTAAAAGCCTTAGTTTACTTTATCTTCAAAAGGTACTTAGGCCTTTTGTAACCTGGACTTTGGAGTCTGGGGGGAGAAGAAGAATCCTTGAAGTTTTCATTAGTACCTTAACCTGTATTGTCACTGACAAGTTAGACAATAGCATTAATTAGATATCGTCCAATATCTCAGATGCTTCCTTTTTTCTTCTTCTTTCCAAAGTTTCTTACTTGAGGCCGTTGTATTTACTTCAATATTTGCATTTGTTCACTTCCCATTAGCATCCCTACTCTAACCCTCTTACATGGACTCTGCAGTAAATTTTCAATGAGCCTCTCGGCTTCCATTCCTGTCCTGTGACAATCTTTCTTCACACAGCAGCTAGAACAACTGTTTAAAAATACAAATGATATCACTGCCCTTTAACAGCATATCATTGTTTCTCATTATATGTAGAATAAAAGAGAATCTTTGGGACCTGGCTCCAGCCCAGCCCCCAACCTTGCCCCATTGGCTTCTCTTCCTCCATCAATAAGCTCCAGCCACCTGGCTGTCCTGCCCTGGTTGGCTCCTTAAGCTTATATCTCACTTCAAATGTCTCCTATGCAGAGGGATCTCCCTCACCCCTCCGGATAAAGTGCGGAGTTCGTTGACTCATGTGTGAGAGTGAAATCAATTAATGGTTATGACCAGAATGTGTTCAACACACACATAGACACATACACACATGAGAAGAGAATATAGAGAGTTTAATGACACTTTTACTTTAGTGAACTATCAGTTTACTACTGGGATGGAATATAAATGCATGTTTTGTGGGTCACAATGAAATGAGTAATTGAAGTTGCAACCACCTAGAAGCTTGATCATAAACATCATCACATGACCTTGTTTGTTTCCTTCATTGCATTTCTCACAATCTGAAATCTGACTTATTTATGTCTTATGTGGTTTATTAAGAACGTAAGCACTTTAAAAGCAGGACTCTGTTTTTTTTTTTTTTATCCCTGTTATAACCAGCATCTAGTACAGTGCCTGACATGGTTCAGGTTCTAAAGGACCTTTCATTCAAAGACTACATAAAACAACGGTATCCAATCTTTTGGCTTCCCTGGGCCACATTCAAAGAAGAAGAATTTTGTTGGGCCACACATAAAATACACTAACACTAACAATAGCTGATGAGCTAAAAAAAAAATTGCCAAAAAAATCTCATAATGTTTTAAGAAAGTTTACTATTTTGTGTTGAGCTGTATTCAAAGCTGTCCTGGGTCGCATGCAGCCTGTGGGCTGTGGGCTGGACAAGCCTTGATCTAAAAGATGCTGCGATGGTGGATTTTAGGTGTTAATTTGACTAGGCCATAGAACTTAAGTATTTAGTTAAATGCCAGTCTAGATGTCTCTGTGAATGAATTTTAAAGACAATATTAACATTTAAATCAATAGATCAATAGACTTTGATAAGTCAGTTACTCTCCATAATGTGGGTGGGCCTCACTTAAACAGTTGAAAGCCTTAAGAAAAAACCAAGTCCCCCAAGGAAGAAAGAATTTCACCTCCAGCCTGCACTGGACTCTAGGCTGCAACATTAACTCCTCTGTGGGTCGCTAGCCTGCTGGTCTGTTCTGCGAGTTTCAGACTTGACAACCTCCACAATCTCATCAGCTGGTTCCTTAAAATCCCTCTCTCTCCTTTCTATCTCTTTGCCTTCTCTCTTTTTCTCTCCATGTATACACACACACACATGCATGTACATATGTGCACACACACATATACATAGGTACATACACACATACTACTGCTTTTGTTTCTCTGGAGACTGCTAACTGATACAGATTTGTTGGCCATTCATGGCACTGCAAAGCTTATTACCACTTTTCTTTAGACATTTGTCCCTTTGCCCAGAGCTCCCCAGTTAGGGTAGGAGCTAACACTAACTCCCTCTCTTTATTCCCCAAACTCTCAATCCCACCCTCCTTGCCTGTTCATTTCCTTCTCCTCACCATAACATTCTGGCCAGGGGGCCAGAAGTGACTTGCATATTTCCCTCCCTCATCCTCCAGGCTTTCCAAGTCACCCAAAGAAGAGCCTGCAACTCCAGGCCTTCTTATCCAGGACTCCTGACACTTGCCGTTCTTTGTTTTTACTGCTTTCCTCCTGCAAAACTTCTCATGGACAAAATGTTGCACATCATTGCATAGACATATTTAGATGGAAGTAAAATTAGAAGAATATAAGATAACTACAAAACAATATCAGCAATGATATCAACTAAAGTAGTGAGATAATGGGTGATTTGTATTTTTCTGCCTTGTACCTTTCTTTAGCATCAAACATTCTACACTGAGAATTTTAAGTAAAAAGAAGTTATAGCAATTATGGTTTTTAAAAGACAATTTGAGACAATGAAAGTTAAATATAAAAATACTTCATTAAAATGTCTTTTCTTCAATAAACTGGCATATTAATTAATACCATTCATATTAGCAATTGATCTGATTGTGTCTCTGATGGTTTCATGTGTGATTGTGATGTTGCCAATAGGACTTTAAGCCTCTTTTGAACAAGGAAAGTATTTCACATAAAAATGTGCAAAGAGAGCTATGCAATACAACAGGCCTTGGTTAGAAATATATCTCTGTCACTCACAGCTGTGTGCCTGTTCTCGTGTGACTTAATCTCACTGGTTCTAATTGCATAAAATGAGAACAATAAGACATTTATGTGATGCACCTAGCAGTGCTTGGTTCATTGTATATGGTCAATAATTGTTAGTGTCTATCCTTGCAGTTACATGTTAATTTCCACAACACCTAACAACATGTTAAACACACAATAAAATAACATAAATACATATAAAATGAAATGGTGTGAAATTAAACTGACATGTGAGGATAGGGCTGGGAGGAGGTATATTTCTTTCTCTGCGGTTTTAAGCTGCACTGATACAGGTTTCCAAATGTCTGTGTTCATGTTTTATTATTAGAGAAATTCCTCCTACATATGTGACATTTTTGCTAGTGTTTTAAAAACTATATAAATAGCAGTCTTAATTGAAGTACTACTTGATTCTTACTATTAGATACATCTATTTTTTTTTTTGGAAATTTATGTTATATCCTAAAAATGTCAGCTTTCCATAATGAGTGATTTACTAGTGTCCTTTTTCTTTAAAACTTTAGTTTCAAAACTCACTAGAGCTAGTTTGATAAAGGTATTCACTTTAAATGCCAGAAAACAAATAGAAGAGCACCCTTTTCTGAACAAAAATTATCATTTTTAATAAATGCATAAAGGAAAATATTTGAATGTATGAACAAAAGGATCTTCTACTAGGCAAAGCCAAAACTGATAAGTTTCTACCCTAGAAGTAAAAATATATTCCTGTTTATTCAGTTGGCAAATTTATTATCAAAGGCAAGTTAAAGTTTGAAACTCATTTGATCCTATTATAGAATAAATTTCTGTATTTAGGGAAAGGCTCAGGAAACTCTTTCAAATCTAAGATTTTGTTGTTTTGTGATATAGCAATTCTAGGAAATTTTTAATGTTCATTCCTAATTTTTTTAATATCTTCATTTTTGTTTGGTGTTATACACCTATGACCTTGGTACTGAAAATTTAGGTTTTTACCATTCATGTTTTTTATTTTTATTAAAGCAGGAAGAGAAAAGAAAGAGAAAGTGAGAGAAAGGAAGGAAGGAATGATGGGAGGAAGGAAGGAAGGAAGGTAGGAAGGAAGGAAGGAAGGAAGGGCACAAATGTTTCTGAAATTTCACAAGGAAATTTCATTTAACTCTAGAGTTCTACAAATACGTAATAGAAATATGTAGATATGTAAAACATCTGCTTATATTACCACAGAGTTACATACCACATTTTGCATAATTTCCCCAAATCTCTTTAATAACTAAGGTTAAAGTGTTAAATTTTAAAGTATGTCCTAAATAAATTTTACTAGATATTCTAGTATAAGAAATTTGAAAAATAAATCTGGAAGCTTATGGATATTACATATGTAAAGTCCCTGTTATTTATGCTGGCTTTAAATACTTGATTAAGCATCCATATGTCAACCTGATCCTATGGAAGGTCAGAGTAAACAATGTGTTTCCGAAGTTAAGTGCTCAAACACACGAGGTTACTGATTCTTCTGGAGTCAGGGGGTATCATTTATTTAACAAATGGCATCTGGTGTCCTTGGACCACTCAAACATGTCACTAGATATAAATTGGAGCAAATGAGTAAAAATAACCTGCAACTAGATTCCAAATCCTAAAAAAAAAAATCAAAATTTCTTTTGGATGCTAATTTTCTAAAAAGGTTGCCAGTTTTCCCTGGATTAGTGAAATAGGCACATGATGTTCGAAATTTCAAATGAATTTATTTTTCTAGCTCCATGGGAGAAATAAGCCAACATACATTTTGGAGGGTGATGAAAAAATGTCTATTAATCATGTAACAGTATAACTGTCTGGACATATTGGTCTATGGTATTTTACATTAGCTCCTGAGATTTAAGCCAGGTTTCCCTGGCAGGCATGCAGACATGTGTCTAATTGCCTACCTGTACCTCTAAACAATGGTGTTCTACCTAGAAACTCTGCCTGATGGCTTGGCATAAGATAAATTGAAGTGACCTACTTTAAATAGAAGTTCTGCCTGTGTAGCAAGGTCCTTAAGGGGATCCTAGTTTGCAAGTGTCTAGAAAACTGTGAGCTATCTGAATAGTCCACCATGAGTTCTATTCCCAAAAGACTCTAATAGTCCTCAGAGAAAAATCAGCCAACAAAAATTTGGGGACTGATGGTCAGTTTCCTGGGAAACTGAGCTTAACAATCTTGAGTAGAGAAGACAGATAAAAATGTTGATGGGACTCAGAACATGCTACTCCAAAATATGGCACCATGGCATTTGATAAAATAGCAGAATCAGGAAGTTCTCTCTGACCCTCTTCCACCCCCACCCCTGAAGCAAGCTGTAAAAGAATTCTCCAACCTTCCTATACCGGGAAGAAAGGAATGTCCTTATCTCTGATGACACAGACTCACAGAAGAATCCAAGCAAACAGACCTTGCTAAGTGTCCCTAGTTTATTACCATTAGATCATAACCCCTTTGTCCACTTCTTCATCAAGCCTAAGTATAAACAGATTGTCCTGCTTCTTTGGATCTTCATTTCTGAAGGGCCCTGTGTCATGTAAACTTATGTTAAATAAATTTCTATGTTATTTTCTTGTTAACCTGTCTTTACTATAGGATCCTCAGCCATGAGCCTTGCAAAGATATTACTTTCCCCTACAGTTTCCACAACGTTTTAGGACTGAGAGCTTGCCTAAAGGTGGAAGAGAATTAAGGTGTTGCTTGGGATCCATAGAGGGAAACGGTAAATTATAAAAGTTCTCTGGTATAATAAAGAATATATCTTTGTCCCTAGTTCTTGGCAGTCTTAAAAACCCTTGGCATTTCCTGAGCCATAGTAGTTTTTGTTATGCTAATGAGGTGATTCCTGGTGGCCCTGAGATAGCTTTAAGATGAAGGTTGGTCATCAGAAAGACCAAACACTGGATTAGAAAGTCAGAACTTTGGGCCAACCTGACCCCCAGGGAAGAGACAGAGGCTGGGGATTGAGTTCAAGTGTGTGACCAACAATATACTCAGCATGTCTATTTCATAAAACCCCAAGACAAAGTCTGGATATTGAGGCTCAGAGGAGATTTCTGATAGGTGAACAGGGTAATGTACTGAGACTCCATGGAGAGGGCATGGAAGCTCTGTGGCTGGGACCCTTCCAGACCTCATCCTGTATGTTTCATTTGCATTAAAACTGTAATTATAAGTATAGTGCTTTTAGTGGCTCCTGTGAGTTGTTTTAGAGTGCTAGAATTATTGACCATGAAGGGGTCATGGCAAGCCCAAATTTACAGCTAGTCAGAAGGGCAGGTGCTCCCCCAAGATGCATCTGAAATGAGGGCAGTCCTGAGGAGGACTGAGCCCTTAAACTTGTGAAGTCTGATGCTAACACTGCATAGTTACGGCCAGAACTGTATTGGCATACACCTAATTGCAGTAGAAGAAGAGCACTTCGAAGCTAGAGAATCAGCTCAAGTTCCTTCAGAGAGAATAGTAACACAAACTCAAAGAGCCAGGCTATTTCTCCTGACTTTGTGAAATCAGAGGTAGAAGTGAAAGTCATCCCCAGGGATGTGGGAATACGTTTAACCCTGGTGCTGGCCTTGAATGAAGGGCTCTTATAAGTGAAGGGTGAATAAGTGCTTCTTAGCAAATGGAGAGGGGCAGAGCAGGAATTTAGGGGAAATACCAGGGCTGAAGCAGTGATAGGTATACATATACCAGGACAGATGATGTTTAAAAGTGACACAAAGGAGATGACCTTGAATAAAATATCAGGAGATGGGGATAGGTTATAACATAAGAATTATAGGCAAAAAGGAGACATGCTTATGTGCAGGTTATGCCGTTAATTAAGTGGTAAGCAGTTCTAATATCAGATGAGGGACATTATAAGTAAAGGTCCCCAATCTTGAGGGTTCCAGAGCAAGAGTATAGCCTAATGGAATAGCCACAGTACCAGGTTCAATTCCCCAATGTCTCCACAAAATGAAGAACTTGTGAGCACCAAGAGATGCAGGTAGTAGGGAACCAAGCAGGGATCAGGGCAAGGGATACAGAAAGATATTATCAGATAATCCTGCTAAAATACCAAAGTCTCTGTTTCCCTTTGGCATTTGACCGTGGTGTCCAAGTTAGCTAACATTTGCTCTTGAACATTTTACCTAGAGTAAAAACAACATCAACAACTACAGCAATGGCAGTAGTAATAATAATCAATATTTATCAAATATTTTCTATGTCCTGAACACTCTGCTAGACATTTTACATGCATTTTCTCAGTTAATTCTCACAACAACATCATGCAATAACTACTATATTTTCCCCATTTTACACAGCAGAAAACTGAGGCATAGAGAGAAGTGCTTGAGAGCCTGAAAGGCTGGAGCAGTCTGGGGTCGAGAGAAACAGGAGGTGTCCTGAAATTTGTATGATGTTCCTTGTGTTCAGCTGAGAAAGAGTTAGGGTCACGTCAAGGATTCACAGCAATGGGCAAAGATTAACAGTGACACATGCAGCTGCTATTTCCTCTACAGTTTAAAAAACCAACATGGCTGATCAAATTGACCACGTAGTCAACAGAATTCACTCATTACGAATTTGAAGAAAAAAAAAAATCAAATGATTTCAAAAGGGAAAATTTCTTTGCATGCAAATGGTCTGGATATTTTCCCCAAAGGAAAATCAAACAAAAGACTGCATTTGTCCTTGACTCTTGGAGACTGAGAGCAACATCAAGAGGAAACTCAAGAGGAGCACAATCCTATTTAAGGGCTTTGACTAAGTCTTGGTATTTTCAGTTCCTCTGAAGATTCCCACACCTTGTGGACATATGAAAGGGCTTAGTATTTAGAAGATTTTATTACCAAATCATAAATATTTTATTTACCCAAACCTGCAAGGAAGGAAGAAACGATGGGGAATTTGGGCAGCTTTCTAGGGAAATTCGTGCCAAGGTCCCATTTGCATTGACTTTGCAAGGCACTCAAAGCACTTTTGTTTCATTTCACATATTTCATTCTGTTGGAATATAGCCACCAGGTATGTGGCACAGATAAAGTCATCTGCCAATATCCGGGTTTAAATCTGGAAAACAAATATGTCAATGAACTTGATATAGGCAACATCTTTCATGCTAGCATCTGCTCTGCCATTTCCAAAGATTTCTAGCAATGGAATCGATATTGATACTGTTCTTTATAAAGATAAACATACTGGCCCTCCATCATGTGGGTATATGCTCTGAAAGTTTTTCTTGCAGATGAGAAAACCGGTCCTTGTTCATTCTATTGACCAAACCCCAATGTGCCCATGGGAAAAGCTTGCCAGGATGAAATGTGTAGGCCACTGCTGGAAAGCAGCAATGTAACTGGCTTATGTAGAGATAAAATTTGTAACTCTGCACTCATGCTGATTCTTACTGATGCTGTAGAATCCGTCTCCACCATCCTCATAATTGAGGTTCCTGTTAGTCTTTGTTCTTTTCAACCTGTCCTCCACACATCCTCCAGACCAGCTTTTCTGAAATAAAAACCCTGTTTTCGTTTTATTTCACTGTGCTTAAAAACCTTCAATGACTTCTCATTGCCGACGTGAATGAAAGTATAATTAAGCTTATAATCAGATTATAATTTAGTTTATTGATATTTATTACTATTAGCGTAAAATTAGTTTCTAAATACTGACAAATTAGGAGGTTTTACTTCAATATATATAGATATGTGTCTTTTCTTATTAAATTGAGGTGGTCTGAAGATATGGGGCCCCTTTTCCTACCTAGATGAGAGCTACCTAGCAACTGTCTTCTTTTAGGCCCATGAAGTTTTCTCAAATTTGAGGTTGTCAGTTGCCACGTACTGGGCTGTTTGTTCAATTTTTGAATGGTAGATAAATATTACTCTTCACGTTTATCAAGTGGGGAAGCAGTGTTTTACTAGTGAACAGGCTCTCAAAAGAACAATAAACAAAACAAAACAAAACAAATAAAGAAGCTCTGATGGGTTGCATTTGCTGATTTCTATGGTGCAAATATTTTCACCATGCCAGGTTTGAAGCTACCAACATGAAATCACTGAACTCCAGATTGAGAAGAAATGCTAACATATAGCTCTCATACTGATTCCAGTGCAGCATTATAATAAAGACCAAGAAAGCTATGTGTTTCAAAAGTAGAAAACAAAACAAAATCAAAGGAGGGCACTTACATAACACTTTGCTCACATTATTTGCCTGGCCCACACAGACTCTTGGATGTGCAGTTCTTGCCAATGATTAAATAAATTTCAAACTGCTTAAAATGGCCTAGCAAATCTTTTTACAATTTAATCTCAAACTAAATTTCTAAACTATTTCCTGCCACTACCCACATAATGTATAGCTTCTTGATGTTTCTATTATACACCCATTATTTTGCCATATCTGTGTCTTCATGTATGAAACCCTCTATATATGGAATACCATTGTCATCACTACATCTACCATACCTTCTCTGTGAAACTTTCTTAAGTGATGCTTAAGAGTTAAATACTTCTAATCTCTGCTTCTAGGTCACTATGCATTTGGTGTTGTAAATTGTGAGCTCTCTGAGAGCAAAAAATATGTCTTATTTATTGGTGTATTCAAAAAGCCTAGCATACACATTACATCCCTGATCAATAAACACTGGTGAAAGGCAAGATATAACTAGCCCTTAAATGAAATATTTAAGTTTCATTTATAAAATGCATAAAAACTTCTAATGCGGCCGGCCGGAGGTAGTGGCTTATGCCTGTAATCCCAGCACTTTGGGAGGCCAAGGCAGGCAGATTACTTGAGGTCAGGAGTTCGAGACCAGCCTGGCCAACATGGTGAAACCTGGTTTTCACTAAAATACAAAAATTAGCCAGGTGTGGTGGCAGGTGGCTGTAATCCCAGCTACTCTGGAGGCTGAGGCAGGGCAATCACATGAATCCAGGAGGCCGAGGTTGCAGTGAGCTGAGATCGTGCCATTGCACTCCAGCCTAGGAGACAGAATGAGACTCTGTCTAAAACAAACAAACAAACAAAAACTTCTAATGCCTATCAAAATATTAAAAATATAATTCCACTGTTAGGACTTTATTTTTAATCTCTTTTGTTCTGAAATTATACCAACTTTTAAATTTCATAATCATATTACACTAACACATATTGCTAAATGGTAATCAATATATTTATTTGATTTCTTTGTTTTTCATCAGAGCACATGCTAAAGGAGTAAGAGTATTTATCTTGTAACCTCCAACTGGCCAATTGTCATCACTAACAAGTAGCATATTCTCATAAATGCACATGTGGACACTGACATTTTGTACACAGTTCTTGAGAAATACAAATTTGGCATAACCCTTCACAAGGCATTTCAGTTTATATAGAAACACTGATTCTAAAATACCGAGTGCAGATAGAATTTGGCTCCATAAACACAGCAGTCAAACCCAAATGATGAGGAATGAACTGAATGGATGGCTGAACTTGATATACTTGAGTAGTTCTTCCTTCCTTGGCTGTCATATCAAAAATTAGAAAGAGGCAGCCTAGGGAAGACGTACACCTTACTTACTCTGTATTATTTTCAACTAATGTGTTATCTAGCACAGAAGTTCTCAAAGTCTTTGATTTCAGAATCCCTTTACATGTTTAAAATTGTTGGGGAATCTCAAAAGAGATTTTGTTTATGTAGGTTATAACTGTCAATGTTAACTATATTCAAAATTAAAACTGAGAAAAATTTTAATGGCAAGAATCCACAAGCACACATATCATTAGCCATCAGAAGGATGATGCCATCAAGTTTCATGTAGACTCTGGAAAACTCTATTGTTTACTTGTGGGAGAATGAGAATGAAAAAGGAGATTCTCACAGATACCCTGAAAGAATTGTGCAGACTCCCAGGGGCCCCTGGACCATACTTTGAGTACTGCTGGCATAGCACATTAGGTGCAAATAAACACATTTATTGAAACACTAATTAGTGATAGCATAAGGTTATGGCCAGTATATACTACCGGTACTGCACCTACACAACTATTTTTAATGAGCAATGACCAGAGCTTGCTTGCTTTTGCACTTTTATTGCCACATCAATCAATCAGTTTCAGTTTCTAGCCAATAGATTATCAAATAGAAAACCCTAAGACAACAACAACATAAAAAGTTTTGAAAGGACAATTGTCTACCTTGTTTGAAATCTTTGTTTATAATGATATAAAAGGAGACAGGTGGAAAGAAGGGGAGGGAGGGAATGTTTGATGGATTCAATGAAGGCTGAAATTAAACATCTTAACAACCACCAAATTAATCATTCCACCGCTTGCTTTCAGATTCATAACATTATGAGATACCACGTAGATAGAGAAAAAAGTCTAAATGGGTCTAGTTATAGTATTTATTATTGAATTTTAAAGTGCTGCATTTGACACAGTCTCTTATAAAACTCTTATAAAACATTCAGAGCTGCCCTAGCTGTTCCATGGCTTAGATCCCCTTTTCCCTTTCCTTCTCAATTTAATAAGTTTGCAAATAAAGGCATAAATAAATGATAATGATGTCTTCTATTTTTAAGCATTTTGTTATCTGTTATTTAATCTGAGAGTCAGAATAGAGTGAACTAATGCTCTCTTTAGCAAACTGTAAATACCCTTTGAACAAGAATTTGAATCTACATACTTCTTAGATACTATAGTCATTGCTTTCTTGCTTCTGCTTTGAGTGTTCTTTACAATTTTCAGCCTGTTGCCCATTTCAAGTAGATTAGAGAGTCAAATAAATCATCCCAGTAGAGGACAATCTTAAAATGAAATGTCGGTTGGGGAAATAGCTTTTCCATTTATTAATATTAATTTTTAACTTTACCATATGTTCCGTTCATTTTTCTGCCTCTGAAAGTCAGAGCTCATGGTGTGCATGTGTTTTTCTGAAGAGTTGAAAGAATGATGTTACCCACCCAGTGGTCAGTTTATAGCCTTCCCATTCCCAGTTCTTTATCCTGATTTTAGCTCAATCCCAGGTATGGCCACATTCTGGTAAATCCCTTAAGCAAGAAATACTGCAGCCAATTTAAACAAAAGAAAGGGAGGGAGTGCTGCTGTGAAAGGCAGCCATGCCAATGGGAAAAAACGAAATCAACTATTTGCCAATACTCTGTGGCCTGAGGGTTAACGTAGTGTCCAAACAGAACTTATTAAATGAGCTTTAATATTGAAGCATCACAGAGTCGGGAAAAGAATCAACCAACTCAAGGTGATGAAATGTTTTTCTGTTTCAGCACTGAGTTTTATCTTCAGAAAGTCGGATAAACACAATGTATTAGAAGTATGTCTTATATTACTAATTTTTAGAAGACTATATTTTTATTGGGTATAAGTTGGAATATAATTTATTTATGAATGTATTTATATTTGTATTAATAAGCCCAACAAGATGACATCGTGCATTCAAATCTGTTTGTATTGTGTAGATGAATATAGTGGTTGGTAAAGTTAAAACCAGGAAACTTTTGAAATTGTCAAATTAGGAAGAGAGTGGCTATCAATTGAATTTTCATAAGCAACTTAATCTGTTGGTTTAAGCAAAAAGGGGACTATAAAAATGTTATGAAATCACTGGCCCAGCGCAGTGGCTCATGCCTGTAATCTTAGCACTTTGGGAGGCCAAGGCATGCAGATCACTTGAGGTCAGTAGTTCTAGACCAGCCTGGCCAATATGGCAAAACCCCATCTCAACTGAAAATACAAAAATTAGCTGGACATGGTGACCTGCGCCTGCAACCCCAGATACTCAGGAGGCTGAGGCAGGAGAATCGCTTGAGCCCGGGAGGCGGAGGTTGCAATGAGCCAAGATCCCACCACTGCACTCTAGCCTGGGCAGCAAAGTGAGACTTCATCTCAAAAAAAAAAAAAAAAAAAAAAAGATGAAGAAGATAGAAAAAAAAAATACAGTTAGAAACTATTCTGACATTAGCCCTTCATAGTCTATACCACTATACCCTCCTTCTTCCTCCCTGTAAAAGTCCTCTCTACAAATCACGGAAGTAAGAAAATAGATGCTTGAAAGAACGAAAGAAAAAAGTACGGAAAAAAAGAAAAACTAAATGTTTTTACTAACTAAAACAATGACTGAGGATTATAGGTTTTGTCATGGGCTTTTTAATGTGACATTAAAATACCTGACTTAAAAGCAGATGCATAAAAATACTACCAAAATGTACTTAGACATTTCATGTATATTAATATTATGTTATCCTCCTGAGTCTTAAAGGATGTTTTTTTCCTAACAAGATAATATCAGCAGCCACTTATTTTTGTCTGTCCTTTTTAGTATTTCAGTCTCACACTAACTCTGCAAGGTAGTTGGTTAGGATTTTAACCCAGATACTTTTTTCTCCAAATCCTTTATTCTTTCCACTTAGGCTAAAATACTGTCTAAGCCACTGCCTTCTGGAAAAGAATACATATTTCCCTCTATACCTTTCATGTTAGAGTTAATAAGACTCACTCACCAAGGAAGGGAGTGGGGTGGGAGTGGCATGGGAGAAGAGACTAAACTCTAGCTACTTGTGTAAGATGGATTCTGACGATAACCAAGTAACTTTCCGTTTCTGGAGGCAATAAAACTCACACTAAACAAACAAACACTGACTTTCTCTTTGCTGTAGACACCAATACACTCTTGCCATTATGTCCAGCAACAAACTTGTTACATTGGGTTTTCTTATAAGTAGATTGGGAAAAGACCATGGTCCAACGGGGCCAGCATTTGGTAGCCTAAAAATTGTAGCAGCAATAGCTATAAGATGATGTTTCTCTATTTTCTGAAAAAGATGACAAAAAAGAAAAATGAGGAAGAGAAAGAAAAAGAAAGAAGGAAGGAAGGAAGGGAAGAAAGAAAGAAAGAAAGAAAGAGTAAGGAAGAAAGAAAGAGAAGGGAAGGAAGGAAGGGAGGAAGGGAGGGAGAGAGGGAGTGAGGTGGGAGGAAGGAAAGAAAGAAAAAGAGAGAAAAGAAGAAAGAAGAAAGAAAACAAGAAAAGAAGAAAGGAAGAAAGCAAAAGAAAGCAAGAAAGGGAAGGATGTAAGGAAGGAAGGAAGGAAGGAAGAAGGGAGGGAGAGAGGAATGGAGGGAGGTGGGAGGAAGGAAAGAAAGAAAAAGAAAGGAAGGAAGGAGGAGGAAGGAAGGAAAGAAAGAAAAAGGAAGGAAGGAAGAAAAAAGAAAAGAAAAAAGAAGGAAGGAAGGAAAGAAAGAAAGAGAAAGGAAGGAAGGAGAGAAGAAAAGAAAAAAGAAAGAAAGAAAAAAGGAGGGAAGGAAGGAAGGAAAAAAGGAAGGACGAAGAGGGAGGGAGGGAGGAATGGAGTAGCGGCAGGAAGGAAGGAAAGAAAGAAAAAGGAAGGAAGGAAAGAAAGTTGGAAGAGAAAGGAAGGAAAGAAAGTTAAAGGAAGGAAGAAGGAAAAAAGAAAAGAAGAAAGAGAAGGAAGGAAAGAAGGAAGAAAGAAAGAAAGAAAGAGAGAAGTGAAAGAAAAGAAAGAGAAAGAAAGAAGCCAGAAAGGAGGGAAGGAAGGAGAGAGAAAGAAAGGAGGGAGGGAGGGAGGAAGGAGAAAGAAAAAGAGGGAAAGAAAGAGAGAAAGAAAGGAAGAAAGAAAGAAAGGAAGGAAGAAAGGAAGGAAGAAAGGAAGGAAGGAAGGATGCAAGGGAAAGAGAAAGAAAGAGAGAAAAAAACAAGCAAGAAAGGAGGGAAGAAAGGAAGGAAAGAGAGAGAAAGGAAAGGAGGGAGGGAGAGAGAGAGGAAGGGTGGAAGGAAGGAAGGAGTCAGTCAAGTCCAAAACACCATATGAAAAACTTAAAAATATGCCAATATCGTTCCCCAATAGGGAGCGAGTTTCAACTTAAAAGATCTCCTGCTATGTGCCAAACATAACCCATCATTCCTTTTTTTTTTTTTCCTTGGCATTGGGCTCTTTTTTTACCAATCTGTCAACAGTGCTTAATAGTTGAATTATAGTCAGGTAAGAGAGACTCCTAACCCACTGAGATGGTTAATAAAAAAGTATAGAGATTCATCTTCATTTTTACATTGTATTTATTTGGGGCTATGAGATAATTTTGATTTGTCTTTGACATGAAGCATAAACTACCAATTTTAAAGTGGTCTCTATAGGGATTCTCATGCGGGCAATCAATGACATTTGGATCTCTCTAAAGAGGTAACAGTAAAACTTATTGTTTTCAAACCCTAAGTCATGAAACTCTATATAATATTTAAATTCTCTTACTGGGGCCCAATAAGTAAAATAGATAAAAGTGTAATGCTTTGGTGAACTCTGATTGGAAAGTGCTCAAGACCCTCCCCAATATCAGACCTTCATCTCCACCCTCAACCACTCTCTCAAGAATAAGACTTGATGTATTCCTCAGAACTCCATGGAACTTAATTATTTAATATGATCAATTACATAATTAACTGATTTTTAAATTTAAACTGAAAACCAATTGTTATCTGAGCTGCAACTATAGAGTGATTAATTTTTTAATAACAAGAATACTATGATTTATACAATCCCATGAGTGCTGTTCACTTCAGTGTAGTCCAATTTGGAAACGAGGCACTTATTCCACTAATGATAACATTGTTCAAAATAGTTTCGAAATGTCTGTTTCAGTACTGTCCCTTACATGGTCTTCTAGATTCTGTCAATATTGTCCATTATAAAATTTTGAAATCAAAGTTGATATTTTGTAATAATCAAAATCATTCAAAACAAAAACTGTTGATGGCTGTAAATGGTTTGGCAGAATAATACTGCTTTTTTACTTATTCATTTGTTTTAGTGAAACTTCCATGTGACTACAAAACATTAAGATTTCTTTGTGCTGCTTAAATACTTTTTTAAAAAGAAAAAAAAAAACCAGAGGAAATGTAAAAGCAATGTAATTTTTAAAAAGAATAGAATTTTATAAAGTGGTTATTTTGAAGATGACAACTCTTTTGTGAATGTATAAATTCTTGGTAAATAGCACCACTTTTAAATAAGAATTTTTCATATAGGAATAATCTCCTGCTAAAAATCTTGACAGCTCAGTGTTTTCCATTACAAATCAAGGGAAATTCTATCAGCTCTTTATTTATTATGAAAGTTTATGGTAAAAATTAATTGGCTAGTTTCTCCATGGAACATTAATGGCACTCAAAATATGCTATTTTAAAACAAGACATTATGATCGGAAAAAAACAATTAGAGGTATAAGGAGATGAGAAAGAATTTCAGCAAAACCACATTTGGATTGACTTTTAAAATATTTTTTCTTACATTTTAATAATATTTAATAAGGGTTATTTGAAGATGATGATTTTAAGGAGTAACACAAATTTTCATAAGATGATAAAATACAGAGCAGAAGAGTCAGCCTGGGAAAGTCTGACTGTATATTGGGAGGTCACTAAGACTGAAATTCAATTAAATACTTGAGGCTGTCTGCCATGCTCCAAACACTTGCACAAACTGTCAGTCATTTAATCTTCAAGGCAATCTTTCGAGGTACATAATATTACCTTTGTGTTAGAAATGAAAGAAACAAGACTTACAGATGTAAAATTATTTGCCCACAACTTCTGATGAAACTGTCTTCTAGCTCTAAACCCAATGCCCTTTCTATTACTTCATTTGAACTCGGGGGCTAAAGCCCACAAGCTAAGCATCATCAATCAGGGAAAATCAGGCAACAAGGGAATTCTAACAGATTAGAATACAAGATGAAGGTGGCCCCACGATCCAGTTACTTGGAGAGGAAGCACTGATGGAGATGTGACTTCCTGGGTCTGAGTGAAATGTGTAATCAGTCAATTTATACAAAACGAGGAGGATCCAGTAATGGACACAGAGCTCATTGAGGTGAATAGGAGATCTGGAGGAAGAAAATAGAATGAAATTAGATATGACCCTTATCACCTAGCTCTTTATAAGAATACCCTTCCGGCCGGGCGCAGTGGCTCATGCCTGTATTCCCAGCACTTTGGGAGGCCAAGGCCAGTGGATCACCTGAGGTCAGGAGTTTGAGACTAGTCTGGCCAACATAGTGAAACCCCATCTCTACTAAAAATACAAGTGGCACGTGCCTGTAGTGTCAGCTACTCAGGAGGCTGAGGTGGGAAGATCACTTGAGCCCAGGAGGCGGAAGTTTCAGTGAGCCGAGATCATGCCACTGCACTCCAGCTCGGGCAACAGATCAAGATTCCATCTCAAAAAAAAAAAAAAAAAAAAGAGAGAGAGAGAGAGAATACCCTTCCAAGTCTCAAATGTTTTTTCTATAGACTCCTATGCTCTCTTGGGGAGACAGGAAAAGCATCCGGTAAGACATAACTACTTTCTTACGGCTTGAGCACTTCTGAGGGTAGAACAAGAACCTTGAACAAAAGCCATACCTTCACAACTTTTTCATGTCCATCTTGGCACACCACTCTGTTCCTAAAATCTTGCCTAGCAGAAACAAGCCACACCTGGTAGTGATTTTGTACAACTCATTTATCCCAGGGTTGTTCAGCCAATGACTTGGTGAAAAGTAGTTTAGATAAATTAATGAATGCTAAATGTATAATGCATTATTACGAAACTAATATGTTATAAAGAAATACCTTCTCCTCTAATATTTAAATCATAGAAAAAGAGTAAACTAAGTTTGTTATACATCTATCATTTAATCACTGTAATAACCACATAAGGTAGATATAAATAAACTTCCCCAGGTTCACAGAGGCAGTAGCACTGAGACTAGGATTTAGATACCATCTGCCAGGTTCATGCCCTGCTCTTTAGACTCTTTCTGCTTCAGACAAAAATTACTTCAACATAAACACACACACACACACACACACACACACATACACACACTCCACAGCTCTTGGCTGCCAATATCAAGATAATAAATCATCTAACTGTATAGGCTATTGGTCTTCCATTGTGAAACAATTTTAAGTTCTCAGATTTTACTTGCAAATCCACTATGAGATTCTTCTGTATTCTGTAATTTGCAGTATGTATTTTGAAGCTAGTCTAAACATACAAAAGTGCTTATCTGAAAAATTTCTACAATGGCACTATTACTAAATGTAATTACACATTTTATTACCTTCTGCTGTGATCTGAATGTTTGTCTCTTCCATAACTCATGTTGAAATTTAATTGCCATTGTAACAGTATTAAGAGACCAGATATTTAAAAGGTAATGAGGCCATGAGGGCTCCATCCTCAGGACGGGATTCGTGCCCTTATAAGAAGATGAGTTTGGCCCCCTCTTGCTCTCTCTTGCCCTTTTTCCACCCACCATGAGATGACACAGCAAGAAGGTCCTTGACAGATGTCTCTCAATTTTGTAATTTCCAGTTTGAAGAACTGTGGGCCAATAAATTTCTGTAAGTATAAATTATTCAGTGTCAGATATTCTCTTGTAGCAGAAAAATTGGACTAAGATGCCCTCCCCCAAGATACCTCACCATGTCTTAAGAATTCCACTGATACCACAATCCAAATGAAAGTGCCTCTCTGAAATAGACCAAGGGTAGCATTCTAGGTTTCTAAAGAAAGCTTGGAGATACAATTTTATTACAGCAAATTTATCATTATCGATCATTTTGTGAATGACTATTCTATTTTTATTTACTAATTTGAACCAATTAAAAAATTAATTTGTACCAATTAAATTTGTACCAATTAATTTGTACCAGCTATAAATTGCATAACGACATTTCTGACAATGATGGGCTGCATATACGACAGTGGTCCCGTAAGATAATAATGGAGCAGAACAAATCTTATTGCTTAGTGACATCATTACTATTATAACATCGTAGTGCAATGCATTACTCACATATGTGCAGTAATGCTGGTGTAAACAAACCTACTATGCTGTCAGTTATATAAAAGTATAGCACATAAATTATGTAGGGTACATAATATTAATAATAATAAGCAACTATGTGAGTGGCTTATGTATTTACTACAGTATACTTTGTATCATTCTTTTAGAGTACTATATTATATATAGAGAGAGTATATATAGAGTATATATATTTGAGATGGAGTCTCACTCCCGTCGCGCAGGCTGGAGTGCAGTGGCACCATCTCAGCTCACTGCAACCTCCGCCTCTTTGGTTCAAGTGATTCTCCTGCCTCAGCCTTCTGAGTAGCTGGGATTACAGGTGCCCACCACCACGCCCAGCTAATTTTTGTATTTTTTAGTAGAGACAGGGTTTCACCATGTTGGCCAAGCTGGTCTCGATCTCCTGACCTCAGGTGATCCACCCGCCTGGGCCTCCCAAAGTGCTAGGATTACAGGCGTAAGCCACTGCACCCGGCCTCAATTTGTATTTAAAAAGTTAACTGTAAAACAGCCTCAGACAGGTCCTTCATGAGTTATTCCAGAAGAAGGCATTGTTATTCTGGAAGATGACCATTCCACACATGCTATTATTTTTGAAGACCTCTCAGTGGGACAAGGGTGGAGGTAGAAGACAGTCATAGTAATGGCTCTGACCTGTGTATTCCTAGACTAATGCATGTGTTTGTGTCTTCATTTTTAACAAAAAAGTGTTAAAAAATTTAATAGACACTATTCACAATAGCAAAGTCTTGGAAACAACCCAAATGTCCAACAATGATAGACTGGATTAAGAAAATGTGGCACATATACACCATGGAATACTATGCAGCCATAAAAAATGATGAGTTCATGTCCTTTGTAGGGACATGGATGAAATTGGAAATCATCATTCTCAGTAAACTATCGCAAGAACAAAAAACCAAACACCGCATATTCTCACTCATAGGTGGGAATTGAACAATGAGATCACATGGACACAGGAAGGGGAACATCACACTCTGGGGACTGTTGTGGGGTGGGGGAAGGGGGGAGGGATAGCTTTGGGAGATATACCTAATGCTAGATGACGAGTTAGTGGGTGCAGCGCACCAGCATGGCACATGTATACATATGTAACTAACCTGCACAATGTGCGCATGTACCCTAAAACTTCAAGTATAATAATAAAAAAAAAATTTAATAGACAAATGATGACAGGATAAGAATATAAAGAAAGAAAATATTTTGTATAGTTTTACAATGTGCTTGTGTTTTAAGCTGTTATTACAAAAAAGTCAAAAAGGTTTTAAACATTTAAAAGTTGTAGTCGCTAAGCCTAATTTATTATTAAAGAAAAATTTTTTAAAATAAATTTAGCGTAGTCTAAGTGTATAGTGTTTATAAAGTCCACAATGGCGTACAGTAAAGTCATAAGCCTTTACATCCACTCACCACCCACTGACTCACCCAGAGCAACTTTCAGTCCTGCAAACTCCATTCATGGTAAGTACCCTATATGAGTGGACCATTTTATGCCATATTTTTATGGTACCTTTTCTATGTTTAGATATATTTAGACACACAAATACCATTATGTTACATTTGCCTACAGTGTTCAGTATAGTAACACGCTGTACAGGTTTGTAGCTTAACAGCAATAGGCTATAGCATATACCCTAGGTGTATAGTAGGCTATACCATCTAGGTTTGTGTAAGTACACCCTATGATGGTCACACAATGACAAAATCACCTAAAAATGCATTCCTCAGACTATATCTCCATTGTTCAGCAACACATAACTGTGCCACCATAAAATAAAGAAACTCCATCATAATGTCATATTCTCTGTTTGCTCTTTGATATGGTTTGAATATTTGTCCCCTTCAAATCTCATGTTAAAATATAACCCCCATTGTTGGAGATGGGGCCTGGCAGGAGGTGTTTGGATCATGGGGATGGATCCTCATGAACAGCTTAGCACCCTCATGAAGAGCTTAGCATCCCCTTGGTGATGAGTGAGTTCTTGCTCTGAGTTCACATGAGATCTGGTTGTTTAAAAGAGAGTAGCACCTGCCCGCCCTCTCTCTTGCTCCTGCTCGCACCACGTGATGTGCTTGCTCCCACTTCGCCTTCCACCATGATTGTAAGCTCCTGAGGCCCTCACCAGAAGCCAAGCAGATGCTGGTGCCATGCTTGTATAGTCTGCAGAAGTGTGAGCCAATTAAACTTCTTTTCTTTATAAATTACCCAGCCTCGAGTGTTTCTTTACAGCAATGCAAAAATGGACCAGTACCCTCTTCATATTTGGAAAGTCTGGTTTGAATCAATGAGAGGAGTCCATGATGACGTTGTACTCAATATTTAATCTCTTTGAATCTTTAATTCTCTTTCTTCCTTAATATCTTTTCCCCAGCTTGTATGTGATTCTCCTTACTACATGATGTGCAATTTTCTTTCACATTTCCAGTCACAGTTTGTAATGTTATTTTTTGTGTAATTATTTGATTAGTGTCATTCTCCCCTACTAGACCAGAAGTGCATAAGAATATTGACTGTTTGTACCCCAGCGCCTTCTTGCTCAGTGGTTCAATAAGTAAATATTCATTGATAAATAAATGAATAAACCTACTCCTCAGGATTATTTATTGTGAGATTTTTTTAAAGATGCTAATTTTTTTCAACTGGAAAAAATGCTTTATAAATGTAAACTCTTATTGATCTACTGTTCTTATTTTTTTAATCAATATTCAAATTAAGGGAAAGTGATACTATATGTAACTGTCAGACTGGAAAGTTTCCCAAAGTTTTGGGCTTTATAGCATTGGCAATTGGCAAAAGCTTCATCACCTCTGTGGGAGAGAAAAAGAAAAAGGAGTGATTCACCTCTCGTATTACCTCTGGGGGACAAGCAACTCACATAATTGCTCTAGTAGTAGGGAAGAGAGGGAGAAAAAGCAATTTCAAAAACATGAGACTGGTCATACAATACCAATATCTTTTGGAGATTTCTGGAAGTATTCCGATTTTTAGGGGTGCTATTTAATGTGCTATAATATTCAAATTCACTGAGGACATTATACTAGAGTGTAAACGTTTTGTAATCTATAATTTATTTTTTTAAACCCATCCATCTAAGCTCTCTACAGGAAGAATAATTCCATGTCTTAAAGAAAATCTAACTACAAAAGTCACAAAGACTTTGGCAATAATCACCTCAATTATTCCAGCTAGCATTGTTATAAAGTAGGGCACAGAGAACTACAAACAAATGCATGGCACTCAATCCGAGCTGGGAGGAACTATTGCACAACTGGGTTATGTTCAGAAACTGGTTGAAAACTGTGTGAGCATCGAGCCATGAAGATTTTACCTCCTGGGTTCCCACCTCTGCTTAATAGTGTTAACATGCCCAACTTCAAGACGGGCTGTTAATTTTGATTAGGGCTCGTACTCCCAGTCAAGCAAGGGCACAGAAGAATGTGAGAGGTCAGATAAGAGAACCAACCCTCTAATCTATTTCCACTAGCACAGTGGAGGGGTTGTGATTTTGGAGTCTATTAGGAGATACCTTTGTGGTCTCCTTGGTGAAGGGAATTCCCAGAAAAAGCCAACTCTGAATATGCATGTCTGGAGGCAGCATGTTTAATCATCACATTGCACATTGGAAGAGATCAAACCAGCACAATGTGCTTATGCTGAAAACAGATGATGTGTTCCTTTTCCCTATCCAGGATGCAAATTGCTTCTGCAAAGAGCTGACTTCATTATAAAGAACTGATACTGCCTGAGTTTGAGAGGACTATCACCAAGGGGCAGTGACCTTCTGGCTGATCTGAATATCAGCTTATCTTGGTGCTGAATAATGCATAGCTATATTTATGTTCTCATTTAAATATCGCTTAATATTTAACTTTCTATTGCCCATTCACTGTGTTTTAATGAGTTATTCCAAAATAGTACAGACAACATGGGTACTATAAATGCAGTCATGTTGAGGTTTTGGTTTTCTTAGGAAGATTATATCAACCTCAGTCATCGGGAAAGAGTTGTCCTGGAATCTGGGGCATGCTACCTCATCAACTCTTGATCAATCTTAAAAGATTTTTGAAGTATTTGTTCTGGGGAGACGTGAGGACATTTCATCTTTGTCAAAAACAGCCATAGTAATTAGGAAATGAACTAAGTTTTAAGAAGATCATTTAAAACTTCAATCATGTTAATGGGATTTTTAAGAACTCAATAAAGACGTCATTCTGATTTAATTGCGCTGGCTATTGGTTTATTAAACACTTCATTATTTGTCCCTTTATACACCATAGATGAATTCTAATTGACAACAAACGTCCAAAATGAAGAACAAATTGAAAACTCAGGATTTCTAAGCACCCAATGTTGGAGCAAAGAAGATGACAAAAATTCTATGTGATTTACTCTCCCATTTTTTTTCAAACAGATGCTTCATTTTGAAAATTATGAATATGAAATTATATTCATAGTTTCAGAATAACCTTAGACATTCCATACATATATTTTATATAGTGCCATTTGCACTGGACTTGGAGCACAAAAACATCAGTAAATCTTGTTTCTATCCTAAGTATGGGCATAGATGATTCAACCTCTGGATGCCAGTTCGCTCTACTGTAAGATGGAAGTGTTGAGTTGGGTGTTCATCCTGCTTCTTCTCTCTGCGTATTACTCGTAGCATTTCTTTTAGGTAGATGTAGAACCATGTCTACCTCTCATAACTCAGAGTCTCAGGGATAGACTCAAGGTCACATATATTCTGAGGAAGCAGCCAGGCTTTGAAGATATTATGACTATTAATAACCAAATCATGCTTCCTCTCTTAAAAATAGTAGAGGGAAGGAAAATGCTGCATCTACGTTGATGAGTAAAAGAACACCCACAATTAACTCAGTACAATTCAAGACTACCCAAATTCTGATTCTATCTTCCTTAAAAATTGTAAGGCAGAAATACAAAGAGATTTTAAATTATAGCTGGCAAGATTGTTAAAAATTGAACTTTTAAAAGTCTAAATCATATTTGGACAAAATTATTGACATAACTAATCATTCATTTTAGAGAAAAATCACACCAAAATATGATTTAATTGCAAAGACAACCAGCACCATACTTATGTTAAGAAAAAACAACAAATAATGTGTCTCCTACTCCCAGCATAGGCCTTTTTATTTACAAAATTAATTATGACAATGAGATTCAGAGGTTTCAAATGCAGACTGCTGCACCATACTTTGGTAGTGCAATAACAACAATTATATTTGGAAGCTTTTAAATTAAAAATGTAAAAGCCTCCTATTTATCTTTTTGCCTTAATTAGTTGCTAAGCAAGTACCATGCTGAAGGTTGCATTCATGACAAAAGCTGGTGGTTGCAAATCAGTGTTCTCTGAAGGATTCGCCGCAATTCTTTAAATGAGATGTCGTAAATGTCCCATAACAATGCATTTAGTTTCAATTTAATATAATCACTTTTATATGTTAAACAGTAAAAAATGAATTCAGTGCCTACATAGGCCTCTAAACTGTCAGTTTGCCTCCTAATCCTCCCACCAGCCTCTCTAAAATTAAAAAAAAATAAAGCATTTGGGGAATATATAAAACTAGCATGCCGCACATTACTATTATACTTCCGGTACTATAGCCGCAAATGTCTTCTCTGAGCAAAGGATGATTTATCTAAGGTGAATAAAGAATACACAGTTTGGCTAATGAATTTAAAACATGAAATAATAGTTATAGTGAAAAAAACAAAGCTAAAATAACTGATTAGTATGCCTGGGAGTGGCAATGATATATATGAGACCAATGTTGAGGATATTTTTTCCTTCCCTTATATACTGTCTGGGGGAAATGGCAGTACATGAGTTAAATCTCAAGTCCCAAACTGTCACTACGGCCTCTGCAGCGGCTAATATAATAATTCCATTGAGGTCTTAGTTCTTGCCCTCAAAGTGGTTTAAAAGGTTCCACTTTTTAAAAATAATTACCGCTAACGTGGCAGGCCCTCTGCTAGGTGCTTTATACGATCTTAACAACCCCCAAATTCGTTTCAAATTAGCTCTATTTTAAAGATGAAGAAATCTAGGTTCAGGCTAAGGATCCCAGAGCAAGTAAATTACAGAGTCTGTGTTTGAATACAAGTCAGCTTAACTCCACAGACCATGCGTTTTCCACAACCTGCACTGTACCCAAATGCTAAAGAACGGTTTGGGCATTCTGCCTCACGATGTCCTCCTGTACCTGAATGCTGAGGAGTATGAATCATACGCTTACCTTGACTGAGTGTTGTGTATGCATCCACATAGATTGCACTTTTCAACCTGTCTACATAGTGCCATGATGTGTTTTCTTTCACAAAGAGAAAGGAAACCCCTGAAAAAGAAACTCGCCTCTACTTCGTCATCTTTCCTCTAATGTGCCTGTTATAGTGTCTCCCACTCTCTGGGCCAACCTGCTTGGAAGAAGCATCTCTTCTCATGGCAATCTGGACTCCATCCTGACTTGCTGGGCTCATTTTCTAATTGCCAAAGCCACTGACATGCTTCATTTGTCCTTTCTGGAGTGTTTAACACTGATGGTCATTAGCTCTTCACAGAACGTTCCTCTGGTTTCTGATTTTCCTCCTTCTTCTCTGGCTGCCACCTCTCACCGTTTACAATAGGCTTCTTTTCTTCTATCTACCTTTAAAATGCTACTGGCTCTGGAGTTTTCATTCCGAAACTTTGTATATACTCTATATACTCAACCTGAGTGATATCATCTAAACACTGAGGGTTCTTGTTGGGAGGATATTCTCCATAAGCCTCTCATATTCTTTCATGTCTTATGAAGAGTGGTACTCACCTCCCTTTGTATAAAACCATCCTTTTAACAGTGACCAGCCTTGGAACGTAGATACAGTGTCTCCTTCTACATAAAGATTTAGGCTCCCTAAGCTCGGGTTTCTACTCCTGAGATGCAACCCACCGACTGTATAGCTGCCATCTGGTATGCTTTAAGTTATCCCATGATGGTACTCTGGCTACTGCTATTGTGTGAGTAATAAACTACCCTTCATTTGGACTCAGGAGTTTCATGTCTTCTATCAGCATCCATGACCCTTGAAATTGTGACAAACTAACTTATTAATTTTAAAGTAAGATAAAATATCGGGCCCTTCACAGTATTTAACAATACCCTATACTAGTTAGGACACCACAGATTGTAAATAGAAGAATGGAAAGAAAGAGGAATGACAGAACAAAAGAATATATACATACATATATATATACACACACACATATATACATACACACACAAAAGCATATACATGTATATGTATGTGTATATACCTATATATTCTTATATATATCATCTATTTATCTATATATATAGATATAGATATCTGAGAGAGAGGAAGGAAGTAAGGAAGGAAGGAAGGAAGGAAAGAAGGAAGGAAGGAAGGAAAGAGGGACGTAGTAGGAAGAGCCACCTTTGGGGAATGTGCCAGATTGGTTTAGGCTAATCAGGTCACAGTCCTAGACCTTGGAGTACTGTCAACTTCCTCCAAAGACATGGACTGGATGGGGAAAGGATGGCCACCCGAAATAAAATCTGAGTGTTGTTATTAAGAAAGAAGAGGGAATTGATGCTGGTTAGGCCATTACCAAATGTCTGTTGCACTCCTGAATGTATACCCTTGACTCTATTTGCATTCCAAACCAATTTTTAAAATTGTTTCATGAACTCCTCCATCTGGCTTTCTCGTCGGCATCTAAAACATGGCATGCCTATCCTCATTATCTTTCTTTTTCTGAATTATCTACCTCAGTAAATAGCACAATCATCTACACAGTCAACCAACCCCAAAATATGAAAGTCATCCTAATTTTCTGCATGCCTCCTACCCCTACATCTAATCAATTACTAACTCCATTTGCTTCTATTTCTAAGTAATTCTTTAAATTATCCTCTTTTTTACATTCCCACCAGAATTTCCTTGATTCAAGCCATCACTGCTCTTCCTGTATTACCACAATGCTATTTTAACTGGCATTCCTGCTTTCAAGTTTGCCTGCCACTAAACTATCATGCACTATCCACAATACTGTTAGATTTGTTTTGGAAAATAGAAACTTTAATTGGTCTGAACCATATTTAAAATGGTCTCATGCCATCAGATGAAGACAAACTTTTTAATGTGTCCCTTCATAATCTAGCCTCAACATCTGTTCCACTCCAACCGTTCTATACAAAGTTTTGCAAATATACCCTTCTCATTCATGCCAACTTGACTCAGGCTGTCTCCTCTGCCTGAAATACTCACCCCTCCAACAAAGTCTGAGTAATTCCCACTTAGCTGGTCTCCAGAATGAATTCAAGCTCCAAGCAGCACTTTATTTGCTGATTTCAGCTGAGACAGCTAAGGGGCCCCTTTTCTGTATCTTTGCTGTCAGAACCCGAAGCTTCCAGCATGTGCTTCTTTTGAAGTACTTCCATCACTGCATTGTCATCAGTGACTTCCTTTTCTTTCTCTCTCTTCTAATAGATTATGAGGTCCTTGGTGAAAGAAGTCAGTCTTGAGCACCCGTCATCCATCATACAGCTGACCCAAAATGGAGACTCGTTATCATTGAATGCTGAATGATCATATTAAGATTCTGCAATGAATGCAGAGTTAAGATTCAGTTTTGCAGGATAGCCATACTGGCTGTCTGCAGTGCCTGTATTATAGCAATTGCTAAATATTTTAAATTTCACTCCTTAGTTCATGAATATTATTCCTGTAAATGTCATTTGACTTGTAGAACTGCTAATGCTGTGTGTTAACAACTTGTATTAATGCCTGCTTCTAGAGATTGATTCTTGATGATGTCAAATGAATTAGCGCTATGTATGTGTGATTTTAATGCATTCAGGATTGTGCTCTATTGCTCCACCCACAACAATCAGCTACATATTGCCAACTGGAGTAATGTAACAGTTTCCTAACGTGAACAGGCAAAGTGGTTGATCGATCTGACCAGCAGATGTACTCAGGGAGTCCAGAAACACTGTTATCACCATCTACATACTGACCGGGACTCATTCTTTTAAGAGAACAAATTTTAGAATATATTTATACTAATCCTATTGCTATTCCTAAATACATAATAAAAACAAGTATTACAATAGCTAATATTTATTGTACATTTACTACCAGTCACAGTGTTAAGCATTTTGCCTTCAGTATTTTTATTATTTCATTTAATTTTCTCAAGATGACTGAAGTATTTTCATCATCTGCGTTTAACAGTGCATTGGCATTTTATTCTCTTTGAAGCAATTGTGAATGGGAGTTCACTCATGATTTGGCTCTCTGTTTGTCTGTTATTGGTGTATAAGAATGCTTGTGATTTTTGTACATTGATTTTGTATCCTGAGACTTTGCTGAAGTTGCTTATCAGCTTAAGGAGATTTTGGACTGAGACAATGGGGTTTTCTAGATATACAATCATGTCATCTGCAAACAGGGACAATTTGACTTCTTCTTGTCCTAATTGATATAAAATACCTAGGAATCCAACTTACAAGGGACATGAAGGATCTCTTCAAGGAGAACTACAAACCACTGCTCAATGAAATAAAAGAGGATACAAAGAAATGGAAGAACATTCCATGCTCATGGGTAGGAAGAATCAATATCGTGAAACTGGCCATACTGCCCAAGGTAATTTATAGAGTCAATGCCATCCCCATCAAGCTACCAATGACTTTCTTCACAGAACTGGAAAAAACTACTTTAAACTTCATATGGAACCAAAAAAGAGCCCGCATCGCCAAGTCAATCCTAAGCCAAAAGAACAAAGCTGGAGGCATCACGCTACCTGACTTCAAACTATACTACAAGGCTACAGTAACCAAAACAGCATGATACTGGTACCAAAACAGAGAGATAGATCAATGGAACCGAACAGAGCCCTCAGAAACAATGCCGCGTATCTACAACTATCTGATCTTTGACAAACCTGAGAAAAACAAGCAATGGGGAAAGGATTCCCTATTTAATAAATGGTGTTGGGAAAACTGGCTAGCCATATGTAGAAAGCTGAAACTGGATCCCTTCCTTACACCTTATACAATAAATTAATTCAAGATGGATTAAAGACTTAAACGTTAGACCTAAAACCATAAAAACCCTAGAAGAAAACCTAGGCATTACCATTCAGGACATAGGCATGGGCAAGGACTTCATGTCTAAAACACCAAAAGCAATGGCAACAAAAGCCAAAATTGACAAATGGGATCTAATTAAACTAAAGAGCTTCTGCACAGCAAAAGAAACTACCATCAGAGTGAACAGGCAACCTACAAAATGGGAGAAAATTTTCGCAACCTACTCATCTGACAAAGGGCTAATATCCAGAATCTACAATGAACTCAAACAAATTTACAAGAGAAAAACAAACAACCTAATCAAAAAGTGGGTGAAGGACATGAACAGACACTTCTCAAAAGAAGACATTTATGCAGCCAAAAAACACATGAAAAAATGCTCACCATCACTGGCCATCAGAGAAATGCAAATCAAAACCACAATGAGATACCATCTCACACCAGCTAGAATGGCAATCATTAAAAAGTCAGGAAACAACAGGTGCTGGAGAGGATGTGGAGAAATAGGAACACTTTTACACTGTTGGTGGGAATGTAAACTAGTTCAACCATTGTGGAAGTCAGTGTGGCGATTCCTCAGGGATCTAGAACTAGAAATACCATTTGACCCAGCCATCCCATTACTGGTTATATACCCAAAGGACTACAGATCATGCTGCTGTAAAGACACATGCACACGTATGTTTATTGCGGCACTATTCACAATAGCAAAGACTTGGAACCAACCCAAATGTCCAACAATGATAGACTGGATTAAGAAAATGTGGCACATATACACCATGGAATACTATGCAGCCATAAAAAATGATGAGCTCATGTCCTTTGTAGGGACATGGATGAAATTGGAAATCATCATTCTCAGTAAACTATTGCAAGGACAAAAAACCAAACACCGCATGTTCTCACTCATAGGTGGGAATTGAACAATGAGAACACATGTACACAGGAAGGGGAACATCACACTCTGGGGACTGTTGTGGGGTGGGGGGAGGGGGGAGGGATAGCATTAGGAGATATACCTAATGCTAAATGACGAGTTAATGGGTGCAGCACACCAGCATGGCACATGTATACATATGTAACTAACCTGCACATTGTGCACATGTACCCTAAAACTTAAAGTATAATAATAATAAAATAAAATTGAAAAAAAAAGATTAGGCCATAAGAACACTAGGAATTAGGGAGAAAAACAAAACAAAACAAAACAAAAAACAGTGCATTGGTGTACCATTGATGTGGAACAAATTGCAACAAACTCAATAGCTTAAAACAACATCTATTCTGTAGGTTAGAATGCTGGGCAGAGTATAAACTGAGTTCTAAGTGTCTCATGGGGCTGCAATCAAGGTGTCAACCTGAGCTGTGGTCTCGCCAGAGGCTCAGGGTCCTCTTCTATGCTTGTTTTTGAAGCTGTAAAACCCAGAAGCCAAATTGTTGAAGCCCAACAGAAGAATCTCTCTCACACTTTAAATCTTCTTGATTCCTCTGTCTCTGACCTCTAGCTCCACATTTTTAAAGTTTATGTGATTAGGTTAGGCCCATCTACATAATTTTCTTTTGATTAACTCGAGGTCACTGACTGGTAACCTTAATTACATCTGCAAAATCCCCTTTGCCAGATAATGTAACAAAATCATGAGAGTGAGACCTCATCCTATTCATAGGTTCTGCTTATACTCAATGGGAAGGAATTATATGAGGATATGAGGATGAGAATCATTGAGGGTCATCTTAAAATTCTACCTACCACAACTAGTGAGGAACCTGCAGCTTACACAAGTTATGTTACTGGGCCAAAGCCAAACATATATGAAGTGCAGATCCAGGGATCAAAACTAAACCCATACTATTGAAAGCTTTTGACACTAATGCCTGTGATGTTTTTCTGACACTTAAGTAACTAGGGCTTTGATGATCAAGTTGAAATATATAAATCTTAACCCCTTCACACTAGTTCACTTACTTTTAGAGAAAGGGTAGTTTCCTTACTTTTTTAAAGAAGTTTTTAGGCTGGGTGCTGTGGCTTGCGCCTGTAATCCCAGCACTTTGGGAGGCCGAGGTGGGCGGATCACCTGAGGTCAGTTCGAGAGCAGCCTGGCCAAAATATTGAAAACCCGTCTCTATTAAAAATACTAAACTTACCAGGTCATGGTGGCAGGTGCCTGTAGTCCCAGCGACTCAGGAGGCTAAGACAGGAGAATCGCTTGAACCCGAGAGGTGGAGGTTGCAGTAAGCCGAGACTGGGCCACTGCTCTCCAGCCTGGGTGACAGAGGGAGACTCCATCTCAAAAAAAAAAAAAAAAAAAAAGAAGTTTTTAAAAGACCAACCTCAAGTTAACTTCATCATGGGATGCATCTAAGCACAATTGCTAGTATATATATAGTAAACTGCAGCTTCCATCAGGCCACTCCTCAGATCAAAATCTTTCATCCGCTTTCTCCCTCTTGCTACATTTAATCCAAATAGTCTGATTCCACGCTACATTTCCATCCTTATTTTGACTCCTTCCTGCCATGCACTTCATTTGTCTCTTTCTGCCATATGCATTGTGGTCCAATGGCAATGCATACTGTTTACTTGGCCTGTGATTTGTTTCCTCCTTTATACCTCATTATTAAAACCTCAGCTCAAATCTCTTCTAAGAAACCTTTCCCAGCTCTTTCTACATACATTGACCCTACCTTTCTAAGAATTCCTATTACACTTAAAAGTCAGTAGCATACATCAGCATTTCATTATTCTCTAACTTTTCATGGATGTTTGCTCAGTTTTACTAAATAGTTTGTAAATTATTTTGAGTAGCATCATGATATTCTCCTTCGAGAACCTCCAACACCCCTGAGAAAAGCATAAAAAAATGCATTGTAGGCTCTCAACACACACAGGTTGACCAATTGATTGGTGGAGTTCTCCCAAGTTGAATTCTTCCTACTCAACCAAGGAAATTTGCCCAATGTTTAGAAAGCCACTTTAGCTCATCCAAAGAAGCAAACTGTTGTCATTATGCATTCAGTTTGGTTTTGGACATCAGTACCAGGAATCTGTATGGCTGCATGCCTTTTTATTCCAGAATAGGCTCCTTCTACCCTGAGGCTAACGGCATCAACCCAAGCTTACAGAACAAACTTTTCTAACATTCCATTAGCTTGCATGTTGTTCCCACAAATTACTCCTAAAGCTTTATTTTGATTAAGAATAAGACGACATGATATTTGAGGATTTGGGTTTATGTGCAAAGTTAAAACAGAACATCTAAATTTGTTTTCTTTCTCAGCAAAAATATCAGAAAATGCAGTGATATACAATGCTCAAAAAATGCAAGAAGTATGAAGGATAGAACAATGAAAACTACCTGCATGCAGCACTGGATTCTGAATTGGTTTTAGCATCTTGAGAATAGCTTGGCATTTACAGGAGAGTTCAGAAAATGGCTACTCCTAATTTCTGTTTGCCATATTTTCCCAAGATCTGTACAGTGTTATTAATTTAAATTATTTATGATAATGTCAGAAAGAAATACTCTTCATGTTGTTGGATAAATCACATTAGTCAGAAGCGACTCACATAAAATGAAAGACTTCTGTCTGCTACAGCAGCCAGGGAGAGAGACAGCATTGTATGCCGTGGCTTTCTAAGCCTTCATTATAAACTCCTCCCAGCCCCCTTCCCTCATGATGGCCAGCGAGAGCATCAGTAGGCTAATAACAAGGAAAAAGTAAGTTTATTCCTCACCACTCCATCAGGATTCATTGCAACTCAGAGCTAGAATAATGAGAAAAATTTTATTGATTTTTTTCTACAACCACAAAAACAGGTAATGCATTCCACTTCAGGACTCATATCTAACAGGAAGGTGAAACACATGTCCAACCCCTCTTCAAAGGTTGAAACCTTTGGCTGGATCGTCTCTCTGCATTTCTATTTGTTTTTGTTTTACTGGACAGCATCACGTGGTTCTTTTATTTCTGAGCTCTTGCATGCTTCCCTTCCTAAAGCTAAATGATCTGAATTGTATCAGTTTTAATCATGTGTTTTCACATGGACACAGCCGGACTGCATTTATGAGAGATGGGAATATTCATGCCCTGGACTTTCTAGCATGGAGACTGGCCTTGGAGAGGCAGGGGACAGAGAGACAGCCAACAGTAATTCTGACATCTGTAGGACAACCATCATGCAGCCGAAACAAAGTAGGCTGACTGTCATTTCTTCTTCTTGGGCACTCATTTTACTAAATAAAACCAAGTGGAAATTGGGTGAAGCGTACACTGGACCTTTTATTTTGTATTTTTTCACCTCAATGTGTATCTATAATTATATTTACAGAAAACATTAAATGAAAGTAAACAGATAAATTTACAAAACCCAAATGATTCATAAGGATGAAGAAGTGGGAAATGGAGTGAACATTTATTAAGCAGCTTCTTTGTGCCCAGTACCATGGTAGAAGCTTTAAGTTTGGTGTTTTGATCCACCACAAATGTTTGAGGCAGGCGTTACTAGGAACACGTTAGAAATGAGGAAATTAAGCCTCACAGACGATTAACAACATAAGCAACAAAAGATGATGATGAAATTCAAACTCTAGTCTTCAAAGATTCTTCTCTTTCCACCATATTACACTACCCAATTTTAACTGGCTTCCCACTATTTTAATGCTGGGCTAAGCTGCCATGTAAGGAATTTCCAGCAAAGCAAAAGCTAAAAGCACTATTTTTTTAGCATTAAATAGTCTCAGCATGCTAATGAGCTCTCTTAGTCTAGTGTCAACAAGATAACACTGTTAGAAGAATTATTCACCAAATTGTCTATCCCACACAAAGTTCCTTTTCTTTTTTTCTTTCTTTCTTTTTTTTCTTTTTTTGAGACGGAGTCTCGCTCTGTCACCAGGCTGGAGTGCTGTGGTGCAATCTTGGTTCACTGCAACCCCCGACTCCCTGGTTCAAGCAATTCTCCTGCCTCAGCCTCCCGAGTAGCTGGGATTACAGGTACACACCACCACGCCCAGCTAATTTTTGTATTTTTAGTAGAGACGAGGTTTCACCATGTTGGCCAGGATGGCCTCGATCTCCTGACCTCGTGATCCTCCCACCTCAGCCACAGAGTCCCTTTTTAATTTCTCCCTCACTGAATCCTGGGGAAAAAAAAGAGAGTCCTCCGATACTAGTGTCATTCATAGTCTTCCCATATTTTAATTGTATTTTTTAGTTATTTTCAACGTCTATTTCTATTTATTCCTATGACTCCCTGTCACCATGGTGTCTAACTATCCAGACAAACACATTAAACTAAAACAAAACATATGAGAGAACTGAAAAGAAAAGCTTCCCAGATCACCCTCCTCTGGAGCTAAGTTTTGTTGATTTAGAGATAACTGATTTTGTCTTGAAACCCTGGGGCTATGTTGGCAGTGTTAGCAATGGGCTGTGATGGCAATTTGCTATTATTTAGCCACGGAGACGATATTTACCTACAAACCATTTTTTGTAATAGAAGAAGAGAAAAAGAAATGCAAGAGCATAAGACATGCAAAATAATCCGCTTTGATCTTGTAAATTCTTCACCCCTGAGTGTAATACTCCAGGACCCCAAACATGCCAGAGCAAAAACAAGATACCTAGAAGAGTGAAGAGCTGTGCTTTTCTGTTTCATTTTAGTTTGCTTATCTAAGTCACTCCACTATGTGTGGCTGTGAAAATGCAAAATGCCTTAAAATTTTGTCATTAATGAAATAAAGAAACTAGTCCAAGGGATTCAGTCATATAAATATAACTCTAATGCAAATAGTCATTTTTGTTAAATGATACAGGTAGGGAGAGGAAATAATGACATAGGAATTTGTGGTTAGGGAGAGTAAGAATTCTGCAGAAAAAGAGAAAATTTTGCTACCTAATATTTTACAAACATGTTTAAAGTTTCATCTTTCGCAAGTTTGATACCACCTGCCCTCCTTCATGCTCACCACGTGGTGAAGCACACACACACACACACACACACACACACACACATTCACAGAGACCCATTTGTTTTCGGAGGGTCACAGTCTCCATCTTTATAATGCTCTGCTAGCTGCTTTTTAAAGACATATCACATCTACAAGGTTGAGGGAGGGATTCCCAGAATTCTTGGTATTTCTGAATGAAGGGCGAACACTGATAAAATGATCTTTTAAAACACAAATCTCATCATGCATTTTCAATAGCCCTTTTCTTTTTAATGTCAAAACCCAAATCTTCAATGTGGCCTGCCAGGTCTAATGTGACGTAGCTGCTGCTCCATGGCCTCTTCTGGAGCCAGCCTCTCCCAGTTTTATTCACTCCAGACTTAGCAGCCTCATGCGGGCCCTCGAGCAGGCCACGCTCTTCTTAACTCAGGCCCTCTGCCTAGGATGCTCTCTCTTTCTCTCTGAAGTTCCCCTCTAGAAATATTTTAAGTAATGTGTATTGACTTGACTGATTATACGTGTAATGAATGCTCTTAAGTAAAATTTAGAAAATACTGAGAAGTTGAGAGGAAAAAAAAGTGAAGATTATAAGCTCACAATCCAGAGTCAACTATTAATATTTGATGATGTTCTTTCTCCCTGTGAATCTACTTCTTAATACAAATCGTGATCATCTTGTATTTGCTCAAATATTTTCTAGTGAGTGGAAGATACAGGTTTCTTTTATAATCCTACTTATAATTGCTTTTGGAATTTCTGGAAACATTTTTTAACATGTATTTCCTAAATGAGCAAAATCAGACATAAACAGTACATCTGAATATCTCCTCCACACATTTCTTCTACTGCCCATCAAATCTCCCATCCCATCTCTTGACTGCATTACATAACTTAGAATTTTGGACCCCAATTTTCTTTACATTAATATTTATATTACCAAGCTTTTTTTCAATAATAATTATTTTATTTCCTTATGGAGTTAAGTGTACAAAAATTGTTCAGATATCCATATTTTAACTAATTGTATGCCCACTTGTTCCATTATATTTTGATTTCCTCTTTCTTTATTTCTTAATTTTATATTTTTTCTCAGTCATCTGAACTACAATCTCAAAATGACATTTTAGAGTACCTCTACCTTATATAGCTGAAAACATCCTGTTTTAATTATTTTCCTTTAAGTTTATATAGTCATGTCTTTGTGTTTTCATAGCTGTTGTGGTTACGGGAGAAATGTATGAAATCAGTCTGAATTTTTTCCATTTATATATATTATTCTACTTATGGTATTATAGAAATCTTCCTTTATAAAGATTTTTTTTAAAGATTTTATCTGATTTTCTTTTGATGTGCTATTGAAACGAGAAAGGTTCCCTTGTCCCCCTTGCAGGGTGTGCGATGGGGGTGTGGCTCACTGCTTCAGTGCCCCATGCTCAAACGTCTAGGGGAGCATACAGACGGGCAGGCTGTGGGGCTCTGACCCCACGGCAGTGTCTAGGGGTGAATGTTTACAGCTGAAGGCCCAGTGGTTGCGTGATACAGGGTACTCTTTTAGTAGCCGTCTATAGGCGGCTTGTGCTAACCAGCTCAATTAGACCTTCGACCTTGTCGCTTTCTGTGACCCAGGGTTTCTTGTCTTGGTGTACCAGAAGAATCAGATCGCACGTGGCTTGGAGAATGAGTGCAAAGTTTTATTGAGTAGAAGTAGCTCTCCCCAGATGGGGGACCCAAAAGGGAGATGGTTTTCCCCTGGAGTTGGGCCACTCAACAGCCCCAGCTCTCCTCTGACTGCCCCAGCCAAACTGCGCCTCATCCCGCTGGTCAATGGCCTGCCAGTGTGCCAGTGTGCCAGTGTCTGTCAGTGTGTTCGTCTGTCGGCGTGTTCTTCTACCGGCCACTTGTGTTTTCTTCTGCTGATGTGCTCCTCTGACATCTGGCTGCCTTTGAGTCTGCCTTGCTAGGGTATCGGGTTTTTATAGACATAGGATGGGGGCATGGCTGGCCAGGGTGGTCTTGGGAAATGCAACATTTGGGCGAGGATGCAGGAGTGCCTGTCCTAGGTCCGCGGATTGGAGCTCTAGCCAGGAACTATGCCACCACTTACCCAGCACTTCCTTCCCCACTTCCATATCATTTAAAGGGGATGCTCTTCCCTTCCCAGTACTCCCATATCAGTTTGTTTACTTTGATTTCACTCCAAATAAAGTAAGATTTGTCACTCTGTAATTAAGAATTATTCCAGTTCCTGGACGTTTTATTCAGTCATGACTTTTCTTTGTGTTTCTATTCTGATTGTTCAACTTTCTTCCTCAGGGATACTTAATCTTTAAATTGAATCTCAATCTCCATATTTGCTTGCCATATTGGTCCTGTTCTCACTCACTATTCTTACCACTTTAGTCTCTCCTCTGCACTTTGAGAGAAATTCTCACCTCTTCTCTGCATCATTGATTCATTTTCTCCATTGTCAATTATGCTCTTTACTGCACCAATTAGGAGGTGAATAGTATTACCACATTATAAAGTCTTGCAAAACTTCACTATCTTACTATATCTCTTTCCTTCTTGGCTTGTAATCTCCTCATTTTCATATTTTTCCTTTGTTGATTTCTGTGCGTTTTTCATTGGGAGATCATGCCTTCTTAAATCCTGTTAAGAGGTTAATATGTCTAATTGTTGATGTTTAGCAGGCTTTATGTAGAGAAGTTTAGAGCCTCTACTCCTTCTTTAACTCTCTGAACAAGTGAAGTTTATAAAAACTGGAATCACAGATTAATGCTCCCATTCCTTTCTCTTGACTTTTCCTTTTCACCTATCCACCTCACAACAGCACCACACAACAGATAGACATCCACAGTTTATGCCTAGTTGTTTTTAAGGAGTTGAAACCCTCAGTCAAAAGTAGAAAGGGAAGTGTTAGTTTAGAAAACACTATGTAAGTGAAATAAGCCAGACAGGCGGGGGCAATTAGATAGGATGCAACATAATTCTCTATTTTTCATTGAGCCTAGTTCAAAGGAGTTCATCAATTACATTTTCAAATCCATCCCATTGACCATATAATTCATGATAATTCCTCCAAGAAATCTAAACAATAGATTTGCTGCGAGTCTTAGTTTTATATTTGTTTTACTTTTGTTACATTTGGCACTTTTCTGAATCATAACAATTACGTTATCGGAAAATTTGGAAATATTTCAATAGGGTGCTAGCTAAATATCATTTTTAAGTCAGAAATATGAGATTTCCAAAAACAACTAGTGTTACCCTTCACTAAGAACTTCAAAGCAAATGACCCATTCTATGCATCTGTGCATATTGCATTCATTTTCCTATATATTATGACATAATAATATTAATACACCTTTTGGATTTTTCCTCCTGCAAGTTTAATATCCCACTTTACTCAAAGTGTATTCTACCATACAGCTGTGGGGCTCTACAGCATTCTATAGAATCATACAGCATGTGTTAAGTGTTCATCATGTCCTTTAAAAATATGTTTTAAAAATTATATTCTGGTACCAGTTGAGATGACTGTTTACCTCAAAGTGTTTGTACAGGCAATGTGTATCACATTTTCTAAAGATAACTGAGCAAAACATATAGCAAGCTATTTGTTTGTTTGTTTGTTTGTTTGTTGGCAACAGAGTCTTCCTCTGTGGCCAGGTTAGAGTGCTGTGGTGCGATCTCAGCTCACTGCAACCTCCAACTCCCTGGTTCAAGGGATACTCCTGCCTCAGCCTCCCAAGTAGCTGGGATTACCGGCATGCATCACCATGCCCGGCTAATTTTTGTATTTTTAGTAGAGACGGGGTTTCACCATGTTGGCCAGGATGGTCTCAATCTCCTGACTTTGTGATCTGCCCGCCTCGGTCTCTCAAAGTGCTGGCATCACAGGCGTGAGCCACCGCACCCGGCCATACCAGTCTCTTTCTTAGCTAACCATTTCTCTTTTAAAAATGGGTGGCATGTTGGGATTATAACCACCAGTCACTTGGCAGTAATGAATTAGAAGTAGACTAAAAACATAGGAGGAAACACATACACATGATGTCAGTGTACAAAAAGAAAATAAGTGACAAAAAGGAAATAAGTGTACAGAGTATCTAAGAAAGAAGCGAATGACAATGGCAGAGTGGAAAGGGCACTGGATTTGGAGTCTGAAGATCTGAGCTCATGCACCCATGCCTCACAGTAAGTAACTTAACCCCTCTGACCATTTACTTTGTCTGACCCTCACTTTCTTAGTCCTCAAAATAGGCTTATTGTAATACTCATCCCTATTGTTGTTTTCACAGACAAATGAAATTATACCATGAAGTACTTGTAATTGACAATATTATACAAATAATGTCAGAATGAAGTACTGACATATGCTACAACGTGGAAGAACCCTGGAAACATGGTAAGCGAAATAAGCTAGACACAAAACCACAAATGTAATATGATTCCACGTACATGAAATATATAGAATAGGTAAATTCATAGGGACAGGAAGCAGATTAGAGGTAACCAGAACCTGGAGGGAGGGGGGAATAGGGAATTATTTCTTAATCATTACAGAATCTCTGGAGTGATGGAAAAGTTTGACTGATAGAGGTGATGGCTGCACAGTACCATGAATGCAATTAATGTCATTGAATGTTACCTTTAAAAATAGTGAAAATGGCATATTTTATGTTATATATGTTTTCCCACAAAAGATTTTTTAAGTCAGATTTTATGTTGTTATTGTACATGTATTCTTTAAACCAATTGTGATGCAACTTTATTTAAAAAGTAATCATTAAATTTCAGCTGGTGTTATGGTAATTGTGTGAATTACCACAAATGAATAAATCAATTAATAGTATATCCTGAAAAAAACATTTATTAGTGCTTACGTACAGCGACCTAGTAACTATGGCAACAAAGATATTATACTTGGAAGATAATTACTCACCCAATTGAAGAAAACTCCCATATATCATCTTTAAATGAGTTTTTGAGATGTCTCATGATTCTTCTGTAGTAAAGAGGTACACATAATGATCTATTACGAAAGTAACCCATATGTGAGCATCCCACTGATAGCTATGATGAGAATGAGTGCTGCAATATATATATTATCACCACTCAGGAAGCATGAATCATTAGAACATAAATAAAATTTCCCATTTCAAAACTCATCCATGATCCCAAGAGTTGCTGCTTCCACCTGAATTCCCCATCAAGTCTAGGAGCTTCCCCCTGGCCTTATGAAAGCAGCTGTGCCTCATAGAACCTGGAGGATGATGCTCGGGACTTTCTGTATTGGCTTCTCTCCTCCACAGTCCAGCATCATCCCATTTTCACTTTAGCTTTCATGAAGCAATCTCATTCCCAATGGGAATGACTGAGATCACCATACCATTCCCCAAAGTTAAACCTATCAACAGTTCCATGATAAATGCATTTCCTGCACCAAATACAAAATTGAGATGGCTTCAGACTAAGACCTTAGAAGAAAAGAAAGTCATAGTTAATTCCCCAAACTGCAATAATTTTTATTTGTTGAATATTTTATCTTAGATGAATCATTTTATTTGTTGTAGTCACTTCCTTCCTAGTTTGATAAGTTAATTTAAAGTATATTAGCCCAGATTTTAGCTGATTTACTGTTTTATTTTTCTGTAGTTGTTTTCTTGTTTCTAAAATTATCTTATGAAGTCTTTTATAGTGAATTCAATTCAACAAGTATTTTGGAATCATATTATGGGAAAGCATTCCACGAGGTGGTTCTTCAGCAAAGCTAGAGATGACACCAGCTTCTTTTTTTTCTTTTTAATTTTTATGGGTACATAGTAGGCTTATGCACTTATGGGGTACATGAGATATTTTGATACAGGCATGCATGTGTAGCAATTACATCAGGGTAAATGGGGTATCCATCACCTCAAGCATTCATCCTTTTTGTGTGTTATGAACATTTCAATTATACTCCCTCATTTATTCTAAAACGTACAATAAATTATTGCTGACTGTAGTCTCTTTATTGTGCTATCAAAGACTAGATTTTATTCACTGAATCTAACTATATTTTTGTACCCCGTTAACCATCCCCATGACACCAGTTTCTTGACCCTAAAATTTAAAATATATGAGGAAAGATTACTCATATACTTGTATATAATTAAAATTTGGAAAAAAATTTAAAGATTTTTCTTGAATATATTCATTTTGCAGAATTAGGAAAATCTTGGCGAGAAAAGTGGCATTTATTATGGATCTCGTGGCAAGGTTAGAATGTTTATTACTGTGCACTTAACCTACTAAATTGAAAGGTCCTCAAGGATAAAAACTTAACTTAGTTATCTTTATATCTCTGGGAACAATAAAATCACTGGGACAGGATCATAGATGTATGTGGCTGCAAACAATATTTTGAGACTGTGCTTCTTATTAGGGAAATATGCTCCTAAATCACAAAGATTTTTATAAATGTTTATTTATAATTTCATATTTCTTTTACAAGGCCGACTCAGGAACTGAGAAGTTGAAACAATAAGTTGAATGGGATCAGGTAGTGCCAACTAGACTGATTTAGAGGACGTGAGTTTGAATCCCAACTTTGCTTATTAGCCGAGTGGACTAAATGAGGTATTTATTCTCTCTGAGCTTCCAGTTCATCTACTGAGATTAGAGATATCAAAACCTAGCACATGGGATTTAAGGAAGATCAAATAATATAATACTAAGTTTTTTGCAGAGTAGGAATCAAAATATGTTAGTTGAAGTTGATTCAGCAAGACTCTTGTGCTTCCAAGATAATCTTTTATTTATTATTAATAAGGGCATTGTGTATTGAATGTTGATTGTGCATAAATACTATATTCAAGGTATGATCAGTCATCAGACCAACAGCAACTCTGAGAAGTAGAGATGAAGAGATGGAGACTGCAAGATAATTGCTGACTTAAGCTAGGAAGTAGATTGACAGCGTTTAAGCCCTTATTCTCTGATTTCAGAATTTTTACAATTAATCACTACACAAATGGTTTCACACTGAAATAAACAATTGCAAACTTCTGAATTTAGTAAGAATAAAACTTTTAAATTTGTTTTCTGTTGGGGAAGATGTCTTTCCCTTTCCCAAGGATACTGCTTTTCTCTAAAGAGGAACTTTGGGAGTCTGCTCTGTCACCAGGGCTGGAGTGCAGTGGTGCGATCTCAGGTCATTGCAACCTCCACCTCCTGGGTACAAGCAATTCTCATGCCTCAGCCTCCTGAGTAGCTGAGATTACAGGGACCTGCCACCACGCCCAGATAATTTTTGTATTTTTAGTAGAGATGGGGTGTCACCTTGTTGGCCAGGCCAGTCTCGAATTTCTGACCTCAGGTGATCTGCCTGCCTCAGCCTCACAAAGTGCTGGGATTACAGGCATGAGCCTCCACACCTGGCTGGGATTTTTTGAAGTAACTTCAGCTTTTATCTTTTCCTGTGTCACTCCCTGCTCTACGAGGAGGGAAGAAAGATTCATCTGGTTGGTGGGAATGAAGAATTGTGGTGCAGGCCAGGCTCATTGGTAATAAAGCCCTGACTCGGCAAGCTGTCACCTAGTCAGTGTGTTCTCTGCCTAAGAGGCTTGTCCTGCCCTGCGGGTCTGTGACCAAGTGAGTAAGTTCAACTCAAGGAGAAAGAGCACAAAACTAGTATCTGGTCTTGGTTTCAAGTAAGTTCTGAAGTATGTCTAGTCTATTGATCCCTATCAAATTCCATGCGTATTTATCAATTGATTCAAAATTTGGAAGAGATAAGGTATGATTAGCAATTGATTTCAAGTTCCAAGGCTTGTTGAATTTAGCTAGTTATGCAGGCATTTTAAACTGCACTTGGAGAATGAACCATAAGAGATGAATAAACTTTTTCTATCCAGAATCGATTTTCTTGCTGTTTCTCAGGTTTACCTTACAAAGTACCAATATACCTAAAGGTTTACCTTACAAAGTACCAATATAGCTAAAATGTAGTCTGAGTATAATTAAATTTTTATTAAAGAAAACGGGTATGAATTTAATACCTCCTAAGCAGGCATATATATATATATACACACACACACACACATAGATATAATATATATACATAGATATAATATATATATTCATATATAATATATATAATTCATATATAATATATATTATATAATTCATATATAATATATAATTTATATATAATTCATATATAATCTATAATATATATATTCATATATAATATATAATTCATATATAATATATATAATATATATTATATATATTATATATAATTCATATATTATATATTATATATAATTCATATATTATATAATATATATGTTCATATATATTATATATAATTCATATATAATATATATAATATATATATTCATATATATAATATATATATTCATATATATAATATATATATATATGAAGAGTCTTTGGAGCCAGTAAAATTCTGGTTCTAGCATTATCAGATATGTCAACTTCAAGTCATCTAACTTCTGTAAGTCTCAGTTTTACATCTATAAAACTGTAATAGTAGTACCTCCTTATAGGATTGATCTGGGAATCAAATTGGTTAATGAGTAAACAACTTACTACTATACTTAATATACAATGAGAACCCGGTAGTAGCCAGTGCTGTTATTATTAGACCGTTATTACCATCATAATTTAATGAATCAATCATTCTTATTTCTATAGATAGTAAAAAAAGAAATAATTTTAAACTTGATAACATAGAATCCTGCAAAAAGGAGTGGGCTTTTAAACTACAAAATGTAATAAGCATTTTAATACACACATTTTAAATTATTATTCATCAAACTCATTTAAAATAGAATCAATAAACCATAAGCATATTTGGATACTTTAAGCAGTGGTTGGGGGAGGAGGCTGTCTATGATCTCTCAATTTAAGAAAGGTATGTTAAAGCTTCACACACTGCTGACCATAGGGGAAATTTTTTGTATGTTTTGTTTTGTCATAACTGATAATGTAATAGATGACATTTCTAGAACAAAAGTTATGTTATATTTATATTCCAATAAAGTTTCTTTCTTTCCTCCAGGAACATTTTTGATTGTGAATACTGGTTATAACCTTTCTCAGTACCCAGTGACCATGATTATTACTGCCCTCTCCACTGTGGCCAATTTCAGATTCAGAAGTTAAGTGACTGTCACTCCCTTGACTTCTAATTACTGAAGATGCTATGGTAAAATTCAGACTTGGTTGCTAGGATATATAGCTTTGAGGAAATATTTCTGGTATCCTTTATGCTTATATTGACCCTATAGATTAAAGCAAAGCATGGGATATTTCCAGCTGGTAGCCACAATAAAATCTAACTGCAAAAGTAAAGCAATCAGAAACTATCTTGTATTCAGATGATATAAGGTGAACCTGAGTTTCCTTTTATTTGTGCCAGCATGTGTTTGAAGTTACGTGGTGAATTACATAATTGAGAGATTCAGAACCAGGCATTCTAAATAATAATATGTAGCAGTTGTCAAGGTAACTTGGGAAGGGTACTGGGAAAGTTTTTTTAATATAAAAGGAAATGGGAACATTCTCACTTATTGTTGGTATCGCGTTTCTTTTTAATGCTTTGCATTAACTCCGCGTAACGTAGAGCATGGTCTATTTCTAGTTGGTGACTACCAAGAAATCTTTTATCAAACTTCAATGAGAGAGTAAGCCAAAAATATTCTAGTATTCTATAATACCCTACGAGAATATTCTGTTAGTGTGTTTCAGTTCAATTTTAGCTGAATTAGAAGTTAGATAAAGGATGTTACTAAAATATATTATAGAGTTACAAAATTGAGATGGGGATTGAACACACCCATTCATTATTATACAATCTGAATTTTTACCAACATCAAACATTGGGCAAAGTTTCAAATTATCTGGAAAGATGTTAGTGAGTATTCTATATCTATGTCACTTTACATTTTTTACAAAAAACTGAGCAGTGTTTTCTCCATGCCTGACCCTAGTCTATGTGCTTTATCCACCTTAACACATTTGATCCTCATAGCAACCCTGGACAGTAGATCCTATAATTATCCTCATTTTACAGATGGGAAGCTGAGAGACAGAGAGATTGAGGAACTCATTCATGATACCAGAACTACAGTTTGAACCCAACGATTCTGCTTTTCAAGTCTGTACTCTTGACTGTGCAGTTTTTCTTCTTGTGCTAAGGTCTGGAGCCCTTTATTTTCTAAGCACAAGTCTAATGAGAGTAAAAATGTTGCCTACTCTCCAGCCTGTGCCTTCCCTTTGTGGGTTTTGATGGCAGAACGCAAGGGTTCCCCACTGGGAGAGCCACGGAAGAAGTGCTTTCTCGCCTCCCTGGTTTCGGAGTGTGTTCCGTTTCACTCTTTGGAGTTGAAGAGAAGAACTGAGCTGATTGGGTCTTTGGGGACATTTTTTGTTTTACCAATTTTAGCAGAGCTGGCTTCTGCTCTTTCAGAAGTATGTCAGACCCATGGGCAGCCTCAGCTTGGGTGTTTTAAAGCACTACCACTGACTGAGAGAAAGACATGTTTGCTATGTTGTCACAGAGTAGAACAAGATACTCCATGCCAGTGACAAACACTTTTGCATAGCATAATAATGCAAATTGGCTGGTCTTATTCAAAGGAATCTGGACAATGGAGTTAATTGTACACATCAGTTTGAAAATAACATAGTTCAAAAGAAAAAACAAACAAAATAGAACATAAATGAAATGCAAATGAATTTAACACAGACAACTATCTTTGTGAGTTTTACTCCTCATATTCTCTTAAAATAATTGCCAAAGTAGTAGGTTTAAAATAGCTATAATAAGGTTCTGGGGGATAAACTCTAGCATGCTACCCAGAGGTACTAAAAACTTTACAGAAATTATTCTTAATATAAATGCCTTTTCCCCACACATCAGTGAGTTGAATTTGAATATTTATAGTGTGATCATATATTTAACTCTTTAATGTCTCAAGTCTAGAGTTAAAATATTTAATTACTGGTAGAAAAATTTAAACTATCTATATAGTTTATTATTATTTAAACTATTCTTTAGTTTACCTATCTGTGTACAAGGTAGCTTTCAAGGGTTTTAACTGCAGACTTTTAACTGAAGACTTTTAACTGGTAGTTACAAGTTGAGTAGCTGTAGTCTAAAAATCCAAAATCTGAAATCCTCCAAAATCCAGAACTTTTGAGTTCCAACATGTCTCAAGTGAAAAAAAATCCATACATAATTATCTAACACAAATTTTCTTTCATGCCCAAAGTTATTTAAAATATTATATGAAATTATATTCAGGCTACGTGTATAAAGTATATATGAAACATAAATGAATTTCGTGTTTAGATTTGGGTCCCATTCACAAGATATCTTATTGTGTATTTGTAAATATTCCAATATTCAAAAGCAATTCAAATCCAAAACACTTTTGGTCCCAAAGCATTTCAGATATGAGCTATTCAACCTCTAATGATAAAATTTGGGTCGTAAAAGTCTTCACAGAATGTACTTGAATCAAGACTTTAGGATTCTCTGAGAGTCATTTAGGCTGTTTTAAGGTCTTCTGTCTGATTTCCTTGGGATCCCAACTAAAGTAGGGTTTGAGATCCAGAAGCAGAGGGACTTAGAGCTGGGGCCTTTTAAAGCATTGGAAAACTACCAGTTGGGTACTATGCTCACTACCTGGGTGACGGTGATCATTTATACACCAAACCTCAGCAATGTGGAATTTACCCCTGTAACAAACCAGCACATGTACCCCCAAAACAAAACAACAAAAAGAATCGCTCACGTTGGAACAAGGTAACTAACACCAGAGGCTGACTTCCGAAACCGCCTTTGCAAAAATTATCACTGAGAAAATTATAACAACAGTGAAAGAGATCTGACCTAACTGACTCCAACTTGCTTCTAACCTCTATGCTGCCCTTGTTCATTCCTCAGTGGAGGCCGAGCTAACTTTAGGAGGAACTTAATTTATAGTTTAACTTTGAAACAAAGATGATAACAGCTCTTTCCCAAAACGAACCCCCTTCCTTCCTGAGGACTAGACTGCCTTTGCAGGACTGACAAATTAGCCACAAGATTCAAAATTATGGTGTAGGAGTCATGCACCTGGAGGCTGCAAGTTTCTGAACCTCCCCAAATTGCTCTTAGGGATAACATGTCACTATTGTAAAACCTAAGATCAGCCCTTGAGATATTTTGCAGACCCAGCACTCAACGGATCAGCTGGCACCAGCCAGATTGATAAACTGACTCATCTGGTCTTGTGGTCCCCACCCAGGAACTGATTCAGTTCAAGCAGAGAGCTTTGCCTCCTTGTGATTTCATCTCAGACCTGACCAATCAACATTCCTCACTTTCCTACCTGCTACCCATTGAATTACCCTTAAATACCCACAATCCCTGAGTTTTCAGGTAGACTGATTTGAGTAATAATACAAATCCAGGTTTCAATAATAATAAAACCCCAGTCTCCCTTACAGCTGGCTCTGCATGAATTAAACTCTTTCTCTATTGTAAGTCCCCTGTCTTGATAAATCAGCTCTGTCTAGGCAGCAGCCAAAGACAACCCATTGGCCAGTTGCACTTCTAACGCAGGTTTGCTTGGCTTCCATCCTCAAATATAAGCAGGGATTCATTTAGATGGGGTCTTACATGCAGTGTCTCAAGATCGGGGTCTAAATAAGAATGTGTGTCTGTGTGTATGTGTGTGTGTGTTTAGAAACAGAGAAATGAGACAGAGACAGACATAGAAAAAGTATCACTTTTTTCCCAAGAAAGAAAGTGACTCTTGGGAACTAGTATTCAGGGCTGCATAATGACAGTTATTCCAAAGATGTATTGAGAGTATTTGATTACATTTTCAAATCCTCCACTTCATGTGACAAGTGTCAAACATAGACCAGTCATTCCTGCCTAGTCAAGAACTTACAGAGACCCAAGGGGTGGGGGCACTAGGATTTTAATGAATAGGAAGATCACACTGTGTCTTTGAGGTTAAACATCCTAGGCAGCATTCAGAAATCCTGCTTACCAGATCCTAGCACACCGATACAGTTGACCCCAGATCAGTGGTAGGATGGCTGGATGGTTTTCCTCCTACCTACTGCTCACTAGGGAAACTCCAGACAGAGAATGGTTGTTGTCTTCCTTCGAAATCTCTCCAATCTGGAGTAAATTTTAGTCATTTACTAAACATGCTCCACATAAATTATTCCAAACCATGTTTACTTACTTGGGTCTAAAATCCTATAGATGGACAAAGCACACATGGCCACAGAAAGAAAGAAAAATCCTCACTGGAGCCCAGCCCGGTGAATGCAACTTTTCCTTCTCCAGGTTTTAACCCTCTGGCATAAGATGTGGCCACACAACAGAATATATTAAATTACGAGACTTTTTTCTTTTTGGTCAAAGACATGTAAATAAATGATCAGGAGAAGCAAAACTAATATAAAAAAGATTCGTAGATGGGTTTATCAAGAACAGAAGGAGAGTTCTATAGTTCTGTAAAAATTACATCCCAAGCATGTTTTCCTACAGGTTTAAATACGATGACAAGAATGTTATCAACTTTTTATATCACTCTGAATATACCATTTTAGGAATTTCCTGGAGGTTTTTTTCCAAACACTTTCTTAGGAAATTGGTGATAGAAAAGCTTCTGTCTCCTTTAATAAGATGTATTTCTACTTGATTCCTCAGTTCATTCAACCTGAGGTTCTAAGGGCTGCATTACTAACTCACAGGATTGTTGTGTGAAATAATTAATTAGTATTTCCAAGATGTTCATAAGAAAGGTGTTAAAGAAAAATCAAATCTGGTCTAACAGAGGACCCTCCAAAAGGAGACCTCCTTCTATTATTTTATTCTTAATTCTAACCAAAACCCAGAGTTTGGCCAATGCCAAGATAACTGTCTGGAAATACTTGGACAATGGAGTTCTGATGTTTGCAATCTGATTTCTCTCTGGCATGCTGTTGGTATTATATTCTTATTAGGCCATAATTAACATAGTGCACTAGGATTGTAGCATTTTCCTTATAGCTTTCTTCATTTTGGAAAATGTTTCTGTTCAAAGGGAAACAACCCAAGGACCTCACAGCAGTCTGGTAGGTAAGAAAATATCTATCTTCCTGTTCAGGACACCAGCTTATTTTCAATTTTGACTGCTATTTCTGTTTTCCAGATCATCAATGTCAGAGATGAGTTTTTCTTGTCCTTCACTTGGATGATATCTGCAACCATAACCTCGTAAATTCTTCTCTGGAGCCTCCAGGTCTGTTCAGATTATTTACCTTATTGCACAATTCCCAATCATTTTGGCTCCGTGTTTTCCAGTGCAGCATTATTTCTAAGGCTCATCAATTTCTGGTCCTGAGTCATTGAAGCTCCTATTTCCCATCACGAGGTTTTAGGGATGTGCACAGCATCAGGAACAATGTGCAGGCTAAGACTGCAAACATCAGTAATTTTACCTGGTTGAATTTTTTAAGGCAAGTTTCAGCAACCTTACTTACCAGACCCTACCACACAACAAATTTTGGCCTCGTATGAATGAATGGTGTGACTGTAGAAGGGTCTTTATTCTACCCACTGTGGAAATATCAGGAAGAAACTCTTGTGTGCTTGCCCAAGAAGGCACTACCACATTGAATTGAGTCTTCTTTCTTTATCATTCTGCCCTAGTCACACAAAAAGAGGAAAGTGACACATAGGTCAGCATCCAATACATGATACTTGATAAGCACTCAACTGACATTTGTGATAATGACTCATCCAGTCAACAAATGTTGCTAAACCCCTTCTATGGGTCTTGTACTTTTCTTAGAATGGGGCATACTGTAGTGAGAAAAACAGATAAAGCTGCTACCTTCATGGAACTTGTACACTTGCATGGGGGAAAGATGAAAAGGCATCCTTAGAACTCCATAAGTTCAACTCTGGAGTTTCATAAATTCACGCCAACTCTCAGTAGTGAAACTTTGGGCATTTTAGCCATGGCTCCATCCCTGGAAGGACCAGAAGAGCCTAGAACTTTGCTCTGAGAATAGCACGATCGTTTATTTTGTTCTTCCTCAAGGCCTGTGCTCCTTCATCGTGTATTCTCTGTGAAGTCCCAGAGGTCATTCAGCAGGCGACTGGCTTGGCCCATTCCGACTTAATGATTACGCTCATTCCTGTGCAACACTTTACCAAGAGTTTGACTAAAGTCAAGATTGATTGTGTCACCCACAATACCTTTATCTGCTAATTCAGTTACTCTATCAAAAAAAATTTAGTGTCTGAGAGGATTTATTTTAAGAGACAGTAGCAGATGATCATAGAGTCTCCTTTTTTCTTCTTTCTATAACTTTACAAGCAAACAACCTTAGCAAACCACTCCTGGTCTGATGCCTCATGGTAATGTCTCCTAGATGCATACAGAGTTTGATATCCCCTAGACCAACAGCCTCCCAGCGAGTTATGGCACTAAACTCTTCTAGCATTTTCTTGCATGTCCATTGCACTCAACTTTAAGGGAAAACTTTACTCATTTTTTTCTTTTTAATTTCCAGGGGCTGATATGTTTAGCCGAGGCTGTATTTTTTTCATCTGAAATAGGGATTCTTAATATTATGGAAAGCCACGCTGGCATATTTGGGGATTAATTTCCTAGTAACAATGGATTTAATACAAAACATACTTCTATTGTAGTGAAGAAAAAAGCCAAAAGGAGCAATATGCATTTTGCAGATTCTGCCAAACAAGGCAATGTTTGTTTATGCTTTAGATAAAATAAACTAATGTGTTTTGTTTACATTTGCATACATCTTTCTAAACACATGCATACACAAAAACACAGTTGCTGTTGTGTTATTAGTAATATTTTTGTCATGGGCCCTTTTCCTGTCAGTCCATATGGCTTCCTCTGAATGGCTGTACCTTTATACTCTAAGGATGAATCTCGTAGCTCTTTCTAACCACCATGACCTATTGCTGCCTACAGAAATAGGTCTAGAAACCCTAGAAACCCTAGAACCCTAGAAAGCACTGACTTCTGCTGTGGATTGACTCTGTCATTGTTTTTCATGAAGATTATACACACTTACACACACACATATGCACATGCACACACACACACACACACACACACACACCCCACACCCCTCCCATAAGCTTTACACATAAACTGCATCCAATAAAAAAAAAAATTAGTGAATTTTTTCTAAAGAGCTACTCAAATTGGGCAAGTAACTACTTTCACATTTTGGAATATCTTAATGAAACCACAAAATTCTCATCCCTTGAAAGATTTTGGTTTAAAGTGTATATTCAGCCTTGAGTTTTATTCAAAAGTATGTATATATTTTGAAATCTATGCCAAAAAGTCCTCTTTGTGATACTTCTTTGCCTTGACATAGCTCTAACAGTAAGAAGTCACATTTTTGCCCCAATCACTTTCTCTGCGTTTTTTTTTTTTATTTCCCTTGTGCAATTCAAACTTGATCCCAAGCACGTGAACCAAATATACTAATTGGTTATTACTTACACTTTAAAATCCTGTTTAACATTTTTTCTACTTGCCCCTTGTTCCCTGCTCTTCCTCTTCTCTTCCCATTCTTTTCCTTCTCTAGTTTTTTAAATATGTACATATATATAAAGAAATATTTACAGGTTTAAGGGTATATGTGTATATTTATATAGATGTATGTTTGTGTGTACATATAAAAAGAAATTTACTTTTCCTTCTATCCCCCGAGAGGGCCACAAAACAACAATCCCCCAGTAGTGCTGATCACCCTAAACACCCAGTTTCTGGTTCCTTAGTTTCTCTCCTTCTCTGCTAAATGGAACCAGGGATTTTTAGAAAAATAATCGATTTCAGAGCTAGGGCTGGTGAAGTACAAAATGAACAGGAGGAAGCATCTTGGCCTCTCCTACCTGTCGTTAGATTCCAAATTCCACTAAGTCAGAAATAAGATACTCAAGCTTATTCCACAGAGGAAGGAAGCCTTTTTATGAAGGGAGGAAGGGTATACATGAATTAAGAAGTGGAAGCCCAGGCACCTCAAGAACAATGGCATTAACAGTTAATTACCAGTTAAGAAGTTATTATTAAAATTGCTATTTTAATAACAAAATTGTTAAATTATTAATAATTAATAAATATATGGAAACAAGCTTTTTAAATTTAATATCATTTTTTAAATGAATAGCATATCAAATGAAAAGGGGGAAAGGTTATTTTGTATGTCCAGAAACTTCACATTTACACTCACTAGCTGCATTCACAACTTCTGTCACTCTGTCCCTGCAAAGAGGGCCAGTGCGGTCTCTAATATTCTGGTTCTGATTTAGCACCTGATCTACACTTAATAAATGATTATTATGTGCTTGGTTATATCTTTTCAGCTTCCTACTGCAGAGTAAGGTGAAAATGTGTGGACTTCGGGTCAAACAAGGTTTCAAATTCTTGCTCTTACCTGTTTCTAGCTGTTTCTTAAGTCATCTGAATGAATGTTCCTTGGCAGTTGTTGAGAAGATTAAACATATTTAGTGTATGACTTGAGTACAAGAAATAATGAATTTAGTGCATTAGTGCACTAAATTTAGGGCAATAGTGATTCTTTTTGCTTTTTTTTTTTAATTATTTTTTTGAGACGGAGTCTTGCTCTTGTCGCCCAGGCTGGGGTGCAATGGCACGATCTTGGCTCATTGCATCCTCCACCTCCTGGGTTCAAGCAATTATCCTGCCTCAGCATTCTGAGTAGCTGGGATTACAGGTCCCCGCCAGCACACCCAGCTCATTTTGTATTTTTGGTAGAGACAGGTTTCACCGTGTTGGCCAGGCTGGTATTGAACTCCTGACCTCAGATGATCTGCCCACCTCAGCCTCCCAAAGTGCTAGGATTACAAGCATGAACCACCTCACCCAGCTCTTTTTGCTTTTTTAGCATGACTACCTTTGCTCAAAGATGCTAGGTACATAGACTAGAGCAGGTTGCAAGTGTTATAGGATGTAGGCCCTGAATATTAGGCAATTGGCTTTGGGGAAGGATGAAGGGAAAGAACGTGTGTTTGTCAACAGACAAACTATTCTATTCCATTTCCTTGATTGATGCCATTGTCATCATCACCACCAGGAACAGTGTCATTGTCATGATCACCAGCATGCCTGCCACACTTGCTCTGTACCTCTAATATTTCATTTAATTTTCATCACCGCTCTCTGAGATGGTGCCTATTATTTTCCCTCTTTTACTGAAGAGTTGATTAACTTGGCCACAGTCACCTAGATAGTAAAGAGCAGGGCTAGAATTCAGACCACAATAGTCTGACTCCAAAGTTGGCCATTTTAGTGGACTACACCCGTGAAGGACTCCTTCTGGTGTGTCTTTCAAGTTCCATAAAAATTAGTTACATCCAAGTCTTGAATCTGATGTTAATTTTCTGGCTTTAAGATTTTGAGCTCCATTGGAGAATGTTTAAATCTACACATCACCAATGGCCTTCCATCAGATGGGAAGGACTTTAATGACATATACAGAAGCCTGACTAGTGCTTATGTCATGTCAAGGATGTATTAAAGCAGAATGTAGCTAGCTGTTACATTAGCCCCTGAGGGCTCTATCCCTAATATTTGAAAGTAGATTCTGGGACGGGAGTGGTGGCTCACACCTGTAATCCCAGCACTTTGGGAGGCCAAGGCAGGCAGATCACCTGAGGTCAGAAGTTCAAGACCAGCCTGGCCAACATGGTGAAACCCCGTCTCTATTAAAAATACAAAAATTAGTCAGGCATGGTGGCAGGTGCCTGTAATCCCAGCTACTCAGGAGGCTGAGGCAGGAGAATCGCTTGAACCTGGGAGGCAGAGGTTGCAGTGAGCCAAGATCACACCACTGCACTCCAGCTTGGGCAACAGAGTGAGACTCAGTCTCAAAAAAAAAAAAAAAGAAAGTAGATTCTCATCTCATGAGAGCAGAATTTATGTCTCAGTTGTTCAAATCAGGATATCCTCATTACTAAGCACAGTGCCAAACACAAAAATGTGGAAGGGATTTGCACCATTTCATGATGCTCAGTAAGTACTTGCGCAACTGCCACTATTAACTTTAGATGAGTTTCCCTATCACTTTCCCTCAGTTTTCATATCTGTATAACTCAGAGATGATAGTAGTAAACAGCTGTCCCTCAATATCTGTTGGGGATTGGCTCCAGGATCCCCTGTGGTCAAAATCCACAGATGCTCAACTCTTTTATATAAAATGGCATATATAACTTACATCCCCCTTATCTTTTTTTTTTTTTTTATTTTTGAGACAGAGTCCCACTCTGTTACCCAGGCTGGAGTCCAGTGGCATAATCTTGGCTCACTACAACCTCTGCCTTCTGGGTTCAAGCGATTTTCCTGCCCCAGCCTCACGAGTAACTGGGATGCTGCTACCATGCCCTGCTAATTTTTGTATTTTTAGCAGAGACAGGGTTTCACCATGTTGGTCAGGCTGGTCTTGAATGCCTGATCTCAGGTGAGCTGTCTGCCTCAGCCTCCCAAAGTGCTGTGATTACAGGTCTGAGCCGCCACCATGCCCAGCCCCCCTTATCTTTTAAATAATCTCTAGATTACTTATAATACCTAATACAATGTAAATGCTATGTAAATAATTATTATACTATATTGTTTAGGGAGTAGATGTTCAATATAGATGCCCTTTTTTATTCACCGAATATGTTCAGTCTGCAGTCGGTTGAATCTGTGGACATGCAACTCATGGATACAGATGGCCTGTGTTTGCAGAACTATTGTAAGAATTAAATAAATGTATACATGAATAGTGCTTAGAACAGTACCTGTCACACAGCAAATAGTCAATATATATTGGCTATCCCTATTATTATCATAAGACTCTAAAAGCCTAAAAAAGTTAATCAATCCAGTTCTTTAAGAGTGCCTAATTTACTTCCAGAGTATTTTCAGTCACACTGATTTCTAATGTATTTGCATCTGTCTGAACACATACGTCACTGTGTTTTAATTTCACCAGGCATTGATGTCATACCAGGATTAAATACAGCTAATCTTGCATTTTCCATTGGTCTTAGAGAGCTTCCAGTCCTCAGACACATTCACAAGTAATTATAAGTAGCTCCGTAAGTGATAGCCAACTCTCACCTCTGGATGCATACGGTTTCTTAACTCTCCATATTTCAAGACTTGGCTGAGAATTTTTTGTCATTATTTTTTCTTTTCCCAAAAGTTATTCATTAATTTCTAATTGTAGGCTTTTGTATCTATATTTTTCTTGATTAAATAAAATTAACTATATAAATGTTCAGGATTTTTGCCAGTTTATATTCATCATATTGCCATGGTCTTTCTTATTTAACTTTAGGAATGTATATTTTTAAGAAAAATTTTCTTCTTAATAACAGTTTCACTATAATCCTTTTAGTCCTTGCATTTTTGTCCCTCATTATTTTAAATATGTACCTTGTTTTTAATCTATCCCTTTTATACTCCTTGATATGGTTTGGGTCTGTGTCCCCACCCAAATCTCATCTTGAATTGTAATCCCCTTATGTCTAGGGAAGAACCTGGTGGGAGGTGATTGGATCATGGGGGGTGGTTTCCATCATGCTGTTCTTAAGATAGCGAGTGAGTTCTTATGAGATTTGGTGGTTTAAAAGAGTGGCACTTCCCCTCGCTCTCTCTCTCTCCTGCTGCCATGTAAAACGTGCTTGCTTCCCCTTCACCTTCTGCCATGATTGTAAGTTTCCTGAAGCCTGTCAGCCATGTGGGACTGTGAGTTAATTAAACCTCTTTTCTTTGTAAATTACCCAGTCTCAGACAGTTCTTTATAGCAGTGTGACCATGGACTAATATACCCCTTTTCAGAATTTTTTTTTGGCTACAGATAGCTTGAAGCATTTCTTCATCTAAGACTTATTACATTTTACTTCATTAATTTCAAGAGAAATTATAACTATTTTATTTAACAAAAGTAACTGCCTCCTAATACTCAAGTTTATTTTTTTTCTTGTGCTGTGTGATTCATTGCATTTTTTAATTCAACTGTAAACTTCTCAATTTAAAATTTAAAAGGTAATGCATACTATTTGGGAAGGGAAGGGGAGGTAAAAAAGGTAATTAACTCCCATTTATTGAGCATGTAGAGGTGTACTATGTTCCAGCAATTTTGTTAAGCACTTTGCCCGCGTTATTGAGTTTAATCTTCACTAGGAATTTGTAAGGCTTTCTGCCATTATGTAAATTGACCAAAGGCATTCAGACATTTCATGGCAAATCTAGGGTTCAAATCCATGTCTGTTAACTTCAAAGTATGTCATTATTTTATTCTTCAATCTTTCCTGCAAAGACAGGCTAAACTAGTCCTTCTCTTTCACTATGTCATTTTCATGTAAAAAGAATAGTACACTAATATTTCACTATCTACTAAGGAGAGACCATTGTGAGGGGAAAGGTAGTAGATGAAGCCATGGATGTAGGCAGGGGCGAGTCATGGAAAACACAGGCCATACTAAAGAGTTTGCACTTCATCCTGCAGGGAATAGAGAGTCATTAGAACCTCTGCTCTGATAGGAAGCCCTATGAAGGGTTGATTATGATGGTACAATCTGGAAACAAGGAGGGCAGAGAAAGACATCTGCATTAATATAAGCAATAAGGTAATGACATTCTCACTAAGGCAGATTCAGTGAGGAGGAAGAGAGTCAAATTGCTGGCTGTATAAAAAGTGAAGTCAGCAAAATATAGGGACCCATTAGATTAGTGAGGGAAAATTAAAAGTCATGAATGACTTGCAGATCCCCAGCTTGGGTGTCCCAGTAGAGATGATGCTGTCAGCAGCTGTAAAAAGAAAAACAGAGAAGAAGTGAACGTGGTAGAGAAGACAGTGTTTTTCTTTTCTGTCATCTCTGTTCATTCACTGCCTTTCTGCAGTTAATTCTTCGGACCCATCTCCTCTTCTGGAAATCCTACAAGATGTGCAAGGCCCAGTTCCAATTCCACCTTTCACAAAAGCACTTGCCTTGATTACACAGGGAAGAAGTGACACTTTCCCTTCTCTGGACTCCTGGTGATTTTCTTTGTACCATTCATTTAGTAAGTATCCCATTCTGCCTTGTATGAGAATTGTCTGTGAATCTTCTGATAGTTCACATAATCCTTTAGAGCTGAAATCATGTCTATTCTTTGCATCTTTGTATCCTCAACAAAGCCCAGGAGTTGATATGTTTGATGTGTAAATAAATCCAAATAATTTTAAATAAGTGAAATAATGTCTGGTGTTAGCCATGTTTTGAAGAATGTAGCATCTACCACATTTGAAGCACTCAGAAGCAGGCAATGTATTTCAGGGCTTTGAAATGCTATTGTCTCATAAGCCACAATTCAACTTAGGGCTTATCTCAATGCTAATTAATGTCCCATTAATATTTGTAAAAAAAACTTTGATATAGACGTCATCTCTTCATTTTTTTTTCTTTATCCAATCCTTCTATGGTAATTAACCTTTTTTTTTTCTTGAGACCGAGTTTCGTGTTTCGCTCTTATTGCCCAAGCTGGAGTGCAATGACATGATCTCGGCTCACTGCAACCTCTGCCTTCCGGGTTCAAGGCATTCTCCTGCCTCAGCCTCCCAAGTAGCTGGGATTACAAGCATGTGCCACCACGCCCAGCTAATTTTTTGTATTTTTAGTAGAGACAGGGTTTCACCATGTTAGCCAGGCTGGTCTTGAACTCCTGACTTCACGTGATCCACCCGCCTTGGCCTCCCGAAGTGCTGGGATTACAGGCGTGAGCCACCGTACCCGGCCAGTAATTGTTTTTTAAGGATGGTATTGTAGCAATTGATATGATCTCAGCAGATTTTGTTTATCTAAATGTAGTCATAACCTCCTTCCCTCAGTTAAAGTGATCTTCTTGCCAACCTCCTATAGTCTCTGCATTTGTATAAAGAGATTTTAGTACTTTCATGTTTTTTTTTCCAGCTTTCATCATATGCTATGGAAAATTATATCCTCTGCTTTCATCATATGCTACAGAAAATCATGTCCTCTGCCTAATTTTTTTTTTTTTTTTTTGAAAAGCTGCTAGCCTGCCAGTTTTGGCAGAGCAAACTAGGAAATTAGAATCTGGCAACAAATAGGCACCACACAGCAGACAAAACTTAAGGTTTGCAAAGTAGTGATGCTCTTCGATCTGTTGTATTGGGTGCAAAATTAGATCCTATCAATGTCACACTCACCCCCGGAGCAAATGTCCTCTTGTGACAACTACATGCTGTGCTTCAAGCCAAATGATAGAACACAATTTTTAACAATTATGTTTTTGGAGCAGAATCTCTCCAAAAGTATTAGCATATTATTGATCAGCCTGTGGCTACTCTCGAAGTAACAATTACTCTCTGGTAACAAGTGACCACCACCAGCTTAAAAAACAGATATCCATGGGATAATTGAAAGAAAAAAAGAAAGGTTCACTAGGTTGATGGCAGAAACCTTCCAGTGTATAGCATAGTACAATGTAAAATGAGAATGCTAATTCTAAAAATTGGCAGGAACCACCCAGATTATAATAGTAAAGAAAATGAGACCACATTTTCCTTCCTTTCCTCTGTCCCTCCTTCCTTCCTTCCTTTCCCCCTTATTTCTTTGCCTCCTTCCTTCCCTCTTTCCCTTTCCCTCCTTCCCTCTTTCCCTTCTTCTTTCCTTCTTTCGTCCTTCCTTCCTTCCATCTTTCCTTCCTTCCTTCACTCTTCCCTCCTTAGCTTTACTCATTTATCCCACAATCTTTTGCTAACATCTATCAACTCTCTGCCAGTAACTGTTTAAAACTAAAAATTTATCTGGGCGCAGTGGCTCACACCTGTAATCCCAGCACTTTGGGAGGCCGAGGCGGGTGGATCACAGGGTCAGGAGATCGAGACCATCCTGGCCAACATGGTTAAACCCCATCTCTACTAAAAAAAGTACAAAAAAAATTAGCTGGGTGTGGTGGCATGTGCCTGTAATCCCAGCGACTCAGGAGGCTGAGGCAGGAGAATTGCTTGAGCCCAGGAGACAGAGGTTGCAGTGAGCCAAGATCACGCCACTGCACTCCAGCCTGGCAATACAGCAGGACTGCGTCTCAAAAAATAAATAAACAAACAAACAAAACTAAAAATTCAGTGGTGACCAAGTCAGAAAAGGGTAAAGGAGAAGAAGAAAAGGATTCCTGTACATATCACAAAACCAACAGATTTCAGAATGCTGTGATCTGAAGTTGATGTCCCCCCCCTCCAAATTCCTATGTTGAAACCTCATTATCAATGCAATGGTATTAGAAGGTGGGGCCTTTAAGAGGTGACTAGGTCATGAGGTGAAGCCCTTATGAGTGGGATTAGTACCCTTAAAAAGAGACACTACAGAGCTGCCCTCCCCTTCCACCATATGGGGACACAGCAAGAACATGCCATCGTGAACCAGAAAGTGGGCCCTCAACAAGACACTGAATCTCCTGCTGGCCTCTTGATCTTGGATTCCCAGCCTCCAGAACTGTGAAAAAGAAATTTCTGTTGTTAAGCTACCCAGTTATGGCATTTTGTTATAGCAGCCCAGACGGGCTACAATACAGGAGAACCCTCAAAATGCTGCAGTATCCTTGGCTGAGTTATGCACATAAGCTAATTGCACCTATTTACACATATTTTTAGTTGTATGTCCTCTATATATGTATAAAAGAATAATAAGGGAAAGGGCAACCCTATTACCAGAAAATTAGCAAAAACACCAACAGACAGGAAGAGTTCCTATGCCTTGCCTGTGGTTTTTACATAAAACCCTGATTTTTAGTTGGGAAGGACTGGGTTTTGGAACATTTAGGAAGTTGTGACTCCTGCTAAGAGTTTTAACAGGGTAGATTTCTCTCCCAACAAGGACTTTGTAAAAGAAGTGAATTGAACTTAGAATGAACTTCAAACGCAAGTGACTCGGTAAAGCAAGAGAATGGGGGAGAAATGCTTGGAATGAAGGAGATGTGGGTTTGCAGTGCATGTGTGCATACTAATATCAGTTATAGAGTTTTGAGCACTACTCTAAAATCATGTTTCTTAGGAAAAATGGTTCCCTAATACATCAGTTATCAAAAGGAAAATGTGGAAATTTTAAACAAAGTAAAACAGGTGTTTTTATTACAAGGCTTTCAGAGCCTTTCAGTGCCAATGTGCACCATGAACCTCTGCTAAAGAGGCATAAAGATGTCGTGCATTTCATCAAGGAATCATCCTGTTTCTTTTCCCTGAGACTCTAAACAGACATGATTTTGAAAATTAACATAAAGCAACTTCTATATTTTAAAAGTTGCACTTCGAGGAGGCTGAAACTTGTCCAAAGTCACCAGCCAGCACTTTCCATCCTGATCTGTTGCTCTTTCCCCTACCTCACAATAGTCACCAATTTGCTAAACGGTTTTCTAATTTTAATAATGCCACTTTCTCCTACTTTCATCTCCTAGCTTTATCCAAAAGAAGATCTAACATTCCTATATTTGCTTTCCTTTGGAATGGCCCCAGCTGTAAAAGATAAGACACCACACATAGTCTTAGAAGTGCAATAGAAAGCACTTGGAGTTAAGTCTCAAAGGCAACATCTAAAGAAAAATGTTGACACAAAACCCTTGTTATGGGGCCAACTCAGAGAAGGCCCTTAGTGTAATTTTATAACCATGCTTTGGAAAACTTAGTAGTATGAGCTGTGTGTGTGTGTGTGTGTGTGTGTGTGTGTCATTGTTGTTGTTGGCTTTTCTGCTAGCACATATTGACTCCACCTTCTAATATTTGAGAAAATTTCCAAGATTATAGATATATTTAATTTATTAATTGAACAATTCATTCATTTAGTAATACATCCAACAAACATTCATTAAGCCCTGATGACTCTCAATGCACAGGTCTCGGTCCAGCTCCCATTCCTACCACACTCCTACCCTGAGTGCAGGAACACTGATGAGAGATTCCTTCTTGGGACACCAGACTCTGTTTCCACCTGTACTCACTTGGAGCTGGCTGCTCATGTAATTCTGCCTTAATGCTGAGGTCCACTCAGTATGTTGCCATCTAGCAAAACAGGGATACCCTCTCCTCAGATATCCCAGTGGTTTCCTAGAGGCAGATGCTGCTGGGGGAGATTTATTATATAGTGTATAGATGAGTGAGAACAATCAACACCTTAGCACATACAGCTGAGCAATGAAAATATGACAAAGCACAGAACATCTAATCAAAGAATCTGCGATTAGTAAGGAATTTGGAACTGGCTCTTCAAAGTGGTTCCCATATAAAATCTAGACTAGTGGAAACTGGGCAAACTGGAAGAACATAGCTCCAACCCTTCTCTGACCACCACCCCATTACTCTGTCACATCCTGTTTCCTTAACTTCATACAGTTTATCATTCCCTGAAATCATCTTTTTAATTCTTTTCCTTGTTTGTTTCTTTTTGTCTGTCTTGCTCCATTCAGCATGCATGCTGTTTGAGTGTAGGGATTTTACTTGTCTTGTTTCTTGTTCTATCTCCAGCATTTAGAACTTTATTGGCTACTTTATTAGCTAATTAGTAATACTTGTGGAATTGAAGATTAGATGAATGAAGTGAGTAAAGGCTTCCTCTATTCTTCTAATTCATGTTAATGTCTATCATAATCTACTTTTTCCTTTACCTCCCAGTTGAATTATTGAAATATTTAATGTAAAATAAATTGTTTAAAAATTACATCAGATTTCTCTGGAGGGATATGATAAATTCAAAGAAAAATATCTTTGTCACATGCAATTAGATTTAATTCATGAAGATGGGGCCAAACAATTGTCTAATCTAAAAAACTCCCACCAGTCTGTTTTAAACATCATTTAAAAAGAGAAGTATATGATGTGAGTAAACACCAACATTTCAGTTTTTACATGATAGCCCTACCTTCTTTCTTTTTTTCTTTAAGAAATCTTCCTAAGAATCCTTTCAGGCACTAGGCCATGGTCCACTTGTGAATTTGGCTAGCTGACCCCATAATCACAGCGGCAGTTTGCTGCCTCTTTCCACAAAAGATTTCTTTGCTCTGTTGCCGAGGCTGGACTACAGTGGCATGATCTCGGCTCACTGCAACTTCTGCCTCTCGGGGCTCAAGTGATCCCCCAACCTGAGCCTTCTGAGTAGCTGGAACCACAGGTGTGCACCACCACACCTGGCTAATTCTTTTGTATTTTTTGTAGAGACAGGGCTTCTCCACGTTGCCCAGGCTGGTCTCGAACTCATGGGTTCAAACAATCCACCCACCTCGGCCTCCCAAATTGCTGGGATTATAGGTGTGAGCCACCAGGCCCGGCCTAAAAGATTACTATTTCTAAAATTCACTTCCATATGATTTGGTTGCAATTGTTTCAGAGAGAACAATCAGTTGTCTCTGAAAAAAAGTGAGAAAGTTGCAGATATCTTCACCAGTGAGAAAGAAGGACTTCTAGAAGCAATCTCAGCCGTCTTGAGACTCAGGCACCACTTGCAAAGCAATCACCAAGGACAGAGTCTTTGATCACCAGACACCTGTTCAATCTTTTTCCCCACAGTCTACATCAAGTCAGACACAAAGCCCATTATGAATGCAGTTTTGAGTTTGTCTGGATGAAGTGGCTAGTAATTAGTTCCTTTTACATTTGGTAATTTTGTTAACACAACTCAGTAGGTGTCTTGTTAATTTGTTCATTACTAGGTGGATGAAAATGTGCATCTCTTCTGTGAATACCAATTATTCCCAAATGAGGTAATTTCACCAAGACAGTGAAATTTCCTCATTCTTTCCTGGTGTAAGAATATCACTGCCAGGAATGAACAGTTCCAAACAAAGCAAGTTGTGGGAGGTGGAAAGGGTGTTCTTTCCTGAAAAGGGGGAGTCTATTTGATTATTTTGCAATCTGAAAATAAAGTGCATTTTCGGGGTGTACAAGAATTTAAGGGGAAGAGGCAGGACATGCTGGTGGTGGTGGTGGTGCTGCCTCAGGCTCAGGGGGCCCTGCGTCTCTAACTTCTCTTTGCAACAATTAAAGGGACATGTCACTGTGAGGATGTAAGAAGAATAAGTAGTCATTTCATTGTTTCTAGGCAATTTGATCATACTCCAGGATTCTTGCCACCAGCAAAACAACGAAAGTAAGTTTTAAGATCTTCAACAAAGAGTTTTCAAATTCTACTTTTATTTTCTGCTCCAAAACATTTCTACTTTCAGAAGCAAAGCAGCTTTCTAAGTCTCATTCTTCAAATCATTGAATCTTTAGGGGGAAGGACCAACTAGTGTCCATGGTAATATTATATGCAAGGCCAAAGAGAAGGAGTAAGTCCACCTCTGGGGCAAAGGAAGTGGGAAGGAAAGGATTTGAGTTCCCTGAGAATGGAAACTGTTCTTCCTTGCATTTGTATTTCTGCACATAGCATGTGCTTAGAACACAGCAAATAAATCTGCAGATTCCCATCTCCTCCTAACAGATTGTATTGTATCGGCCTTCTTCACACACGTATTCTTTGTGTTGAAGGCATAGAAAAACAAAATTGATTTCTGCCCCTTTAGTCAATGGAGTTGATTCACAATGCAAAATGGAGAGCTGGGGCTGCCCTTCCAAAGGGCAGCAGGGTCCCAAGAGCCCCTCTGCCCTTCCACCTTCCATTTATTTCTAGCCAAGAAGGACAGGGAAACCTATCAATGAGCTTTCAGGATGCCTTTGGGGTCACTAGAGAAATGGGGAAGATGTAAGTGGCCCGTGTCCCCAACAAAAGACCATGAAATCACCCGGGGAGTCCCAGACCTGCCTGCTGCTCTTCTCTGTTTTTCTTCCTTCTTAGCTGCTCCCAAACAACTTCCCCTAAGCCAACTATAGCAGCTTCTTTGTTCTCTCCCCTTTGGGCCAACCTCCATGTTGCTCTTTTGTTCTTGGGGGAGTTAAGGAAGTTATTGACTATCTCAACATTTTGTTCTTTGTCTCAAGCAGAAACTATTCCCAAAAGGGCTCTCATTTCCTTACTGTTAGACTTAGTTTTCATTACCTTCACGCAAATGAAAGTGTAAAGGGGGACCCAGACTATATATCCCATTCACTATAGATCCCTAAGTGATTAACATATTTTCTAGTATACAGTTGTCTCACAATGAATATTGTTACTTATTAATAGTGAATAGTAGTAAAAACAATAATAGCTAACAATTCTCAGATCATCAAAACACTGCCTATTTTATATTACAACACATAATCTGCATTTAACACTTAACCTTCATTTAAAATTCAATCCTCAAAAAAAAAAAAAACAGAAGAAATAGAAACTATTATTGATCCCATTTTAAGGACAAAGAAGTTGAGGCAGAGAGAAGTAATATGTCCAAGATTATATAGCTGTAAGTGGCAGTGCAGCGATTGTTTGCTTCCTCTACTATCATTAACTTTTAGAAAACAGAAACTGTGTCATAGTTATCTGCTATCTGCTATAACGTCTAGCCAAAATCTTGTATTCAAGCAGTATAGCACAGCTGTTAAGAACTCAGGAATTTGAGTGAGACTGTCTGCATTGAAATCCTAGCTCCATCACTTGCTGACTATGTGACATTAACATCCCTAAGTGTCAATTTCCTCTTTTTAAAGTGGAAATAATCATAGCACAGTCTCTTATGATTGTGGGAGGTTCAAAGTTAGCACAGGACCTACTCTTCAGTAGGCGCTCAATAAATGCTATTCTATCATATCTCAATGACCAACCTGTGCTCAGCACAATAGGAGTTCTGTAACCGCTTGTTGGGTGAATGAAAGACTGAGCAAATGAATAAATAACAATGGAATGCCTGTATTCCATCATTTTCTTCCAGTCCCAAGCCACTAGCAAAGTTCCACTCACCAACTCTGGTGCTCACACAGTATGGTTGTCAGCTCACAGATCCTGGTCGTCTGTTCACACCTTAAAAGCAGTACAGGGAACATTGAGCAGGAGGTGTCTTATTCCACAGGGCACTGCTAAAGCAGCACTGATACAATCTGCACTTTTTCAGCCTGAGATCTATGGGGAGACTCCTTGGCTTAAACACGGAATATGGACACAGGAGGGGAAAATGAGTCTCCAGATTGAACTCTTTACAATGTCATACACCACAGATGTAGGAAATCTGCTGATCCCAATGAAATGGGGACACCTGAGTTAAAGATGGCTCTGGGAGACATCAACTCAGTACGTTTTCCATGCTGGATGGGAGCCAAGCCCATGAGAAATTCTGCTGTCATTTCCTTTCACAGCCACTGGCTAACGAGTGTAAAATCTAGTGAGCTGAAGAGACAGGCATGGTGGCAGAGATTTAACAGCAGGACTAAGTAGATGAGACAGAAATGTGCTTCAGGACTCAAGAGAGCTAAAATATGGAAGACAGAGAGCAGAGGCCAGTCCACACAGAGACTGGAGCACTTAGGAATTGCACTGCGTTCCAAGGAGAAGTAAGCAAATCAGGAGAATCCGACTGGGATAGAAGCCATGTGGGGGCTGCTGGATCAATTTCTCTTGGGTCCCTTCTTACTTTAGCTTTCTGGAAGTCTGCAGCTGGGCCTGAATATAAACACCACTTCTTCAGAGGAGCACATGTAAAATGTAACAAATTAATACTAACACATTCATTCAATTTCCATTTATTGACACATAATTTTTCATTTTGACTTTTTTTATCCCCAAAAGGGTTGTTTCATCAGACACAGAAGAAGAGCATCAACAAAGGCGGATGTCTTTATGTTGCTTCTTGGTTGACGCAATAGCTCTGCCAAGACTCAAGACCACAGGAAGCTTTTACACAGATGGGTTCAGAGACAACGTGGTCCCACCACAGAAGTTAGTTCCCATCCTGCATGGCATCTGGTCCTAAAGGGTAGCAGGGGGTCTTTGCAGTAGGTGAGAAGACCTCTTTAGCAAAACCACCATGTCATACAGTCCTAAAAAATCATCTGTGCTTCCCAAAATTAGAACAAAACTTCAAGGGAACTTGAATTTCCTTACTGGGGACTTAAAGACCTCCAAAGAGGAAAGTCCAGACTTGGAAACAAGAATAACAAAGCCTACAAAGAATACATAAAGGCTTCAAGCAGATCAAATCCCTGGGGTTGCTTTCCATCAAACTTATATGCCATGATTATTAATGCCTAACCATATAATATCCTCATCAGGAAATTGTGTGTTAATTTCTCGAACTTTTGCAGACAAATAAATTTGTGCACAAACAAGATGACTGGGTTTGCCTCAGGCCCTACAATGAATCATTGCCAACCCAAGAATTACAACTCTGAGCTCCTGACTTGCAGCTCTGAGCTCACACCTTCAGGATCGATCTCCTTAGATCCACCAGACAATGGCTTCAAAAGCTTTTATGGCAATTAGAGTAGGAACACTGTCTCCTATTAGGACACACCTACGCAGTTCTCCTTTTGGACCTGGGCACAGTTGCTGTCAGGGAGCAGGGAGTAGGAGACATGATTTAGTGCTTGGAGTCTTCCATGTCCAAGCAGAATTCTTCATGCCAAAAACCACACCTTATAAGGAGAAAAGTCTAGAGATGGGAAGTCTCTCCCTGGCATAGCTTGTGAGGAGGATAGGTGTGGGGGAGCAGAGAACCAGGCATCTCATCTGTTTGTTCTCGAACTTGCGGCCAACATTAACTGTGTTTAAATAATATTATGCTATAGCATTGTTCCCAACGCGATGACCTACAGTTCTTGAAAGAATGTCTTTTTCTTTCTTACAAATGTGCCCCATATGTTAAGACACACGTAAGGAGCTAAAAGCAACACTCTGAGTTTTCATCTCCAGGTGATGCCCTCTGCCAGGGAAGAGGTGGCAATGATATTCTTGGAGATTTCACTGTGATCCTGACCTGTTAGGTTCTGTAGGGGAAGGCAGAGATGATCACAAAGAACATTTCAATTTTAGTACATGCCTTTACATTGGTTAAAACAAGCAGCTATGGAAAATTCAGTTATAAAGGTAAGAGAACTATGTGAATCAAGATCCTATAGCTACTACTATGGAATCCTTTCTCAGCCAGCAGTGGGACTGGGAAGTGGCAGAGGGGCTGCTCCAGAGTTGTTGTTTTTTTGTTTTTTTCTGAGACAGGATCTTACTCTGTCACCCAGGCTGGCATGCCGTGGCGCCATCACCACTCATTTCAGCTTCAACCTCCTGGGTTCAGGTGGCCTTCCCACCTCTGCCTCCCAAGTACCGGGAACTACAGGCATGAGCCACCATGCCTGGATAATTTCTTTGTTTTTTTTGTTTTGTTTTGTTTTTTTGTTTTTGTTTGTTTGTTTTTTGTAGAGACAGGGTTTCACCATGTTGCCTACACTGGTCTTGAACTCCTGGACTCAAGCAGTCTGCCTTCCTCAGCCTCCCAAAGTGCTGAGACAGGTGTGAGCCACAGCATCCAGGCTCCAAAGGTTTAAAGGCTAGTCTGGAAAATGTAAATTATTGATGCCCTTCTCCAGGAGGGACACTTTGACTTGCCACTTCCTCTGCTTTGGCTTGTTGCCTATGCTTCCAAATCAAATGGCAATGGTATGTGTTATGTACCTACCCTTCTGGCAAGGGTTATGCTACATAAGTTTTAGAGGGCCACTTCCATGGTCCTTATCCAACCTCTTCAGGTCTGTAGGAAGACGGCAGGTGGAAAGCCAGTCGCTACTCCTGAAGAGAACACCTTAGAACTGGAGTTAGCCACAGTTATGATGCCCTGTTCTTAGAAAGGGCTCTTAACCTGTCTGAAGACAGGATGGGCTCTTGGTAGCAATATGGATTTGCAAAGCTTTCCCTTCTGTCTGTCCAGACAGCACTCTGATCTCTGATCATGTCAATTCATATGCCAGCTGGGCTTCAGAGAGGGAGGGAGATGTCATGCTATAGCACAAATAGTTTATTTTTTATATGAGAAGATCTAATGTCTCATCTTCACTTCATGCTATTTTTTTCTGAGACACCCCTAAAAAGCAACTCATCTTTATGACCATTTACTGCAACTTCCTAAAATCTTGCTTCTGGGATTTTTAAGTAGAACAACCAAGTTGAAGAGTTCTATTTCAAAAGGTTTTCAAGTACTTATATAAGCTGAGATGGAAAGGTTTGATTTGATAGTCACTGGGAATAATTTGGGGGAAGAAATACATGACTCAACTCAGGATATGCCCCAGGACTGCATCACTCTTTGAGCTTTCTGCAACAGATGGATGCCTTTCTGCTCTGAGGCCTCAGAACCATCCAACAAGGCCTCGACAATAATAGCCAGGCAAAACTTTATCAAAGGGAGAAACAAAAAGGCCTGACAGATGATGCTGCCAGCATTGCAGCAGCCCAGGTTACCTTTGTTCTAATGCCATTCTGTCAGGTTTAACAAGCAGATATTAAGAGAAGTTTATAGAGAATAGAGATGAAAGGTTGTCGGTAGAGATGAGAGCTGCCAGTGGGCACCGAGATTCACAGCTGGGTGTAGACTCTGCCGCAACTGGCTGAGAGAAAAAGAGGTTTGATATGGGAGCAGCTGCTTCCAACCCCTGCTAGAAGCAAGTCTTAATCATCTGGCACCCAAGAGTCTGGAGCTCCACCTGGAGAGAGACACAGCAAATGGGAGGATGCTGGGTGTGAACCTCATCATTAGATTAGAAACAACTGATGTATTTGCAGAAATTGGTTCCTTGACTGGTCCTGACCTGGTATGACATCTCACATCCGGAATGTTTTCACTGAAGCATTCAACGACAATGGAAGCAAGAAACAAGGAAGAGGTTCAAAAGGGAGATTAGTGATTTTACTTAATGGATTGAGGGTATGCTTGAGAAAGAAGGGACACTGGAGAATGAAAAAGAAAGGGGCAGTATAGAATGCAGTGACTATGTCCTGGCATGTAGGGCAAGCTGATGAAGCTCTCTTCAATCAATTTTCAATCGTACTAAATTCTTTCTGAGTCCACATTCCTTTCAATCGAGTGCTTTTTGAAATGAGGATGAGTCAAGATGCCTCAGAAGGGCTGTGTGTCATCAAAACACCAAAGGTTAAATTTCAACCTCTAACTTGCCTATTCATTTGTTCCCTCTGTCTGCTAAGTTCCATTTCTGCAAATTAAAATCAAAAAGCAATTATTATGTTATTTGTAAAAACAAAAACAAAACACAACTCCAGTTTAAAAAAAAAAATCACCTCATCTTCTAAATGTGTATCTGTCTCTGTTTTAGCCATGCATCTTTTCCAATGAAGGCTGTTAAGGCCTTCCTTTTTTTTTTTTTTTTTTTTTTTTTCTGAAAAGGAACAGAATTATAAATTGCAGCCATTCCATCCAAAATCATTAGAAGACCCTTACACATATCTGCCAGCAGTGACGCAATTAAATTGCATTGAGTAAGCTCCTTCTAAGTTGAATCACACATATATTTTCTTCGATGAAAGTGAAATTCATATAACTTAAAATCAACCATTTTAAAGTAAACAATTCAGTGGCACTTATTAAATAAATTTACATTTAATAAATGAATTATCTAGTTCCAAAAGGTTTTTAATCATCCCCAAAAGAAACCTCGTACCCATTAAGCAGTTACTCCCAGCCCCTCCTCTGCTACACCCCCATGCCACGCCCAGCCCCTGGCGCCATTGTATTTTAGAACAGTGTTTGTTCACACATTCTTTGTTGTGGTGAAGTATTGCTATTTCCTTTAGAAGACCCCCCAGTCATGTTGAGTTAGAGGTTTTCTCAAGGTCTGACCACAGTTAAGATCTCGGTCTAGAAACAAATGCTCCCAAGGATGAGGTCTCTACCACTTTAGGATTGCATTACATTGTTCAAAGCCACCGCAGCCATGAGCCAAGCTTTCTACAGCCCTTCAAGACAATTGTCGTCATTCCTTTGTGTAGCTAGTGGGTTTTTCTTGGAAGCTAAATGATAAACCTAAAGTTCATTTCATTGAGACCTGTTTGAGATTTCCATTTTACAAGTAAAGAACACAGGTGACCTCTCCGAGTTAAATGCTCTTCCAGCCAACAGATTTAAATCTGCGGACAGATTTAATATCACAAACTTTGAGTTTCCAGCCCACGCCTCCTAGGCTGCTCTGGGACTTCATACACACGCACACTGACTTCCATTATAATCCCCCTATTTTTAGTTACACATAACTTTTAAAGAAGTTTCTCTTGGAAAGTTTGAGGATTTTCAGCAGTTATTTTTGTGATTCCTACCAAGCAAGACCTAGCTTTTTCCACCTCAGAAATGCCAGGTTTTTTTTTTCTTTTTACGTCTGACTCAAGCAGCTGAATTGTAACATGTCCTAATTCCTTCTCATGTGGTTCTTCTTCATTCAAGACGAGCAGTTTTATTGAATCCAAAAGAAAAAAAAAAATCTCATTTAAAAATAATTTCCTCCCATGTACAGAAAAAAAAATTGTCTAATAAGGTTCATTTACATTGTTACCTGAGGCCACAGAGAGTTGTGCAAAGCACATTTCATAATTCCTCCAGGCTGTTAGTACGTGTATTTTCCCTATAAGTAGAGAGGAGAGAAGTTTCAAAGAGATCAGGATGCCAAAAGAAAAAAAAAAACTATAAAAATGTTCATACTGATGCAATAGGGAGTTTTTCTCTGCCCTCTGTATTTGGATTTCTATTTTTAAAACTAGATTAAAAAAAAACTGCGGCTGCAAACATCATGAAGTATAATGGTACCGATAAGGCTTAATGTACACTGAAATAGCCTAGGTATGTGGATTCAATGAGGATGTTTAGTTCTGAATTCTCTCCTTTTCTGTTTCTACGTAGACATTATTGATTTCACTCTTGAAAAGGGATTTCAAAGAATATTCTCTCCAGTGATGAAGAGAGCGTCTCTGATGCTATGGTTAAGTGAAGGTTCAATCATTTGTCAATTATTTTTAGCACTTACTCTATTCTTTCTTTTGATTCTCAAAAACACTTTTGAAATGTAGAGAAGTTATACCTAGTCTATTCCAAACTAGAAAACACCCTCAACAATTCAATAATCACAAAAAGGGATTATTCCTTCAGTTTATTGATTGATTGAATCAAGACCATATTGAAGACCTGGTAGATTTATGGAACTGTAAGACTGGTTATTTCACTTGTATAAAGGGGAGTATATTAAAAGCTCAACACTGAAACATCTGTGCCTACATATACATATATGAGGACTGATGTTTCTTTAACAGAGCCACTGCATGTACCATAGCTCTGACCTGAACTCTTATACATGTGTCTCAGTGACCAATCTACTCACTAACCTATCATTCGCTTGTTGGTAGACCTGTACTAAATTTGTATACCAAAGGAAATATTCTTGTTAGCATTAATGAGAAAGAAGAGACAAATGCAGTGCAGGGAGACCTATTGAGTATGAAGTCGAGTATTAAATCTCTTTGCAATGTATAGTTCACGAACTGCAATGCCTACATTAACTCACATGATTCACATAGTAATCCTAGGGAGGTCACAGGTAAGCATTATTATTTTCAGTCTTTCTCAATGACTGCTCCTAGTCCTCCCAACCTTATTCACAGAGCTGGTGGTACTTGAACCCAAAACCGAATGTCAATATTTACGTTCTTAACCTACATCCTTACCCTCCACATTTAAAATAAAGTATCAAGTCCCTCCTTCCATTCATGCCATAAACATGTATTAAGAAGCCATAAGTATTCTTATCATTGTGCTAGGAAATGTGATTCCAAGAAAGGCAAGAAAGACACAATCCCTTAACTCAATGCTAAGGAGTCAAGTGCACAAAAACCCAGAAAAGAGCATCATAGTTACCACAAAAGAAGCCCAAAATGCAGTGGTGATTCAGAGAAGGAAAAACAACAACTATTCATAGAAGATCTTGGGGGAAACTGAATTTTAGCTGGATCTTCAGGGCAAGGAAATATCAGAGGAGAAAGGCACCGTAATAGAAAAGTCTAGAGAAAAATCAAGGTCAGTGTAGGATGCATTTCAGCTGGTGGAAGCATTCTCTGCCATGAGTGTCTTGCTCACTGTCAAGCTCTAGCTCCTCTTTCTAACAGTCTTATTTCTCCTGAAGCAGAGCAAGGTCATATTGTCTCAAAATCAACCTTCTGAAGTTCCTGTGCCTTTTAAAAATTAGTGTGTTTCTCACAAAACTGACTGTTCACAGTTGGAGCTTTGGTGTTTTCTTGGCCTATTTAACAAATGTGTGTGTGTGTGTTTGTGTGTATAAAGTAGGGATTCCAGGCACATTCATGTTGTTAACTGATAGTAAACACATTAAATGTGCCAGATACATACGGAGACTTGGCAGGGCAAAGACAGAGACAAGATTATGTTTTCTCCATGTGAGGCAGAATAGGGACAATACTGCCTGTCTATTCTACAAACAGTTTTGGCAGTGGATGAGCCACCTTTAAGAATGTATACCATGGGATGAGAGTAAATTTATAACTAGGAAACTGCAGAGTGGTGTGGTGGCCGCCATATTGAAGCATTACTGACACACCTGCTTTAATATGCCAGGTACTGATCCTGGGATATAAGGGAGAGCAGATCTGGGAGCCTTTATGCAGATCCTTGAGTTGGAAGTGTGACTTGAAAGTGAGGTAGATTTCCAAAACCTGGTAGGTCTTGCAGCATGAGGAAAGAAGCACACAGAGACACACATAGACCCAAGCGAACATTTCCAAGTCCTCAGTGGAAGTGAAGATCAGTCCCAAGAAGAGGATATAGGTGGCCCCAAAAATACAGCTACAAAGTTTGGTTTGTCTTTGCTGTTGTTCATTCAATCATTCTTTTTTTCTTTTTTCATCCTTTCTTTCTTCTTACTTTTCTTCCTTATTTTCTTTTTTTGGATATCATTTTTGTTCACAAAGATAGCCATGTAAAGTCACTGAAAATGAAGTGGGTTTTTTTTTTTCAAATAAAAATTCAATTGCAAATACAAAGCATATATTTTAACTTAAAGAATTTTTTGGGAACTTTCTGTCTTCCACCTTGCCACCAAAAAGCAAGCTTTTTTTGCACAGCATGTTTTTTCAGGATACAGTTTGATAACATTTCATTAAAATACAGAAAACTGTTTCCAATTAACCTGAAAATCAACATCTCATTGTTATCAAGGTGAGCTAAGGACATAGAACTTATACCAGCCAACAGGCCAGTTTTCCTGCTAAAGCAGGGAACTGACTTGAGAGGTACAAAACATAGGGTTTTCACTGCAAGTTTTCAGATTGAAGACTAACCATTGCTGGCTGCTCCTCCTCCACACCCACTATGAAGTAGAGCACGTAAATTCACATGGGCTGAGTCCCAGGAAAATCATAACAGAAGAGTCATTTAGCAAGAAGGTAGTCAGTGTTCATGACCCCAGTGCCTCAATTACCACATCCAGAGAGAGAAAGAGCAAGGAAGAATGTTATAGGATCATTCAATCATTCACCACATTCTGTGTGGTGATAGCCCAGGATGAAGAATATTGACATTGGAGAGTCCCTGAGCCAACATGAAATTTGACTAGAAATAGCTGAAATTATTATTTTGATAAACAGCATTTCTAAATGTTATAATTGGAAAGGAATGAGCTATTTTAGATTCTGTTTGGATGTGTACCCCAATTATGGTCATCATGTTTAATATGATGGTAAGGGGTGGAGAGGCACCCAAATCTTTGAAAAGTGTTTTTTAAAAATAGGAAACATATGATTTTCTTGACTCATCTCTATTTTTAAACCCCAAAGTACACATTACCCATTTGCTGCAAAGATGAATCACTGTGGACATTTCATTTTCAATGAAATTTCATATATCTGAAGACCAGGATCGGTTCATCAGCAGAGATAGCAGGGTGGTCACAGCAAAATAATTATCCCCAAGTATTCATTGTAATGTGCTCTGGTGAAACTAAATCTACTCATAAAACTTAAAGGAGGTTACCAAGAGTCTTTGGGAAAGAGAGATGAAAAAAAAGCAACAGGGAAAAAAATAAATGAAAAGGGAAAATAAGCAGTCTAGTCATCATCAAGGGCATTGAGAACATACTCACTACTCAGTATGGCTTTGTTGCCAGAAAGAGCTGGATTCAAACTCTGGCCCTGGGACCTAATAGATGTGTGACCTTCGGCAAATAACTTCCTCTCACTGAGCTTCAGTTTCCCCACCTGTTACATGGGGCTATTATATTAGCATATAGATTTCATGAGGGTTGTGTGAGACCACATTAGAACATAAGCCCATATCTTTCAACCCATAAAACACACAGCCCCATGGGATAGATGATATTATTACCCCCATTTCATAGGTGAGGAAACTGAGGCACTGAGAGATTGAGTTACCCAAGACCACACTAAGCAGAGAAGCCAGGATTTGAACACAGTCTCTTGAGTGCCATATAGTAGTAGACACTTGATAAATATTTATGGAATGAATTGATGAAATGACACATGCAAAGCACTTACAAATATTCAGTCACAAGGTTGGCACACAGCAAATATTAGTTGCCTTTCCTTTTTCCTTTTGCCTTCACATTTGGGAGAACAGAAGGTATACAACAAAACATAGTTTCTGCCTCAGATATATGCCATCTTCTTGAGGAAATATGAATAATTATGACAATTAGAAAATTATATGAATGTGTATTTAAAACTAAATTGTTTGACATAGGCCAGTGGTCCCAAGTGAGGCCATTTTACTGTTCCAGAACATTTGCTAATGTCTGAAGACATTTTTTGTTTTTTTTTTAGATGGAGTCTCGCTTTGTCATCCAGGCTGGAGTGCAATGGCGTGATCTCGGCTCACTGCAACCTCTGCCTCTTGGGTTCAAGTGATTCTCCTGCCTCAGCCTCCTGAGTAGCTGGGATTACAGGCATGCGCCACCATGCCCGACTAAATTTTGTATTTTTAGTGGAGACGGGGTTTCATCATGTTGGTCAGGCTGGTCTCAAACCCCTGACCTCGTGATCTGCCCACCTCAGCCTCCCAAACTGCTGGGATTACAGGCATGAGCCACTGCCCCCAGCCCTGAAGACATGTTTAATTATCACAGCTAAGGGTATATGTGCTACTGGCATTAGGAGGTGGAAGACAGAGATACAGCTAAATATCGTACAATACATAGAACAATCCCCACAATAAAGAATTCCAGCCCAGATACCATCAGTGCTGAAATTGCTGAGGTTAAGAAACTCTGGCCTAGGCTATAAGAACTACAGTAGTTCTAAGGTGAGAGAGAAGAGTCAGAGATGACTTTGCTAATACGGCAAGATTTTTTAGGGTAATACATTTAAATAGATGTAAATTGGCATGCTGGAGGAGGAAGTAAAGCCTTCATCACCACTCAGCAGTGTTTCTATGCACCAGAAAATATCTGTACATAATACATCCCCATATACATAAAAACCAGGGTCAGTGGATTAATCTGAGCATTAGTAATACATCAGAAAAGTTTGACCTATGTTCACACTTAGGAAACCAGTGTTCAAGACCCATAATTATTGACATCACAACGAATGGGCAACACTTCTGTAAACCCAATTAATAAGAAGATATTTCCTTTGCTGTTCTTTTATTCACAAGTTTGAGAAGAGGCTCAGCTGGGAACATTGCAGATACTCATACATGTTTCTTCTCCACCCGCCATCCAGGATTGCTTAGCAAGGGCCCCAGATGGGCTCTAAGATTCAGGTATCCCAGATCACGTGTAATGGGTAGATAAGACTGATCACAGCATCTTCCCTTGCCATTAATCTCTTTGTGTATGTTCATGAAGATCTTCTTCAAAGAGAACATGTCCTAAAGGAGGCAGACCCAACCATCTTGGTCCAGAAACAAAGCCTCAGTCGTTGAAGGCAATGGTGAATGCTAACATCCACAGTATCTTGCTACCAAATCCAGCCAAACCAAATCCTATGAACTCACACCATCTTAGGAAGGGGATATCAAATACAGTACAACCTTGAGGGTCACGTACCTGGATTCATATTCCAGTTTTACCACTTATTAGGTTATTAGCCCTGTAAACTTGGACAAGTTACTTACCCTTTCTGATACTTCATCTGTGAAATAGGGTTAATAATACATAATAATACCATGTAGTGTCATTTGAATTAAATGAATTAATTGATATAAAGCACTAATTCACAGTGCTTGACACATAATAAGTACCCAGTAAAGCCCAGCTAATTATTCTGGTTTAGAAGAGAGAGGCATAATAAAGATTAAATTATCTGTTATACTAAAATGTATGGAAAATATTTCAGCCTAAGCTATACTGTTTGAGCTTTCCTCCAACAGAAAGTAACAAAAATGATAGTAGCTATTTCTTGCTTATTTCACCACTTCTTATCTTTGGTCAATTTGGAGTGTCTCAGTATCCACAAGGAGACTTCCTTGTAAGCTGGTGTACTACAACCTGGGAGCACTTCTAGCAGTTCTTGAGGGCTGCTTTCTCAGTACTAAAGCTTCCTGATGAATGAATGAATACAAGAGGGCAGTGCTGCTAATATACTATTAATATGATCTTATATTCACATGTTATTCACAGGAAACTCAGGTTATAAATGTGATGCATAGAGCCAAGTTTTTTCCAAACCTACAAATACTAAATGACTTCCCCAAATTCACCCTAAAATAAGTGATAAGCCGAGATTCCAATTCTCCTGAGCATAGTCTTTCCACTGTTCTATCCCATCCAGTTGACCACAGACCATTTTTCGAGAAGTGCTTCATTGCTCTGATTATCTGTATTCCCTCATTTACTAGAATAAAAATGAGTTAATCATTGTTGCATTCCCGAGCACTAACTGAGTAGAAACCACATCAAAAGTAACCAAACGTATTGAGCAAGATATTTTGGTTACCTGTGACAGGAACCCAACTCAAATGGGCTCAAGCATAACAAGGAATATATTGATTTATAAATGTGAAAATCCCAAACACTGAGCTTGCTTCAGAAAGCACAGAGGGATTCATGCTCCAATCATGAAATCAGTATTCTGCCTCTCGCCATTGCTAATTTCTACTTTCCTGTATATCAGCATCCTTCTCAGTTAAGCATTTGCCAAGGGGTGCAAAGATGACCACCCACACCAGGCTTCCAACCAGCCAGCTTAGCACCCCAAGAGAGAGAAAGTATGTTCCTCGCAGTGGTTCTAGGAAAAGTCCCGAGACCGGGTCTTACAGGTCTAGATTGAGTCATGCACCCATCATTGAACACTTACTGGGGTCAGGGGCATGTGGTTCTGATTGGCCCAGCTTGAGTCATATCCCACTTCTATAGTGAGAGGGGGAGACAGGAGGCCACAGGCACTAGGAATACCAACAAAGAAATGCTGGCTGTTTCCTACACTTGTGCTGGTATCAAAAGAATCTATGCTGGTCGGTCAACCAGATATCATTTACCCTAATGAGCCATACTAAGCAGAGCATGATTTATTCCAAGATATGTCAGGAAAGATGAGAAACAAAAATCCAGCATCATTCTTTATAATCCCATACCATGATGATAAATTAATCATACTGATGAGTAGGCCCCTTTCTTTACCTAGCTAATGCCTATGAATTCTTTGGCTCTCAACTCAGCTGTCAGCTCCTCTGACAGGTCTTCTCTAACCCCAACTCTCCCACAGACTGTGTGAGGAGCCCATATGGTAACTTGTGCTTTCTCATTCAACACATTGTAACACTATGAACTCTCTATTTATGTCATTCATGCTACTCTTTGAGAGAAGGGCTGTGGATTTTATGACATAGCTCTAGTACCTGCCATAATTTCAATACATTTTATATTTTTTAAAAAAGAAGGCCAGGTATAGTGGCTCACATCTGTAATCCCAGCACTTTGGGAGGCCAAGGTGGGCAGATCACAAGGTCAACAGATCGAGACCATCCTAGCCAACATGGTGAAACCCTGTCTCTACTAAAAATACAAAAATTAGCTGGGTGTGGTGGCGTTTGCCTGTAATCCCAGCTACTCAGGAGGCTGAGGCAGGCGAATCGCTTGAACCCGAGAGGCGGAGGTTGCAGTGAGCCGAGATTGTGCCATTGCACTCCAGCCTGGTGACAGGTGACAGAGCAAGACTCCATCTCAAAAAATAAAATAAAATAAAGAAAAGAAAAGAAACAAACATTAATTAAAGTTACAATTCACTGTGCTATGACTTTAGTTCTGCTCATTTTATTGGGAATATCATTTTTCAAAGCACAAGTATCCAATGAAAATGTAACCTTGTAAACATATTTTATCCCACTTTGTAAGTTTACTCAACACAGCCTGTAACCAGTGTATAGTCAATGGCATACTCTGGTCTGAAAACTTCTGCAAATATTTGATAAATATGAATAATGTGAATGGCCAAGGGTCAAACACAGCATAAATATCATAGCAGAGTTTCAGGAAGGCCCCTCCACCATGAGAAATATTTAACTAAAGGCTGGGAAAATCATAAGTCTCAATGCTTTAAAAGAGTTTCAAACATTAAAAGAAGTAGTTTTATATGCAGTGAACTCTGAGTTCCCTTCCAATTCTGATACTCTCATTCTTTGTTTTCAGATCTTATTTGGATGAAATTTGGATAGGTTTGGAATTTCACACATTCTAAAGAAACGAATCTTGCCCCATTGGAAAGAATGTCATATTCAGATTTATCTCCATTCCATCATGCCAAACCTTGGTTTAAGAGAACTGGAAACCCTGATCACCATCCACTAAACACTGGGTAAGATGGAAAGATCTGTTATTGACACCCAGCAGAGAGTTTCTGCCCTCTTGTTTGAGTCTCATTTAAAACTTTGATATATGTCATGGGTTTGTCTAAAATATTCCTGCCTGTTATTTGTACTTTTGGGTATTTATATGCAATAAATATCCTTAAATATGAAAAAATAGCTAGTGTGTGAACAAGAACTACTAAGACAGATGGCCCTACAGCAAACACATTTGGCCTGTTGCAACACATAATTTCATCTTTAAGAAACTGCTATATAACTCACAAGATGGATTCAGCTGTAATAAAATCCAGATAAGTTGGAAGGCATTGGCAGTGATGGATGACAGAATGATTGTTCACTTATTCAACATATGACATTTGCACTCATAGATTTATCTTCCATTTGAGGAAGGTAATGACAGTTCTATCACCATGTTTATCATTTACTTGCCTCAATTATCTCCCACATACAGGTCCACTCCCTTGCTGCTAGGTGTGTAAGATGTTATCATTCTGTATGCAAGGTGTGTTGGACATGCTCCACAAGCTGTACATGAAAGGGAAAGCAAGTATAGTAACTTGTTTCTGGCACAAAATCTTAAAGTTGATATTGTATACAATTAGTCTACCGTTGGTGTTTATTATGGATATGAATTTGGATGTAACATAAAGCTTTGAGATTGAGGTGAATGGATGAAAGATAGAACGCCTTTATAAGACTCACAGGGATCCATGTGGTGCCTGTGGATCTTGCCATTAATTGCATTATAGGAAAAAATAAATTTTATTGTTTGGCCTAAAAGGCAAATTGTGTATAATGTCTTGCCATATAGTTTCCAGCAGATGACCATGTTTTGGCATGGGAAAAGTTGAATAACTTGTGATGTTTGACTGCAGTTAGAACAAGGTTCAGTGTCTATGTAGTGGGGAGGGAAATTGTATCTGGCCAGAAACTGTGACATTCAAAGTGCACACAGTTAGTGAGGTTAAAGATTAGATTTCTCATATCCAGTTTTTCACAAAGTTGGAACTTATCTCTTAGGAGAAAACAAACTCTATATAGGAGTCTCCTGTAGGATAGGAAGTGTGGTACCAGGGCTCTGAAAGAATATATATCTATCAAAACAATCAGTACATACGTATCAACTACATATGTGCTCATCAATTAGGTACACACAGGAGGAAGTTTTAAAGAAGAAAATACACATAGACAAACTTGGATAAGGTAGCCTTTATGGGTCAGAAGGAAGATGCAAAATTTAAGCAAATCTGTTTTCTATTCATGGAGCTGTTTGTTAACAATCCCCTCCTCAGATTACTAAAAACAAAGAAATATTTTGATAAAAATCTATGGAGAGAAATCATCAGCCAAGCACTTTGTTCAGAGTGCTTCTATGTGCCAGACATGGGAAATATATAAAGATGAGTGAGACATTGTTCTTTCCCTAAAATGAGCTCACATATAGAGAAGGTAAAATACTCTAACATTGTAAGTTGATTTGACAATGCTAGGCATTGTTATCTAAAGATCACATACAAGGAATCAGGATTCAGAATGGCTTTGAATTTGTAAATAGCAACACCAGAAAGAAGGCATGGAAATCCCCAAATGATGGTGAATGGTAGTCTCAGAGTCAGTGGCTGCATTTGATTTCTACAAAGCATCCTGTCCAGACTGCAGTGGGATGAAGCTCTTGGCTCAGGCTCCTCAGTTCTTCTCAAAGTATAGTGCATGAACTGACATCAGAATCACCAGGGGACTGTTTACAAAAGCAAATTCTCCAGGACCATCTCAAAACACCTGAATCTTTGGGATTGGGGCCAAGGAATCTGTCGTGATGAGCCCTTCAAGTATTCTGATGAAGGTACCAACTTGAGAACTACTGCTTCAGGTCATTCTTCTTCAGGGAGATACAATTGTCAGTTTCTGATGCATGTGAATGTCTTATGAAGATAATTAGATAACTGCCAAAGAGGCTATGGATGAATTAGTAATAAGTACATACAAAGAATACTAAGAAAGGAAATTATTAAATCTAGCGAAGACAAAATGTTATATAAAATGGTTAAGTAAACATAATTTACTATATGATTCAAGAATGAATCACGTACATAGTAATAACCATGTAAATACTAAATATTGATCTAACTAAAATTACAATGTACCTATTCTGGGAGGTTGAGTGAGTGACAGGAAGAGTGTTTATGTGGTGGGAGTTAGGAGTGTCTGGGGAGATGGGGAATCTCTGTCTTTCACAATAGAAAGTTACTAGATAGTACCTGAAACTGAAAATCAATTAAGAGCAATTTATATCTATATTATTTAGGGATTTGGAAGTTAATACTAGAAGAATCAGCTAAAGGAGTTGAAAATGATTGGCTCTCAGACAAGGGAATGGGGAAAACATTTTTTTCTTCGTAAATCATGCAGAATGAGTTGACTCTATACTTTGAACATGCGTTATTTGGATAGAGTTAACTCTATACTTTGAACATATGTAATTTGGATAAAAAACAAAGTCCAAAATAAACGAATAAGAAAACATTCTCTCTCCTCTTTGAAGACATTCTGCTCATTCTTTGATAGTTATTCTCTCCTCTTAACTTTTAGAGTCCTTACTACCTAGTCCAGGAGTCAGTAAGTTATAAACCTTCCCACCTATTTTTATAAATAAAATGTTATTAGAATTCAGCCATGCTTATTCATTTACATATCGTCTAAGGCTGCTTTTGTGCTACAATAGCAAAGCTGAGTAGTTGGGATAGAGATCATGTGGCCTGCAAAGCCTAAAATGCTTACAATCTGGTTTTTTATAGAAAAAGTTTGCCAACCTCTGATCTAGTCTACCCATTTGGCACCTAAAACAATACTTTGTATTTTTGCATTTTGTCTTTCCTACTGGATCTCATTCAAATCATCTAACAACCATGCTAGTTAGGTAATTTCAGGTTACCAGTGAAATATAGGCTCAGAAAAACAGGAAAACTGACCAAAGTCCAAAGAGTGGTAGAGCTCAAAAGAGGTCTGTCTGAATCTAAATATATTTTGCATGAACATTGTGGCGGATGCCTAATAAGCATTTCATGTTAGTATATTTTGTCTTTTGTAGATGTAAGCTCTGTTTAGGTCAAGAACAATGTCTTAATCATCTGCATCTCCCCTGCGCCTGAAACACAGGAATCACTCAGAGAAAGTTCTTGATTGACGATAATAAACACGAAGGCAAAAGGATGACTCCTAATTCTCACAGCAAATTTCATGTATTTGAAGCAACACTTGTGATACTGACTGTTATATTTTTAGAGGGCTAAAATATGCCCTGAGCTGCTTTTTAGTTGAAGCTTTCTGAATAAATAAAGCACAATTGTTTGGAAGAGGTCACACATTAAGGAATCAATGATGCCCATTCATCCTCTTGTGGTAAAGCTCAGGTTTCCTGTTTTGCAATTGTTTCAATCTAGACTGGAAGCTCTCAGAGGCAGAGATTTCACATTTATATGCCCAGGAATTCATCTGGGCACCTGTGTTGTTTCATTCCATGACTAATAGCTAAAAATAAATGAGTAATAACGCATTGTTAGGGTAAGGTTTGCTTCATGCCCCGAAATGTATTCTGAAAACACTGATCATAAACTTCTTTTAACCAACTGAGTGTTCCAAAAGCAAAAATCTAGTGAAAATTACTCAAAAAAAAAAATGACATCGTTTTGGTTGGAGAGTTTCTTATGACGGATACACAACTAGCTATGTACACTGTTAACACTGACTTGTGTAAAAGCAATGCTGTTTTTCTTTAGAGTGAATAAAATTATTGAAAAGAAGAATTCATAGCTTGGAAAGAAGAATGAAGTTCATCTATTCTCATCATCTATTCCCATTATACCATGTCCTAATTGTTATTCAGCCTGTACTTGAATACCCTGTAGAAAGAGAAATCCCCTATCTGCAAGGGGGTCAGTATTCACTTCACTTCATTTATTCATTCATTCAGACATTTTTAAAGACCTCTTAGATAGTCAGGCTTCATTTTAAACTCTGTCATAAGAGTTATTTGCTTATGTAAGGGTAAAATCTGAGTCTTTGTAGCTTACATTAGTAAATTTAATGTTTATTTCTCAGAAGCCTACAAGTCTAATCTATCTTCTAATCTACGTGATGGCTCTTCAAGTATTTCGAAGAAATGTCATCTTCCTGGATCATTCTGTCTTTGTTCTAAACATCTCCAGTTCCTGAACCCATTGCTCAGATGAGATGGTTTTAAGTCTTCTCCTCCTCATTCTAGTTTATTTATAACCTTCTGAAAACAGGATCACAAAAGTATTGTTTTATATGTTGTCTGACTAGTTGGAAGGAAAATCTAGGTCCTCTTTTCGCCTTTATCCATTACATTTCTTAATACAAACTTAGTGAACATTCATATTTTGAGTGGTAAAATACAAATGTTTGCTCCTGTTGAGCTAATAATTAAATCTAAGTTCCTTAAATCTTATTCAAGTAGAGTGCTTCTAAACTACATTCCTCCTACTCTGTATTTATGGAGTTGGTTTTAGGGACCTAGTCCCATTATACTTACATGCATTCAATTCATCTTATTATATTTACTCCATTTAATTGTTTAATTTTAAAAATTAGTGAGATTCTGTGCTATAGAGATGAAAGACACAATTTTTGCTCTCCAGGACCTCACAGTCTAGTAAAAAATGGATAAGTTAACAAAGAATTATAAATCAGGATGCTAAGTGCTGTGATTGGTATAAGTAAAAAAGTACATTGACAACATATAGAAAAAGCAGACAAACTTTTGCTGTTGTTTTTATTAGGATCTGTAAGGGAGGGAGATAAAAAGGCAAGAGTATAAAGATTCTGAAGAAGAGATAATATTTGGTACGTTCCTTGAAGGTGAGTAGAAATTAACCAAAGAGCAGATAAAGGCTGAGAACAAATAAAGGACATTCTACAGTGTGCTGTCCAGTATGTTAGCCACTAGCTACAAATGACTATTCAGCATTTGAAATGCAGCCTGTCCAAGTTGAGATGTGCTATAAGTGTAAAATACACACCAGGTTTTAAAGATTTAGTAAGAAAAGCATGTAAAATATCTCATTAATACCTTTTACGTTTGTTACATGTTGAAATAATCATAGTTTGGATATATTTGGAATAAATAAAGTAAATTATTAAAATTAATTCCATCTGTTTCTTTTTACTTTTTTAAAACATGATTACTAGAAAATTTGAAATTACTTATGTGACTCACATTATTTTTCTATTGGACAATGTTGCTTCAGCAAGTAAGAGCAGGCAGAGAGATGAGAAGAATGAAAAATAGTGACAAATTTGGAGAGGCTGGACTTTCCTGATACTAATTCTTGATTCAGTCATCCAATTTAGATACTCAACAACTATTTTGTATAAAAGTATGTATTATAATTTCAAACATATCATTATGGAATATTGTGATATTGCAGAATATTAAGACCTGCCACTGGTTACTTAGTTCAAGGTTGACATCGATCTCTCTTTCATATTATTACAAGTCCACCTAAGTATACTGTTATTCAACCCATATGTCTTTATCGTACCCACAAAAACAGGAATAACTCCAAGTATATGGCATGGCATTCTGGAAAAGGCAATATGAAGGAGACAGTGGTTGCCAGAGGTTGGGGTAAAGGAAAGATGAATATGCAGAGCATAGAGGACGTTTAAGGTAGCGAAACTACTCTTTGTGATACTATAATGGTGGATACCTGTCAATATAGATTTGTCCAAACCCATAGAATGTGTAACACCAAGAGTGAACCCCAATGTGAACTACGGACTTTGGGTGATAATGATGCACCAATATAAGTCTGTATAAATCAATTGTAACAAACATACCACCTTGATGGGGGATGCTGATCATGAGAGGAGCTATGTATGTGTGGGAGGAGGTGGTATGTGGGAACTCTCTGTACCTTCCACTCAATTTTTCTGTGAACCTAAAACTACTTTAAAAGATAATGTCTATGAAAAAAATTAAAATTTAAAATATTTTTTAAAAACAGAAATCACTTCTAAAACCTGCCAGTCTTTCTGACAGATGGTGCCGCAGTGTGTTGCACTGCTCCTCAGAAATCCCTTGGGCGATCAAGGCCTAGGCGTCCACGGTGGTGATCACCTTGGTCAAATACTCTTAGATTGGTTTTCCCTCCTTCTTCACTTCAATCCATTCTCGACTTCATTCTGGAGGATCACTTCCCAAAAGAAACATTGCTCGCAAACCTTTTCTCGGGCTCTGTGTTTTGGAGGAACCTAGGCTAATACCATTGCTACAAGGAGTGCCCTCAAAATTAGACAGTCAGGACGGGATTCAAAAATGATTCCCTTCCTTCGCCAGATGGCAATAAGCCCTTGTTAATTGATGGCAACCCCTGCCGTGTTATAGCATCAACACTGTAAGGTGTTCAATACTATTGAATTGGGTTGAGGAGCACAGGGTAAAATATGGGCCTATGTGGTAGCAATGGCACTGGAATGGTATGGGTCATAATTGAATCCAATCTAAATGTATCTGCCTGGTCTCTAGATGCAAGATTATAATAAATATTCTTAGCACCTGATAGAATCCTTCAGATGGTTTCCTAGCCTCTGGAGTAGAAAAGGCCATGGAGAAACCTATCTATCAGGTAACTCAAAAAGCTTGCAGGGTTGAACATGGCCAAGAGCAAGTGAGGTCTAAACAATTGGACCAGGCTATAGTGCAAGCTGTTCTGCCATTAAAGATATTTGACCCAGCAAACTGATAGTGCTGGAGGTATATATGGATGTTGTGTGGAGTCTCTGACAAATCTTGGTGCATGTATTATACAGACACCAGTGGTTCTGTCACAAGGCCATGCCATCAGCAGTAGGGAATTATTTGCAATTTTAAAAGCAGCTATGGTGGAGACTGAGTACCAGATCATTTGACACTAAGTGACCATACAAATGCAACTGCCCATCATAACCTGAGTGTAATCAGATCTAGGGAATCTTATGTTCAGGTGGGCACAACAGCAGTCTATTTTTTGATGGGATAGGGCTTGAGCAAATCCAGAAGACACAAATAACTATTACACGCCGACTGACTCTCAGGCCACCTAAAGCTTCTCCTTCAGTTTAAACCTATAGTCTCATGGGTGATATTCTAAAACCAGCTAACTCAGGAAGAATAAGAACCTAGACCTGGATCACAATATATTAACATTGAACTAAATTAGACAGCTATTTCACTACAATCCACTCTGGCATGGCCCTGGAGGACAATGATAAAAGGGAATCTACCCAGTGAGCAGAGTTGCGAGCAGTACAGTTGGTCATTCACTTTTTATGGAAGGAAAATAATTTGAGGCACTGGCAAATAGCTTAGTTGATTTGTAAGGGACCTGAAAATAACAAGATTTGATCATCTGTGAGGCAAGGAAATGTGGAGAAGATGCAATGTAAATGAACCTATGTTGGGCACAAAGCATCAAGATATGTTTGTCTTCTGACAATGAGCATGTCCACTGTAAAGAAGGTGCCCATAACCAGGTAGCATAATGACTCAGCCTGCAAATGTCAGATGGCCTCTCTCATTGCCCCCTCCAGTGCTAGTACGATCAGCCCATAAAGAGAATATCCATGGTGGCAAGAATGGAGACTATGCATGGGTCCAACAATCTGTACCAGGATGAATTTAGGTGATTCAATTGATGGATGCCCAACAGCTCAGCAGCTGTACCTTCAATATGGCACCACTTGTCAAGAAGATCAACCAGCCAGTTGATGGAAGTTTGATTACATCAGATCCCTTCTAGTCCAGAGGGGACAGCAATTCATCCTTACTAGAATTTATACCTATTCTGCATATAAGTTTGCCTTCCCTGCAAGCAGCACTTCTGGCAGCACCACCACTTGAGGGCCTATGAAATATTTGATTTAGCAATTCAGAATCTTTCTTAACATATACTCAGGATCTTCTACAACAGATACCAGGCTCATGATCACAGGTCACCACAATATCCAGAAAGAAGGCCGCTCAACAGAATGATAAAATGGCCTATTAAGGTTCAGTGTAGAGGGCCATACAACCTGTGTGTTTGGGATGCTGTCTGATTAAGGTATAATACAGGAAGCAAACCATGAAGCTGTAGGTGGTGCTGCATTCCAGGAGCTACAATGCATGGGCACGAGAACCGAGGAGTGGAAGTAGGAATGCATGCCCTCAACCGTGACTTTATTGGAAGAATTTTGTCTTTATCTCTTCACAACTTTATGTTCTACTGAAATCTAAGTTCCCAGGGGGAAATTCTTCCAACAGGGAGCAAAGCAGGAGTTTCATTTAACCTGATGCTGTGACTGCTGTCTGGTCACTTGGGGCTCCTCATGCAGGTGGGAAAGCTGATAAATAAGGAGTGATCAAATTGGCAAGGTGATTGACCCTAGTCACCATGAGGAGCCAGAGCTTCTGCTATCAATTGGGGCCGAAAGAAGTGTGTTCAGAACCCAGGGAATTCAATGGTATATCCTTATCCAAGGTCACTAATAACCATAAATGGACAATTGCAGCAATGATAAATGAGCTTAAATGGCTGGCACCAGGAGTTACTGGGCCCTCTATTAAATACAACTTAAAATTCTTGATATGTAGGCCACAAATGGAATACTATACAGGTAAGAAAAACAGGAACTAGTTTAGGAAAAGATATGGCTGTTATATTAAGAAAAAGGATGTATTTGAATAGAAAAAAACAAAAACAAAAAGTTAGATGGGAGCAGTCAGTTATCGGTTAAAAAAAAAGATGTGATCTTGGGAAAGTCAACTACAAAAAGATTAAGAAAAAATGTGTTATAGCTATATATGAAACTTAAAGTCCTTAATCCTTCCCGCATCTGGTATTAGCCTTTTTTTTTTGACAGCCAAAAACGTGACTAGGGAATCCATCACTTGTGTGTCTAGAAGGCCCGTGCAAGCTCCAAAATATTTGAGAATTCCAAGGAGGTATAAAGAGAAAGCCAAGAGTTGATATTTCTTTATCCTTTCACTCCAAATTTAGCTCACAACCTAACTCAATCTCCCTTTTCTGCCTTGAGTCCTTTCTTAGCCATCCTCTTTTTTGTACCATATCACACATATTGTAGGTATAACTTTTTCTTTCATTCCTCAAAAGTTTTGCATCATCACAGCACTATTCTGTCATGTATACAAATTTTTACTCAAGCTTTTAAAATATCCAACAGTAAATACAGTACAGCACGGATTAGGGATCAGCCTCTCAAATTTCCCTGGTTACCCAGCAATAAACAAGCAATGGGCATTGGTAGCTATCAAGCACTTAGGGCCCAGCCAGCTGCCATGTTGCTCAGATGTACTGATAAATCAAAGGACACTATTCTAAGATAATGGCCTTCATTAACAGCAAATACTTATGTAGTCTTATAAAAATATCCCTGCTTGCCTTCTTGTACATCTGCCATTGCCATGAGAAAGATATGTCTAGAAAATGAGAAATACGTGAAACAGAATTGACCCAGCTAGGCTCAGTCTAGAGCTGAGACCACACTTGACTTGCAGATGAATAGTAAACTCAGCCTGGATTAGCCTGGATCAGTTGCCACCCAGATGACCCACAGAGATGTGAGCTGTAGTAATAAATACTTAATGTTTTAATCCATGACTTTTATAAGGTGGTTTGTTACACTGTAAGAGCTAACCGATAGAATTGATAGCCTTTTCTCAATGCAAAACCCAAGGCATGTGGCATGACATCACAATTTATCATTGGCAGAACAGAGTGGCCAGTCAAATCATAGGCAAATAGTGAGATTCCGCTGAGAAGAGTATGGTCCTTTACTAAAGAAACTCAGAAAGAAATATTAGAAATAAAGAATATATCCTTGAAATTGATGAGTGAAGTTTTATAATAATTATATTTCTCTTTGATGACAGGCAGAATAGTACAGTGGAATGAGTGGGAAATTTGGGAATCAGATAAATCTGGTTCTACTCCAAATGTATGACTTTGAGAAAGTTATTTGACCTCTTGCTACTTTCATCTATAAAATTAAATTATAAATATATTATAAATATTATAAATTACACACATACATATAATTCTTGAGAGAAATGAATAAGATAAAATACAAAAAACATAAAAACACTTATAGTGTCTAGCATATGACAATTACTCAACAAAGTAATAGAAATAATTATTGTTCTTTGCTCTTAAACTCCAGGCACACTGACACTATAACTGTCTTTTTCATTTAAGATGTCTTTTAAAAAAGGACCCAAGTATGTAACACAAAATATCCACCATTTTACTCATTCTTTTGCAGATTTCAATAGCAGTTTACTTAAGAAATTTGGTTTATGAAAAGTTAAGCTCCTAAAATAAACTATTATTTATCAGTTATATAGGTGAGAGGTTGGTTCAATAAATTTTTCTTGACTAGGCCTGGCTTTGTTTCAAGGGCTGGAAATATAGCAGTAAACAAACAAAGTCATGGAGTTTACATCCTAATTAGGTGTGGGGAAAGACAGCTAATGAAAAAATACATACATAATGAGAGGTGAAGCTGGCTGGGCTTCTAGGTTGAGTGGGGACTTGGAGAACTTTTCTGTCTAGCTAAAGGATTGTAAATGTACCAATCATCACTCTGTGTCTAGCTAAAGGTTTGTAAACGTACCTATCAGCATTCTGTGTCTAGCTAATCAGGTAGGGGACTTGGAGAACTTTTCTGTCAAGCTAAAGGATTGTAAATGCACCAATCAGCACTCTGTGTCTAGCTAAAGGTTTGTAAACACACCAATCAGCACTGTCTAAAAACGGACCAATCAGCACTCTGTAAAATGGACCAATCAGCAGGATGTGGGTGGGGCCAAATAAGGGAACAAAAGCTGGCCAGCCCAGCCAGTAGTGGCAACCTGCTGGGGTCCCCTTCCACCCTGTGGAAGCTTTGTTCATTCGCTCTTCACAATAAATCTTGCTGCTGCTCACTCTTTGGGTCCGCACTGCCTTTATGAGCTGTAACATTCACCGCAAAGGTCTGCAGCTTCACTCCTGAAGCCAGCAAGACCACGAACCCACCGGGAGGAATGAGCAACTCTGGGAGGAACGAACAACTCCGGACGCGCCGCCTTTAAGAGCTGTAGCACTCACTGTGAAGATCTGCGGCTTCACTCCTGAAGTCAGCAAGACCGCAAACCCACCAGAAGGAAGAAACTCTGGACACATCTGAACATCTGAAGGAACAAACTCTGGACACGCCATCTTTAAGAACTTTAACATTCACCGTGAGGGTCTGCAGCTTCATTCTTGAAGTCAGCAATACCAAGAACCCACCGGAAAAAAACAATTCTGGACACAAGATATCAGGAGAAGAGAGGTTCCATGAAGGAAAATAAAGTCAGATATGGAAGCTAGAGAGTGAGGTGATGAGGATGACTATTTTGGGATGGAATCATGGAAGACTTTCTGTTATTTAGGCAGGGGACTAGAGGAAGTGAGTAGATAAACCTTGCAAATATCAGGCAGAAGAGGTGTTCACTTGTGTAAGTCAAGGGTACAAACCCTGAGGTGGAGCATGCTGGGTGTGCTAAAGCAACAGCGAGGAGGCCAGAGTGCTAGGAGTAGAGGGAATGAGGGAGAGATTCATAGGAAATGGGTCAGAGAGGCAGTGGAGGCATAGGTAATTAGGAACATGTAGTCCTCATATAAAGGACTCATATACAGGAAACTCATATATTGGAACCACCTATAAAGACTTTGGCTTTTACTCTGAGACTGGAAGCAATCAGAAGGTTTTCAGCTGAGGAAAGACATGATTGGATTTATTTTTAACCACATTGTTGTGGCTTCTGGTTTGAGAACAAGAGACCAAGTATGGAAGCTGGGGAAATTGTAAGGAAACTGTTGCAAATATACATATATGATGATTGTTTCGACTAAAATCCCCAAGTAGAAGGAAATATTGTGAAGTCGGGAAAAATTCTAGATATATTTTGATGACAGAAAAAATGGAATTTGCTAATAGAGTGGATATCAGATATAAGAGGAGGAGTGGAATTCAGGATTATATTCAGAATTTTGGCAAGAACAACTGGAAGAGTGGAGGTGACATTTGCTGAAATGAAGACAGCAAGAGGAATAGGTTTGAGGGTTAGTGTGTTGTGAGGTACTCAAAATTTCCACCATCTTTAAAGATTTAGAGTGTTCTCAACTGGGTAAGTAGCCTAATTGAAATGAGTATTTGAGTAGCTCTGATTAAATGTTATTTTTAGTTTACTATTGTTCTCAATCTTATAAGGATACTGAAACAAGTTATTAAGTACTTATTTAAAAAATGCAGGGGATACTCCTGAAAGCAGTCAGAGAAATATAGGACTATATTTCCAGTGCATCATTTGTAATTCTGTCTTCTATTTCGCATGTCTCCATGAGTCTTCAAATGACCTGTGATTACATGTTTTGGGCATCAAAAAAATGGGCATTTTGGTCTCTACAGTAAAACTTTACTTTTTCTGCACTCAACCTACTTAATCTCCAACAGCGATAACCAAACTATTTTAAAAAATAGAAGTTAAGGATTTGGAAAGAAGAATCTAACAAATCTAAGTGAGTTGGGCAATTAATGTCTTGAATGCTAAATTCCCAGTAACTTCCTGTTAAAATTCAATTTAAAATCTCTTTTTTTTTTTTTTTGAGACGGAGTCTCGCTCTGTCACCCAGGCTGGAGTGCAGTGGCACGATCTCCACTCACTGCAAGCTCTGCCTCCTGGGTTCATGCCATTCTCCTGCCTCAGCCTCCCAAGTAGCTGGGACTACAGGCGCCTGCCACCAAGCACGGCTAATTTTTTTTTTGTATTTTTAGTAAAGACGGGGTTTCACCGCGTTAGCCAGAATGGTCTCCATCTCCTGATCTCGTGATCCGCCTTGGCCTCCCAAAGTGCTGGGATTACAGGCGTGAGCCACCGCACCTGGCCTTAAAATCTCTGCTAATGTTACAATATTGTGATGTTGTTGCTAAGCTTTATTTTATTTATTTTATTTTTTCATAGGAAGGGGAAGGGACACTGTCACTTTTTGCTCCCAATCTCCTTGAACATATCTGACATCTTCATGACTGCATTTTTATAATTCCATTGTTTTTCCTTACAGAGAATAGTTGGTTTGTATTTCTAGTTTCATTTGATGCTTTTATTTAAAGAAAATTCTGTCTGAAACAAAGAGGCAGTGAAAATTAATTTAATCTGAACAAGCTGAAAGAAGCTCATTTCTAACCGTTCAGGAAAGCACATTTAAAACATACCAGATTTGTTACAAAGCTTATGTGTATTCTAATGAAAAAAGAAAACTCAAATCCAGACTTCCATTTATATGTACAATCCATTTGAGATAGGAGAAAAAATGTAAAGCAGTCATATTATACATGCCACAGGTAGGAATAGAAATAAAAAGCATTAGCAGGGACTTGATAGAAAATGTAGTAAAAGTTGATTTATGTACTACAAGGGTTGAAGTGAAGGGTCCTTAAGGGGACCAGAAGTCAAAAAACCAATATACTATTAATGCAAAAGAAAAAAACTCCACATTCAGATACACAGGGAAGATGAAAGCACAGGCCCTGCAGAAAAGAAAAAAGAATCTTATTGATAGGAATTTTATAAGGGACTCAAAATATACTTAATCTATAAATACAAAAGAAAATTCAATTAAACTTAAGTTTGAGAGTGGATATTTAATTTCAGTTCACTATTTTAATTTCTTGCTAATAAAGTTGAAGGATTTTTCCATGTGAGAGACTATTTTTTAAAAATCCTTGACTGAAACTGAATAAGAAGGAAGACAGGATTAGATATTTAAAAATAAATAAATAATGGTAAAAATAATTAATCTAAATAATAAAGCGGGCTGCAGCATAACCAAACACCTCGGTAGTATTTGTGGTTAAGGAAAGATTAATTTTTTTCCCCAAATTTTCCCTAAGTAGTCCAATTATCTTAGTATAAACTATTAATGGGCAATGATTTAAATAGACATTGAAATCAAAATACTCCTTAAATGTCCACACTTAATTTGTATGTCTGCTTATTGTTAAAATTTGCATAAGAAAGTAAAGCTCACAGGTTTAGAATAGATAATTAAAAACATATTTTAGCAGGGTTATTGAAATCCTTTTGAAGGGTTGATATCAGTCAACTTTGATCATTTCTCTGGATGATTTAAAAAGGATGCCCCTAGGTTTATTTCAGATTGTCAAAGTCCAAAATATAAATGCAATAAATATAAAGCTTTGATTAGCCTATAAGAATAAGATAGAGATGAAGGCGATGTTACATGAATATACTAATATGCTTTGGGTCTGTGTCCCCGCCCAAATCTCATGTCTAGTTGTAATCCTCAGCATTGGAAGCAGGACCTGATAGGTGGTGATTGGATTATGGGGGGCAGATTTCCCCTTTGGTGTTGTTCTCATGATAGTGAGTGAGTTCTTGTGAGATCTGGTTGTTCAAAAGTGTGTAGCACGTCCTCTCTCCCTTTCTTCCCCCTGTCCAGCCATGTAAGACGAGCCTGCTTCCCCTTCAACTTCTTCCATAATTGTAAATTTTCTGAGGCCTCCCCACCCATGCTTCCTTTACAGGCTGTGGAACTGTGAGCCAATTAAAACCCCTTTTCTTTATAAATTACCCTGTCTTGGATATGTCTTTATAACAATGAGAGAACAGACTAATGTACATATCACATTTGATACTCTAAGAGATCATTGTTATGCCACAGTTTTAAGAAAATGTATGCCAGGCAGAAAATAGAAGAAAAGCTCAGGATAATGAATGAAAATGTTAAAACTTAGTCTTGGTGCTTATGATTGAATTATGTAAATACTTGAAACTAACATCATATAATAGATGTGGCCATAACTTAGCCCTCCCAAAAATTCAATATGATGGCAAATACCACCTTTTTATATATGGAGAAACTGAGGAACAGCAAGTTAAAAAGTTGTAAAACATTTGTCCAGGGTCAGTGATTCCTTAAAGGCTCAAACTCTAGTGTGATGGTTAATTTTATATGTCAACTTAACTGAGCTAAGGGATGTCCAGATAGCTGGTAAAGCATTATTTCTGAGTGTGTCTGTGAAGGTGTTTCCAGAGGAGGTTAGCATTTGAATCAGTAGACTGAGTAAAGAAGATCCACCTTTATCTATGTGGGCAGACATCACCCAATCCATCGAGGACCTAAACAGAACAAAAAGATAGAGGCAGGATGAATTCTCTCCATTTTTTCTTGATCTGGGATATCCATTTTCTTCTGCCTTTGGATATTGGAACCCCTGGTTCTGAGGCCTTTGGACTGGGACTCACTGACACCATCAGCTTTCCTAGTTCTCAGTTTACAGTTGGCAGGTGGTGGAACTTCTCAGCCTCTATAACCACAGGAGCCAATTTCCATAATACATCTCCTCCTATATACCTATATCTGCATCTATAAAAATAGCTATCTCCTATTAGTTTTGTTTCCCTCTGGGGAATCCTGATTAAAACATCTGGTAACATGGAGAACTTTGCAAGCCATTCACCACCACCCTGACAATCCATCACTTCCTTTTAAGCCTCAGGGGCTGGGTCAGTATTTCATCCCATGAGATGCAAATTGGGGCATTTGCTTCAAATTACACCTGCTGACCTCAGGACTCTAAACTGAAGATATTAGACGCTGATTTTCAGTTTCCTCCACCTCCCCCACATTCTTGCCCTCCAATTTGTGGATAACCTGTGGCTCTATAAGCATTATGTTTCAAGTTTATGTGAGTTTCTTAAGTGCCTGTTGTCCATCCTTTATCACCAATCTTATCTCTTATTGGTAACATTATCTCCGAATTTGAAAGCCTGAAAAAAAAATGCTCTGGTGGCAGTTTAATTCTGTGTAAGATTTCTTACTCATTAATGTATTATTATTAATATTTATTCAGTGTTTTCAATTTAATGGCAAAGTGAGACAAACCAAACTTTCTCTTCCAGAAGAAACTAGACATAGATAGTCTTGAGTCATTGAGCCAAATAACGAAGGAGAGAAAGCCTTTGTAGAAATTAACTTAGGAAACTAAAAAAAAAAAAAAAATCATTTTTGCTAACTTCATTTTTAATTTTTGGGGTGGATAAATTCATAATAGATTTGTTCTTGAAATGAATATTAAAGAAACTGCAGTAGCTCCCTAAATCCCACTGGAAGAAGAGACCATCAATACTAAGAGATATCAGGTGTACCATTTCTAACCAACTGCCTAATATTACTATTATTCAAAGAGGTAGCACTTCAGCTACCAATATGGCATAAAGGAATTGTCCTGTGGCATAATCCACCAAAGTGATTATGAATTAAATTTAGAATAAAAAGTCAGAGGAGGGAAGGAATAAACTCCACCTGAGAACAACTGCTTAATTACTTGACCGAATTTAGAGACTGGAAAGCATAACACAGAATTAGCACATGTGCACCTATTGAACATTTCTTTAAGAGGAAATTCCCTCATGATAAGAAATGGCCTGCCTATTTGCTGCCCAGGGAACATGAAGTTTCTGCTCTTGCTGCTCTTCTCTGGAAAGCAGGGCTGAACAGCCATTTTTCTTGCCCTGTTGATTTGCAGTTTGATAGTCAATGTGACCTCAAGCTAAGCATAAACTCCATGTTATTCTAACAGAGACCATGCCAAAGTGTATGGAAAGAAACAGAGCCAAGTACAGATAAAAAAAGCAAACATTAAGACAAGAAAAACTTCCAAGGTTCAGAGGATCGTGTCTTTGGGGAACACTTCCTACAAAATGGCATGCCTTCAAATTACACTAAGGACATTTGCAGGAGGCAGTTTTATAGTCATCCATTTGCCATTCTTAGTAGCATTTACAAACAAGGCGCCCAGGAAGAAGACATATATATGCAGGAGAGTCACTATATGAAACACTCACATTTCACTTTTCCTTCTTCAATAGTTAGAAGGATATTTTTCTGGCTGGTTGATTTACAGAAATATTTTTTTCCTGAGTAAATCTCTGCCTATTAAATCCCAGTGACACTCTGCATGGGAAAACACATCTGATCAGCTAAAGATGTCTATCTTTCTTATAAATGCAGCAAAAAAAAGAAAAAAGATAGAAAGAAATTGTAACCAAAAATATTTAGTGATCTTTAAAATATCATAAATTGCCAGTAACTAATGGCTGGTGTATTGATTAATAGCTTGAAGTACATAGTGGGCGGTTAATGCTATAACAAACCCCTCTGGGATTTATTACACCAATAATTCGGTGAAACTACTAAGTTTCAAGAACCTATTGCTGAAATAAACCATATTCTTTAGCACCCACCAGCAGTGGTATTTATATACATACATATATATTTCCCTTCTTAAATAAATTGTTTGTGTGGGAAATTGATCATTTATATTTGCCCAGTCAGAAAATGTGAACATTTAAATGGTTTATCACTAGATGATGTGATCTTGCAAACTCTGTAAGTTGTTTTTATTTTTTTTAATCTTCTCACCTCCCTCTCAGGAACAAATGCCAGAAGCACTGAGATGCAAACTAGCTCAGTACAGTACTGGAAGAGCTAGTGCTAATCAAAGAGCTCTGACTTGAACCAGGCCTTAGAAGGAGAAGGTATTAAGGACTAATGCATTAATCTGTTAAGCCCCTGTGTCAGCTAGGAGGAAGAAAAAGAAAAAGAAAAAGAAAGAAAAGCACTGTTTAGTGGTGTGCCCTTAACAGGATATACTGGAGACTGAACTTGAACTTGGGAGGCAGTAGGGATGAAGAATCGCTTTTGAAGCTAGGTATACAGTGGAGAACACAGGGAAGCCAAGTCAGAATTGTAAGTAGTGTATGGCCTTCACCATGGTGTGGAATCCAAGCTGTTTGCATATTCAAGGAAGTTAAATATAGCAGTTGACAAATTTTGCTGCATATACTGAGAACCCTGGAAGGCATTGGAAAATACAAAAATAATGTCTAACTTTTAGTTACTTCTAAGTACTAAAGCCAACTCTCCTTGCCTTGCAGGCTGCTGCATCTCTTCTCTTCCCAAGGCTTGAGAAAGTAGATGCCCCCATGGAGGCTCAGCCCCATTCCTGCTCAGTGATAATGCCACTTTGTGAGTTTCAACCATGTACCGCCTCATAGGCCTCTGTGTCTGTTCTTCACTTAATTTATGAAAGGCAAGCATTTTTATCTCCACACTATGCTCTCCCTTTTTATAAGCTAAGTAACTTGAAGCTGTCACACAGCTAGTACAGTACAGATATAGGATTGAAATCTGGGTCCAAACTCTACACATTTTCCAACCACACTGCTATGGGCCAGCAATAAGTTATCCTCACTGTCACCATGCTCCTGTGTGGGTGCCTGTTTAAGGTATCTGGGTTTCTGCCTCATTTGTGTGTTATGGTTCTATGCATTATGGAAAATTGGGACTCTTTCTTCGTCATTTTTTTATAACTTGCAGAGTATTTCAGGCATATTTTCTCCATATCCCTGTCCTTCACTTTTAGCCACCAAGGGTTACATGGTTCATGAAAAGTAGTGATAATTGTTTTTTCATCCTGAGTCAGGGACCCTGCTAAGTCCTTTAAGGACATTGTCTCATTTACTCTTCACAGCTACCTTATAAAGTATGTATGTGTATATGTGTGTATAGATGTGTGCATATAAGTACACATTGTAACTATTTCAGGATGGAGGAATAAAAGCTTCAACATGTCAAGTAATTTGCCCAAGGCCATGTAGTTGGTAAAGCCATAGAGTGAGGATCTAAACTTAGGTCCACCTGACTCCAAATTGCAAACTTCCAGCTACCATGCTATACAGCTTCCTTCTCATGCCTCTTCCCAGGGACAAGAAACCAACCTTTAACTCTAACAGAGTGACTAGGGCCTTCCTGGCCCAACTGCCTGCATATTGCCCATTATTGTGTTTCACTTACCTTCCTAGGTTTGAGGTCACTTCGTAAGATTTAGGCCCAGTACCCAAGTTTAGCATATTGATCTTCTCCCCATGGTGCAGAGTGCTCTGTATAGCAGACTAAGGCTTCCTTCAGTACCTGCAGGTGAGGCTGAGCCCGAAGGATCTATCCCATCAAATGTGTAGACCTAGGGTCTCTTCCACTCCCTTTAGTTTTGCGTGGATATACCCAGACCATTTTTATATGAAGAAATCCTCCCTTTCCAAACTCCTTATTCCAACTTGCGAAGGAGTCAAGTGGGAAAAATTCCAATGAACGTTGTGAGTTGACTCTGTGTTTGCCACGGTTCTTCCACAGAGAAATGGGAAGTGAGCCTGATCATCTCCTTTCCCAGGCCATGCTCTCCTCTTGCTTCCCTCATCAGCGCAAAGCCCATTCTGCTGGACCTGCTGTGCATACATTTCTCTAGATGATTGGCTTCTTTAGGACCGTAACAGAGACTTTTTTGTTTACGTCTTGTGCCTCCTGCTCTGCAGCTCAGAACTGGTGTTCAACAAGTACCTGTAGATATTTAAAAAATGAAAGAATAATGACAACATGAAATAGGGGCAAAAACAGAAGGCACAAAGTCTACTGCTGTCTGTAGTTTTAGAGTCAGCTTCTTTAGTAGCCATAGGAATTACCCACATATCCTCCCAACATTGACTTCAAGAAATGAGAGAGCAAAAGAAAGAGAAAAGAGGAATTGGGAGAGAATGAGATTTTTATTTTCTCTGATCAAAAAGGTCTATTATAGAGTCTCTCTCTTTATCCTGCAAAATCCCTAGCCATAACCAAAGCACACTCCCCAAACCAGACCCTATCCAATGTACCCACATGAATTGCCATCTTTTTTCAATCATCTTCTTGCTTCTGTATATTCCTTTCCCATTTCTTTTTTAAGGCCTTTCTGCTTTTCATCTAAATTAGGCCCACCAGCAGCTTTTCTCACATAGTAGATATGGTTCCTAAAACGATCAGTAGAAATCAGAGCTCTGTAATAGGAATTATAGGTTGACGTCATTTTAGGGATTCCTAACTTTTCAGGTCTGACTCTCCTCAGCCAGCATCGTTTGTCATCATTTCAGTTGAAAGGTTCTCTGCTCCAGAGCTTCCACATTTAATAATTAGTGGTCTGTAAAACACTTGAGAGCACTGGAGGAGTTCTCTGTTGAAAGAAAATACAGGGATTAAAAATAGAAAATCATTGCCCTTCCATTCTTGAATCTTATAAGTGGGAATCAAAGAGACTTGGCGGTTGGCAGGAGGAGTTGTGGGAAAGCACATTCTAGGGAAAGGGCAATGGTGTCAGTAACTGATAAGTGGAAATTCCAGTGAACCAAGAATTATCTAGAAAATTATTTAGGGATGTAGGTATCAAGCCACATTTTGAGATCCTGATTTAGAAGTCCTGGGATCAGGCCCAGAAATCCATTTTTAGGAAGCATTTCCAGACAACTCTGATTATAGTCAGAAGACAATACTTTGAGAATCACTAGAGCATAATATTGTAGCACAGTACTTCTGAAGCTTTAATATACTTGAGAATTGCTGCCCCTCCCCATTAAAACTTGCCAATATATAAATTCCAAGAGAACCTGATTCCAAAGGTCTAGAGATCTAATAATTTGTTATTTCTAACAAGATCCGTAAACCATACATTGTAACTGTCACTGATACAACACAATAGTTCTCAAATTTGGCCATATAATGAATCACCTAGGAAGTTTAAAAAAAAAACTGATACCTTGATACTACCCCTAAAGACTCTAATTTAATTGATCCTTAAAGATTCTAATTTAATTGGTCCTTAATCTGAACGTCAGGATTTTTTTTAATTTCCCAAGTTATTTTAATGTGAAGCACACAAATGTCTCTCGCATGGCAAGTTTTATTCAGTACCTGCTGTATTGGTCAGATCGGTTAGCTGCTGTAGCAATCTAAATCTCAGTGGCCTACCACAAGAAAGATTTATTTTTTGTTTACACAAAGTTTAATGCGGATGTCTCTGTTGGGATGGTTTTCCAGGAAGCCCTCCTCCAAGCTATGATTCAGAGACCCAAGTATTTTTCACTTTGTGGCTCTGCCATCTTCTGGTTCTGGGGTCATTTTGGTATCATCTGGCTAAAACCCTGGGGGAAGAGAGAAAGAGAAAGGTGGTTAAGATTCTTAACAATCTCAGTCCTTCCATCAGCCTGAAGCGTCACGTGATTGATCTAACTGCAAAGGAGACTGAGGAAGGTGACGTAGCACATGGATATAAGTGAGCATTAATAGTTTCTGTCTCTTTGGCTGTGTTCCAGGCACTATGCTAGATGTCAGAAGGTGATGCAAAGAAGAATGTAAGCCATAATGCTGAGTTTAGAATTTTTTGTTTTGTTTTGTTTTTATAGCAATCAACCTCTTTGGTCAATTCAGCAAGTACTGAGTATATCTCACGTCGGCTTTGCTTCTGGAAACTGAGCGGTTATCATCATTCTTATCTCCATTTGGCCCCAAATACTCCAGTTCAAAAATCAGTTTGAGTAAAGTCCATTAACAGAGAATAACTCAGTGCAGTAGGATATGTCAGCTAGCATATAACTCTATTAAATCTACTTTTTCGTTTTGGCACATCATGGTACAGTCTTGAGTTAGACCCCTGATTTCCATATCAGCAAAACAGAAACAATAGTCTTTTTCTTCCAGAGTCATTTTGAGAATTAGAAAAAAAAAAAAGTGCTAATTATTCAGTAGGCCCTTGATATATGTGCACTATCATATTCTTATATATTGCATTATTACATATTCTTATATTATTATTGAAGAATTCTTAAAACTGCTTCATGGGTTTCCTCCAACAAGACTTCAGATCCTTGACAGAATGGACCATAGCTCACAATTTTTTCATCTACCATAGTGCTTGGTAAGTGATGGAAATAGAAAAGTTCATTTATAAGCACTTACTGAGTTGGGTTCACTAGAGGCAAGTCTGAGAGCCTGGGGCTGGCAGCTGTCTTAGAAGTTTCCTGAGAACTATTGTTCCTAAGATGGGCACTCCTATGAGGAAAAGTACTATAAAAATCCCCAAGGAACAAATATGGTAAAGTGTAGCTCTTGCAAAATGACAGCAATTTAAGTTTCATGAAAATGTCCACCCTTAATTATCTTCAAAATGTTCTGGGGTTCAGACTTCCCCATTAGTTCTAATCAGCCCTTCGCTTTTAACATTGAGCAATTACTTAACAAAAAAAGAATCCCCAATTGTGGACTCCATCATTACAACAGCCCATTTTATAGAGAAGGATCTATACTCTTAAGAGGGTAAGTGCCCACGTTCACAGATGTCTAAAAGTGGAAGAATCAAGATTCAAGTCCCATTTTCCTGCATACAAGCCATATGTATCTCAAACTGGGGATGCATCTACCCTCTAACAGTAAACAGTAGTCAGCACAAGTGTGCCAGGATAAAAATGGCACACCTGCCCGAAATGTCAATTAAAATATTAAGGCATTTTGTATATACAGAAAGACAGATATATCATGATGTAGAATGCAAATTTTCCATAATATATGATCACAAAGAAATTTAAAATTTGTGGTGGACTGCTTTCGACAATGCCTCTAGACCCCTGGGGCCACTCATGTTTGCTTCTCAGGAAACACGTAAGAAGAACTGCCCTTCTATGTGCCATAAAGGGCCATTATGAAATGCCAAGTAGAGCCTATTATTTGAGCCCAGTACTGGAAATCTGTCTGTAAAACTCTGTTCAGATGCAATAATGATTTAGGCAGGTTTGACTTCCCAGAAATGAAGGGAAGTGCTGAAAATAAATAGAAGATAATAAATCTCTTAATGGGGCAAAGGGGAAAAATAAAGCAAATTATGTTTTATCTGGCAAAGATATCATGGTCTTTTTTTTGTAATCTTCATTTTTCCTTTCTGTAGAAAGCAGTTAGTTCAAAATTAAAGAAAATTTGGATTACAGCTTGTAACACGGTGTCCCAGTTGAGCCTAACCTGGGACACAGAAAGTAACCATTTGCAGAAACCAGTGGGCCAGTGACCACTCTAGTCATTTATTTATATAAATGCATAAATATAAGCTATGTGAGCTATTGCTGGTACAAGGACATCTGAGTTGCTCCTCCTGTCTGTGGGCCCTGGGGGAATTAGGTACAGAAGGAGTAGTCACTAAGAGCAAAGGAGTTTCATTTATCTCTTATCTAATTTAACCTTATTCCAACTTGCAATGCAGAGCTCTAGTAAAGCAGGCTTGTGATAGATAGCTTTCCCTAAAAGCCAATGAGGGTCTCTGCCATCCCCTGAGCTCACATCCAAATCTTGTAATTTGACTACTCCTGAGCTTACTCCATGATACTGGAGATAGAAGAAGAAACAATGCACATGCTCAAAATGACATGAATGAAAAATGAAAATAAAAAATAAAGAACCTCGCATATCTTTTAATAGAGAGTAACCCTACCCAGTCATGCAAGTGACCCTGTTTATATCCTGAAATGAGAATTTGATTACCAGTTGCTCCTCCTAGGTGTTAAAGGAGTTAGAAGAGAGGCAGGATAGAGATGGGAAGAGAGACCCAATCTCAGGAAGAAGGAAATTTTGGACACAAATTTGAGTGCTAAGGACAGAAATTGGAGGGATGCAGATACTGGGAAGTATTTGTTTCGGGGTACAATAGTATTTTTATCCCCATTCCCCCTTTTGCCTCCATCTTCCGTTTTTGAGCTCAGACAAGAATGGGGCAAGAAATTAAATTAAACTCATTGAAGAGCATGTGAGACTGTAAGCATGATCAGGACCACTTTGGGGTCCAGGGCCATGAGAAATGAAATGTGGAATTTGTGAGAAACAAGAGAAACATTTTTATCTGACCCTCACCCTCAAACTACCAAAGACCACAGATATGAGATGCTCAGGTCCAGGAGTAGTAATTCCTAGTGTAGTGGCTGTGCCAGAAGAGCAGGGCATTCCCCAAAAAAAACACAGATGCTAAAGCAATGGTGAGGCCCTTTGGCACATAGGATGCAATGGAGAATTAATGGACTCATTCTTGAATACAAGTAAAATGTCTTTAGAGATTAGGAAAAATTGTTGAGAGAGCTTTTGAGAGCTGGTGATAATGATGAACACATGTGTGTAATTTTATAGTTTCAATTTTTTTTCACATATCTCATTTGTTTCTCACAATCACCCTAATAGGTGTGACAAGCATTGTTAGTATCCTCATTTTGCAGATGAGAAAACTGAGTCTCAGAGTTTTAAGCAAGCTGCCCAAGGTCATTTGTCTGGTAAGCGTCAAGGTTGAGAACTCAAAAACAGGATTTTTAGCTCTAAATTCTTTACTTTTTCCACTGGAATATATTGCCAGTTTGGAGTTGTGACAGTTCAGTTAACCAGTCCTTAAAAAAATATTTTAACAAAGCTGACTTAACATCAGGGAGCTGAAAGGAATTCAGCAATGGGCCTATGGGGAAAGGAAGTTACAAAAATCACAAGGCTGACCAGACCTTAAGCCCAGATGAAGAGAAAGGTGCCATCTCAGAATTGCCATGGCCTGCTCATTGAGAGTCCAGAAAGGACAGCCAAGGCTAAGAGACCAAGGGAGGCATGGAAGGTAGGAGCCAGAACTGCTTTCCAGGCATAGTAAAAGAAAACAACAACAAAAACATGGTGCTGAGGCTAATTAGAAGACTTCTGTAATTCAGAACGTGGAATATCTTTGTGCTCCTTCAGTTATTTTTTCTTAGGTTGATGGAATCCCTGGGTAAGAAGAGTGGAGAGAGGAGAGTGAATTCTCTTCCTGAGTCAAGACATCAAGATATTATGTGGACGAAGGGCCTCATCTCCACCATGTGCACATTACATGTTTGGTTTATACTCTCAGGTGCTATAAAGGAGGTTGGGGGAATGTACCTAGAGTAAATACAGAGTAAATAACTTAAAAGATGATAATTTAGACCAGGGGATGGCAAAACTTTTTCTGGAAATGGCCAGATAGTAAATATTTTCGGTTTTGTGGGCCATATGGTTTTTGTCACAAGTACTCAACTCTGCCATTAGGAACAGGAAAGCAGCCATAGACAATATGTAGATGAATGGGTGTGGCTGTGTTCCCATAAGCTTTATTTGCAAAAACAGGTGGGATGGGTTTGACCCAAGGGCCCTACTTTGCCAACTGCCAAGTTAGAGAAAAATCGTATCTACTTAAAGCCTTTGATAGTATTCTCATTTCCATCTATGAATCAAGGTGGAACACTGGAAAGGGTAGATGATATAATGTTGGCTATTTACTATCAAGTTTTATAACATTAAAATATTATTTACTACCACCATAGGAATTGCATTTCTGTAATTATTAATTATTTTTCAAGACATTATTTAAAAATATTTCCTATGAAATGCCTCATTTAAGACTTTTCTGACAGAGTTTAGTATTAGAATACAAATGTTTTCCATCATAAAACTTACGTGTTTTCTTCTGTCAGTGGACTCAAATATTTATTAGACATACCTCTTCATCCTTATTAGAAAAGTTTTAAGAAAGTTTTATGCTTAATTCTAATAATCTTATGATTTAATGGCTAGCATACTTTCCTTCTCTGTTTTGTTTTTACCTTCAATCTTCCTTTCTCTCCCTCTATCTCTTTCTCTCTCTCTCTCTCTCATTTCTATTTCATTGGTCTTTTTTTCTTAAATCCACCTGAGATTTTTACAAAAAAGGAATGAATTCCAAATAAGCACACATAATACTACAGAAAAACATTTCAATTCCAAATAAAGAGAGCCAACAGAAATGTAAACCCTACTTGACAAATTAAGCCCTGTCAGGACCAAGGAGGGATGAGATTATTTTGAAGAAGAGGAACAAGGTAAGAAGACTTTCTCTATCAAATATTAAAATTTTCTAGAAATTTTGAGTAACTGAAAAGTATGGTATTGGCTCTGGAAATAGAGAAAAGATCAACAGAATAGACAAAGTAGTCTAAAAACAGATGAAAAATATGTGGAAATTTAGTTATGACAGTGGTAGTAACTGATTCTCCAAACAGAAAGAAAAAATCAGATTAAAAAAACTTTTGGCCAGGCGCGGTGTCTCATGCCTGTAATCCCAGCACTTTGGGAGGCCAAGGAGGGCAGATCACAAGGTCAGGAGATCGAGACCATCCTGGCTAACATGGTGAAACCCCATCTGTACTAAAAATACAAAAAATTAGTCAGGCGTGGTGGCGGGCGCCTGTAGTCCCAGCTACTTGGGAGGCTGAGGCAGGAGAATGGTGTGAACCCAGGAGGCAGAGCTTGCAGTGAGCCGAGATTGCACCACTGCACTCCAGCCTGGGCGACAAAGTGAGACTCCATCTCAAAAAAAAAAAAAAAAACTTTTATTTTAGGTACAGGGATACATGTGCAGGTTTATTATATAGGTAAATTGCATGTCACAGGGATTTGGCGTACAGATTATTTTGTCACTAAGATAATAAGCATAGTACCTGATACATAGTTTTGTGACCCTCACCCTCCTCTCACCCTCCACCCTCAAGTAGGCCCCAGTGACTTTTATTCCCTTTTTTGCGTTCGTGTATACTCAATATTTAGCTCCCATTTAAGTGAGAAAGTGTTTGTTTTTCTGTTCCTGCATTAGTTCACTTAGGATAATGGCCTACAACTCCATCCATGTTTCTTCAAAGGACATAATCTCATTTTTTTTATGGCCAAATACTATTCCATGGTGTATATGTACCACATTTTCTTTAACCAGTTCATCATTGATTTCATGTCTTTTCCATTGTGAATTCTGCTGCAGTGAACATACATGTGCATGTGCCTTTGTGGTAGAATGATTTATATTCCCTTGGTATATACCCAGTAATGTGATTGCTGGGTCAAATGGTAGTTCTAAGTTCTTTGAGAAATTGCCACACTGCTTTCCACAATGGCTAAACTAATTTACATTTCCAACAGCAGTGTATAAGAATTCTCTTTTATCCACAGCCTTGCCAGCATTTCCAACAGCAGTATTGATTTTGTAATAATAGCTATTATTTTTTGACTTTTTAATAATAGCCATTCTGACTGGTATGAGATGCTATCTCATTGTGGTTTGATTTACAGTTCTCTAATGATTAGTGATGTTGAGCATTGTTTCATATGCTTCTTGGCCATGTGTATGTCTTTCTTTTGAAAAGCATCTATTCATATCCTTTGCCCACTTTTTAATGGGGTTGCTTGTTTATTGCTCATTCAATTGTTTAGGTTCCTTACAGATTCTGGATATTAGGCTTTTGTCAGATGCACAGTTTTTCAAATACTTTTTCCCACTCTATACGTTGTCTGTTTAATCTGTTGATAGGTTCTTTTCCTGTGCGGAAGCTCTTTAGTTTAATTAGGCCTCATTTGTCCATTTTTCTTTCTATTGAAATTGCTTTTGGCATCTGTATCATGAAATCTTCGCTAAAGCCTATGTCTAGAATGGTATTTCTAGGTTATCTTCCAGGGCTTTTGTAGTTTTAGGTTTTACATTTAAGTCTTTAATCCATCTTGAGTTGATTTTTGTATACGGTGTAAGGAAGGAGTCCAGTGTCAATCTTCTGCATATAGCTAGCCAGTTATCCCAGCACCATTTATTAAACAGGGAGTCCTTTCTCCATTGCCTCTTTTTCTCAGCTTTGTTGAAGAACAGATAGTTGTAGGTGTGTGGCTTTATTTCTGGGCTCTCTATTCTGTTCCATTGCTCTATGCATCTGTTTTTGTACCAGTGTCATGCTGTTTTGGTTACTGCAGCCTTGTGGTATAGTTTGAAGTTGGGTAATGTGATGCCTCCAGCTTTGTTCTTTTTGCTTAGGATTTCTTTGGCTATTCAGGCTCTTTTTGCTTCTGTATGAATTTTTAACTCTTTTTTTTTTTATTTTGTGATGGCTGTCATTGGTAGTTCCATAGGAATAGTATTGAATCTGTACGTTGCTTTGGGCAGGATCACCATTTTAACAATATTAATTCTTCATATCCATGCGCAAGAGATGTTTTTCCAGGTGTTTGTCTCATCTTTGATTTTGTTGAGCAGTGTGATGTTATTCTCACTGTAGAGAACTTTCACCTCCCTGGTTAGCTGTATTCCTAGGCATTTTATTCATTTTGTAGCTATTGTGAATGGGATTTTGTTCTTGATTTGGCTCTCAGTTTGGACATTATTGGGTATAGAAATACTACTGACTTATGTACATTGTATACTGAAACTTTGCTGAAGTTATCAGATCTAGAAGCTTCGGGGCAGAGACTGTGGGGTTTTGTAGATACAGAATCATGTCATCTGCAAATAGAGAGTTTGACTTCTTCTCTTCCTATTTGCATGCCTTTTGTTTCTTTCTCTTGCCTGATGCTATGGCTAGTCAGAACTTCCAGTACTAGGTTGAATAAAAGCAGTGAGAGTCGGCATCCTTGTCTTGTTCTGGTTTTCAAGGGGAATGCTTCAAGCTTTCATTTATTCAGTACAATGTTGGCTGTGGATTTGTCATAGATGGTCATTATTTTGAGACCTTTTCCTTCAATGCCTAGTTTGAGGGTTTATAACATGAGGGGATGTTGAGCTTTATTGAAAGGCTTTTCTGCATCCATTGAGATGATCATGTGGTTTTTGTTTTAAATTCTGTTTATTTGGTGAATCACATTTATTGATTTGTGTCTGTTGAACCAACCTTGCATCCCAAAGATGAAGCCTTGATTGTGGTGGATTATCTTTTTTATGTGCTACTGGATTCAGTTTGCTAGTATTTTGTTGAGGATTTTTGCATCAGTGTTCATCAAGGATACTGGCTTGAAGTTTTCATTTTTTGGTGTGTCTCTCCTAGGTTTTAGCATCAGGATAATGCTTGCCTCAGAATGAGGGAGGGAGGAGTCCCTTCCCATCAATTTTTTTGGAATAGTTTCAGTAGGAATGATACCAGTTCTTCTTTCTACATCTGGGAGAATTTGGCTCTGAATCCATCTGGTCCTGGGCTTTTTCTGGATAGTAGACTTTTTATTACTGATTCAACTTCAGAACTCATTTTTGGTCTGTTTAGGGATTTTATTTCTTCCTGATTCAATCTTGGGAGGTTTCACGTTCCTAGGAATTTATCCATTTCTTCTAGGTTTTCTAGTTTGTGTGCATAGAGGTGTTTGCTGTCATTTCTAAGGGATTGTTGTTTACCTGTGGGGTCAGTGGTAATGTCCCCTTTGTTTTTTCTGATTGTGTTTATTTGAATCTTCTCTCTTTTTTTATTAGTCTAGCTAGTGCTATATCAATCTTATTTATTCTCTCACAGAACCAACTCCTGGATTCATTGGTCTTTTGTATGGTTTCTTCTGTCTTTATTTCCTTCAGTTTAGCTCTGATATTGGCTATGCTGTATCTTTGTTTTTGAGATGGAGTGTCACTCTATTGCCCAGGCTGGAGTCCAGTGGTGTGATCTCGGCTCACTACAACCTCCACCTCCCAGGTTCAAGTGATTCTCCTGCCCTAGCCTACTGAGTAGGACTGGGACTACAGGCATGTGTCACCACGCCCAGCTGATTTTTTTTGTATTTTTAGCAGAGACAGGGTTTTGCCATATTGGCCAGGCTGGTCTCAAACTCCTGACTTCAGGTGATCCACCCACCTCAGCCTCCCAAAGTGTTGGGATTACAGGTGTAAGCCACCACACCCAGCCTGTATCTTTGTTTTAATTAGTTTCAAAGAATTTTTTTTATTTCTCCCTTACTTTCATTGTTTACCCAAAAGTCATTCAGGAGCAGGTTGTTTAATTTCCATGTAATTATGTGCTTTTGAGCAATTTTCTTAGTATCGATTCCTATTTTTATTATGCTGATGTCCAAGAGTGTGGTTCGTATGATTTTGGTTATTTTGAATTTGCTGAGAATTGTCTTAGGATTGATTATGTATTCAATCTTAGATGTGCCATGTGCACATGAGAAGAATGTATATTCTGTTGTTTTTGGGTGGAGAGTTCTGTAGATGTCTGCTAGGTCTATTTGGTCAAGTATTGAGTTCAGGTCCCAAATGTTTTTGTTAATTTTCTGCCTCAGTCATCTGTCTAATACTGTCAGTGGGGTGTTGAAGCCTTCAAGTAGTATTGTGTGGTTATCTAAGTCTCTTTGTGGGTCTTTAAGAACTTGTTTTATGAATCTAGGTGCTTCTGTGTAGGTGCTTCTGTGTTGGGTGCATATATATTTAGGATAGTTAAGTCTTCTTGTTGAATTGAACTCTTTACCATTATGTAATGCCCTTCTTTGTCTTTTTTGATCTTTGTTGGTTTAAAGTCTGCTTTTTCTGAAATTAGAATAGCAACCCCTCCTTTTTTCTGTTTGCTTGGTAAATTTTTCTCCATCTCTTTACTTTGAGCCTATAGGTGTCATTGCATGTGAGATGGGTCTCTTGAAGACACCATACAGTTGGGTCTTGGTTATTTATCCAACTTGCCACTCTGTGCCTTTGCTTGGGGCATTTAGACTGTTTACATTCATAGTTAATATTGATAAGTGCAGGTTTGATCCTATCATTATGTTGTTAGCTGGTTATTATGCAGACTCTTTTTTGTAGTTGCTTTATAGTGCCAATGGTCTATGTATTTGAGTGTGTTTTTGTGGTGACCAGTGGTCTTTCCTTTACATATTTAGTACGCCCTTAAGGGTTCTTGTAAGGAAGGTCTGTTGGTAATACATTCCCTTAGCATTTGCTTGTCTGAAAAGGATCTTATTTATCCTTCATTTATGAAGCTTAGTTTTGGTAGATATGAAATTCTTGGTTGGAATTTCTTTTCTTTAAGAATGCTAAATATAGGCCCCCAATCTCTTTTGGCTTGTAGGGGTCTCCTGAAAGTTCCACCATTACCTTCATGGAGTTCCCTTTGTAAGTGTCCTGTCCCTTCTCTCTAGCTGCTTTTAGATTGTTTCTTTCAATTTGACCTTGGTGAATCTGATAACTATGTGTCTTGGAGATATTTGTCTTATATAGTTCTCACAGGTGTTCTCTGCATTTCTTGAATTTCAGTGTTGGCCTTTTTAGCAAGGTTGTGAAATTTTTCATGGAAAATAACCTCAAATATGTTTTCCAAGTTGCTTGCTTTCTATCCCTGTCTTTCAGGGACACAAATGAATCATAGATTTGGTCTCTTTATATAATCCAATATTTCTCAGAGGTTTTGTTCATTCTTCTTTATTCTTTTTTCTTTATTTTTGTCTGACTGAGTTATTTCAGAGAACCAGTGTTCAGGCTCTGAGATTTGTTCCTCAGCTTGGTTGATTCTGCTAATATTTGTGATTGTATTATGAAATTCTTGAAGTGAGGTTTTCAGCTTAAATCAGTTTGGTTCTCCCTTAAATTGGCCATTTTGTCTTTCAGCTCCTGTATTCCTTGGATTGGGTTACAACTTTCTCTTCAATCTCAATGATCTTCATTCCTATCTATATTTTGAATTATATTTCTGTCATTTCAGATGGATCAGCCTAGTTAATAACCATTGCTGGGGAACTAGTGCAGTCATTTGGAGGTTAGAAAACATTCTAGCTTTTTGAGTTGCCAAAGTTCTTGTTCTGGTTCTTTCTCATCTGTGTGGGCTGATGTTCCTTCAATCTTTGAAGTTGCTGTCCTCTGGATGGAGTTTTTTGCTTTCATCTTCTTTGATGTCTTTGGAAGTTCACCTGGAATAATGTGGGTTCATTCAACTGACTCTGTTTCTGGAAGACTTTAGGGAGCCAAGTATCAGCTCAGCACTCCAGGGCTGTGTGCTCTAACTCTTGGGGCTGGTACCAGGCCACTGGCTTTGTTCTCTGGCCTGCTGAGATTAGAAACCTGCTGCACTGGAGGGGTGAAGGTGCTCCCCATCTGCTGGCCAGAATGGATGCTAGTGTGTTGGGTGGTGCTGATGCATGGTGCAGGACAAAGTGCTTTGTCAGGGCAAGGGAAGTGGAATCCATGCTTGCTCACTCATGCTGTCAGCCACAGTAGTGTGGTTGCCTGCATACATGTCAGCTGGGGCAGGGTAATGGTGGGAGAAGGGCTGTGATGTTCCTGCATACAGCTTGCACCAACAGTCATGGAGCTTGGCAAGGACAGGAATAGGGAGTTGGCTGGGCCTGACTTGCTGGTGTCTGTGCTTGCACTCACTCCAACAGAAGTAGTAGTAGTAGGGGTCCGGCATGTTCACAGCCACAGCACAGTGGAGGCAGGGCCAGTATCTGTGCATGCCTTCATGCAGACAATTGCAGTATGACCAGGTACCCATACGTCAGCAGGGTAGGGAGGGGATGTGGTGCATACTTGTGCTGATGATAGTGGCACAGTAGGGTGTGGGCAGCCATGCATACTGGTGAGGGAGGGGAAGCAAGGTCCACATATGGGTGTGTGTCAGCAAAACAGTGGATGTTGGCTGTGTGTGAGTGTGTGCTAACAATGCAGCAAGGTGGTGGGTGGGGGGCTTGGGGAGGCTGCAGTGAGTGGTGAATGTGGGTGGGCTGGTGTGTGTCGATGGAGGCCAGTCTGCTGGAGGTCTCCCATGGTCAAGTGAGGTCTGCCACTGAAGGAGTTATGATGAATGCCCCTGGGAAGCACCCTGGTTGGGCATCCAAGACTGTGCTGCAAGAAGGTGTGGCCAGGATAGGGCTCTGGGAGAGGCCAGCAGACGGGTCACTCATATCAGACTGACTCTGTCTCACAAGTAAGACTGCCATGGCTCAGTGCAGGTTTGACAGTCCCTCTAAGGCTTAAATCTCCTAGAGGAGCATGGCAGGCCTTGAGGAATGGGCATCCCTGCCCATGCTTCATCACAGATGTTCCTGCACCAAACCTCTGGGCTCTGCACAGGCTGGAGTCCTGCCCTTACCACCACTCTAAGTAGCTCTCCCTGCTAGCTCTCCATGGGAGTTATGGGGTTTCCTGCTGCCTGGACTCCAGAGATCAGTGGCAAGAGCAGGTCACTTCTAACCTGTTCAACTCACCCCTTTCCCAGGAGTTGCAGGGGGCCAGAAACAAGTCCTGGTGCTCGGTAGTCCTGTACAGGGTTCCCAGCTTCCTTCCTCTTCAGCCCAGTGTCTGCATCATCCTTCCATCCACTCTCAATGCCTTCCCTCCAAAGATCTGCTCAGAATGTACCAGTCTTCCTGACAGCTCAGTCTCTTGGTGGGAGATGTTCCTCCTGGCTACGTCTAGTTAACCATCTTGGCTCCTCTTCTGAAAGATCAAGGATTAGAACTGCTCCAGGACCCCCGGGACATATAATGAAGACACCCTCTGTTTCTACAGGGTCCTCCAAAAATCAGCTTTTTACCTTATAAAATATATAAATTAAAAATTCCAAATAAATTAAAAACTAAATATGAAAAAAGTAGAAATGTTTAGTATATAAATATATGATATATCTTTATGACATCATGGTAGGGAAAAAACCTTAAACATTATAAAAGCAAAAATCACAAAAGAAAATATTGATATTCACTCCATTAACTTTTTATACTTCTCTCCATCAAAAATATCATAAACAGGCCAGGCACAGTGGCTCATGCCTATAATCCCAGCACTTTGGGAGGCCAAGGTGGATGGACCATTTGAGGTCAGGAGTTTGAGACCAGCCTGGACAACATGGTGAAACCCTGCCTCTACTAAAAGTACAAAAATCTGCTGGGCATGGTGGCGGGTGCCTGTAGTCCCAGCTACTCCAGAGGCTGAGGCAGGAGAATGCTTGACCCCAGGAGGTGGAGGTTGCAGTGAGCTGAGTTCATGCCACTGCACTCCAGCCTGGGTGACAGAGCGAGACTCTCTCAAAAAAAAAAAAAAAAAAAAAAAAAAAAAAATATATATATATATATATATATATATGAAACAACAGGAAAAATAAAAGATTAAGGATTAATAATCAGAATACTTAGATATTCTACAAAACAATAAAATTAATAAATATCAAACCATATAATAAATAAATAAACAGCCTTACTAGGGGAACAAAACAAAGTATATGTAACTCACAGAAAAGAAAAAGCAAAGACCATTAAACATCAGAAATATTGACACCCAATGTCAATATTAATTAAAAAAAATAAAAAGAGATATCACTTGGATTGACAATTTTAAAGACTTACAACATCAATTTTTGGCAAGGTAGTAAGAAATAGGAATACACTGATGGTGGGAGCCTATATTAGTACCAACACCCTGGAGAGCAGTTTAGGAATTCCTAGTAAAGTGGAAAACATATACACATCAATGGCCAAGAATTTCACCCATGGATATCAACCCTAGTGCAGCAATTCTCAAAGTTTGGTCTCTGCACCAGTATTTGCATATCCTGAGGGTTTGTTAGAAATTTAGATTCTTGGGCCCACACATTCCATTTGAATCAGGAGGTCTCAGGGAGGGGCCAGCAATCTGTGTTGTCACAATCACTCCAGCTGATTCTATTGCACAATCAAAGCTAGAGAAACCTTCACACATGTGTTCCTGAAGACATGTACAAAGAAGGTTCATGGAGGCATTGTATGTAATCACAAAAAAAATATGAACCACCCAGCTGATCCTCTCAAAAGAATGGAAACATAGGCTGCAGTAATCAAAACAGCAGAGTACTAGTACAAAAATAGACACATAGATCAATGGAAAAGAAGAGAGAACCCAGAAATAAAGTTCACTTCTACAGCCAATTGATCTTTGACAAAGTCAACAAAAATAAGCAATGGGGAAAGGAGTCTCTATTCAATAAATAGTGCTGGGATAGCTGGCTAGCCATATGCAGAAGAATGAAACTGGACCCCTACCTTTCACCACATACAAAAATTAACTCAAGATGGACTAAAGATTGAAATGTAAGACCTCAAACTATAAGAATCCTAGAAGAGAAGCTAGGAAATACCATTCTGGATACGAGTTTGGGGAAAAATATTATGACTAAGTCCTCAAAAGTAATTGCAACAAAAATAAAAATTGACAAATGGAACCTAATTAAACTAAAGAATTTTGGCACAGCAAAAGAAACTATCAGCAGAGTAAACAAGCAACATACAAAAAGGGAGAAAATATTCACAAACAATGCATCTGACAAAGGTCTAATATCCAGAATTTGTTAGAAACTTAAACAGTTGATGTTAAGAAGTTAAACAATTGAACAAACAAAAAACATTAAAAATGGGCAAAAAACATGAACAGACACTTCTCAAGAAACACAGACATTTGGCCAACACACATATGAAAAAATTGTCTAAATCACTAATCTTCAGAGAAATAAATGTAAACCAAAACTGCAATGAGATACCATCTCACACCAGGCAGAATGGCTATTGTTAAAAAGTCAGACACAATAGATGCTGGAAGGCTGTGGAGAAAATAGAATGCTTATATACTGCTGGTGGGAATGTAAATTAGTTCAGCCACTGTGGAAATTAGTCTGAATATTTCTCAAAGAGCTTAAAACAGAAGTACCATTTGACCTGGCCATGTCATTACTGGTGTTTACTCAAAAGAAAACAAATGATTTTACCAAAAAGACACATGCTCACATGTTATTCACAGCACTATTCACGATAGCAAAGACATGAAATCAACCTAGGTGTCCATCAGTGGTGGATTGGATAAAGAAAATGTGGTACATATACCTCACGGAATACTACACAGCTATTAAAAAGAATGAAATCATGTCTTTTGGAGCAACATGAATGCAACTGGAGGCCATTATCCTGAGCAAATTAACACAGAAACAGAAAACGAAATGCCACATGTTCTCACTTACAAGTGGGAGCTAAACCTTAGGTATTCATGGACATAAAGATGGCAACAATAGACACTGGGGGCTGCTAGAGGGAAGAGATAGGGAGAAGGGCAAGGGTTGAAAAAATAACTACTGGGTACTATGCTCAATACCTGGGTGATGGGCTCATTCATACCCAAACCTCAGCATCATGCAATATACCCTGATAACAAACCTGCATGTGTATCCCCTGAATCTAAAATAAAAGTTGAAAAACATAAATAGAATGAATAATAAACCCTGGTGTATTCATTCTATGGATTGTTTTACAGCTATTGGAATGAATGAACTAGTTCTATCAACAAGGATAAAAATTCAAAACCAACATTGAATAAAAAAAAATCAAATGACAAAAGATTACACCTTATGATGTTATTCATGTACATTTTTAAACTGAAAAGAAAGGTAGATGCATTACTCATGTCTTTAATAATTTATTGTAAAGTACCAAAACCCATAAGAAGATGTCACACCAGCATCAGAAGGATGGTTACTTCTGGCAGAGGAATGGGGAAGTGAGGCAAAGGGACTAATGAATTATGTAGAGGTTTAACTAGATCTAAAGTACTTTTATATCTTATGAAAATTCTGAAGAAAACATGGTGAATGACAGCATCATTTAAAATTGAGTAATGGATCCATGGAAGTTTGCTGTTATTTTTTGTACCTTTTTCTTTTTGAAGTATTTGATAATTTTCACAAATATCTTAAAGACATAATAGCCTAGGGGAAAAAAAAACCCAAAACTGTAACATAGGCAAGTGTTTTCTTAGATACTGCCAGTGCTTCTTCGTGTGCATTCCACGAATATTAAATGTCAGCAAAGGTCTGTGCAATCCCTGAGATTAAAAAGAATTATTTCAAAGCCCAATCCCATAGCTTGTGAAATCCTAAATAAAAAGATATATACATAGATACACAGTTTCTTCAGCTTTTAATTTCTTTCTTTGTTTCCTCATGGAAAATCTATACTACCTACAGATTTAGGAAAATATCTCAAGATTCAAATTAGGTTTGCCTTTAAATTGCTTATCTAGGAAATTAAAAGAAAAAAATCTAAAGACTTAAAAACAATGGACGCAGTGAGAAGTGGTAATAATTAAAACAGATAGAATAATTGGAAATCTATATACAGAATAGCAGGACACATGTAAAATACCAGTCAATTGTTTCTTGCTCTGAAAATACTCAACAGCTATGGAGACAAGACCTCCACATACTGCCATTTGTAGGATACACCCAATGAAATGGATGGCTTCCCATAAGGTAAGTACAGTTAAAAGATCACAACTCAACAATCTCCAGGCCCAAATAATTCAATTTATTTCTTTTTAAATCAGTTTTATTGAGGGATCACATACAATAAAATTCATCAATTTTATATGTAAAATGTGATGAGTTTTGACCAATGTATATGATCATATAACTACTACCACAGTAAAAATACAGAACATTTTCATGACCCCAAAAGTTGCCTCATATCCCTTTGCAGTCAAATTTTTCCTCTAGTCCCTGGCTCCTGGCAACTATTAATCTGCTTTTGTCACTAGAGGTTTTTTTTTGTTGTTGTTTGTTTTGTTTTTTTCAAAAATCTCCCATAACTAGAATTGTACGGTATGTATTTTTTATTCTTTCACTTAGCATAATGGTATTGAGATTCATTGATGGTGTTCCCTGTATGAGTAATATATTCTTTTTTTTTATGTCTGAGGTGTATGCCACTATATGGATAGGCTACAATGTAAAATGTCTTAGTCTTAAATATGAATGAATCAGCTAAAACTTAAGAAAAGTCTCCTATATTAAAAAAAAAAAGAGGAGGGGCAACTGTAGTAAATGAAAGAGGGAGGCAAACATAGAAGAACAAATAAATCAAGGGAGAGAAAAAAGCTTTTTAAAAGATTTTAATGTATCAGAGAGATATGATAATTTTTTTCTCTCTTACACAAGAAAAACATACTTTGAGAAAGGAAAAATTTGAAAAAACAAGAAACCACTCTCAAAATTTTAAATACTATTTTTAAAAGGAAGTTTGAAAGGTAAAAAGTCAGATAAAGTAAAAGAAATTTCCAAAAAATAAAAATACAGGAAAATCTAAGAGGTGGAATATTTAAAAGATTAATGAAGGTGGTCTAATATCTAATTAATATTAATCCCAGAATGAAGGAATGGAAAAACAAAGGAAGAAAATTATCACAGGAAAATGTCATAGAATTGAAGGACACAAAATGTCTAGATTGAAAAAGACTCACTGACTGCTCAGGATAAGGAGTGAACAAACACCTGCAACAAAGTGCATCACTATGAAATTTCATAACATGGATGCTAAAAGAGAATACCTGAGAAACTTCCAGAGGAAAAAAAAATAAAATCAGATTTAGTGCAAAGAGTCAAGAATAAAATGACATCAGACTTCTCATCAGCAACACTGTCTTCAAAATTCAGAGGGAAAGGGAAGTTATTGACTAAGCATTCTAAAGTCAATGAAGCTATTATCCAAATGTAGAATAGAAAGAATAAACGCAGATAAGCAGAAAATTAACTTACCATGTTCTCTTCTTGGTAAGCCCATTAGGACTTGTCCTAATGCTGGGACTTTGGTCCTAGTGCTCTAGCAGTAAAATAAGAGAGAAAGGGCGGGGACGGGGATTAATTTCAGAAAAAGAAGGCAAAGAATCCATCCCAGAAAAATCAAAACTGAATTCTTAGGATAAAACCCAGTCCAGTTGGAGAAGGAGGACTGAGACACTGAAAGGTAGATTGTAGGAGAAAGAGAAATTCTATAGAACAATTAATATGATGAGCATTTGAAAATGATTAAAATTTTGTGGCAAGCAAAAACTGACCCAGTTAGACACTCCAGGAAAAACAAAGCGCTTTATAAGAAAAAGATGAAATTCTGGTACACTATTTGGCTCAGCAGTAAACAATATTTACAAATTATGATGATACAATTACTGATTATGATTTAACATAATTAAAATGTTGATCATCAAGAAATTAATAAATATTGTACAAAGTAGATTAATCAGGACATCAACTTGTATAGGGATAGTATTTAGAAGGAACAGATAAGAGTTAAAAATGGTTTCCAATGGAAAGATACAACTGGGATGTGAGGAAGGACTGGGCCAGCAACTGCTGTATTCTAGTGTACACATTATAGTATTGCTTGATTTTTAAATATGGCATATATTATTATTATAAAAATTCTAATGTTTAGTTTCAAGTTATACCAAAATTTGGGGCTGCTGGGGGAGAATGATCCTTTAAAATAAGTTACAGAACAGACTTTAATGTTTAATAAGAATCTTTACAATAATAATAAATATTGATTGAGTGCTTCTAAATTTCCAGGCCCTCTTCTAAGTTTTCTATGTGTATTCGCTGATTTAAAAGGACAGAGAAATTTACTCTAGGGCCTCAAAAATAGGGAAGACACGCCTTATTTAAAATTTAAAAATTCTGATGTGTAAAGCAAAAGGGAATCTGGTCTTCTTTTTATATTCCCACCTTCATCTAGCCCTTGGCATTTAGTATCTGAACTATAAAAAGTGCCTTCTAGTTGCCTGATCTCCAAACTTCCCCTTTTTCAATCTATTTTACACAGGCTACCAGACTAACATTCCTAAAACACTATATTGGTTTAGTTACACCTCTGCTCAAAAGTCATCAGTGGCTCCACTTTATCTAGCAAATAAAGTACAATCTTAGCATGTCATTTAAATTCTTCTGGGGCTGCTTTCCAACTATCTTCCTTTTATAGTTTCAAGTTTCATCAAACTAGTCCTTTTGTAAATACGGACTAGTTACCTTTCTCCAACATGCTTTGTGCTTTGTACTCTCTTATGTCATACCTTGCACCTAAAATGCTTCTGCTCCCTCAAAATTCACTTAACACATTGATAACCCATTCTTCAAAGTGCAGTTAAGGCATCTCAGGCTCTATCTACACTGCCATACTCAGTCACAAAGGCAGAAATGATTTCTCCTTCAACTGCATACCAACGCCAATGATGATCAACCTTAGTTTCTCTGTTGGCCATCTCCTGGCCAATTCTATGCCCTGCTCAATGCCACTGACTGCATCACAGATTTTCCCTTTGAGTTCTTTCCTGTTCCCTTCCTGCCCTAATGCTGTGTCTCTGACAGTAGCTGCATCCATCCATGGCCACAGGTCCCAAATTGTGGCCTCTCTTTCGGTTCCGGTTCTCCCTGGGCTCTAATAACTCCATTTTACCATTGTTCTTTTAGCCCTAGAGTGACAATGGTTACCCACTGTTGCTATAGTCTTTTGCGTTAATTTTTCCTTAACCCTATCTGCATCTCTGCAAGCAGACTCATCATCAAATTCATAAGCCTGTGAAATAGAAAGCCACTAAGGAGAAAGAGCTAGATGAACCATCTGGAGTAAATTCTGTGACCCGCCAGGACTCTGGCCCATATGACATTCATCTATCTCTCATTGCCTTCTATCATAATATAAGTCGGATTTACCCAAAGACTATGAATTTCCTAAGTAAGGAGACCACACTTGACTCATCTTTGCTATTTAGGTGCCTGGTCATAATAGATTTTCAATAAATGATTGAGAAGTCAATGAATCTTAATGTGCCTATTTAATGCACTCCACAAAGATCTGGTAATTACCAGTTCCTGAATAGGAGATTTTCACATAAACTTTCTGTTCTTAGATGTCACTCTGATTAGGATTATTAAAGGAACACAGTCCTGACAACAGTGAACAAAGTGGGGGAAATAGATGATTCTGAGAAGAGAGCACTTTGAACCAGAGATGTGTGAACCCAGAAGCATTTTGAGATTGGCATCATGTCTTGAACTAGTTTTCAAAGGAATCAGACTTGGCCAAACCCAAAGAGAACTTTGCCAAGCAGTTTTCCCCTTAATTTTTAAACCCATGTGTATTTTAAGGGAAATTCAATCCATATGTTTCTGATTCATTTACACTTAACTCATCAAAATGTTGTTTTGTAAGAGTTATTTGATGTCCCAGTCTTTTGAGCTTTTGTGCAGAAATGCCTTCCCCCTCTTATAAATAAAAACCTTTTGGCAAGTCATACACAAAAATTGATCCCTGAAAGGTTCGAAGTCATTTCAAACCTCAAGGCCCACAAGGTTCCAGTGATTCCTTACTGGATCTGATAGGACTCCTCTCTCTGTAGAAATCTGAGGGCTTTTGCTGAAGAGACACAAGGTTGCACAAGGATGGAAGTCTGACCCAGCAAAAAGACAAAGAGAATTTTAAAGTCCAAAGTGGGAGAACAGGCATGTAAAGTGGTAAAGAGATGAGAAGAAGCTACAAATAAAACACCAAAAACAGAGAGACAAAGAGAATAAATGAAACAATTTTCTGTGTACAGAAGTTCAAAGACAAGGCAGGGAGAGAGGGAAATATGAGCAAATATATGTCATGGAACACATATATCAGAGCTCTCAGAATCCTGTTTTAGAAAACCAAATGCCTTGGCCATTTGGGAAGCAATTATGAGAATGTGTTATTAATTACTTAGTTGTGCCTGTTTACTTGAGCAACAATAGTTCTTGCTATGGATCCTGCCAGCTTGCCTGCTTTACTTCTATCACCAGTACTAATATTATTTCAATAGGCCCTTCATTTTTCTTTATTCATATCCATAGCTTCGGGTCAGAGTTAGCTCAAGCGGTTACCTCCTCATGCCGGACTTTCTATCTGTTCATATCCATAGCTGAACTTATACATATGCAGTTCTCATACCACTATCCTTCAAAGCATCAAAGAGAAGTGGATATTTACAAACACAGACGACCAGAAATTGGGCCAGGTCATTGATGCTATTCATTAATATCTCCTAACAATCCATGATGCTGTTGCCCAGGAAACAAAGCCAAGTCTGTATCTTAGATCTCAAGTTCTTCTTTTGTAAAATGCCTTACCTAAGATGTCATAAAAGTAATAAAACTCAAGAAAACATAAAGCACTCTGCAAAGACAAGGAGGAACAAGAGTATTTCAATTGAGGGTTTAAATGTGAATAACAATGAGTGTGGGCCTTAACAAAATGCCTAGAGAAAACTTGAGTATAATTTCCTGGGTTGATGTTCTCAAAGGAAAGAAGCTCCAAAGGGGATAAATGAGAGACTATTAAAAAAACCAAAATTCTGGCAACATAATCACTTATGTTTTCAAGTGGAAGTGAAGGTGGAGACATCTAAAGAAGAGTGTTTTTTCTAGTTTTTTTTAAATGAGCTTAGAATTTTTTTTTAAAGGAGTCCACACAGGCCTGAAAGAGTGGCTTCAATGGAAAACAAAAAAGCAAGGCCCAAGCTTGCAAAAACATGTTTATGAAAATATGAAAGAGCTTTAGCAGCTATCTTGACAGAATGGGGAACAAGAAAAACACTCCTAATTGGGGATGCAAATCAGGTAATGTCTGATATCAGCTAGAAAACAGAATTATCTGCCCTATCAAACAGAATGACACTGTTGATTTGTTGTATTCCCCAACCGGAATATGAGTTCCTTCATGATGGGGTCTTCTTTTTTCCCCACTTCAGATGCAGAGTAACTAGTGCATCTAATTCAGGCTTAGTATATATTTGGAGAATAAAAAAACTGATGTCAAATGAAAGACTCTGCCATGTGACTATCTCCATCTCTGCTAATTCTCTCCACGTATATGTAACCTTCATCCTGCAACCTGAAGGCCATTCTATCTCCCTCTATAGCAAATAAGGCCAAGTCTACACATCTGTTCGCTCACTGTCATCCTAAGGGGCATTAATCACACACCTTATCTAGTTCACTGCACCTTCTTTCCTTCCAGCTCCATTTCACAGAAGTGGGTGTACCGCTGGTAGAATCTTCCTAGCCTTGTCTCCACCTATTACTCCTACACCTACCCCTCCCTAAAATACTTTCTTACTTCCCATCTTTGGTTTTGTGCCAATTTAAAATTGAACCAGCATTATCCAACCCTCTCTGAGATGTTCCTTACAATCATCTACTCCTCCCTGATGTCACCTCTTCCTGAGAATGCCTCAGTTTCTGCTTCCTGCTTATTACCAGACACTCTTGCCCCAGTTATCCAGCATGCTGTCTACACGCTTTCCTGCCTCAAGACAGCCAATGCTGGAAGATGCTATGAGGCAATGCCCTACAGCAGCAGTAGTCACACAGCTGCTGTCTAAGGGAGAGGCACCTCCAAACATTGAGAAATTACACCCAGGGCCATTAGGGAAAGGAACAGGCAATCTGCAAAAGGTCAGGCCAAGCTAACTTCATTTCCTTTTCTAATTAGTGGATGGATAGCAGGGCATTTGAAATTGTAAAATCAGAATCAGCGGAGACTTTATAGAAGTGATGCTCAACACTTGGTTGGGGGTGAACTCCACTGAGAATCTGATGGACGCTAGGAACACTATTCACACAAGTTTATCGTACAATTTCAGAAGAAGTCATTCACTACATATTAAGAACATTGTTTTAGCAGCTGACTAACCTATCTACTATCAATGATTTTAAAAACTCATGCTAATGTCAATGACATCTAAATTGTATTCAAATACTATGATCCTATCATTCTAATAAAATAGTGACAATGAAAAGAAATGCATTTTTAATGTTTGCCACATGCCAGGTTCTATCCTAAGTACTTTACCTACCTTGCTTTATTTAATTCTCACAACAAAACTATCAGTTTGGCATTATTATAATCTACAAATAAAATCGTAATACAGATGAGGAAATTGAGGCTTAGAAAAGCTAAGTCATGTGCCCATGGTCACACAGCATGTGGGTGAATTAAGATCCAAACATGCATCTGTCAGTCTCTGTGTCAGGATAGGTGAGGTTATGACTCCCCAAAGCCCATTGGCTTAAAATCATAGAGGTACATTTCCCCTTACACCAGAGGTCCATCCCACCTCAGCAGGGGTTCTCTGCTTTTCTTGGTTACTCAGAGTCTCAGCTGACAGAGCAGCCACCATTTCCAATGTTGTCAATCTCTTTATATGAAAGAAAATGAATCTCTGAGTGTCTCTTATAAAATTTCTTTTTAATATTACTATTTTATTAGAATCATAGGATCCTAGTATTTGGATGCAATTTAGATGCCATCAACATTAACATGCTTTATTTTCTTTCTTTCTTTTTTTTTTTTTTTTTCAGACGGAGTCTCGCTCTGTCGCCCAGGGCCCAGGCTGGAGTGCAGTGGCACGATCTCAGCTCACTGCAAGCTCCGCCTCCCGAGTTCACGCCATTCTCCTGCCTCAGCCTCCCAAGTAGCTGGGACTATAGGCGCCCGCCACCGCGGCCGGCTAATTTTTTGTATTTTTAGTAGAGACGGAGTTTTAACGTGGTCTCGATCTCCTGACCTCGTGATCCGCCCGCCTCAGCCTCCCAAAGGCTTTATTTTCTTTTATCATTGATAGAATGATAGAAGATATAAGTTAGGTTAGTCGCTGCTAAAACAATGCATTAAAATTCTGTGGCCCAGAGTAACTTCTCCTCACATCTCTTTGGACAAAACAAATCATGTGGGCAAATGGAAAGGGAACAGGAATTGCAATCTTACTCTATGTCCAGGATATGGAATCCTGAAAATATTTGGCAGGCGTCAAAATGTCTACTGCACTCCCAAAGCCCATGCTATTAACAACAATTTCTATATACCCTCAACCTAAGAAATGAAATGTTATGTAGCTATGTTTTTCCATAGCCATGACATCATACAGGGAATAATCCACATCAAATGTCATTCCTCACTGTCTGCTTCTGTGTACCTAAAGTTTTATAGTATGACCTATTTGGAATGTTGAAAATGCGCTAAATTCCAAATACCTGCCCATGATCTGTCTCTAAAATGCAATATATCATAATATAAGGTTTAATTATAGAAGCAGTTTTAGCAGTAACCAAATTTAAATCCTATTTTTTTCTGATCTTTGCCCTTGCTTTCTGAAAAAAAAAAATTCCTTTAAACAAGCAATTTGCTGTGCTACCACAACTCATTAAAACAATGCTGCTTATTTGCCCTTTTATCTCCAAAATTATTCTATTCTGGAAACTTAAAGTTACAGAAATAGCTTCCTTTTGATTTTTATTTCCTCCAATGTCTGTGGATGGTGCTTTATAGTTTGCAGAATACAGGAACTTTTCACATCAATGACTTCATTTGATCAGCCTTTCATATAGGCATTATTTTCATTATAGTTCTCCAAATAAATAGATGGTTAAATTAAAAAAAAGAAAAAGAAAAAAATGTAGCCTAAGGCCATACAGCTAAAAAGCGGGTGATGCTGAGATTCCACCCATCATCTCTTCTGATTCCAGCCTATGCTTCTTCCTGTCGTACCTCCCAAATCTTTGTGCCAATTCTCTTTAACTGCTGGTAAAAATCAGTCATGGCCTGTCCTCTTTTTTGTGCGAGAATATCTAGGACAAAGAGTTCCATATCCCAAAATGATGCTGACCTCTGAGGCTCCCACAGAAAAAGGGTCACAAAGTTTCAAGGGAAAAAGTATGTATTCTCTTAAGCAAAGGCAAACTTAGCATCTATAAGAAGTTCCCTAGTCAGAAAAGTTTTTATTAGCAGGCAATAAATAAATAAATAAATAAGCTCCTGAATGGAGAATATTTTAAAGATAGAAAAACTAACCTGTAGTAAGCACTGGCTATAAGTCCAGCCCTTAATATTGTTTGGGTTAATAACGGCTGAGGTTTATTGAGCGTTGGCTGAAAAAGTTCCAGGGTTAAAGCATTACATGCACTGGTACATTTTATCCTTGCAAAATCCCCACAATTGAGATATAGTCATCATTCCTTTTTTTGCACACGAGGAGACTAAGCATTAGAGACAGATGCCAACATCACACACAGCCGACAAATGGCTGAACTAAGATTTGAATGCAGAGGGTCAAACACAGAGCCTGTCTCCCTGTGACTTAACGACGACAGCAAGCCTAGTACACAGAGATCATTATTCTCACTTTACAGAAGTGGGAACAATAGCACAGAGAGGTTAAGGAATGCTTTCAAAGCTGCACAGCCAGCAGGTGATGAAGTGAGAATGAACTCAGATTTGCCCCCATATCAAAGGCCAGTTATACCTGGTGCTGGTGAAGCTGAGTCTTTGTCCAAAGAACTCTGCCTCTTTTAACTTAGGGGCCATCTCAGCAAAGGGAACATCACAGAGATCAATCACCAGGGATGGAATGACAATGCCAGACCCACATTTGTACTCTGGCTCCCAGTCTACTGATCCAGGCATGCTGTTAATCTCTGGGGCTTATAGAAGAGGAAATTCTGTTTGTTCCTAGAGGCCTTTGAGGCATCTTCCATTCAGAACTTGCACCACACTGTTCCTCTGACTGAGATTGGCTCCAAGTGTCTGCTACTGGGGCATCATTCCATTTCTTCAGGCTTGTTTGAGGCATTAATACTCAGACACTTCCCCAGCCATCCTCAGCCACCTCCCTTCACCAGGGTCACCATAGAGACATGCTTCCATTAGTAAGGACAATGCACATCCCCCATTTCTAGGATTAAGCATGTCACTTTTCAAGGAATGTTATGCTGTGGTCATCACACTTTGTGCCTCTCCTTTCACAGCAGATGAAGTGAATGAAGATGGTCACAGCCCTGGCACATTTACAGTGATCACCTTTCTTAATATCTGAGGAGAATTGAACAGGAATGTTGAAACATGTTTCTGATTTAAAAATATTACCTTGTACCAGTTAGAATGGCTATTATTAAAAAGTAAAAAAAAAAAAAAACACAGATGTTGGTGAGGCTATGGAGAAAAGGGGACACTTATACACTACTGGTTGGAATGTAAATTACTGAAACCTTGATGGCAAACAGTGTGGAGGCTTCCAAAGAACTAAAAATAGGACTATAATCCAGCAAACCCACTACTGGGAATCTACTTGAAGGTAAGGAAATCATTTGATCTAAAAAGATACCTGCACTCATATGTTTATCGCAGCACTATTCACAATAGCAAAGCCATGGAATCAGCATAAGTGTGCATCAATGGATGATTGGATTTAATGTGGGTATATATGTATAGATCTAGATATGTATACACATACACATACATCTGTATAGATCTATATATCTAGATGTGTGTGTGTGTGTGTGTGTGTGTATATACACACACACACACACACACACACACATGCACCATGGAATTCTACTCAGTCATAAAAAAGAATGAAATCATATCTCTTACAGCAACATGGATGGAACTGGAGGCCATTATCCTAAGTGAAATGACTTAGCAACAAAAAGTCAAAAACTGCATGTTATAAGTGGTAAACAATGGGTACATATGGAAATACAGAGTAAAATAATAAATACAGGAGACTCCACAAAGTGGCAGAGTGGAAGGGGGGTACCTACTGGGTATAATGTACACTGTTTAGGTGATGGATACACTAAAAGCCCACACTTCACCACTATGCAATATATCCATGTAACACGACTGCACATGTGCACCTAAGTCTATAAATTAAAATTTTAAAAATTAAAAAAGTCTATAAATTAAAATTTTAAAAATCTACTATGTTCTGTTGCTGCTCAAATATCCTTCTTGCTTATAGACATAATCAGGAAGATCATGATTTTATTAATAACATGCTATTGGAGAAATATAGCAAGTAATTGTGTCTCGTCAGGCCAAAGTGACAGAAAGTAGTGCAGCACTTCCTCATGGCCCACAGAATTGGGCAACTAGGAGTAGTGAACCAATGACTCTGCTGTTTAATTTATGTATTTGAGTAAAGCAAGGAATCAAGAAAGTCGGAGATCAAGTTTTGATGAAGAAAGCATAAGCATGGTGGCTCACGCCTGTAATCCCAGCACTTTGGGAGGCCAAGGCGGGCAGATCACGAGGTCAGGAGATCAAGACCATCCTGGCTAACACAGTGAAACCCTGTCTCTACTAAAAATACAAAAAATTAGCCGGGAGTGGTGGCACTTGCCTGTAGTCCCAGCTACTCAGGAGGCTGAGGCAGGAGAATCACTTGAACCCGGGAGGTGGAGGTTGCAGTGATGCCACTGCACTCCAGTCTGGGCAATAGAGCAAGACTCCATCAAGAAAAAAAAAAGAAAGAGGTATTGCAGGACAAAGTGAGTGAAGAACATGAAGAACACAGAGTAGCCATGTGGTACAGTGAATGGGAATGTTCCTACTAGACAGGAACTCAGAGAGGGTGGGGGCTGTGCTAGAAATGTCCTGAAGCTTCTAACCAAACAATGAACTCAAAATCCCCCACTCCACTTTCCCATTATCAACATAAAAAGGCAACTTTCATTGTATTCACCATCCACACATCTCCTGATTCCTTCAAACTCATTCCTAGTGTTCATTATAATCTCATTCCTTATAGGTAAAAGTAAAATAAAAATAAATGAAAATAATAAAACCATGTGAAGAATAACCCAGGTTACAGAACAGAGACAAAATAACCCTGATATGACAAAGTGCCTTGCCACCAATACCCAGCCAGGCACTGTCCCATGCAGAACTGGGCTGAGGACGGTTCAGAAGGCCCGTCAGAACCTCTCTGGACCATGTGACAACTACAGAAATCATCCATGTAGACCTGACCCTCAGGTTTAAATGGGATAGTACGTATGCCACAGGCGACTTTTAGAGACTTTTATTCTACCTCACATATGCAAAAATATAGCATCTAGCTTTGCTGAGTATGAAAATCTAAATTCAGAATCACTTCAAAATTGCCTCTGATTGCAGGGAGAATGCCTGAAAGAACAAAAAAATAAAGAAAGCTGGAGACATTGAAGAAGTTTTTTGTCTTTTTTTTTTAAAAAAGGTAGAACTTTTCCATCCTGACAAAATGCATCAACTAATTTCCATTTGTTTTCTCTAGAAGTCAAGTGCATAGCAGCTCAATGAGACATCTGAATCTGCAAAAGAGAAGTGAATATTCATGAAGTTTATTTTCCCAAAAGGTCTGTGTTTTAAATGTACACTGCAAGCAATCAAACTGAATCATTTAAAAATTAGGTTTGTAAATGTGGGTTCCCTTCCAAGGGTTTATTCTAGTAGGAATTTGTACTTCTGAGATGCTGGGGAAAGCCCTGGCAAATAGAGACTGCTAGAAAAAGCAAAGATAGTATCTGCTGTTCCATAAACAAGCAGTTACTGGACGGCAGGTAATTTCGGCTGTGTAATGCAGGCAAGCGCTTAGCCTGTGCTACTAACCCCTTGCTAGGTCCCATCTAAACTGTTTCACGCCTGAAAATTGCTATGGGGTTAAATTGTCCATCAGCAGGAAGAGAAAAAGGGAAGCTTCATGTTCATGATGAGGAACATGTTCAGAGAAGCGTCAAGCTTGAATGGAAAGAGAGGGAGGAGAAATGTCTGTAAAGAGATTATGGAGCTAAGTAAGGTAAGAACAGCTTTAAAACAGCAGGCACGGAAGTGAATGGATAGAATGGAAGAGTCCACTCACTAGACCTAGAGAGACCTAGACTAGATTCGCAGAGATTAAAATCACCCCAGCTGGTACACACAAGTTTTCTAGAATTCTAGGAGTCCACAGAATAGCATTAATCACCATGGGAGTCTGGCATCACTGCTGTGTGGAGCTGCCTTCATGAAGCCGGCAGAGCAAAGATCCAGGAGCAGAAGCCCAAAAAGCATTGAAGGAGAGAAGCAGCAGGATGGGGCTTCCAGAGGTAGGAGAGGGCAATGCCAGGAAAAGATGAGTCTGTTTATTTCCCCCAGTGGGCTCTCATCACAGCTGTGGAGTGGGGGGAGATCCAGGGTGGCTTAAACAAAACCGTGAAGATTCACATCTTTGGCACTTTTTAATCTTCTTATCAGCAAGCTGGGCTCTCACTGATATCCTGTGTCTGCCAATGCTTAAGTTGCAAGGAAGTTTGGAGACAGACAGTCCCAGACTCTGCAGCTTTCTAGCTGAGTAACTTTGAACATGATATTCAAATTTTCACTTTCTCTTCTGAATAATAGGAGTAATAACTGTGCTTTACATTTCAAAGGGTTAACAAGAATTAATAATATAGGTGAGAGACTTAGCACAGAACCTGGCACAAACTAAATACTCGATATTCATTGCTACCATTGTCAAGACTTACTAAAACGTAGACAGACGAAGTCCTACAAAAAAAGCTCTCTCCCAGAGTTGACAGGAAATGCTGTATTTAGGTTGGTATTCAGAGACAGGGAAACTTCGCTGGTGTCCTCTCAAAGCTTCACACAAACATGAGTTCAACAAAAGAATGAGCATTTATTGTGTGTGTTTGGGTAAGGTACTGTGCTAGGCACCAGTGACAAAAAGATAATAAAATACAGTCCGTTCTCGTAAAATATCTTAAACAGAAAACAAAAATTAATGAAATATAATATATATTTTACATATGTGAGTGTGTGTTAAATTTCAACCCGAAAAAGAACTACGAATGTATTTGGAAAATTGAGCATTAAAATTTAATACAGCAGGCTCTTTTTTGACCCATCTATTTATTTTTGAAGTAATTTCTTAAATTAGCTCAATACATTCCATTGCCTTTTTCCTGGTTTTAGATTAGATAGAAAAAAATTATATCTCCTTAAATGTCTGGTTAAAATGATGGTTTCCTTCCTTTAAAGATAAGTAGTAATATGTTGGATTCACTTTTTGTTGACTTGGGATACAAGCATGGATTCCACATGGGAGTCTCTGACTTTGATTCTTGTGAAATAAGCACAGGAGACTGCAAGATGGGGAAAATGAATTCTAAAGAATAAGATGTTTTGTGACCAAGGCTGAAAGACAGATTTAATGCAGAATTAATTTTCAGAAGGTATTCATGAGCATTTGAAATATGTTGTGTTGTTAACTGTATGATATTACCCTAACCTGTAGCCTGAATGTCTTCCTTCACGCCATCCTGTGGCTTTTGTCATTACCTTAATCAAATGTGTAGGGCTTGTGACCATGGTGCCAAAGTGTCTTTGTAGAAAAGTCATCATTGTTGAGGGTTAAGAGTTTAACCATGTCACTTGAACTCTTACCCAAAAGCTAGGGCCGAACCAGACATGTAATGTCAAGATGAAACAGGAAAGAATTAAGAGAATGTACTGAGGCTTTCAGCATTATATTTAACATTGTCAAAATCTTTTTGATATCTCAAAGAGGCCACCAAAATTATTCAGGGCTAAGCTTTTTACTTGGGGAGATAACAAACCTCTTTTGGCCTTCTTCTTTTCGTTCATTGGATTTGAAAACTTTGATGTGATACAAAAAAGAATAGGTAGTAAAGATTCATATTAAATCAGCCAATTCCACATTTTCTCTACTTATAAAAAAAATGTATGGGGAAGAAAATTGTCTGAAATGCCTCAAAAATTTTCTGTGGATTATGATTACTAATAATGTCATTTTCCCATTATCACACACGGATAGATTGATTTTCTTTAAAAAAATGATAATTACTAAAAGTTAAGATTATTAAAATTTGTCTTTTAAGATTATTTTTTGAAGTTTAGGATGAAGGTATAAATATGGTATTTTCATCAAAAATATTTATATCTCACACTTAACTTACCAGTTCTTCATTACAAACACTAGCTCCTCAAAGCCTTGAGTAGTGAAATTCAACGTTCCAATTTACTTGTATAGAAACAAATATGGAAGAATTAAGATTCCATATTTAAAAATTTGTTTTATTATTTTTCAGCATCTTCTAGGAGAGACCAATGTGCTGACAAATGGAGATTTTTGGAAATCTACTTTAAAGAATATGTAATATTTGCTTAAATAAACATAGTTACTAATAAGTAACTGAATAGTAACCACCAAAATATGAACCCTTTTAAGACAGAAAAACTCATTCATCCAAGTGGAGCTGTTCTTCAAAACAAACAGCTCAGAAATAAATATGCTTATCAATAACAACATATTTGTGTTTATATTTAATAAACCACTATCTCACATATTTTATTTAGTTCTTACTGTAACCTATGGCTTAGCTTGTTTTAATTTTCATTTTAGAAATGGAAAAAATGAAACTTTGAGCAAGTAAGCTGCTTAAAGTTTCACAGGTAATAGTTTCAGAGCTACAATTTAAGTGAGTTCCTATACTCCATGACCAGGGTTATTTCACCTTTGTCACAGCAAATTCCTTGTCAATCATAGTAATACTGTTTAAGCTCAAAGTATTAGTAGAATTTTGTTTTTGGAATCACCTTTGGAACTCATTTATGAATCATAGAGGAAAATCAGTTTCATTATTTTAGAGTTGCAATGTAGTTTTTGATCAGTTAAAGAAGTGTTAAAATGGATGACCACATCATCAGGTTATTCCCCCAAATCAAAGCCACTTTCAAATTATAAAGGTTTGCCATCCTGGAAAATGTTCAAATAAAGTCACTTGGTCTTAACAAAAAAATTCAAAATTGAAATTTCTGAACTGTTTTAATCAATGGCTGGATGGTTGAAATGAATATATAGTCTCATTCTGGGTACATTTGAATTGCTTAGAATCTTTTTTCTCTTCAATGAGAATAAATAACCCCCTGTAATTTTGCCTGCATTCTTCTTATTTTTAGTGTTATCTATGATACACTGAGGCAGGAATAGGCAGGAATTTTGTTCAGTCAAATTCTATAGTGGTATCACTTCCAAGAGGAAAAAAGTAAAATCAGTTAGGTGTAATAGATTGAGCTATTTCGCCTTAACAATACCTGAAACTTTTTTAACCAGACCTTTATAAAAGAGTGGGAGAGAGGAACTAAAAAGAGCTGAACTCAAATAACAGAACTGAATTTTTAGCTTAAATGTAAGCATCTATAGTAAACTTCAATTAATAAGCACCTTTAACTGCAATGTTGATCTGAATTTAATTCTATTCCATTTTACCATTAGGGAATTAATTTTATCCAAAGTATTTGCCTTTAATTCTTTTTCCTTTTTCATTGTCTGGAATTCATGCTAGATCAAGAGCTAAAATATTAAAGGCAAAGAATTTGGAGTCTTTGTGTCTGTAATTATTTAAAGCTGAATTTTCAGCATAGGAGAATTCACTACCAGATTTTCTGTAGTTCTAATTTACATTTTCTGATTCAATTTACAATTAGCAAGGCAAAATGAGCAGAGCATACTGTGACCCATCCCATTCAGTGTTTGGTAAACAGATTAATTCCAAGGCATCTAAGAATCAGCTAGGGATCATGTTTATAACGCCAACTTCTGCTCCTTCCCACTCCAACACCACCAAAAGAGACCCTACTGCAGTGGGTTTTGGGCTAGACCCAGGCAGAGAGTCCCCAAACCACCCTTTGAATGATATGAAATATAAACTTTTTCTGCTTTTACTGGGTTAGTAAACAAAGTTTAATGAACTCACCCTTGCTTTTGTTAAGATGATAACTTCATAGATGAATGCTATCCAAAAGTCCTTTCTCAAAAATTTCCTATAGTATCACATAGCTAACCATCATATCCCAATTGCCAATACTCGAGATTTTGCTGTACTTCATTTATTGCCTTTAGAACAAAAATATTTTAGAATGGTTTCTTTCTGATTATTAACAGATTTTGCATTAATTAAACATGTCAACTGAGAGGTTACTATGGTGTTTTCCTTTGGCAAGCATCTTGAAAAGTTTTGTCATTGTCTGTACTTTTTACCATAATGGTGGAAGAATTCAACAAATATTCTAAGTCTAAAGATATACAGTGCTTCAGGTCTCTTGTGTGGCTTGATAAGGCATGTAGATGAATACCTGGCTGACTAATGGAAATGTAAAGAAAACAGAGTTTTAGCCACAGGAAAGTTAGTGAATATGCCTTCACAAGTTTTAATAAAGATGTCATTCTCACATACTTTATTATTTCCCTTTTATAAAATGAAAGTAATTGGACAACTGGTTACTTGGAGCCCTCACTTCTGAAAATCATTTTTCTGGTGCTATGGGCTGCTGAGTGAGAATCTCTTTGGACCTGCTTCTCTCCTTTCTGTTCATTACTGGGGTTAATCAAAACCCAGACCTTTCTCCGACCTCAAACATATTACCATGATGGGCTGGGAAAATCGGTAAGTATATGTTTTCTTTGATTTTTCAGACTGCCTGTGTTTGGTAAAAGCAGGATGTAGAAGACAAAGAAATAATGAATTAGAGCTACCTGCAGGCCTTTCAGTCTTGTGCAAGCCCCAAGGAAAGAATTTCTCCAGTGGTAAAGACAAGAATGTATAGTTACTAAAGGTCAATTGCTTGTTCTGACAAGCTGCCCCTTTGGTGATGCTCTCTCTGCCCCACATTCTAGAGACCTGTCTGTTTTTCAGCAACTCGGCTATCCCTAAAAGGAAGCCTTCTTAGGATAAGAATGCTGGTTTCGTGTGGTCTTGCTGTGGGAGTTGCATTTTGGCTGTCTTCTTTTTGATTGCGCTAAAAGTGAAAATATTTGAAGGATCCACATAAAAAAGAATAAACTCCGAATCACATTGGGTAAACCCTGTTTTTCTAATCATTATAATTAAAAATCCAACACAGTACAATTTCATATTCTTGTCACCTTTACTATTTTCCTATGTAACACTTACTATTTAGAGCATCAGCCGAAGATCCAAAGGACATTTCCCTGAATATGATGCTTGAGCTTCCAGATAAGACAGAAAAAAGAAAACTCTATAGGGATTCTCTATACTTTCTGTTGAATTTTTTATAAACCTAAAACCGGTCTAAAAAATATAGTCTATTAATTTATTTAAATCTATTACTGAATTGACACAATATTTATGAATATGCTAAACTGCATCCTTAAATTTTATCTAATATGAATTACCTAATTTCATCTGGATAGGCATGTGCTCTTGAATTAAAATTTGCCAGAGGAAATTATTGCAAAAGCTTATAGCCATTTCGATAAAGTAGGTCTTCACTGGGTTTCTGAGTGCTATAGCAATGCATGAATGGAAAAAAGGGGGGAAGAACAGTTCTGATATTTCATTCACAAGTATGTGGAAGGGTATGAAATGAGATACTTAAATGTGAGAGCTCTATTAAACTGAGAAGGCTGTCAGAAAGCAGAGGCCAGACACATGATAAAATTGCTCTAAGACTTTTAGAAATTCTGACAAAAACTCATTCAATGAGTGGCGATCTGGAAAAGTTTGAAGTATCAATATAAAACACAGATAAATCTTATTTAGTAGCAGGAAGCTGGAAGACAGTTACCCTTGGAGATACTTGGAGGTATTAATTGATGAAAAGATACAGTATTCATTTGTTCATTCACCTGCCAAATACTTACTAAGTGCCTGTTTTAAAAGTGTGGTTCCCAAACTTTGCTGCGCATTAGAATCATCTAGGGAGTTTTTAAAAAATTCTGATACCCAAGTCACAACCCATATTCATTAACTCAGAATGCCTGGGGAGGGGAGCCAGGCATCAGTAAGTTGTTAAAGAGTAGCAGGTGATTCCAATATGCAGCCAAGGTTTAAGGCATTTATCCATCCAAAAAAAGTAAATTGTGCGTGATTGCTTCTCTTAAGGAACTTGAAATCTAGGAGAGACAATTAGTCATGTACAAAAGCAAATACAAAGTAGAATACAACACGTGCTTTATTTTTATTTGTTATTTATTTATTTATTTATTTATTTATTTGAGATGGAGTCTCACTCTGTTGCTCAGACTGGAGTGCAGTGGTGTGATCTCAGCTCACTGCAACCCCCACCTCCCAGGATCAAGCAATTCTCCTGCCTCAGCCTCCAGAATAGCTGGGATTAAAGGCACGTGCCACCACGCCTGGCTAATTTTTTGTATTTTTAGTAGAGACAGGGTTTCACCGTGTTAGCCAGGATGGTCTCGATCCCCTGACCTCTCGATCTGCCTGCCTCGGTCTCCCAAAGTGCTGGGATTACAGGCATGAGCCACTATGCCCAGCCAACATGTGCTTTAAATGCACTATCTCATTGTGAAGTTGGCTTGGTGAAGTATCATTTCTCAAACCAAGCAGCTCTGGGGTTCCAAGGACCTCTACAGAGAATACATTTGTAGTGATACAGTCATTTATAGGAGCCTTATTTCCAGAAAGAGGCAGCAAACTGGAAAGGGCTCAAAGAAAAGTAACAAAATGATTACAGGCCTGGGGGAATGGACTTATGGGGAGAGATGAAAAGACGAAATATGTATAACCTAAGTGACAATTAAAGATGGAGGGGTCATGATAACAGTCTACAAATACCTAAAGGGCGCGAACATGAAGGAAAGAAGTGAATTACTTTGGATAAGGAAAAACAAAGGGTGTTGGTTAAGAGTACTAGGACTGTATTATGAAAAAGAAAATGAAGGCACAGCGTCAGGCAATCCTTGCTGACCACTGGAGCTGGCTTCTAAAGGAGAAGGAGCAGCCACATTACTTGAGTTCCCATAAAACAAGTTTGGACAAACACTTAGGAAATAGATGATTAAGAGAAATTTTGTGTAACCTGGAAAATGGCAGGAGGTAGGAGGAGAGAAAACAACTGAAATCTTTTTCAACCCTAATACCAAAATTATGCTATAAAAAGTTCAAAGAACAGAAATTGAGAGGAGCCATTATCTTTAAATGTGATTGCAAATGAGGTTGATCCATTAGCTCTTATTAATGTGTTCATTATAGTTGCAGCAAAACACCATGGCACACATTTACCTATGTAACAAACCTGCACGTCCGGCACATGTATCCCAGAACTTAAAATAAGCCTCCCTCTCCCTCTCCCTCTCCCTCTCCCCTGTCTCCCTCTTTGCACGGTCTCCCTCTGATGCTCCCTCTCCCCTGTCTCCCTCTTTGCATGGTCTCCCTCTGATGCCAAGCCGAGGCTGGACTGTACTGCTGCCATCTCGACTCACTGCAACCTCCCTGCCTGATTCTCCTGCCTCAGCCTGCCAAGTACCTGGGATTGCAGGCGCGCGCCGCCACTCCTGACTGGTTTTCGTATTTTTTGGTGGAGACGGGGTTTCGCCCTGTTGGCCGGGCTGGTCTCCAGCTCCTGACCGCGAGTGATCTGCCAGCCTCGGCCTCCCGAGGTGCCAGGATTGCAGACGGAGTCTCGCTCACTCAGTGCTCAGTGTTGCCCAGGCTGGAGTGCAGTGGCGTGATCTCGGCTCCCTACAACCTCCACCTCCCAGCCACCTGCCTTGGCCTCCCAAAGTGCCGAGATTGCAGCCTCTGCCTGGCCGCCACCCCATCTAGGAAGTGAGGAGCATCTCTGCCTGGCCGCCCATCGTTTGGGATGTGAGGAGCCCCTCTGCCCGGCCGCCCAGTCTGGGAAGTGAGGAGCGCCTCTTCCCGGCCACCATCCCGTCTTGGAAGTGAGGAGTGTCTCTGCCCGGCCGCCCATCGTCTGGGATGTGGGGAGCGCCTCTGCCCCGCCAACCCGTCTGAGATGTGAAGAGCGCCTCTGCCCGGCTGCGACCCCGTCTGGGAACTGAGGAGTGTCTCTGCCCCGCCGCCACCCCGTCTGGGAGGTGAGGAGCGTCTCTGACCGGCCGCCCCTTCTGAGAAGTGAGGAGCCCCTCCGCCCAGCAGCCGCCCCGTCTGGGAAGTGAGGAGCCCCTCTGCCTGGCCGCCACCCCGTCTGGGGGGTGTACCCAGCAGCTCATTGAGAACGGGCCATGATGACGATGGTGGTTTTGTCGAATAGAACAGGGGGAAATGTGGGGAAGGGAAGGAGAGATCAGATTGTTACTGTGTCTGTGTAGAAAGAAGTAGACATAGGAGACTCCATTTTGTTCTGTACTAAGAAAAGTTCTTCTGCCTTGGGATGCTGTTAATCTATAACCTTACCCCCAACCCCGTGCTCTCTGAAACATGTGCTGTGTCCACTAAGGGTTAAATGGATTAAGGGCGGTGCAAGATGTGCTTTGTTAAACAGAGGCTTGAAGGCAGCATACTCCTTAAGAGTCATCACCACTCCCTGATCTCAAGTACCCAGGGACACAAACACTGCAGAAGGCGGCATGGCCCTCTGCCTAGGAAAACCAGAGACCTTTGTTCACATGTTTATCTGCTGACCTTCCCTCCACTATTGTCCTATGACCCTGCCAAATCCCCCTCTCCGAGAAACACCCAAGAATGATCAATAAATACTAAAAAAATTAAAATAAAATAAAATAAAATAAGCCTTGACCTCCCAGGCTCAGGTGATCCTCCCATGTCAGCCTCTCCGGTAGCTGGCACTACAGGTGCACACCACCACACCCAGCTAATTTTTGTATTTTCTTGTAGAGAAGGGCTCCCACCATGATTCCCAGGCTGGTCCCGAACCCCTGGGAAGGAGGGCTAAAGCTATCCACCCTCCTCTTCCTCCCAAAGTGTTGTGATTACAGTTGTAAGCTACTGTGCCTGGCCAAGAAAACAATTTTTAAAGAGGCTAGGTAATTCAAAGTCACACAGTTAATAATGGTGCAGTGAGAAATGAAAATGCTCACTCTGTGGCTTCAGAGCTTACACTCTCCTACTTTTATGGAGTACACTAAATTAGGAACCAGATAAAACTTGTCATCTTACAAATCCTCCTCATAAACCTTATCTGTAATATCAGGAGAAGAATACCTACTTTGTATAGTTATTGTGATGAATAAGTGATTTTTAAAAATATTTAGCACAGCCTGGTACACAGTGTATTTTCAAGATATGATAGTTTAAAAAAAAAAAAAAAAACCTAAAACCCACAAAACAGACATTTCAACATGAGTTTTTCTTCATACCTTCATACGTTTTGTATAAATCTGGCCATCTTTCATTCTTCTTCCTCCCACTCTCTGGGATTATATTGTTTTTATGCAATCGGGATAAACTAATAAACTAATTTTCATTATGATTTTATGTCTTCTTAAGAGATGTGCCTTGAACTTTGAAAGAATTGTGAGAGAAAAAGAGCGCCTGTGCAAACAATTTATTTTTCCAGGAAACATTAATCAAACCTCCATTCTAGGCAAGGGGCTCTACTAGGCAATGGGACTATAATAATAAAAAGGCAGATGAGGGTCAGCCCTCCTGGAGCTTACATTCAGGCAGAGAAGACACAATAAACAACAAACCAACAATGAATAAACAGACATCCATATAAACATTATAAAAGAAAGAAACTTGATGTTATACATGACAGAGGGGTGTGGTTACAGAGGATGATCAGAGAAGTCCTCTTTAAAGAGATGATTGTTAAGCAGATACCTATAAGACAAGGAGACACACAAAGAAAGTCTAGGAGGAAACTTTCACAGAGCGACCAGCAATTGCCAACTTCCTTAGGAAAGAGGTTAGAATGTTCTAGAACCTCAAAAAAGCTATGATGCATAATGAGTGAGGGTGAAGGTGGCATGAAATGAGGTTAGAAAGCTAGGCAGCTGTCATATCCTGCAGGAATCCTAGCTCATGATAGGAAGGAGGGTTTCATTATGCCCATGTTGGAAATGTTACAACCCTAAAGAGTTTGAAGTAAGGAAGTGACATGCTGTACTTAATATTATTAAAGGTTTACTCTAGCATGTAACTGCATAATAAATTATGTCCTGTGCTACAGGACAGTGATGAGGGGGAATTAAGAAGAATGGAAGAATAGGATAGTGTTTACACTTCTATAGCATTTATATTCATTTGTTGATTTTTTTAGATTGTTTAATGATTGTTAGTTGTCATTGTGTCTTCTCCACACTGAGAAGACTGGAAGTCTAAATATGAGATAAGAAGTGTTGAATTAGACTAGCATGGTGGCAATGGCTATGAGGAACAGTGTATAAATACAAGATATATTCTGGAGGTAGAATTGAAAGGCAGATTACTTTTTATTTTATTTTATTTTAAGTTCCAGGATACAAGGGCAGGACGTGCAGGTGTGTTACATAGGTAAAACTGTGCCATGATGTTTTGCCACACCTATCGCTATCCTATCGCCCCATCACCTAGGTATTAAGCACCACATGCATTAGCTCTTTATCCTGATGCTCTCCTTCCATTTGCCCCCCGAGTGTGTGTTGTTCTCCTCCCTGTGTCCATGTGTTCTCGTTGTTCAGCTCCCACTTATAAGTGAGAATATTAGAGAAATGCAAATCAAAATCATATTGAGATACCATGTCATGCCAGTCAGAATGGCAGGTTAATTTTGAAATGCCCTAAAACATCTAAGGGACCATGCCAAGTAGACAGCTGGATAGATGAATCTGCATGAAAAGGAGGTCGGGGCAGCCAGATACTAGTGTGGGGGACTGTGTGTTAACTCTATTTTCTTACTTTCTGTATTCTTGATGCTCTGGATTCCAGAGCCTCACTGACAAGGGATAGACTGCCCCTCCTGGGGCTAGCTAATTCCTAGAGATACCAAATGACTCCCTGTGGAGCACACCTTTCACATGCAAACCAGCTAATCCAGAGCCCACACCTCCAACTATCTCCTTTTTCACGCTCTCAATATTCCCCTGCCATTATCAACCCAGGGCCAGATAGCAGACAACTACAGACCACTCCTAGAGTGCAGAGTCCACTGAAATTACTCAGTCTAATCCTAAACCTGCTCAGCTTGCTTACACTGCCTTGCACATTCCTTCCCATGAAAATCACAATAAAGGTTACGGCCCATTCTTTCTTCTTGCTTCTTCTGCCTTCTGACCAACCCTGGTGTGGCGCGTGTGGCCCTGTGTCGTATGGCATGCCCCTTCCTCTTGAGAACTTTGTGTAACAAACCACCTTCAATGGCAAACCTCTCATGACCTGTCGATAAAAACAACCCCGACCCAGCCCCATTCAAAAGCAGATCCATTTTAAAAACAGGTTGTCCGTGATCAAATCAGGATAATTACTCTATTAATATGTACAAATATTGTGTCAATTTAAAAAATAACAGATTGTCAGCATAACAATGGCATTGAAAGCCTTTAGAATGATGGGGATCACTTAAGGGAAGTGTGTAGATAGAGAAAAGGAGTCACGAGGGCCACCAGGGGAGTCCCCAAAACTAAAGATCTATGTTTTGGATTTCAGACTGTGTGTCAACTGAGTTGAAGAATTATTTTCAAGCTTTCTCAGCACCTCAAAAATCATGCCACATAAGCCACTGCCTACTCTACGTAAGTGTAAGGCTGATCCTGTTTCAAAATGAGTAATCTTCACTAAGCCCACAAGCATAGTTGAGTTATCTTCCCAGAGAAATAACATGAAGTTAAAAGCCATCCACGTGAGGATACACCCAGTAGGCAGAAACACATGAGATATAAAGCAACCATCCCAATGTGCTGATAAGAAAGAAAAAAAAAAAACACGTAGGTAAAACTCCTACACTGACAGACATCCAGGGTCTCTGCTGAGATGTCAGGCAACCAAATGCACACAGAGCCATATCCCCAGAGCACGTCTCAGACCTGTGCCATTCCAGCACAGCGTTCTCACAGGTCTACGGTGAAATGAGAAAACCAGGCAGTGCATTTTCAACAAAGCTAAAAGTATTTATTTAAAAGAATTCCTTTGAATCTGAGATTATGACTTTTCTGCCTTTTTTGGTATTTAGATACCCTTCCTTTCACGAAATAGTGGCAAAAGTAGAGACAGTTTGTTACTTTTATACTTGACAAAAGAACAAACAGGCAGTCCCATAGAGGCCCTTCACATTTTTTACTCTTTTCTTTTTACTGGACCATAATTTAAAAATTTGGAAACCACTAATCTAAAAGATGTTACATACCCAGATATTTGAAAAAAAAAATCCACTATTTATAACCAGATTTCTGCTTTCTGTTTCATCCGGACAAATGGAGTAACCCAGACATAGCTCGAATGAGATTTCTCAACGCCACCCATGATATGGAGTTTCCATTTTGACAGGTTGGCCGTGAGTTAGGAAACTATTATCCCAGTGATGGAGGGAATGCGTACACATCCAGAGCTAAAGTGTTATGTTTTCTCAGATACTGACAAGTAGGGACAAAGGTTCAATGGTGACTAATGAATAAACTGTTAAGGTGGAGTCAGGACTTAATTGTTTAAAAGCAGTCACTTGAGGCATGTAGCTGCATTCACTGTGAAACCAAATCAAGCTTCTGATGATGTGGCAAGGACAGATGTATGTATTTATTTATTTAAACAAAAAGGCTTAGCACTTCATCAAAGTCTACTCTCCGCTTAAACTTTGAACAGCTACTATAAGGGGATGTAGGATGAACAAGTTATCTTTGGGTTTTTTGGGTTTTTTTTTGTTTTTTTTTTTTGCTAATTCTGGGAGTAATTACAGCATCAAATTTCTGGGTATGTTCTTCAATAAGTAGGTCAGGCTCAAATGTTTGGATACAGTAATTTAGGAGGAGGAGCTTGTCCTGAGGAGGTTGCTAGAAGGGAGATGAGGGAGACAGAGCCAAAGGCATAATAAATGATAAATTATGCATTAATCAGGCCACTCCTTCATTTTCCTATTGTGGTTAAGAGATTACAATATTAATCTAGCACTACCCATTTAATGTAATGAAAAGCAGTGACAAAGAAAACTTCTACTGTTTTCTATGGAAGAAGCGATGCAAAGCTTGAGAAATTGGCTGCAAGATTACCTACTGTCATTTCCACATTCACCTAAAGTGATCACACTTGAACCAAGACCATCACAGGAAAAGGGAGGATGTTTATCACTGGGATCTAGAACTCTGGCTTCCCTAATTTCTTCATGGACCAGAATGGAGCCTGCAGGCAGCACTATGGCCAGTCTGCACATACTGCATTAAAAAAAGAAAAGTGACATGACTTTTTGTTCTTGTTGGGGCTTTCCTTCAACTGTAACTAAAAAAAAAAAAAAAAAATACTGATATCAGACCAAAGGGGAAAAAGCCATATATTTTGTTTCTGTAAATATAAACACAGTTGTAGGGGCACACAGACATGATGTTGACGTATGTATGGGTGTTTGTATACATTTTTAGAGATGGGCATCGGGTAAATTAAAAACATAATTTCATTAGAAATTCAGAACCAGATTTATTCTTTTCAGTTACAAGACATAAAAGCTTCAATATAAAATAAAGTTGTATTTCTGTATTGAATTGTCTTGAACTTTTGTACTGAACCAATATAAAAATTGAACTGTTCTTTGGTATTGAACCAGAAAAAGACCGAATGGCCTCTCAGCCTGAAAATGGAAGTTCACCATTCAATTCCTAAAATAACTTGCTTACTACCATAACATTTGAACAAGAAATATTTAATTTTTAATGCTATTTTAAAAATCCATGTTGCTTGATCTCATATGTTTTAAACAAAGTTATACCAGGAGAAGAAACTCAAGAAATAAAGTTTTGTCCAAAAAAATCTCACTTATGGATCCTACTTTAATTCTGAATCATCTCTCAATTCTTTTAATATTCCTCTTGCTTTCATGGACCCATCTCTTATGTAATTTCTAGTGCTGCACTGGGGAGGCCCAGAAAGAAAAAAGTCACAGTTGGTTTGTCTCACTTCCCAGAGACAAAATGACATGGAACTCTGGGTAGTGAGATGTGGGACTGCTGAAGGAAAGAAAAAGAAGTTGTTCCAGCCCTTATGTGAGGATGCCACATTTATTTAAGAGGGGGTGGAGAAAGAGTAATTAAAGGACAGAATTCAAATTACAACTGAAATCTGTATCAGGCACTATCCTAATGCAGAAGCCCAGCAAGCAGAATACCAGCAAATGAAACACTAACAAGGGTAGCTGCTATCTCTTCAGACAAACCACTGGCAGCTGGGAGCCCACAGGATTTATTATGATCAATTAAGGGTGTGGTGGCCTGGGATAACAGAAGCAGTAGTCCTTGCAACATGGATGTGGAATGGAACATTACGAAAAACACCCCGTTTTTAGAGCTCACATTTTCCCCCAGCAAAACCAGCTCATGCTCACATTTAAGCATGTGTCTGTTTATCCGAAAGCCTTCAATTCTTGCCTCTTGAAATGAAAAATAAAAATTTAAAACAAAAAGAGGATTAGGGGCTTGTTGGGTGATAAAGTATGAACTAATTAAGATAACATTTAGAAAATAAAAGCATTAATGAAATTTTAGTTCCCAAAGAGATAAAATGTTTCTATTCTCATTTAACGGATGATAAAAATAAGTTTTACAGAAGGAATCGAGAAATCTGAAAAGCATTAGAAAAGTGTCAGACATTGAAACAAATCACTCCGAGAATGCTCCTACTGTATAAAAATTAGACTCATCTCACCTCACTCCTCACCTTAAATCTGCCTGATATACTCTGAACAAGCTAGATCAGGTTATCTGAGAACCTCTTTAGAGTCCTGAAGGTTAATCCTGTTCTTGCCTCATTAGGAAACATATGACTCTCTTCTCCCATCTCTTTTAAAACTGAGGGTACCACCAACACCCCAACTGGAGCACGTACAGTTTCTGCTGACATTCCTAAGCCGGTCAGCCAAAGGACTCTGCTGTTTGTGAGCAGACACTCCTAGCACTGGGTGCTGGCTGGCTGACAAGTAGCAAGTAAGGAGCAATGAAGAGATTCCTTTATTCCCTGAAAAACTGGAAACCTACAGCAAAGTGGCCTGACTCCTGCAGAGAGATTGGCAAATGCACAAATAAAATTTTCCCAATTTTAAAAAAACCATGCACATGTGAAGAATAAACCTCTTATCATCTGAATAATAACAATACCCCAAGAACACTCAACACTATGCCAGACACCATGTGAAACACCTTGTAGGCCTCGTCTAAGGGAAACTTCAGAACCACCCTAATGAAAATGATGCTTTGCATGTGACAATAAGCAGAGGCATCTGAGCCTCACACACGTGGATTCAAATCCTAGTTACCCAGTTCCAAGTTGTATAACTTTAGAAGACTGACTGTGTTTCTCAGTTTTAACTTATTCACCCTTCAGAAATGGGCTCTAGCCCTTCAAATAAGACAATCCTATAAGCATTTATTCTACCTCCAAAATCCACCCTAGATGTGTCCAGTTTCTCCATCTGTACAGCCTCAACCCAAGTTTAAGGGGCAGATCTAGGTTTTGTGAGGCCTGAGGGTTGTGCAGTTTGGGAGGCCACATTTAAAGAAAGGGCTGAGAATACAAAAGCTAAGAATACATTTAAGAATACATCTAAGAATACAGAAAGGGCTAAGAATACAAAGCTAAGAATACAAAATTAGGTTAAAAAATACTATGTACTTACAGTGAGAAGAGAAATTACAGGCTTGAAAACAAATTTTTAAAGCTATTTTGAAATACTGCAAACTTTACAAAAATTCAGAAAAATAATATACCATTTTTATTAATTGACATGTTGACACACCTCCATAATTTTTCCTGAATGCTTTGGCTGCATATTCTTTGATCACCTCTTCATATGACAAAAATTTTGTAAAATACCTTTTGATAAAGACAATGGATAACACAATCTTTCTTCTGGCAAGTTGAGGATAATCACCATGTTAGTCTAATATCACGCTGCTATAAAGAACTACCCAAGACCAGGTAATTTATAAAGGAAAGAGGTTGAATTGACTCACATTTCTACATGGCTTGGAAGGGCGCGGGAAACTTACAATCATGGCAGAAGGTGAAGAAGGCACATCTTACATGGCGGCAGGTGAGAGACAGTGTGTACAGGAAAAACTACCATTTATAAAACCATCAGAACTCATGAGAATTCACTCACTATCATGAGAACAGCATGGGGGAAACCGCCCCAATAATCCAATCACTTCCCTCCCTAGACACATGGGGATTACAATTCTGGATAAGATTTGGGTGGGGACACAGAGCCAAACAATATCAGTCACTGAAGGCTTAAAGTATTTATTTCAGCTATACATGTTATTGTAGTATTATGCAAACATTAGAGATTTTTGTCAAATTTGGAAAGACTACTTTCTCATTTCTTTCGTAGATGAGCTGTAAGATTTAGGAGCATTTCAAGTTTTCTGTGACTAATCATAGTTACAGAGGTGATTAGTGACTAATTTAAATGACTAATCTTAAATACTCTTTGAATCAGCAAAACTCATTAAGCAGTTTGTTGTTGATGTTCTACTTGAGAATGGTGTGTTAGGAGTTTTATTTTCATCTTGTGAAACAACAAGAAATTTAAATATTTTACGAATATGTTTATATGATCTTCTCCTCTTCATTAACTGGATTATCAAGCAATCAATGAACTGTCAGTTTCAGTCATCTCTTGGTAATTGGAACCAGGACCCCCCTCAGATACCAAAATCTGGGTGCTCCAGTCCCTCATATAAAATGGCATAGTGTTTGCCTACAATCTACACACATCCTCCTGTATACTTTAAATTGTCTCTGGATTACTTATCATACATAATACAATGTAAATGCTATGCAACTAATTGTTATACCACATTGTTTTATTTTTATTATATTGTATTGTTGTATTAATTTTTGTTTTTTTGTTTTTTTGTTTTGTTGTTTTTGTTTTTGTTTTTGTTTTTTTTTTTTGAGACAGAGTCCCGCTCTTTAGCCCAGGCCGGATTGCAGTGGCACAATCTCGGCTCACTGCAAGCTCCGCCTCCCAGGTTCACGCCATTCTCCTGCCTCAGCCTCCCGAGTAGCTGGGAGTACAGGTGCCCGCCACCGCGCCCGGCTAATTTTTTGTATTTTTAGTAGAGACGGGGTTTCACCATGTTAGCCAAGATGGTCTCGATCTCCTGACCTTGTGATCCGCCCGCCTCGGCCTCCCAAAGTGCTGGGATTACAGGCGTGAGCCACCGCGCCCAGCCTGTTGTATTAATTTTTATTGTTGGTTTTTCTCCCTGAATATTTTTGATCTGTGATTGGTAAATCTGTGGATGCAAAACCCACAGATAAAAGGATTGACTGTACTTCTCAAAATTTATCTCTTCCTCTTAATGAATTAGTGAAATTTGAAAATTTGGGGGTTACATAATTCACTTCTGAATGTTTTATATCTTTGTTTTATATCTCATTACTTCCCAATCTATATTTCTTTGGCTCTCCAGTAAATGTAAAGATTATCAAGTAAGTTCACTTTCTTTGTTTAATGGAACTGTTCCATAGCATCTTTGCAAATCATAGTTACAATGATATATGGCTGACTCACCTCACCCTTGACAGGATCCCAAAAATACCCACAGCCACTCCACTATCACCCCACCCAAGTGGAAGCATGGGTGGGTAGCAGAGTCAGAATAGAAAGGAACAGCTGTCTTAACAGTTAGCAGCTAAAATGTCTTGTTTTTGCAAATATCACGAAGACATATGACCCATGAATACATCACTAAGGCTCTTCTCCTAGCCTAAGAAGAGGTCTATGTAAGCAAGGGACCTTTCATTAGCTTCAAGATAAACCCATCCAGGCCACCACCACCTCTCAGCTGGGCTATTTTAGTAGCTTCCTAACTGCTTTCTGTGTTTTCACCCTTACTTATTCTCCTATAATTTACTTCCATGCAGCACCCTGAGAGACGTTTAAATATGTAAATTAATTTATGTCACTCTCCTGCTTAAAACCTTTCAGTGACTTTCCATTGCATATATTACACTAGCCAAACTCCTTATTACCAAATACTTGTCCTGCAATCTAGATGCTGCCTAGCTCATAGACTCATCTCATATCTCCTCAAAGCACCCCCATTGCTCACATGCTGTTGTTACACTGGCCTTGTTCTCATGCTTAAGTGCTCTACTACCCCAGTGAAAATTATGCAACAGTGTTTCAGGAACAATAAAGCACTATATCCACGTGAACTATGACTATTATCAGAGTCAGGAATAGAATGCCTGTGACTAAAATGGCTGAGGAAGAAAAGTTGTAGATTTTGATTCTTGCCAAAGTTTCTTACTACTATAAACACTGTTCTGAACCTCCACAAATGGAACTGCTGAAAATACAGGTCCAAGTCTTACAGCCATATAGCAAGTCACCATATGTGTGCATATGGTACACGTGTATATATACAATATGTGTAAGCAAATGGAAAGGGTATTTAGCTATAGTAGCTTGCCTACATTACAGATATTTTATCAAATTACAGTCTACATTTAGCAATCTAGTTAGTAATTAAAATACAACGTATGGCACCGTGCTACTTAAAGTGAAATAGCAATACAAAGTTTTGAGATTTTAGTCAATGATTTCTAATAATCCTCCTTTATCAGAAAGAGTCAATGTTTTTCAACATTATCTAGTATTAATGTGGCTGCTCTCCCCAGTTGAGAGATGAAAAGATTGAAGAATAAAGAGCTGGTTCAGGTCATGTGTAATCAATAGAGTGGCCAAAAAAGGTCTTGTTGTTCCTGGTCTTGAGAGTATTTGTTCCCTTGCCACACTGGATTTATTTCCTGAAGACAGCAACATCAAGTATTTTTCAGCAACATAAAACCCAACTCAAAGACACACATGAAAATTTGGTGACCAGATGAATATAGAGAATTGATAACAATGAAGAAAAAAATGCAGAAGACCACACAGGTGGGAGATTATTATAACTCCAGAAAGATGAAGAATCTGGGGTTTACAGGGGAGCACAAACTTTGAAAATGTCCATAATAACTTTCATTTTTATATATCACACATGACAGGCTTCTCATTGTTCAAATATGGTCTCTACAACATTAAATCACTTAGCATTGTCTAATAATTATTTCTTTAGATGATTTACCACTTTTACAGTACTGGATTTTGCACAAGTTCTGCTTTCTCTCTCTGAATTTCAAGGCTCAGCTCATCTTTGTATTCAGTGACTTCCACAGTCTGATCCAAACTTAGGTATTGCCTGACTTAAACTTCCCCTAAACAAATATTATTTGTATGTCAAATAAGTTTCATATAGTTCCCTTTATAGGTCATGATTATTCTACTTTTCATTGCTCAAATGTTCACTGAAATCCTTTCTATTACCTCTGTTGATCCAAGTCCACTTTCCTTCCAAGATGATGTCAAATCCTTTTCCACAATGTCACTGCTTAGAAATGCCTATAGCTATATCCGCATGATTTTTTATTGTAAAGTATACATTTCCATCTGTCTAAGATGTTTTATTGCCATAATACTGTAAACTTCATTAGAATGGGGACTTTTAAAATACTCTATAGTGTCTAGTATTAAACTAAGCACATAATAGGCACCTGTTAAATATGAATTTATCCTCTTAGCAAAGTTAAACCACTACATTTCTATTAATATTTTTCTAACTTTAGACATTATTGTATTCCACTGAAGTCTCTAGAGTCAGACTGCAAGATTTAGAATCACATTTAGCCCTTTCATTTTCTGGCTTTGTTACCATAGATGAGCTACTTTATTTTTCTGGGTTTTGATTTTCTCAACTACAAAAGGATGATAATAAGAGTAGCTATGTTGCAAGGTTAGTGTCAGGATTAAATGATGGTGCTTAACATAATACCTGGCACATTGTAGTTTTCAATAAATAACATCTGTTGTTATTATTACTACTATCTGTTCCTTATTCTAAACACACATCATTCATGCTTATATGCACTCTCCCAATTAAACATCATTCTTATATTTTTGAATATTTATTTGAAGTTTTACATATGTTTGCCACTTTATTCTTATTAGCGTTACTTCTTATCTATCACATCTCCTTCTAGGATCATGTTCCTTTTTCCTGCAGAGCATATGGTAGACACGGAAGTTCCCAAAGTGTGATACAGAGAACTTGCGGGTGCTTGAGACCTTACCAATGGATCCGTGAGGTCAAAACCATTTTCATAAGAACACAAAAAATTATCTGCCTTTTCCCTTCTTACTCTCTTCATGAAGTCTTCCAGAAGTGCATGGCATAGGATATCAAAAGAGATTGAGTGTAAACAAGATATGTGAATTACACTGTCTACTACTAAGACAGAAATTAAAGCTATTTTATTAAAATGTAAAACTATGTCATTCTCACTATTTTTAAAAAATATATAATTTTCATAAAAATGTTGCATTTAAATTAACACATAATAGGTTTACTATTATTTTAAATGAATTGATAAATATTATTTTTAATTTCTCAGTTTTAAAACTTTATATGTAGGCCGGGTGCGGTGGCTTATGCCTGTAATCCTAACACTTTGAGAGGCCAACACAGGTATATCACTAGAGCCCAGGAGTTCAAGACCAGCCTGGGCAATGTAGTGAAACCCCATCTCTGCCCATGAAAATACAAAAATTAGCCAAATGTGGTGGCATGCACCTGTAGTCTCAGCTAATCAGGAGGCTGAGGGGAAGGATCACCTGAGCCCAGGGAGGTCAAGGCTGCAGTGAGCTATGATCACGCCACTGCACTCCAGTCTGGGTGACAGAGAGAGACCCTGTCTCAAAAAGATAAACAATAAATAAAAAATACATAAATAAATAAAACTTCATATAGTAAATATTGATAGCTACAACTCACATAAACAAAAGTTCTTTAGGCCCCTCAATAATTTTGAAGTGCATGAAAAGGGCTGAAGACCAAAACATTTGGGAAGCCCTACTTTAAAGTTTTCTGCAAACCATGGTTTTGGTGGACTTTGGTAGTAAATTTAGTTTTAACTTTAATTTTTCTGAAAATATCTTAATTTTGCCCTCACTCATGGATGACAGTTGTGCTAAGTATAAAATTAAGCTGAGAGTTATTGTTTCCTCTCAACTCTTTGAAGACAGTATTCCATTGTCTTTTTACTTCTGTTACCGCTGTTGACAAGGATGCTGTCATTTGACTTCCTGTTTTAGTTTAATTGCTCTTTTTTTCTGGTTGCTTTCAAGTTGTTTTTTTTCCTTCTTCTTCAACATTCTGTAATCTCAGAAAAATGTGTCTAGGCATGAATTTCGTTTTTATTTATTCTGCTTAGGATACATTATGGGTTCAAAATCTGAGGATTTATGGGTTTTTTTCATCAGTTCTGGAGAATTCACATCCATTATCACTACTCTTCCATTCTCTATGTCAGACTTTTTCATTCTAGCCTTGATCTAATAAGCTACTTAACAATCTTTTGGGTTTTATTTTTTATGATTTCAACAATGTTTTTTATATTTAGAATTTTTCACTTTTCATTTTAATGTGTTTTTTCTAACAAATTTTTGTTGATTAGCAAACTCTTTGCATTTTAACATCTTTGTTACATATAGAGTTGGTACATATAATACTCTACATAATATACTATATGTCTACACTATGTCTGAAAAACTCAAGTATCTTAGGAGCCTAAATATGTTATCCATCAGTTCAAGAAATCTAAATCAGAGTGGCTGCCTCATACATTTGAAGATCTTTGATTGTGAGCTCATTTCTTCATCTTAATTGTATAATTCCTGTACCTCATTGGGAACCAGGGAAACTTTTCTGCAGGAAAGATTTGCTCCTGCAAATAACCAGGGGATGCAACTGACCCAGGTCTACTATATCTCTGGTGAGTGTCTCAGCTCATCCTGGGAGATCCAAGCTCCCTCATTATTTATCCTGATGCCTGGAAAGTCACCATCAGAAAATTTTACCTAAAGATTATGAAACCATGTATACTTTCAATAAGTCTCTGTTAAAAAGCAAATGAGTTCAAGAGGGATACTACTCTTGAGTTATGAGGTGCCTTCCAATAAAGGAACAGTAGACAGATTAATAAGAGCAATGTCCTACAAAACTGCTTAGAGCTGAATTTTCAGAGGACATTTCTGCAGGTTCATAATAGTAAAAACTAAAGATCTTTTATATCTATATAGAATGAAGATGACAAATTAATGTCACCTCACATGCCAAATCCAACCAAGTGGCAGTGGTGTACAGAGTGCTATATTAAGGAGTCTGTTGTCTTCTTTGGGCCCAGCAGAAACAAGTGCCATAAAAACTTGGTAATGTAATAAGAGCACTCCTACGTACCAGGCACTGCTCTAATTACTTTGCATGCATCAATTAATTAAATCCACACAATAATCTTATTCTCAGTTTTTATTTTACATTTACAGTTGAGAAGATGGACTCTGGTTAAATAACTTGCCTGAAGCCATGCAGCAAGTAAATGGTGGATCTAAGTGCTGAACATGGAAAGTCCAGCTTTAAGGCTGTCTGCATAATCATTACACAATAGTGCCCCATAAATTAGAGCAGATAAACAGAGTGAAAGGGACAAATCATTCCTCTCTGTGCATACAATGGTGCAAAACTAGGATCTTTACATGTTTTATCTTCAGATAAAATGAGAACTGGAGCCTGTTTCTTATGTTATCTGGTGGTCTCTACTGGTCTAACATCTGGATCAGAAATACAAGGTTCTTCAAATGACTTAGAAATCATTTAGGAAGGCCCCATGCCATGACTGTTGATGGTGACCATTGAGATCAGGTTAATTGCTGGTGCCACTTGCTTTTAACAAAAAGAATTTTCACACAATCAGCAAATAATCAAATAACAGAGGGATCCCCAACTCCTGGGCTGCAGACCAGTACCAGTCCATGGTCTGTTAGGAACCAGGCCACACAGCAGGAGTTGAGTGGCAGGTGAGTGAGCATTACTGCCTGAGCTCCACCTCCTGTCAGATCAGCAGTGGCATTAGATTCTATAGGAGCATGAACCCTCTTGTAATGTGCACATGCAAGGGATCTAAGTTGCATGCAACTTATGAGAATCTAATGACTGATGATCTGAGATGGAACAGTTTTGTCCTGAAACAACCCCCACCCACCACGACCATTGTCTTCCACAAAACCCATCCCTGGTGCCAAAAAGTTGGAGACCACTGATACAACATACAACAATTAGTACTGAGTGGATCTTCCTGAGAAAATGTTTCCAGTAGAACATTCATCTGGGATCCAAGGTTAAAAATGCACCAGATGTGCCTACAGAACACTTCTTAGAATATTTGTGACATTTTTTGGTTTACAATTATTCCTATGCCTCAGACTATACAGTCCTCACAGCTAACTTTATAGCACATTCATAACTGCATCCATAGCCTGGTTATATGCCTGACTACTGGTTTCTTCTTCATTATTGTGTATGTAATGAATGAATGCATGGACTGTTAATGTTTAGCCTAAAACCAGAGAACAGTCTGCACATTAATGCAGACTGTGTTTCTATCCTAAGCTTCTCATTGTGCTATCAACACTTCTGGCTCTTAAGAAAGAGTAAAATGAGACATACTCACAGACACTCTCTCTCTCTCTCTCTCTCTCTCTCTCTCTCTCTCTCTCTCTCTCTCAGTTTGGCTGATTTGACTTAGCAGAATTATTAAAACTCATCCCACAGACCCCATTTTAGATTTTTAACTGTAAAGACAAGATGACTCTCGGATAAAATTTTCTCCATTTCGGAACTATTTCCATTTGCAATTTATATTTGATTTTGAAATACGTAAAACAGGCATAATTTTTGTCTTAAAATGTATAAATAGGTGGAAGAATATATTTATCTTGTTTTTATTTTTTAAAGAGCTCAGTACTATTAAAGCATTCAAAGGAAAACTTACAAATGAAGAAATACACACATATCTCTGAGTTCCCAGGACCACAAAAAGCAACCACTTGTTTCGCTGATGTTACACATTATGTTTCTAGGATCACGTGTGATGTGTTTCCCACACTTACAGCACCTCTATATGTCTCCCATAAAGTTACGTATAAGGTGTTTTGCTAACTGTAGGATACATATTTGTATCTTTTTATATGCATTCATATTATTTATTCATAGATTCCTCAGATAATAAATTGGCAAGCGTTTTATTTTCCTCATTCTTATAGGTTTGCATTATAGTATGTTCCCCTTTGGCAAAGGTTTCATAATTACAGATCCTCAAAGGTGTAATCAGAATATATGTGTGTATGTGTGTGTGTGTGTGTGTGTGTGTGTACACAGTCAGGCATTGCTTAACAACAGGAATGCATTCTGAGAAATGAGTCGTTAGGCAATTTTGTCATTGTGCAAACATCATAGGGTGTACTTATACAAACCTGTATTGTATACCCTGCTACAAACCTAGGCCGTATGGTATAGCCTATTGCTCCTGTATTAGTCCATTCTCATGCTGCTGATAAAGACATATCCAGACTGGGTAATTTATAAAGGAAATTATAAATTTCCTTTATAATTATAAAGGAAATTATAAATTCATTGACTCACAGTTCAGCATGGCTGGGGAGGCCTCAGGAAACTTAAAATCATGGCAGAAGGGGAATCAAACACGTTCTTCTTTTTTGATAGAAGCGAAGAGAAGTGCCGAGCAAAAGGAGGAAAAGCCCCTTATAAAATCATCAGATCTCGTGAGAACTCACTCACTATCATGAGGACAGCATGAAGGTAACCACCGCCATGTTCAATTACCTCCTACCAAGTCCCTCCCACTACATGTGGGGATTATGGGAACAACAATTCGAGATGAGATTTGGGTGGGGACACAGCCAAACCATATAATTCTGCCTGTGACCCCCTCCTAAATCTTACCTCCTCACATTTCAAAACATAATTATGCCTTCCCAACAGTCCCCCAGAGTCTTAACTCATTCCAGCATTAACTCAAAAGTCCAAGTCCAAAGTCTCATCTGAGACAAGGCAAGTCCCTTCCACTAGAAGCCTGTAAAATCAAAAGCAAGTTAGTTACTTCCTAGATACAATGGGAGTACACCATTCCAAATGGGATAAATTGGCCAAAACAAAGGGGCTAGAGGCCCATGCAAGTCCAAAATCCAATAGGGCAGTCATTAAATCTTAGAGTTCCTAAACGATCTCCTTTGACTCCATGTCTCCCAGGTCACACTGATACAAGAGGTGTATGTACGGCCTTGGGCAGCTCCACACATGTGGCTTTGCAGGATACAGCCTCCCTCCCAGCTGCTTTCACTAGCTGGCGTGAAGCGTCTGTGGCTTTTCCAGGTGCATGGTGTAAGCTGTCAGTGGATCTACCATTCTGGTGTCTGGAGGATGGTGGCCCTCTTCTCACAGCTCTACTAGGCAGTGCCTCAGTGGAGACTCTGTGTGGGGGCTCCAGTCTCACATTTCCCTTCTACACTGCCCCAGCAGAGGCTCTCCATGAGGCTTCTGCCTCTGCAGCACACCTCTGCCTGGACATCCAGGCGTTTCCATACATCCTCTGAAATCTAGGCAGAGGCTCCCAAACCTTAATTCTTGTCTTCTGCACACCCACAGGACCAACACCGTGTGGAAGCTGCCAATGCTTGTGGCTTGCACCCTCTGAAGCCATGGCCTGAGTTGTACCTTTGCCCCTTTTAGTCACGGCTGGAGTGGCTGAGACACAGGGCACCAAGTCCCTAGGCTGCACACAGCAGGGGCAGCCTGGAACCAGCCAAGGAAACCATTTTTTCCTCCTAGGCCAGGCTTGTGATGGGAGGGGCTGCTCTGAAGGTCTCTGACATGCCCTAGAGACATATTCTTCATCGTCTTGGCAATTAGCATTTGGCTCCTTGTTGCTTATGCAAATTCCTGCAGCTGGCTTAAATTTCTCCCCAGAAAATGGGTTTTTCTTTTCTACTGCATCATCAGGCTGCAAAATTTTCAAACTTGTATGCTCTGCTTCCCTTTTAAATATAAGTTCCAGTTTCAGATAATCTCTCTCAAGTTCAAAGTTCCACAAATCTCTAGGGCAGGAGCAAAATGCTGCCAGTCTCTTTGCATAGATAGAGTGACTTTTACTCCAGTTCCCAAGAAGTTCCCCATCTGCATCTGAGACCACGTCAACCTGGACCTAATATTGTCCATATTACCATTGCCATTTTGGACAAAGCTATTCAACAAGTCTCTAGGAAATTCTAAATCTTCCCACAGTTTTCTATCTTCTTCTGAGCCCTCCAAATGGTTCCAATCTCTGCCTCTTAGCCAGTTCCAAAGTCACTTCCACATATTTGGGTATCTTTACAGCAGTACCCCTCTCCTGGTACCAATTTACTGTATTAGTCTGTTCTCACACTGCAAATAAAGATATACCCAAGACTGGGTAATTTATAAAGGAAAGAGGTTTAATTGACTCATGGTTCCACAGGGCTGGGGAGGCCTCAGGAAACTTATAATCATGGCAGAAGGGGAAGCAAACACATCCTTCTTCACATGGCAGAAGAAAGGGGATGAATGAGTGCCCAGTGAAGGAGGTAGCCCCTTACAACACCATCAGATCTCATGAGAACTCACTATCACCAGAACAGCAAGGAGGTAACAGCCCCCATAATTAAATTACTACCTCCCACTGGGTCCCTCCCACTACAGGTGGGGATTATGTGAACTACAATTCAAGATGAGATTTGGGTGGAGACACAGCCAAATGATATCAGCTCCTCAGCTACAAACCTGTACAGCATGCTACTGTCCTGAATACCGTAGGCAATTTAACACAATACTAAATATTTGTGTATCTGAACACAGGAAAGGCACAGTAAAAATACAGTTTTAAAAACTTACAGGACCACTGTCATATATGCAGTCTGTTGTCAACCAAAACATTATGTAGCACATTACTGTATATAATTTTTTCCATCTTTACATCACTTGGGAACATACAATATAATTCAACTATCCATTCACAATAAAATTAGTGAGTTGGATAAAAATTGTGTGGATAATGAATGAAAATCTTAGTTAATAAAAAAAGCAAATATTTCTAAAAGTGTTATGTACATTTCCTGCCTTCTACAACAGATTCCTGTGGACATCATTTAATCATTTTTTGGTAAATTTAGGATAAAGGTTGCTTATTCCGCATTTTTATAGGACACTTATAACCAAATTTATTCATTCAACAAATGCCTATTGATTGTTTAGTATGTTCAAATGATAAAGTTAGGCTCTGGGCTACAAACGTTATTTTTAAAAAAAAGGATTCTTTTCTGTCTCAACCATCTCAATAGTCTGGCAGGGAACAAAGTAATGTGTCCCCAGTTAGTTGTAATAATAAATGCAATAGCTTTGGTAGGCCAAGATGGCCCATTGGAAGCAGCTGCAGTCTGAAGCGCTCACAGAGAAGAAAAAAAATGATGAGTAAATTCTACATCTTCAGCTGAGGTATCCAGGTTCTCACTTTGGGACTGACTAGGCAGTCAACACAGCACATGGAGAGTCAGGAAAAGCAGAGTGGGGTGACAGCCCATCTACGAGCAGCACAGAACCAGGAGAACCCCTACCCCCAGCTAAGGGAGGAGGTGAGTAATTTTATGACCCAACCTGGGGAAACCACACTTCTCCCACAGATCCTTGCAACTCATGGAGCAGGAGATCTTCTTGCAAGCCCATGCCACCAGGGCCTTGGGTCTGAAGCACAGAGCTGTGCAACCAAATACCAGATACTGGCAAACCAAATCCAGCAGCACATCAAAAAGGTTATCCACTACAGTCAAGTAGTCTTCATCCTCAGGATGCAAGGCTGGTTCAACATATGCAAATCAATAAACATAATGTATCACATAAACAGAACTAAAGACAAAAGCCACATGATCATCGCAATAGATACAGAAAAGGCCTTTGATAAAATTCAACATCCCTTCATGTTAAAAACTCTCAATAAACTAGGTATTGAAGAAATACGCCTCAAAATAATAGGAGCCATTTATGACAAACCCACAGCCAGTATCATACTGAATGGGCAAAAGCTAGAAGCATTGTCTTTGAAAAATGGCACAAGACACGGATGCCCTCTCTCACTACTCCTATTCAACATAGTATTGGAAGTCCTGGCCAAGGCAATCAGACAAGAGAAAAAAATAAAGCATATTCTAATAGGAAGACAGGAAGTCAAATTGTCTTTGTTTGCAGATGACATGATCCTATATCTAGAAAACCACATCATCTCATCCCAAAAGCTTCTTAACCTAATAAGAAACTTCAGCAAAATCACAAGATATAAAATCAATGTGCAAAAATCACAAGCATTCCTATACACCTACAACAGACAAGAAGAGAACCAAATCATGAATGAACTTCCATTCACAGTTGCTACAAAGAGAATAAAATACCCAGGAATACAGCTAATAAGGGAAGTGAAGGACCTCTTCAAGGAGAACTACAAACCACTGCTCAATGAAATCAGAGAGGACACAAACAAATGGAAAAACATTCCATGCTCATGGAAGAATCAATATTGTGAAAATGACCCTACTGCCCCAAGCAATTTATAGATTCAATGCTATTCCCATTAAACTACCATTGACATTCTCCACAGAATTAGAAAAAACTATTTTAAAATCCTTATGGAATCAAAAGAGCACAGATAACCAAGACAATCCTAAGCAAAAAGAACAAAGCTGGAGACCGTATAGCCGAGACAATCCTAAGCAAAAGAAGAAAGCCACTACCCAACTTCAAACTATACTACAAGGCTACAGTAATGGTAGTGGTACAAAAACAGAACAAAGACCAATAGAATAGAATAGAGAACTCAGAAATAAGACCACACAGGTACAACCGTCTGATTTTCAACAAATCTGACAAAAACAAGCAATAGGGAAAAGATTCCCTATTTAATAAGTGGTGCTGGGAGAACTGGCCAGCCATATGCAGAAAATTGAAACTGGACCCCTTCCTTACACCTTATACAAAAATTAACTCAAGATGGATTAGGACTTATTTGTAAAACCCCAAACTATAAAAACCCTAGAAGAAAATCCGGATAATACCATTCAGGACATAGGCACAGGCAAAGATTTAATGATGAAACCACTAAAAGCAATTGCAACAAAAGCAAAAATTGACAATGAGATCTAATTAAACTAAAAAGCTGCTGCACAGCAAAATAAACTATCATCAGAGTGAACAAACACTCTACAAAATGGGAGAACATTTTTGCAATCTGTCCATCTGACAAAGGTCTAATATCCAGAATTTACAAGGAACTTAAACAAATTTACAAGAATAAAATAAACAACCCCATTAAAAAGTGGGCAAAGGACATGAACAGACACTTCTCAAAAGAAGACATTCATGTGGCCAACAAATATGAAAAAAAGCTCAACACCACTTACCATTAGAGCAATGCAAATTAAAGCCACAACGAGATACCATCTCATGACAGTCAGAATGGCAATTATTAAAAAGTCAAGAAACAACAGATGCTGGCAAGGTTGCAGTGAAAAAGAAAAGAAACGCTTTTACACTGTTGGTGGTTATGTAAATTAGTTCAACCATTGTGGAAGACAGCGTGGCAATGCCTCAAAAATCTAGAAGCAGAAATACCATTTGATCCAGCAAACCTATTACTGGGTATATACCCAGAGGAATATAAATCATTCTATTATAAAGATACATGCACACATATGTTTATTGCAGCACATTTCACAATAGCAAAGACATGGAATAAACCCAAATGTTCATCAACAGTAGACTGGATAAAGAAAATGTGGTACACATACACCCTGGAAGACTATGCAGCCATAAAAGGGAACAAGATCATGCCCTCTGCAGGGACATGGATGGAGTTGCAAGCTGTTATCCTCAGCAAATTAATGTGCAGGAACAGAAAACCAAATACCGTATGTTCTCACTTATAAGTCAGATCTGAACAACGAGAACACATGGACACATGGGGGAGAGCAACACACACTGGGGCCTGTCCACAGGGGCGGGGGAAGGGAGAGCATCAGGAAGAACAGCTAATGGGTCCTGTGCTTAATACCTGGGTGATGGGTTGATCTGTGCAGCAAACCACCGTGACATTTGTTTACCTATGTAACAAACCTGCACATCCTGTGCATGTACCATGGAACTTAAAATCAGAGTTGATAAAAATAATAATAACAATAATTAATGCAATCAATCACACATTAAAGAAAAATTTTTAAGGAGGTGATATTTTGCCACGTAGCCTGGTCATCAAAAAACAAAAATATTCTAGCAGATATAAAAGAGGATTAAGATACCCTAGGCAGGGAATAGAACACACAGCTGAAGCATAAATTTGAAGAGATGATAAGGAGATGTGCTAAGCGGGAGAAACAGTAAAGACACAATATGAATAATGGTTAGTATCATGAATTTGGAATCAGATCAACCTGATTTCAAATCCCAATTCCACCACCTAACTTCACACTTAAGTAGGTTTTACCTTTTTGAACTTGTTCATCTGTAGTTGTTGTGAAAATTAGATAATGAATGTTAAACATGTAGCTTAGGTCCTAACACCCAGTGGAGAATACTTGAAGTTGTTGTTATTGATATTATCATTCATGTTGCTATTATTAGAAATGACTCACATTAATGTCTTCAAGGATACGTCTCTAAAGGCAGTGTCCCTAAGGCATGCTTCCTCATGTAGTACCCTTGAACCAACAGCAACTCTCTTCCCCCTCGTCCATCTACCACCATCACAATGGGCCCCACTAGCAATGCCCATTATGCCTGAACGTTTCTGATTCCATATCTTGGTAAAATATTTCCCCAACTCCTACTTTTTCAGAGCTCTACTTTCTAAGAAAGAGTGATAAAATTAGAAAAAAAAGACAACCTTATCTGTGCTAAAATAAAAATAAACTTCAGTTGAGTGTTCCTACCCTTGCAGGATGTTTCTATGCACTTTAAATATGCTCTTACTGAAATGATGTCTTAGGCAAAGAATTCACTGTAATGGTGAGAATCTCAAATGCAACGGCAGGCCTGAGGGAGAAATTTCCACACAAACATTTCGGACCCCTCTAATGAATTATGAGTAGGTGGCTTCCTCTACCAACATGAAGAGCCATCCCTGCAGAAAACATTGCAGCTGGGTTCCAGTTTTGCATTCCATACATTTCCATTAACGTGGGTGGAAGATTTCACGGTACTATCTAGTTTATTCTTAGCATGTGTGGTCATGCATTATTCAGCATTATGAGACATCTATTTGAATAATAAGGTTAAAACTATTTTTAAGGCCATGGCTAACAAAGCTCTAAATATTATTAAAAGATGGAGCAGATGAAGCCATGAATACTCACAATAAACAAGTAATAAAGTGAAGAAATTTTTATAAGGGAGCTAAGAGGAATCCAACCGGTTCCCCCAATCTGTGAAACTCCAAACCTCACTGTGCCTGAAGACCTTGGAGAGACCCAGTTGATGCCAACTCATTTTTCTGCAGAACCAGTGGGTGTACTCTCTGCCCACACCAGATTTTTCAGTAGCAACATTTCCAAACAAACTACTAGTTTTCTAGGATCAGATAAAGTTACAAGCATCCATAAATAAGAACTTCTTAATATAATTATGAGTCTTGCTTTGGAGGGAGGAAGGGATGCAATGGAGTGATCATCAGCTGGGTCATTAAAATAATTCAGTTGCAAGTTGCTTGACTGAGGACTCCCTACTCCACAACTTCTACAAAGTAAATCTGGGCTAGAAGGTGATTGGTTAATAATGTGATCAGTGTGGCTGGCTGTCTCTAGGTGCTTTGATAAAATGTATTTGTGCTGAAGACACTATTTATTATAAGTCACATAAGGGTGTGGTGTTTCAATGTTTCCATGTTTAGCAATTATAAACTGAACCTATTAAGTGCTTTTTAACCAACCCAGAAAGCAGACAAACTTAAAATAAGCCCAGACTACATGCTCTCTATAGATACCCTTTTTTTCTGGTCATGATTTTGCAGCTAAAGTGTCTTCAATCCCTCTTGCCATCGACACCTTATAATCTTTATATGGAAATCTTAAGCAAAAATAAATACTAAACTTGATAACCTCTGCTTCAAATAGAAGATAGTGGTATTGAGATAAAAGAAGCAAACTGTTAATACAAGTAAAATTAAATCTGTCCAGGAACCTTTATTTTAGAAAGATTGGTATTCAAATCTTGATTCCTTGTGTTGAAACAGATGGGCTTAACAGGATAATTCCTACAGTATATCACTTAAAAATTCACACTATTTATGCGAAGGATTTATGTTTCCAGAGTACCAGTAAAATGCCTTTGCTCTTCTTTTCCCACATGTCCTTGAACATTTCAACCACTTTTGTGGTCTCAACTATCACCCCAAGGTGAATTAGTTCTATATTCACATTTCCTTTTGCACTTGCTTTAGTTTAACAGCGTTTCTGCCTACTGGTTCTGCCAGCTGTGTCTCTCCCATTAACCTCAAGCTCAAGCTGGTTGAAATGATTCATCCCCTTATCCAATAATTCAGAGAAACTTCTGGGCTCCTAATTGTTCTCAATAAAAATCTCCATGTCTGGAATCACAGAGACACAGAATTGCAAAGTCACCCTTCCTTTTCCTTTTTCCTCTTTCTCTACAGCAGAGGTTCTCAACTTCTGCTTTATGGATATTTTGAGTCTGAAAATTCTTTGTCTGGGGAAAGGAAGGCTAGAGTCGCTCTGTGTATTTTACAGTGTTTGGCAGTATCCCTGGCTTCTACTTACTTGTTGCCAGTGGCTGTATCCACTCCCCAGGTTATAACAACCAAATATCTCCAGACATTGTCAAATATTCCTGGGGGGGTAAAATCACTCCCCACCTCCAGTCACTTAGTTGCCTAATAGCCAAGTGAATTTTCCCTATTCTTCTCTTGTAGCTTCTTCACATGAGTCCTTGCTATCTCATTACTGTGCCAGCCCCCGGGGAGAACAATCAGTGTGTGCTGTCTTTTTGCAGTACATTTTAGTGATGTAATAGGCAGTGTGTACCAAGACATGCCAAACTCAAAAACCAATAACCAATATGGGAGAAAGAAATTCAGAAAAGAAATCTTGGAAATATTTCTGGTAACTCAGAAGTCCTGAATAGATTTTTTTTAATTGGAGTCTGAGGATTTTAATGTTGACTTCATCTCTAGAAATTTAAAATCATGATTTGGGATAGAAAGGACCAAATAAGAAGCCACTATTTAGCCATTGTTTATGTGAGTTAATTATTTAAACAATCTTAAAATGTGAAGCTCTTTATAGCAAAGAATGTAAGTATGCACAGTAGAAAGAACACGGTTTTAGGATATTATTAAGGTAGTGAATCCCACCTTTGATAATGTGCTAGTGAAAGATAAGAATATATAACTCTACCAGACTTGTTCTAAGGACTAGAATAGTGAATTACTGTTTCTATATTCCATCTTTTACCAGAACAAACTTGAGATAATTCAAAATGTCACATGCTTGGCACATAGCAGGTGTTCAATAAATGTAAACTAAAAATAACATTAATATTTCATACTGAGCCTGTTACAATGACTTTAAAATGAAATTAGATGTGATCCTGTGACTGTTCCATGAGGAATCACATTAGACAAAAACAATACTGCTGAGAAAGCAGTCAGAATTTCCTGGGGGGTGTAGGGAGAAACAAGAATAGGCTTGGAGTCAAACAGTAGGTCCTCCTAGGTCCATAGACTACTATAAATTAATGATGATAATAAACTGACTTGAAATTCAGCATCAAAAGTTTACTAGCACCCCAAAGATCTTAACTGATAATCACATTAACCCTCTTATGAAAAATAGATTACAATAATTATACTAGATCTTTGAGAATCCACCTGAGTGACCTTTCTATTACATATGCAACAAAGACCAAGAAAAAAGGTCCAGAGAAGCAGAAAACATGCTTGCAAGTGTGGTGTCACACAATCCAAGAAAGGAAATGCCTCAAATAGTACGAATAGTCATCAGGACCAAGTGATGCTGAATGATTAAATAAGCAAAAAATTCAAAGTGCCCTGCTGGGCTGAGAGTCATGGAAATCATTCATAAGAGCAAGTAGAATTGCTGGTTAACACAAGCAATTTCAGTGGGATGGTAACAGTGGACACCAGATTTCAGTGTTCTGAGAAAAGAATGAGAGGGAACCAAGGAGAGATTGTAAGTGTACATGACACTCAAATGAGTTTGGCAGTGAAAGACAAAAGTGAGTTGGAAGGTGCTGTAGAATGAAGGGAGGTTTTCCTGGAAGTTCAGAAAAACTCACTCACATTTAAATACTTAAGAGAAGAAGCATGTTGAAGTTACGTGAATAAGAAGAGCACAATAGAATACAATTCCAGGAGAGGTAAAAAGATAGGTGATCTAGAAGAATGGTGGCGACATTAGGCTTTGATGATACAATGAAGAGGATGGATTTATCATTCACAGTAGCAAGTGGGAAGGAGAAGAGGATGGGGACCTGGCCACTGAATCAATCCTGGCCACTGAATCAATCACAGGACATTGAAGGAGTTCCAATCTGATGGCTTCTATTTTATTCCTGAAGAAGTTTTTCTCTCACTCATTCCTCTGACTTGTAAATTAAATAGGATTTTTTTCTTTTATCCATTTTCCATTTGGAGAAACAGGGACAAAAATGGTCAATGGTTAAATAACTTTGGTTGTATGTATCCCTTTTGATAATCCATGATTCTTCTTTTAATCTGTGAATCCACCCATAATCCACAGGTACATACACACTGAGAAGTATGCACACAAAACAGTTTCTAAGCTGTGCTCTGATTCGTTAATAGTTTCTCAAGTTGGTAAAATTTATATTTGAGTTACAAATGGGTAAAATATCTACTCAAATAACATGTGATTTTAGTGCGGCAGTATTGAAGCCAACGTCTCATGTAAAGATTTAGGGCTTTTTCATCAAGACACTGTATTGGAAAATCGCCTGCTAAGAATGTGGTCATTACCGTACATTTTGTGTGCAAAGCAAAGGCGGTTGATACTGTACCTTGGCGAAGCTGCCTTAACCACCTTTGTCGCTGCCCAGGTGTTTCCCATGCCTGTGGCAGACTTAGAAGGTGGAGGAGTGGAGCCTGCCAGACCAGTTGCAAAGTGCAGAACATGCCTCAGGGCCTCCATTCACAATCCAATTTGCCTTAGCGCCTGTGCCCAGCCTTAGCACTGGAAGGCTGACCTTTCGACACAGGTAAGTTCAGCAACAATCACTTGGCCACAGCCACAGATTCTGCCTGGTGCCAGGAATTCTATGGTCTCTTGGGTGACGGCCACTTGGCAGCAATTTTCAGAGTTCTGCTCTGGCACAGAATAAGGCTGTGCATGTGTGTGTGTGTGTGTGTGTGTGTGTGTGTGTGTGTGTATGTGTGTCTTTTCCATAGTTAACATTCAACACTTGCTGGAAGGGAGAGTGAAAAAAGATATAGAGTTGGAATAAAAACACCGGTGTATCTCTCTTCTCTCTTTCTAGCCTATTGTCATAACACTCTGGCTCTGCTCTGACTTCAGTGACAGTGAAAAGCAAAATGGAGGAAAGGGAAAAGGAAGATGGGAGAAAGATAAAAGGAAGAAAGAAGACGGAGAATTCTGAAACTTGGAGGCAAGAGAGGGCAGAAGATGAAACGCTGAGTTAAAATATTATCCTGGAATAAGCCCCACATGTCTTTGGGTAGAATGTCAATTCACCCCTTCTGTCTCTACTTTCTTCCAATTCAAACCTTGGGCACACTGAAGTGGACACACAAGAAAAGTCTTTTGTTATCATTTTTACACCTTCCATATTTGTGGTCTTTGAATTCCTCTAATAAATTTCCCTCTATCAGTGGAATAGCAAAACTTTTCATGATGCTTCTTAAAGTATTTTTAAGTCAGGTCTACACAACACAAAGATAATTGCTTGGTTAATATTACCAGTTGGACAGATAAGTAGATAACTCAAGCCAAAAGTATTTCTTTGCCTGATGACCAAAAATCCACTTCACACTGAGCTGAAGGGGAAAAAAAGAGGCAAATATTAATAACAGTCAAGGGCATATACTTTGTTATGAAAGACGTTCCTTTCTCATATAATTTCCAAATGTGATTCTGTAGTAAACAACACATCTAATATGAATAATTGAAATGATTTTCCTTGTGGAAGCAAGCTCCTCTGTTCTTTTTTATATTATGGAACTACACCTGGAATTGGTTTCAAGGGAAAGTGAATCAGTTTAACTGCCTCAGCCAAACCTAGAGGGCCCCTTGCTCTCATCTGGGCTGGGAAAGAACTCAAAGTAGCATCTAATGATGATTTTAGTGCAATATCTGGCACATAGTGAATGGTCTTTAAATATTAGCTGTTTTTATCCAATCAGGAGAAAAAACCAGAACTAAACAATATGGAGAGCTTACACATTTAGAAAAAAGAAAGAAAGAAAGAAAGAGGAACAAAAGAAATACTAATGGTTCTTTGTGAGTATGAGCAATTTTAAAGACATTAATAAACTGGTGGAAATGGAATCTAAATTCTAAGCAACTCAAGAGTAATAAATGTGATGTAGGATAATAGAGGAAAGTGTAGACTACCCTTGAGTTAGGCAGTACAAAGATGTAAGAAGATGATAATACATTCATATCATCAGGGCTTAGAGTCTATCAGGAGACCAAATAATTACCCTTCAGAATACATTTATTCTTGATATCCCAAGATGGCCGAATAGGAACAGCTCCAGTCTACAGCTCCCAGCATGAGCAATGCAGAAGACGGGTGATTTCTGCATTTCCAACTGAGGCACCAGGTTCTTCTCACTGGGACTGGTTGGACAGTGGGTGCAGCTCATGGAATGTGAGCTGAAGAAGGGCAGGGCATCACCTTGCCCGGGAAGTGCAAGGGGTTGGGGAATTCTCTTTCCTAGCCAAGGGAAGCCATGACGGACGGTACCTAGAAAATCGGGACACTCCACCCCAATACTGTGCTTTTCCAATGGTCTTAGCAAATGGCACACCAGGAGATTATATCCCACACATGGCTTGGCGGGTCCCATGCCCATGGAGCCTTACTCACTGCTAGCACAGCAGTCCGAAATAGAACTGCGAGGCAGCAGCAAGGCTGGGGGAGGGGTGTCCCCTATTGCTGAGACTTCAGTAGGTAAACAAAGCAGCCTGGAAGCTCGAACTGGGTGGAGCCCACCGCAGCTCAACAAGGCCTGCCTGCCTCTGTAGACTCCACCTCCAGGGGCAGGGCATAGCTGGACAAAAGGCAGCAGAAACTTCTGCAGACTTAAAGGTCCCTGTCTGACAGCTTTGAAGAGAGCAGTGGATCTCCCAGCACAGAGTTTGAGATCTGAGAACAGACAGACTGCCTTCTTAAGTGGGTCCCTGATGCCCCCTAACTGGGAGACACCTCCCAGTAGGGGCCAACTGACACCTCATACAGCCAGGTGCCCCTCTGAGACTAAGCTTCCAGAGGAAGGATCAGGCAGTGACATTTGCTGTTCTGCAATATTTGCTGTTCTGCAGCCTCCGCTGGTGATACCCAGACAAACAGGGTCTGGAGTGGACCTCCAGCAAACTCCAACAGACCTGCAGCTGAGGGTTCTGACTGTTAGAAGGAAAACTAACAAACAGAAAGGAATAGCATCAACATCAACAAAAAGGAGATCCACACCAAAACCCCATCTGTAGGTCACCATCATCAAAGACCAAAAGTAGATAAAACCACAAAGATGGGGAGAAACCAGAGCAGAAGAGCTGAAAATTCTAAAAACCAGAGTGCCTCTTCTCCTCCAAAGGATCACAGCTCCTCACCAGAGATGGAACAAAGCTGGACAGAGAATGACTTTGACAAGTTGACAGAAGTAGACTTCAGGAGATCGGTAATAACAAGCTCCTCGGAGCTAAAGGAGGATGTTTGAACCCATCGCAAGGAAGCTAAAAACCTTGAAAAAAGATTAGACAAATGGCTAACTAGAATAAACAGCATAGAGAAGACCTTAAATGACCTGATGGAGCTGAAAACCATGGCACAAGAACTACGTGATGCATGAACAAGCTTCAGTAGCCTATTTGATCAAGTGGAAGAAAGAGTATCAGTGATTGAAGATCAAATGAATGAAATGAAGAGAGATGACAAGGTTAGAGAAAAAAGAGTAAAAAGAAATGAACAAAGCCTCCAAGAAATATGGGACTATGTGAAAAGACCAAATCTACATTTGATTGGTGTAACTGAAAGGACGGGGAAAATGGAACCAAGTTGGGAAACACTCTTCAGGATATTATCCAGGAGAACTTCCACAACCCAGCAAGACAGGCCAACATTCAAATTCAGGAAATACAGAGAATGCCACAAAGATACTCCTTCAGAAGAGCAACCCCAAGACACACAATTGTTAGATTCACCAAAGTTGAAATGAAGGAAAAAATGTTAAGGGCAGCTAGAGAGAAAGGTCGGGTTACCCACAAAGGGAAGCCCATCAGACTAACAGTGGATCTCTCAGCAGAAACTCTACAAGCCAGAAGAGACTGGGACACAATACTGAACATTCTTAAAGAAGAAGATTTTCAACCCAGAATTTCATATCCACCCAAACTAAGCTTCATAAGTGAAGGAGAAATAAAATCCTTTACAGACAACCAAATGTAGACAGATTTTGTCACCACCAGGCCTGCCTTACAAGAGCTCCTGAAGGAAGCACTAAACATGGAAAGGAACAACCAGTACCAGCCACTGCAAACACGTGCCAAATTGTAAAGATCATCAATGCTAGGAAGAAACTGCATCAACTAATGAGCAAAATAACCAACTAACATCATAATGACAGGCTCAAATTCACACATAACAATATTAACCTTAAATGTAAATGGGCTAAATGCCCCAATTAAAAGACACAGACTGGGAAACTGGATAAAGGGTCAAGACACATCAGTGTGCTGTATTCAGGAGACCCATCTCACGTGCAGAGACACATATAGGCTCAAAATAAAGGGATGGAGGAAGATCTACCAAGCAAATGGAAAACAAAAAAAAAAGCAGGGGTTGCAATCCTAGTCTCTGATAAAACAGACTTTAAGCCAACAAAGATCAAAAGAGACAATGAAGGCCATTACATAATGGTAAAGGAATCAACTCAACAAGAAGAGCTAACTATCCTAAATATATGTACCCAATACAGGAGCACCCAGATTCATAAAGCAAGTCCTTAGAGACTTATAAAGAGACTTAGACTCTGACACAATAATAATGGGAGATTTTAACACCTCACTGTCAACATTAGACAGATCAAGAAGACAGAAAGTTAACAAGGATATCCAGGACTTGAACTCAGCTCTGCACCAAGTGGACCTAATAGACATCTATAGAACTCTCCACCCCAAGTTAACAGAATATACATTCTTCTCAGAACCACATCGCACTTATTCCAAAATGTACCACATAGTTGGAAGTAAAGCACTCCTCAGCAAATGTAAAAGAGCAGAAATTGTAACAAACTGTCCCTCAGACCACAGTGCAATCAAACTAGAACTCAGGATTAAGAAACTCACTCAAAACTGCACAACTACATGGAAACTGAACAACCTGCTCTTGAATGACTACTGGATAAATAACCAAATGAAGGTGGAAATAAAGATGTTCTTTGAAACCAATGAGAAAAAAGACACAACATACCAGAATCTCTGGGACACATTTAAAGCAGTGTGTAGTGGGAAATTTATAGCACTAAATGCCCACAAGAGAAAGCAGGAAAGATCTACAATCAACACCCTAACATCACAATTAAAAGAACAAGAGAAGCAAGAGCAAACCAATTTAAAAGCTTGCAGAAGGCAAGAAATAACTAAGATCAAAGCAGAACTGAAGGAGACAGAGACACAAAAAACCCTTCAAAAAATCAATTAATCCAGAAGTTGGTTTTTTGAAAAGATCAACAAAATAGATAGACTGCTAGCAAGACTAATAAAGAAGAAAAGAGAGAAGAATCAAATAGATGCAATAAAAAATGATAAAGGGGATATCACCACTGATCCCACAGAAATACAAACTACTGTCAGAGAATACTATAAACACCTCTATGCAAATAAACTAGAAAATCTAGAAGAAACGGATAAATTCCTGGACACATACACCCTCCCAAGACTAAAACAGGAAGAACTTGAATCCCTGAATAGAACAATAACAGGCTCTGAAATTGAGGCAATAATAGCCTACCAACCAAAAAAAGTGCAGGACCAGAAGGATTCACAGCTAAACTCTACCAGAGGTACCAATAGGAGCTGGTACCATTCCTTCTGAAACTATTCTAATCAACAGAAAAAGAGGGAATCCTCCCTAACTCATTTTATGAGGCCAGCATCATCCTGATACCAAAGCCTGGCAGAGACACAACAAAAAAAGAGAATTTTAGACCAATATCCCTGATGAACATCGATGCAAAAATCCTCAATAAAATACTGGCAAACTGAAGCCTGCAGCACATCAAAAAGCTTATCCACCATGATCAAGTGGGCTTCATCCCTGAGATGCAAGGCTGGTTCAACATATGCAAATCAATAAACATAATCCAACATATAAACAGAACCAAAGACAAAAACCACATGATTATCTCAATAGATGCAGAAAAGGCCTTTGACAAAATTCAACAGCCCTTCATGCTAAAAACTCTCTATAAATTAGGTATTGATGGGACGTATCTCCAAATAATAAGAACTACTTATGACAAACCCACAGCTAATATCATACTGAGTAGGCAAAAACTGGAAGCACTCCCTTTGAAAACTGGCACAAGACAGGGATGCCTCCTCTTACCACTCCTATTCAACATAGTGTTGGAATTTCTGGCCAGGGCAATCAGTCAGGAGAAGGAAATAAAGGGCATTCAGTTAGGAAAAGAGGAAGTCAAATTGTCCCTGTTTGCAGATGACATGATTGTATATTTAGAAAACCCTATCGTCTCAGCCCAAAATCTCCTTAAGCTGATAAGCAACTTCAGCAAAGTCTCAGGATACAAAATCAATGTGCAAAAATCACAAGCATTCCTATACACCAATAACAGACAAACAGAGAGCCAAATCACGAGTGAACTCCCATTCACAATTGCTTCAAAGAGAATAAAATACCTAGGAATCCAGCTTACAAGGGATGTGAAGGACCTCTTCAAGGAGAACTACAAACCACTGCTCAATGAAATAAAAGAGGACACAAACAAATGGAAGAACATTCCATGCTCATGGATAGGAAGAATCAATATCATGAAAATGGCCATACTGCCCAAGATAATTTATAGATTCAATGCCATCCCCATCAAGCTACCAATGACTTTCTTCACAGAATTGGAAAAAACTACTTTAAAGTTCATATGGAACCAAAAAAGAGCCCGCATTGCAAAGACAATCCTAAGCCAAAAGAACAAAGCTGGAGGCATCATGCTACCTGACTTCAAACTGTACTACAAGGCTACAGTAACCAAAACAGCATGGTACTGGTACCAAAATAGAGATATAGACCAATGGAACAGAACAGAGCCCTCAGAAATAATACCACATATCTACAACCATCTGATCTTTGACAAACCTGACAAACCTGACAAGAAATGGGAAAAGGATTCCCTATTTAATAAATGGTGCTAGGAAAACTGGCTAGCCATATGCGGAAAGCTGAAACTGGATCCCTTCCTTACACCTTATACAAAAATTAATTCAAGATGGATTAAAGACTTAAATATTAGACCTAACACCATAAAAACCCTAGAAGAAAACCTAGGCAATACCATTCGGGACCTAGGCATGGGCAAAGACTTCATGACTAAAACTCCAAAAGCAATGGCAACAAAAGCCAAAATCGACCAATGGGACCTAATTAAACTAAAGAGCTTCTGCACAACAAAAGAAACTATCATCAGAGTGAAGAGGCAACCTATAGAATGGGAGAAAATTTTTGCAATCTACCCATCTGACAAAGGGCTAATATCCAGATTTACAAAGAACTTAAACAAATTTACAAGAAAAACTCAAACAACCCCATCAAAAAGTGGGCAAAGGATATGAACAGACACTTCTCAAAAGAAGACATTTATGCAGCCAACAGACACATGAAAAAATGCTCGTCATCACTGCCCATTAGAGAAATGCAAATCAAAACCACAATGAGATACCATCTTACACCAATTAGAATGGCGATCATTAACAAGTCAGGAAACAACAGGTGCTGGAGAGGATGTGGAGAAATACTTTTACACTGTTGATGGGACTGTAAACTAGTTCAACCATTGTGGAAGACAGTGTGGCGATTCCTCAAGGATCTAGAACTAGAAATACCATTTGACCCAGCCATCCCATTACTGGGTATATACCCAAAGGATTATAAATCATGCTACTATAAAGACACATGCACACGTATGTTTATTGTGGCACTATTCACAATAGCAAAGACTTGGAACCAACCCAAATGTCCATCAATGACAGACTGGATAAAGAAAATGTGGCACATATACACCATGGAATACTACGCAGCCATAAAAAAGGATGAGTTCATGTTCTTTGCAGGGACGTGGATGAAGCTGGAAACCATCATTCTGAGCAAACTGTCACAAGGACAGATAACCAAACACCGCATGTTCTCACTTATAGGTGGGAATTGAACAGTGAGAACACTTGGACACAGGGTGGGGAACATCACACACCAGGGCCTGTTGTGGGGTGGGGGAAGAAGGGAGGGATAGCATTAGGAGAAATACCTAATGTAAATGACGAGTTGCTGGGTGCAGCACACCAACATGGCACATGTATACATATGTAACAAAGCTGCACATTGTGGACATGTACCCTAGAACTTAAAGTATAAAAAAAAAAATCTAGTGTTCAGTAGCACAATAGGGCAACTATAGTTAAGAAAAATTTATTTTATTTCAAAATAATTAAAAGAGTGGGATTGGAATCTTCCTAGCACAAAGAAATGATAAATGCTTGAGGTGATGGATACCCCAATTACCCCAGTTTGATCATTACACATCTTAGGCTTGTATCAATATCACATGTACCCCATAAATATGTAAAACTTGTGCAACTACAGCAATTAAAAATGAACAATTTCAAACCGAAAAAAAAGAATACATTTATTCTTGTATTCTAATCTTTTAACTTCAATGAATACTTCCTTCTTCTTATAAACATACAGATACAGAAGTACATGTGTATTACTTATTAATTATATGAAGACACCTATGGTAAATAGATGAAAGCTTGAAACTTTATACCAAGTAAACCATTATATGAAGTCCCAAAAAGTGAATGTTTAATTGCAGCCTTTTTTTTTTTTTAACTCTGCCAAGGTCAATTCAAGGGTAACTTGCTATTTTGGGGATACCATTGCTCTTTCAAAGTTATAATGGTGGACTATGAATGTTCTTTTCACAAGTGTCCACTACTTCAGCTCAATATTTTATAATTTGTTTAAATAGCCTTCTATCTTCAATTCTCTGAATAGGCTTCTGCTCAGCCAAGTTTCCTTGGGATGACTTCTGGCTCTAAACCCAAGTTCTAAGTGCTGATAACCTATCTTACTACTCAGCACTCACCAAAATTCAGGGATGATGCCGGGAGAATTGTTAAAAAAGCTGGAGGGGAATCAGGTGATGTATTGTACATCATCTCTCCATTTGCCCTCTTGCTAATTTATTTTCACGTTTCTACCATATCTTCTAGCTTGTGTGTGTGTGTGTGTGTGTGTGTGTTTGTTCGTTTTTACAATTTCCCCATTTAACTTCTCACCAAATTTTAACTTTCTGCAGTGAATTTCAAGACCATCTAGGTATCTGCCATATTTGCCTGGCATCCACTAGAATATTCTCTTCATGCTTATATTATTTCCTTATCCACTACTTTGTCATTCAACTTTCAACTTAACTTCTTTTTCTTTTCTTCTTCTCATCATTGTATATAATTTCGTCTATCTAAATTTCTGTCTGTGGAATGAAGGTGAGGTTATTGTATACAGTAGAATTTATTTTTGATTATAATTTTCTTTATAAAAATGAGAATACATTAAAAAATGAAAAATAAAACACTCCCCAAAACATAATTGTTTCCTTCAAGTTTATTTTCTTGTATATGAACTTTTAAAAATCTTCAAATCTTTCCTAAGCAAACATCTGTATAAATAATAAACAATAAATATTTTAGTAATAATATTTGTAACAGCAGTATGTATATAGTTTTCTGTAACTTTTTCACTTAACATTATGAGAAAAGCATTTTTCATGCTGACAAATAGACATCATAATTATGACTTGAAAGCTATGTGACTTGCCATAATATAAACTAACTTGTTTTTGGATTCAATTTATTTCCAGTTGTTACTAGTATAAATAATGTTGCTATGCGTACATTAGTAGATACAGTTCTTTCCCCTATATTTTGGATTATTTTCTTAATGTAATATCCCAGCAGCGGAATTAGTTGGTTGGAGGTACACATTTCCAAATCACCTTCCAAAAGTTTTACGACCTTACTACCATTACATGAAGATGGTGGTTTTGTCATAGCCTCTTGAACATATAATGAATTAATTTCTAATGCTAGTTTAATATATTAATATTATGCTGCATAGATGTTTGAACTAAACTAATCAATTTGAGGTAATTTTGAATTTTGACCATGTTGATTTCACTTTACAAACTAGTCTTCAGAATGTTTGCCTTAGCCAAGTAAAGTAATAATGCTAAAGAAAGAAAATAAGGCCAAATAAAGTGTTTCTACCACTTTACTAAATTTTTTTCAAAAAAACTAAAGATATGGACTTGTCCATCATCTGTCTGTGGAGCAAACATCTTGTTATTCATATGTTCTCTTTTGCCTGGCTATTATCAGGTGTAAAGCTCCATTAGGCCACCATTTCACATTTAAATAACCTGACTAATTGAAGCTTTATCAGTTAGAGATGACCAATGTGGTATATTTTGTATAAAGACACTATAAAATCCAATATCCCTAAGCCTGTCATAATGTTTTATTATGTGAAGCACCTCAAGAGACTGGACAGATCTCTTAATTGTTCTGCAGGCATTTAAAGGTGATTAAATCACATAAATGTGATCTTTAAAACTGTGGCCATTAATTAACCCCTCCAGTGGTCACTCATAGGTTAGCAATATGGCCAGCATTAGAAAGAACCAGCCTTCAATGGCATTCATATTATATTTGTAATCTCACAACAATATCTGAATCAAAGTACAAAAATCTTTTTTTATATCTCCTCATATATACCTTAGAAAGGAGAAAATGTGACTTAGGGACCTAACAGAATTATATCAGGGAGGTTTCTTTAAAGGTGATGGAGATGCTATGTAATTTTGTGTGTGCTAACAAAGCTGTGTGCTAACAAAGCTGTTGATTTTCCACGAATTGTGTCACAGATGTTTCTGGAGAGAAGTAGAAGCTCTACTTTGCTCACAATGTTGATAATTTTTAAGAATATGTTGATATTGTTTGATGTCTCAGCAAAGAGGAAAGATTTGTCTGATTGTTAAAGGTATGAATAACTGACAAAATTAGGACTATAGGTTAGACTCCCTCAGCATCAGGAAAAAGACTCAAAGAATGCACCACCCCATATTTAATGCAAGAGAGACTAAAAATCACTTCTTTCAGTTCTTCATAAAATTTTTTTTGGGGGGAAGGTGTGGCCAACATTATAATTCCTGCTGCTGCTCCATGTCCAACACATTTAGTCAAACTTTTTATACATTTTACCAATTGCTATATTATGACCAAATCTTGAACTTCAGCAAAATAGCAAACCTATGAATAATGAACAAAGATAAATGGCTAATTATTATAATAATCAGCTTCAGAACTGCTATGAAATCTTATCATGAAATGGGTACACATAGAGTTTAGGAGTCCTTTTCCAATGAGGTACAAGAAGTCATACTTTGGAACCAGAGGTTCTGTTATACTTCTTGTGTGACAATTTCTCCAGAGGGCATTTTCCACTTTTTTGTCTACTTTCTGGTCAAATTCCTAAGTTCGGTGGTGGAGATACTCTGAAAATGTGTGTACACAAAGAAAAGATTGTCACAAAACTGCAGTATCCCATGTCTACTCATCATCTGTGGTATTTTCCTCTGGGTCTGATAGAAACACAAAGGCCCAAGGAAGCTAAAGCATTTATTTATTAACTACTTTGCTTCTAGACATGATCCTTACTTAAATCATTCTAAAAAGATTTATTGTATTCTTCAGGGGAGTGTATTTCACACTATGATTAGAAGAATATAACCCTCATGTTAGTAATAAAGTAGGTTTACAAAGGCCATTCTGGGGACTATGAAATCCCTGACACTTCTTCAAGTTGAATCATTCTAGAAAGACAATTTGAACAAATTCATTGACCACGTTGAAGCACCCACACAACTTTAGTATTTGAATGACAACTACAATTGTATAATATTCCTGTAGTTTCTAAAAGGAAATAAACATTTTTTCAGCTTATTAATCTTGATTCATTTACACATGCAACAGTTTTTAATTTAGCCAGTATGTTGTTTGACAATATCAGCCAAGCATTGTTCCACTTCTCTTGAAAGGCTGAGACTATATTCTTTTTATTCCATCGAAGTGGGAGAAGAATATTTGACAACAGATAATACCTATTAAATAGTTCCACCAGAGGTTCTGCCAGACCCTCTCCTCTTCCACTGGCCTCAGTGTTAAGCAGAGAATGTGTGTCTCTCTTCTCTGGTATTTTGTTCTCTTAAGAAAGTGTTGTCACCAGTAATACACAGATAAATAAAATTCTTATTCCAAATTTGGCTGATATCTTCACTCTGATCCTATCGTTGGCTGTGCCATATTTCTTAGTAGTGTGTTTTGTTCTCACGTGAGACAGTGGATCTAAGACAAGCCCTTAGGGATGGAATGGCAAATATGGGAAACAACATCATTGGCTTTTGTTGGCCAATTTGTTTCTACAGCAAGGCCATCATCTAACACTTTAACATACTCAACATATTTTCACAAATGGATTAGTACATGGAGTGAGAAGAGGAGAAATCACTAATTTTGTGAAGAATGACAGATCAGTCAACAACATTTCTTTGTGGACAGGAAAGGGAAATATTCCAGAGAGCTCCTTTCCTGGTACAAGGATTTACTTATCATGTGCATATTCATTATATTCTCAAATCTTATAATAGAGCCAAGGATATTCCCACTGTAAGAGCTGTAAACTGAAGTTCAAAGAGCTGGTGACTCTTATCCCATAAAAAGCCATCCAAAGGCACACAAGGATCACAGTTTCTTATTTTGCCACTCACCAAGTTATTTTTCTTTCCATGTGGCTGGCTTGGTTCCTATCCAAGTGAAGCAAAACCTTTTACCTAAAAAAAAAAAAATTAAAAAAAAAACTAGAATTTTCCAATTAACCACATTTATAATGGAGAGAAGAGATTCTTTTGAGGAGTCAAGGACTGATCTCTCCTTGAGGCCAGCTACTGGATTTGATGGAGCAGAGGCCAAATGGGTAATGACAAATTCCAGGTTTTTATGTCTTGGTTCTTCATGTGCCTGAAAACATATGGCATGAGGTTCTGAGACACTGCAGTGATGACAGAGAGAACAGACATGTTCAAACTCACAGGATTTTAAGGAATGGGATGGATAGGGAGCTTTGGGAAGGACAATAGTAGGAAAAAAGAAAAATCAATGTAGGATCTGTGAAAAAATACCTTCAACTTCTACTACACAATTTGCCTTCTAAGAAATGCAGTCTTGAGTTACAAAAGATGGTTCATGGGATGGTTCCTTTACTGGTGTATAGCACCAATCAAGGACAAATTGTAAACGAATTAAACTGAAATGGAGGGAGAAATTAAGAAAAATAAGGAAAAAGGTTTAAAGAAAAGTTGATTGGTTTCCAAGTAGACAAAGCTGTGGGTATACTCACTTTCTTAGTTTTCTGTGTGTAAATTTTGGACAAATCACTTAATCTTCTTCTCAATGTAAACATTAGATTATTTGGGGGATTCCGTAAGGTACGTTTTGACAGTAACTTAGCACAGTGCTTACCATATATGAAGCCAACAAATATTATTTTTTCTAGGATATGAATCTAATAAAAACCTCATTTAAAGAAACATGTTTCTTTAACATGTTCCTCATTTAAAGATCATGTTGTACACGTAGTCTATTGACGCATGTAGCTGACACTTAAAATGCACTAACAAAGATAAGACAATATCAAAATAATTATGAGATCCACTAAAAAGATGATAAATTGATTCCTGATTCTAGTTCTTGTATTATAACCCCTGAAACATGGCAGGAAATATTTTTATTTTTAATGAGAAAACAGCTTTGGATATAATTCTGGAAATCTCATAGCATATTCTTTTCTTGCAGCACTGTATCTATGGGATGCACCTACTTCACAGGCATTCTGTGAAAATTATTCAAACTTATTCATTCATATTGAAACAGATAACATATGAGTGAGACCAGTTGGACTTAGCCAGATCTAGGCTCAAATCTACATTTGGCCAAAGGAATAACAAGATGCGTCAATCATTACTAGGTCATCCAATATGTTTTTTTCAGAATAAGACAGAAATCTTTATTGTTATGCAAAACCTAATGAGTTTAATGCTTTCTCAAACATTTTTAACACTTCATGGTATGAAATACCTGTAAAAATGCACTGAATGCAATTAGTGGGTCACTGCTTTGCAACCTCTAGTGTGACTTTATTCAAGGAACAATAAGTTTTATGGTCTTGCAGTAAAATCCAACATTGTGAATCATTACTATAGATGTAGCAGCAGCCTTTGGAAATGAAAGGTCAACAACTACAAATTGGTTGGTTGCTTTTGAAAGGAAATCTTAATAATTCAGTTTGCTTAATGACTCAGCATTAGTTAACTCTTCTTATTCCCAAAGATCTATCTAAGAACCCATAATTTGTCTTAGTTACCATTAAAACTGTTATTTATTTTATTTTTTTAGATGGAGTCTCGCTGTCGCCAGGCTAGAGTGCAGTGGCGTGATCTCAGCTTGCTGCAACCTCCGCCTCCTGGGTTCAAGTGAGTCTCCTGCCTCAGCCTCCCAAGTAGCTGGGACTACAGGCAGGCACCACCATGCCCGGCTAATTTTTGTATTTTTAGTAGAGACAAGATTTCACCATGTTGGCCAGGATGGTCTCAATCTCTTGACCTCGCGATCTGCCTGCCTCGGCCTCCCAAAGTGCTGGGATGACAGGCGTGAGCCACGGCACCCTGGCCAAAACTGTTAATTTTAAACTATAGTTACTGCTCACAAAGAGACACCCGGTGGGCTAATACCAATCTGCAACATATCAGCTATTGAAGAAAGCACTTTGTAACTGTAAATTCCTATAAATATTAAGTATTCTTACTACTCTTTTAGTTTTCTACAGCCACTCAAGGAGAATCTTCTAAAGAATATTCCAGCACGGCTCCATTCAGCTTACAAATTCTTCCAGCCAGTCTTCCCTAGCAGTCGTTCATATCTATTGTAACAGTTCTAGAGCAACTCCCCAAGCATCAATTGGCCAAATGCCTATTTACCAAAAATCAATGGATTGAATGAATAATTTGCTAAATTTTCTATATCTTTATAGTAAGTGTTAGTATCTAATAAAGCCTTCCACTTTCAAAAAGATGGAGTAGGCATACTTTTCCCTAATCCTCCCACTAATACAAATAACAACCATGAACATTATATATAAAAGTAACTTAAGAAAACAGTGAAAGGTAGAGCAAAGATGGCAGAGTTGCTGGGGCTTTGGAATGGCATGCTGGGGAGCACCCTAGGCTTTCCTGGCACCTCATATATCCCAGAATTGAAGCTAAAGAAGCTACAACCCAGAAACATCAACGAGTGCAGACAAAGAAAAAAAAAAGCCTCCACGAAGCGTATTGTCTCGAGTCAAGGAGACTGAAAGGAGCAGCCTAGAGAAACGGAAAACTTTTATACAACAATCTCCCTACTTCAGCCAAACACCACAGAAAAAAACTACCCATACCAGCAAAAGCCGAGTGGAGAGTATAGACTTTCATCTCAGAGTAGAGAAGCATGCCATCCCTTTCCACACGGATGTGGGTGTCAAGGGAGGACCAGTAAAGGGTCAGGACCTTCAGCCCCACCCACTGGTAACAAGGCCACTGTCCTGTCAGTGGTGTCAGTGGAAACCATGAAGTAAAATCTCCTTGTATGATATCTTACAATTGCATGTGAATCATAATCATCTCAAAATAGATTCATTTTCAAAAGTAAATTTGATAGAGAAAGACCCTTTTTTTCTAATGACTTTTCTTGGAGAGCAGAACAAGGCATTCCTACCGCTGCCAGCCAGGGGTGATCAGTGGGAGTGTCCGGAGGCAGCGCTCTTGGCATGGATAGGGCCCTCGGTGTTCACATCCCAGACAGCAGCCACGACGCTTCCCCAAGCAGCTTGGCAGACAGCAATTGTGGGAAAGTGCAAGTTAGAGCAGGAGAAGAAGAATAGGCAGGAGCCACGCAATAACTTCAGCTGACAGTTTGGTTCATGAGGATGGATGGGCCAACCCTTTGGAGACTCCCAAAAATAACTGGGAAACACCTGAGCATACCCTCTTTGGACTAGTAGGGCTCAATTGATCATTAAAAGTAATTGTGACTTATTTTAGAACCACAAACTAGTAAGAACTGAAACATCTGTGTTTTAATTATTCCCTGTGACCTTGACCACTAATTCATCTAGTGCTTAATCCATTTACCTAGATGAATAAATGAAATTCTTCATAAACAGTATGTCTAGAAGAAGGTAATATTATAAATACTTCAAGGTGCAGATTAATAGTTTCATTATTGTCCCCCCAAGCATTCACCAGTTCTTCTGTGTGTGGTATAAAGCCAGGCACTGTACAAAGGAATAAAGAAAAGGAGTTTCTGCCTTTCAGAATTTACAACTAAAGCAAAAATTAAACACATGAAGAAATGTAGGGCAGAAATAGGAAACCACCTAAACGTTGTGTGCACAAATCCCTGCCAACACCACCAGTGGCCAAACTACCCCTCGTCTCCCCATGTCCATCTTTAGCTTCATTCCTTCCATTCCTGCCCAAGCCACCTGGGCCTCACACCCCACCTGGATCACATACCTGAAGTGGTAATGAGTAGTAGTCACTGTCCACATGATGATTTCCTAAGGGCTTACCATGTGTCAGGTTCCATGGTAATTCTCAGAGTCATAAAAAAGAAGAAAACATGGCCTCAGCTCTCCAGCCTCGGTCAACAAATAACACAATCAGGGTGGCTAATGCAGCAGGACTCAACCAGACTAGGTCGAGTAGAGGCATAAAAAAGAAAGGGAGCAATTCAGCCACACAACAAGCATCCAATTTATGGGCATTCACACCTGCACTTATACCAACCTTTTTCCTTGAAATAATGAGACAAAATAGGGCCGTCGTTGGTGTGACATCAGGGCACCTGCCTATTTCCCAAGGAGGTTATAAAACACAAATGTTCAAACTATAAGGGACCTGAGCTATATTCCCAACTACCACTAATTTATCTGGGACGTTAAGGAAGTCCCGTGGCTTTTCTGGGTCTCATTACCTTTACATGTAAAATAAAATGGTATGCAGACCACCAAAGGCCAATCCCAGATGTAAGTCACTGCTTAATCACCACCTAAAGGGCAATCAAACCAATCATGGTTCCTCCACATTCTAGCCCAGTGAACTTGGGCAAGCCACTACCTTCCTTTGCCTCAGTTTCCTCCTCTGTAAAGTGGGCATAATAATAAGACATCTCCTAGGAGTGTCAGGAAGGTTTAATTACTATATGTAATGTGCTTAGAAGAATGCTTAGCACATACTCAGTAATATATAAATATTACCTATTACTATTAGAAATTTTTATTATTTCAGATTTCCAATGATATTTCAGTATTTCATTTATGTTGTTCATCACCTGGATTGTAAATGTACAAAGTGTTTTGCATAATCTTTCCAATAGTCAGTATTGGGAATTCATAAATTAATTAATTAAGAGTTAGATTATGCCAAAAACACACTCCTAAAAATTAAAGTAGTTTCTTTGGAAAACCACATTATAACACAGAGGATATTATTAGATTATTTAATCATATATAAATAATACCCTTCTGACCACAAAAAAATGTAGACATATTTCCAAAGCTGGCTAACAATGAAAATGACCTGAACACCTAACTTGAGACCCACTGGCTCCTTGCTATTCAGGTGTAGTCGGTAGACCAGCAGCTCTGGCACTTGATTCAAGAAGTCTTATTTGGAGTCCAAGAATCTGCATTTCCGCAAGTCTTCTGGTGCTGCTGACGCTGCTGGTTAACAAACTTTACTTTGAGTAGCAAGGCAGTAAGATGCAGGAATCAGAATTAGACTTTAAAATAACTGAAATGATTGAATTAGTTGTACCAAAGTCCCATTAATGGACCAAATCTGGAAAAGGTCTTACTCAGCACGTTGTACAATCACAATCATGTTGAAAAAGCATTTTAGAACTTACATGGAATTCTAACATGGGTACATCTATACACATAAGAGGCTCCATATTCGTTGACACGTTGCTTGTGACTTAATTTTTGTAATAAAATATTCACGGTTACAGAGATGAACTGACATAGTCTTCATAAGTGAGCACACATAATGGGAGACATATTCCCTGATTTTAACTTGGACAACTGCAGGAATATCTTTATATAAACATGTATCACTATCACTGTGAAACTGGGATTTCAAAAGTGATTTTTGGTTTGTTTTCTACTTTTTAAAATTTTAGAGGGGCTTGTATTCTTCCATAAAAGATGGAAGTCCAACCCTCAGAGTGCTTTCTGTCAGAATCTTAACAGTTGTACAATGTCTAAAGATTTAAGATTAAAATTATACATATATATACATTATGCTTAAAAAAAAAGGCCTAATCCCCAGCAGCTGGAGCATAGTACCAAGAGGCCCTACTTTTGAATGGACTTGAAATTGGAATTCAAATCTTTCCTTAAAACAAATGAAAAAATAATTCTGTTGAAATGAAAACCTAACAGTAGTGAGGCAAGAGGAGGGTGTGGGAAGAAGCGAAAAGCAAACTATTCAGTGACTGCAGCCAATCTTTACAACTGGCTCTGAGAAAAAGACTGAGACGTTCCTTGCTACAAAAGATGCAGCGAAGTCACGGCTCTCCAAGCTGCTGAGAACAGGCGATGCTTGAATAAACCCTCCTCCAAACCTTGGAAGATGTATGACTTCGGGATTTCAGAGGTTTCCAAAAATACACAAAACACAGAAAACACTTTCCTACTTTGCCAAAACACATCGGCCCTTTGTTTACATTATGTTCTCCCTTTCTATATGTTGGAAATCATAAGACCCCTCATGGCATTGATAAGACTGAACATAGGGGAAAGCAAATGGGAGGCCGCTCAGTGAATTCTGTCTTGAAATCTTCTTTCACACCTCTTTCCGAAATGTAAATATGGACTCAATCCAGCTTTCCCAGTCCGAATGACTTTGGCTGAGGGCGGTTGGTATGGAAGTCATTTCCCTTCTAGGTGCAGTAGCTACTTTCCACAGACTCAACAAAGACACGAAATATCATTAACATCTGATTCTGAAAAGGTTGACAACCACTTCTTTGTTTTACTCAGCAGTCTGGGGAAAGCTGCTGCGCATTACACGATCATGAGCAAAATTATACCTATTAGGCTCTGATATGAGTATTGGAATATCTCTCTCATTTGCGCACAGCATTGAAGCTTCAATATGCCTATTGTTTTCACAGTATCCATTACATATTTTAAATGGCATGGAAAGATCATATATGTAAACATTACTTCAGCTGAGGCTGAGTGATGCTTGGCAAAGCTAGAGAGGCTGTCTGACCTCCCTGGGCCTTGGTTTCAAGGAAAGGAGCGCCAAGGGACTTTGTCAGGGGATGGCTGATGGTTATGAAAAGGAGTAAGATGGATTGACCAATGGGTGCTGCTGCATTAAAGAAGTCTGGATCCCTTCCTTTGACACACACAAAAAGCTCCAGGCCTCAAACTGGCTCCTTTATTTTGCAGCATACAGAAAGAGGATGAAAGACTTGCCTGAGGGTCTGAAATACCAAGAGGGAAGAGTCTGGAAGAAAGGGGAGAAGGCTGACTGGTTGCAGCTTCAGGATTCATGAATAAAAAAGGAGAGAGGGAAAGGGGCCTCCAAATTTAAAAGTACTTCTAAAATAGCCATTAATAATCACATTCTCTAAGATAAAAGCAAGAATCCTAAGCTTTTTTTTTTTAAGCACTGATGTTTTTCTCACAGTCTTCAGAGTAGGAAATGGAATTAGCCTAAAAACATGAAATCAACTGATTAAGAACTCTTGAAACTTCCCAGGGTCATGAGGCACGCTGGATGGCAGCACTCGCCTCTCCTCACCATAGCAGATGTTGTGAGCAGAAACATTTCTGCACACAGGAGGTTGATGCTGTGAGCAACCTGTAATTTTAATCATTTACAGAGCTGAGTGTAAGCCTCCACCCCAAGATCTAAGTCCTAGAGCCCTGGACTCATGTTGGAATGTTTATTGATATTTTTCTAAGAGACGCTCTCAAAATTATCCTCGCATTTTACTCACCATTAGTCCACATTTAGAGAGCATTTTCTGCCTTTTTAGATTAGACTTAGATTTTCCTGATAACCAGGAATATAAACACAGGGAATAAGTCATTATTTGAAGGATGTGGGCCATACAGATAGGCAAAAAATTTCCTCTAGGCCAAATGTATACTAAAAAGTTTATTGTGCTAAATAATTCTGTTTCCTTGATAGATGGCTCACACTCACTTTTAGTCTGAAAATCTGGTCTCAGGCAACCTCACAGTAAGAAACTAATGGCTGTTTACTGCTGCAGAAGGCAGCAAAATTGCTTCTTTAACCCTACTGAAGTTAGTCTATAACAAATCAAATCAACAGACATATTTTTTAGACATTTCTTAGCATGTTGCCATGCTAAGAAACAACAAGATGCGTGAGATAGTGTCTCCTCCTCAACCAGACTGTGAGCTTACTTACAAGTGGGCAAAGTTAAACTGTAACATAAGATTTAAATGAAGAGCAACTATGAGATTGAAATGTGATGGGATTCCTTGGTGAGCAAGTAAAACAGACCACAGATGCTACTGGACATCAGAGACTGAAGGGGACCATCAAAGGGTCCAGGACAGGCTTTATCAAGGAAGTGAGATTTGCCCACCTATGAAATCATTGCCCTTTATAGGATTAAAAGATTTGCAATAGGTAAAGATGTTTTCCAAAACAGTATTGTAAATAGTTTTCTTTCTGTCTCTCTGTCTTCTTCCCCTGTAAAGGTTTTTTTTTTTTTTTTTTTTCATTTTTTTTGTTGTTTTCCTTAATAGGTAATTTTTTATATATATACTTTAAGTTCTGGGATACATGTGCAGAACATGCAAGTTTGTTACATAGGTATACTCATGCCATGGTGGTTTGCTGCACCCATCAACCCGTCATCTACATTAGGTATTTCTCCTAATGCTATTCCTCCCTGAGCCCCCACCCCCCGACAGGCCCCAGTGTGTGATATTTCCCTCCCTGTGTCCATGTGTTCTCATTGTTCAGCTCCCACTTATGAGTGAGAATATGCGGTGTGTGGTTTTCGGTTCCTGTGTTAGTTTGCTGAGAATGACGGTTTCCACCTTCATCCATGTCCCTGCAAAGGACATGAACTCATCCCTTTTATGGCTGCATAGTATTCCATGGTGTATATGTGCCACATTTTCTTTATCCAGTCTATTACTGATGGGTATTTGGGTTGGTTGCAAGTCTTTGCTATTGTGAATAGTGCTGCAATAAACATACGTGTGAATGTGTCTTTATAGTAGAACGATTTGTATTCCACTGGGTACATAGCCAGTAATGGGATCGCCGGGTCAAATGGTATTTCTAGTTCTAGATCCTCGAGGAATCGCCACACCGTCTTCCATCATGGTTGAACTAATTTACACTCCCACCAACAGGGAAAAAGTGTTCCTATTTTTCCACATCCTTTCCAGCATCTGTTGTTTCCTGACTTTTTAATGATCGCCATTCTAACTGGCATGAGATGGTATCTCATTGTGGTTTTGATTTGCATTTCTCTAATGACCAGTGATGATGAGCTTTTTTTATGTATTTGTTGGCCACATGAATGTCTTCTTTTGAGAAGTGTCTGTTCATATCCTTTGCCCACTTTTTGATGGGGTTGTTTGCTTTTTTCTTGTAAATTTGTTTAAGTTCTTTGTAAATTCTGGATATCAGCCCTTTGTCAGATGGATAGATTGCAAAAATTTTCTCCCATTCTGTAGGTTGCCTGTTTACTCTGATGATAGTTTATTTTGCTGTGCAGAAGCTCTTTAGTTTAATTAGGTCCCATTTGTCAATTCTGGCTTTTGTTGCCATTGCTTTTGGTGTTTTAGTCATGAAGTCCTTGCCCATGCCTATGTCCTGAATGGTATTGCCTAGGTTTTCTTCTAGGGTTTTTATGGTTTTAGGTCTTATGTTTAAGTCTTTAATCCATCTTGAGTTAATTTTTTATAAGGTGTAAGGAAGGGGTCCAGTTTCAGTTTTCTGCTTATGGCTAGCCAGTTTTCCCAGCACCATTTATTAAATAGGGAATCCTTTCCCCATAGCTTCTTTTTGTCAGGTTTTCAAAGATCAGATCGTTGTAGATGTGTGGCATTATTTCTGAGGCCTCTGTTCTGTTCCATTCGTGTATATATATATATGTGTGTGTGTGTGTGTGTGTGTGTGTGTGTGTGTGTGTGTGTTTTGGTACCAGTACCATGCTGTTTTGGTTACTATAGTCTTGTAGTATACTTTGAAGTCAGGTAGTGTGATGCTTCCAGCTTTGTTCTTTTTGCTTAGGATTGTCTTGGCTATATGGGGTCTTTTTGGGTTCCATATGAAATGTCAAGCAGTTTTTTCTAATTCTATGAAGAAAGTCAATGGCAGCTTGATGGGGATAGCATTGAATCTATAAATTACTTTGGGCAGTATGGCCATTTTCACAATATTGATTCTTCCTATCCATGAACATGGAATGTTTTTCTATTTGTGTCCTCTCTATTTCCTTGAGCAGTGGTTTGTAGTTCTCTTTGAAGATGTCCTTCACATCCTTGTAAGTTGTATTCCTAGGTATTTTATTCTCTCAGTAGCAATTGTTAATGGGAGTTCACTCATGATTTGGCTCTCTGTCTATTATTGGTATATAGGAATTCTTGTGATTTTTGCACATTGATTTTATATGCTGAGACTTTGCTGAAGTTGTTTATCAGCTTAAGGAGATTTTTGGCTGAGACAATGCTGTTTTCTAAATATATAATCATGTCTTCTACAAACAGAGACAATTTGACTTCCTGTCTTCCTATTTGAATACACTTTATTTCTTTCTCTTGCCTGATTGCCCTGGCCAGAACTACCAACACTATGTTGAATAGAAGTGTTTGCTTGCCAGTAGGCTGTCTCTTTTTAAACACATGAGACATCTTAATGATCCATCAGTCCAATGACATTTTAAAAAATAGGCCACAGCACTAGCCATTTGGGGAAACTCGGCTATGCTGTCTACTGCCTATTATGTTAAAATGACATGAGGACAAGCTGTCCTCCCTAGAACCGAATACATTCCCCCATGTGTGTCCTCACACAATTCTGGGTTCTAGGCCCTTAAAGCTTTATTTATTCTTTTCAGAACAACATGCCTACTCACTTCCAGCAGCATACCTGTGTACACACACACACACACACAAACACACATACATGCATGAATATACACTGTGTAATCTTGCTCAAGAAATATACTAGCTATAGCCCTTTAGTATAAATTTTCTTCTGTTAGCAATATAAGAAAGTTTATATTTCTCTTCTTTTTTAAAGTAGAAATTATTAAGTGTATGCAAGAATCCAATGGGTAAGCACCATTCTTTCCAAAGAGGTTATGATTTTATTAGAACTAAATAAAGGGTTATTGCACAGTAACTCTACAATTAGCTCACACTGCCAAAGGACAATGATGGCAGTGTTTCCCAAGAATTGATGAGGATCCCAGGTGTTTTGAACTCAGGTGATTATTCTCACAACTCCAGCAACTAGTCAACTTGCCGTTTTAAGTCCCAAGCACAAAGAATTTGTCTGTAATATCCAAGGCAGGGCAATATCAAAATTCTGAATTGTTTGGAAAATACTTTGTTTTGTAAAGAAAAGAGCTGTAATGTATTAACTTTTCACGGATGTGAAACAGAACAGTTCAAAATTACCCAGTCAATTAGTTTTTCAAGCCAACATGCCTTCAACTGTAAAAACTGTATAAAAATCTACTGCAATTCAGAGGAAATAACCCAAGGAGTTTCTAAATCTCCACTAACTTTTAAGCAATCTAGTCACATTTAGTAGCTCGTAACATTGACTGATCTGTTTTCTATGAAATGAAATCTGAGCTGCATTCCGTTAACACCTCTTCTCCTGCTCCTTATCTTTCTCTTCTTTGGCCCTCTTCCTCTCACCTCAAGTAGGAATAGTACAACCTAGAAAGCAGACGTAGTACAAGACTCAACTCAGAACAGGGTTCTTGCCCAACATTACTTCTGATAAACTATCTCGTTTCGTGAGTCCAGTTGATTGATTTCTTTGTCACTCTGGATTAAAGAATTACTTCAATACCTTGCAACATTATTGTTATATGTCTCCACAATTCTCTGGGAAGCATTCTTTCTCCTCTCATCTACCTTTCCCCATCCTTCTTGGGATCTCTGGACACTGGAATGGAGCTGTTTTAGCCATAATCTCTCGTAACTAGGAAGTCAAACTAAATTTTCCTCAATCTTCCCACCGTCAGTTGGTGCTCAAGCCTGTAATAAAATTCACGAATTCAGAAGGTCAAGCAACACCAAAATTATAAACTCACCCAATGCTGGTCTATGCAATTAGTATATAAAAGAACAAAAATTAAAGATAAACGGTGGCTTTAAATATTTTCAGCTGACTAAAAGGAAAAGCATGTGAACTTCTGAAGACAAATTGTAACAAGTGTTTGATTTATTACATTAGAATCAAGTAGAGTCTCATGTACTTAGCAGCCAGTAGTTATATATCAGAAAAGAAATTAAACCCCAAATCCCTATAACACAGGAAGAGGGTACATATGTAGTTTATTTTCTCAGATTAAATACCCAGCTTTTAAAGTGATGCAATCATAATTGACATTTTAATAACAAATTAGACAGAGTACCTCTGCACATTAAATAATATAGTTATTTTATACCATGGGTAATAAAATTGTATTTTAAATACCATACATGGCAAAGAAAAATAAAGGTTCCACCTAAAAGTAAATCTCAACCAAGGAAAAAAAAATTTTCCCTGGAAAACTCTTATGTTTTAAACCCAGTGTGGGGATGATGAGAAGCTTTCTGTTTTTACAGTGCTTTCTTCTATTTGCCTTGTATTGATTTAGGTGCAAGCTTTCTAGAATTCTCCATATATAATAGAGGAAGGTACATACAAGGAGCTAAGATTCATACACAAGAAGCCATGACCCACCCATCCCACAAGCTTTAGAGACAGGAAAGACAGTGGTCTCTCCTATATGAAAAGAATAGGGGGAAAATGAGAAAAGAGCTCAAGTTACGCAGCAATTTCTTAGGCCTCCATGACTGGCCAATGATGCAGCTAAGACTGTCACCCCAAACTCCCAACCTTCTAACGTTTAACCCAGAGCTTTTTCTACCACACCTTGCTGTACCCACACCACAAAAATGAAAAATGCATTCCAGAATTCTCAGTCCCAGACACTAGAGAGTGTACAGCAGTGCATAGGAAGCCCCTAAAGAGTCAGACACTTCCCACTCCATACCATTTTACTTCTCACATCTCCAGAGCCTGTCAAAAGTTTGCTTTATGGGAGTGACAGCTGAGTCAACTGTGCTAATTTGGGAGATGGAAGATGTTTTAGAAACTCTACTCTAGGCAAGTTCAGGTTCCTCTTGAATTCAGTTTCTCAAAATAAGAGTTAAGTAGTACATACCTCTTAGTTCTTCCTATCTACCAGGATACCACAGCCATCTTACCAAAAAAAAAAAGATTTCACTTACTGCCTGCTTACTACCAGATCTATCAAATCCGAAGCCTCAGCCACACTTGAGCCTTCCTGGTTTCATGCACCAATCTCTGCCTCATCTAATCAGTTTCTAGGCTTTCTTTCCTCTGACAATTATCCTTCATAGATTTCATCTGTTTAGTCCTTCCTTTCCATGTCCATTTGGAAAACTATATGGATTTTTCATGGTCCTACACAGTGGGCTGTCTGAGCAAAAGACATGTATAAATAGCAAAGAGCCTTGGAAGCCATAGATAGTATATCCCTCCAGAGAGATTTAGAGATGCACCTCCCCAGAGGTTTTTGCTTACATCCCTGGCTAATAAAGCAGAAGATAATTTCCCCTCTCTCCTAGAGAAGATTGGCTAACAATCCAGGGTAATGGGTAACCTCTCCCTCTCTCTTTCTCAAGGGGAGACTGGGAAGATGAGTTAACAACTCTGTAAATGCTCAGTCTGCCAAAATTTGGGGTCCTCTGCTGTGGTGCACCTCATTGCACATGAAGGTGATACTCAACCCTCATGGAGTCATCCTGTGGGGATTAAGACATGTGAAACTGATGCAAGTTGCAGCTCTAGCTGCTGTTTTTTGCCGTGAGTACTGAATCATCTGTGTCTGTAATTCAGGGGTCTTCTGTCTTCTGTCAGTATTTGTATCTAAAATTGGGGCCAACTAACTTATTTGCTTGCAAGTGGAATAAAATCTTGGACCCTTCATAGGGTGACTTAACACCCACTGCCAATGCCTTAGATTAGGTCCAAATCATCTGCTCATCTGATTTCAATTTATTCAGTGTTTTCCTATCTTCATTCTCTCCCCCTGTTGAATATATTCTCTTTTTAGTCATTAGAGTTATCGTCTAAAACTCAATTCTCATGCTAGCCTTCCCCTGCATAAAGCCTTCTACAGGATCACACATGCTTTGGGCAAAATGATTAAGCTGCTTAGCATGATGTTGCACAATCTGGGCCTATCCCGTCTCTACTCCAAACCCTGAGCACTCTCTGCCACTTTGCTCCAGTGCTGTCTCAAGCTCTTCTCTGCCTGGAATGCCTTTTAGCACCATTCTCCCCCCACCCACCACCATCTCCACGTGATGAACATCTACCCATTATTTCAATGCCCATCTCAAATACCACCTCTTGTGGGAAGGCTTCCTAAAATCCACCAAGAGTTAGCTGATCTTTTTCCCAGGATCATCTGAAACACTGTTTTTGTGGCTGATGGAGCACACTTACTAATATTCTTTATTCATAGGTTTGTCTGATCCACTAGATTGTAAGCTGTCTCATTTCAACAGATATTGTCCCCTGCAATACACAGTGTGTATTCAATTAAGAACTGTTGAATAAATGAATAAGAATAAGAATGGAAGTGGAAATATTTTCAAAGGCCTTAGTTCTCATCCTTTCGTCATCTACATGAGGCCCCAACCCTCACAAAATCTTGTGACAATTTCCAGTGAAGCCATACATGTTATGTTCACAGGCTGCTACATGTGCAGGGAAGAATGACAAGCAGGGCTACTGTGCTTTATCATTAAAAAGTGCATTTCCCATTACATACCCTCGCCACCTCTTCAACCACAGGCATCCCTCTATCACCAAAACCGAAGTGATCTCAGAGAGTTGAGAAACAGATAACCAAATAATAGTTAATTTAGATATGTGAGTCATGTTTGAAACATTTAAAGCCTTTTGTTTATTAACATTTTATTTACTAAGACTCTTAATGACTCCCTGTTCCACTTGGTCAAGGAAACGAAGTTATTTCATCCAGAAATGCAATTACTTCTCCTGGCCTTCAAATCTGAAGTGCAAACAAGTTTGATGAACCTGATTCTTAAGCTGGAGGATCAGTCTACTGGGCTTCATGGCTGGCTGCCAAAAGAAGGATTCACTGGAAAAATGATGAACGAGGCCACCAATCATGAAGGAAAAAAACAGAGCAAAGTCTGAAACACTGAAAACAGGAGAAGGAAGATATCAGGTAACATTTTCATTGGGACTGAAACTTTAATTGGGAGAATAAGTGTTCATTACAGACTGTGTCCCTGGAATACTTTGGCTAAGAGATTCCAATGAGTGTTAAAATCATTACTGAATGGCCTCAATCTAAACAAACACCCACCTTTTCCATTTCACACTGAGATGAAATTACTTTGCTGTGTACAACAAAAAAAAAAAAACCCCTGGGGTTGTCAGTTTCTCCTTTCCCAGAGGGGTTGTGAAAGTTCTTTTTCCTTCTCCTTACTCCTCTGCTCAAATTTAGATGTTAGTCTTGTGAAAGTTTTCAATCTGGCACTCAGACTATTGCCCCACAAGCAACACCAACATCTCTACCCAGTGCAAGGCTGATTTTCCACATATGCACATGCAAACACAGGGCCGTCCCCTCTCAGCAGAGGAAGCTCTGACAAGCATCTGAGTGGTGCGGGGAAAGAAAGCTCAGCGTTGTTTATAACAAGAGTCATCACGGACCAGGAAGAACAAAGCAGCAAGAACTGACAAAGAAGATGATACCCAGAGCACAAGGAAGAAGTAGTTTTGTTGGAAGAAATGTCCCTCCTATATTTTCACTTATTCTGGATTTCTGTGGCTCACTCCTAATTGACAGATCAGGAAATGCAGAGGTTTTCTCCAGTAAGCCAGGATCATTAGCATGCAAGAACCCGAGGCTTTGTGCCTACAGCAACTTTTTGTTACAAAGAAGATAAAAATGATGTATTGTATATTATATTCCATCAGCAGAGATCATGAAGATCATAATACTTGAAATACAGCCTTGCCTCACCCCACCTATCAATAGATAGATTGCGTGGTGCAGTTTGAGGGCTTCAGCCTGTCTTCTTCTTTATTTTATTTTTTCCAAAGAAAAGCACATAATGAAACCTGTAAAGCAAATCACTCAAACGAGTGATTGGAAACAAATGAAAATGAGTAGTGTTTAAATAATTAACACCTGCCAAATGAGGACGAGCAGCCTTATTGCTGATATTAAATCATGTCCTTTAACGTCTGAAACAGATGACAGTAAGTAATTCCAAACAGACAAGGTGAAGCTAATTTTTAGTTCTTGGAAAGTTGAATGAGTTTCAGTAAAGTTGACCAAAAAAAAAAAAAAAGGGCTTCATTTTGATTTAGTCAATTCTACTTCAGAAAGCTGGGTTTGCATTAAACCTTTTCTTTGGTTTAACATACTATAAATGAACAGCTTTAAGTCATGGTTTAAAATATATTCATTATTCAGTAAGCTAATGATGTATGTTCCACCTGGTTGCTGTGGAGCCTTGTAAGTAAAAATTGAGGGTAGTATTTTGTTACCAAGAAAAAATATTAGCCTTGCCAAGTTTCCAGTCAATAAATATAACTTACAATAGTGCTGCCAGATAGGCAAATAAAGATGCCTCCTGCCCACCCACCCACCAACAGGAGAAAACCAAAAGAGAAGTGTTATCCTAATCTGGACCAAGATTTAAAATGTCATAAGCACTAGGCAAAATAATCCTTAGCTCTATTAATGTATGAGGAAGAAAAAGACATAATATGGCTTAAATAATGCCATGGTTTAAAGAGTAACTAATGAAAACTCCAGCAGCTCTCTGCATTCCTATCTCACCTGGGGTTTTATGCCCAGTCATTGAATTAGACTTGAGTGACAGCCTTCAAGGCCAAGGGTTGGCTTCCAACTCCGCCTCTTGGGCTGCAAGAGTTGGGAACTACAGCAGGGCCCTTAACTCAGAATTCTACCACTTCACCTAACCCTGCCTCCAGACGAAGCAACAATGAGACTGTCTGCAGTCATGTTTCATTTCTTATTTTGTTTTGTGGAGGGTGGCGGTTGAGGAAAGCAGGTGATGGTGATGACGCTAACTCCCCTTCGCGTTAATGGGACCATTCATTTTAATTGGACTTAGTGTTGCAACCACCTTCTTATAAATTAACAAGGTTCTTTGACAATCCAGATGCTTCGTATTAAAACATGTTTGGAAAGTAACTACTCTGCACCTGAAATGGTCCACTTTAGATATCTTGGCTATTTAACAGGGTGTGTGCGGTGTGTGGTGTGTGGTGTGTGGTGTGTGTGGGTGTGTGGTGTGTGTGTTTGTGTGTGTGTGTGTGTGTGTGTGTGTGTGTGTGTCTTCCAAAACCGTACAGGAACATTGTCTCCAACAAGAAGTAACTGCTCATAAAAATGTTAGCCTGGTTAGAACCAGGACAATGGCAGCACTTAAGATATGAGAGGCAATGAGCTTGCTTCTTTTTTGCTGCTCTTCTCTCAAACACAGCTTCATTATTAGAACATTGTTTGGAAAATGTTATCATCTGATCTAACAGCATGTTCCTCAGAAAATGAGTTGGTGCCTACTATCACATGATCAGAAGCCATCAGTAATCTAATTACTCTGGGAACCAAATCTGACATGACATGAGCTCCTCCTATTTTTCTTCTTCTTTTCTGAAACCAAACCTCTTCACATCATTGCATTTTAACCAATGAGAGATTCTGTTCCTGGTAGGCAGACCATGGGACCCAGAGGAATATTTCCAGGTAAAGACACCAGCTTGATCACAGTCCAAAAAGCTTATCTCTCCCCCATCAAAAAATCTAAGCGTGCCTTCCCCCTCCCCCACATCAGAATAGTTTCACAAATACTATACAAATTGCTAGTACCACCTACTGGCAAAAAAAGCAGAACCAACCTAATAACTCTTAAGAGAAAGCAGGAAATGCTACCTAAAGACAGGCCCTCCTGATGCTCGGTGTCTTGAGTAACAACAGTGGAACCCAAGTCACCTAATTCCACAAGGATATGTTTTGAAATATAATTCTATGTTTGTGAAAAGCTTTTTAAGTCGTGGGTATATGGGGATCCATTATTATTCCCATACCATAGATGAAAAGTGAAGTGAACTACCTAAATTAAAATATAAAGTCAGTAAAAACTTTCAAGCTGGACTTTATTTTCTTTCACCTTTACTTTAAGAAATGTCTTTTTATTCATTATATACTGTAAATCAGTACCTGTGGTTAAACCTGAGATTTTTTTGCTGTGGGACCTCTGGACAAGTAAAAAAGCATAAGATACTTGAAGTTATGATATGTGGGGTTTTTTTCCATCTTCACCACAAAATTCACAAGTTATATAATATCCCTGATGACTTAGTTTTCTCATGTGTAAAGTGGGTACAATTACATCTTTAAAATCCACAGAAAATATATAAGGTTATAATCACATACTTGGAAATGTTTTTTAAAAATTAAAAAGTAAGAAAGAACGGGGAGGAGCAGAAAGGAAGTGAAGGAAAGAGGAGGGAAGGGAAAGAAAGCAAAAGAAAGTCAAGAGAAGAAGAGAAGGGGAAAAGAAAGAAGAAAAGGGGACAAAGAAGGGCAGAAAAGGGCAGATGAGGGGAGGTCAGAGGAAATGAGAGAGAAAATTAAAAAGACTTCTCCACACATTCAAAGCATTAGATTACGTTTGGACAGTACGTTTCAGCCAGTTAGAAATGTTGGCCATTTGTATTAAGTGAAACTAATTAAAACTATCATGCGGGTCATTCTCACACTAATACAATTTTCAGTTTCTAACATAGTACTCTAATGTGTGAGATTCATGTTTGCTTTTCCAAAGATGGCAAGGCCTAGGGTAGACAGTATGAAATAAGATGCCATCCCACTTAATTTATTGCATTGCTGACTAATTATTCCATGAGAGTTAGTCTTGCCAGTCTGGTTCTTTTTATTTTTTCCAGCTTTATTGAAGTAGAATTGACAAATTCAGTCTGTTCTTTTAGAGGGCAAGGAACTGGCATTGTTGCAGTCTTCTGTTTAGCCCCAAAAAGTCTAGAATGAGATTAGCCACGGAAAGGAAAGCCAATATTCTTGCTTTATTAGGGCTTTGCATTAGTTGCTTCTCCCACCCTGCCTTTCTTATGTTCCATCTTCATGTTTCTACTTTTTCCCCCTCATTCCATTCCAGGTTAATTCACAATGCAACATAGTAGTTGAAGCTTTGGAATTACATAGACTGGATTCAAATTTTAAATGCCAAAAGCCACAATTACTTTTGCACCAACCTAATACCTTGCTAGATGAATGTCTTACAGAAATTCTTTCATTCCTTAATTTTTTTGCTCTTCATTGCACAAATGTCTTCTATGTACCCACTATGAATCAAGCATTGCTCCAGGAGGATTCAGGGGTAAAAAGAGACAATTTCTGCCCTTAGGGAGCTTACACACCAGTATATTCCAATTGTCATCAAAAACGAAAATGAGTTTCAAAAGGATGAAATGTGGGTGATTTACTTAGCTCAGTGTTTGGAACACAGCAAGTGCTCACCAATGGCAGTTCAAATTTTTTGTTACCTAGGACAACAGCTAAAACAGGGAAGCTCTGTCTCTGAACACCATCAAGAGTTACAGAACCATGATTTTCATTTGAAGTAATTAGGTTAGTCACATTTCCGAAAGAACAACCACAGCTGGTCAGTTCAAACAAAAGTCCCAGCCAGGGTTAAAATACAGTAGCTTAGCCATCAAGGATGTATAGGCCACACGTCTTGCTATTGGGCATACAGAGACATAGGCCTTTCCAGATAACTATCCTCTGGAGTGATATAGTAAGAAGGAGCACAGCATAGTGGAATCCATCCAGTATATTCAGTCTTCATTATTAGTTTTGTGGCCTTATCTAAGTTTCTGACTTTCCTTGAAATCCAGCTTATACACCTACCAATATCATCCCATTTTCTGTTTCCTTTTTCTGAAATGCTTTTCCCTGGGATATCTGCTTGCCCTTCTGCTTATCCAAGAGAACTTGCCTGATCAGCTATATAAAATAGCAGCCTCTCACATTCCAGTTGCACTCTATCCACGTATTACCTTTCATTTACCTTCATAGCATGTCATTTCAGATGACATTACAGATTTGTTTATTCATAGGGTGCTTGACTTCTCAACTCTAGAATGTTGGCAAAGATGTTGTCACTGCTAAAACCCCAGCATTTAGAACAGGTCTCGATCCAAAGTGCTGCTCTGTAAGTATTTGTTTAAAAAATGAAAAAATACATCAAAAATTGCCTACAAGTTTACTAAGATCATACATCTATTGAATTCTACCCGTTGGATGTTTTAGTGCTTAGAGGAGTCCCTTGACCCCAAGTTATGAATCTTTGTAAATCCTAGCTTGTTCATCTAACATCCAAATGTTAGATCATTAAGTCTAGCATATCAAATATTGCTCTTAGGCTTTTTAGTTGAGGTCCTCCTGAATATGGAAAGACCTATACCCACCAAAAACTTTAAGTAAAGAACACTACAGAGAAAAGAAAGTCTTCTTTTTGATCTCTTCTTTGTTGTCTAGACCAGTGGGTCTCAAACTTTAGTCTGTGTCAGAACCACCTGCAAGTCTTGTGAAAATGGAAATGATTGAGCCCTGCCCCCAGAGCTTCTGGTTCAGTAGGCTTAGGGCGAGGCCCAGGAATTTGCATTTCTAACAAGCTCTCGTGATGCAGATGCTGCTGGTTAGAGGACATGTTTTGAGAATTTCATCTGATTTCACAATGAAGAAATAAAAACTGCTACAAGCCTTCCCACTTTCACCCTGACTCTGTCTCGGCTCACTCTATAAGAGAAGTAATAATTGCATTTACTCCCTGATTTAACAAACTTGAAAGTTATGTTCTGGGAGTGTGGGCAAGTTTTGTGTTTTAGTTCTATAATGAAATCTGGGCTTCAGCATCATTAACCAATCTGCTTCATAATGAAAATTAATTATTATGGTCATTAGACTAAATGGTTTCTGTCATCTGCAAAGACATAATTGGTACGGAAAATTGTCTCACAAATATGAAATAATCAATCAGCAAAGGCTGACTATACCCATGGTTTTTTTCTTTACTAGTTTCCAATGGAGCAGCCCAGAAGTCACTTTGGAACAGAAAGAAGTGGGGAGGCAGTGAGCTACTCTAACAAGGAATGGAAGATGTGTGGCCTAAACAGTAAAACATCTTCTTTAAAGTACAATTTTCATAGTTTCAGGGGAAAAGGCAAACTCATAGAGAGGCCATGGAGAGGGGGCTGGAGGAAAGTTCTTTCTCCAAGGCAAATTCTACAAATATGGCACCCTCTTGACAGATTTAAAGTAATATGATAACATGACAGTTGAAACAATGGTGATAAAAATTCAGTGGAAGAAGCAATAGGAAATATGTATAATCAAAATATCAAAAGTGATATTAGGAAGGAGAGAGTCTCAGTAGAATGGCTATTTTATGGACTCACCAATGCCTCCTCCAATCATGCTGGTAAGCTTGCTTCCTCTGATGTTAGAACTTGACTATACCTCTGAGAGAAAGAGTTCATCAATCCCCTGGGATTGCCAGAGGGTCCTTGCTCTGCAATCAGTGTGCTTCAAAGGTTCATTTGTATTAAAATTCAACTTGCTTAGAACTAGGTTCTCCTTTTAAGCCTGTTTTCCTATTTGTCTGAATACACAAATCTACAAAGCCATCTAACAAATATTTATTTAACACCTACTTCGGCAGGGTGCAAAATTTAAAAAGCATTTATTGGTAACTGGGATAAGGGGAAAGGACAAGATTATAAAAGAAATAGAAATCTTTTTCTTTACCCTTAAGAGTTTAAAATCTGGTCAGAGACTAAAATAAACAAAAGTAATTACATCAGAACAATACAAATTAACATATCTTCCAGTAAGACTATAAGAGCAATTTAATTAGAGAAGAAAATTTTCTTTGTGGATTAGCATGAAGAAATATCAAATGCAGACTCAGATGCATCTGTGGGTATAGATAAATATTTCTATGAATGAGATGCTGATTTTGACCCCAATATACTCACAAAACAAATGGATGTTGACATATGCCAAGATGACTGGGATCATTTAAGCTGATAAATAAATTACTAAATTAAGCAGCCTCAATCAAGCATTATTTGTAGGGGTACCATGCTACCAAAGTTTATCATGTTTGCTTTGAAGAAAAGTTCTTCATGCAGAAATGTGGCTAATTGTACATTGTTCTAAATAATATCAGATGGAGAAGGTTGCAATTTAGGGAAGATTGCTCCTAGGATAACAATATTAAACAAACATACTAATAATGGCCTAGTGTGAATCCAAAAACAGGGTCAGCTATTCTGTGAATTCTCCCCCTCCCTCCCTTGAGGAACTAAGAGAGGATGTATTGAACCCAAAGCAAACTGAACCATTCACTTTCCATTTTGAGCCCACTTCTGGCCCTGATTGCAGTGTAAGCATTTGGCTTTTTTATGAGTTGCTTCATCAGTACCAACTAGAAAAGGACTTGAACACAGAGAGCCCTTGAACATGCAAAGTCTAATTGTCTTCATTAAAATGAAGAAACGGATGCATCCATCTATCTCAGTGGGAGCTAGTTGCTTACATGTATCTGAGGGATTTGGCTGAGTACAGCTCTTTTTTTTTTTTTTTTCCAATTCCCATTGTTTGTAACAAGTCTTTTATCATCTTGAAGTCTGAATTAACATTTCTGTCTCCACCAGTTTCGTTGTTTTTCCATTTGGCAAACTCTAGGTTTTTCCTGTTGTCTTCCCTTTGGGTCATGAATTAGCATAGTTGTGCAATGTTTATTGTTTGTTACGCCTTTATTTTTTGATGTCATCCTTAAAGATGTCAAATCTTCCTTGAGCCGTACTGGAAAACCCAAAGATTTCCATGAAGCAGGGGTCTGGGAAAATGGAATATTTGATGGAAGCCTATGGCTTTATTGGTGAAGCTGTTTTGTTTTAAGCATACTCAGCATGCTTTTCTCTTAGGGACTAATTCAGTAGCATGTAATTCCCCTACACACACACACACACAAACACACACACACACTCCATTGTTTCAACTGCAGAGTCAGCACAGCAGCTGTGGATAATAGAGTCAGTAAGCAGTCGGTAAGCATTGTGTTTAAGTTTCATCTTTGGGTGAAATACCTCCTGGATTCAAATCCCAGTACTGTCCCTTACCAGCCACATATAACCCCTCAGAACTTGAGTTTTAGCCTCTATTAAATAAGAGGGAAAAAAATATCATTCAGGAGTATTATGAGGAATAAATAATATTGTATATATAAAATGCTTAGCAGGATTCTTACTAAGCCCACTACTAATATACACAAATACCAATAATGATAGCTTTTTAATGATTATGATCACAGCTTAGGAAGCAATATCAAATTTTGATGATCAAATGATCTACCATGTTGATTATTCTGTATGTAAATTATTCAGCAGCGAGTAGAATTATTTCTTATCCCCACACCCCTCACTGCTCTGCTCATACAAACCTCTTCATTTCTTATTCTGACAACTTTTCTTAGGCTGTCAAAGACACAGGAAGTAAAATCATTTGTATTATGATTTCATAACTATAACATAGATGGATTGGGCAGGCAGTTGAATAAAAAAATGGAACATTAGTTGTTAAAGATTCAGTTCCCTCTAGTCTTCCTTCTCCCACTTGAGGAAAGTCAGAAGTGAGGGAGGAAAAATGACATTGCACTAAAGTGTTTTACGGATGTCTTGGGGAAAAATAAATATGCAGTCTACATGCAAGGTATCATTATATCATTATCACACTGCATTCATTTAATAAGAGATTAAAGTGTTCCAGCTCACAGCAACCAAACTTGCTTCAAACTTTCCCATGGTTTCTTTGATATTTTTTATTTGAAGGAGGCTTCCATTTAGAACAATTGCTGTAATATATTGGTTTTAAACTAAAGCCCTCTTGGACATCGGAAGTACCTTTAATCTGATCATAAAATTAACTGCTCCCTTGTTTGCTCAGATTTGTTTCTTCCCAAATTATGGCAACCTCACTTCATCCTATTACGCCAGTAACAACCAGAACATAACTACAGGCCCTTACTCCACTACATTCTAAAATACAATCTTTGAGCCCCTTCTTTCATGGATCCCTGGAGAAACAAGTACTTGTGTAATCCCAGGGATGCTGAAAGGCTGGAAAATAATTTCCACTGCACTGTCTGTGTTACAGATTGGATTCTCCAGAAGTAGACACTAAGGGAGTTTGGGGGTGTGAAGTTTTGTCAGAGATTACACCTAGGAATGGAAGGTGAGGAAACAGGGTGGGGCGGAGGATGACATCAAGTTGTGTCATAGATCAGATCCCACAAAGTGTCAGTTCACCCAGCAGAGTGCTCTGGAGTGACTATTTTTCCTTTAGTGTCTCCCACAGTGCAAACTGTCTAAACTTTTATACCCACTTCTTACTCAGTCACCAGATACAGACAGGGTGGCTTTAGGCAGCTGAGATACATGAAAGGGGCTGAGAACTGGAGGCTCTTTGCCAAATACACTTCCCGTGACTGAGGACTGAGGCAACAAGTCCCTCCTTGAAGAAGATCTGGGCACCTCATCTTCAGACTCCTCCCCTCAGTCCCATCTCCATGGGCTCCACGTAAAAGGAGAGAAACATATGTGCAGCCATATGTTTTCCAGTATTTGACTGGAAAGGACTAAGACAGTCCTTTCCAGTCAAATACTCTGCCAGTAGGAGGAAGAATGACTACAAAGGTGAAGTAGCAATGACCTTTTATTAATAAGAGAGCAATGACCATTTCTAGCATCATCCTTATTCCTCTTTCTTCTAAACTTTTCTTTTCTTCTTTTTTTTTTTATTAGTTCTTACATTCCTGAACAGGCACTGCCTCTTAACTCATAGTCCAAGGCAGAAATTAGGAGCCATCTTTGAGCTCCTCCTCTCCATCACCCCACATAAAATCAGTCATAAGTCTCAGAGTCTCTTCTTACTTCTCCTATACCCCTCCTCTCATCTCTCCACCCACTAACACAACCTAAGATTGGGTGTTATCACCTCGAATTATACTTACTTATCCTTCAAGACTCAGTGAGTGGAACCTCTTCCTGGATGTGTTTCCTTAAAGCTCAACCCTGACAGGCTTCTAGAATAGTTCTTACCATCCTTTATATAATTGCTGACTTACTTTGTATATCTCTCCATCTCTCTACTGCAGTTTAGGCTCATGGAGAACAGGAGCAATGTCTTACTTAAATTTGTTTCCCAGCCTCCAGCACAGTGCCTCACACTCAAAACGGTTCTAAGTATTTGTGTGTTGAATGTACTCATTGCCCACCTGTTGTGTGTGAAGCACTGTGCTAATTTGGGCTTTGGGGTCAAGAAGAACCCACCTCCGCCCTCCAGGAGCTTCAACCTGATAAACACAGAATGGAGTTATAAGAGAGGTGTCACATCAAGGGGATATAGAAAAGGAAAGCAGCACTCAAGAGACTAGAAAGGAAATCAAAGTAGTACCAAAAATAAAAATAAAAAAGAGAGAGAGAGACAGAAAAACTTGAAAATGAGACAACTGTGGGAGGAACACTAAATTAGAGCAGAGCAGAGAAGACACAGAAAGGAAGAAGGTGCTGGAAAGTCTTCTTTCCCAAATTGTCAACTAAGTGATGAAGAGTTTATGTGGAAGGAAGCCAGAGAAGATGTGGTCTGGTCCAGCCATAGTTAAAATGGACAGAGAGAAGATTGATTGAATGAACAAACATATTAATTAATTAATGTTAAATATAAATTTAAATGGTTAGAAGGAAAGAGCTAATCAATTCTTTGTGAATTTTGCTCTCTCACCTTACTATAGTTTCTACTAAGTATGGCAGGAGATTTTAGGGTGAGTTATAAGAACATGCTTCTGTTTAGAAAAGAAACAAATTTAGCAAAAACCTACTCACAATCCAATATAATATTTCATGAGACAAGATCACAAGGCATAATACAAGATTTCACTGGATAGCATCAACAACAGAATAAGGCCCCAGCCCTGCAGGAACTGACAGTCTTACTTTTAACAAACTGAAAGTCATACAACACATTAAGAAGAAAATGAAATAGGCTCTGACTCCTTACAGATATTAGACACATACAAAAAGGATAGAGAAATGAAGTATCATATTTTACACCAGATTGTGATGTTCTTGATCTTGTTCTTCTATGTAACCCCACAACCAACTCAGAAGACAGGCATATAGTAATGAAACCAAGTGAAGAAAGCCTCTTAGAAAAGACAGACTTTAAAATAGAATATATGAATGGGAAGGATGACAAGGAAAGAAAATATTTCCTTCTTAGAAGATAAGTGAGATATGAATCATCATACCAACAGCATTAAAGATATAGGGAATATAAAATCACTTTGAATTGTTAAAATGAAAAAAAGTTCTGGGATTACAGACATGACCCTATTATTATTAACTACCTATTTCTTCTTCAAATTCCTTATTTCTTCTCCATTCTCCATTCCCTCTAATACATTTTTCCTCTTCTCAATTCCCCATTGGTAGACATTACTCAGTTCTCAGTCTTTAGTGCTCTTCTCTTTTCTCTTTCACCACACACAAATTACCTTTAAGATCATCCTAAAATTCTTAGATTTGGTGCTATGTAGTTTTACACACACACACAATTTTCAGCCTGGGACTATTTATTTGAAAGTCACATCTAATGATATCTTTCAAACCCATTTATCCCCTTTTGTGTCCACAACCATTATCTAATCCAGACTGATATGACCTCTCATGTGGATTACTGCAACAGCTACCCAAGTCGGAGCCATCCCAGACACCACTGCCAAATCATTCTAAAATCATTCCTGGTTATCCCTTCCCAAATGCTCTCACGGTTCCCTCTAACCTACAGAATAGACTCCAAACTTCTCACATGTATTTACAACTTTCCATTATCTGGCTCTGCCTATTCACCCATATTGTTACTTATGTCTCAAACAAAGCCTCTGTTCCTTCCAGGCCACCAAGTCTCTATCTGTCCAGTATCTTTGAAGAGCACAAGTCATAATGCTAACTGTGACTGATAGGATGGGAGCTTAAAGATATGAGGCAGCTTAATCTAGAACATTCTGCAAGAAAAGAAAAATGGGATTCAAACTCAAGTGTTCCTCACTCCAAAGCTGTCCTCTTAACCATTGGTATTACAGTCTTTTTCACCCAAAAGCTAGCACTTTTAACCACTACGCCCTGCCTTTTTTATTAATCAAAGCATGTATAACTTACCAAAAGAAAAAAAAACTGTCTAGCTCTGGTCTGGTTAATAACTCTATTAGCTAAGGCTTATACATTGTGCAATTTTCAAAGACAAGTACATATTGCTCTTTTACATAAATATGTGTGCTAAAAAGGATGAAAGTGTATTTGATGGATCCTCACTCCTTGATGCAAAATTAAAAGTAGAAATTTGCTGGGCATGGTGGCTCATGTCTGCAGTCCCAGAGGTTTAGAAGGCTGAGGTGAGAGAATCATTTGAGGCCAGGAGTTTGAGACCAGCTTAGGCAATATAGCCAGACCCCATCTCTACAAAAAATTTAAAAATTAGCCAGGCATGCTTTTGTGCACCTGTAGTTCCAGCTACTCTGGAGGCTGAGGTGAGAGAGTGGCTTGAGCTCAGGAGTTCAAGGCCGCAGTGAGCTACGATCAACCCACTGCACTCCAGCCTGGATGACAGAGTAAGACCCTGTCTCTAAAAAAACAATAAAAATAATGTAAAGGTCTCTATGGAATCAGAAAAAATTCTGTAAGCTAATGAAGACTTTTTAAAAAATAGCTTCTGGGAGAGAAAGCTAAATAGATATATAATTACACACTTCTTTCCTCACGAAGACAATGAACTAGAGTTTGGTCTCTCTTTTCATGCAAATATATGTGCTCATGAATTTATGTCAGTTTCATTCTCTCATTATACTAAAATCAAAGCATATAAATGGCAGTTTCTTCTTTCTTAGTAGTACTGAAGTCTGCAGAGCAGGAATCCAGCCAAAGCCTATAATACTATGTTTGTCAGAGGTTGCGAAGTGGTGGCGTAAAGACTAAATCTGGCCTGCATGTGTGTGCCATTGGCCCTTATGGTGTTTTCTGTTTAATTGAATTAGTCTCAAACATTCAAAAATCAAGACATTTCACATAAAATCCAGATTTCCAGATTTTCTTGGAAAATACAGAGATCTGAAAACACTGGGCCCGCATTCCTGCATGGCAATAATCCCGTAGAATTCCCAAGTCACTGGCAGGCTCCCCCTGGATGGGGGTGAGTTCTCTAATTCACCCTGCCCTGTCATGGCTCTGTGTCTTGAAGACATTTTATTTCACATCCTCAGGTTTTACAGGTGATCAGAGTTTTGAAAATCATTTGTGGAGGAGGGGAGCACAATGAAGAATGTAGGAAGAACAGAGTCTAGGAACTCAGAACATCATTCTAGTGTTTTGTTCGTGTGTTTGAAATTGTTGAAATTCTTTCTTGGAAAGGTGGGAAGTGCATCAAAGCTCTTCATATCTCCTGCTTCTTTTTCCATCTCATCGACTACACTTAAAGCACAAAAAATTTTTAAAGAAGGAAAGGAGAAAGAAGAAAGTAAGAAAAAGAAGAAAGAAAGAAAAGGAAAGAAAGAAAGAAAAAGCGGGGAGGGAGGGAGGGAAGAAGGAAGGAAGGAGGGAGGGAGGGAAGAAGGAAGGAAGGAGGAAGGGAGGGAAGAAGGAAGGAAGGAGAGAGAGAAAGAAAGAAAAAAGAAAGAAAGAGAGAAAGAAAGAAAGAAAGAAAGAAAGAAAGAAAGAAAGAAAGAAAGAAAGAAAGAAAGAAAGAAAAAGAAAGAAAGAAGGAAAGAAGGAAAGAAAGAAAGAGAAGGAAAGAAGGAAAGAAAGAAAGAGAAAGAAAGGAAGCAAGCAAGTAAGCAAGCAAGCTGGGTGTGGTGGCTCATGCCTGTAATCCCAGCATTTTGGGAGCCTGAGGCAGGTGGATCACCTGAGGTCAGGAGTTTGAGACCAACCTGACCAATATGGTGAAACCCTGTCTCTACTAAAAATACAAAAATTAGCTGGACATGGTGGCATGTGCCTGTAGTCCCAGCTACTCAGGAGGTTGAGACAGGAGAATTGCTTGAACCCAGGAGGTGGAGGTTGCAGTGACCCGAGATGGTGCCATTGCACTCCAGACTGGGCAACAGAGCAAGACTCTGTCAAAAAAAAGAAAGAAGGAAGGAAGGAAGGAAGGAATGAAAGGGAAGGGAAGGAAGGAAGGAAGGAAGGAAGGAAGGAAGGAAGGAAGGAAGGAAGGAAGGAAGGAAGGAATGGGAAGGGAAGGGAAGGGAAGGAAGGAAGGAGAAAGAGAGAGAAAGAAAAGGAAGGGAAGGGAAGGGAAGGAAGGGAAAGAAAGAAAGAACCAACTCAAGAGATAAGAGAATTATTTTAATTTCCTTTTTTCACAACTCTCATCTCTGTCCTAGCCCCCATGCCTCAATTTGGAAGACAATTATAGTTATGAGTTGATCAAATTTTATACAGAAAACTGTGATATTTTAATAGTAACTTACAAAACAAACTGGAAGAAAATAATACAATAGCTTGAGGAAGAATCAGATTATAGCATGAAAAGTAACCTCAGAGATTGTGGGTATATATATATATAATTAAGAAAAAAAAGATAACCAAACATAATACTGGGGAATGACACAAAGGATATTCTTAACACGGAATCAAGCAGAGTCAACAAGATTTTTGGTTTGAAAGGCATCTTCAAGGATGTTTTATTTTATATGTATATATATTTTGAAAAGCAACCTCAGCAATTCTCAAGAAGTTATTATGTCATTTCTTTCTATGCTGCTGAATAAAAGAACCTGTGATTAAGTAGCAGTTCATGATTTAAGGAACCAATAGAATTCATTGGACATTTTATAAGAGCTTTTCTAGTGGCTTCCTACCTCTGAGGAGCTAGTTTCGATTTATATGTTGTAATTAATCAGATAGCTAGAGCCAGAGAGAATTCATCAAAGAAAATGGAAACTTATTTTTGTGTAATTAGCTACTCTGATGATTGATCAGTTAGTCACTTTATTTTTTTTCTGTTCACTGCCAATTCTGACTATATATTTTATCTTATTATCCAGGAATCTTCAAATGGAAAAACCTAGTAATTTCTCTTGCCCTGCTTAAGTGTCAATGAAGAGAATAATAGAAGAAAAGCTCTTTCTAAAACTGGTTTTCCAAACTTTATATGTGAACTCCTTTCTAAATATTGGAATTCTATTCTTCCCATAGAAGTGGCTGTGCTCCACAATATAAGAACAGAACAGCAGATTAAGTAACAAAGCAAGGACTTACTAGATAATCAGGATGTTAAAGAGGAAAGTGGACTTTCTGGTTTGAGGTTAGAACAATCCATTCAAAATCTTCTGGAAAACACAGAGAAAGCTTAACTAATTTGAAAATTATTGCCATTCTTTTTTTTCCTGAGCTACCACCAATTTATTCATTCCCTTTTTGAAAATCTCCTCTATTTTTCATTTGGCAAACAGATTTTCTTCATTGCTTCATACTGATGGGGGGTAAGAGGGAGTAATGTCTTCTTATGTATAAAGTAAACCATATGAATGTGTAAATTTAGACAAATGGGGAAATAAATGGATGGTTATTATGCAAATAGCAAAAGCCAAATGAATACGTAAACTTTCTTAGACCACAGTGGCGCCTTCTCAAAGAAGTGTTCCCTTTGCTCTTTCCTTTAAGTTTCACAAGCCTTAAGAACCAAAATCAACTCAAGAGATTTAGCTTTCAGCCCTTGGCTTTTATTTACTTCTTCTTCTTCTTCTTGGTCTGAAGTAAACTGGCCAGTCCTACTATAGATAAGCACATGTAAAGAAGATGAAAGAATTAGGTGATAGGATTTTGCTATAAAGCAAATAAACTAAGTTTATGTAGTTCTTTCAAGTCCACCAAACAAACATGAATCTACTAGTAGAAAACTATCTTACACCTTTTGAAACTCTTAATGTTCAGTCCCTCCCAGCATGCAAAGTACTTTTCATCTATAAAACTTTGAAAAATGAGAGGATCTTAGAAGGTAACTGGGGCAATACTCTTCAATAGCAATACTCTTAATCTTCTTAGATTCTTTACCATTAAGTTTAAGTACTAGAAACTCAAAAGTTTTTTAAAACTCTCACTGCCCTTTTGAAATTGTAAACTAACAGGGTGTCTTCTTTCCTGGCCACCTTTTCAGATGAGAGCTGCTCAGATTGTTGGTGTATGCATTGGATGAAAGCTCTTCCAAGCCTTCTGTCTTTAAACTGGCTTATTTCTTTTCAGTCTTTGAAATTATGTTACTGATGGCCCTTTGAATAACCAAATCTAGAAGACTTTTCCCATACATCATTATCCTGCATCAAGGGTCTCTTCTCCAAATTACTGATCTCCACTATCTTCCAGCCCCTCTGGGAAGAGCTGAGGTTTCAGTGTTAATATTTGGCATTTCCACTCCCTGGCCATTGGAATATTTTTTTTCCCCAATCTCAACTCTCTGTCACTGAAGCAAGAAATAATTTATTCTTCTAATCAATAGGTACCGTTACAAACCTTCATATGTTAGATGAAAGCAAAGACTCCATCTCAGGCTCAGGAGAACCCCGACACCTCCCTGTATTCACTCTCTGTCCTTTCTGCCAAGGTGTTATGTGTTTCACCACTCTTCCTCTGAGTGTATCAATAGAAGGGAAATTAGAGGCTGGGACCTACAACTACCATTTGGATTTTGACCTCGACTTCACCATTTCATCCTGTGTCTTTCGTGGATCAATTTTATGGCATTTGTGGAACTGAGATACCTCAGATGCCCCCTGAACCCTCATGTATTCATCAGATCATGTGACAAAATTCTATCTTCAAATGCTGGTAGCCATGGGGGTTGATGGAGTCAGCTACTGTCTGCCATTACTGCTTGGGGCCATGGCCATAACAGGGAGTGAGGATTATATGTATCATCCAAGGAATAGGAGGAGGGACGAGGGCCTCTATTGGTCTATGTGACTGTTTTTATATAACACCATGCTGTTTTAGTTACTGTAGATTTATAGTATAGTTTAAAGGTGAATAATGTGATGCCTCTGGCTTTGTTCTTTTTAGAATTGCTTTGGCTATTTGGGCTCTTTTTTTGCTTCCATGTGAATTTTAGAATCATTTTTTCTAGTTCTATGAAAAAATGACATTGATAGTTTGATAGGAATAGCTTTGGGCAATATTGCCATTTTAATGATATAGATTCTTCCAATACATGAGCATGGAATGTTTTTCCATTTGTTGTTGTCATCTATGGTTTCACTCAGCAGTGTTTTGTAGCTCTCCTTGTAGAGGTCATTTACCTCCTTGATTAGATATATTCCTAGGTAGTGTGTGTGTGTGTGTGTGGGGGGGGGGGGGCTATCATAAATGTTATTGCATTCTTGACTTGGATTTCAGCTTGAATATTATTGGAGTACAGTAATGCTACTGATTTTTGTACAGTGACTGGATCCTGAAACTTTACTAAAGTCATTTATCAATTCCAGGAGCCTTTTGGCAGAGTCTTTAGGGTTTTCTACGTATAGAATGATATTGTAAGTGAAGAGAGATAGTTTGACTTCTTCTTTTTCTATTTGGGTGTCTTATTTGTTTCTCTTGACTGATTGCTCTGGCTAGGACATGCAGTATTATGTTGAATAGGAGTCGTGAGAGTGGGCATCCTTGTCTTGTTTCAGTTCTCAAGGGGAGTGCTTCCAGTTTTTGCCCATTCAGTAATGGCTTGGATTTGCCATAGATGACTCATTATTTTGAGGTATGTTCCTTCATTGCCTAGTTTCTTGAGGGTTTTTATCTTGAAGGGATGTTGAATTTTACTGAAAGCCTTTTCTGCATCTATTGAGATGACTATATGGTTTTTGTTTTTAATTCTGTTTATGTGATTAGTCACGTGTATTGATTTGCATATGTTGAACCAACCTTGCATCCCAAGGATAAAGCCTACTTGATCATGGTGAATTAACTTATTGATGTGTTGTAGGATTTTGTTTGCTAATATTTTGCGAGGATTTCTGCATCTATGATCGTAAGAATTATTGGCCTGTAGTTTGGTTGTGTCTGTGTGTGCGTGTGTCTTTGCCAGGTTTCGGTATCAGGGTAATGTTGGCTTCATAGAATGAGTTAGGGAGGAGTCCTTTCTCCTCAATTTTTTGGAATAGTTTCAGTAAAATTAATACCAGCTCCTCTTTGTATATGTGGTAGAGTTTAGCTGTGAATCTATCTGATCCAAGGATTTTTTTGGTTGATAGGTTTTTTATTAGTGATTCAATTTTGGAACTCAGTATTGGTCTGCTCAGGGTTTCAATTTCTGCCTGATTCAATCTAGGAAGATTGTGTGTTTCCAGGAATTTCTCAATTTCCTCTAAATTTTCTAGTCTGTGTGCATGGAGGTGTTCATAATAGGCTCTGTGGATATTTTGTATTTCTGGGAGAATAGGTTGTAATGTCACCCTTGTCATTTCTAATTGTACCTATTTTGATCTTCTTTTCTCTCTTTTTTTCCTTTGTTAATCTAGCTAGCAGTCTGGTGATCTTGTTTATCATTTCAAAGGACCAACTTTTGGGTTCACTGATTCTTTGCATAAATTTTTGGGTCTGAATTTCATTCAGTTCCACTCTGATTTTAGTTATTTATTTTCTTCTGCTAACTTTGATATGAGTTTGTTCTTGTTTTACTAGTTCCTCTATGTGCAATGTTAGATCATTAATTTGAGATCTTTCTAACTTTTTGAAGGTGGCGTTTAGCACTATAAACTTTCCTCTTAACAACTGCTTTTGCTGCATCGTAGAGATTTTGGTATGTTGTGTCTCTGTTTTTATTTATTTCAAATAATTTTTTGACTTCTGCCTTAATTTCTTTGTTTATCCAAAAGTCATGTAGTAGCAAGTTGATTTTCATGTAATTGTGTAGTTTTGAGTGATCTTCTTGGTATTGAATTCCATTTTTATTCCACTGTGGTCCAAGAGTATGGCTGGTATAATTTTGTTTTGTTTTGAATTTATTGAGACTTGCTTTATGGCCAAAAATGTAGTTGACCTTAAAGTATGTCCCATGTGCAGATAAGAACAATGTCTACTCCGTGATTGATGGGTAGAGTATTTTGTACATGTCTATTAGGTCAAATTGGTCAAGTGTCAAATTTAAGTCCAAATTTTCTTTGTTAGTTTTCTTCTTCAATGATGTGTTTAACACTATCAGTGGGGCATTGAAGACCTCCACTATTATTGTGTGATGTCTAAGTATTTCTGTAGTTCTAGAAGTACTTGTTTTATAAATCTGTGTACTCTTTTGTTGGGTGCATATATATATTTAGGTTAAGTCTTCTCATAATAGAACTCTTTATCATTATGTAATGCCCTTTTCTTTTTTACTGTGTATGGCTTAAAGTCTGTTTTATCTGATTTAAGGCTAGTGACCCCTGCTCCTTTGTGTGTTCTGTTTGCATGATAGATCTTTCTTCGACCCTTTACTTTGAGCCTATGTGTATCATTATATGTAAGATGGGTCTCTTGAAAACTTGCTTCATAATGTCTGTGGACTATGTATTTAAGTGTGTTTTTGTGGTAGCAGGCGTTGTTATTTCATTTCCATGTTTAGAATTCCCTTAAGGATTTCCTGTAAGGCTGTCTAGTGGTAATGAATGCCCTTTGCACTTGCTAATCTCGAAATGATTTTATTTCTCCCTCACTTATGAAGCTTAGTTTGCAGGGATATGAAATTTTTACTTGGAATTTCTTTTCTTTAAGAATGCAGAAAATAATCTCCCAATCCTTCCTGACTTGCAAGGTTTCTGCTGAGAAGTCTACTGTTAGCCTGATGGGATTCCCTTTCTACATGATCTAACTTTTTTCTCCAGCTCCCTTTAACATATTTTTTCTTTAGCATCAACTTTGGACAGTCTGAACATAACTATATGCCTTAGTTATGTTCATTTGTTATAGTATCTTGCAAATGTTCCCTGGCTTTCTCATATCTAGATTTCTACCTCTCTAGCAATATTAGGAACATTTTCTTGAATTATTCCCTCAAATGTGTTCTCCTGGTTGTGTACCTTTTCTCCTCTCAGGAATGCCAATAATTCATAGATTTAGTGACTTTACATAATCCCATAATTCTGGAAGGCTTTGATGATTTTTGTAAAATTATTTTTTCTTTATTTTTGTCTGCCTGGGTTAATTTGAAAGACAGGTCTTCAAGCTCTGTAATTCTTCTGCTTGGTCCAGTCTATTGATAAAGCTTTCAGTTGTATTTTAAAATTCCTTAAGTGAATTTTTCAATTTCAGAAGCTCTGACTGATTTCCTGTTAAGATGTTTATCTCCTCTTTCATTTCCGGGATTGCTTTAGAAGGTTCTATCTGTTGATTTTCAACTTTCTCTTGGATCTTGTTGAGCTTCCTTGCAATCCATGCTTCAAATTCTTTATCTGTCATTTCTGAGCTTCCTTTTTGGTTAGGAACCATTGCTGCATAGCTAGTGAGATGCTTAGTTTTTGTATTAGTCTTTTCTCACACTGCTGATAAACACATACCTGAGACTGGGTAATTTACATATAAAAAGAGGTTTAATGGGATCACAGTTCCATGTAGCTGGGGAAGCCTCACAATCATGGCAGAAGGTGAAAGGCACATCTTACATGGCAGCTAGCAAGAGAGAATGAGAGCCAAGCAAAAGAGAAAACCCCTTATGAAACCATCAGTTTTCATAAGACTTATTCATTATCACAAGAACAGTATGGGGGAAACTGTTCCCATAATTCATTTATCTCCCATTATCTCTCACTGGGTTCCTCCCACATGTGGGAATTATGGGAGCTATAATTCAAGATGAGATTTGGGTGGGGACACAGCCAAAACATATCATTCTGCCCCTGATCACGCCCAAATCTCATGTCCTCACATTTCAAAACCAATTATGCCTTCCTGACAGTCCCCTAAAATCTTAGCTCATTTCAGCATTAACTCAAAAGTACAAGTCCAAAGTCTTATCTGAGACAAGGCAAGTCCCTTCCACCTAAGAGCTTGTAAAATCAAAAGCAAGTTAGTTACTTTCTAGATACAATGGGGATACAGGCATTGAATAAATGCACCCATTCCAAATGGGAGAAACTGGCCAAAATGAAGGGGCCCCATGCAAGTCTAAAATCCAGTGGGGCAGTCAAATCGTAGAGCTCCAAAATGATCTCCTTTGACTCCATGTCATACATCCAGGTCACACTGATGGGTTCCCATGGTCTTGGGCAGCTCCACCCTGTGGCTTTGTGAGGTACAGCCTCCCTCCTGGCTGCTTTCACGTGCTGGCACTGAGCAACTGCAATTTTTTCAGGCACACGGTGCAAGCTGCCCATTCTGGGGTATGAAGGACGGTGGCCCACTTCTCACAGTTTTACTAGGCAGTGTCCGAGTGGGGACACTGTGGGGGCACCAACTTCACATTTTCCCTCAACAATGCCCTGGCAGAAGTTGTCCATGAGGGCCCCACCCCTGCAGCCAACTTGTGCCTGGACATCCAGGCATTTTCATACAGCCTCTGAAAACCAGGCAGAGGTTCTCAAGCCTCAATTCCTGACTTCTGTGCACCCGCAGGATCAACACCCCATGGAAGCTTCCAAGGATTGGGGCTTGCACTCTCTGAAGCCACAGCCTGAGCTGTACCTTGGCCTCTTTTAGCCATAGCTAGAGCAGCTGAGCCACAATGCACCAAGTCCCTAAGCTGCACACAGCAGAGGGCCCTGTACTCACAAAGCCATTTTTTTCCTCCTAGGCCCCCAGGTCTGTGCTGGGAGGGGCTGTCATGAAGTCCTCTAACATGCTCTGGAGACACTTTCCCTATTGTCTTGGGGATTAACATTTAGCTTCTTGTTACTTATGCAAATTTCTGCTTGAATTTCTCCTCAGAAATGGGTTTTTGTTTTCTATCACATCATCAGGCTGCAAATTTTCTGAACTTTCATGTTCTGTTTCCCTTTTAGAACTGAATGCTTTTAACAGCATTCAAGCCACCTCTTGAATGCTTTGCTGCTTAGAAATTTCTTTTGCCAGACACCCTAAATCGTTTCCCTTGAGTTCAAAGTCCCACAAATCTCTAGGGCAGAGGCAAAATGCCACCAGTCTCTTTGCAAAAACATAGCAAGAGTCACCTTCACTCCAGTTCCCAACAGGTTCCTCATCTCCTTCTGAGACCACCTCAGCCTCAATTTTATTGTTCATATCATTATCAGCATTTTGGTCAAAGCCATTCAACAAGTCTCTAGGAAGTTCCAAACTTTCTCTAAGACCTCCATACTGTTCCAGCCTCTTCCTGTTACCCAATTCCAAAATTACTTCCACATTTTCGGATATCTTTACAGCAGTGCCCCACTCCTGGTGCCAATTTACTGTATTAGTCCATTCTCACACTGCTATAAAGGATGGCCTGTGACTGGATAATTTATCAAGAAAAAGCAGTTTAATGGAATCATAGTTCCATGTGGCTGGGGAGGTCTCACAATCATTGTGGAAGGCAAAAGGCACATCTTACATGGTAGCAGGCAAGAGAGAATGGGTGCCAAGTGAAAGCAGAAACCCCTTATAAAACCATCAGATCTCATGAGATTTATTCACTACCACAAAAACTGCCCCCATGATTCAATTATCTCCCACTGGGTCTCTCCCATAACACATAGGAATTATGAAACTAAAATTCAAGATGAGATTTGGGTGGGAACATAGCCAAACTATGTCAGTTGTTGTCACTTCATGCAGGTTTTTCGTGGTGCCAAAATTCTTGCACCGATTCTTTCTCATCTGGAGATGCTGGTACTTCTAATTTTTGTAACTATTTTCATGCAGTTATAATTTTGTGTCTTTCTTTCTCTATAATATTATTGGGTTTTTTCTTTCCCTTTCCCTTTTCCCCATCCTTAGGGGATGTGATGGTAGAGAATACTGGGTAGGATTTTTTGGCTTTGCCTCTATAGCTCTTAGTACTTCTGTCATCAGGTTTTATACTGGGCTGTGGAGTTTGACCTACAAGCTAGTAGATGGTACTTATGTGGTACTTATGGGTAAGAGTGGGAGGCAGCCATCATGGTTGGGTGTATGCTTGATCCATGTTTTCTGATAGAAGATCTGTTGCCTCAAACAATAGGCTGACTTGTGGAGTGCACAGGGGTCTAAGCTCCCTGCTCAGCCCTGAGGATGCGGGCATGATGGGCGGGGCTGGACCAGGTGGGCCCACCAACAGGTCCCTCAATGGCAGGCACAAGCACTAGTGCCAAGGGGAGAATCCAGTGGGTGATCACCAAGTTCCCAGAAGTGTGCCTAGGTGTGGATCTGGGAAACCTCCTTGGCCTCAAGTTCTCTACACAGGATAAGGAGTGGCCTAAACTACTAACCCAGGAGAGTGGGTGCCACAGATGCCTGGAGATCTGCCTGGGCATGGAGCACACCAGGATCTGTGCACAGGAAGGGTAGGGTGGTTCAGGGTGACAATCCAGGTGAGGAAGTGCTCCAAACACCTGGAGATATGTCTGGGCATGGAATGGAGAGGGTCCTACTTCCTCACAATGTCAGGGGAGAAGGCTGGGTCACCAAGTAGACCAGTTCCAGGTTGCCAAGCTGACCCTGGCTATAAGTCTCATTGTCCAGGAGAAAGTACAGCTATAGCAGCTCTCCTCCCACCCCAGGCCTGTCATAGGGGAGAGCACAATTCCACTGCCTACTTCTGAGGTGCTTTCCACAGTTCTGGCTGTGGAGGCCCCTACCCTGCTCCAGAGCAGGTGCTCCATTCTCCAGCCTGAGTCAAATGCCTGCACAGCCATGCTGCCATGTGGCTAAGAATGGCTGGCTTTGTGTGTCCGGATTAAAAAAGGCCTCCTGCGTTCAATCCCAGGTCTGGGAAAATACCTGCAAATTTTCCCGGTATCTTTCCCTAACAGGATTTCCAAGCCTCTCCCCAAATTAGCTCCAAGGCTTGGGAGAAACAAAGTGCTCTTCTTCCGCCTGGGTCACTCAGATCTTCAGTGGAAAGATGAGTCACAGAGGGAGGCTCTCTGCTGTCTCACATATTGAGGCTTCACTCACTTTTATAAGCCAAATGCCATCAAGGGGGCTGTTTGCCCATGTTCCCCTTCTCTGGATCTGGGGTGTCCTTCACAATTCCAGGGCGGATTCTCATTTTCCTTCTTGAGTTAAAGCTTAGAGTTGACCTTTATGCACTATCTTGCTATTTCCAAGTGGCTGAAGCACGCTAAAAGCTTCTAAGCTGCCATCTTGGAGAACAATAAAAAGGTTTTTATATTTTTAAGTAACTTTGCTTAAATCTAAAGAATTTGATGACATGTTGAAATTGTTGAAATTCTGCCCATAAATAAAGTTTTATTGGAACACAGCCATGTTCGCTTGTTTACATTTGACTATGGCTGCTTTGGTGCTGTAATGGCAGAGTTGAGTGGTTGCAGCACAGATTGTGTGGCCTGCAAAGCCTAAAATATTTACTGTCTGGATCTTTGCAGAAACTCTTTGCTGACCCCTGGTCTTAAGGGAAGGATATCTTTTTATTCTTGACCTCTTGCTAAGGCAACTCCTTATTATTTATTTGTACTAACGACCAAGATCACTTCCCAAGTTATGCAGGTCACTCACTCACTATGCAAAGCAATGCTGCTCAATGACAATTCCAACCTTTCTGTGGTTTTGGATATATTTATTCACATGGGCATTTACATGAGTACATATTATGTGTTTTCAGTATTTGAAACAGGACTAATGGACAATATAATTTGATATATTTCAAAATCCTGATTTACAATACCTGTTCTTCCACTTATTTGTTATGACTTTGGGAAGTTACTGTTTTCACATTTATGTAATTTAAGACCTGCTCCATACATTGTTGTACAAAATAAAAGAGAAAGTTTTATGAAAGAGTATAGCACAAGACACTTAATAGATAGTCTATAGCTATTAATTCCTTTCCTCCATCATCCCATCTCATTACCATTTTTGCTCCTTTACACTTGTAAAAAGTCAAGAGACAAGAACATATCCTTCACTGGGTACTTTCCCCAATGAACTAAATTTTCCAAGTTACTTGAGAAGGTAAAACAGCTTTTAGAAATGCACTAACGAGAAAATGAGCATCACAGAGGTTTTTATCTTGTCTAACACAATAGCCCACGCCCTGTGGGCACTCCATAAACACTAACTGAATTGCATTTTATTATGCTGTTAGACCACAACCAATTGTTTTGCTGCCTCTATAATCAGAAAAGCTGGCTTAAAATGTATGGAAATAAACAATTTACCCATTGGTCCATGCTTGGAAAGGAAAACTTACACCTAACGTTCAGACATTATGCTTTGATAGATTCTACCCTTGGGGTGTGTTTAAATATGTAGCTTCAGTTTCTCTTTTATCAGTATACAAAAGTTTTCCAAGAAACACAAAGACTTGTGTTTAAGGACTTGCCACGCAGCATACATCATGTTGTAGAAGCACCACAGTACTAGCAGTACTACCAATTGAAATTGGCTTGAAGACAAATGAAGCCTTGCTAGAACCTAAGAATAGAAGATTGTAAATGAAATAAACCTATCACTGAATTCTACTTATTTCATATATGCTTAAAAAGTTAGAAACTATATGTATAGTTCCAGAACTGTACAATACCTTAGAGATGATCTCTTCAAAGAGTTTTCACACTGGAACCCTGGGGGTCTTTGGCAATAACTTAGGAGGCAGGAAAACTGTTGTATTTTTTCCATTCCAACTACTTCCTCAGCCACAGAAATGTTGTGTTTGTTTTGTATATTGGAGTTTTGCATAATGTTTAGTTTAAAAATGGGTCTCACCAATTTTAAAAGGTGGAAAGCTACTGACTTATCTATTGTACATTGTAGATCATGAATCAGTGAACTTTTCCTGTAGAGGACCAGATAGTAAATACTGTATTTTAGGCTTTGCCTGCTGCTATATGTTCTCTATCTCAGTTACTTAACTTGACCTTTGTAAGTGAAAACAGCCATAAACAATATGTAAAATAATGAGTGTGACTATATTCTAATAAAACTTTATTCACAAAAACTGGTGGCAAGCTAGATCTGGCCTGTAGGCCACAATTTGCTGACCCTTGTTGTAGATAATAAAAATGAGTTCTGGATATGTTTAAAAGACTAACCCAAAGTCACTAACCAGGTGATTAGTGACAGCTATGAGACCAGGATTCTTCCCACTACACTGCTAATAGATTAGAAAAAACTTTACAAAATACCATATCTTTGGAAAGGTAGTGGATAATATCAGAAAAGATTCAATTCCATGAAATTTTGGATGCCTGTCCTGTAGCTAGTGCTGCATCCTGCCACAATCCCAATCAATACCTTTGTTTTAATAATTTGTTTACCACTGTGCCTAAAAAACAATGCCTCAAGGTGAAAAAGAAAATCTGTAATGTTCTTATGTCACATGACTCATTAGTTTTGCCAATGTTGTTCAGTGAAAGGATATATCACTTAATTAATTGTTGGTTTTGATCACTCTACCTCTAGCAAAATGACATCCAATGTTTTGCACATAAAAATTTATTTGATCTCTGCAACTCAACAGTTATATTATGATGTGAACATTAAGCCTTAAGTATTCTCTAGAAGGAAATGACTTGCTCTCTGTATTCCTTTCCATCTTGGTACAACTCTGTCTGCAATGTCAACACAGCAGAATCTATTTCCCAGAATTAAGGAACTTTTCCTAATAAAAGGAAGTCTCCCCACCTGATTATCAAAGTCCCACTCCCTCAAGCTCAGCTCACAAGACAGCCTCTGCTCTTGGTGATGCTGCTCCCCACACTCACCTCTGCAGCCTTTGTCTACACAAAGGGGGAGAGAAGCCTCCCAGAGCAAAAGCAATGCTGTTGTCAATTCTTCCTGAAACTCCTTCCTCCTCTCTGAATTCAATACTGTTTTGACCTTTTCCACATCATGAGTTTCAGTTTCTTGTAACACCCTCCTCCTTCACAGGTTAGTAAAAACCCAACTGGAAGGAGCAGTAAATCAACTCAGAGCATATGGGAAATACCACATACTCCTGTAACTCAAAGAACATATGAGGCAACAAGGAGCAGGAGAAACTACAATTGCTGTTATGTACATTGATTCTTATGACAGTTGTAATGAAAATGGAAAACAGTTTTAGCATAACATTCCAGTTACAGTCTCAAGATGGTTGTGTTGTGGTTTTCCTTGACTAATCTGCCCAGTCAACAAGAGAGACCTGAAATTGTTTTTAGAAAATAATTACGGAGACTTAGAATTCAAACGTCCATAAAACACGCATCAGAATTTTAAAAGAATTCAAAGGGACAGTTCTCATAAGTGTATTTATGCCACCTTAAGCCACGGAAAATAGACTACATTTTCCTACCTCTCTACCCCAAAACCATAGCAAGGTATTTTCAAAAGATAATTGATCATTTACAACTCCCTTTATTCTTTAGAATAATGAGATCTTAAAGCTAGAAAGGATCTTAAAAATCAACCACTGAAATACGTTGATTTTTAATCATAAGGAAACTGAGGTATGGATGATTAATAAGTAGTTTCCTGGGATTCCAGAATTAATTGGCAACTCTAGTGTAGCACCAGAGTTGTCTAATCCCCATTCAGAAGTTCTATCTGCTAGTCCGTGAGGCCTCTTTCATTCCAATCACATTGACCACCATTATAATCTTAAAAAGAATCTTTTTTTAAGTATCTTTTGCTGAAACAATCCCCATGTTTTCTCATGAATCATTGATTGGCAGGACAAAAGTCTAGTGGAAACTCCTCAAGATTACTCAAGGAGTTTACAGTAAAGGCAGGAAATATGTGGGCTTTTGTTTTTTTCATTTTTGTTTTTTCTTTGTTTTTAATTTTCTATCCACATCTTAGGCCAAGCAATCAACTCTTCTGAATGAAGTCTTCTCTGGTTTTCATGAATTTGTCTGTGTTTATCTCATAACTATAACCAAAGGTAAATCGCCAGAGCTTTCCCTTGCTGGTCTTTCCAGTCCACACCAGCAGATTGGCATGAACTCTCACACATAGGAAGCTCTGCTTTTTTTAATGTCCTCTTCGCCATGGGTTGGGCTGTTTGAAGGAAAGGGATTTGCACTGGGTTTTGACAACGATACAATGGAAGGCATAAGGAAGTCACATTAAGAAGGAAAGGTGTGATTGAGAATCAAAGGTGTGTCTACACAGGGCATCCCAAGGAATGTGAGTAACCCAGCTTCTCGGGAGCAGGAGACTTTCTTTAAGAAAACAATAGAAAAAAACATTAGTCAATTACGGAAAAAGCAGTTTGTAGAGAACACTGAATAGCAGACTGATAAACTTCCTTGACCATACTCCATTAGAGGTACCTGGAAAAAAGAGCAGCCAGTCTAGAAAAAGTTGATTTGAAGACAAGGATGACATAATCCCTTTGGAAGACAAACCAGACAGTGGTTTCAGGGCTGCTTCCTAGGCTCCCTGGTAACAGGGAAACATCATCATGCTGTAATAGGTGCTCACCATGATTTATCTCACTTCATGTCAACCCCCACTCCCTGGAGTAGGCACTATTACCCCCATTTTCCAGATGAGATGATTGAGGCTGATAGAGGATAAATGATTTTTATTAAAGTCCCACTTCTGAGAAAAGGTAGATCTGAGTCTGAAGCCCAAGTGCACATGACATTTCTTTACAGATGCACAGTTGAAACCTCTTGAAAGTGGTGCAACCCACTAGAGGTACACATGGTAGTCAGAGCACTTAAGTAATGTTTCCTAAAAGAAAAGAAAGAATCTTAATAGATAAATAAAATGACAGAAGAATTGGCAGGACTTCAGGACTAGTTGGATATGAAAGAAAGGGAGAATCAAAGGGACTGGGGAAATAAGGGTCTTGGAAACATGCACTGGAATGCCACACAAATAAACTTGTACATATGCAGGAACTCAAAAATACATTATTCAGGTACTGAATCTCTATTGATTTTACAAACATGGAAAGGCCTCACTCACCTGTGTATCCAGTGTTCATCTCCTTCTCTTTGCCATCCTAGCACTTTTTTGACTCCCTAAACAAGAAGACTAAGAGAAAGAAGTATCCATTTAAGACAAACTTGCCCATCTACAGAATGATGTGCAGAGGGAGTGTATTAGTCTGTTCTCACACTGCTAATAAAGACACACCCAGCAGGGTATGGTGGCTCACACCTGTAATCCCAGAACTTTGGGAGGCCAAGGCAGGTGGATCTCGAGGTCAGGAGATCAAGACCATCCTGGCTAACATGGTGAAACCCTGTCTCTAATAAAAATACAAAAAATTAGCTGGGTGTGGTGGCATATGCCTATAGTCCCAGCTACTCGGAAGGCTGAGGCAGGAGAATCACTTGAACCCAGGAGGCAGAGGTTGCAGTGAGCCAAGATCATGCCACTGCACTCCAGCCTGGGTGACAGAGCGAGATTCAAAAAAAAAGAAAAGAAAAGAGGTTTAATGGACTCACAGTTCCACATGGCTGGGGATGCCTCACAATCATGGCAGAAGGCAAAGGAGGAGCAAAGGCACATCTTACATGGCAGCAGGCAAGGGGGCCTGTGCAAGGGAACTCCCATTTATAAAACTATCAGATCTCATGAGGCTTATTCACCACCAAGAGAACGTTATGGGGGAACCTCCCCATGATTCCATTAACTCTACCTGGCCCTGCTCTTGACAAGTGAGGATTATTACAATTCAAGGTGAGATTTGGGTGGGGACACAACCAAACTATATTGGCGAAAGACTGTGTAAGACCAAACCTGCTCCAAGTGCTCAGATCCAAGCTTGGTAGACTAGAGAGGGTTAGCTTTCATCCCTTTTTAGAGGTCCCAAATTTTCCCCAACTCCAGAAACTTAACAGAGCCCATTGTTAATAAGCTTAATAAAGAAACACCCTTGAAAGTTATTTCAATACTGGAGAAAAGAAAAATGTTCTGAAATAACAATATGTGCCTTTTTATCCTTTAACTTGAATCACCCATTTATTCAACAATAACTTGCTGGACACACACTATGGATAAAGTGCTGTACTTGTGTAAGCAAAAAAAAAAAATAGCTTACCCCAAAAAAAGAAAAAATTCTAAGAAAGTTGTCATTATTGTTCTCACAGAGCACATAATTTGGTTGTCAAAAAGGATTATAAATATAACCTTTGAATTAAATCTTTTAGAATTCTTCTAGCACTTCCCATCTATTAGAGACCAGTTTGTTAATGATGATAACTGAGCATCTAATTTTATTCCCAGTGTTCCTGCATTTTGCTAAGAATATTTGTGGCTGGTTTTGTTTCTTCCTTACTCTTGAAGAGGTAGAAAATAAATGCCACCATGACAACACATTTGGGGGCCATAACAGTGCACCCTGCTGATCTCCTGCTGTGGGAATATAATTCACTGACTGGTGCCAGCAGCTGTTCTCTGAATCCACCACCACATTCATGCTGAGGCCACACTTCCCGCAGGCTACTCCCAGCCAGTGGTGGAGCCCAGCAAAGATACTGGCACAGACCCCATGCTGGGAGATGCAGGACTCTTCTACAGATCTTGGTTCAAGGGCTCTCTGTCAGCCTGGGCACAAATTTTCTTAGAACTGGCTGCAGTATGGGACTCTTTCTTTGATCCCATCCTCTTTCCCTCTCTCCTCAGGGGTCAGACCTGCATCATGCTTTGAAGGCTGTCCCCACCTTTTCCATCTCCCTGCCCCTCTCCCCTACTGGGCACTTCCCCAATACATCTCTTGTATGTCTAATCCTGCCTTGATGTCTGCTTCTCAGAGGATTCAAATAAGCACAACACGCACAAGCAATAAACATTTTCACATTTGCCTTCTACAATACGTGCTCCCTCATTAATACTACCAAAGGTATGTCTTTTAAAAAGTACCTGAGTGGGAGGAGGGAGAGGATCAGAAAAAATAACTATTGGGTACTATGCTTATTACCTGAGTGATGAAATAATCTGTACACCAAACCCCCATGACACACAGTTTACCTACGTAGCAAGCCTGCATACCCACCCCGAACCTAAAATAAAAGTTATAATTAAAAAATTAAAAAAAAATTTTAAGTCTTTTAAAAATACCCTATTCATAGCAACTTGATCTTTTGTTGCTTTTACCAGCATATGTGAGATAGTTTCAATGTACATATTTTGCCTTTGGTACTACAAAGTAAGAACTTTTTTCTTCAGTTCATTAAGAGAAAATCACCTTATTCCTCAGGATCTGGTCCAAAGCAGAGTTTAAGGACACAGTAGTGTAGTGGGTAGCCATGGAATGAGACCTCATGTTCTCCCATCCTGCGATGCCTCTTAATTATCATGTGGCCTCAAACAAGCCATTTAAACCCCCTGAACCTGTTTCCTCTATAATATGTATGGAGATACTATTATCTTCCTTGCTAACTTCAAAAAACTGTTTTAAGAATCAAATGAGTTAATTATGTGAAAGTGACTTGAAAACTAGAGTGCCATACTAAAGAAAGATATTATAACGATTGTCTTCTAAATAATAAATGGGATTGACCTACTTTATTCACATTTCCTGGGGGATAAGCACTGGATATAACAAAGTAATTTCACATCAAAATATATACATCTCAGTAGTAGGGTGGGAAAAGTAAAAAAAACTGTGGAAACGTCGAAGATCAGGTTATGTAAGCCAATCTTAAGACATCCAAGTAAGCTACAAAATTATAAACCCAGAGCTTTACTGAAATTACCTTACCTCCTACAGACTAGAGTAAATGTAAGATGCTGGCTTAAGTGGAAAGAAAAAAAAAAAAACTTCAAGTTTAAGGTAATTTCCAAACCGCAGTGATCTGGATGAACCTTAGAACCAAATATAAGCCTTCCAATCTGCTTGAGTTTAGGTAGTAATAATAAATCTTACCACACCAGTAACTTGAGGTTTTCCTTGGTTTGATTATAAATCGCTTTTCATATGAATAAAAGAAGAAAAACATTCTCAAGGGTCAATGGGTATATGCAAATATATGTTATTTTCTTTTCTGATATTATGATTGAATTCAGGTGTCTCTCTATGACAATGAAGTTGGTGTAAAAGTCTGTGAAACAGCACAAACCTACAGGGCTATAGGCTAATCGCAGGTGTAAATATAAGCCATTACAAACTTGATAGAACTAAAACCTATGAGAAATTTCTTTGTAATGCTCTTAATCCTGAAACCAACAGCTTCCACTGAAATTATGAGTCCTCAATTTAAAAACTTTGGAAAAATTCTCCTTTTCCTGGTTAATTGCAAAATAAACAGATGTCCTCGAGGAGAAGGTGTCTCCTTTGTTTGTTGACTGCCTTAAAACGAAGGTAATATTGAGTGGTGCTTGGAACTGTGTTAAACTAACCATGCCCTTCTCCCAGTATTTGCTTTGCGTTTCCTATTTCATTACCAATGTTAAGTCTCTATATAAGAAGTCTGTGAAGTATATACTCATACTCATACATTAAATAGAGACATCATGCAAAGTTGTTGGATATGAGAAGAAAAAATTAACTTCTTTTTGTTACTACTTCCCCCAACAAAGGGAATATTTGTAATCCAACAAAACAAGGGTAGGCTGTCTTACGCACTGAATAGAGGCGACTCTGCGCCAAAGCGAAACTGAAACTCTTGCTCCATCCACAACACTTATGACAGATTTGAAAAAATGAGGAAACAAAGTCAGCCCAGTTCCTTGAGGCAGCATAGGGTTACATTAATGGATTGGTGGTAATAGCTGAAGTTCATCTGAAGGGATGTGACAGTTACTATTTAATTGATAGAAATCTGATCAGTCCTTACAAACTCCCCTCAAACATATCTGTCCTACCACGATAAAACCCCCTCAAAATCCACCACTAAACAACAGAAAACCCAACTCAAACACCAAAGGCATATAAAATGAAGACAAAAGAACAGAGGAGGCTGGGAATTTTTACTTACAGAATGTCCTGGAACAAGAACAAAAAGAGGTCTGAGGGTGATTAAAGGTCACATTGCTTCATTCCAAATGTCTTCTTCAAGGGAAAATCAGCTTTCATCAGCTTTTCCAGGTTTCTATGTCCCAGATCACCCCCACGTGTCCATCCAAACAGAGCTTCTAAATAAATACAAACAAATGCATTCTTAGTGGGGTTGCACTTTCAAATTAAACACTATGAACTTGCTTATGTGCATGCAAATAAAATGTCATGCTCATCAGGGGAGCATACTTTGGCATCAAGTAGTATATGGTAAATGGCACATAATCTGATTGAGTGAAAACATCTCTATGCCTGAGGAGAGTCAATTTGGCTGGATCTGCTTATGATGGAATTGACTCTGTCACAGACACCCCAGGCAGAGACAACCTTATCCTTTCACATGCAATGACACTCGGCCCTTTCTACACTACCAAAGTCAGTCCTGCCTGCTTTTTTATCCATTCATTTATTCATCAAATACATTCTGAGCACCTACTATGTAACAGGAGCTATTCTAGGTACAAGGTCATCAAAATGAAATACTGTTCCTGAGATTATAAGTCTGGTTAGAATTTTACAATATATACAAAGAAGCAACTGAAAGCAAAAGTACCTACAGTGCACAGAAATGTAAATAGCACAGAACTTGCCAAACAGTAGGCGCTCAATAAATGTTAGGTGAATAAGAATTTGAATAATTATTAATAGACGGCCATGCAGAGTGCTAGAGTATAGACAGCTTAGAATTATTCCTAGTGCATAAAAACGCAAGAAGTATTTGGAGATAGAACAAATGAAATGATAAATACTATAAGCACATAGAATAATAGTTACCTAACACAAGCAATGGCTTCCCTATGAAGGTGACATTTAAGCTAGATGAATAAGATACCAAAGAAAATTCTAGGCAGGGGGAGTAATAGTAATTGGCCAATTAACTATGTATAAGTCATGTGAGCTGAAGTATTAACCTCAGAATATGGCTGCACTTACTTCATGCTGCCTGACTTATATTGATCTGCCCAATGCTCTGAAACATGACCATGTAGCTAGTTTCATTGAAGACAACAGAAGATTCAAGCATGCACCTTCAGGAAACAGTGATAATCAATAAGCCTGTGACATTGTCCTTATAGCAAAAGCTGATTTGTTAGTGCTAAAATGCAGGGTATGTTAAAAAAAAAAAAAAGTAGAAGACACGGACAATGAAAAGCAAGAAAGAACTAAAGAAAGGTCCTTGTCTTGTGTGGTTTACAAACAGTAGAAACACAAGAAAAAATAAAGACAACAGTATTGAAGCAAAATATTTAACAACATAAAATCAGTTACATCACTTCAAATAATTCAGTTCAAGAATATTATCCTTCAAGAAAACACTAGAAAAACAAAGCTGGTTTTATTAAAATAAATGCTCAGATTTCAAAGAGAATATTTAACTTGGTATAGAAATAAGACTGTAGCCTGTAATCCCAGCACTTTGGGAGGCCGAGGCGGGCGGATCACGAGGTCAGGAGATCGAGACCATCCTGGCTAACACGGTGAAACCCCGTCTCTACTAAAAATACAAAAAATTAGCCGGGCATGGTAGCGGACGCCTGTAGTCCCAGCTACTCGGGAGGCTGAGGCAGGAGAATGGCGTGAACCCGGGAGGCGGAGCTTGCAGTGAGCTGAGATCGCGCCACTGCACTCCAGCCTGGGCGACAGAGCGAGACTCCGTCTCAAAAAAAAAAAAAAAAAAAAAGAAATAAGACTGTAGAACCAGATATTTATTGGGATTCTGTAGGATGACTGTCATAAGAAAGGGATGTGCAATATACAATCAAGGGAGGATTCTCAGAGCAAATGACTTTTAGGTTGCAATGTGACAACTATATTTGCTGTGGGTTTATCTCTAAGCATATAATAAATCCAAATAAAAAAATGCAATTCATCTTAATAAAATTTGCTTTACAAACAACCATTCAGGTAAGTATTAATTATCCCACAAAATGAAACTTGCTGTTTCTTTTTTGGGTAAAATAACATTTCTCAATAGTTTTCGCAACCGACAATGTAACATATTGACATGTTAAAGAAGCTCCTAGGTCACATGACTAACCACTCCTCTGTAACATCCTTTCTTTACAATAACCCAGTCTCTGACAAATTTATTGATGAAATGGAGAATCAAACTACAATGATACAAAAACAATAATCTGTTTGCCTTAATTGAAAGGAAAACATGCTACCACTGAAATATATATGTACTTACTTATATATATACTTACTTATATGTAAGTATTTATATATATTATACATATATACTTATATATAAGTACTTATATATAAGTATATATATACACTTATATATATACCTTCTCACATATATATACACTTACATATATACTCACATATATATATATATATATATATATATATATATATATATATATATATACACACTTACTATATATATATAGAGAGAGAGAGTAAGATGGTGATACGGTTTGGTTGTGTCCCCACCCAAATCTCATCTTAAATTGTAGTTCCCATAATCCCCACATGTTGTGAGACTGGTGGGAGATAATTGAATCATGGGGTCGGTTACCCTCATGCTGTTCTTGTGATAGTGAGTGAGTTCTCATGAGATCTGATGGTTTTATAAGGGGCTTTTTCCCCCTTCACTCTTTTTTAAAGAATGTTGAATATTGGCCCCTACTCTCTTCTGTCTTGTAGAGTTTCTGCTGAGAGATCTGCTGTTAGTCTGATGGGCTTCCCTTTGTGGGTAACCCGACATTTCTCTCTGGCTACCGTTAACATTTTTTCCTTCATTTCAACTTTGGTCAATCTGACTATTACGTGTCTTGGGGTTGCTCCTTCCTGCTGCCATGTGAAGAAGGATGAAGGATGTATTTGCTTCCCCTTCTGCCATGACTGCAAGTTTCCTGAGGCCACCCTAGCCCTGTGGAATTTTGAGTCAATTAAACCTCTTTCCTTTGTAAATTACCCAGTCTCAGGCAGTCCTTTATAGCAGTGTGAGAATGGACTAATACAGTAAATTGGTACCAGGAGTGGGACACTGCTGTAAAGATACCCAAAAATGTGAAAGTGACTTTGGAACTGGGTAACGGGCAGAGGTAGGAACAGTTTGGAGGACTCAGAAGAAGACAGGAAAATGTGGGAAAGCTTGGAACTTCCTAGAGACTATGAGGGCTCAGAAGACAGGAAGATGTGGGAAAATTTGGAACTTCCTAGAGACTTGTTGAATGGCTTTGACCAAAATGATGATAATGATATGGACAATGAAGTCCAGGCTGAGGTGGTCTCAGATGGAGATGGGAAACTTGTTGGGAACTGGAATAAAGGTAACTCTTGTTATGCAAAAAAGACTGGCAGCATTTTCTCCTGCCCCGGAGATGGTTTCCTGGGCCAGGGCCAGGGTCCTCCTGCTGTGTGCAGCCTTGGGATTTGGTGCCCTGCATCCCAACTGCTTCAGCCATGGCTAAAAGAAGCCAATGGGCCAGGAGTGGTGGCTCATGCCTGTAATCTCTGCACGTTGGGAGGCCGAGGCAGGTGGATCACAAGGTCAGGAAATCAAGACCATCCTGGCCAACATGGTAAAACACCATCTCTACTAAAAACACAAAAATTAGCTGGGTGTGGTGGAATGCACCTGTAATCTCAGCTACTCAGAAGGCTGAGGCAGGAGAATCACTTGAACCCAGGGGGCGGAGATTGCAGTGAGTCAAGATCATACCACAGCACTCTAGCCTGGCAACACAGCCAGACTCTGTCTCAAAAAAACAAAAAAGCCAATATACAGCTCAGGCCATTGCTTAAGAGGGTGCAAGCCCCAAGCCTTGGCAGCTTCCATGTGGTGTTGGGCCTGCGGGTGTGCAGAGGTCAAAAATTGAGGTTTGAGAGCCTCCACCTAGATTTCAGATGATGTATGGAAATGCCTGGATGTCCACGCAAAAGTCTGCTGCAGGGGCAGAGCCCTCATGGAGAACCTCTGCTTTTCAGATGATGTATGGAAATGCCTGGATGTCCACGCAAAAGTCTGCTGCAGGGGCAGAGCCCTCATGGAGGACATCTGCTAGGGTACTGCAGAAGGGAAATGTGGGGTTGGAGCCCCCACACAGAGTCCCCACTGGGGCACTCCCTAGTGGAGCTGTGAGAAGAGGGTCACCGTCCTCCAGGCCCCAAAATAGTAGATCCACAAACAGCTTGCACCGTGCACCTGGAAAAGCCACAGACAATGCCAGCCATGAAAGCAGCTGGGAGGGTGTTGTACCCTGCAAAGACACAAAGGCGGAGCTGCCTAATGTGGGAGCCCACTTCTTGCATCAGCGTGACCTGGATGTGAGACATGGAGTCAAAGGAGATCATTTTGGAACATTAAGGTTTAATGACTGCCCTATTGGATTTCAGACTTGCAAGAGGCCTGTAGCCCCTTTGTTTCAGCCAATTTCTCCCATTTGGAATGGGTGTATTTGCCCATTGCCTGTACCCCCATTGTATCTAGGAAGTAACTACCTTGCTTTTTATTTTGCACACTCATAGGTGGAAAGGACTTGCCTTGTCTCAGATGAGACTTTGGACTTGGACTTTTGGGTTAATGCTGGAATTAGTTAAGACTTTGGGGAGACTGTTTAGGCCATGGTTGTGTTTTGAAATGTGAGGACATGAGATTTGGAAGACACCAGGTGCAGAATGGTATAATTTGGCTGTGTCCCCATCCAAATCTCATTTTGAAATGTAATTCCCATTATCCCCATGTGTCATGGGAGAAACCCAGTGGGAAGTAATTGAGTCACAGGGATGGTTACCCTCATGCTATTCTCATTATAGTGAGTGAGTTCTCACAAGATTTGATGGTTTTATAAGGGGCTTTCCCCCCTTTCACTCGGCACTCGTCCTTCCTGCCACCACATGAAGAAGGACATGTTTGCTTCCCCTTATGCCATGACTGTAAGTTTCCTGAGGCCTCCCCAGCCCTCCAGAACTGTGAGTTAAACCTCCTTCCTTTACAAATTATCCAATCTCAGGCAGTTCTATATAGCAGCATGAGAACAGACTAATACAGATGGTAAACTATATATGTATATTTTACCTCAATTAAAAAATTAAAAAGAAGACCTGAGCATGGTGGCTTATGCCTGTAATCCCAGCACTTTGGGAGGCGAAGGCAGGTGGATCACCTGATGTCAGGGGTTCAAAGCCAGCCTAGCCAACATGGTGAAACCCTGTATCTACTAAAAAATACAAAAAAAAAAAAAAATAGCCTGGTGTGGTGGCACGTACTTGTAGTCCCAGCTACTCAAGAGGCTGAGGCAGGAGAATTGCTTGAACTCAGAAGGCAGAGGTTGCAATGAGCCAAGATCATGCCACTGCACTCCAGCCTGGGTGACAGAGAAATAATTATCTATCTCAAAAGAAAAAGAAGAAGAAGAAGCTGCCATGCTCACTTAAGCACATTTTCCTGTATTTCCTGTTTACTAGGCAATTAGAAGCGAATATTGGTCTTTTTGGCAGTAGCTCATCTGTGTTAATGAGTATTTGTTTCCTTTTGTGTCATCCTCATCAGAACTATTCCACTTTGCTGGAGTAAACAGCAAATCAAATGATAAAACATAATAAAAACAATTTTTAAACCCACTATTTCCTTCACAAGTAGAAGTTTTCCTAGTTTCTATAATAATAAAAAACTAAAATGGTGGGAAAATAATTGATTACATCTGTTTTCTGCCTTAGAGTTTAAGAATAATTTCTCCATCTTTGTCATTTTCAACCCTCACTAAACATCTCCTATGGGTGCTTGGAGTTAAAAATCACAATAAGGATTCTGTTCCAAGATGACCCAATAGGAACAGCTCTGGTCTGCAGCTCCCAGCATGATCGATGCAGAAGACGGTGAATTCTGCATTTCCAAATGAGGTATCTGGTTCATCTCATTGGGACTGGTTGGACAGTGGGTGCAGCCCACAGAGAGTGAGCTGAAGCAAGGCATGGCATCGCCTCACATGGGAAGCACAAGGGGTCGGGGGATTTCCCTTTCCTAGCGAAGGGAAGCCATGACAGACTGTACCTGGAAAATGGGTAGACTCCCACCAAAAAACTGCACTTTTCCAATGGTTCTAGCAAACAGCACACCAGGCGATTATATCCTGCGCCTGGTTCGGCGGGTCCCATGCCCACGGAACCTTGCTCACTGCTAGCGCAGTAGTCTGAGATCAACTTGGGAGGCAGCAGCATGGCAGGGGAAGGGGCATCCGCCATTGCTGAGGCTTGAGTAGGTAAACAAAGTGGCTGAGGAAGCTCGAACTGGGCAGAGCCCACCACAGCTCTGCAAGGCCTGCTGCTCTGTAGACCCTACCTCTTGGGGGAGGCCATAGCTGAAAAAAAAGGCAGCAGAAACATCTGCAGACTTAAACATCCCTGTCTGACAGCTCTGAAGAGAGCAGTGGTTCTCCCTGCACAGTGTTTGAGTTCTGAGAATGGAAAGACTGCTCCCTCAAGTGGGTCCCTGACCCCCATGTAGCCTAACTGGGCTACACCTCCCAGTAGGGGCCGTCTAACACCTCATGCAGGCAGGTGCCCCTCTGGGACGAAGCTTCCAGAGGAAGGATCAGGCAGCAATATTTGCTGTTCTGCAGCCTCTGCTGGTGATAACCAGGCAAACAGGGTCTGGAGTGGACCTCCAGTAAACTCCAACAGACCCGAAGCTGAGGGACCTGACTATTGAAAGGAAAACTAACAAACAGAAAGGAATAGCATCAACATCAATAAAAAGGACATCCACACCAAAACCCCATCTGTAGGTCACCAGCATCAAAGGCCAAAGATAGATAAAACCACAAAGATGGGGAGAACCCAGAGCAGAAAAGCTGAAAATTCTAAAAATCGGAGTGCCTCTTCTCCTCAAAAGGATCACAGCTCCTCACCAACAATGGAACAAAGCTGGATGGAGAATGACTTTGACGAGCTGACAGAAGTAGGCTTCAGAAGGTCGGTAATAACAAACTTCTCTAAGCTAAAGGAGGATGTTCAAACCCATCGCGAGGAGGCTAAAAGTCTTGAAAAAAGATTAGACGAATGGCTAACTAGAATAAACAGTGTACAGAAGACCTTAAATTACCTGATGGAGCTGAAAACCATGGCACGAGAATTATGTGATGCATGCACAAGCTTCAATCCATAGAGTGGAAGAAAGAGTATCAGTAATTGAAGATCAAATTAATGAAATAAAGCAAGAAGACAAGATTAGAGAAAAAAGAGTAAAAAGAAATGAACAAAGCCTCCAAGAAATATGGGACTATGTGAAAAGGCCAAATCTATGTTTGATTGGTGTACCTGAAAGTGCCAGAGAGAATGCAACCAAGTTAGAAAACACTCTTCCGGATATGATCCAGGAGAACTTCCCCAACCTAGCAAAGCAGGCCAACATTCAAATTCAGGAAATACAGAGAACACCACAAAAATACTCCTCGAGAAGAGCAACCCCAAGACACGTAATAGTCAGATTGACCAAAGTTGAAATGAAGGAAAAAATGTTAACGGTAGCCAGAGAGAAATGTCGGGTTACCCACAAAGGGAAGCCCATCAGACTAACAGCAGATCTCTCAGCAGAAACTCTACAAGACAGAAGAGAGTAGGGGCCAATATTCAACATTCTTTAAAAAAAGAATTTTCAACCCAGAATTACATATACAGCCAAACTAAGCTTCATAAGTGAAGGAGAAATAAAATCCTTTACAGACAAGCAAATGCTGAGAGATTTTGTCACTACCAGGCCTGCCTTGCAAGAGCTCCTGAAGGAAGCACTAAACATGGGAAGGAACAACCAGTACCAGCCACTGCAAAAACATGCCAAATTGTAAAGACCACTGATGCTAGGAAGAAACTGTATCAACTAACGGGCAAAATAAGCGGCTAACATCATAATGACAGGATCAAATTCACACATAATATTAACCTTAAATGTAAATGGGCTAAATGCCCCAATTAAGAGACACAGACTGGCAAATTGGATAAAGAATCAAGACCCATCAGTGTGCTATATTCAGGAGACCAATCTCAAGTGCAGAGACATACATAGGCTCAAAATAAAGGGACGGAGGAAGATCTACCAAGGAAATAGGAAGCAAAAAAAAAAAAGAAAAAAAAAAAAAAAAAAAAAGCTGGGGTTGCAATCCTAGTGTCTGATAAAACAGACTTTAAACCAACAAAGATCAAAAGAGACAAAGAAGGCCATTACATAATGGTAAAGGGATCAATTCAACAAGAGTAGCTAACTATTCTAAATATATATGCACCCAATATGGGAGCATCCAGATTCATAAAGCAAGTCCTTAGAGACCTACAAAGAGACTTAGACTCCCAAACAATACTAATGGGAGACTTTAACACCCCACTGTCAATATTAGACAGATCAATGAGACAGAAGGTTAACAAGGATATCCAGGACTTGAACTCAGCTCTGCACCAAGCAGACCTAATAGACATCTACAGAACTCTCCACCCCAAATCAACAGAATATACATTCTTCTCAGCACCACATCACACTTACTCCAAAATTGGCCACATAGTTGGAAGTAAAGCACTCCTCAGCAAATGTAAAAGAAGAGAAATCATGACAAACTGTCTCCCAGACCACAGTGCAATACAATTAGAACTCAGGATTAACAAATTCACTCAAAACCACACAACTACATGGAAATTGAACAACCTGCTCTTGAATGACTACTGGGTAAATAATGAAATGAAGGCAGAAATAAAGATGTTCTCTGAAACCAACGAGAACAAAGACACAACATACCAGAATCTCTGGGACACATTTAAAGCAGTGTGTAGAGGGAAATTTATAGCACTAAATGCCCACAAGAGAAAGCAGGAAAGATCTAAAATCGACACCCTAACATCACATTTAAAAGAACTAGAGAAGCAAGAGCAAACAAATTTAAAAGCTAGCAGAAGGCAAGAAATAACTAAGATCAGAGAAGAACTGAAGGAGATGAAGGCACCAAAAACTCTTCAAAAAAATCAATAAATCCAGGAGCTGGTTTTTTTAAAAGATCAACAAAATTGATAGACCACTAGAGCAAGACTAATAAAGAAGAAAAGAGAGAAGAATCAAATAGATGCAATAAAAAAAATTATAAAGGGGATATCACCACCGATCCCGCAGAAATACAAACTACCATCAGAGAATACTACAAACACCTCTATGCAAATAAACTGGAAAACCTAGAAAAAAAAGGATAAATTCCTGGACACATACACCCTCCCAAGACTAAACCAGGAAGAAGCTGAATCCGTGAAGAGATCAATAACAGGCTCTGAAATTGAGGCAATAATTAATAGCCCACCAACCAAAAAAACTGCAGGACCAGACGGATTCACAGCCAAATTCTACCAGAGGTACAAAGAGGAGCTGGTACCATTCCTTCTGAAACTATTCCAATCAATAGAAAAAGAAGGAATCCTCCCTAATTCATTTTATGAGGCCAGCATCATCCTGATACCAAAGCCTGGTAGAGACACAACAAAAAAAGAGAATTTTAGACCAATATCCCTGATGAACATCAGTGCAAAAATCCTCAATAAAATACTGGCAAACCGAATCCAGCAGCACATCAAAAAGCTTATCCACCATGATCAAGTCAGTTTCATCCCTGGGATGCAAGGCTGATTCAACATATGCAAATCAATAAACATAATCAATCACATAAATAGAACCAACAACAAAAAACACATGATTATCTCAATAGATGCAGAAAAGGCCTTTGACAAAATTCAACAGCCCTTCATGCTAAAAACTCTCAATAAACTAGGTATTGACGGGATGTAGCTCAAAATAATAAGAGCTACTTATGACAAACCCACAGCCAATATCATACTGAGTGGGCAAAACCTGGAAGCATTCCCTTTGAAAACTGGCACAAGACAGGAATGCCCTCTCTCACCACTCCTATTCAACATAGTGTTGGAAGTTCTGGCCAGGGCAATCAGGCAAGAGAAAGAAATAAAGGGTATTCAATTAGGAAAAGAGGAAGTCAAATTGTCCCTGTTTGCAGATGACATGATTGTATATTGAGAAAACCCCATCGTCTCAGCCCAAAATCTCCTTAAGCTGATAAGCAACTTCAGCAAAGTCTCAGGATACAAAATCAATGTGCAAAAATCACAAGCATTCCTATACACCAATAACAGACAAACAGAGAGACAGATCATGAATGAATTCCCATTCACAACTGCTACTAAGAGAATAAAATACCTAGGAATCCAACTTACAAGGGAAGTGAAGGACCTCTTCAAGGAGAACTACAAACCACTGCTCAAGGACAAATGGAAGAACATTCCATGCTCATGGATAGGAAGAATCAATATCGTGAAAATGGCCATGCTGCCCAAGGTAATTTACAGATTCAATGCCATCCCCATAAAGCTACCAATGACTTTCTTCACAGAATTGGAAAAAACTACTTTAAAGTTCATATGGAACCAAAAAGAGCCTGCATTGCTGAGACAATCCTAAGCAAAAAGAACAAAGCTGGAGGCATCACGCTACCTGACTTCAAACTATACTACAAGGCTATAGCAACCAAAACAGCAAGGTACTGGTATCAAAACAGAGAAATAGACCAATGGGACAGAACAGAGGCCTCAGAAATAACACCACACATCTACAACCATCTGATCTTTGACAAACCTGACAAAAGCAAGAAATGGGGAAAGGATTCCCTAATTAATAAATGGTGTTGGGAAAACTGGCTAGCCATATGTAGAAAGCTGAAACTGGATCCCTTCCTTACACCTTATACATAAATTAATTCAAGATGGATTAAAGACTTAAATGTTAGACCTAAAACCATAAAAGCCCTAGAAGAAAACCTAGGTAATACCATTCAGGACATAGGCATGGGCAAGGACTTCATGACTAAAACACCAAAAGCAATGGCAACAAAAGCCAAAATTGATAAATGGGACCTAATTAAACTAAAGAGCTTCTGCACAGCAAAAGAAACCACCATCAGAATGAACAGGCAACCTACAGAAAGGGAGAACATTTTTGCCCTCTACCCATCTGATAAAGGGCTAATATCCAGTATCTACAAAGAACTCAAACAAATTTACAAGAAAAAATCAAACAACCCCATCAAAAAGTGGGCAAAGGATATGAACAGACACTTCTCAAAAGAAGACATTTATGCAGCCAACAGACACATGAAAAAATGCTCATCATCACTGGCCATCAGAGAAATGCCAATCAAAACCACAACAAGATACCATCTCACACCAGTTAGAATGGTGATGATTAAAAAGTCAGGAAACAACAGATGCTGGAGAGGATGTGGAGAAATAGGAACACTTTCACACTGTTGGTGGGAGTGTAAACTAGTTCAACCATTGTGGAAGACAGTGTGGCGATTCCTCAAGAATCTAGAACTAGAAATACCATTTGACCCAGCCATCCCATTACTGGGTACATACCCAAAGGATTATAAGTCATGCTACTACAAAGACACATGCACATGTATGTTTATTGCAGCACTATTCACAATAGCAAGAATTTGGAACCAACCCAAATGTCCATCGATGATAGACTGGATTAAGAAAATGTGGCACATATATACCATGGAATACTAGGAAGCCATAAAAAAGATGAGTTCATGTCCTTTGCAGGGGCACGGATGAAGCTGGAAAGCATCATTCTGAGCAAACTGTCACAAGGATAGAAAATCAAACACCGCATGTTCTCACTTATAGGTGGGAATTGAACAATGAGAACACTTGGACAGAGGGTGGGGAACATCACACATGGGGGCCTGTCGTATGGTTGGGGGTAGGGGGAGGGATAGCATTAGGAGAAATACCTAATGTAAATGATGAGTTAATGGGTGCAGCAAACCAACATGGCATATGTATATCTATGTAACAAACCTGCACGTTGTGCACATGTACCCTAGAACTTAAAGTATAATAAAATAATAATAATAATAATAATAATAATAATGACCATTAATTTCTGCTCTCAGGAAGATGTAACAGACATACTTTTCCCCATTTCTACTACTAAGTACATTCAAAAATTCTGGACATTACATATAAAACAAACATAAGATGACTCTAAAAGACAGAAAGAATAAGGAAGGTTGGCTAGGAATCTCAGAACACAAGGAAAGACACAGTGATAAGTTCCCAGCATTTTTGTTTTGCCTCATCTATTCCAGACTTACAGCTGAAGAAGCCATCAACCTAGAAATGCAACAAGCTCAAACAAAAATAAAAACATCAAAAATCCACTCTGTCTCATCAAAGCACCAGGAAAGGGGCATCCTAGCAAGACAGAAAACTTTCAGACAATTACTGCTTTACTCTAGAAAAACACTACAAAAATAAACCTAGCAAATTAAGAACCTAGCAAATAAATTAAAAAGTACCCCCCCACCTATGGCAGCAAAGACCAAGCAAGGGGCCTAGATTTTTCCCCTCACTCCCTCACCTGGCTGTATCAAGGCACCCCAATCTTTCAACAAACCTAGGGCAACCACTGACAATGCTGTAAAAGATCTACACTCAAAAACATATACATAAATCAAAATGGCATACTAAAATATGTGCAAATCACCCACAGGGAAAAGAAAAAAGGAGAAAAAGAAAGCAGAGAGAATGAAGAAAAAAACATAAACTAATAAGCTTAAGTTTTAACATAGCAATAATTCAATTAAATGTAACGGTCTAAATACTAATTGTAGGACAGGGATTCATAGAGTAGATTAAATATATATATAGCCCAAATATATGCTCTCCACAAGAAACTCAATTCAAATATAACAAGACACACAGGTGGAAAGCAAAAGGATGGAAAAAGGTATATCATGTACATATTAATAAAAAGAAAACAGGCATAAAGTATAGTCAGATAAAGAAGACTTCAGAGCAAAAAAATTACGAAAGACCGAAGACAGAGAAGAGCATTATATGATGACAAAAGGGTTAAAGAACCACGAGGCTATAGCAATCTTAAATGGTTGTGTGCCAAACATTAGTGCTCCAAAAAACTATGAAGCAAAAACTGATAGACTTGAAAGGAGAAATAAATAAATCCAAAATTATAGTTGAACACTTCAAAACCTCTCTCTCAGCCACTGATAGAACTAAAGAGAAAAATCACAAAGGATACTGAGGAGCTCAGTACTGTCATCAACGAACAGCAGTAATCAACATGTATGAAATACTCTACCCAACACCAACAGAATACACATTCTTTTCAAGTGTCCATGAATAATATATCAAAAGAAGATTATATCCTAAACCACAAAACAAATCTCAACAAATATAAAAGAACTAAAATCATACGGAATGTTTCCTCCAATCACAATAGAATAAAACTAGAAATCAGTACTAGAAAGATAATATGAAAACCTCCAGACACTTGGAAACTAAACAACACACTTCTAAATAATCCATGGGTCAAAGAAGTAGTCTCAAGGGAAATTTAAAAATGCACTGAATTGAATGGAAGTAAAAATGCAACATATCAAACTTTGTGGAACACAGTAAAAGTGGTGCTGAAAGGAATTTTAGATGACTAAATGCATAGTTTAGGAAAAAAGGAGACATCACAAATCAATAAACTAAGCTCCCAACATGAAGAACTTAGAGAAAAAAAAGAGAGCAAAATAAACCCAAAGCAAGTAGAAGGCAGGAAATAGTAAAGAGCAGAAATCAGTAAAATTGAAAACAGAATAACAATAGTAAAATAAATTAAAGACATGTTTCTTCAAAAAAGATCAATAAAATTCTGAAACCTTTAGCAGCATTGACAGAGAAAGAGATAAATACAAATGTGCAATATAAGGAGTTAAAATGGGGATCTCACTGCAAATACTACAGATATCAAAATAACATGGGAATGCTACAAAACAATTCTAAACACATAAATCTGGCAACTTAGATAAAATGTACCAATTCATTGAAAAATACTGACCACAAGAACTCTTCCAACATGAAATAAATAACTTGTATAGCTCCATAACTACTAAAAAAATTGAATTCATAATTTTAATATTTTAAAAAAAGAAATTATTCAGGCCCAGATGGTTTCACTGGAATATTCTACCAAATAATTTTAAAAGGCTTAACAAAAATTTAACACAATCTCTTCCAGAAAATAGAAGAGAGAAGAACACCTTCAAATTCATTGTATGAAGTCAGTACTACTCTGATACTAAAGCCAGCAAAGACAATAAAAATATTTCATAACCAAGTGGAACTTATTCTGGAATTCAAGGCTAGTTACACATTGGAAAATCAATCAATATTATCTGCATTGACAGGCTAACGGAGAAAAGTCATATGACTATATCAATCATGCTCCAAAAAAACCTTTGACAACATTCAACACTAATTCAGATAAAAACTGTCACAAAAATAGGAATAGAGGGGAACTTTCTCAATTGAATAAAGTGCATCCACAAAAATCATGCAGCTAACGCCACTAATGGTAATATACTGAATGCTTTCTGTAGAAAAACAGCCTGTTGCATGGCAAGATTGATGCCATCTTGAAGCAAAACCACTATGATGATCAATGTTTGATTCCTGTGTACCAAGGTATTCCACAGCAAAGTCTTAAACATTGCCTGTGGGAGAGAGGGAGGGAGGCAAGGACTGAAAAACTACCTATTGGGTACTATGCTCACTATCTGGTTGACAGTTTCAGTAATACGCCAAACTCAGCATCATGCAATATAACTTTGTAACAAACCTGCCCATGTACCTGTGATTCTAAAATCAAAGTTGAAAAAGAAAAAAGAAATTTACAAAGATGCAAGCTGGAAAAAAAAAGTCTATGGCATAGGTAACTCCTCTTAAAGGTGTTTATCTAACCTTCCTCGTGGTCATGGGTTTCAACAAAAAAAGTCTGAGACATGACCAGCTGCACCTGTTTTTATCTTAAAAGCTTGCTATATAAAGAATATATTCTAGAAAGCAGATGTGGGGATCCACCATCTCATGGTTGCAATGTTTGTAAGTTCCTATTAAATATTTCTTCCTGAAAAACTGGATTTGTCAGCTTCTTTCTCCAGCCTCTCAGCACCCTCAACCTTTGAGGGTAGTTTTGCATATACCTGCCCACTGAGGAACACCTCTCTAAGATAAGAAACAGACAAGGATATCTGCTTTCACTACTCTTATTCATAGTGCTGTATGTTATAGCCAGTGCAATGAGACAAGAAAAGGTAATAAAATGCATATATATCAGAAGATAAAAAATAATATTGCTTCTATTTGCAAATGGCATAATTGTCTACATAGAAACCCCCAAGGAATCCAATTTTTTAATTCCTAAAATTAACATTATTTCAACAATGTGGCAGGATATAAGATAAACATACAAAAATTAGTTTTATTTGTATACATTAGCAATGAAAACATAAAAACCAAAATTAAAATACAATACCATTCATAATTGCTTAAAAAGTAAGATACTTAAATGTAAATCTATCAAAACATGTATATGACTTGTATGCTGAAAACTATAAAATGCTAGTGAAATAAAACAAGGAAGATCTAAGTAAATGGAGATACAGCCATGTTTATGTATTGAAAGACAACATAGTAAAGACGAATTTCTCCTCAAAAGATCCATGAAATTTCTATCACTATCATTTCGAGATGTTTTATAGATATAAAGATTATTACATATGATTTATATAGAGGTCAAGGGAATTAGAATTCTTAAAACAATTTTTAAAAAGAACAAAGTAGGATAAATCAGCCTATCTGATTTGAAGACTTATAGAGCAAAAGTAATCAAGATTCTGTGGTATTAGCAGAAGGATGGACACATAGATGACTGAAACAGAATAGAGAACCCAGAAATAAACCTGTACAAATGAGTCCAACTGATTTTTGGCAGAGATGCAAAGGCAATTCAATGAAGGAAATAAGTCTTTTCCACAAATAAGACAGTGGAATTCATAAGCAAAAACAAACAAAAAAATAACATCAAACTAAGTTTCATACTTTATAGTTTTGCAAGATACTACCTTTGAGGGAAGAAGACACCTGGGGGTAGAAGACACACAGGGTCTTGGTACTATTTTTTAATAAAAACATTTGAGTTTACAATGATCTCAAAATTAAAAATGTTGATTAAACAAATGACCTGTACATGTGTCAAGTGGAGGAAACAGAAGGGTAAACAAACATTTATAGCACAATGTGGTATGTGTAATGATTGACATATAAATAAAATTCCTTTAGGAGAACAGCATTATCACCAAGAATGTTATTAAACACCTTCCAAAGAGCTGAGATTTGAGCTAAGTCTTGAAAGAAGGGGGAAGCTTACCAGCTTTCTTTTTATTCTTATAATCCTATGAGATAGAGGTTATTATCCCTCCTTGAGAGAAGGCTTAATAATGTTAAATCAATGACCCCATGCAACAGTTTCCAATTGCAATTTCATTCACTTTACATTTTTATCATAGTGTTATCAAAATACTGTGTAATAGAATCAAAATGCTGAAGAAGTAATAAATTACAAAAAAATTATTCAAAGGGACATTCATCTATTCAGGCATTTAGTAAGCATTAACATATTCCTGATGTATTGGCACGCAGGTAGGTGTTAAAGATTAGATAAAATCATACAACTCAAAAAGGGAAAGGGAATCATTCAGTAGCGACCATGTTTTATAGCCAATGATTCTCAAATTTCTTCCTGCATAAGAAACTCTTATTAGTAACATCCCTTAATGCATGCAATGATTTTAGGGAGTGAGAAAGAGGCAGATAAACAAATTCAGGATCTTGTGAGGAGAGGAAACATGCATTTTGTTTATTAAAGTACCCTCTTCCCCAGTAATTTAGGGTGCCCTCATAAGGGAGTTACAATCCCTCCAACAAAATATAAAATACTGTGAAAGTCATTTTATATTCTTCAAAATATTTCTTTTAGTCTACTAAAGGATTTCTCAATCTTGGCCTTATTGACACTTAAGCCAGATAAATCTTTGTAATAGAGAGGTGTCCTGTGTACCATAGGGTATTTAGCAGCATCCCTGGCTTCTGTCTACTAGATGCAAGTAGCACCCCTCTACCTAGCTGGGACAATCAAAGAATGTCTCCAGGATTACCAAATGTAGCCCAAGGGAATGCAAAATTACCCCCAGTGGAAAAATTAGCTGGATGTGGTGGTACGTGCCTGTGATCCTTGCTACTCAGGAGGCTAAGGTGAGAGAATCACCTGAACCCAGGAAAAGGAGGTTGCAGTGAGCTGAGATTGTGCCACTGCACTCCGGCCTGGGCGACACAGTGAGACTTCGTCTCAAAAAAACAAAAAAAATAATTACCCCCAATTGAGAACCACTGGTCAAGCAGTGTTGTTGCCATTCTGCAAATGAGGACTGACGTTTGGAGAAGTTGAATAGACTGTCAAAATTCACACAACTATTAATTGATGGAGCCAGGTATAGAATATAGGTCACCTTGATTCCAAAGAACAAGTTTTCTCTACTACATCTAGCTTCTTACGAAGAGTTCACATCCTAGAGGGAAAGTCACAGCTGTAAACCAAAATTATGAAATAATGTGACTGGGGCTGTAACTAAAGAGTCATCAGAAGGCTCTAGAGTCAAAAGGCTGGGGTAGACAAGAAACAGTATGTGTATTCATTTTCTATTCCCACAGAACAAACCACCACAAACTGAGTCACTAAAACAACACAGATTTATTATCTCACAGATTCCTTGGGTCAGGAGTCTGGGTATGGGTTAGCCAGGTCCTCCAGGTCTCACTAGGCTAAAATCAAAATGTTTCCCAAGGATGTGATTTCATCTGAAATTCAAGATCCCTTCAAAGCTCACTGGTTATTGAAAGAATTCATTTGCTTGAAGTTATACGACCAAGATCCCTGTTTTCTTGCTGGCTGTCAGTCAGGGACCATTCTCACGTTCTTGCCATGTGGACTTCTCATCTTAAAACATAGTAACTGACTTTTTCAACTCCAGCAAGAGAATCTGTTGTTACCTTTTGTCTCTTTTACCAGCCCACCTGGTTAAGTCAGACCCACTCAGGATATTCTCCCTTTGAGAAATTCAAAATCAACTGATTAGTTGAACTTAATTACACCTACAAAACCCATTTTACCATATAACATAACATAATTATGGGAAAGAAATCCCATCATACTTGCAAGTCCCACTGCATTCAAGAGGATGGGATTGTATAAGGGCATAGGTCAACAGCAGTCATTTTGGAATTTTGCCTACAACAATAGGTAGTTCTTAATACACGAGCTCATGTTCTTCCTAGATTCCCAGATGACCCCTGTAGTGCCTGACTTGGCATCTGCCCTCTTCATCATATGCCTGATTGCCCCCAGAAATACTCTCCCATGGCTCATGCCTGTAATCCCAGCACTTTGGGAGGCCGAGGCGGGCGGATCACGAAGTCGAGATTGAGACCATCCTGGCCAACATGGTGAAACCCTGTCTCTACCAAAAACACAAAAATTAGCTGGGCGTGGTGCACACATGCTGTAATTCCAGCTATTCAGGAGGCTGAGGCAGGAGAATCGCTTGAACCCGGGAGACGGAGGTTGCAGTGAGCTGAGATCTCGCCACTGCACTCCAGCCTGGCGACAGAACAAGACTCCGTCTCAAAAAAACAAAAAAAAAAAGAAAGAAAGAAAGAAATACTCTCCCAGCCCCCAGCCCCCTTATGTAACCACTCCATTCTGCTTACCTTCTTTATACACAATGCTTCCTCCTGGATCCTGGGCAAAACCTAGTGCATATTTGAACCTTCCTTTTAAAACTTGGCTTCACTCTAACATGTTCCTCTGACCCCTAGACATAAAAGCAATCCCTGTCCACTATGAGACGTGATGCTTAAATACATTGTTACACTGTTAGACAATTTTGCATGAGTCATGTTAACTCACATGGTTTTATATACTGATAATCTAATGAAGTGGGCTTGTCCCCATTTTTTTAAATAAGAAAATTTAGGATCAGCATGATTAAGCAGCTTTCCCAATGTTCTACAGCTCAAGGAAGTGACAGAGTCACAAATTCACATGGCTCCAAGTTCATGCTTCTTCCAGGGCCCATTTCCCTCCATTTTATGGAGGGCAGTAGGGGAGCAGTGGTTGAGAAATTTATACTTCTCTTGCTCTGTCGCCAAGTGGCACCTCCTCCCGTCAGCACTTCCCTGCTCAACTGCCACAACCATCTGAATAAATCTCATTTTGACTCTTTTTCTAATTGATACTTTTATTCAAATCTCGTCACCCCAATCTTCTAAGATCTTGTAGAATGGAAACCATCTTCTTTTTCTTTTTCCTTCTTCTTTTTTTTTTTTTTTTTTGAGACGGTGTCTCCCTTTATTGCCCAGGCTGTAGTGCAGTGGCATGATCTCGGCTCACTGCAACCTCTGCCTCCTGGGTTCAAGCAATTCTCCTGCCTCAGCCTCCTGAGTAGCTGGGACTACAGACGTGCACCACCATGCCTGGCTAGTTTTTGTATTTTTCGTAGAGACAGGGTTTCACCATATTGGCCAGGCTGGTCTCGAACTCCTGACCTCGTGATCCACCCATCTTGGCCTCCCAAAGTGCTAGGATTACAGGTGTGAGCCACTGCGCCCAGCCTAGAACGGAAACCATCTTCTTTATAGACCCAGCAGTGCCTACTCAGCCTTGCATAAATGACAATGCTTAAGAATTATTTGTATACATGGAAAATTAATTCCCTTATAACCCAATTAAATACTACTATTCAGAAAAGATCCATAAACTTGGAAAAGGCAAGGGATGTGTGCATAAAACATCCTTTCCACTCTGCTGGCATCCCCGGCACTTCCTTACACTTGCTAACTCTCTACAAGAAGCTGTAGATCAGTTCTGCTCTATTTCCACTACCTGCAGACTAGATATGGAACTTCATGCTCTGGTGTCTTTAATAATGTTTTATTATATCAAAAAAAGCTCTAGCTTTCCATTGACATTTCTATAAAGGAGTCTTTAATAGAAATGGGCTGTAAAGGGGCCTAACATTGACTCAGATGTACAAATAAACCTATACCAAGGTCTGGTATTTAGTTGTAGGGAGAAAGGGTGGGAGATTTAAAAATCATATATTTATTAACAGATATTTTTTGAACTCTGAAAATGTGCCACTCTGCTAGGTACAGGAACTAATCACAGCTCAGAGGAGTTTACAGTCAGCAGACGTGGACAAAGACAGAGGGAATGGAATGCAGCGTGAGGAGCTCTATGAAGGAAGGGAAGGCAGGGTGCATGGGAGGATCTGATAACTCAGTTCTGGCTTGGAGTTAAGGGTGCCAGTCATGGAAGACTTTCCAGTGATAATTCTATCTCAGCTAAACCTTAAAAGAGAGATAGGATTTAGCCAAGGCAAGAAGCTAAAATGAGTGTTCCATTCAAAAAGAAGAGCATGGACCCAGAATGCAAGGTGGAGAGTGCTAACACTGGAGGCTCTCTCAGATCTGGGAAGAGTTTTGGAGGCCGGATAAAAAGAACTTGGATCTTCTTTATCCATGGAGCAGCAGGAAAACATTAAAATACTTCAGGAAGGGAAGTGGCTTAACCATATCATCGTGGCTACAGAATAGAGAAGGATTGGAGTGGAACAAGCCTGGAAGTCAAGAAGGAAATCTGGGACACAGTGGTAATTATCCAAGCGAGAGATGAAGACAAAGCAGTGATAGAGAAATTTGAGCAACTTTAGGATTAGTCAGTCTCGGCAATCAACTGGATATGGGGGGAGAAGGAGGGAAATATATTAAGAATGACACTAGGGCTCTGGCACAGTCACCTGGGAGGACATTGGTGCTACTCATTCATTGTTTTGGGGAAACCAGGAGGAGACACAGATTTAGGAGCTATGCAGGTCAATATTGTATATACTGCATTGAATATGTTGCATTTTAGGACCTGATTCATGTAAACAAAGGTGATGGCAATAACAACAATACAGGAATCCTTCTTTTTCCTTGCAAAGGTATTCCAGGACAGATTTTATAGCTAGGGTACCATCTACCCCACTGCCGAGGTCCCCATTTTCCTAATTGTTTAATGTGACTTAATGTTAAATGTACGTGGGTTCAAAAGCCCTTACCTCTCAACCAAAATGTGAAATCAAAGCACGGCATGAATTAAGTGTGTCTGTCTGCACAGATGTTGTGCCCACCACATCAAAGGCATTTCGCACTTGCCACAGGGGATGGCTTCATGACCTTGGAAATAAATTTGAAATGTATGGGCTCCCTGAAACCACAGAGTCAACCGAATATGACTTGAATTATGGTAATGCATTATATTCACCAAGGAAAAAACCCAGTGCAAATTGCTGAATTTGAGGGTTTTTAACAAAAGGAATAAGAGACCCACAACCAAAATTATTGGATGACAAAACAGATCATTTTCAAATCCTCAGTTAGCAAACCATATCTATATACATATATTGGTCTACAAAAATGTTCACTCAGGCCATAATATTTTTTACTAGCTTTCCTCACATTTACCAATACCAGTCACACCTCATACCCACACTTTCCTACAGAAATAACAGTTGTGAAAAATGCTTTGAACACTATAATGCACTGTATCGAACTAAGGTTGCCAATAACATAAACCGAAGACCATACCTAATTGTTGGTAGCCAACATAGTAGAGTGAACAAACAAACAACAACAACAACAAAAACCACTAGCTGGCCAGCTGGTCTCATTTCTTGTTAATATGGTATAGTTAATTACTTACAATGTCCCATTTTGTTTTCCTTTCTGCCATGGTTTTTGGGAGCTAAGAAATGTATTGGAACACCAAGTAAATAATCCCATCCACTCACAAAAATTATCTGCAAAATTCTGTCTTCTACACAGAAATTATATCCATTCCTATGATTACTTTTTAGGAACTATTTGCATATTTACATGATTTCCATGAATGAGAAATCCTGTAAATATTTCTGCCCTCTGATCGAATTATGATTTCGGGCCTCACATAACTTTTTAAATGACAACCACTATTTATGCATGCCATACTGTGTGACGGACACCATGCCTAGTATCCATGTGCATTACCTTGTTTAATCCCTAAGACAATATTTAGTAAATATTACTTTCATTTTCTAGATGAGAAAACTGAAGCATATAGAGGCTTAGCCTCACATCACACAGCTAGCAAGAAGAAAAGCTGTGACTTACTGTTATTGTAGATTTTATGTCTCAATAACAGTAACACTTAGTAAATGATATTTTTATAAATGAAGATTAAATATACTAGTATTGTCCATCAGATCAGTTTGTCAAACATTCTTCAAAATGCTGCCCGTAGAAGGGTTAGCTAATTCACTATACACACAAACAGCCCACAGTCAGTCAATTGAAACATGGGCAAATGTTAAATATGTAAACAAAATGCTAAGCCCACCTACTTGCTTTAACCTCTGAGTCAATCCTTAAGCTCTAAATTTTTAAAGATGCACATCCTACATAAGAGAAGATTAAATAACAATAATAATCATATCGGCTCTCCTTTAAAGAACGTCTAGCTATACAACGGGTAAAGTTGAATGCTTTACCCATATTATAATTTTTAATCTTTATGAGTCTGTGAAGAAGCTATTATTATCCCTATTCTGAAGAAAAGAAAAGTTTGGCTCAATATGAGTATGTAGGTTGCATGAAGGTGTTCAGCCAATGAGAAGAAATGGGCCTAGGACTTGAAGTAGAGATTTCTTATTCCTACTCTGCTTGCAGACCTTATGTCCATGAAACCTGATAACATAGTGTGCCCCCACAAAACATTTTATAAAGCTCAGGTACTTCCCTGAGACGTTGTTGAAAACCCTGGGTAACTGAACGTCCATTTTATGTCTTCCATGTGTTAGCAACACTATAAAAGTTAAATTCATTGGCATCTGTAATATAAGAACTAATGGGATCAGTATTCTTTGAAAATTATGCTTTTTTCCAAATGTCACCTTATGTTCCACACATATTTTCAAAAATGAATGTTCAGGTTTTAAAGAGGGACTAAACAAAATTGACAATGTAATTTTATCCAGGTATAAAAAGAAAAAAACACACACACAATCTCTTGCCTTATGGGTTACTCCACCAGTCAGGCCGTGATAATAATTTACTATTCTGGAATATAGTTATTCTTCCAATTTTGACATAACTGCCATGTTATTTCACTCACATATTCTTCTGTCTGTCCCAGTAGCCAGGGGCCATTTTTCATGCCGTTCATTTGCATCAGAAATTACAGGTTTTGATACCACTGCCACAGCCTGTGTTTTAACTTTGAAATATATTGTAGCTAAACCTCTAATGTGGCTAATCTAGTTCATGATTCAATATGACTGCAGTTATGGTTCCCTGAAAGGGCTGCCGCTGACAAAAATGCCACCCTGTGCCATGCTCAGGAACTCCTTAGGGCTCAGCTCCCAGCTCAGGTTGAAAGAGGTCCCTAAGTAAATAGCTGTCTGAGCCTCTTCCTATCCAGGTCAGGTCACCAATTTATTCTGCGACCTTGGCACCATTGAGCCTCCTCTCCATGTCTCTCTTTTTTTTTTTATGACCATAAATTAGAAAGGCACAAACACAGCTTTCTTAATTTCTTCCTCCTTTCTGCCTTTTGGGCTCCTGGAGATGTGATGAGATCTTTCCAAGGGCTCTGATGGGGCAGGCACTGACAGTCTTCTCACCATCAGCTCCAGCAAAGGGCCAGGGCTTTCTTGGATGCTCACAGAGTGCATCTCAGTCATCCAACAGGATGGGTGGAAGCAGAAACTGCCCGAGATGGGGAGAGTCACAGGCTTCCAAGTTGGAAGGACCTTGGAGATTATCAGTGTGCTTCCCATTTTCCAGAGGCACAAAGACTTAAGTGAACTCAGGGTCACCCAGTGTGTTCCCAATTAGTTCACCATTGAATCCCTTCATTCAGCAAACATCTATGGAGCACTTAATGTGTCCAAGATAAGACTAGAGATCAGATGTTGTCCTGCCCTCAGGATAGCACCATCTAGCAGAGGGGTTAGGTCAAGAAGGAAGGGCAATAAAATGTTAAGAGGCAGTGTGGCCACAGATACTGGTTAGTCCAGGAAAATCTCAGTTTATCATCAGTAGCAGTAGCATGCCCTTCCACTCTCAAAAGCGTCTTGGTGGTCGGGTGCGGTGGCTCATGCCTGTAATCCCAGCACTTTGGGAGGCCAAGGCGGATGAATCACAAGGTCAGGAGATCGAGACCATCCTGGCTAACACGGTGAAACCCTGTCTCTACTAAAAATACAAAAATTTAGCTGGGCGTGGTGGCGCGCGCCCAGAGTCCCAGCTACTCGGGAGGCTGAGGCAGGAGAATCCCTTGAACCCGGGAGGCGGAGGTTGCAGTGAGCCCAGATCATGCCACTGCACTGCAGCCTGGGCCACAGAGCAAGACTCCACCTCAAAAAAAAAAAAAAAAAAAAAAGAAGTGTCTTGGTTTGGTTTGGATGACAAATTAAACAGACTCTCCAGTTATTGGTGAGAAAGATGTGAAGTGCAAAGACAAAAGATAGAATTTTGTGGCAGGGTGTGGGGGCTTATGTCTGTAATCCCAGCAGTTTGGGAGGCCGAGGCAGGCAGATCACCTGAGGTCAGGAGTTCGAGACCAGCCTGGCCAACATGGCGAAACTCCATGTCTACTAAAAATATAAAAATTAGCTGGAAATGGTGGCAGGTGCCTGTAATCCCAGCTACTTGAGAGGCTGAGGCAGGAGAATCACTTGAACCAGGGAGTTTAAGTAGAACCGGTAGTTTTATGGAGATTGCAGTGTGCCAAAATTGAGCCACTGCACTCCAGCCTGGGAGACAGAGTGAGACTCTGTCACCAAAAAAAAAAAAAAAAAAAGCTAGAATTTTATTTAGGTTAACTCTAGTAAACATTGCATAATTATTGTTCCATGAGTGGGGGGGTGGGCGGTTCATTCATTCTCAATGAGTTTTGTCAGTTGTCTTTGAGAACAAATGAGGTAAGCCCCTTCAGGCAGACTTAAAAGGAAAGAGGGTCCCAAACTGACTGGACCCAGTCTGATACTTGGGTTTGGCTGCTGGGCATAGTCACATAGCTGGTTTGCAACAGAGTCAAGCAGTAAATCTAGCTGCCTTGACTCCTTGCCCAGTGCTCTTATTATGATGCTCCATCCAACTGACTGCCTGGATGAGTTTTTGTAACTGAGTGGACCTCACCTAATAACATACCCTGCAACCTCTAGCCTATGCCTCTTACTCACTGGTTCTGCTATCTGCCCCCTGTAAGTCTCCCAACAATCGTCCCCAACCAGGGTATAAATTATAAGGATACAAAGAGAACTCACTATAAAAGAACCTATCCTGATATTTTCCTTCAAATGTTACATTAGAAAAAATTTCTGAGGGAGGTTCCAAGATGGCTGAATAGGAACCCCTCCAGTCTACAGCTCCCAGTGTGAGCGATGAAGAAGACGGGAGATTTCTGCTTTTCCAACTGAGGTACCAGGTTCATCTTACTGGGGCTTCTCGGACAGTGGGTGCAGCCCTCAGAGTGTCAACTGAAGCAGGGCAGGGCATCGCCTCACCCAGGAAGTGCAAGGGGTTGGGGAATTCCCTTTCCTAGCCAAGGGAAGCCATGACAGACAGTACCTGGAAAATTGGGACACTCCCACCCTAATAGCACTTTTCCAATAGTCTTAGCAAACGGCACACCAGGAGATGATATCCCACACCTGGCTCCGAGGGTCCCACGCCCATGGAGCCTCGCTCATTGCTAGCACAGCAGTCTGAGGTCGAACAGCAAGGTGGCAGCGAGGCTGGGGGAGGGGCATCTGCTATTGCTGAGGCTTGAGTAGGTAAACAAAGCAGCCGGGAAGCTTGAACTGGATGGAGCCCACCGCAGCTCCAGGAGGCCTGCCTACCTCTGTAGACTCCACCTCTGGGGGCAGGCCATAGCCAAACAAAAGGCAGCATAAACTTCTGCAGACTTAAAAGTCCCTGTCTGACAGCTTTGAAGAGAGTAGTGGTTCTCCCAGCATGGCCTTTGAGATCTGAGAATGGACAGACTGCCTCCTCAAATGGGTCCCTGACCCCCGAGTAGCCTAACTGGGAGACACCTCCCAGTAGGGGCTGACTGACACCTCATACAGTCAGGTGCCCCTCTGAGACGAAGCTTCCAGAGGAAGGATCTGACAGCAACATTTGCTGTTCTGCAATATTTGCTGTTCTGCAGCCTCCGCTGGTGAAACCCAGGCAAACAGGGTCTGGAGTGGACCTCCAGCAAACTCCAACAGACCTGCAGCTGAGGGTCCCAACTGTTGGAAGGAAAACTAACAAACAGAAAGGACATCCACACCAAAATCCCATCTGTACATCACCATCATCAAAGACAAAACGTAGATAAAAACACAAAGATGGGGAGAAAACAGAGCAGAAAAGCTGAAAATTCAAAAATCAGAGAGCGTTTCTTCTCCTCCAAAGGAATGCAACTCCTCACCAGCAACGGAATAAACCTGGATGGACAATGACTTTAACGAGTTGAGAGAAGAAGGTTTCAGATGATCCGTAATAACAAACTTCTCAGAGCTAAAGGAGGATGTACGAATCCATCGCAAAGAAGCTAAAAACCTTGAAAAAAGATTAGACGAAAGGCTAACTAGAATAAACAGCATAGAGAAGACCTTAAATGACCTGATGGAGCTGAAAACCATGGCACGAGAACTGCCTGACACATGCACAAGCTTCAGTAGCCAATTCGATCAAGTGGAAGAAAGGGTATCAGTGATTGAAGATCAAATGAATGAAATGAAGCAAGAAGAGAAGTTCAGAGAAAAAAGAGTAAAAAGAAACGAATAAAGCCTCCAAGAAATATGGGACTAAGTGAAAAGACCAAATCTACGTTTGATTGGTGTACCTGAAAGTGACGGGTAGAATGGAAACAAGTTGGGAAACATTCTTCAGGATACAATCGAGGAGAACTTCCACAACTCAGCAAGGCAGGGCAACATTCAAATTCAGGAAATACAGAGAATGTCACAAAGATACTCCTTGAGAAGAGCAACTCCAAGACACATAATTGTCAGATTCACCAAAGTTGAAATGAAGGAAAAAATGTTAAGGGCAGCCAGAGAGAAACATCGGGTTATCCACAAAGGGAAGCCCATCAGACTAACAGCAGATCTCTTGGCAGAAACTCTACAAGCCAGAAGAGAGTGGGGGCCAATATTCAACATTCTTAAAGAAAAGAATTTTCAACCCAGAATTTCATATCCAGACAAACTAAGCTTTGTAAGTGAAGGAGAAATAAAATCCTTTACAGACAAGCAAATGCTGAGAGATACTGTCACCACCAGGCCTGCCTTATAAGAGCTCCTGAAGGAAGCACTAAACATGGAAAGGAACAACCAGTACCAGCCACTGCAAAAACATGCCAAATTGTAAAGACCAACAATGCTAGGAAGAAACTGCATCAACTAATGAGCAAAATAACCAGCTAACATCATAATGACAGGATAAAATTCACACATAACAATATTTACCTTAAATGTAAATGGGCTAAAAGCTCCAATTAGAAGACACAGACTGCCAAACTGGATAAACAGTAAAGACCCATCAGTGTGCTGTATTCGGGAGAACCATTTCACATGCAGAGACACACATAGGCTAAAAATAAAGGGATGGAGGAAGATCTACCAAACAATGGAAAACAAAAAAAAAGCAGGGGTTGCAATCCTAGTGTCTGATAAAACAGACTTTAAACCAACAAAGATCAAAAGAGACAATGAAGGCCATTACATAATGGTAAAGGGATCAATTCAACGAGACGAGCTAACTATCCTAAATATATATGCATCCAATATAGGAGCACCCAGATTCATAAAGCAAGCCCTTAGAGACCTACAAAGAGACTTAGACTCCCACACAATAATAATGGGAGACTTTAACACCCCACTGTCAACATTAGACAGATCAACGAGATATAAAGTTAACAAGGATATTCAGGACTTGCACCAAGCAGACCTAATAGACATCTACAGAACTCGCCACCCCAAATCAACAGAATATACATTCTTCTCAGCACCACATCGCACTTATTCCAAAATTGACCACATAGTTGGAAGTAAAGCACTCCTCAGCAAATGTAAAAGAGCAGAAATTAAAACAAACTGTCTCTCAGACCACAGTGCAATCAAACTAGAACTCAGGATTAAGAAACTCACTCAAAACCGCTCAATTACATGGAATTTGAACAACCTGCTCCTGAATGACTACTGGGTACATAGCAAAATGAAGGCAGAAATAAAGATGTTCTTTGAAACCAATGAGAACAAAGACACCACATACCAGAATCTCTGGGACACATTTAAAGCAGTGTGTAGAGGGAAATTTATAGCACTAAATGCCCACAAGAGAAAGCAGCAAAGATCTAAAATTGACACCGTAACATCACAATTAAAAGAACAAGAGAAGCAAGAGCAGACACATTCAAAAGCTAGCAGAAGGCAAGAAATAACTAAGATCAGAGAAGAACTGAAGGAGATAGAGACACAAAAAAACGCTTCAAAAAAAATCAATGAATCCAGGAGCTGGTTTTTTGAAAAGATCAACAAAATTGATAGACCGCTAGCAAGACTAATAAAGAAGAAAAGAGAGAAGAATCAAATAGACACAATAAAAAATGATAAAGCAGATGTTACCACCGATCCCACAGAAATACAAACTACCATCAGACAATACTATAAACACCTCTATACAAATAAACTAGAAAATCTAGAAGAAATGGATAAATTCCTGGACACATACACCTCCCCAGACTAAACCAGGAAGAAGCTGAATCTCTGAATAGACCAATAACAGGTTCTGAAAGTGAGGCAATAATTAATAGCCTACCAACCAAAAACAGTCCAGGACCAGAAGGATTCACAGTCAAATTCTACCAGAGGTACAAAGAGGAGCTGGTACCATTCCTTCTGAAACTATTTCAATCAACCGAAAAAGAGGGAATCCTCCCTAACTCATTTTATGAAGCCAGCATCATCCTGATACCAAAGCCTGGCAGAGATACAACAAAAAAAGAAAACTTTAGACCAATATTCCTGATGAACATCAATGCAAAAATCCTCAATAAAATACTGGCAAACCGAATCCAGCAGCACATCAAAAAGCTTATCCACCATGATCACGTCAGTTTCATCCCTGGGATGCAAGGCTTGTTCAACATACGCAAATCAGTAAACATAATCAATCACATAAACAGAACCAACAACAAAAACCACATGATTATCTCAATAGATGCAGAAAAGCCCTGTGACAAAATTCAACAGCTATTCATTCTAAAAATTCTCAATAAACTAGGTATTGATGGAACATATCTCAAAATAATAAGCGCTATTTACGACAAACCCACAGCCAATATCATACTGAATGGGCAAAAACTGGAAGAATTCCCTTTGAAAAATGGCACAAGACAGGGATGCCCTCTCTCACCACTCCTATTCAACATAGTGTTGGAAGTTCTGCCAGGGCAATCAGGCAGGAGAAAGAAATAAAGAGTATTCAGTTAGGAAAAGAGGAAGTCAAATTGTCCCTGTTTGCAGATGACATGATTGTATATTTAGAAAACCCCATCGTCTCAGCCCAGAATCTCCTTAAGCTGATAAGCAACTTCCGCAAAGTCTCAGGATACAAAATCAATGTGCAAAAATCACAAGCATTCTTATACACCAATAACAGACAGAGAGCCAAATCACGAGTGAACTCCCATTCACAATTGCTTCAAAGAGAATAAAATACCTAGGAATCCAGCTTACAAGGAATGTGAAGGATCTCTTCAAGGAGAACTACAAACCACTGCTCAACAAAATAAAAGAGGACACAAACAAATGGAAGAACATTCCATGCTCATGGATAGGAAGAATCAATATCATGAAAATGGCCATACTGCCCATGGTAATTTATAGATTCAATGCCATCCCCATAAAGCTACCAATGACTTTCTTCACAGAATTGGAAAAAACTACTTTAAAGTTTACATGGAACCAAAAAAGAGCCCACATTGCCAAGTCAATCCTAAGCCAAAAGAACAAAGCTAGAGGCATCACACTACCTGACTTCAAACTATACTACATGGCTACAGTAACCAAAACAGCATGGTACTGGTACCAAAACAGAGATATAGACCAATGGAACAGAACAGAGGCCTCAGAAATAATACCACACATCTACAACCATCTGATCTTTGACAAACCTGACAAAAACAAGAAATGGGGAAAGGATTCCCTGTTTAATAAATGGTGTTGGGAAAACTGGCTAGCCATATGTAGAAAGCTGAAACTGGATCCCTTCCTTACACCTTATACAAAAATTAATTCAAGATGGATTAAAGACTTACATGTTAGACCTAAAACCATTAAAACCTAAAAGAAAACCTAGGCAACACCATTCAGGACATAGGCATGGGCAAGGACTTCATGACTAAAACACCAAAAGCAATGACAACAAAAGCCAAAATTGACAAATGAGATCTAATTAAACTAAAAAGCTTCTGCACAGCAAAAGAAACCACCATCAGAGGGAACAGGCAACCTACAGAATGGGAGAAAATTTTTACAATCTACCCACCTGACAAAGGGCTAATATCCAGAATCTACAAAGAACTTAAACAAATTTACAAGAAAAAATCAAACAACTCCATCAAAAAGTGGGTGAAGGATATGAACAGACACTTTTCAAAAGAAGACATTTATGCAGCCAACAGACACATGAAAAAATGCTCATCATCACTGGCCATCAGAGAAATGCAAATCAAAACCACAATGAGATACCATCTCACACCAGTTAGAATGGCGATCATTAAAAAGTCAGGAAACAACAGGTGCTGTAGAGGATGTGGAGAAATAGGAACGCTTTTACACTGTTGGTGGGAGTGTAAACTAGTTCAACCATTGTGGAAGACAGTGTTGCGATTCCTCAAGGATCTAGAACTAGGAATACCATTTGACCCAGCCATCCCATTACTGGGTATAAATATTATAAATCATGCTGCTATAAAGACACATGCACAGGTATGTTTATTGTGGCACTATTCACAATAGCAAAGACTTGGAACCAACCCAAATGTCCATCAATGATAGACTGGATTAAGAAAATGAGGCACATATACACCATGGAATATTATGCAGCCATAAAAAAGGATGAGTTCATGTCCTTTGCAGGGACATGGATGAAGCTGGAAACCATCATTCTGAGCAAACTGTCACAAGGACAGAAAACCAAACACTGCATGTTCTCACTCATAGGTGGGAATTGAACAATGAGAATACTTGGACACAGGGTGGGGAACATCACACACTGGGGCTTGTCTTGGGGTGGGGAGAGGGGAGAGGGATAGCATTAGGAGAGATACCTAATGTAAATGACAAGTTAATGGGTGCAGCAAACCAACATGGAACATGTATACATATATAACAAACCTGCACATTGTGTACATGTACCCTAGAACTTAAAGTATAATTAAAAAAAAAAGAAGAAAAAAAGAAAAAAATTTCTAACAGCAGCCAATAAAAGAGCTGTCATTTCCTAAGGACATGTTTCAGGCACTGGGTTAGATATTTTATGTGCATTACTGTAAGCCTCAGGATTTTTCAACACGGTAATACTATTGTACCATTTTACAGAAGAGAAAACAGAGGTTCTGAGAATTATTATATTTAACTTGCCTATTGACACACAACTGGTAAACGGCAGAGTCAGGACTCAAACCCAGGTCTACCTTATCTCAAACTGTCTCCCTTTCCACTACACTACATTGATTACTTATGTTTCATTCCAATCCTCAAGGGGAACATTTGTTGAAAACTTCTGAAAATCAATTGATTACCAGTATATAGTGAGCCTTTTTATAGTTAAGGTGTCCATGGAGAAACACAGATGCATGAGACACAGACCTGCTATCGAGATAGTTATAAACTATTTGGGAAAATGAAAAACATACACCCACATACACATGCACACACACACAAAAACACACAAACACGTAGTAACCACATGGAGCAGAAAGGGTCTGTGCAACAGAGCAGATTACAAATTACAAATCCAAATGCTACAGGATTCCAAGGTCTGAAATGAAGAAGACCAACGTGGTGGTCAGGGAAGGTCAGAAAGGAGGCAGGATCTGAATCACGAATGAGGAGGAGAGGGGCTCCAGGTTGCTAAAATCTGGGGTGGAATATTCCTTTCAGGAGTATTCCACTGGCCACTGCTACTGGCAAATCCAGGAAGGATTGACTAGAAATAGAGAGTGACTAGAACAGAAATGCTGAGATACTTTGGGGTGGCACAGAATCATGATTAGGAGTACTGCTGTGGCAAATAACTTCCCTCCTATCTTAGGTTCCTTATCTGGAAAATGGAAAATAGGAATAAATATGCCTACGTTACAAGGTGGTAAGAGTAATGAAAGGAGCTGATATGTGCTAAGCCGTTTAGCATAGTAAATGGCACTTCATAGTCACTTGACAAACTGTAGCTCTTTTTATTACCTGACAATCCTGACAGCCATCTTGGTGGTTTCGTGTGCCTTGCTGTTGTGCATAAAATGAAAATAGTCTTGAGAGGTATACAGTAGGCAAGAAATATCCAGCAACTCTTGCAAACTTTCCAGTCTTCCAGAGACAAGAAGCCAGATCAGTTTCCCACCAGATATTGACCCCTCAGACTTCAGGGCAGCTGAGCAGTGGTCTCAGCTGTTCACTGCAGCATGCAGGTAAAATATCCTTCTCTCAGTATGCCAGGATGTGGAAGAGTCGGGAAGCAGGGAATAAGAATCAAGCAAAGGGACAAAGTTTTGTGCAAGGCTGAGTATGCTTATCAGTACATGATAAGTCTCTGTCAGTAGGCATGTTTAAGGGAAAACAATAAGGATTTATTAAATGTTTACTTTGTGTCAGGAACACTTAATTTTATCTTTTTTCAGTCCTCAGAGTATTCTCAGAAATACTCTAAGCAGCATGCCATGGATTTACTTCTATCTGAAATACTCAATATGCATTTACTCTTTGATTTGAAAAAATTACAGCCAATAACTAGCCTCTCTTTACATTTTCTGTTTTCTTCCTCTTCCTCTTCTGTATAGCAAAGATGATTAACCCAAGAAGCACATTAAACTTATCTGAATGACTTTTTAAAAATTCTAGTGTCTGAGCATCACCCTAAAGTTTTGATTGGAATGGCTTGGAGTTTTTCATAAGCATACGTATTTTCTACTTCTTAGGCAACTCCAATGGACATCCAGGGTTGGAACCTTTGCGAGAGGATTCTAACACCTTCTAAATTGTGCTCAATCAATTCCTCCAATTTAATACTACATTCAAAAGTTGACTATCTGAGATTGGTCAGTATCTGAGACCCACAGGAACATATGAACAGAGATACCACTTTGCAACATAAAGAGACAGCAGCCTTACCTCTCTTAGGAATTTTTACAGGTACTCAAACGGAGACTTGAAAAAACAAAATATGTGCCTAGTCTTCCCCCAACACCCAACACACACATCATTACCAAATGCAGGAGTATGCAGTACAGCCACAACTTACATGCTTCTAAGTAATAATGTATTGATGTATAGTTTGCACAAATTGCAATAAATGGCATTTTCTGTTATGTGGTGGGTAATAGATAGTTCTGGAGTGAATACAAGTCCATAATTCATTCAAGGACTGTGCTGATTCTGTAAACTAAAGCTCACAATTTAAGCAGTTAATCTATGGTAGTTTAATGCTGAGAATGAATTTCAGGGTGGTGTTCAATTTGGTGACCATCTATTATTTCAGTTGAAGCATAATTAACTTGACATATATAAGAAGAAGCAAGAGAAATGCTTTCAGGGACTTTTGCCCTTTCTTCTACCTTCCTAACCTCTTGCTACTTCTCCGTGTTACTCTCCAGAATGGTCATTTCCTGCTTCAGAGGCAGACTGGGAACAAGGAAAGGTTGTTTCAGAGACAATTGGCACCATGTCATTTTCACTGCAAAGGCTCAGCTTAAGTGAAACAAGCTAGAGACTATTGTATTTGCCACAACCCATCAGATAATTAGTCTATCAGAAGTGCAGTGGCCTGAGTGACCAAATCTTAAGGCTGCTGGAGAAAGGGAAAAATCCTTTTGAAAATTTGGTTTCCCTCACTGCCACAAGTCTCTTTCTGTCTGTGTTCATCTTCTTTAGCCTGCTGTATCATGGATAGGTTTCCTCCATCTCTTAGAAACTGTGTCTATCTATGAGATGGAGAAAAACCAAAACAGAGAGAACTCTTGGACAATGATCCTATGAAAAATCTTCATCCACTCAGAAACCATGAACTGAAACTAAGCCTTTCAAAAACAGACAATTATTACCACAGACTTTAAAAGAAAAAGCAGAAATCCATTTACTCTAGCAAAATATGACTTCACTGGACTGAAAATTTCTCAATGACAAATTCTTCTAACTTTTCTGCGTTTAAGATATGGCTAAACAGATGATATTGGTTCGATTAATATTAGAAGAGTCAAGACCTTTACAATTTAACATTATAGAAAGAGCAAAATACAATCAGGACTAAGTCTACAATAAAGAATCCATGATGCCACAGCCTTATTTTTCTTGAATTCCAAATGCAGATAGAAAGATTAAGTCAAATTATAGAGACATTAAACGATTATAAAATGGTTAATTCACCCAGAAGACATAACAATTCTAAATCTATATGCATGGAACAAAGCTGCAAAATACATGAAGCAAAAACTGGCAAAACTAAACTAAAAAATAGATGAATCCACAATTATACCTGGAGAATTCAATGCTCTTCTCTCAGTAGAAAATAGAACTAATGGTTAAAAAGCCATCAAGGATACAGAACTGAACACCATCAATTTACTGGATCAAGTATGTATGGAACTACACCAAACAGCAGCAGAGTCTTGTTTTTTCAAGTTACATGGAGCATTCACCAAGATAGGAAATATCCTGAGTCATAAAACAAATCTTAACAAACTTAAATAACACAAGGCATGTCCTCAGATCACAACTGAAGCCTTACACTAGAAATAAAGGAAACATAAAAAGAAAATCTTTACACACTTAGAAATTAAACAGCACACTTCTAAATAATCCATAGTTCAAAACAGGAGTCTAAAGAAAATTGGAAAAATTAGAAAATATTTTGAACTGAATAAAAATAAAACTACAGCATATCAAAATTTCTGTGATGTACCTAAAACAGTGCTTAGAGAGAAACTTATAGCATTAAATGCTTCTGTTAGGAAAAAAATAAAGGTTACAAATAAACAATATAAGCTTACACCTTAAAATAATAGAAAACAAAGCAGAAGGAGAAAAATAATGAAATTAAAAACCAGAAACTAATAGACAAAAATACATGAAATCAAGAGCTGCTCATTTGAAAAGCAAGATTGATCAACCTCTACCAAGACTAACAAAGAAAAAAGGAGAGAAATACAAATCACTAGTATCAGAAATAAATGGAGAGCTATCACTATAGACCCCATGGCCATTAAAAAGAAAGTGAGGGCTATTATGAACAACTCCATGCACATAAATTTGCCAACATATATAAAAGGGATCAATTCCTCAAAACCACAAACTATCAAAGTCTACTTAAGACGAAATAAGTAACATGACTAGTTCTATAACAATAAGAGAAATTTAATCCATAATAAAAGCAATCTTCGAAAAATGAATTTCCAGGCCCAGGTGGTTTCACTGCTGAATTCTACCGTATTCCATCTCTACACTAACTGTTTCAGAATATAGAGGAAATGCTTCCCAGTACATTTTATGAGGCCACTATTACTCTGATACTATTACAAAACAAAAACAGTACAAAAGAAGACCATAGACCAATAACCCTTATGGACAGAAATGCAAAAATTCTCCACAAAATGTCAGCAAATTGAATGCAGTGATATACAAAAAGAATAATATAACATGACCAAGTGATGTTTGTCCTGGCAATGGAAGGCTGACTCAATATTTGAAAATCAGTGTAAATCTATCATAAATCACAGTGTAAATCTAACTATCTAAAGGGGATTTTAACATGATTGAGTTAACTGATGCAGAAAAAGCATTTGACAAAATTTAACATCTATTCATGATTTTAAAAAACTCAACAAGAAGAAACAGAAATCATTTTCTCAACCTGGTAACAAGAGCTATTAAAAAAATAGCCTGTAATCCCAGTAATTTGGGAGGCAGAGGCCAGGAGTTTAAGACCAGCCTGGACAAAATGGTGAAACCCTGTCTCTACTAAAATTACAAAAATTAGCTGGTCATGGTGGTGCACACCTATAATCCCAGCTACTCAGGAGGCTGAGGCATGAGAATCTCTTGAACTCAGGAGGCAGAGGTTGCAGTGAGCCAAGATCACGCCACTGCACTCTAGCCTGGGAAACAGAGTGAGACTCTGTCTCAAAAAAAAGAAAAAAAATCTATTAAAAACCTATAGCTAACATTATACTTAATGGTGAAAGACCAAATACTTTTCCTACTTTGGGAACAAAACAAGAATTTTCACTCTTACCACTCCTATTCAAAAATTGTACTAGAAGTCTTAGCCAGTGAAATAATACAAGAAAAAGAATAAAGCACACAGATTGGAGAAGAAGAAATAAAACTGTCCCTATTCACAGATGAGATAGAGTGTATAAACAGAAAATCTCCAGAAATATATATATAATATATATATTTTATACATATAAATATTATATATAATATATATATCAAATATATACATAAATTTCCTTAAACTACTAAGTGAGTTTAGCAAGGTCACAGGATGAAAGGTCAACACTCAAAAATCAATCCTATTTTTATATACTAGCAACACAAAATTGGAAACCAAAATTTTCAAAAATAATATTTATAATAACTCCAAAAAATTAAATACTTAGGAAAAAAATCTAACAAAACATATACAAAATCTTATGCAAGAAACTACAAAATGCTGATCAAATAAATCAGAAAAGAAAGAGAGAGACATATTTTGTTCATGGATTGGAAGACTCAACATAGTAAAGATATCAATTCTCCTCAAGTTAATCCATAGGTTTAATTCAATTCTAATCAAAATCCCAGCAGGATTTTTTTAACCTTTAGACAAGATGACATTAAAATGGATATAGCAAGGCAAAAACTAGAATAGCTAAAATAATTTTGAAAAAGAAGATTAATAATAGAGGAGTTCAGCTACACAATTTTAAGGCTTACTATAAAGCCACAATAATCAAGAGAATAAAGTGTGAAAGGATAGACACATATATCAATGGAAAAAAAGATGGGGATTCCAGAAACAGCCACACAAATACACACTGTTTTGACAAAAGTATAAAAGCAATCCAATGGGAAAAAATATGATACTCTTTTCAGCAAATGATCTTGGAACAACTGGATGTCCATAAGCAAAAAAATAATAAACTTCAACCTAAACCTCACCTCACATGTCATCCAAAAATTAACTAAAACAAATCATAGATATAAATAAAATGTAAATCTATAAAACTTCCAAAAGAAAAACATCGTAGAAAGCCCTTATAGCCTAGGGATAAGGAAAGCTTTTTTAATCATGACACCAGAAGCACATCCATAAAGGAAAAAAATTGATAAACTAGTCTTCATCAAAATTGAAGATATTTGCTTGGCAAAAGTCACTTCTAAGAGGAGTAAAATGTAAGCAACAAACCGGAAGAAAATATTTGCAAGTCATATATGTAACAAAGTATGTATATCCAGAATCCATAAAGAACTCTCGAAACTTATCACTAAGAAAACAGACAACTCAATTTTTTTAAATAAGCAAAATGAACAGATACTCACCAAAGAGGATACAAAAATGGCAAATAACCACACAAAAGATGTTAAACATCATTAGTGACTAGGAAAATTTACATTAAAATCATAAAGAGTTACCTCTACTTGTTAGAATGGCTAAAATAAAAAACACTGACAATACCAAGTGCTGATTAGGATGCAGAGTAACTGGAACTCTCATATATTACTGGTGATAGTGTAAATTACCACAGCCATTCTGAAAACGGTTTGACAATTTCTTATAAAGTGAAACATACGTTTACCATATGACCTAGAAATATCATTCAAGGGTATTTACCCTAGAGAAATGAAAACTTATGTTCACACGACAACGTATACACAAAAGTTTATAGCAGCTTTGTTCATAATTGCCAAAAATTGGAAAGAATCCAAACGTCCTTCAACAGGTAAATAGATAAACTGTTAGTACATCCACATGATGGAATGGAACAATAAGAAGGAATGGTAAAAGGAAGAATAAAGAGAAACAAACTATTGAAAACACAACTTGGATGAATTTCAAAGGTATTATGCTGACTGAAAGAAACCAGTTTCAAAAGATTACATACTGTAAAATTCCATTTATATAAAATTTTCAAAAAGACAAAAAGCTATAGAGAGCAGTTCCGTGGTTGCCACGGGTTACAGGTTGGAGAGAATATCCTTTCAAAAGGCTTGCACAAGAGAGTTGTTTGGGATAATGGAATTATTCTGTATTCTACTTGTGCAATAGTTAGATGAATCTGTACACGTGCTAAAATTGATAGAACTGCAGAATAAACAATAAAATACTTATGTATATAACATTCATGTAGTATGTATATTACATATTCATGTATTATACTTAAGTGTGTTGCTGTGTTTTAAGATTTCCTCCTTGAAAGTCAACACAAGGAATAGCACATCCTTGGAATAAACTGAAGGATTACAATTATGTTGGTGTTTTCCCACTAATCGTGAACTCCATAATCCACCGAGCTGTTAACAGCCAAAGATGGCTGCAGAGAAGAGAGGCTATGAGGCTGACTTTCCTTGTAGGTGGAAAGTCGCAAGTAGCTTTAAATGGAAGAGTTGCTGGGTCTTGCCATGGAGGCCCAAGTTAAGGGAGGATGCACAAATGCTGGTTCAGTCAAGAAATTAAACCAAAAAGCCTTTTTCAAAATTGCAAAGCTCTCAAAGGGGTAATTACAAACTGCTAACAGTGAGTCATGTCTAGGTCTGAATCAGCTTATGATGTGTTTCCCTTAAGGCGATTGAAGAAATGGGAGTTAGAAGAATGGAAAAGAACAGGGAAAGGTAATTTTGAAGTATAGGGTACAGTTTCAGGAGAGCAGATCTGAATGGAATTGTATAGTCAAAATAATCACAACAGACAGATAACCAGTCAGGGAAAAAAGGAGGCAGAAGACTTGAACAAACACTTCTCAAAAAAAGAATATTCAAATGGCCAATAAACACATGAAAGTACCCAAACTCATTAGTCATCACAGAAATGCAAATTAAAACCACAAAGTGATACCACTACACACTCCCAGAATTTCTAAAATGAAAAAAAGACAAACCAAATATTGGCAAAGACGTAGAGTAACCAGAACTCGCATCACTCCTAATGGGGGTATATATTAGTATAAACACTTTGGAAACTGATTCGACATTGTCAAGTAAAGCTTAAATGTGCATATCCTATGACTCAGCAGTCTCCCTCCCAGGGAGACACTCAACAGTATTATGGTTGTATTTCTACCAAAATACAAGTATTATAATTTTCACAGTGGCAGTCTCCATAGGAGCACTGTATTAGTTTCCTTCTCCTGCTTCACAAATTACCACAAACTTGGTGGTTGAAAACAACACAAATTTATTATCTTATAGTTTTTAGGTCAGAAGTCCAAAATGAATCTTATGGGTTAAAATCAAGGTGTCAGTGAGCTACACTCCCTCTGGAGGAGCTAAGAGTGAATCTATTTCCTTGCCTTTTCCTGCTTCTAGAAGCCAACTGCCATCTTTATATTTTGGCCCCTTTCTCCGTCTTCAAAATGCATCCCTCTAACATCTGCTTCCATCATCCTATCTCCTCTCTGAATTTGACTCTCCCACCTCCCTCTTATAAGGACTCATGATTATATTTCCAGGCCTGGATAATCCAGGAAAATCTCCTCATCTCAAGATCCCTAACTTAATCACATTTGCAAAGTCCTTTTTACCATGTAAGGTAACATATTCCCAGGAATGAGGACATGGACATCTTTGGGGAGCCATTATTCTGTCTACTACAAAGCCCAAGCAAGAAATTGCTTAATGTCTCAGCAACAAAAGAATGGAAAACTGTATATTTGTATACTGGAATACTATAATAGCAATGAGAATGAACACCATTCGATGACATGCACTATTATAAATGAATCTCACAAGCATAATATTGAGGGAAATAAGTCAGGCACAGAAGACTGTATGAGTCCCTGTGTATGAAATACAGAAAGAGGCAAAAGTGACCTATGGTAGAAGTCAGGATACTGGTTGCCCTGGATGTGGGGATTCATGATTGGGTGGGAACTTTTGGGGAAGTTGATGGTGTTTCATTCTTGATCTGAAAGCTGATTCGTGGGCGTGTTGTTCATCTGAAAGATTCATCAAACTGTACACTTATGATACATGTTCACTTTCCTGTTTGTAAATTTTACTACAGCTTTTACCAACAAAGGGGAAAGATAGGGCCCTGGGAGTATAAAGACCCCCCAGAATGCTGTAACTTACTGCTATGGGAAAAACTTAAGCTTCAGAATCAAATAGGCAGGACCTAGAATCACAGTGCTTTACTAGCTCTGTGATCTTCTGCACATTATTTAATCTCTTGGTCCTCAGTTTCCTCCTCTATAAAATGGGGACAATAACACTTTCTGCCTCGCAACTTCACTGGATTGTTGTGACGTAATGTTTGGGAAAACAAGTGAAATGTAACAAGGGCTGAGTAAATGCTACCTCCTCTGCTTTGCTCTTAAATCTGTCTTTCAGCAGAGCAAATATACAACAGGAGAAAGAAAAGAAATAACTATCTCAGAAGTTGTATGTTTTTTCATTTTCAGTGCCATGTTTAAAAAATATTTGCCAAGCATTGTAGAAGTTGCTCCAGACTCTGTAAAACTGGTGAAGTAGTTCTTTGTTTCTTTATAAACACTGCCTATTTCTTTATAAAACTGCCAGTTGCATTGTGAAGATCACTTTTACAAAGGTGAGCCACTTGAGATCATGAGAGCTAAAACATGTGCAGGAATTACTCAAGGAGCAGGGTGGAAACACAGCCACTCCAGACTTCTACCCACAAAGCAAGCACAGCCTAGCTCATCTATCCTTGTGACCAGAAGGGATATCTCAAGACCAAACCAAACTTACACCTAATCTACATTGCCCTGCAGTAGGGCATAAGAAAGGAAGATGAAAATAAAGACAGGTATAAAGTGGGTTTCCCTTGAAATACAAGAACACAGCATATTTGAGACCAGAACTGCGATCTGGAGCCTTAGGGGCCCTTTAAAGAGTTTCGGGCTCTTGGAGTTATTGTGCTTGTGTCAAGGTCACTCAGACCCACATGCAGTCTGGTTTACAATCATCTTTTTAAAGTCTTGGTTTACATTTCCCATTCCCAGCCAGAATCTTTTATTTGTGATGTTTAGTTCTTTATTTGTATTTTCTCACCCCCGTTTTTATTGCCACTAGTATTATTTCAGCATCATTTAATTTTTGATTCAGACTTGGGTTACTTCTCCAGCCCTATCTTGTACCCTCCCCTCTTTGGTTCTGCTCCCCACATTTCCCCATTCTCTTTCTCTCCAAGTACCTTGTCACTCCCTCTCCTCCACGCTCCTCCGGCTCAACCCTCCTGCATGCTTCCCTGTAGGCACCTCCACAGGGAAAGCTTGCCCTGTTCCTCCAAGCCCGCATCATTTCATCACACCTCCAGGCAAAACTGAATCGTGCATTTATCACATGTAAGCTGTCTCTTTACCTATCTGTTCCGTGCCCTAGATCCTGCACTCCATCAGAACAAGGACTGGGTAATTCTCTCCTTCCTTCCCAGTGCCTCACTTAGAAGGTGTTCTGTAAATGTTTGTCGAATGAATGAATGTCTATCTGGTGGCTACCAGCTATAGGCAGCAGGTAACATCCTCCAGCTTTTATTGTATGTGTAGATTGACAGTCTCTTGTTACAAAAGTTATCAGATTCCATTTTTAACATAATGGTGCCTTATTTGTTACTTAGATAACTACTACCAATAAGCCCTTAACCCTTTGTTCACTCTTCTCTCTGCCCTTAAACAGAACACCTCCCTTATTCTAAAACAATCTTCATGACATATTTAGACCTCTCTTATCTATCCAATCAGTAATTTTAAACCAAGTGTAGGAAAGAAATGCTGTGAGAACTCCAGGTAACTAGTGAGGTAATTATTGCTTTATCTTTACCTTAAAGTCTAAAAAAATAAAAATTGCTTCCCCAGGCCTAAGTGATTATCCTTTCTGTGGGTACAGTGATTTTGATAGAAGAGGCTAAAGATCTGAGAGTGGTAGCCAGTCCATTACATGTAGATGTATTTTTTACTTCGTAATTGTGGCTGGTATTTCTCTTTTCCTCACTTCCAATTAGAAAAAAAGAAATCTAAATTTCAAAAATGTAAGTCATTCTCTTTAACAAACTACAAACTCAACTGAATTCTAAGGGAAACATGAGTATTTATTTCAGACATGAGCTTAATTTTGAACATAAAAGCAGATGAGACACCTCTCCAGATAGAGCTGCTGTAAACTGCTTAGAGTGGTGTAAATCCGTGCTTGAAAAGGCAGCAATAAAGCAAGGATCACTTCTTCCCAGTAAACAGCAGAGTCGTGATAAGGCCGGTCTTACTCTCATTGGAAATAAACCCAGGCAGTCTGGTTCAGAGCTCCTGCAGCTTCTCAGGAAAACAAGGGCAGTCCAAACAATCTTTGCAAAGACCCCAGAAGAACAGAACACAGACTGCTCTTTTCAGAAATTTAACGATCACAAGAAGTGCAAGAGATAGGGAAGTTGCATGAAAGAAAAGCGGGGCCAAGAAAAAGCATTTTCAGGGAAGGAGAGTTTGGAGCCTGATTTTAGCTTGACAGAAAAGAGCTAAGGGAGAAGGAGAGATTAAAGATAAGAGCAATGGGGGTGGCAGGTGGTGGAAATTCCCCTGCCCCCCGCCAGAAGGCTGTAATGCATGCCGGTCTGAAGAGGGGTAGACAGATTCGACTTTTAAAGGCGATGAGACTCTGAAACAAGAAAAAGGAATGAGCAGAACACGGGTGAAGATAAAAATAAATTTTGAATCAGAGACAAGGGAGGTTGAGAGTTCACCGTATATGGCTTCAAGGATCGCTGTGAAATAGGAGGTAATTTCATCTGCTGAGAGGGAGGGAATTGGAAGGCTGAGGATTGAGCGGTGTAAAAAGGCCCGAGAACACCTGCTCAGAGGAACAAGATGTGTAGGTAAGAAAGATAAGTACAAGGCTTGCCAAAATTTACTCAAGACTGCATTTTCGGGAGCAATTTTACTTGTGCTTCGGTGAGCAAGGCCCTGAGAAAAAGGAGTTTGGGGTTTGACCCTTTTTTATCCTACATAATTACCGCTTGATACCAGCGAGTTTATTAAAGCTCTCTTGCTTCATTTCCCCTATAAAACAATTTAATAATACTTGCCCCTTTCCTACCCCATAGGACTTTAACAAGCATTAATTAATATCTTCAAAGTGTCCCAAGTGCCTTGGGAAAGCACTGTACAGGATTTTTTCATCATATCTATTATTCTCACAATTGCATTTCTACACCCTCTGTTTAGAATGAGTTGGAATACAATCTTAACAGCTTCCTTCACTTTATTCCAAAGTGTGTGTGTGTTAAGACTATCTGAAATCAACCATTGAGAGGCATCAGAAGCAAAGAGAACAAAATCTAAAATGTTATCCAGATGCCATTACACCAAAAAGAAGCATTATTAGGAGATGTTACAAACAAAACTTGTAGTCTTTATAGAACTCATTGGCCTATAAGTATGTAATGAATAAAAGCAAAGCATTTCAAACTGACCCTCCTCACAAAATGCCATGACCTAGTAGACAAAAACCCATAACTACTAATGAAATACACAATACAGTAATATTGAATACTTCACTGCATGATATAACAATATCTCAATGCTAAGGAATCCATTATTCTATATCATAATTTTTCTAGCTTTATTGTTTAACATAATCCAAATCCCTTCTTTCCTTCCTTTATCTTGTTATTCAACAAATCTGTGTTGATCATCCATATGTGCAGGAAGTATGTTAAGCCTGAGAGAGTGTGCGTAGCATCCACCTAGCTATGCCTGCCCTTCCCCTTTCATTAGCTAAAATGCTGTCTCCCTTTATTTTTATTTCTTTTTGAATGGAGCTTAGATAAGTACAGCTGAAATTCTATACCAATGTATTAGTCCATTCTTGCACAGCTGTAAAGAAATACCTGAGACTGGGTAATTTATAAAAAAAAGGTTTAATTGGCTCAAGGTTCTGTAGATTGTACAGGAAGCATGGTGGCATCTGCTCAGTTTCTGGGAAGGCCTCAGGAAACACAGTCATGGTGGAAGGTGAAGGAGGCACATCTTCCATGGCCACAGCAGGAGGAAGGTGAGTGGGAGGTATTACACACTTTTAAACAACCAGATCTCATGACAACTCACTCACTATCATGAGAACAGCAATAGGGAAATCCAACCCCATGATCCAGTTACCTCCCACCAGGCCCCACCTCCAATACTGGGGGATTACAATTCAACATGCGATTTGGGTGGGGACACAGATCCAAACCGTATCAACCAACACCACCTTCGTTGTATGGACATTATTTATTGGTATCGGTATGTGGAGTCCTCAGTAGCACCTCTGATACCAAGAATTTGTTAACCTTGATCCAAATGACTGCTTCACAGGCCATAAAATCATTTGGATGAAACCATCACAACCTCATCTATGGGTAGAGGTGACTTTCACAAGTTGATTTCTGATAACAGCCGCTGTGTGTTTGTAGGATGTAGCTGCTATGATGATATGGGGAGAGAAGAGGAGAAAGTTCTTCCTTTACATAAAGTTTTGCCAGAGTTTGCTCCTTTGCACTTAAGTTGAGATATGATATAGTATATCTGATTTCCATGGCACAGAATTGAGCTTTGAAGTCAGAAGAGTTTCTTCAGATTCTGTAAGCAAGACTTAGATTTTACTCTTCTACATTATCCAAGACCCCAGGATATAGCAAGGCTATGGTTGGCTGGATGGAGAAAGTGGGGTAGAAGGAGGAAAACAGAATCCTGTTACAAAAAAGGTAAACAAAACAAAATCTCAAAGCTAAAGTCATAAAACTGACAATACAGCATTTCCAGTCCACAAACTTAACGTGGCTATGATTTAGGTTTTGTGAAGTGGAATTTGTCTTGAACCCCCAACACAATGTGGAGAGAGCTCAAGATTCTTGTGACCATTCCACAACTACAGACATCAAGAAAATTGCATGCATGGATATGTGACATGCTCACAATTCCTTTTACAATTCCTCAAATTTGTATCACCTAAAATTATCACAAATCCAGTATTCTTTGTGTTTTACATTTGTTATGCTTGAGACTAATTCCACAATTGCTTTAACCCTGATGGAGATCGAGTTCAAATATTTTCCCAAAAGACCTCACAAAATAAAATTGCCATCAATGTCCAGAAATTTTGCCCCAAAATAATAATAAGGAAGCAAAGGTGAGGGCAAAGAGACAGATGCAAATGTAAAAACCAAGCTAAGCAAGGGAGCAGGGCCAATTAGAGCCAATGCAATTTCCATATGGAGAGAGTTAGGATTTCTCAAGTCGCAAGTATGGCAGGCTGTTCTCCTATGACAGTAGCAACATCTTCCATTGCACGTGTTTTCCTAGAAATTTGCCATTTTTCCAGCAAGATGGACGTCTACGTCCCCTCCCCTTGAACGTGGGCAGGTCTTTGTGACTAGCTGACCAATCGAGTCTGTCAGAAGTGACACTATATGACTTCTGAGGCTAGCTCATACAATGCCACTCACATTCACCTTGTTCTCTGAGGATACTGTCTCCAGAACTCAAAAAGCATGTTCTGAGGAAACCTAAGCAGACCATGCAGAGGTCTCCATGGAGAAAAGCCAAGTTGCCTGCCCACATCCCACTCACCTCCCCTATGTTTTGTATATATTAAACTTACAATTCTGTCCTCTAATGATCTATCAGTTTTTTTGTTTGAATCACTGCAGCTTTATGAAATGTTTACTACCTGTTAAGGCAACTTGCCACTCAAGCTTCTTCATCTAATTAGCTACCCCTGTCCAAATTGAAAACTACAAAAATTAAGGATATGAACATTTCAGTTATACAGGAGCTCAAGATGTCTATTATGTGACACAGTGATATAGTTAATAAGAATGTACTGTACACATTGGCCTTCTGTGTCCACAGGTTCTGCACCCGCAGATTCAACCAACTGTGGATCAAAAATATTTGTAAGAAGAAAACAATAAAAAATGCAACAATTAAAAAATACCAATTTTTTAAAATACAAGATAACTATTTACATGGCATTTACATTGTATTAGGTATTATAAGTAATCTTGAGATGATTACTTATAATAAAGTAGGAGGATGTGCATAGGTTGTATGCAAATACTACACCATTTTATACAAAGGACTTGAGCATTTGCAGATTTTGGTATCTGCAGGGGGTCCTGGAACCAATCTCTCACGGATACTGAGGGATAACTGTACTTGAAAACAGCCAAAAGAATAGATTTTATGTGTTCTCATCACACACAAAAAAAACTCAATGAGACAATGCACACATTAGTTAATTTGATTTTGGCATTCCAAAATGTGTACATCAAACATGTTGTACACTATATATACATAAAATTTTTATTTTTCAATTAAAAAAATAAATTCACACAAATGATTTTAAAAGCTATTAAAATTACATATATACATCTATGTGAATATACATAATGTTAGTTTCCTAGGGCTGATGTAACAAAGTCATATTTTTTGGAGGACATAATTCAGATAAGACTGGGCACAGTCAGGGTGGTATGGCCATTGACAAGGACATAATTCAATCCTCAACACACACACCACACTCTCTGGGAACTTTGCTATATGATAAGTGCTAAGAATCTCAATTAACTTATTTTCTAAATGTCAAAGCAGTTTTCCCCCAGTAACACATTAATTAAGTCATTCTCTTTATATCATTAGGGTTATCTCCTCTACCACATATTAAATTTTCATATGTTATATGATGATTTGAACACTCCATTATGATCTATTTTTGTCTACCTGCCCAAACACCACATTGCTTTACTTATTGTAGTTTTATAACATGTTTTAGTAACCTGCAGGATAAGTACCTCTCATTGCTCCTATTTTCCACAATGACCTAAAGCTATTTTCACTTGTTTATTGTTCCAGATAATTTCAGAGGTGCTTTCTTGAGTTTCATCAAGAATTGGGATGGTATTAAACATACATACTAATCTAGGAAAGATACAAGCTCCCATTTAACCCAAAAAGACTGCCCAGGCAGGTAGGGCTGGGCAGATGGGCCTGAGCTTTTCAGTCCCTTTAGTCCCCAGAAACCCACCTCCCATCCCCTACCAAGACTCCTGTTGGATCCACAGATGGCATCCACAGCTACTATTTATAGCTTACCCAGACTTCAAGGAGCCTACATGGCAAATCCTTTGAACTCTGCCTTTAAACCTGTGTGACCTCTACACTTCCAACCTTCTATACTGTTTCCCTGATCTTAGGCCATCTGTATCTTCCTTAAAATGGGCCTGGTTTCCTCATAGCCAACCCAGCCCACCAACCTTCTGTTTGCCACATCGTTTCCTCTGGCTCCAAAGACAGCACACAACCAAGCTATAAGAAGAGGCTCCAGGAAGACAATGAGATAAAATAAGGTGTACAAACCGAAAGGTCTCAGGATGTACAACACAGCAAGGCTAATGTGGCATCCCCTCATCCTTTCTTAACTTGATGACACAGGAGAGCTGGCTACAACTATTGAGTGCCTGTCACTTCTCTATTCCTGACACTGTTTGAAAGAAAAAAAGAGGAGGGCGGGGGTGTCCTATCAACATCCAAAACATTTTTCCTCTTTCGCAAGTTAGTTTCCTTGCTGCAGAAAAGCACAGCATGGACCTAATGAGTTGTTTATTTGCTTTTACATGCTCTGCTACAACTGCCACAGCCTGTGAATGAATGTATCTTTGCAACAGCCAACTGCTTTGTAGTAAAGGGACCAAGACCACTGACTCTTCTCACTATAGACTAAGCTAGACAACAGATCACCCCAGACAAAATATTTTTCTTTTCTACCTCTTTCTTTTGCCTTCCCCTTCTTTTGTTCCTTTGATTTAGAGTTCTGTGATGCTTAATGAACAATACACTTCCCAGCAAACACAAAGCAAGAAAAATTCAGTTAGGATTATAATCACAGTTTCAATTATTTACACATGTTAGAAAATATTGCCATTGGGTTCTCTGAGTTATTTATGCTGTTTTCTTCCATTTCAAAGTGCTAAAATATTAGCCCTATTCATTACAAACCAATTGTTTTTAACATGATTCTTCCCCCTCCCCTTGCCCGTCTGAAATCCAATTTATAGCCTGCTAAAGGCTTCATAAGTTATTTATGGATTATTTCCTGGGGTCACATTAATCTGGTTCCTTGTTACTTTACACTAATTTCACTTTGCCACAGTAAAGTAAGGAGATTTGATCTCTTGGGAATTAATCCATAGAGACCTCTTAATGAGGCAAAGCTGGAATGGAGCGAGCTACTGGGTTTAATTCTAAACCCAGTAGGGAGAGTGGCTGATGTGGTTGTTGACTTTGGAAGAAGAAACAGAGCATGCTTTTCTCAGCCCTTTTTTGTTTCCTCTCTTCCTAACTGCCCCCCTGACTGAATGTAAGGGGCTACCATCTGGAGAAGACTTGCATTATTCCTGGTATGTAAGAGACTGAAGGGGCAGTGGATGTAAAGTGTGTCTATTCAGAGTTGAAATATCAGCAAATTCCTTTGGCCAAGAAATGAATGTCACATGCTCCATTACTTTATCAGTAATAGAGCTGACACAATCCATTGATCTCTGTCTTACCACTGGATCCAACCCTCTAATTGGAAGGGCAAAAAAAAGGTATATTATGTATTGACACCTTGCCCTCTTCCCCTCTCTCCAAGAAAACCCAACATGTAAAATATCAACAAAAACTAGGCATTGCTAGGGAACTGTGCTCAGTTATGCAGACGGAGGAAATTGCAAGTTACCAAATCTGGACACTGATATGAAGCCAGCATCCAAGCTAGAAGATTACATTACCCCATTGTTATCTCAGCGAATAATTTCATTTTGTAGAGACATTAAAAGAGGAAAATATTATCTCCTGGACTTACTGAAAAGATTGTTAAATTGTGTGTTGCAGACATGATCAGAATCTTCCAGGAGTTCAAATCATCATATAACAAAAAAAGAAGTTAGTGATCGACCCTAATATGATAGTAAATTAAAAACAGTCATGACATTGATGATAACGTTTGTGAATAGTACAAGGAAGAGCAGCTCTGAGCAATGGTGATCCATTGATTTGCTCTACACCAATAAATCCACTAAAACCTCTAAGACAAAATGTAGACCAGTGCTTTAATTGTAAAACCACAGCTAGCAAAGTTCTCAGTTGTCCTTGGTTCATCCATTAGTTCTTCCTCAAAGACATTAAAAACATATCCTTCATTTATCAGTCTTTTTAATTTGTGAAATGCATTACTTCATATATTTTCATCTCTCCTTGATTTAGACATAGTTGCCAATATACTTTCAGAACCAAAATTAATTAAAAGAAATCAAGTTCAGTGATTAGGCATTGTTCCTGATATTTGATCTTAAGTGGTAAAATGATGGGAAGAAAAATCAATAATTAATGTCTTCTTTCTAGCATTAAATATTTCATACTAAAGCAAAAAACTCTCTAAGAAGACTTCAGGGCAGAAAAGTCCTTCAACTATATGGATATATGGAGATCCCCATTTGATGAAGAGAGCACTGGGATTTTGGCATAATCAATTGTCCCATAAATCTATCCAAACTACAGTAGGAACTAAAGTTTCCAGTGTGGCACCTCTGGGACAAAGCAAATAGAAAATTGAAAGTGGATAGTGTCTACACATGAAAGAAGAAATATAAACAGCCTCACAAATAACCATAAAAATAAAAATCAAAACAAGTTTTTATTTTCACCTATCAAATTATTACAGATTTTTAAATAGGTAATTGTCTGACTTCCACCCCCAGCAAAGGAACCAGTGCTTCCTGAGGCTGAGTGAAAATCCAGAAGGCAAAGCATGTGCTTGGACCCCTCAGCTGAGCTGATCAGAGATAAAGGGTCAGAAAAGTGAATGAAGTCAGAATCTAGGCAGAAAATTTAAATTCAAATACCCAGAGAAAGATTGGGAAGACTGGTAGATCTTGGAAGTGCCAGAGGCAGCATCAGAAGCAGAGCACAGAGCCAGGAAGCTGAGAAGTTCTGCTCCCATGCAAAAAGGAATAACAGGGGACAGATTTAACTTCTCACCTTCAACAACTAAAAAGCTGGACAACATACTATGGAACTACAGTTTTCAAAAATTGGACAATGGGCAATGTAGAATAGTAATCTTGAGAGAAGGGAAATAACTTAAGCCCTATGAGTGACTGAGCTTAATACTTGGAGAGCATTTTCAGGCCACACCACTGGGAGGAGGAACCCAAGCAAAACTCACCCATGTCCCCGAGTTGAGAAAGCCCAAGGTGGAAAAAACTCTGGGGCAGAGGAGAAAGCTTCAATGTGATAAAGTTCTGGATATTTGCAGACAGGTCCCCTGAAGCTTTTTGCTAACTATTGATTATCACATGCATGTGAGAAAACTGCCAAGGCCAAAGAAAGAACCACTGGAAAAGAGCTAGCAGAAAAATCTCCAGGGAAAACAGGATGATGAAGAGTTGTTGTCTTCACCAGCCGGAATAGAGGAACTCCTAACATGCAGGACATTAAACAGTGTCCTCAGAAGAATATTGTCCCAGGAGTATGGCCAAATTAACCCTAGGCTAAAAGATGCTCTAGATTTCCCTTAACAAAACTATCAATGAATAAAGGAATCCTAAGAAAGGGGAGGGGAGGGAGCCAAAATTATTTAAAAGAATAAAAAACTTAGCAATCAACAATATGAAATACACAATATCTACATCAAATCAAAAATTACCAGGCATGCAAACAGACAGGAAAATATGGCCCACACGGAGAAATGCCAATCAACAGAAACAGACCCAGAATGACACAGAAAATAGAATTGGTAGATAAGGACACTAACTAGCTACAAGAAATATACTTTATATGTTTAAGAAAGTAGAGAAAAGTCTAAGTATAATTAGGATGAAGTAAAAAGATACCAACTAAACTTATAGAAATTACAAGAACAACATCTGAGATTTAAAAAATACTGCTACATATGATAGATTTTAAAGCATGTCCCTAGATATGATTGACAACAGATTAGATGCAGAAGTAGTGAATACAAGAAAAGGCAATAGAACTATACAACATGAAACATAAGGAGAAAAGATACTGGAGGTGGAAAGACATAAACAGAGATTAAGTGAACTATACAACATGAAACATAAGGAGAAAAGATACTGGAGGTGGAAAGACATAAACAGAGATTCAGTGAACTATGCAACAGTATCAAGTGAACTAACATATGTGTAATTGGAGTCCCAGAAAAATGGGAGGCACTAATATTTCAATAAATTTTTTTCTAAATTTGACGAATATCATAAAACCACATACATAAGAAGCTGAATGACCACCAAACAAAAGAAACACAAAGAGAGCCACATCAAGGCAAAGGATAATTAAATCTCTGAAAACCAATGACAAAGAGAAAATCATAACAGTATCAATTACATGAAGAGGAAGAAAACTAAAAATAATAGCAGACTTCTCATGAGAAACAATGCTATCCTGAAGATAATGCAATGTTGAAAAAAAAAATACCTGGCAACCTAGATTTCTATAGTCAATGAGCCTATCTTTCAAAATGATTAAAGTGAAATAAAGACTTAAGGAAAAGAGACAATACATACATACGTATATACATATCTTTCATCCTACGTCAATAGGTAGGAACATGAGACAAAGGACTAGACTGAGGGAAGTGAGGAGGAGAGGACTCATTTATGTAAATTGTTCAGGAAACCACACCCTGTAGAGGTGATATTTGAACCGCCCTGAGGGTGGTGGTCATGAAAACATCTGGGTAAAAAGCAAGGCGAGCAGAGAGAACAGCAAGTGCAAAGGCCCTGGGGCAGGAGTATAATTGGTGTGGTCCATAACAACAAGGAGGCAAGAGTGGTTGTATCAGAGTGAATCAGAGGAGAAATAACAAAAGGTGAAGAGGGCACAATCAGGAGCACAAAAAGAAACCCTTTAGGAGGCAATAGCAGCTGTCCAGGGAAGAGATGTGGGCTTGGAGCAGGATGGTAGGTGTGGTGGGCAGAATAATGGCTCCCAAAGAGATCCACATCCTAATCCCAGGAACCTGTGAATATGTCACCATACATGACAAAAGTCACATTGCAAATGTGGTTAAATTACAGATCTTGAGGTATGGAGATTATCTTAGATTATCTGGATGGGCTCATTCTAATCATGTGGGTTCTTAAAAACAGAGATCCTTTCCCAGCTGTGGTCAGAAAGGGATGTGACTGTGGAAGAATGGTCAGAAAGATGCAACATTGTTGATCTGAAGATGAAGGAGATTACCACAAGCCAAGAATGTGAACAGCCTCTAGAAGCTGGAAAGGCCAAGGAGACGGATTCTCTTCTAGAGCCTTTAGAAAGGAACTCTGCCCTGAATCACTTTGATTTTAGCCCATTGAGACCCCTCTCAGACTTCTGACTTACAGAACTGAGAGGAGAAATGTGTGTTGTCTTAAGCTACTGAGTTTGTGGTCTTGTTACAGCAGCAACAGGAAATTAACGTAATGGGTATGAAGGCTGAACTATCACTCTGACCACAGTGGAAAGAACTAAATGGAGAAAAGAAGGGGTGAAACAGAAGGCAGAGAAGAGTCAACAATCAATGTTGTCCATTCTCTGTCCAGAGTTCAACTCTTGCCTTTACCTCTTATTTTAAGAGTTATTCTAATGCGCCTCTACTCATGCCAATCATAACAAGAGAAACTTCCATCATCCTTAAAAACTTAGAACAAAACATGCTTATCAAAATGTGGAGTGGAAAGTGGATGCATTACAGTGAAGTTCCAGCTAGAAGAGAGTTCACACAGGCTGAGCCTAACAGAAAGTGACAGGAGTAATCACCATTGTGATGATCCCATAGAAATCAACTTTACTAACAATAAAATTACATTGCTAGATCTCTGCATTGGCAGAAATCTCAAATCACTTTCCATTGAAGTATCCCCAGTGTTTTTTGCTAGCTCCCTTCTAGGGTGGGGCAGGGCATGTGAAGTAGATATCCATCACTAGAGCAGAGCTGTCATCTACAGAAACTCTTTGGCTCAACTGGGAGGATTGTCAAGACCACCCCTTGAGTGTCAGCCTCCTACAACCCTGTTTCCAGAACCCTGAGTCACTCTTAATAATCTCAGTGAGATCAGTCGCTATTCTTCATGCCCACATGGATGAAAGTCATGGCATGACATTTATTGAGCCTGAGTTTCTACAGATTCTCAGCATCTGGCCTGCATCTGGGCCCCCTCAGAAGGGTGCCACTGATCACCAGAATTATTTTCTTCTTCTCAGAGCTGCCTTCTCCAGCCCATAAACTTTCAGTGTCTCCAGTTCTTGCTTCTCTTTTGTGGAAAGAGATTTCTTTTTCTGTGGTAGCAAGATATTGAGGATATCCAGAAGAAAGTTCATTCTCATTTTCAACATTTTCAAATAGGACATATAGGAGGTAACCCACACAGCAGAGGACATGGGCTTATGCCACAGAATCGGTGCCTCTTCTTAGAGAAGGGAGGGTCAAAGAGATCAATGATTAGTATCAATCTTTAAGTATTTACTATGTGCCAAGTGCTATGCAAAGCACTCTACATATAGCATATCATTATATCTTAACACCACTTTGAAGCAGGTATCATTATCTTCACTTTAAACATGAAGGAATTATGGCTTGAAAAGCTTAGATAACTCACTAAATTTCTTACAGTGAATACATAGCAAAATCAGAATTCAAACCCAGATCTGTCTGACTCCAATGGTTTGAATCACTCTATCAGATAATGAGAACTCCTGAATTCCTGGATATCTCTCTCTCTTTCTCTCTCTCTCTCTTATTTTCCAAACTCTTAAATGTAAAGTTGATCTATTTACAGACTGAAATAGAACTCACGTGCCCTAGACAACAACTACAGCCTCCGACAGTCTTATTCAAAACGGTATTTAGGATGTTTGCTACCTAGAGCTATGGATTATGACAAGAGCCCAGTGAGCTAGAAATAAAGAAGAACTCAGACTTGGTTGAAAAGCTTTATTTTTAACTGCACTGGCACATCTGTATTTCTATAAACCTGGCCGTTTCCTCTCATTTATCCACACCTGATATAAGCCTAACCTTTTGGTCTGTGGGGCTAGTGATTCTTCCCATCACTATTACATCTATTGATGGAATCCATCCAGATCACCACCAGGAATCTAACCACTAATCCTATTGTCAGTATAGCACAGTAGTTAAGAATGAGTGATTTGGTAGAGAATAGACTTGGGTTCAAATCCCAGCTCTGTCACTAACTAGCCCTACACTCATAGGTAAATCACAGCTTTCTACACCTCGTTTTCCTTTTATTTATTTATTTTTTTTTTGAGAGAGAGATGGAATCTCATTTCACTCTGTTGCCCAGGCTGGAGTGCAGTGGCGCAATCTTGGTTCACTGCAACCTCCGCCTCCTGGATTCAAGCGATTGTCCTGCCTCAGCTTCCCAAGCAGCTGAGACTACAGGCTTGCACCAATACGCCCTGCTAATTTTTTGTATATTTTTAGTAGAGATGAGATTTCACTATGCGTTGGCCAGGCTGGTCTCGAACTCCTGATCTCAGGTGATCTGCCCGCGATGGGTTCCCAAAGTGCTGGGATTACGGGTATGAGACATCTCGCCCCCAGCCTTCCCTTTTGTAAAGTGAGGATAACAGTACTTCGCAGGGTTGCAATAAAGACAATGAGGTAATGTCCGTAAATCTCTCAGCACAGTGGCACATAGTAAGCAGTCAACAAATGTTAGCTGTTAGTGCTATTACCACATAGCTCAGGGCACAAGTGACAATTAAAACCAAGGACAAACAACACAGACCAAAGCAATGAGCCCTTCACTCTCTGAGCTTCCAGAGAGATCTTAGCATTGTGCATTCCTCTGAACAGGGCTGATGCTGGGCAATCCGAGGAAAGCTTGTTGTTAGCACATCTACTCTGTTTCCTTATGGTCTCTGGGTGTAGTCCTCCAACTAGCCATGGCCTGTCACACCAGGCTCCTCTCCTGCCCCTGTTCCACACTCCATCTCAGCGGTCCCTCCAGTGGAAGCTCATGAAGATAATTTGTTGGAATAAGAAGAAGAAAATAGTAAGTTGTTCATTTATGTTTTTTATATTCCTTTAAACTTATATTTGATGTATTTATTTTTAAATGAAGATAATATTTGATTACATTAATATTTGTATTTAACCCATGCATACACATATAAATATATTTGGGATATGTGCTCAAGTTTTTTTGAACTAATAGGGTGTGAAATCTGGAAAAAAAATTGAAGGTTAGAGTTCTATGCCATTCCTAAAGGGATACAAGGTGATAAGCACAAGTGCTTTCCAGGGCTGTGCCCATAGACAAATGCATACAGCCAAAGGACGCAGTGGAGAAAATGGAGAACTGAAGAGTTTATGCCCAGCCTCCAGCTGTTCAAAATCAAAAATAGTCTGAACATGTGTAATTATATTTTAATAAACATTTCCTGAGGAAGTCCAAGTGGCAGGCATCATTCAGCCCATGGGGAGCAGCAGGGTGAGCCCCCCACCCCATGCCTTCTGCTGATTTCCACTGGTCGCTACTAACGTGTTACCTTTGAAGTCAGTACTGAGCCCTAACCCAGATTTTCAGGGCATCTTGAGTAGGACTCTGGGCTGGGAGTCAGAATAACTGGATTGAAATCCTAGCTCTCTTCCTTACTCGTGTGACCTCTCATTCATTAAGTCAGTTAACTCAGAGATTAAGTTTTCCTCATCTCTTTATGGAATAATAATACTCACTTCAAAGTGTGTTGTGACATCTAAGTAAGATGATGTATTTGCAAGGGCTTCAATGACTTCCATGACTGTTGAATGTAATTCACTCACCCCTGTGGCAGCTTAGATGAGAGTAGTGATTGATTTATGGGGTAACACTAGTTGACGGTCTACTATGTGGAAGAGAAAGGAGAACTATTCTGTGTTATCCCAGGTGGAAGAATCCAAAATAAAGAAGAATTTGGGGAACAGAATGAAAACTCTGCACTATCTTGCCAAATATTGGATTCCCAATCACAGACATGTTCAAGTTGAGGTTATAAGTCTGGAAATTGTGTGAAGCAGGCTCAGATTTTGAATGAGAAGTTTGGAGTAAACAACTTTTACATTCCCTTCAAACACTCAAATTTTATCGTTCTAAGCCAAATAAAATGAGAACTAGTTAAAGAATAACATAACTTCCAGCAAATTCAGGCCCTCCTGCAGGTCAAGGGGAAAAAGAAAACTATCTGGGCACAGAGGTATCTTCAAATCACACAACTTAATTCATCTGCAAAGGACTTGAATCCACCTCGCGTATTTCCCTCAAGTACTTGCCATATAGAATAAGTTGTTTGACAATTCACTTAGCCTGTTGTCCAAGACTACTTGAATTATTCTACATACAGAGATGTGATACCAGGCGCTGCAGATGAATAAATCACATCAGCTATCGAAACCATATGCAACTCATTCACAAGTACGTTATCTTCAGCCCAGACCATGCCTTTGAGGGCCAGACCAATCTATTCAACCTATAACCTACCATCTCACTTCAACATTTCCTAAAATAAGTTTATCATCTTCCCCTTCCCCTCACCTTCTAGGCACCACTATTCATCTTTATTCCCTGCCCAGAAACCTAGGGGTCATCCTTGGCCCCACTTAGTCTTCTATTCCCCATATCCTGTGACTTTTCTTTATTATTATTATTTGAGACAGTCTCACTCTGTCGCCAGGCTGGAGTGCAGTGGCGCGATCTCGGCTCTTTGCAACCTCTGCCTCCCGAGTTCAAGCGATTCTCATACCTCAGCCTCCTGAGTAGCTGGGACTACAGGCACGCACCAACATGACCAGTTAATTTTTTCTTTTTTTGTATTTTTAGTAGAGACGGGGTTTCACCATGTTGGCCAGGATGGTCTCGATCTCCTGACCTCGTGATCCACCGGCCTCGGCCTCCCAAAGTGCTGGGATTACTTTTACATTCTAAATATCTCTTGAATATATCCACTCCTTTCTAGCTCTTTCATCACTACTACCTTAGACCAAGGTTTCGTCATCTGTTGCCTGGACCGCTATTACAGCCTTCAATGTCTTCCTCATCCACCCTTGCCCTCCTCCCATTGTTCGTTACCTGCATTTCCCTTCCCCTCTAAAACAAAGCTTCAGAATGAGCTACAAGTTGCTACAGTGTGTAGCTCTGACTCACCTCTCAGCCTTAGCGCTTTCCTGCTCACTTCACTCTAATGCCCTGTGAGTTCTTATTCATTCTTCAGATCACTACTTAAGCATCATTTCCTCAAGGAAATTTTCTGTGACCTCTCTGACCAGCTCAAATGTGTCTATGTTAAGCTCTTAGAGCAACATGTAGTAATTGTCACAGATGCAGTTGCATATTTGTGTCATTCTTTTTATTAATGTGTATTTCCCCCTGTAAACTATAAAACACATGAGGGCAGGAACAGTGGTGCTTTTTGCTCAGGGCCTGGAACATAGTAGGTCCTCAATCAATAAATAGTTAATAGCTAAACAGATCAATAAGTGATGAATGAAAGCAAGAATGAATAATATATATTCTTGTGCGAGTCACTTCATCTCTCCACGCTTCATTTTAACTCTGAAATTTGGAGGCAGGGGAGTGGGTAAGGAATGAACAGGAGAGGGAATTAGATGGCATCTAGAATAACTGTTCTAAAAATTTTTGGTTCCAAATGCAAAATGTACAAAAAAAAAATTCTGAAATAAAAGATCCAAAAGGAAAGTTGTGCTCATGCTGAGCTCACAAATACATGCCTTTTTCCCCCATAAATAGAACAAACAGATGCTATCTGCAAGGCCCACAGCACATCTGCGTGGATGAAGCAGCAGCACTCAAGTGTCCTGGGAAAGGAGTGATTTGCATGTTTGCTATCTGGTGTGCAGGAGCTCACACATTCTTTTCAGATAACACTGCAATGGCAACGTTCGGAGATTCAAGTTCTTCAAGTTCACCTTCAGTCCCCGTGCTAGAGAAATATTCATGCTTTTAAAAATAAAATAAAAAGAAAGAATTGCTGGCTGAAGGGCTTCTTCCCTCCCTGTCACTCCACTTCCTCAAGCTTTCACATTTCAGTGTTGTCAAGTTATCATGTATTAGCTAATCAAAACAAAGGGAATATGAGAAATGACTAAAAGTTTCATGACAAGTATGAAAACTGCCTGAAGGATGTGGTGGCACCAGCCATTCAAAAGACTCTACTTTTTTCTGAGAGCATAGGACTTTGATTTCCATACAGTATTTTCTTCTCAAGGATCTCAAAATCTCTCTTTTTAAGAATTTAAAAGGTTACTTGGTACGGAGTTTTCTTAAGCCAAGTAGACAAACTGAGGCATATAATGTACTTTCTTCTTTTCCTTTTTTTTTTTTTTTTTTTTTTTTTGAGACAGAGTTTCATTCTTGTTGCCCAGGCTGGAGCACAATGGCACAATCTCGGTTCACTGCAACCTCTGCCTCCTGGGTTCAAGCGATTCTCCTGCCTAGCCTCCCGAGTAGCTGGGATTCCAGGCGCATGCCACCACGCCCAGCTAATTTTTTGTATTTTTAGTAGAGATGGGGTTTTATCATGTTGGCCACGCTGGTCTCAAACTCCTGATCTCAGGTGATCCACCTGCCTCTACCTCCCAAAGTGCTGAGATTACAGGCATGAGCCACCGCGCCCGGCCCAGAATGTACTTTTTAAAAACAAGGCAGTAGCTGAAATAAATTGAAAGTGATTTCTTTATTCCCACAAGAGATAATGTAAGAAAAGAGGTGGTAATGGGAATTATTTGCCCTGGGAGCCCTGGCTGCAGTGCAGCTTAATCTAATTTGCATATGAAACTGGGAGTTCCTGGAATTACATTCCCATGTGGTCCCAACACTCAGCACCACTGACTACATGCTGCCTTGTTCATAGTAACTGGACATTAAGCTTAGGGAAAGCAGCAAAGTTCAGCCAGTCACTTAGAAAGACGGGCAAAGAGACTACTCTAAAATTGTGACATCTCCTTCAAGAACCTTCTGTAGTTACTGAAATAAACAAGGGAATACTGTATCTACTGACAGTTAAGCCAAAAAAGGAAAAAGTTAATGTTTCCTACTCAATATATTTTCTCCTTTCAAACTTCAGACAGCTTCACCCCACCACACCCAGCTACTTGTAACTGGTTCCAAAGAGTGACACTAACTGATGAAAGATGACATTTTTGCAATCCTTTCCCTCAACAGACTCATGGTGAGGTGGCCCTTCTCCACTAGACTATACACTTCATCATCCATGTCCATCTTTCTGTCCAAGGAGGGACAAGTTCCAAGGGGGAAATCATCCTGCCTCGACAGCCCTGGATCAAACCTTGGGAATTGAAACCAGGGATGTGTGGATCAGCCGGGAGTGCTGGCTCTCCCCTCGGAAGCTGAGTCACCGACCTGGCTGGTTTATTTAATCGCTTGGAAAGTGGTTAGACTGAACAGGACATGTAGTGATTAGTAATTCAGACTGGTCTCAGAGCTTCATGTTTTTTACTGTGAGACGCCAACTGCAGCCTTTCTCTTGGAGTCAACAGGAAGTGAGAAGAGCAGGCCAAATTTGACACCACTTGACGTAACCAGAGATGGACTTCAGCCCTCATTTCTCCACCCAATAACACAGAGATTTTGAAAGCAAGCCCTTCTAGTTAAACATATCTACCAAGTACCAGGGGCGGAATAAGGAAGAATTGAAGAAAACCTGCTTTGATAACTCCAACTTGGCTGTTTCTTATTAGCTGGCTCTCATTTAATAGAAGAAGCAGGAGGAGGAGAGAGGAGGGGGAAGGGAAGGGATAGAAAGGCGGGGGAGGAGAGAGGGGGAGGGGCAGAAGGTGGAGGGAGAAGGAGAAAAGGAAGGGCAGCAGGGGCAGTAGTAAAGGGAGTCACCTCAGATACAAATGTGAAGATGGCAAGAAGAAAAAGAAATAATATTTATTAAATAGGCTACTCCTCAAACCAATCTGAAAAAGATCATGAATGAGGCAAACACAGAATCTACTTTTCTGATGTTTTTTTTTCTTCATTATGCCACATTTGTAGAACATTGCAAACTGGGCACAGCAATACATAGCCACGTAGTCAGAAGTGATACAAATAGACTTTTTATGAAACATTTCCTATTTCTGGTTACAATTACTGTTGCAATGATTGATTCATGGTCAGCTATTTCCAACTACAGCTGTGGTAATAGCAATGAGATTTAAAATTTGATCATTTCACATGGGGGGTTTAGTGAAAGAAAAAATATGCAATATCTTCGCATTCACCTCTATTTTTTCTCTATTTTATATCTTTCCTCTCTAATTCATCCTATACTTAGTTCCAGATACGTTTTCCTAAAATATCACTGCTGTGAATGTGTCCACCTGATATCAGGACATTCATTCTCTAATGAAACTCAGGGCAAATGCTCCATTGGTATAAAGAGGCTGGAATTATTATTTTAACCACCCCTCCTCCAGTCCCCCTGGCCAAGAAAAAGTTTCAAGCTATGTTATTAGGAAGAATATACATTTTTCACGTAACACCAGATAGGATGATTTTTAGAAAAAGAAAATATATATGATTACAGGAAGCTTGGTTTATTTCACATTCTTTAAGAAGGAACCGGAGGCCGGGCACGGTGGCTCACGCCTGTAATCCCAACACTTTGGGAGGTCGAGGCAGCCGGACCACCAGAGGTCAGGAGTTCAAGATCAGCCTGGCTAACATGGTGAAACTCCGTTTCTACTAAACATACAAAATTAGCTGGGCGTGGTGATGCACTCCTGTAATCCTAGCTACTCGGGACGCTGAGGCAGGAGAATCGCTTGAACCCGGGAGGCGGAGGTTACAGTGAGCCACTGCACTCCAGCCTGGGCGACAGAGTGAGACTCAGACTAAAAAAAAAAAAAAAAAAGGAACCGGAGCCCCTGGAAAGGAATAACCCACCCACCCACTCTTCAAGGCCCCAGAGTTTCTTTTTCCTGCCTGCTCACACTGACCCCTACCTACGCTCCCTGCCTCACCTCAGGGAGACATCAAACATTGGCACCTCCTCTATTGTAGAGTCAACGAGGACTGAGTGCAGAGTGCAAGGTACAATCTACCAGATCTGCTTTACTCTGTATGGATGGCGGAAAGTCCCAGGGAAAGGGGGCATCAAAACGTGGAAGAATTTAGCAGGAGAGTCACCCTGAGAGAAAGAAAGAGGGAATAGGATCCAGGAAAAGTGTCCATGAGGAAAACTCTTGGAAGGCCTAGGCAATACGGCTCCATCTCATTACGTGGGATAAAGGATTAAGTTGGCTGACTAGACCCCATTTCTGATTCTCCCCTCTCCTCCTCACAATGTATGACTCCGAGGCAATTAGTTACCCAAACCCTTCGGTAAAAAAAAGAAGAAGAAGAAAAAAAGACCAGCAATCACAAGTGTGGAATGAGCAGTTGACAAGGACAATCCTAGTATGACACTGCTCATTATAAGCTATGGGGAAAGATATCCCTTAAAATGATGAGGACATCCCTAAAGATATCCTTAAGTAGTCTAAATCGTAATACTACCTACTCCCCAACCCCACACTGAACTTCTGCCTTCCCAGGAGATATTCTAAGGGTCCAGGTATACCCAGGCTCTAACACTGGAGGAGCAAAAGCCCCCTTCAATTGGGGAAAACCAAGACATTGAAAAGAAACCTTCCTTTGACTGCCTTCTCTGTGTCCTCCACCTGACTGCTGATGTTTCAATCACAATTTAAAAACAGTTTCCATCCTCAGTTTTACGAATTCGTGTGTCAAAATAATTCCTCATATTATATTCTGAATGTGTCACTTTAGGAGGAAGCGTTTACAGGCAGCTGCTCCATCCCAGCTACATTTCTACCTGTGGATTATACAGAAAGCCAGCCTGGCCTTTAATAATTTTAATTTCATTTTTCTGGGTCCCCTACAACCTACTTGGAAGCCAGCTTTCATTCATCTTGGTTACACAAGCCCAAGAGTATCACACATGTCCTATATCCATAGTTACAGCACTTGTCATACATGTCTACAATAGTCATTTAATGTATGTGCCAGAATGTATCATGTGTTCTTAATCAATTTCTTTATCTGTAAAACAAATAATAATAATACATACCCATAGCCATAAAGTTATGAGAATTAATTGAGTTAGTATGGCCTATATGCCTAGACCAGGCATTGGAAAACTTTTTTTTATAAAGGACCAGATAAAAATAATTTAAGTTTTGCACTTTATACAGTCTGTGTCTTAACTACTCACCTCTGTCACTGTAGAGCAAAATCAGCCACAGATAAATGAGTGTGGCTGTGTTCCAATAAAACTTTATTTACAAAAACAGGTGGTGAGCTGGATTTGTCCCACAGGCAGTGGTTTAATGACCCCTGTCTTAAACAATACGTGTTCAATAAATTTGTTATTAGAGTTATTATCTTAATCAGTACTGACAGTTCTCCATTTTCACATTTGCTTATCTTTCCTAGTAACATTTGTAATTGAATTCTGGATATGTTAACTTACCCATTCATCACTGAGGTCACTGATGGGGAAAAGAAATGGCGGAGGACTTTTATCTTGCTTATACGTGTATAGCATCTAGTGGTGGAAGAGTGTAATTGCAAGTTTTTTTTTGTTTTTTTTTTTTTTTTGTTTTATTTTCATTTCCTTGATCTTTTTCAAGCTCATCTTCAGTAAGAGGGCAGCTTCCTCGGTCAGCCCACAGTGGAAAGCTACATTTGGATGACGAGGACGTCAGACCCACCTGTTTCCAAAGATGTCCCTAACAGGCCTTTGCCCGGGGGGTTCTTATAACGCAGGGTTGCATGTAGACAATCGAAAGTATTCACTAAAGAGATTTAAATATGACCCTGTGTGCCAGACGTGGTGGCTAACACCTGTAATCCCAGCAGTTTGGGAGGCCGAGGCGGGCGGATCACCTGAGGTTGGGAGTTCCAGACCACCCTGACCAACATGGAGAAACCCCGTCTCTACTAAAAATACAAAATGAGCTGGGTGTGGTGGCACATGCCTGTAATCCCAGCTACTCAGGAGGCTGAGGCAGGAGAATCGCTTGAACCCAGGAAGCGGAGGTTGCAGTGAGCCGAGATCGCGCCATTGCACTCCAGCCTGGGCAACAAGAGCGAAACTCCGTCTCAAAAAAAAAAAAAAAAAAAAATGACCCCGTGTAAGAAATAAGCTATTATTTATTAATCCATCAACTATCATCTGTGTACGTGTGTTTCATCATACTAACAAATATTTCAGAGAAACAACAAAGTGTAGTTATATGTTATCTTAAAATTAGCCTTCATAAAGTATTCAGTGATCTCTTAGCATGAAGCAGAGGCAGCTGCCTGGGCCAGGTCAGGTCCCACTTTACCTCCTTGGTGCCTGCTGCCTATTGACCACCTTCTACCCCTCATTTTTATCTATATTCCTTGCTCGTCGCACTTCATACGCTACTGCCTCCCTTTGTTGCCAATAAAGCTAACTGTTAGAATTCTCAGTCTCTCTTCTATTGTGTAGAGGTTAGAATTCCTAACCCAAGGTTCCAGAACTCTGGTTCTTTGTTTCTAATATTTTCTGCTGAGGCTCTGTCAATCATCATATTCTCTGATAAATTTTTTGATAGGCAGATGCCTGAAGATAATTTTTTCCTGTCTGTTATTAGGATGGAGATCAAGAGGCAAATTTTTAAAGTGCCATTATTTAACAGAGAGAAAAAAGATCTTCCTCATTGTGTGTTCCTCCACTGAACAGAAGTCATTTATGAACATTGTTTAGGTTACTCTATAAAATAAATTCTGAGATGTAGTGATCTGATTTCTGATTTTTTTCCTCCCCTGGAATCAGTATGAAATCACTGGGTTCATCTCCCATCAGCAAGTTCATATCTTATGTACCACCAGGGAGTTCATATTCAAGTTCACGTCTCAGCGGGGAGCATGAGCCGAGGGCTGCGGCTTTCAGTGCTTTGTCAGCATTATCAGAGGAAGCTTCTGATAACCTCAGATAATCTTCCCACTCCCAAATGGCTCTGCCCCCTTCTTCCTGAACTTCTCAGGTATTTACGTTTTCTCAAAAGTTCTCCTGCCATCACCACCAGTCACCACAATCACCACCTGCCTTTCGTAGCAGCTGGTTGGCCCGGGACCTGCTTCCCTAACTTTTCTTTGTGGCAGCCTCATTTCCTGGGTATCTGGGCCCCTTCCCCTCATTCCTACTGCATCGACTTGGAAGAGTATCCTTGCTCTGATTTTGAGGAGATTCTTCATCCTATATTTCCAAACAAGTCCCTATTTTGGTTCCCCCAAATCTTGAAGCTGACCAGAAAACTAGACTGAATTGGCCACACCACTATTTGGACTCTCTTTGTGATTTTTGGCTACTTGCTCCTCTCTGTAGTTTATAGTGACATGTCAGATTTTCCACAGCAGTCATATAACATACCCATTCCTCCTTACACCTACCTTGGGACTGGCCCAGCAAGTTTTAGGACACTCTTGGGATTATGTATGAAGAGAGTGCTGGGCATTAAAATAACATGGATAAAGTCCTCTCAAGACCAAAATTTTTCCAGAGGCTGGGCATCAATTGATCGCTGGACATCAATTTCCTCAATAAATGAAGACGTTTGCCTCAAAAAGCAATCAAGTCTCTCTGAGCTCAAATAATCTGTCATTCGAAATCTATCTCATTTTTTAAAGAGATCTCTAAGTTCTAATTAGAATCCATTTGTCCTTCTGTTAGGTAAAGTTGCCAAAATAATTTCCCAATTGTGAAACTGGGAAAGTTTATCAGAGAATATGAAGATTTGTGAATGCAATTTGTGATGCCTGGTAGTCCACCTTCTACACTCTGTTAGCAGTATCCTACTACTAAAGTTTTCACTCTCATTATTGGGGTTGGGAATGTGTTTTTCACTCTTACTCAGCTTTTGGCATTGTCTAACATTTCTTCCAGAAATGGCCTTGCCACTGAAAGATCTCTTAACATAGGCTTGAAATTACCCAGTTATAAATCCTGACCTGATTCCTTTCAGAGTTGTCTTCCCTTTGGAAGCTCCTCCAGGACCTGCACTCAAGAGGTGCCTGGATTTAGCATGGACTTCACTGCTCTCCATATCAGAAAGGGCCTGGGGATCCTTCTGGATAATATGTAGGTTTCTTCCCATCTCAGAATTTCTGTTTCCAAGTTCTATAAGAAAGAGATATTTTTGAATTTTTATTTGTGGCATATATCCTGCTTATGCCAGCAGATGCGTCAAAGATACCACAACTAAAACAGGATTTTTTTATAGGAAAACAGAATTTAGGGCCTGAATTAATTGCTGACATCATATGTACTCCCTCAGAAAATGAGCTATTCAGAAACAACTCTGCTCCCTTCTAACATAGTGCTCCCTTCTAGCATACTCTACCCTCTACAACTTCATTATTATTAAGGACACATGTACAGAAACAGGATCCATGCCTTGTTGGACTCCTTCTGTGCCAGCCACTCATGCCCCAACTAATGTTATAATCCTCCCTTTTTCACATCACAATTGGTTATTGTGCAAATAAGTATGTTCTCCCAAGAACAGATTGTGACTTTAGGTGGATAAAGATAATCATCAGAAGCAGATGAACTCTCAGCAAGCCAAGATTGAGACCTTACCACAAATGTCTTTAATAACACACAAGAGAATAAATAAATAAACACAAAGAGAAATAAAAATAATAGAACGAAAGACAAGATTGAATTATTTTAAAAGAAATCTAAAACCAGGTTTGCTAAGAGATGTCACTTATTGTATAGGATGTACTAATTGTGTGTGTTTTCATTCTCAAGTTAGAAACTGTAGCCTGTGTCTAAATTTTAAGGTTTCTCTATTTTTCCTGTACACAGACCTGTGTCCCAAAAAACAACTATTCTACTATTTTTTGCTTCTAAGTATATTTCTATGCCATTATTTATATTAATCTCACCACCTGGAATGCCTATTCTCTGCCTTAAGGAAATTCCATGCATACTTCAAGGTCCTTCTCAAACGTCGCTGTCTTTACCACATCTTAAAAAGTAAAGGAATGTATTAGTCCTTTCTCATGCTGCTAATAAAGACATATCCGAGACTGGGTAATTTATAAAGAAAAGAGAGGTTTAATGGACTTACAGTTCCACATGTCTGGGGAGGCCTCACAATCATGGCAGAAGGCAAAAGGCACATGTTACATGGCGGCAGGCAAGAGAGAATGAGAGAGCTAAGGGAAAGGGGAAACCCCTTATGAAACCATCAGATCTTGTGAGACTTATTCACTACCACAAGAATAGTATGGAGGAAACCACTCCCATGATTAATTATTTCCCACCGGGTCTCTCCCACAACACGTGGGAATTATGGGAGCTACAATGAGATGAGATTTGGGTGGGGATGCAGCCAAACCATATCAAAAAATGATGAGCAAACCATAGAGAAGTCAGATGAGATGCTGTAGAAAGACTAAGTCTGGAAATTTGGGCACTGATTTTAATTTTGAAGGTAAAGACACAGTAAACTACAGAAGGACCTGTAGGTTGTTAGATGAACTTTAGCTTAAAGCTGCCTTCTTACATATTTCAAGTTCAGTCTAAAGTTTCTCCACACATATTGAACTGTTACCTAACTGGATGTGTAAACAGACTGTAACCTCCTGTTGTGCCAGTCACTGAGTTTTGGCCAATCAAAGGTGGCCAGCTGTTCAAACCAGGTTCAAATAAGGAAAACACCAAGCCTGTAACCAAAGTATTTTCTGTATGTCACTTTCTTTTTTCTGTCCATCAATCTTCTTGGACCGTACGGTAGCACAGGGAGCCTCTCCAAACCTATTCTGGTTCAGGGGCTGCCTGACTCGCCAATCATTCTTTGCTCAATTAAATTCTGTTAAATTTAATTTAATTAAATTCTGTTAAATTTAATTTAATTAAATTCTGTTAAATTTAATTTAATTTAATTCTGTTAAATTTAATTTAATTTAAATTCTGTTAAATTAAAAAAAAAAGATAAAAGACATGTCATGAGTCTGTCAGAGAACTTTCTAGAAGTGTGTTGTTCCTTGATGGTGATTTGCTTGTGTATTCAAAATCATGCACTTTTCACCACAGCCAGTGTGCTGGTCTTTGGGTAGGTCCCTGGGAAGGCCAGGTATGGAGGGAAACACAAATAAACACAAATAAAATGTAAAGAAAACTGCAGACAGAAAACTCAGTACCTCAGCTGCAGATCTCCATTTTATGGATACTTCCTATGTTCAGGTAGTTTGTTATGCATTTTACACAATACCTAATACATTGAATCTTCATCTAAAAAACAAAACGAAACAAAAATCACTTTGAGGTGAGCAGAAGTATCTTCATTGTACAGTTGAGGAAGGGAAAGTTGAGTAACTTGCTCAAGATTCCACAGCTCATGTATGAAATCCAGGTCAATCCAGTCCTCCTCAAAGGTTTCTCTATCAGTTTCCAAAAGCAGGCCAGCTATATTCCTTCCCCACTGAGCGTGCACTCTCATTCCCTGCAAGCCCGAAGGTAGCTGCAAATTCATGAATTTGAAACTCAGCCATGAGGCAAAAATGATTTAGAAACCCTGGCTCAACAGATAATGGTCTAAAGAGAGTTGGGAGCCCTCAAACTTCTTCCCTGTCTCTTCCTGTGTTTCCTGTGAGCCTTCACCAAAACATTTAACTCTCACCTTTGAAAACTGCATGTGCTCCTCCTGTTGCCTGAAATACTCCATGGAGAACTCTTCCATAGGCCCTCTGTAAGCCTGTATGCTGTGCCCTGCACAATTGCTTCCTCTGAATAAATCAGAAACATTCTTTTTATGCATGTCTCTTTTAGCTTCAGCAGTTCACAGTACTTTAATCTCTTGCTCACATATCATGTCTCCTACTTTTCTGGGCAGTCTTCAAAAGCCAAGTACTCTCTCTTAGTTATCTTAGCTCAGTGATATTTATTAACATGCACTGAACAATTGAACAAATCAAAAGATGGATGTCTTACACATATACAAACAACTATCTGTTTAGAGCTTTGAGCGTCAGAAAAAGAATGATATCTGAATCCAATGCACAATTTTTAGAAACTTGCAATCTGTGTTTAAGACGGTAATTTTTTTTTTAAATATCCTTCTAAAAAATGAGATAAATTGAAGTATCTCTGCCCTCTTATTTTGAAAATAGGATCTCACCACTCTCATGGGACACACAATCAGAAATTAAGGGTGGAGAGGCAGTTGAATAAATATTTATTAAATTGAATTGTATGTAACTGAACTGAATTAAACTGAAAGGCAGACTTAGCTTCGGATGGAGATCATCGAGCTGTTTGGGTGGAGAGTCGACCCTAAGGAGAGAAAAGGGTTGTTAGGGGGCCTGAGCTCTGGGTCTGGACTTCTCAACCCTGGCTTCAAATTATAATCACCTGGGGAGCTCTAAAAACTTGTGGATACACGGTTCCCACCCTTAGGATATTTAATTTAATAGGACTGAAGTGAGACCTTGGATCAGTGTTTTTTAAAGCTCCCTAGGTGTTTTTAATGTGCAACCAGCCATGAGATGACTCCTCCAGAAAAAAAAAAAAAAATTTAAATGGTTACTTCCTCATACCTGCAATTCCGTAGCTGGGGAAGCAAAAAACAGAAATTTGGTCTCTGGTAGTGGGTCCACTTCCACCCCATTTCAGACTCTACAGACCAAGCTTGCCTGCAGCCTGTACCTCCAAAATGTGGAGGTGGGGAGGTCTAAGAAAGAGGGGGATCACTTGCAAATATAAGGAAATCAGACGCACCCGGTGCTACAGAAATGGGCCAGGAGAAAACTCAGCATTTTGACTGGGATTTTGTTCCAACCAAGCAACTCTCTTCTACTTTCGTTGTGTACGGTTGGCACCAGGTAAGGAGATCCAAAGAAAACACCAGGGAAATATTGTGATATTGCCACAGCTGTGCCTCAATCGGAAAAAAAAAAAAAAAAGCCTGAGGCTTCCCCTTCTCTTTAACGCTTCTTCAGCACTTTGTTTTCCTGTTTGGAAACAAATGAAACTGAAAAAGTTTCAGGATGCTTTTCTGCAATTACACAATCCTTTCCCTCCTTTCTCCCATCCAAAAGCCTGCAAAACGGCAGCACTTTATTTTCCATCCAGAGCAACTGGACGTTCCCCAGGAGGTAACGCTCCCCCTGTAGCTGCCGCCCTGCAAGAAACTCAAAAAGCACTTGACATCTACGCTTAAGCGTTGTGTTTTTCTGCTGCAATTCCAAAAACCTCTTGAAGATTTCATGTTTGTATTTTCCCCTTTTTCTGGCTTCATGCGCTCCTATGTAAATGAAGAAAGCTCCTCCAGTAGGAAAGAATGGCGCCTTTGGAGCAGTTGCTGATTTCATACACATTTGCTCCCATTTAAAGCAACTTTGCATATAACAGCATTTTGTGCTGCTTAAAGGAAATCTAGAACAATTTAAGAAGCCCTTTTAAAAATCAATTCCAATGAAGGACAAAGCAAATAAAAATGAAGCCATACACATTCATCTGAGAAAGAAATATTGCAGCTGTATTTCTGAATGTTATTAAATTTTACTTATTTCAGTCTTGCGTTATCTAGTTATTAAATATGCAACATTTTCCCTGCTAAATCTTTTCTAATGTAGGCACTTCAGGTTTGACTACCTCATCCAATTTTTATGATTATGTTTTTGCATTTACCTTTCAGTATTACTGAAACTCCATACTACCACCCACCCCAGCCGATATGGAAACTTTTTAAAATAAAATAAAGGAGTAAAATTCAGGAAAGTTATGGCCAAGGTAATTTCTCATTGGTTCTGTCTTCTCTAGGACCAGGCAGGGGAGGCAATAAAGAAGTGCCGTTGCGGCAAAGGAAAATTAAGAATACCAAAACGGTCGTTATTTAAAAGTTCATATTTTGTGAGTTGTAAAATGTTTGCATTAATTTTGAATATTACATTAAAGTATTATTTATCTTGCTTATGGAGTTTTTTGGCACACCTTTAATTTTGTGCCTGAATCCCAGTCTTGGTTCTCCTTGAAGGACAAGGAGACAGTCACATAGACTGACACAGCAGAGAGTTCACAGGTAGATGTAATGTGACTCTTTACATTGGGGTGTTGAGAATTCTGCAGCCTACATATCTCTGTGTATTGTTGATGAAGATATCCCAAACAAGAAGGTTAATGTGATTCATTTCTCAGGAATCTTGGAGGCCCTTGAAAACTGTATGAGTCTGCAGGTTGTTGCTAGAAGTAAATCAAGGTCACCAGACTAAAGAGGTGCCCTCTTAACGAAACCAGAGCCTCAACCCAGAGTGCCTGTGTGCCCTACCTTGGGAAGCAAACTGACATTTAATTTAATTCAACAACATCCCCACTAATCCCCTCCCATGGGTCAGACACTGTACTTAGTGCTACTGATATAGCTGTGAACACGATAGTCTCAGCACCAATCCTCCAGAGTTCACAGCCTAGTGAAAAATTTTTAAAAATAATATGACACAGATGCACTATGATAAAAGTAGTAAAAGAAGGAGCTGGGCGCTATGGCTCAAGCCTATAATCCCAGCACTTTGGGAGGCTGAGGCAGGTGGATCACAAGGTCAGGAGATCGAGACCATCCTGGCTAACAAGGTGAAACCCCGTCTCTACTAAAAGTACAAAAAATTAGCCAGGTGTGGTGGCAGGCACCTGTAGTCCCAGCTACTTGGGAGGCTGAGGCAGGAGAATGGCTTGAACCCAGGAGGCGGAGCTTGCAGTGAGCCAAGATCGCCCCACTGCACTCCAGCCTGGCGACAGAGCAAGACTCCGTCAAAAAAAAAACAAAAACAGAAAAGGGCCCCAGCACAGAGGCAAAGGCTTCGGATCTTGAGAACACCCTCCAAGTGATGGCACAATAAATAAAAGGAATTACTAATAATACACAGGGGATCCCTCTACTCATGCATAAAGCTAGGATTCTAAGACCCTGAAAGTGTGTGTGGCTAAGACCTCCTGCAAAGCACAACTTGAAAACATACCTCCAAAAGTCTGCATTGTGCGTGTACTGCATGCCATCTCACACCCATCAGTAGGACATGTGCTTCGAGTTGTTTTCACAGTAGTAATTATGGCTCACACTCAGCTATCTACACCCTCTAGACTGGCTTCATTGGTGACCAAGGACTCACATTTGTTAAACAGCTGGACAAGAGCAGAGGTGCCAAGTCTTCTAACAAAACAATTTATCTCACTTCAAAACTAAAGCGTATTAGAAATCAAACCTTCATCCTCAGGTTCATTATCATCAATGTGGCTGCCAGTACTATCCTATCAGTTACTTCATTATGACGACTTTGAAGCAGTTTATTTAAGATTCATTGTTGCGGTCATAAGTTGAAAGGAGCTAGAGGAAGATGGAAGAGAGGATGGTCAAGAGAAGATTATTTACTTAATTCTCACCTTTGTGTGTGGGATATTATCCCACCAGGACTCTATGGATTTAGAGAAAAAGGCTGAGTTCATTGATATGAATCAATTTAACCTACAAGGAAGGTGAAATACCTAAGTCTGAGCCTATCTCCCACAAACTCTATCTTCACAAAGTGAAATCTAGGTCATTTATTTCTTGAACTCAATAGACACTGAAGCAGATGACCCTGTCATTCCCATCTCTCATATTCCCTTCCAGGTGGAGGACAATCATTGGCACAGTGCTCTTGGCTCCTCTCCATCCTCTCACTCCCTCCGCACTGACTGGTGAGTTTGGAATGAGAATGAAGACCTCTGTCACCTCCTCTAGGGAGCAAGCTCTTAGGAGGGAACACATGTTCTCTGGTCTTCTTGTGTGAAGCCAGTGCCGAGGCCAGTTGAAAGGATAAACCTGGCTCCTTGTGGAGTTGTCCAAGAGGAAGCCACAGACACATGCCTTAGTCTTCATTCTTGGTTCCATCAATCATAAAAGTGATATCTTGATCTCCACTTCTTTTACTGCTTGATTTTCTCTCTTAATTGGTTCAGCTCTTAAGCAGGGAAGATGGCTGCTATTTCTTGCCCTATGCCTCTATGACCCTCAAATTTTCCCTTAGCATCTAATCATTTAGACTGAATCAACCAGGTAACCAATTCTAGCAGTGTCACAATGAAATGCTGGAGCTGGAAAGAATCTTCAGAAGGCTTTGAAATCAATCTCCTCCCTTTCAATGTAATAAGGTATCATGCAATAGCACTAACTGGGCACTTAACATGTCCTCCTTTGCCCAGCAATTCTTTAACATACGTCATCTATTACCAATAGTCCCATTTTGTAGATGAAGAAAGTTTTCAAATTTGAAACAGGTCATATAACAATCAGTGGATGAAAGCCAGGTTTGTTTAAATGCAGAGACCCCTAGATTAATGTAGGTCATGAGTCTTTATGTCACCAGGTGGATGCTCACATTCTGCTTAAAGATCAAAGACAATAGTTGATTGAAGGAGCATTAGAGAGCAAGGTTCATAATGACACATTTACAAGTTCAAGGGTGACTAGAGCCTTGGGGCCAGCATGTCTTCACTAAAAGTCTTTCCCAGTCTGAGCATGACACTAAAACCCTGAAACTTGTCAGTATAAAGCATTGTTCCAGCAGTAAATGCAGGAAAAAAAATGTAAGCTCTGCTGGGCAGATTGACTAGGGAAATGTGGTGCTTCTATCAGAAGTTTGTACTTTTAAGATTCCCTTGTGTTTTAGTGGCACCAACACACAAAGGGAATGAGGCCATTTTGATCTCCAATAATGAGAAACATGGCTGACTTTCAGACCTGAAACTATTTAACACAAGTTAATTTTTCAAACAAATCTGGAATGAAATGAGGGAGAAAAAATAATCTTATGATGGGAGACATCAACTAATGGATTACATTTCTTTCTTCTCAATTAGAAATGGCAGAGGGGTTTTCATTATTTTTCCTTAGCATCAAAACATATCTACACAAAAACACAGCAAATATGTTATAAACTTATTTAAGCCAAAGAGCTCGTCAACACTGTTTGCAATTATGAAATCATTTGGGGATATGGTATTTTTTTGGAAGGAATTGTTTTTCTCTTAGATGCAAACCACATCACAGCCCGTCAGACATAAATCTTTTATTGTATCTTCAAGAGCAAAAATGTAAATTGTGCAACAAAGGCGCCACTGATAAAATGCAACTAGTCCCCCAGAATCATCTGGGTGATCTCATTATTTAGGGGAGATAACAGGAAATGTCATGCTTTTAAAAATGCTCTTTTGGGGGAAAGAATGTTGAAATTAAATGCTGCCTAAGGAATTCCAAAGAAGAATTATTGGGAACTCTAGCTCCCCAATGCCATATGTTATCACAAGCACGAAAGGAAAAGGAGGCTTTTTTACAGACTTCTTTGTCATTCGGTGAGCAATGAAGGGCTTGGTAGAGATGTAATAAAGCAATATAATACACTTGATAAGAGCACAGCTTCAGAAGCCAAACTACCTGCATCTTTCTTCAGGCCCTGCCACTTAACAACTGTATAATCTAACCTATCTGTTCTTCAGTTTCTTTGCCTAAAACTGGGGAAAAGAACAAGAGACCAACTATTCTTATTAAATGATATAAATGTAAAACTTAAATATATATTCTGTAGATGTTTATTATCATCATAATTATCACCATCATTATTATCATTATGTAAGTTTTCAGCAGGAATATACGACAGAATATTAGACTTAAGTCATAGTCTAGAAGTGGTGCAGGGTCAGATAAGAGCGTCCGAAATAGGAATTTACACACTCAAAAACCAGAGCCAGAAAACCAAAAAGAAGAATAAAATGAGCTAGGAACTCAAAGGGCAATTTGGGTCATGAAGAAAAGTCCAAGGATGACAACTTCAGAACGGTGTCTATGGTTCAACTATTGTTTCTGATTCAACCTTATCATACCAGAGATATGTCATAGAATCATTCTTCCTTTGTCATCTTCATCTAATCAATTACCTGTCCCTTACCTTATTCTGGGTTCTGAAATCCTTATCTTCAGTTAATATAGAGAACACAGACCCCAGCCATGATGGACTTGGATTCAGCAGCATGTCCCCAGTTCCTGAGAGGCATGGCAAAGGGGTGATTACAAGACAAGGGCCAACATTGGGGTAAAAGGCAAATATTTTCTCACAGGAAGAAACAAAAGCTCAGAGTCTGAATCCAAGAAGATAGTCACTGTCAAATCCACAACAACTTTATGTTCATGGAGTTGATGATGATTTTACCCGGGAATTATTTTTAAAAGTCAATTTTGAGGCTTCATATGAATCACAATCCTTGGAGATGAGTTTAGAAATCTGAAAAATGTTTCCCAGGATATTTTCATACACATTAAACTTTGAGGACAACTGGACTAGAAGCTGAGCTGCTCTAGGGCACGAGATCTCAGGAAATGTAGCAGGATCAATCAATCGACAAGAACCGTAGGAGTCAGTCAATTATTACATGCATGGTCCGATCCTCCAAACACCTTCAATGCGAATTTTATTAGATTCAACACTTTCAACTCTTCACCATCTAATGAAGGCTATTAGAAATTGTGGGGAGCAGAAATAACTTGTGATAGAATTCTATTTCCCTCATTATAGAATGAAAATTTCAGTGTAGTGGTACATTAGACTCAATTGTGTTGACTGTTAAACTTTGAAGACTTGCCCCCTTTGGGATCCACCATTATCCAAGGACGATAGGATAAGACTAAAAAGTAGGAAGATGAAATTACTGCATGGGACGGTGGGGGGAGGGAGTTGCAGCAGAAATAGGAAACAGACAAACACACTAAGCCTTGGATGGTATTTCCAGCATTGAACCAAGTAAGAAATATCTCTGAGAATTTGAAAGGTTTTCAAGTGGAATAAGAAAACAATGAAATGAACTAACATTTACTGAGCACTTGTATGTGAAACTAGGTGTAGATACCATGCAGGACTTTTCTACTCTCTAAGTTAACACCTTGCCTGTGGCCCTCTCCTGAAGGAAATTGCCATGCATGTCATCCCGGATATGGTACAACCATGGCGAACTTTTGAAATAGGACATTCTATCATGCCAGGTGGGCCCTAGGCACAATAAAACACCTGACACAGGGGCAGATAAACTACTTCCTGCCCAACAGCCTATGGGGTCACCTAATTCAAAAGTTCTACTCTTACCTAGCAATTAAACAGACTACTCAGATTCCCTTGGAGATTTGTACTAAAGACGTGAGTTTCTCCTTTAATCCTTACCTTGACCTGACAGTACTAGAGATTCTCTTTTCGTTTTAATAATGAGCAGGTGGGAGCTGAGTGAGGATAAACAATATTCCATGTTAGAAAGATGTAACCTCAGATCTTTGTGATGCCAAGGCTTGCACTTGTATAGAAGATAGACCTAGAATCTTTAAAATGATGTTACAAAATGAAAATCAATAAAGAGTTCTGTAACAACTGGAACCATGCCAAAGTGAGCCATTGAAAGATCAGTGGAAGTTTCCACACAAAAGCTGGATAACTTCTGCTTGGGGAGGCCATTCTGGGAAGAAAAAGCTAAACAAGATGACTTCCACAATCTTCCAACCTAAGATACTGTAACTTATTGGCAAGCAGAGTGGCACCACATTAGGTTAATCCTTTTTTGTCTTGGCAAAAGTAAATTGTATTCTTCTTGCAGAAACTTCTACTGGCAGTGCAGTTGCCTTCTGAAAGTAGAAAATAAGCTGGGAAAACTGTTTTTTTTTCTCAGGATCTTCAGAGAAGGCTTATGGCAGAGTGGGATTATAGGAATATGCAAAGTATGATTATGCACCACAATGATTTAAAATGCTGGTAAAAGTAGGTTTATATACTGGATCTGCCTCTTAGAAGCTATATGACTTCGGGCAAGTTCTTTGACCTTTCTGAAATGTACTTCCTCCTTTGAAACAACCTACTTCACAAGCTTGTGAGAATAACATGATGCATATCCAGCATTTAGCACAAGGCACATGACAAACTGCCAATAAATGGTAACCATTACCTGTCATACAGTAAAGTTGGTTGACGGGACACCCACGTGTTTTTGAGCTGCTGTGTCACCCTAATGCTTGGCCAGAGGCAGTTCCTGAAAACTGGGTGCATACAGAAATCATGTTTGGAATGAGACTGAAGTGTCATATGTAGTCTTTCAGTTCAAAAGTTTATAGGACCAAAATGAAAAGTAAGTATTGATTTATAGCAAGAGATATGAACATCAGGTTGGCCAAAAACAGAGTTTTGAGACAACTCATATTGAGCATGTATTTGCTGGTGACCCTTAACATAGTGTTTCACACCACATGCCTTTCCATATATCCATGCCTTATACATTTTCCTCTACCTGGGCCTCCTTTATCTTTTAGCAAACTTGTTTCCCTCTTCTGAAATCTAACTCAATTTTTTTCTCCTTTTCAAAGACTTTTCAGTCTTTGCACAAAATTACTTCCTCATCAGTCTCCCAAAGCTACACCTGTCACCTGTTTGGTCCCACTCAACACTGTAATTTTTTTTTTTTTTTTTTTTTTAGATGGAGTCTCGCTCTGTCGCCCAGGCTGGAGTGCTGTGGCATGATCTGGGCTCACTGCAAACTCCGCCTCCTCGGTTCACAACATTCTCCTGCCTCAGCCTCCCGAGCACCTGGGACTACAGGCGCCCGCCACCACACCTGGCTAATTTTTTATATTTTTTAGTAGAGACGGGGTTTCACCATGTTAGCCAAGATGGTCTCGTGATCCACCCGCCTCAGCCTCCCGAAGTGTTGGGATTACAGGCGTGAGCCACCGTGCCCGGCCTCAACACTGTAATGATTTACTCATGTGTCTCCCTCACTAGACTAAAAGTTTTCAGGAGTAAGGACTGTGTCACATTCATGCTGATAGGCCCAGTGCCCAGTACATTGCTCGGGATATATTCTAGTAGTACAGGAAATACATTTTTATTGAATGAATAGTCCCAGTCAAGAAATTTCTATGTTTCATGCCTCCACTATGGGCCAGGCACTGTAACAAAAGCTTTAGATGCAACATCTTTTTTGAGTGAGAATGGATCTCACAGAGGTTAACTACCTAAGCTCAAGCAGCTTACTGAGGGCAGAATCTCAATTTGAACTTTTCCTTGTCTTTCTCCAAAGCCTGGATATTTTCCATATGTTACAAAGCCTTCATGGCTGGAGCAATCTCAGTATTAACCAGAAGTATCATTTACAGGTTTGCTTTGACTTCTCTCGTTTTCTTTTCTTTACAATAAACTAGGAGTTATACCCTTCATTTATTAGAAAGAAAAAAAAACAAAGCAAACAAATTATTATTTCAATTTCCTTCTTCTAGACAAACTCAGTTATACATTGCTGTGATGAAAAGCTTAAGTAAATGTGTGATTATCCTATAAATAATGCACAAGCTGGTATCCATGCAGAGTAAAGCTTAGTTCTCTACTTTTGGGGTTTTAGAGTAATAATCAAATCTCTTTTTCCCCAAATGAAAAATAGATATATGAGTCAAACAGAAGATGAACATATAAGGTGTATTTCCATTAAAGCTAAATTCGAAAACAAAGCTTGGTACCACACTAGATCTCCTTTAGCCGAAGGTGGGTACCAGTGCACCCACTCCAGCTACCATGAGTATTGACTGCGTAACATCTCGTAGATGACTCCCTTATCTGAAGAGTTGTCCTCAGCTGATGGGGCTACTTCATCTGAGAAGTTAAAAGCCCACCATCCACTCCCTGCCCCATCCCCCACAGCCCATCAGCCCTCTTGTTTCAAAAACAAGAGACTGTGCCCTGGTCTCTATGTGCTGGCGCCTTCTGCTATGGATCAGGTGCACTTAAACTGAGGCCACATCCTTGTTTGCTCAGCTCTTCTCCCTTTCCTATTCTGCTCACCTCCCTCCACTGTGGGTTTTTCTGCTGAGCACTCTCAATAAACCACATGCATGTAAACCCTCGCCTTGGGATCTTCTTCTAGAGAGCCTAACCTAAGACACTTGGCTTAGATTGAGGTTACAATCAGGCTTTCTAATTCTACCACCCATATGCACCCTGAACTTAACTTCATGCCCCCACCCAAATCATAGGAACAGCTGGACACCAGCAAGGATACCCTGGTTTTCACAGAGAAGGAGAGGTCAGAAAGAACCCCAACGTGTTTTTCCTACACTTCTCCCTTCCTGGGGAGCAGAGCAAGAGTTTCCTTCTGACTACACACAGAGCCTTTGTGTGAAGTTGGAGAAAAACACCCGTGATGGTGGAGCCTACCCCAGTGTGGGCACAGCTTAGTGACACAAGCATAGCTCAATTCCAGCTGCTCTCTGCCTCCTGTCCTGGTTGCTCTGTGCTGGACTAACTTGAAGAGCAGTGATGAAACTTCCGCTCGCTTCTATGGAAATATGAGTCAGGGATAAGCTCCCCTCCTCACCACCCATATTGGGAGGAGCAAAAGCAACAAATAGACAAGAAAATATTTAATCTTGCAGTTCAAATCTTAGCTTGCCCACATATTATCAGTGTGAACGAAGGCAAGCTATTTCACCTCTCTTTGGCTTCACTTCTTCATCTTTAATGTAGTGATAATAAAAGTATATTCCTCATATGGTTGAGCGAAGATTAAATGAGTTAATACATATAAAGTGCCGAGAGTAACCCCTGACACATTGTAAGCTCTTAATAAATGTGAGATCCCGTTGCTCATCATAAACGCACATGGGAAACTCGAACTGTGCACCCCACTCATTTCGGAAGACAAGGCTAGGAAAAATGCCACCCTCCGAAATTGAAACAGGTGAAACTAATCTGTGATAGAAGCGATTGCCTCTCTAGAGAAATAGCTCCATCTTAAGAAGATGGTTCGTAAGCTGTTTTCTTATGAGAAAATGCAGACTCCCAAAACTCTAGCTAGGCAATCCAGTTACCAGTGAAAGCAAAGCTCCTAAAGAATATGCTCAGAAAAGTAATTGATGTGTAATAATTGTTAAAGAAAGTTATGGGCATCTCAACTATGCTGTATATACTTACCAAATAACATGCTTCAATAATATTATCTTTGGTGGCTGATGTAGGAAAAGTATTGGTTAATAAGAGTTTGCTTTGCTTATCCAGTATTGTCTGAAGTAGAAAAAAATGCATTTGGTGGACAGAAGTATCCTAGTTACAAGGAAATTATACTCCACAACAAAGTAGAAATAATTCATGGGGCTGTAATACTAATAGAGCAACACATTACTATTATAGAACAGTAGTCTTTTCAGCAGGCTTCCAGACCAGCAGCATTAGCATGACCTGAAGACTTGTTAGAAATGCAAATTCTTGGGCTCCATTCCTTGAGCAGAGACCCTGGGAATGGGGCTCAGCAATCTGTCTTTTATAAGACTTCTGGGTGATTCTAGCACACACTAGAGTGAACCAAAGGGGCCGGGTGTGTTGGCTCACACCTGTAATCCCAGCACTTTGGGAAGGCAAGACAGGTGGATCACTTGAGGCCAAGAGTTCAAGACCAGCCCGGGCAACATGACAAAACCCTGTCTCTACTAAAAATACAAAACTTAGCTGGGTGTGGTGGCACACACCTGTAATCCCAGCTACTTGGGAGGGTGAGACATAAGAATCACTTGAACCTTGGAGTCAGAAATTGCAGTGAGCCAAGATCATGCCACTGCATCCTAGCCTGGGCAACAGCGTGAGCCCTTGTCTCAAAAAAAAAAAAAAAAAAAAAAATAGACTGTCTATATTTCTGTGCTCTGATTCTGTGCTCAAAGGCAAACTTGGGGATGATTAATTTGATTTGACAGGTGCTGTGATACTAGAAAGAAGTAGCATGCTTAGTGTACAAGAATAATCTATCCACTAGAAATCTATCTCTTTTTCCCTAAATAATTGGCCTGCTGGTGCACCATAATTTTTTGGAAGTTTTATTAGTATGGGACAAATTCCAAGAGATTAAAAACCCTAAATGAGCTGACGAGCTTCCTTCTCAACCCGCTAAACCTCCTGATGGCATGTCTCTCAGTTCAGCTTCTTAGCCATTACAGTCATCTCTGTTGAAATGAAACTAAGAAAAAATAAATAAACTGAAGCAGGAGGGGCAGAGACAAAAAGATCTACATCTCACCATTACTGCCACCAAGCACATACCCATCCCCTAGAAGAAAATGTTATAAGGCTTTGACCAAGAAGAACCAATACTAACTCTATTACCTGCACCTGTTTCCAAAACCACAGCACACAGTAAAGTCAATGGAAAAAAAGATCCAGCTTGTTTGAAAACATGCTTATGATCCAACACTGAAAATACATTTAAATTACACATCTGCATCTCTTCCCCAAATTAAAATGGGGTCTATATAGTGTTTCTCTTCCAAGTGAAAGTCTAAAGTGTCTGCATGTGTGTGCTAGCATGTGTGTACCTAACAAAATACTATTTCAAAGTAGCTATATTTATTTCTAATATACATAATAAGGGTCAATAGTATCAGGATCTTCACAGGTAAAAGATAATTAGTGATGTCTTTGCTGTTTTCTCTGATGAGAAGGAAATGAAAGAGAGTGGTGGAGGATGTTGAAAATGCACTATTTTAACTAAATCTGTTACATCACATTAGTTTATTTCCCTTTGAACTGTGTTTTAATCAAAGCAGGTTGATTTCCACTTCATGAAAATGTTTCATTTCAAGCCACTGGAGTTTTATGGGTTATCTACCACATTTTACTGGAGGCTTGTAAATCTTATGAAATTCTGGAATGTCTAGACCATAAAAACCTGTCATTCAAATGTGTTTTCTGTGGAGATGTTTCTCCCCTATGCAGACTCACAGGCTTTGCAAAGATTTGTGGAGGGAAACAAAAAAAATCCTTTAAGATATATCCCACAGTTCCTGAGTTAAAAGATCACCGTTTCAGTTGACTGGAATTTCACCTGTCACAGTCTAACCCTTTGTAGAACTATTTACAAGACTGAAGGCTTTAATAATAATAATAATTTTAAAATTCTCTCACTCTTTCCCTGTATGCCCCTGCTTTCAATCCTTTTAAAGTCACATGGTACTAAATGCACTTATGAGAATTCTAAAGCCAGTGATGATTACTGTCATGAATGAACATTCATCACTGTTATTAAAGGGAGTAGTTGTGCTAGTAGCTGAGATCCAGCTTCCAAGATTGCTGAATAGAGTGCCCCAAATACAAACAAATACGGCAGCAAGGAAAAGATGGTACGCACTTTTAATAAAACAGAACCAAGTTCCTGAATGCTATTAAATGAACCACTCCTTTCTTCTCACAATGTTTATCAATTTGGCCTCAGAGTAAACAGAAACAAATTGGCATTCTTTTCTATTTATTTGTCTAAAACGTTGAAGAGCGCTAATCATGCATGAGATTTCTAAATCTCATATATTTGATTTGTACTATGATTCCTAAAGCTATTTGCATCAAGCTTCTCAATCACCTATGTAAACAGAGTCAATGCATGGGTGAACATTGATGAATGAATCCAAATATTTATTTCATGATAATTTTATGAGTTTCATGTAAAGCCACTTTTCTACCCTAAAAATTAACCCTGCTTTCACCTTCTTCAGATGGTTGGTGTCTAAAGTTAGGGAGGCATTTTATATCAGAAATTAATTCTTTTGCTGGAGAAGAGGGAGTAACGGAGAATCTGCCACTGGACAGCAATCAGAAATTATTCACAGCAGCTCAGAGGAAACCACCATGTCTCTGTTAAGATATATGAAAAGTTGTTTTAGTCTCTAAACAAGCAACCTTTCATATGGGACACTTGTGGGTATCCACACTGGAAATAGGTGTGAAATACCTGAAAATACGCACGTTAATTCAAGTATTTCTGAACCAGAATACACAACTAGTACTATGCCATTTTCAAGCCCAGTCTTTCCTCTAAGGATGTTGCCCAGTGATTTGGAATCGAAAGACCTAAGTTCCTGTTTTTTTCTCTGTCACTTAACTTGCTCTTTGACTTCAAATCATTCACCACTTCTCTGAGCCTAGTTGCTTCATTTGAGTTGAAATATGGTTTACAGTTATAAATCTATTCGTCAACTAATTGAATAGATCACTGAAGGGCATCTCGGATCTCTTAAAGCCAAAGACCTAAAGCTCTGGAGTGGTGTTTGAACATGGAGTGATCCAATGAATTGCTGTGTGATTAACATAAGAATTGTTAATATCATAACTCTTAAAAATCAACCCCATAAGTCAAACACAATATGAAAGCAATAATAATATTAAAAGACATTTATATGGTACACTACATTGAATTTGATATTGTGCCAGCTCTTCACAGTTACCCATTGCGGTATCACATTTAATGAGAAAAACAAGTTGAGAAAGCTTACATAAATTGTTTAAGATGGCGGAAAGTCACAGACTAAAAGTCCTCTGATTTCTTATAGATGAAAACCAAAGGAAGAGGGACAAGAAATTAAGACGTGTTTATCTTAAGACGAGAGAGACAAAGTCAGATCTCTTGAAGACAACCATATCTGCTTAATGCCATATGCAATGTGAGTCCCAAAACATGTTACTTTTATATTAAAGAGGGAGTCTCAGATACATGGGTAATCTTGGTTTCACATCTTCTGTGAGACTCACCTATTTCTACCTACATGTAAATACAGTGTGTCTGTCAAAAAAGCATTGTAGTATATTGGAAACATATATTCTGCAGTTAGAAAACTGAGCTTGACATTACCATTCTGCCACTTAGTAGTCATCTGTCATTTAATTTCCTAATCTGTCAAATGAAAATAACAACACTGTAGTTAAAAGCATATGCAAACTACATATTTTATATAAATAGACATTATTACTAATAACAAGAAATAAAATAATAAAATATATGCAGTAATAATGTACTCCCTTTCAATATCTATTTATCTATCATCAACAAAAATAGAAAATAAGTTACATCAACTCAAATGAAGGAAAAAAGGAAAGGAGCTCTATATGAACTAGGAAAGGTCTAAATTAGAAAAAACTTTTAGAAAAATTAACATTTTTCAATACTACTTCAAGTCTGGAAACTGCAAAAGAATCACTGCTACTAAACTCTTGAAGAATAAAAATTAATGAAATTCTATTGTATATATGAAAAAGTATTTATGGCCCCCAAAAAACCATATCAAATAACTCTAATTTGGAAGTTTGGGAAGGGAGAAAAGAAAGTATCTTGGAGTAGTCAAGTAAATAACCATTAATACAGTATTAAACTGGGTTATGAAAAACACAAGAAACACAGTACTAAAGCAGCTTCACTAATTGCACAGTAAGACTTTGTGTAATGCATGGCCTGTAATTATTACAGACCCGAGGTAAGGTGTGTGCCAAGGTGAATGTCAGAAAAGAACAAATACCTAACACCACTTAGAATTAGCATACACATAAACTGGGGCACTGTAGCATGGGAAAAGGAGTGTGAGGCAAGAGTGAACAGTGGAGAATTAGAAAAGGAACGCCGAATTTCAGTCTGTTAATGATACAAAAAAAGAAAAAAAGAAGTGTAGCCCAGACTCTCAGAAAGTACAAACTGCAAAGTAAGACACCATGGGTATATTTTTTAGCTCCAGCTAAAGAAGTGGGAACTCTGTGCCAGATCCTGGTTTCTAGTTCTTTGATCATTTTTCCACGATGGAGAAAAATCACATGTTGGGTTCTCCAAGCCTGCTAAGATAATGCTTAGAAATATCCAATTGACTTTGAATCACCATATTCACCCAACACTCTCTGTAACTGTAAAAATAAAGGAAAACAAATTTAACAATCATTGTCAACTTTTGTTGAGCACTTACTCTGTTAGACAAAAATAACCTCCAAGATCATCTTATTTTTATCTTTCCACTGGACCTTCAAAGTGAACTTTATTCATATTTTAAGGATGAGGAAACCGAGGCAAGGGATGTTGAAGGAATATGTCCAGATAGTAAACAGTGGGACTGAAATTCCAATCTAGGCGATTTTACCCTCGACCCCTCATTCTTGTTCACCATGTCATTCCACATCTCATACTGCAATTTGTTTCCAAATGAAACCAAACATCCAAAAAAGAAAATGTTCTCCATAGAACATTCTCAAGTTATATCTTTGGTCACAAAGTAAGACATCTTTCTATGTGGATTCTGGTTACTATCATTTGCTTCTGTGAATACGAGGCCTACATTGGTTCATTGGCCCAAGATGTAGTCATACCTTTACGAAATGACATTTGAGTTCCCGGATCTGGTAGTTCTCTGCCAAAATACAATAAGGTGCCCTCACCTAAATGGCCTCCCCCAGTATGCAGAGACCAAGTAATTTATTAGTAAATTCACAAATTAATTAACATTTAAAGTAGTACAATTTGTACCTACTGCATGTATACTTTAGGAAGGACAGTAGTAGAGAAACCACAGTAGTCCAAAAGCTTTGTCTACGTGACCAGGAGATAGAGTCCTCAGTGGTTAAGAACCTGCCATGAACTTGGTTCTCAGATAAACCCAGACCTAAAGCTCATTTCTACTACTTGCTGGCTGTGTGGTCTTAAACCTCTCAGAGCCCTGGTATTCACACATAAGTAGACTAATAGTATCCACCTCTAAGGTATTATAGACAAAGTTCCTTTTTGTAACAATGACTGGAACAAAAAATACTTGTTGTTTGGTATTATTACTATTATTATATATTGTATTCTTTCTATATAATCTCTTAAATATTCTTACAAAAAAGAATCATTTACAAGAAGAGATTAGAAGAAGCAGTCCCAATGAATTGCAAAAGTATTTTAACAACTTTTTATGTTTCATGAAAACAGTCAGAGAAAAATACTCTACAAAAAGATCAATTATTTTGCTTCATAGAAAAGACTGATAATTTAAACTATTCCCCCCTTTTCCGTTTTCCATCAATAAACCTACATGGACATGAGCCCGCATATGCCAGTGCATGATTATGCCCAGCTTGATATAGTTTAGGTATCCAATGTTATCACAGATGTTTCAGCCCTTGAGACATATATTATATTGCATGTCCATAAAATAAGACAGAAAAACATCACATTCTGACAAACCTGGCATCATATGCACTGACTATTGGCATTTCCAGTGCAGGCACTGTCTCTTTAAACAAGTTTCACATTTAAACAGACCTCACTGAATCTGATGGTGCCAGAACTTCACCAGCTTGCCTCTGAAGAGCAAGACAAAACTTTCTGAATCAGATAAGACACAAACTGTATTTTTCTTCCACAGGTATTTGTTCAGGAGCTGATTTCCTTGGGGGCAGCAGAAAGGGCTTAAGTTGCTGACACTCACTACACCAGTTAGAACCAAACAACGGGGTTTCTCATTCCCTTCAAAGCATAATTCAGAAAATGTAAAAGAGCCTTCCAAGTTCAACACTAAATATAATAATAATAATACACCACCATAATTTAGATCAAAGCTTACATATTTTGACAATGCTGTTGGAAGAGTTCCAATGAAAAGAAAAGTGTTCAGTCATTTAGAAGACATTTACCAAGCATCTACTATGTAGGAGGCTCTATTCCAGGCTCTGGGAATATAGTGGTGAATAACACAGATGATAAGAGCTGCCTGTGCAAAACAGTCCTTATTTTTAAGATGTCTTCTAGGCCCTGGCCTTGTGCATTAGCTGAGGCAGGGAGGCAAGTGATGGCCATCATAAGGCATGGACTTTGGCGTCACAATGACCAGGGTTCAGTTCCTAGCATCCCTGTATTGTAACGTTGGCCAAGTTGCTTCACCTCTCTGAGCTTCCTCTGGTGTCAGATCAAGATATTAATGGCGCCCTCCTTAGAGAACTGTTGTAAGGATTAGCTACTTCAGACTGTCACCTAGACAACAGTCAACAAAAAGCAATTTATTCCATTCCCTTGTTCAAGCCCAGTTATCCTTACTGGATAAGGAAATATGTAAAGACAAGACGTGGAAGTAATAAGTGGGTTTGTCTCTGAAATCAAGGTGGGCACTCAAACAATTAGGCAGCATTTTGATATTTGAGTCTTCTATTAGTAATTCAGGAAGCTGTAAAAGATGAGCAGCACACATTGCCTCCTTGTTTTATCCTTTAAATTACTTTAATCAGTGATTCTTTGAGAAGCATAAAGTCAAAAAAAAAAGAAATAACAAAACTCTGAGATATCTGAATCTATAAATGCTTACCGAAAAAACAACAACAACAACAACAAAAAACTGCCATGATCTGCTGGAGACCCACATGAAAACTTGGATACTGCTTTCTTCTCACAAACCCTTCCCAGTTTTGAAAATAAAGCTCAAACACTTTGCCTCCGTTCAGTTCAGCAAAGGTAGCAGCTTAGACATAAAAGTGCAAACACTGGAGGGGGAAAAAAAAAAAAACAGCCGTGGCTGGCTGCCAGCTCTTGGCCAATCAGTCTTCACAAGGAAGGTTGCGTCAGAGGCTTTGAGCCTGCTGGAACCTCTGCAGCTGCCTGCAACACAAGCTTGGACCACCCAGGCCGAAGTGGATGGGCATCTGGAGAAACGCGCAAACAATGGAGAACGTTAGAGTCCTGCATTTCCAAGCCAGTGATTCTGTCCCTAGGCTTAGCTGGGACTTTGAGAAAGTCCTGGGCTAAAAAGAAATCTAATATAAGCTAACTGGCCCTACTATTAAATTGCTGTCTCAGGTCAGCAGCATAACCCCCAGAATGGAAAAATATTTTTTCAGTGGAAAATCACCCGTCTCAGTATTCATGGATCTAGTTTTCAACGGGTGTTGGGCTCCCACCCAATGTAATTAACATCTTACCTGTGGGTGGCTGGTAGAATTGCTTTACACCTCTCTCATCAACCCAGCACCTAACACTTCCTGAAATGCAATATACAAACAAATAGGAAATTATGTTTCTGAAAATAGACTATTTGGTTGGGGGCTCTCTGGTAGCCCCTCAGTTCTTCTCTCAGCAAATTTATTTTTTCTAATTTAAATGTCAGAGAACAGGCCCACATCATTCAAAGCCTTGCTCAAACATAAGCCATGCCAACTTGTTATAATTACAATGAGATACAATAGCGGACGTGGGGAAAGCCTAATTAAAGAGTTGGACCTGGCATCCCAGATGGAAAGCAAAGTACGTGGCCTTCTATCAGATCTGAATAAAAACCCTGCTCACTGATGATGGATGTCTCTAGGAAACACACACCCTCCCAGGACCCAAAGTACAGATGCTCGGGAAGGAGTAGGAGAGAAACATTCTGCTAAGACAGAAACTGAAACTAAAACCCGGGGGGAAAGCACTCATGCCTGCATCCCAACCCCAGTGACTCTGATTTAATAGGGTCTGGGGTGCAGCCTGAGTGCCAAATTTTTTTAATTCTCCAAGTGATAGTATTGTGCAGCCAAGATTGAGAAACCCTACAAAATATTCCTTAGATAATGACCTCCACTTTAACAGAATATTTAACTAGGAAGTCAGTGTATTATGGCAGAGTAATTTACCAGATCTAACAGAGCAAAGCATAGCAATAATTTTCTACACTGCACTATAAATGTTGATTGTGCCTCCTGAACTAGACTGGAAGCTTCAAGGGGGTGTTTTATCTCCAGCTCCTAAGAGAGGGATGTAGACATAGCAAATAGAAGCATTTGCTCAATCATCAGATAGATGCTTAGAAAACATCATACTGTCTGGATGTTTAAGCAGAAAGACAAACTTTACAGCCACCGTTTTTTCTACAATCCTCTAAAGCATTTATTTTTCAAAATGTAATGTGCATGAGAGGCTTACTAAATATGTAGGTTCTTATGCCTCACCTAGAACCTAAAGAGATACTCAGAAAAATTCAGTCCAGTTCAGCAGTAACTGCACAAGAATTCCTCCATTGCCCGGTACAACCCGGGAACAAAACAGCCCAGTGGCATATCTATATATCTGAGATGAGAGTCCACAAACAACCCGCTAAACAAGAAAAACCTCCTTTCATCTAAGTTCTTGAAGCCAAAGATACATCATAGGTTAATTATACAAAGGGCATGAAAGAGTTGTGTAGTTCACTTCAATTCAACACAGAGAGAGCTGCTCTTATAGATTTAACATAAGTAGTAAAAAATGGGGTGGAGTGAAAATTCTGGATTCGGTGTGGGATTCTCAGCAGTAAGAGGCAGTGTTTCTGGCTGAAAGCTACACTTTATACTCAGTGAAGGGAATCCAGATGCGTTCCCTTCCAGAGTTCATTGCAGGGCTTGAATTGAAGCTGCATTTCTTGTTACCTTAGGTAGGCTCTATAGGAGCCAACTTTTAGGAAAACCAACAAAGCAAGTAATCTTATATCCTCAGAAGAGATTAGGCAATACACTGTGATATAGAGTTCCAATATCATCGTGAAACACAAAAGTCTCTGCATGCAGTTCTTCCTCTAAAGTGAGTATGACCCCAGGGTGGAAAAGGATTTCTTTTCTTCAAGTAACAGGCTTAGAATTTAATGGTGCCATTATACAGATTTCCTTCAAATTCTAGTCTAGTCTCATACTTGCTGTGTGACTTTGGCAAGTTACTTAACCCATCTGAATCTCCATTTATTCATCCTTGCCATGGGAGATTTTTGCTTATTGCAGAGTTATTGTGAAGTTGAAATGTAAATTACTCAGCAGAGTTCTCATATTAACTGATGAGGAAAAAGAGAATTGCACCTTCTGTACCTTCTGCTGGTCCTAGGCAAGGTGAAATTCTTCATGCCCAGTTGTCTAGTCACAATCCCTGTGCTTTCTCTACAGTTGTTTTATTTGAACCACTGAATTGTTTTCTCCACCCTTCTTTATTCCTGCAGAGAAAACTCTTCAAAGAACTACAGGGGGCCGGGCGCAGTGACTTATGCCTGCAATCCCAGCACTTTGGGAGGCTGAGGTGGGCAGATCACTTGAGATCAGGAGCTCAAGACCAGCCTGACCAACATGGTGAAATCTGTCTCTACTAAAATACAAGAATTAGCTGGGTGTGGTGGCTCACGCCTGTAATCCCAGCTACTCGGGAGGCTGAGGCAGGAGAATCGCTTGAACCTGGGAGGCAGAGGTTGCAGTGAGCCAAGATCACACCACTGCACTCCAGTCTGGGGGACAGAGCAAGACTCTGTCTCAAAAAATAAATAAATAAATAAATAAAAGAAATATAGGGGAACAACCCAGCATCAGCCCACATGAAACTATTAGGTTAGCTGCTATAACAAATAAACCACCAAGTTTTAACAGCTTAACACCTTAAGAACTGAGCTATCTACGTAACAGTCCAAAGCTGTTATTTCTGATTGGTGGGTAGTTTTGCCCATATGGTGATTAAGGGACCTGTTCCCTCCACCCGTGGCTCACCAGCCCCTAGACCTCAAAGGTTTCCGCATTCACTGGCAGACAGGAAATGACAATAGAAGAAGCCCAGCCTGTATCTTAAAAGCCCTGACCCAGAAGTTAGTGGCATTCCATCTGGTCTCATTCAGTTGGTGAGAAGAGTCTTATGGCTACCCCTAGAGAGAAAATAGAAGATAAAGTCCCTGACTGGACATCTCCTCCCAGCAACAACTCCACACTATGCAAAGCAGAATACAAACTTTCAGTGGATTGACATTCATCTCTACCAAAGAGCTCTTTTCTAATTCACATGAAGGTGATTTCCTCCTTGCTAAAGCCCTGGAAATCTAAATTGGAAAGAAAGTTAGAAATCTACTGTGACATGCTACAAATGCAGATGTGCCACAAACACCACAGAATGGTCATCCAGCCAGTGCCAGATCATCATGAGAAAGTTTTGTTAGAAAAGTTTTCCTTTCATAGTCCCAGGTGAGCCATCTGTTGCAACCCAGGGTAAGTATACGCATGTACCTCATCAGACCTCAGTCCAAATAAATGTAGCTGTCTGTAGTCCTCCTTTTTCCCCACTAAATGCTCATAGTTGTTCAAATGTTCTTCATATACTATGGTTTTCAGACTCTCCACCATCATGTCTTCTCTCCACTGCAAAGTGCATCATTTGTCATGGTTCCCGAAGGATTAAGACCCCTGCCAAATGAATACAATACTCCAGACGCATGACTGGATATCCCATTTGGTGTCATCTTTTCTAAGTTACACTAATGGGGCTCACAGCTTTTCCTTCACCTTTGTTTTCTCCTTTTTCCTAGATTTTAATTTCTTTATTCACACTTTCCAAACCAACTGATATCTTTAGCCTTAATCTGTCTGCTCTCATTGTTATTTAAATTCCTGCCAGTCACTTTCTGGCCCATCACCAAATTAACATTCTTGCAAGGGCTGTTCAGAAAGTAAATTTACAAGGTGTTTTTAGAAAACTGATTTTAAGAGATGGCAAGTAATCCCTATAAGTATTTAAACAGCAGCTGATTGCTATGTTTCCACATAATCCAACAGATTCACACATTTTTTAGACCACAGGGCCAGCTTTTTATGCCAGCTGAGTAAAAGTTGCAGGGTCTTTGGTTATTAAATCAACTTAATATCATATCAGTGAACACACGCTTTATTGAGTCTCGGGGTTGTTGCAAATAATGTCTCCAAGAGACAGAATGAGTTTTGCTTGAAACTGGGGCACTGATACTTTCCCACTTCGAGTATTGATTTGTTTAGTGATTTGTCCTCTGTGTGGTTCCAGGTCCTTAGGTTACATCTCCTTATTCACTGCTATTCTACTTTCTCCCCAGAACTGGACGTGTCATTCTAATACATTTTCAATTAAAAATGTCTTTGACATAAATTTAAACAAGTTAACTGTGAAATTCTGCAGCAGACTCTACTTTTTTTCATTTAAAAAATGGAAACACATGTTATAAAAGAACATTTAATGACATGGAAAAATATTCAAGATATATTGGTAAAGGAAAAAAGCAGATTTCTAAAGCACAAACACAAGATGAATCCATATTCGAAAAATAGAATACAGTATGTGTGCACATGTGCACATATATGCTTGTATAGGAAAATCTGAGAAAGATTTTCTTCAGGTTATCAGGTCCTCTCTTTTACATTTTCTAAAGATCACTTTCGTCCTTCTTCTTTCTCAGCTATATTTTCTACATTTTCTGTAATGAACACTACAACTTTAATAAAAACAAAACTTAATGTTACTTATCTTTAATGTAATAAAAATGGAAGCATAACTCTAAACAATTAAACATGATACCACATGTCCAGAAAAAGTCCTCTTTGTTTTGAGACAGAGGCTCAGTCTTCTTTTTTTTTTTTTTTTTGAGACAGAGTCTCGCTCTGTCACCCAGGCTGGAGTGCAGTGGTGCAATCTCCGCTCACTACAAGCTCCGCCTCCCGGGTTCACACCATTCTACTGCCTCAGCCTCCTGAGTAGATGGGACTACAGGCACCCACTACCATGCCTGGCTAATGTTTTGTATTTTTAGTACAGACAGGGTTTCACTGTGTTAGCGAGGATGGTCTCGATCTCCTGACCTCGTGATCTGCCGGCCTTGGCCTCTGAAAGTGCTGGGATTACAGGTTTGAGCCACCGCGCCTGGCCCTCACACTTCTTGCTCTGTCACCCAGGCTGGAGTGCAGTGGCACCATCTCAGCTCACTGTAACCTCTGCTTCCTGGGTTCAAGTGATTCTCCTTCCTCAGCCTCCAAAATAGCTGGGACTACAGGCACACACCACTATGCCTGGCTAATTTTTTGTACTTTTAGTAGAGATGGGTTTCACCATGTTGGCCAGGCTGGTCTCAAACTCCTGACCTCAGGTAATCCACCTGCCTCAGCCTCTCAAAATGCTGGGATTATAGGCATGAGCCACCATGTCCAGCGAAAAATTCCGTTTCTATAGTCACGATCCACAGTACTTTCTCTGTGCCTTTAGTGCCTAAAGAAACATTGTTATGGACTAAATGTTTGTCTCCTCCCAAAGATCCAACCCCCAGTGTGACTGTATTTGGAGACAGAGCCTTTATGAAGGTAATTAAAGTTAAAAGAGGTCACGGGGTGGAGCCCTGATCCAATAGATTTAGCGTCCTTGTAAGAAGAGACACGAAAGAGCAAGCTCTCTCTCCATCTTGTGAGGACACAGTGAGAAGGTGGCCATCTGCAAACCAGAAAGTAAGTGCTCCCTCACCAGGAACTGAACTGGCCTACACCTTGATCTTGGACTTCCCAGCCTCCAGAACTGTGAGGAAATACATTTCGGTTGGTAAATTTTTATGGTATTTTGTAATAGCAGCCTGATCTGACTAATACAAACATCATGGCCCAACAAAATTGTCTTTATTACTGTGCATTGGTAATTAACCTCATCGTTGAGCTTTTGAGCAATTGCACCATTGATACCCCTGTTCACTGTTATCAAGATGTGGAAGAAGAGACAGTGCTTTTTCACTGACTTCCAAATGTTCCAGAGCTACTTTTCCTTCTAGGCATTTTTTATTCTTCTCTACACCCTGCTGATGACACTGCCTGTTCATCTTTGGGGCCAAAGTGGTTCACACACACTCAGTCAAGAATGCAGTATGCACTTAGTAAATATGGACAGAGCTAATGACACACACGTGGTGGGGATGGCAGGGAAATTTTTTGGTGCATAATTGACATAGAGTCAGAAGTCAGAAAGGCAGATGGAAATAAAGAAAGGAGTGTGGAAGGGACTTGATGAGAACATCTTAATCTATGAAACCCAAAGATATTTGCTGTAGGCCTAGAATGTAAATTCAAATTAAATCAAGCACAACAACTCAAAGCAAAAACTCCTCATAAACAATCTCCCACTGACTTCAAAGGTAGATTTGGGCCACAGGGCAGAGAGGAAAAGAGGTTATGGAATGTACCAGAAGCTTTGCATTTGTCTACTGCAGAGTAGAATTAAACCCTGGAGGTTACTGACATCCCCCTGGGTCTTCGTGATCCCATAGGACAGGTTGGACAGTCCTCCACTGTCCAAATGTTAGCGTCCCTCTGAATGCTCATTTTAATTGGAATCTCTGGGTACATGCGCTCCTCTAGTTCAAGGGCTCTGGGTGCATAAGTGGAAACAAAGCTTGCTACAGAACGTACCTCCCTCCCTCTTGGTTCAGGAACATATTTCAAAATGCCACTTTATTAGCAGCTAAACAAAAACACCTCTTCGACAGGGATGAGGGAGCGTGGAGTAAACATGTCATCCCTACCTATTGTTCTGCAGAGTCGAAATTCTCCTAAGATTGATTATAAAAGGCAGTTATAGAGGAAACTGTTTGAGTCTGCTGAATTAAAAACAAACAGTGAGGCATTCAACGACGAACAGATCTGATGGATTAAAATGCACCGAAGAAAGACATCTCAAGCGATGCCTGAATAGGCCAAGTCAGAATGAGAGGAAATTTGGCCTGCAATTTCCAATCAAGGGAAAACTGGCAAAGCAACAGAATTTGAGGCTTCCTCAGATTTACACTTTATCTGCTAATTAGCATTAACATGCGTGGTAGAGGTATCTCACCAGCTTGTGGCACAATAAAAAACGGAATGTGTTATCACCACAGAATGTGTAATTACTTTAAGCACTGGCTGAAAATTGCAGGGTACTTCATTTCAGAATTTGTATATATTTATTGTTAGAGATAAACTTGTTGAAGTATATCTAATCTAATTTTATGTTATAATTCCTGTTTAAGATAATTTTAGTGTCAGCAAGCCAAGAACTGAAGTAAATACTGCCGTAAATTGTAATACATTAAAATACCAGAGAAATACTTCCATTCAGCCGTGACTTGATTTGCTTATTGTTTAAGGACAAAAAATAAAAAATTCTCAGATTACATCAACATTGGAAATATATACTGTTGGGTTGCCCCTACCATGCAGGCCATGCAGCTGATGAAGTTTGCTAACCTTGACTCGCCCAGTTCCCTGGAAGTGTGAATCACTTTTAAAAGAATTGTAGATTTCCGTTTCCCTTAGGTAAGATTTATTATTTTTGTAAAAATCTCCTTAAATTGCTCTGTATGTTCCCACAAGGGAAATGCATTAGGACAGATTATTTGGCTTTAAATCATAACTAGGTTAATATTTGTTGTGAGTTTGATTTAAGACCTTGTTTAAATTCCTCCTTAAATTGTTAAGCAAGACAATTTGGGGCTATGAAAAGGAAACTATACTGTGTTTTTCAGTAATATGATATTATGGCACAGACTACCAAATCATGCAAAAGCAATTTCTGATTTTTCTACTAATAGGGGATTATAGCTAAAGCATTGTCGGCATACAGACTGTGTATTCTTTTAGCAACCTTCTATCAAGCCTGCAAAACTTGGAAAAATGTGGAGATAATGCTGCCTCCGAGGAGGGAATGCTGGATCTAACACTATTTTTGTTTGGTAACTATCAATTTCTCTGCCTTTTTATGCCCTTGTTTCACCAGGAGAGAGAAGAGAGAGGGGGGAAAAAAGGATATACAAGGATGCATGGTTCACAATGCCAATGCCTGTATTCATATAATTTGTGTTAATAAGATGTAAAAACCTTCTTACGTTTTCTCCCAGTTGTCTGTCTACTGTTCCTCTGAGGAAGGCATGAAATTAAGGATCCCATTGGATAGATCTTATTATGATTCATCTGGAAAGAGCCCTAGGATTTTAATGTCTGCCCGTTGCCCTCCCTGTTGTGTGAAAAATGGTGGGAGCTAATGAGCCCTTGAATGACTCTGGCCATCTCAGAACACTGATGTATTGGTTGTCTAAGAGCCTTCTTCCTACGTGTAGCAATAATGAAGCTACATAAATGGAAAGTCCTGAAACTTCGAAATTCTTTTTCTGGAGAAGTAGCTTCACACAGCACATTTAAAGCACAACTGAATTTTTCTTTTCATGGCTGCTTTTTTAACATGGAAAATTTATATTTTCTGTAATACTGATTCCTAATTAATATCTTAGCACCAAGTTCAGCATATTAAAGGCAGGACTGGTATATAAACAAAACCTGAGTGGCTCTGTGATAGAATAGGAGTGAGCAGACTTGAGATCTTCCCTAGAGCTGAGGGAAACCAGGAAGGGGCAACGGTAGCAGCAATTCATGTGGTTTACTCTAGTGGCCAAAAGCATTGAAAAGGTGTTAGCCCTGCTGCTCTGGCTAGACGCCAGTGAAGTATTTATAAGATGCTGCCTCTGATTCCTTCTATGACTGTAAAAGTTTGGGGGAGAAGGGGACCTTTCTTTCCAGGCCTCATTCCTTGCCTCTTGAGCAGTGCTGTGATGTGTCCGGGGAAGCAGCTATCCTTATTTCACCTCTGAAGCTGTTTCACCTCAAAGAGGCTATGATTTCCCCTAATGCAATAGCTGGCCATTCTCTTGCTGAATGTGGAAAGTACTTTGGAATCCTATGGCAAGAAAGCAACTAAAGACAATTTGAAGTCACAACTGTCCACATCATGTGAAAATCAACACTCTTTTCCAAACCAGCAGCTAGAACAAGAAGTTGACTTGAGGATGTTGACTCAATACTGATGGGTAATTTTAGGACCTTTTCTAGGGATACCTCCTGTCTTAGTCCATTCAAGCTGCTAGGACAAAATACTATAGACTGGTGACTTATAAATAACAAACAGTTATTGCTGAGTTCTGCAGTCTGGGTAGTCTAAGATCAAGGTTCTAGTAGACCCAGAGTCTGGTGAGGTCTTACTTTCTTGTTCATAGATGGTTCTATGTCTTCTCACTGTATCCTCACATGGTAGAAGGGGTGAGAGAGCTTACTGAGGTCTCTTTTATAAGGGCATTAATCTCATTCATGAGGGCTACATTCTCATAACCTAATCACCTCGCCAGAGCCCCACCTCCTAATACCGTCACAGTAATGATTAAGTTTCAACATATGAATTTTGTGGGGACACAAACATTCCATCTATAGTACCTTCACATGCAAACTATTTCCAAAATAAGACTTTCTGTGTGTGCATGGGGACTTACCACAGTTCATAAGAAGCAGTATGAGCTGTTGGGCATAAACAGAGCTTTCTTTAGAATCTTCTTAGCTTCCAACTTGCACCATAGCACAGGCTGGAAGCCTGACACCAAGACTGTCTTGGCCAACACAACATTAATCCATGAGAGACAACCAGAGGGACCAGACAAATCCTGCCACTAGAAACTTGCTGCATACCCTCCAGTGACTGCCCATTCTAAAGTCTCTCCATCATCAACATTCACATGGCTTTTCTTTCCTCTCATTCAAGGCATATTCTTGTTTGCTTTTTGGTGAATAATATTATTTATAATGCTTTTATTACTGTAAATTACTATTATTTGAAAATTTACTTTCTTTCTGTAAGCGCTTAGAAGAAGTGAAGTAGCCTGACCTCCAAAAACCCACTATACAGAGGTCAAAGTTGGAGTTCAGTGACTTATCAGTCAGGAGACAGAAGGCATATTCATCAGATAAGGTATTGGAGAAGAGCTTTGTAAAGGAATGAGATAGAAAGATGCAAGAAGTAGTGTGAAGCCCACTGGAACTACCAACAGGTAGTACACTAACCACCCTTAGCATGGTTGCATATACTCATCCAGAGCTGTAGAAAAGTGCCCTCCACCCCTCCACATACAGGAGCTATGCCTTTTGGTAGAGAAACAAAGACACTGATAATTCATGGCACAATAGGGAGGTAGCAAAAGAAATGAAGACCTTGACCACACTCTCCTCCTGCCCTCTCCTGCTGCTGCCCCCATTGGTAAATTCAACCAGAAGTCAGAGAGCAAAGGAATCTAGTTGATGCAGTCTATACAGATCAGCCTCCCAGGGCACAGAGCAGGGTGGTGAGGTGGAAACTCTAGCCAAGGGGGCAGATAAAGACCACCCAGCACAAGTGAGTTATCCAAGTCATTTAACTTACCCCCAAAAAAATGCTTGATGTAAAACAGGCATCTCATGAGTTCCTGCACTACTATAAAGCCCACCAGTAAAACAAATTTGTTGCCACTTTTCACTTCTTATGGATTTTCACAATAGTCCTCAGAGGCCAACAATCACTGTTAACTGCTGTTGTCACCAACATCTTAATGGAAACACACATTCCTAGTGTATATATGTTCCAACATGCTAAGTGGTCTTTTAACTACCTTTTGTCTGGAGCTACTTTTACAGGCTCTTAATTATTTCCTAATTGTTTACATTTTCCTAATGATGATGCCTTATTAACTACACATTAAAAGAAAGTTCTATTATAAAAAAATTATCAAAAAATTATCAAAAATATAACTTCTTTTTAATGTACAGTTAACAGGGCATTATCATCAAGGAAAATGTAAACAATTATAAAATAATTAAGAGCCCGTAAAAGTAGCTCTTGATAAAAGACCACTTAGCATGTTTGGACATACATACCCCAGGAATACGTGTTTCTGGTCCACAACATGAATGAACCTGGAGAACATTATGTCAAGTGAAAGAAGTCAGGCACAGAAAGACAAATACTGCATGATTGCACTCATATGTGGAATCTGATAAAGCTGATCTCATAGAAGTAGAGACAAAAATGTACATTACCAGAGGCTGGAGGGTTGGAGAATTGGGGAAAAGATGTTGGTCAGAGGAGGAATAAGTTCAAGAGATCTATTGGATAGCATGGTAACTGTAGTTAATGATGATACATTGTATTCTTGAAAAATGCTAAGAGAGTGGATGTTAAGTGTTCTGGCCACAAAAATAACTATTGAGATAATGCACATGCTAATTAGATAGATTTTGCCATTCTGCAATGTATATATGCCTCAAAACATCATGTTGTACATAATAAATACAGACAATTTTATCTGTCAATTTAAAATTAACTTTTTAAAAGGAAGTTCCATATCTTTGTAATTTCATACATAATTTTTTTCTGTTTTTTAAAAAATTTTATTTTAAGTTCTGGGATACATGTGCAGAACGTGCAGGTTTGTTAAATACGTATACATGTGCCATGGTGGTTTCCTGCACCCATTAACCCATCATTTAGGTTTTAAGCCCCACATGCATTAGGTATTCAGACATAATTAATTTTATCATTCCTATAGATTTATTAATGGGAACTATTTTTTCTCATTGAAAAAAATATTTTGGCTGGGCATGGTGGCTCATCCCTGTAATCCCAGTACTTTGAGAGGCTGAGGCTGGCAGATCACTTGAGGCCAGGAGTTCAAGACCAGCCTAGCCAACATAGTGAAACCCCATCTCTACTAAAAATATAAAAATTAGCCAGGCATGGTGACACACACCTGTAATCCCAGCTACTCAGCAGTCTGAGGCATGAGAATTGCTTAAATCCAGGAGGCAGAGGTAGCAGTGGGCCAAGACTGTGCCACTGTACTCCAGCCTGGATGACAGAGTGAGACTCTCTCAAAAAAAAAAAAAAAATTATCTCCTGCTTTGTTTGTAAGATATTCTCTCTTCTACATTGATGCTTTGCTACATGATTAACTTATTCTCTCTTATTATCTCCCTTTCCCGGATAACCTATGTTAGATGTATCATAGACCATTATTTTCTACTACAAATAGCTTTTCAGTGGCTTTACTGAGAAGATGCTTCTGCAACAAAAGCAGGGATATGTCTCCTCTTCTGCTGCATCTTCAACTTTGTTTTGGGGTAAAAATCAGGGATATACTATTGATTCTATTTGTAATGTTCAGCCTGGAATGGTCTCATGTAATGTGTATTGAGTAATCCTCATTCAAACCCAACTAGATCCGTGCTTTGGCCTATATTTCTACTTCTGAGAGACTAATATTCTTAGTATCTAAAAGTAATTCCAATTTTCTCATTGGCAATCCTTTATTCAGTAAAATAGGTAATTTGTTACTATATATTATATATATATTTTATGTATAGATATCTTATATATATATATATATATATATATATATATATATATATATATATGGCATCTATTAAAGCTTCTTTAATTTTAGATTTAAAAGAATTTGGCCAAAAAATATTTTCTCCAGAATTGGCCCTGGAGAAATTTAAAACAACCCCTGTGACATTATAATAACTGATGCAATGGGAAAGAAGGAAAGCTTTGGCTTTGGAGCCACAGAGCCCCAGGTTTGAGACCCCACTCTTTGGCTAATACTCACTATGAGTGAGAGTTACTCAACAAACACAACTCGGGACCATTCTAGGCTGAAAATTATAGATATTTAACCTCCCAACTTCTCTAAACTACAAATGGTATAAGAATGCCTGCTTGGTGGGAGAGGTTTATGTTTATTAAAGGGGATAACGTGGGTTCAGTGCCTGAGATGTAATACCTACTAGACATCAGGACTTTCCCTTTCGGCTTCTCCCCTGTCCTCCCACTCACACACCTGTGTTGTCCTCCATGGGCCCCTGCTCTAGGCCAGGCCCAGGAGCCTGGTTCTCCCAGGATTTTGCATTATTTAATCTCCTGTCTGCACTTCTAGCCTTTTCTTTTTACCCCATTTGTTCCTACTGCTTTTTCATCTTCCATTTGTTTTTCCTCCCATATCTATTGGAGCTGACAAAATTGAAGACTCACCTGTCAAGTAATGTAAATGTGTGAATAAAGCAGAAATAAGATAACAATGAGTGGTAAAGACTGTGAAAAACTAGGGAATGTTTGCTCTACCGACAAACACTCAAAACACAGTGAGCACGCACACACACACACACACACACACACACACACACACACACATAATTTATTTACCAAGAAAAATACATCAGCATGTTGGATTTGGCTTATGGCCACCATTTTATGAGCTTGCCCACCAGCAAACGCACAGGTAGTCATTGTTCCCAAATCTCAGGTATCATTGTGCTGCTGACACTCAAATTTGAGTTGTAATTATGCAGTATTTTTAATAAAACTTTCTTCTGAAAGCATTCACACAATATAAGAAGGCATGGACTGCTTTGCCTATGTACGGATGTAATAATCAGGATGTATATGCTTACTTGTCTCCACTAAAGAAGCTGTAAATACAGCCAAAACTGTTCCACGATATACATACACAAAAACTTGAGAAATAAAGCTAAAAGTCTTTTGAGAAACAGATACATGCCAGGAAACTATGCAGAATCAGATTCCAGGTATCTCTATAGAATGCCAACATTCCTTGATCCAAATTCTGTACTAAATGCTAGCTTGGGGTCCTGAGGTGAGTTAATCTAATTAGACTTCCTCATCTATTACAAAAGCTTCTTAAATTATTTCATCTGCTTCACCAGTAACCTCTGCACACCTAAAAGCCAAGACAAGATTTCTAATGAGTTTATATCACTCAACCAGGCTAGTGACCTGCTAAGGCAGCTATCCCAACTCCAATCCGTGTTTTACTCTTGAACCAGGCCTCATGTCTAAGACAGAGAAGAGCAATCCTTATCAGCTTCTATGCAGTCAACCAAAGCGACAAATCTACCAGCAGGGTAAATACACTTGTTACCTTAAACTGAACTATATGCTTATATGGATGTCTCAACATCTAGGATATGACATTTTGAAGATGTGGGGCTGTGTTATAATAATAATAATAATAATATATGGACTGAAATGTGTTCACCCAAAATTTATATGTTGAAAGCCTAAGCCCCAATACTTCAAAATGTGACTGTATTTGCAGATAGGATCTTTAAAGAGGTACTTAAATTAAAATGAGGTCACGAGGGTGGGCCCTAATCCAATATGACTGGAATCCTTGTAAGAGGAAATCTGGACACAGAAACACACAGTGGGAAAACCACGTGAAGACACAGGGAGGAGACCGCCATCTACAAGCTGAGGAGAGGGGCCTCTGAAGAAACCAACCCTGCCAACATTTTGATCTCAGACTTCCAGCCTCCAGAACTGTGAGAAAATAAATTTCTGTTGTTTAAGCCAACCTAGACTGTAGTACTTTATTACATAAGCCTTAGAAAAATAGTAAGAACCATAATATATTAAGCATTCATTACATCCCTAGCACTAGGGCAACCATACAACTTTTGGAACCAGATTTTTTTCTTCCAGTTTCTTCTTCTTGGGGTTTGGCATTGAACAGAATAATTGAAAGAGATTAACAGTCTTTTAGCATGAAAAGCAATAGAGGATCATGAGATTATAATCCAGCCCATGTGATTACCATGTGGACACCATGCCCTGAGGGTAGACCAATGTGGAAACCTCTTTTTCTTTGCCCCTCTTTCTTCCTCCAGAAAGGATTCCCTGGTGCCATCCAGCAGGAAACAGAACCAAGGGCTGCAGGCTGGCACCCTTGGGGATAGGAAGCTGAGGAGATAGATCAAGTAGCTGTAGGGAAGGTGGAAAAGAGACAGGAGGTCTAAAAAAAAAAGAGGCTGTGTGCCAAGCCAGAGGACAGCCAAGTAGGCACCATACAGTTGAGAAATAAGAACTACAAGAAGCCAGAAAAATGTCCTGTGGAGCAGGGTAGTGAGGCCCAATATCAACAAAGTCTTGCACAAATACTTTTGAAGTATGGTTACTAGAAATGGATGGCCTCTTGCTCAAGGCTCAGAGCACCAGGAATGCAGCAAAATAATGTCAGGCTCTTTAAGCAGCAACTACCATCACAAACCCCCAGCCAGACTCTTACCACATGTGCTGTGTGGAATGGAATGTGGGTCCTACACCTGTGCTGTTTGCTTTTTTTCAGACAAATGTGCAAACTGATAACAAGACCATCTGCTTCTTCATCCGTAGATATAAAAGATGCCTACACATGCAGCGAACTAATCATTTTCCTCCCTCTAACTGCTTGTCTGATTGCATAAATATGTTAGTACAATTCCATTTAATAGCTATTGCTTTAAAATTTTCTAATCCTCAGCTTTGTTTATAAATTCTTAACTTCCCAAGAATGCAGAAGTATTAAGTTAATTTCTTCCCAAGAATGCAAAAGTATCAAGTTAATTTCTTCAATTACAATATCAACAATAACAACACTGCTTTCTTAGAATTGAAATCCAAATTTCTCTTTCCATGATGTTGCTTTAAGGAATGATAGGACATATTTGAAAGTTCTGAATGCAATTAGATGAACAAGAATGAATCAGGATTTCTGACAAGGCAGTGTGACCTGCGATGCAAAGCCTTGTTGTCACCTCCCTTGCTTCACACTACCACTCTGGTTTTTCTTGCTTGGGTCTGCCCCAATTCTACCAACAATTCCTGAGATTCTGAACCAATGTGGCTTCAGCTGCCAGCAGAGCTGATGTTTTTGACCTTCTGCTCATCTTCAACCAATGAATATTGGTTAAATAAATCCTCTTTCCTATAGTTTGATCAATAGTATAGTGGAACATTTCAAAAAAGGGATCTTAGGAAATCAAGAATAAAGAACACAAAAAATATAGACCATCAAAAAATATTTACAGAAGACACAAGTGTTACCTTAAAGTTTAAGTCTATCATAGATAGATACTGCTGGTGTGCAATATGTATTTTACCTATTTTATCCTCCACCTTGTCTACCAAGAAGTCTGAGTGCAGAAAAACATAGGGTACTGGAGTCCTATACACCATCCCAGCCAAGCTAGCTGTGGCTGAGGTTTGGTTAAATCAGGTGAAGAAATTGCATGGTTTTATATTTTTTGTCCTTTTTATTTAGTTTCCAAGCTAATATTACTTTGAAAATATATGTAACTTTACCTTTGTTAAAATAAAGGAGAAAGGGGCCCTTGCAGGAACCCTCTAGAACCATGCTCTCTAAAATGGATCCATTTACCTCAGGGGGTGACGTAGAAAGAAAACATTAGGACTTTTATGTTTTGTCTTACCCTTTAAAAAAAAAGTTTTTGCTTTTACTTACATTTTAAAATATATATGATATGCAATATGGTAGAATAGGTACGTAATGTCTAAAAAAATACCTATATATTGGGGTGCCTGATCAAAAATTGCTCACTGAGGAGAACATGATAAATAGAGTTTGGATACCACTGCCCCAAATGATTAACACTGTGGTGGCAGTTTCCATGGAAGGTTGAGATCTGGGAAAAAGCTGGTGGAGATAGACCAGAAGGTGCACACGGAGGCAGGGAGGAGTCAAAAGGCCTAATATACTGATCACTCCTTGTCTAATGTTTTCCTTATAACCACAATTCGCGCCTTCTTTTAAGTGCACAGGCTTTGTAATCAGACAGACTCCGCCTCCTTTACTTTCTTTCTGCCTGAACTTAGGCAATATCTTCCATTATTTAAGTCTCGATTTTGTTTCTATAAAATGGAATTCATAGTATCTAAATTATATGGGTTATTATAAATAACCGTAGAGATAAGATCATAGGGATAAAAGGACTTAACATATTACCTGACAAGTAGTAAGCTCACAACAAACAATAGCTATTGTTATTTTTATTTGATCCTTACTTTAAAGACCCCTAAACCCAAAGATCCAGGCAAAGAAAATTCCAAAATTTTTGCTTGTGGCTTATGGGTAGTCATTTCTTACTCCTCAAGTAAGAGTAAAGGACTTGCCAGGTATTGTTCTGTCTTCACATATTCACCATTAAATCCCTATGAGCTAGATAATATTACTTCTTCATTTAACTTATCACAAAACTAAGGCACAAAGAAGTTGAGCAGTAACTTACCCAATATTATGCAGCTTACAACCCAGGAAATCTAGTTCCAGAGCCTGTGTTTACCTGATAGCCAAGGGTTTCTCAATCTGAGCATTATTGACCTTTGGGGCCAGATAATTCTTTGTTGTGAGGGCTGTTCTGTGCTTTGTGGGGCAGTTAGTAGTCTCCCAGCCCCCTGCCCACTGGATGCCAATAGCACCTCCCCCTCAGTCTTGGCAATCAAAAATGCCTCCAGACGTGGCCAAATGTCCCCTCGGGGGCAAAATTATCTCAAGTTGAGAACCAGTGTTGCACATCAACCAACCCTCTTTATTGCTTTAAAAATTGCTTTTGTCCTTAATCTTGAGTTAGGTAATATTGTTTTCCTCATTTTGTTTATGACAAAACTAACACACCAAGTTAATTCTTATTCTTAACTGTGTCTATAGTGCAGAGTCATGCAAGAGTTTTTAAAATCCTTGATGCTCACCCTGCATTCTGGGTCACTTGGATCAGGATCTCTGGAGCAGAAAGGGGCATGCAGGCCTCTATGCATTTATAAGCTCACCAGACAATTCCAGTGTGCAGCCAATGACAGCTCTACTCACTCTTTTAAGAATCAATTCACGGAACTATTTACTCATTATGTACTTAGGAGTCCAACTCTGTAATTACAGGGCACCTGTACTGTGTCCACTTTCCTGAGTCTCTTCCACCAAAGGCTCCCATTCTATGTCCCCCTCTCAGGCCATGTGACTTGAGCATTTCCTTTCTCCACCACACATTCCTTGTCTGTATCTGCCTCCCTGTTTTTTCATGATGGTCCTTCTGTAAAGCTCTCCTGTTGTTTTGTCCTGTCCTTGGACTCAATCACCATCACCTTTCATCTGGCTTCAGCTGAAGTCAGCTTAGACATCACCCTTTTTGGAAACTAGCCTCAATGCACCATCATTTTCTGTACCACCCTATATTAGTCCATTTTCACACTGCTATAAAGACATACCTGTGACTGGGTGATTTATAAAGAAAGGAGATTTAATTAACTCACAGTCTCACAGTTCTGCATGACTGGGGAGGCCTCAGGAAACTTACAATCATGGTGAAAGGGGAAGCAGGCACATCTTACAATCTCAGCTCACTGCGAGCTCTGCCTCCCAGGTTCACGCCATTCTCCTGTCTCAGCCTCACAAGTGTCTGGGACTGCAGGTGCCCACCACCACACCCGGCTAATTTTTTGTATTTTTAGTGGAGACGGGGTTTCACCGTGTTAGCCAAGATGGTCTCGATCTCCTGACCTCGTGATCCGCCCGCCCTGGCCTCCCAAAGTGCTGGGATTACAGGCATGAGCCACCGCGCCCGGCCAACTTGTTCGCATTTTCTTATCTTCATCTTCTTTCCTCCCTCCCATGGATCTCTGTGGTGGTCCTCTTTCTTCATCGCTTTCTCCCTGCACATTTCATCACTGCCAACCCTCTTTCCTCATCCTGAGCCATTTGCCCACTGCTGAGAGTGGTGGCTGAACTATTTTCACTCCACGGAATTCAAAGCAAAGCCAGGCAGCTGTGGCTATAACTTATCTCTGCCTTTGACACCGAATGAAGCATCGCAAGCTTCAAGTTGTGGTGAGCCTTGTTCATGCTCAGATCAGCTTCTGTCTTTACCATAATTCTAGGATTGCTTGTTATAATCCAAGAGTGATAGTGGAACAGTCATGGTCTTTCTGTGTCCCATCACTTAGGGTAATCCAATTTGTTTACCATAGTGAAGTTGCACTGTTATCTACTGGCTTCATTCTGCAGGAAAGTAAATTCCTCCTGCAAGATCCCCATCATTCAGAGGATTTTTAAAATGCACTAGAAATTTGTGGGAAAACATTTACTCTAAGTATTTTTCTTCATAGTCTCAGTTCTTAGGACAAACTATAGAATGGACAGCCTCTATGAGAAGGAAGAACTCATGCATATGAAGAGAAACTACTCCTCATAAGGTCAGAGCCAAAGGAGGCAGGGTGCAGGGGAAGTGGTCACTTCAGTATAATAAACAGGCAAGTGCCCATCTCCCTGACTCCCCTCTACTACCCATCTGACCATGACCCCTGACCATGACCCCTGAATCTTGGGCTGGGCAAAGATGGGTCTGGACCAAAGTGGGGTTCTGATGATGGCTAATCCCTAAATCTTGTTTAGTCAGGAACTCCTCACAAACCTAATTTTCTAGAATAGTCCTCCCCATCCCCCAACCCTTCATAAACATCAATAAGGGTGTCCCCTGAGGTAATGACCCTTTAATCCTCAAAAAATAGTGAGGTTAGGTGCAGTGGCTCACACCTGTAATCCAAGTACTCTGGAAGGCCAAGGCAGGCAGATCATTTGAGCCCAGGAGCTGAAAAGTCGCCTAGGCAACATGGAAACCCACCATCCCAGCAAAAAAATGCAAAAATTTCCCAGGCATGATGGCATGTGCCAGTAGTCCCAGCTACTTGGGGGGCTGAGATGGAAGGATCGCTTGAACCAGGGAGGTTGAGGCTGCAGTGAGCCATGATCACACCACGGCACTCTAGCCTGGGTGACAGAGCAAGACCCTGTCATGAAAAAGATGGGGGTGGGGATTTCTTCCCTTATAGAGAAACACCTTACTTCAGACTTACCAAAGTGCCATGTTGATTGCAATTTACTTGTATAATTTAACAGCCATCATAAAGAATTCAAAAGAAAAACCACCGTTTAGCACCAAAAGTAGAATTATGCTAGTTCATATTTTTGGCATAATTAACAATTCTAATCGTGCTTGTTTCATTAGGAACCTTTTGGACTAAAGAAGAGATTTTGTCTAAAAGAGTTGATGAAGGTGACTTATGATGATTTTTAAGTATGGCAACATTTATAGGAAAGGAAGAAAGACAGAGAGAAAGATTAAATGGTGAATAAAATCCTCCAAGAGTTTTTTCTGTTTAAATGGAAACTATTCAGTGAAGATTAGATAAATAAAAGCTTCAGTAAAATTAACGAAGAAATGAGCAGTATGTCAAATGGAAGTTTTTTCAATTTGTAGAGAAGTCACAAAAGCTGTTCCATCAGTTAATTGCCAAGCCCCTCTCCAGCTTTTCCCAAAGTTAATAAACTATAACCTGCGAGGTATTTCAAGCTGTAAACTATAGAACTAAAGTGACTACTTCTATCATTTATATATTTACTCTTAGGGTTCCTTCCTCTCTGAGGAATGATTGTTTCAGTCATCCTAAACATTTCAATGTTTTTTAACCCAAAGAGACAACTGGCTGCTTTTGTATAGATTTGTTCAAGAATAAACATTAACTGGCATTGAAAGACTGCTCTTAGAGTATATTATGCATACTACTACTCGCCAGAATAAAGTTTCAGTTATTACACCTACATTTATAGATATACACATATGTGTGTCTATATACAGACAAGTAGACTTTTATATAGAGAGACTCTGTGTATATGAAAATGAGACCTTTATTTGCTTGCGTAACATGCCAAAATATTAAAATTAGAAACTTCAGCTAAGTGCTTCACAGTTTTGCTTGAAAATATATTTTAAAATTCATGCAAAGTTGATTCACTTTCTTGAGAATCTCAAAAGAATCATGGGCCAATCTCAGTTTCACAATTTATTTGGTTCTTAAGACTGCATTTAAAAAGAAAAAAGGGGGGGAGAAATTCACCCCCAAAAGAAAAGAAATGGTAAAAATTAATCAGCGTAAATGTATGGTAAAAGGGAACTATTTCTTAACAATCATGATTCTCCTCTTTAATGAGAACATTAGGAACCAGATTTTTCTCGGTCCCTAAAACTGTCCCAACTTTCTAACACAAACCTTATTTGAAGGAAACTAATGCCTGGCCATTAACATGAGTCACAAAAATGAGAATAGCTGGATTACATTCCCAGAAAATTTATTCATCCTTCACATTACCCTCATATTCTTCTTGAAAACTTCCCTGGTCCCTGCTACTCATCTTTTCTCCAGACTTTCATTGCACACCTTCACCTGATTTATGATGTTTCTCTTCCAAGCAGGTATGACCTGCTTATGTGTCTGTCACCCCAACAAGACTGTAAGTTCCTAAGGGCAAAATCTGGGTCATTCTCAGCTTCATAGACTTAAAACAGTGTCTTTCTTTCCATCCAAAAGAAATAAAGGCCAATTGCATTACGAAAGAAAGAAAGAAGGAAGGAAGGAAGGAAGGAAGGAAGGAAGGAAGGAAGGAGAGAGAGAGAGAGAGAGAAAGAAAGAAAGAAAGAAAGAAAGAAAGAAAGAAAGAAAGAAAGAAAAAGAAAGAAAGAAGAAAGAAAAAAGAAAAGGCAGGAAGGAAGGAAGGAAGGAAATAAATGCAACTGACATCTACTTTTCAGATGGTGTGGTTCATTGCCATCATTCACTGCTATTAACACAGTGCTATTAACACAGCTTCTGTGACCTTAAGACATGAGCCAAGGATTGGACAGCATCTCAACACCGACCAACACATTCTCAGAATAGTTCCAACTGCTTTGGTATTAATCACAACATCCTTCCTCATTTCAGTATCTCTCCATAAATTAGATTCTTCCTGCCCCAAATAAATTACATTGGGAAAGATCCTGGTCATCAGATCCAGCACTGGAATAAAAAATTACTGCACTGAAAGAGATATACTATTCACTTATTCATCTATTCACTCATTCATTCCATTGGTTTTTCTCTATTTGTTTGTGTCTTTGTTTCTTCATTTATTTTTATAATAATCAGATGTGCAGAATTGGATTAATCCTAATCCTCAGTTCATAAGATGCCATCACCCTGATTTCATGCATGGTTCTACTTCATCTTAATTCATTTTATTTTATTGTTGGCTTATTCTGATAATGAAATAAATTCCCTTGATCCCAACACCCAGCTACAGAACTAGAACATTGACAGTAACTTAAAGCTGAGTGTTTCTTCCCTGTTTTGTCCCCTTTTCTTCTGATGTGAAGAAACCACTCTCCAAAATTTATTACCCTCTCACAATCATTTTAATTTATCTCATATTTTTCTATACCTAAACAATACCTTTATTCATATATACTCAAAAGTACTTCTATTAATGTTTTTGTATCAGAAAAAACAGATATTTTGTTTTATTGAGATACTAAATGAGCTTTGGTCAATGTACACATGCATGGCATGTAGTCATGGTTCAATAATCTCTGGGCAGAGGTTTCAGGCCTGGAAAGGATAAAACCACTCTTTCCTTTGGCTGATCCCTTTGTCCTTATGCCATAGCCTCAGTCCTGTGCCCAGAAGTGTGTGTGGGAGCTAGAATTCTCTCCTCTCCTCTGCCATTGGCTGGTCCTCCCAGGCAGAACATGAATTGTCAGTGGGGCTTAACTAAACTCATATTTTCCATTTGAGGGCCAGGTTCACAGCATTTTACTTGCTCAGTCAATATAACTTCTCCCCTGTTCCCCTTTTTATATTGCTACTCTAAAAATGTGTTTCCATTACATGCACATGTTCAGTCTTACAATTTAAAAGGATTATAATTCATTATCCACAGACACAAAAGTGACCCAAATGATATCAACAAATGGTTGAAGAAAGAATGATCCACTATGCAGCTGTGTGATATCACACCCCTATACCACACCTCTCTTCACCCTGCTCCTTTCCTTCTTGAATGCCATCATCTCAGTCAGCCCTGGTCAGGCTCCAGTGAATTACTCGGTAGCTTCAATGGCTTGGGATCCCATCCTGTCTCATCTCTCTCCCTCTCTGTGGCTCTACTTGGATAAATGGTACCTGTCAGTTGTAGGAAGAGGTAAAAGGCAATTGAGGTCCAAACCATATGAAAAATATCATTCTCCCCTGTGTTTGTATTTCACTTTACAACCTCTCAGTGTCTTCATAGACAGTATCTTATTTGAATTTAACAAAAGGCTTTTGTGATTTGTGGGCTAGGCATTTTAGAGAAGACAAAACTGAAACTCAGAGCAGTCAAGAAACTTGACCAAGGTTTCATGGTGACAGGAACAGGCGGGACCCAGAATTTCTGATTCTTAACACAGTCCTTTCCCTTGTACCCTCTTCTCCCACTGTCTGCAGGCCCACACTCACAGACAAGAAATGACGATCATCAACCTACAGTCTTTCTGCGGAGGACTGGAATTGCACATGGTTTCAAAATAACATGCAATGCTCTGTCTTCCGTGTTCAGCTATTTTTCTCACGACATTTCCAACAGAATAGCTATGGGGCAAAACAATCTTTGGAAAACCATCTTAGCTTATTTGCAATTTCAATCTCTGGCTCCATTTTACATCACATTTATAGAAAGCCTTCTTAAATACATGCTGCTAAGTTTATGTTTAAGAGCTTTGTAGGCACTTCCTTTAAAAGCAGACACTTCTTTACATAGTTCTGAATTATGTCAGTCCTGCCATTGTCACATTATTCTTTGAAAGCCCATCTTCAAAGTGATGTTAACAAACAGTCATGAAAGACAACAGTTTACAGCCACCTATTCCACTAGAACCCAAAGAAATGTAATTTATTCTATTTATCCAGCCCTATGGAGTTAATGGACTCCCTTCATTCATCTTGTCAATAGAAAGGTTCATGACCGTATCCCATGCACAGACAAAATGACTTTCTCAGCTTCATCTCAGTCCTGATCACTTTTCCCACCACGGCCATATTTTGGTTCATAGAGTCTCCTGCCAAGAACAGTACAGCTTAATTACCCTCCAAAATTCATAACTAATCGTGGGCATTGCACAAACGAATGAAATGTAAAGATTCATTTGAAAACATGGGGTATTATGACCCATTATATTTCATACCTTGAATATCAGTACCTTCCTGATTGATTTCATTTCAGTTTCCATTTTTAATACTAGCACTGCATGTACAGGAGGCATAAAAATCTGCTGTTATAGGCAGCATTAATCTGCACTTGTTAAAGAATGGTTTCTCACAACCAACCCACAGCTAGCTCAATCCACTGTATAACTCAAGTTCCCTGACATTCGGCTACACGTCCTCCTGGCCTTTGCAGGTTAAGGAAGCCCTCACAAAGCACCTGCAGTCTCCAAGCATTTATGAAACTGCCCTGGATTCCCTGGGGCTCTGCAGGCTGATGCGAGTCTGAGTAGAAGGGGCAGGTGGGTGTACCAAGCAGCCAGTTTTTATTCTGGCATTTGCCAGAAGGGAAATTGCTAAAATGTTTTAGGGCCCCCTCAGGAGTATAAAAATGTCACACTGCCTGTAGCTTTTATCCCTCGCTGAAACCTTTATAAGAGCTTTCCTTCTGATCCAGCTTATATTAATTAAGCACATGCTTTTGGCCAGGGTTTTTAATAACTTCATTTCCATAACAATCAGCAATTAATCACGTTCACCTTTCAGTTGCAGAAACAGGCTGGAAGACTGAGTGGCTTACCCAGATCATACAGCATAAGGGGCAGAAGCAGAATTTGAACTTGGCTCCTGGGACTCTAATGCTTGTCACCATTTAATGTCACTGCATCTCACCATACTCTAGTCATACATCTGTAGAGGAAGAAAAGTTAGGCTAAAATTAAATAGATGGTGCCTGAGTTCCCTATGGAGTCGTCATGATTCACTCACTCATTCTTTCACCAAATATTTATTGAGAAACTACTATGTACCAGGCACTTTTTTAGGTGCCATAGATATAGTGCCAATCAAAACAGACAAAACTCCCAGCCTCACAGAGTTTACATCTGCTGTGAGTCATGTTGAATACACAAGATGTAAAAAGTAAAATATATAATAAATTAGCAACCACTAAGTACTAAGAAAAAATTAGGGAGGAGAAACATGAAATGTCACAAGTTGAAAAGGGTAGAAATTTTCAGTAGTATGGCCAGAGAGTCTCTCTGAGAAGGAAACTTTTTCAATCTTTCCTGGCATTTTAGTTGCATTCAATTATCTCATTGGTATTTGTTCTTTGGGATTGTTATAGGGAAATCCACCATCTCCTTTTTAGGAAACACATCGTTAGAATCAACTCGATAATGTTAATCAGCTCTCCCATTGAATCCACTTGCTTTGGCTAGTGACTGAGGATGCAGCTAAGGACCACAAGCTGTGAGTGTGGTTTGGACAGTTCTTGGCTACTGCAGAGGCCACAGGGTGAATGAGCATGAGGCTCTGAATTCACTCTTCCTGCAGTCACATATAGATGCCCTTGATTGCCACCTTGTAATTTTCAGCATGTTACCCAACTTTTCTGTGCATTAGAAAAATCTGTCAAATGGAAATATTGGTAGTACTCACCACATAGGACTGCTGTGAGAATTAGGTGAGCGTAATCCCTGACGTCTGTACTCAGAAAAGGGCCTGGTGTATGTAATTTATATATGTAATATACATGCACAAATGTTAATAAATGAAACATTAGTTTTAGTGGCATAGTCTTTAAAAACAAAGAAGTAAAGATAGCCATACAATCTTATTTCTCTAAACAACACAGATATCAGCATGGATTGGGAGTAGCAAATATCCAGCATGAGAAAAATGTTCTTAATTTAAGGTGTGAATATAAAATAAAAAGGCAGAGCTTCTTAGAAAAGAGTTTCAAAGGCAATTCCCTAAACATCTTGAAAAATAGCAGCAGAATTGACCTCAGTTCAGGATTTTAAAGAATAACATTCATTGAGACATAGACATAATTGTTCAGGTGATTATTTTTCATTAGTTAAAAAAAATGGCAAATCCATCAAGGGTAGAGACTACATACTGCTATCATCTGTGTATTCCTGATCACTGTACATGTATAAAGAGACCTAGGACAAAGTGGCAAGAGGAGCCACAGGAAGTGTCCAATGACAATTGGGGTCTGAGCATGGCAAGCTCAAGCTTCGCTACAGGTTTGTGGCTTTCAAACTCTGCTCCAGATTGTCCTGGGGTTCCACAAAGATACTTCCGGGCCTGTAACTTGATAATGGCAAGGCCTTGAGAGCAGGGCTCTAGACTCCTGACCTCGCTTGGACTATTCCTGCATTTTCATGTTCATTGATTTTTTTATATACTCCAGTTATTTAATGATAGATTTGGAAAACTTCTAATTAAAATGGATTTTATGATATTTACTGAATGACTCAAATAATAACCCCATAGTGGTGTTTACCGTGTTTACCAGATGACCTCAATGACATAGACATCCACAGGTTTTTTTGAGATATGTATAGAGAGACTTTGACCTTCAAGAATTTTACAGCTTAATAATATAGACCAACGGTTCTCAATCCATGGAGATTTTTCCCCCAAGGGGACATTCATCAACATCGTAAAACAATTTTTATTTTCATGACTGGGGCATCATGACTACTTGTGTATATTAATAGTAAGAATCTAAGGATGCTATTAACCATCCTACAATACAAAGAACATTCCTCTCCAGCAAAAAATCACTTGGTCCAAAATGTCAGTAGCGCCAATGTTGAAAAACACTGGTATAGATAAGACAACTCAGAGAAAGATATAATCAATCAATAGTGAACAATTTAAATTTTTTAAAAGCACTGAAGGGAAAAAAAAGGTTGGTGTATTAGCCTGTTTTCATGCTGCTGATAAAGACATACCCAAGACTGGGCAATTTACAAAAGAAAGGTTTAATTGAACTTACAGTTCCATGTGGCTGGGGAAGCCTCACAATCATGGTGGAAGGCAAGGCAGAGCAAGTCACATCTTATGTGAATAGCAGCAGGCAAAAAGAGAGAGGGCTTGGGCAGGGGAATTCCTCTTTTTTAAACCATCAGATCTTGTGAGGCTTATTCACTATCATGAGAACAGCATGGGAAAGACTTACCCCCATGATTCAATCACCTCCTTCCAGGTCCCTCACAAAACACTTGAAAATTCAGGATGAGATTTGGGTGGGAACACAGCCAAACCATATCATTGCAACTCTGGCCCCTCCCAAATCTCATGTCCTTACATTTCAAAACCAATCACACCTTCCCAACAGTCCCCCAAAGTCTTAACTCACTCCAGCATTAACTCAAAAGCCCACAGTCCAAAGTCTCATCAGAGACAAGGCAAGTCCCTTTCACCTATGAGCCTGTAAAATCAAAAGCTGGTTAGTACTTCCTAGATACAGTGGGAGTACAGGCATTGGGTAAATACGGCCATTCCAAATGGGAGAAATTGGCCAAACAAAGGGGCTATAGGCCCCACGCAAGTTCAAAATCCAGCAGGGCAGTCAAATCTTAAAGCTCCAAAATGATCTCCTTTGACTCCATGTCTCACATCCAGGTCATGCTGATGCAAGTGGGTTCCCACGGTCTTGGGCAGCTCCGCCCCTGTGGCTTTGCAGAGTACAGCCTCCCTTCCAGCTGCCTTCACAGGCTGGCAATAAGTGTCTGTGGCTTTTCCAGGCACACAGTGCAAGCTGTCGGTGGATCCACCATTCTGGGGTCTGGAGGATGGTGGCCCTCTTCTCACAGCTCCACTAGGCAGTGCCCCAGTAGGGACTCTGTGCAGGGGCTCCAATCCCACATTTCCCTTCCACACTGCCCTAGCAGAGGTTCTCCATGAGGGTTCCACCCTGCAGCAAACTTTTGCCTGGGCATCCAGACATTTCCATGCATCTTCTGAAATCTAGGCAGAGGTTCCCAAACCTCAATTCTTGACTTCTGTGCAACCGCAGGCTCAACACCACATGGAAGCTGCCAAGGCTTGGGATTTCCACCTTCTGAAGCAGCAACCTGAGCTGAACCTTGGCCCCTTTTAGTCATGGCTGGAGTGGCTGGGACACAGAGCACCAAATCCCCAGACTGCACACAGCACCAGGGCTCTGAGCCTGGCCCACAAAACCACTTTTTCCTCCTAGCCTGTGAGGGGAGGGACTGCAGTGAAGATCTCTGACAGGCCCTGGAGACATTTGCCCCATTGTCTTAGGGAATTAACATTTGGCTCCTCGTCACTTATGCAAATTTCTGCAGCAGGCTTGGATTTCTCCTCAGAAAATGGGATTTTCTTTTCTATTTCATTGTCAGGCTGCAAAGTTTCTGAACTTCTATGTTCTGTTTCCCTTTTAAAACTGAATGCCTTTAACAGCACCTAAGTCACCTCTTGAATGCTTTGCTACTTAGAAATTTCTTCCAACAAATACCCTAAATCATCTCTCTCAAGTTCAAAGTTCCACAAATCTCCAGGGCAGGGGCAAAATGCTACCAGTCTCTTTGCTAAAACATAACAAGAGTCACCTTTGCTCCAGTTTCCAACAATTTCCTCATCTCCATCTGAGACCACCTCAGCCTGGATTTTATTTTCTGTATTGCTATCAGCATTTTGGGCAAAGCCATTCAACAAGTCTCTAGGAAATTCCAAACTTTCCCGCATTTTCCTGTCTTCTTCTGAGCCCTCCAAACTGTTCCAACCTCTGCCTGTTACCCAGTTCTAAAGTCACTTCCACATTTTCAGGTATCTTTTCAGCAACACCCCACTCTACTAGTACCAATTTACTGTATTAGTCTGCTTTCATGCTGCTGAAAAGACATACCCAAGACTGGGCAATTTACAAAAGAAAGAGGTTTAATTGGACTTACAGTTCCACATGGCTGGGGAGGCCTCACAATAATGGTTGAAGGCAAAGAAGAGCAAATCACATTTTACATGGATGGCGGCAGGCAAAGAGAGAGACCTTGTGCAGGGGAATTCCTCTTTTTAAAACCATCGGATCTCATGAGATTTATTCACTATCACAAGAACAGCACGGAAAAGACTTGCCCCCATGATTCAATTACCTCCCACCAGGTCCCTCCCACAACACATGGGACTTCAAGATGAGATTTGGGTGGGGACACAGCCAAACCATATCAGTTGGATTATAGAGAAGATTCAAAGAGAAAAACTTTGGAGTCCATGGACTAGAATTCAAGCTTTGCAGTTGGACAAGCCTGCATTTAATCTCAAGTCTGCCCTTAATCATTTAAGTCTGGCCAAGTTTCAATGTCCTCACTTTTAATTGAAAATAAAAATACTGACCTTGCAGGAACATTACAACAATTGAGATGATGTATTAATTATCCCTGCCACACCCAAAGTGATAGCCCTCCTTTTTTTTTTTTTTTTTTGAGATGGAGTCTTGCTCTGTTGCCCAGGCTGGAGTGCAGTGGCCTGATCTTGGCTCACTGCAAGCTCCGCCTCCCAGGCTCATGCCATTCTCCTGCCTCAGCCTCCTGAGTAGCTGGGACTATAGGCACCCACCATCACACCCAGCTAATTTTTTGTATTTTTAGTACAGAAGGGTTTTCACTGTGTTAGCCAGGATGGTCTCGATCTCCTGACCCCATGATCCACCGGCCTCGGCCTCCCAAAGTGCTGGGATTATAGGCGTGGGCCACTGCACCCGGCCCCAAAGCGACAGCCCTTCTAAAGAGAAGGCTTCACTTTTCCAAGTCACAGATCATGTCAAAGTGACTAAAACAGTTGGACTGGATTTAGTATGATGTGGTTATTTGCAACCATTTTAATGACATAACAAGTCACCACATGGTCTCTCAAGCTGATTGCTACATCAGTTGTTGCATCCCTGGACAGCCCAGAAGAGAACTCAAGATTCCTGCTGTCCCACCACAGCCCTTGGCTCCTTCATGTTCTTGGGAAGTAAATTGCCTACTTCAGGCCACTGCACAATTCCTGAGTCATACAATTCCACTTATCCCCTTTGACTTAAAAAGTAGGCTAACATACTGACAATTGCAAAGGGCATACTGAAAGCCTAAACATTTTCACAAAAACAGCTCTTACCTGTCCTTCCGGCCTCTACCTGTTGTACCCCAGCACACCATGCTTCCCAAACTGCTTTCCTGTGATCCAGGAGTCACACTTCCTAACAACCTTAAATAGGAAGATCTGTATCTTCAAAGGAGCCATCAGAGTGACCCTGAAGACAACCAAAGACAAGTACAGAAAAACAGATTTAAGCCCAGGTCAGTCTGAGTGCAAAGGCTGGGGAGGGATTAGGGCCTGCAGTTGAGAATGAGGTTCAGGTACCTAAAGATCTGCCAGAAAGCAATGTGTAGAGTATACTAGACCACACCAGCCCAACTGGTCATCAATATTTTTTTTTTGTCCTGGGAACCTCAAAATAGTCCCACTTTCCTGAAGAAAAGGAGCTGGAATATCTGAGAATTGCTTATGAAATTGTTTTGAAATAGTCCTCCTAGGCAAGTCTGAACACAATGTGTTGCTAATCAAGTGACAGCAGCTGGTCCTTGATAAAGTGGTGGATGGTCTGCCATTGCTGTCACTGCCCACATACATGGCAGGGCCTTGCTTCACTATGGTCCTGCACCAGCTTATCAACCATCAGCATAGAACCTGCTCAGGCCAGGCTTCACACACTGGGCCCTGCCCCTCTGCTCAGGCCTCTGCCAACCTGGCTTGGAATACATGTGGTTTCTTTTTTTTTTTTTGAGACTGAGTTTTCCTCTTTTTGCCCAGGCTAGAGTGCAATGGCGCAATCTTGGCTCACCACAACCTACGCCTCCAGGGTTCAAGTGATTCTCCTGCCTCAGCCTCCCAAGTAGCTGGGATTACAGGCATGTGCCACCACGCCCAGCTAATATTTTGTATTTTTAGTAGAGACAGGGTTTCTCCATGTTGGTCAGACTGGTCTCGAACTCCTGACCTCAGGTGATCCTCTTGCCTCGGCCTCCCAAAGTGCTGGGATTACTGGCGTGAGCCACTGTGCCCAGCCCCACATGTGGTTTCTTCTTATGAAACTCTGAGAATTAGCATTACTACGTACTATCATATCAAAAGTGGAATTTTGCCTCTTATTCTATTGAAAGGGGAAACTTCTGCCATTGAATAAGCGCCTGACACAGCCCCACTCTTTCATGCTCTACACTGAAAAGTCAAATCAGTCAAACAAGTCTCGCCCCAGGCTCCATCCCTTGCTAAACAAGCTTGGCCACGTTACAGCTGTAGACTTCAGCCATCTTTCTCTGTGAAGTAGAACAAATTATACCTACCTCAGAAGGTTGCTTTGAAAATGAAATAAAGAAGTGAAATAATGCTTTTACAGTTCCTTGCTTAGTGCCTGGCACTTTGAAGACAGTCAACCAGTGGTGGTTATTAGGCCAGTGTAGTGGCTCACACCTCAGCACTCTTTGGAGGCCGCAGCAGGAGGATCACTTGAGGCTAGGAGTTCGAGACCAGTCTAAGCAATATAGTGAGACCGCCCAGCTCTACAAAAAAATTGTTTTTAATTAGCCAGGCATAGTGGTATGTGCCTGCAGTGCTAGTTACTTGGGAGACTGAAGCAGGAGGATTGCTTGAGCCCAGGTTCAAGGCTGTAGTGAGCTAAGAAGGTGCCACCGCACTCCAGCCTAGGCAACAGAGTGAGATCTCATCTCAAAAAATAAAATAAAATAAATATAATAAATGCTGGTTGGTTAATGTTATGGTGATTATTACTGTGGGGGTTCAGTTTCCTTGTCTGTAAAAATGCATATTCATTCATTCATCCATTAAACACTGAATGAGGCTCCAGGGATATAGCTGTGAACAAGACAAATGAGGTTCTTGCCATTATGGAACTTACTTCCAAAAATGGAAAGACAGATAATATGAGATGAATAAATGAATGAACAATATAATTTCAAATGGTGAGAGGTGCTATGAAGAAAAGCATGGCAGGGCATTGCAGAATGACTGGTTGGGATAAGGAATGACGAACTTCTATGATCAAAGCAGGTTTCACAGAGAAAATTGCAATTTGTGCTAAAGACTGAATGGCAACAAGGAGTCAGACCAAGAAAGAACTGGGGGCAGAGGGCTTCAGGCAGAAAAAAACAGCAAGTGCAAAGGTCCCTGGGTGAGAACAAGCTTGAGGTATTCAAGAAAAAAAAGAAGGCCAGTGTGCCTGCAGCACAGTGAGCGAGCAGGAGAGTGGCTGAGACCAAGTCAGAGGGGCAGGGAAGGAGCCCAGTCAAGTGGGCTTGTGGGTCATAGTAAAGAATTTAGATTTTATTCCAAGTGCAATGGAAAGCCAGTGTGAGGTTTTAAGAAGGGAAATGATGAGTTTTGATTTCTAATTTTAAAAGATAACTTTACCTTCAGACTTACCATAAGAGGGCAACAGTGAAAGCAAGGAGCACAATTAGAAAGTTAATAACGCAGCAACCCAGCCTGGAAAGAGGGTGGAGCCACAGCAGTAATTTTCTTTTCTAATTTGTTATGAAGAATAAATGCAATAACATAAAGGCACCTAGGAGAATTCTTGGCATAAAGTAGATACTCAAAATATTTTAATTATCTTCTTCCAACTCTGTACTACAGCAGAGATCTCTATTTCCACAAAGAACTCCAAAAAGGCAGACATAACGCATGTAACTGTGAATGCCAGAGACTCGAATTGTCATCAACTGAATGTTGATACAGCAACATTATAATAAGGCCGAGCAAATGCCAATTTCAGGCTGGTACATATTGCTTTGTGTTGCCATTCTGTTAAAACTCCAAAAACTATTATGCTTGAACATCGTAAAGTCATTTTTTTAAAGTAGCACAGGGACTACAATGTGTTTTGAATTCACAATCTAGGATCACCATTCTCCTCTAGTCCAAAGAGAAGATTTAAAAATTTCCAATTTAAAACTATACCAGATTTGTCTTTCAATTAATGCTGAAGGCAGAATCCAGCTGTCTTGAATTAAAGCGGCATGCTTTGCTGCTATCAGCTAATACTATACTGGGATACTACAAAGGGATGGTTGTAAAATAAGTGCAAGGAATATACTGTTAATTGTTATTCAGATGGGGAATAAGAAATGTAATTGATGCTAGAGAAGCTCTGGATTAGCGCATTCACAATGAGTCAGGAAATAGCAGCATCATGTAATGGTTAAGAATCTGGACTCCGAAAAAAGACATCCTGGGGGTGGATCTGCCCTTCTCTTATTTACTCATGTGTGTGTGACCTTAAGGAAGTCTCTTAACCTCTCTAAAAATCAGTTTCCTCATCTGTGGAATGTGAAAAATAATAATACTTCTCTCATCAGATCGTAGTAAAGATTATACATGATCGTCAATTTAAAGTGTTTAGCATGGTACTGGCATAAAGTTTAAAGAAGTATCGGTTGTCTTTATTACCCTCCAGTACCCAGAGGCTCGGCTGAGGAAACTGGAATTATTTATTCTAGAATTAAGAAGGCTCGATGTGTAATTTAGATTTTTATGATGAAAAAACTCACAATGTATTGAGTCTTCAGAGGCTATATGCTGTGCCAAGGACTTGTGCTAAAAAATAAAAAAGGAAAGCAGCCCCCCAACATTCAGAAGCTGGCCTGGCATTCACAGCTGGGCCTTGCTGTTCTTCTGTTAGACAGAAACCATCTCACAGAATACCAGCCTCAGACATTGCTCTAAGACCATGATGAAATGAGACAAAGCAAAACCACTTTGTCAGTTCATCCAAGCACAAAGGTAAAATCAAGTCCCACCCTAAACATGCCAAGCACTCTCTTTCTCTTCCAAAATGAATGACTGCTGCTGATTTATCAATTACAGCTTTAAACTTGTGCTAGTCTCTACTCCCTATAGATAAGATGTACCGAGCTACACAATCATAGAATTGCCCCTGCTTTCCAAAAGCATCTAGTCTAGACCAAATTCTCCCCCTAAATCAACTACCCAAAATCCCATATAGGTTCTTTCTAACACCCTTTTATTGAGACACCCCACAGTTACCCATAGTATACGGGCAAGTAATGTCCCTCTGTGACAAGCCCAACTTGTTTAATTACAGGTATTTACCCTGTGGTCTTTGGCTGAAAAGCATTGACAACATACTTCATTTAATCCTTACACAACCCTGTAAAGGCATGTATTATTATTTCTATTCAACAACAGAGGAAACTGAGTTTCAGAGCAATTAAGGAATTTGCCCAAGATTCTCAACACAGTAAGTGATAGAAGACCAAAGCTCAGGCTCACAAATGCCACAATTTCATTCTTGTCTTAAAGGGTGATCATACATACACTGGAGTGGTCCAACTGATAACTGAGTATGAAAAATTATCAAGAAGCAACAGGATGGATTAGATGAGTGGGAGGGGAGCTCTTCTTAACAGGAAAGAGGTAGTATGTATGCTGGAAAAGGAAATTAATTTTCCCACCAATAAAGGGTTATTCTTTTTAAATTAAAATATATTAAAATAATTTTAAGATGGTAGAGAGAGATATTTTGACTTGGAAAAGGTCAAGCAACTTAGAAGGGTAGGTTGGCAGAGAGAGAGGCAATTCTTACTCCCCTAAATTCTATTCTTCTATGATTTGATTCAGAGATAGTGGTCTATAGCTGAATGGTACTGATGTTGGCAATGAAGATATGGAGACCACTACGGAGAATATTATCCTTTAAATGATTGGAAGCACTTGTTCATATAAACAAGAAGGAATGATTTCTCTTTTTTCATTTCAAATTTATCTTAGAAACTGAATAATATATGATTTGGTTTGATTATTTTTTAGGCAGAAAGAAGATAACTGGCAAGTGAACATTTAATGGGGAAAATATATAGCTTGCACAATTTAAAAATAAAATCTAACAGTTTGTGTGTTTAGCACCTTTCATGCAAGAATCTCGGAGCACTTTATAAAAATGAATTATGACTCCTTCCCTTCCCCCACCACCCATGAAGATGTTTTATTTTACAACTGCAAGAAAAGTCTCGTGAGAGCATGACAAACCTTGAATGCCCAGAGACACCCTGAGTTGAAGGGAGGGCTTGGGTTGATCTTTTGTACAGGAGCTCACCCACATTTGTTAGCCTGATTCCAAGAAAGTACACCCCCTCCTCTGGGTCATGCTCACTCCTCACCTTGAGCTGCCTCCAGTACTAACCCCTTTGATTCCCTCCTTAGAGGCCCCACACCTTCTTTCCTCCACCCCAGGAAATCAGTTATACAGTTTGACCTGGATTCCTTTGAATAGTCCTCAGGGAAATTGAGGAGAATGAGAAGTTCAAGGGAAGAGGCAGGCTTTAAAAATCATGTCGTTAGAGGAGGAACCTACAAGGTTATCAGACCTTCATATGGCCTCTGTAGGCTTTGTCTTAGCTAAGCTAATGTGGAATTCATTCATTTGTTCAACAAATATTACTGAGCATCAAGTTATCTATTCTAGGGGATACAGCAGTGAACAAAACACAGAGACAAATTCCTGCCTTCATGGGGTGTATATTATGGTCAGGGGAAAGTCAATAAGCAGAATAAATAAAACAAATTGTATAGTACATTAGAGTGAACTAAATGTTATGGGAAGGAAGATAAGGGCTGGGTAGGTTAGAATTTTTAATGACATGGTAAAGAAAGACCTCATTGAGAAGATGATGCTTGAGCACAGATCTGAAGGAAGTGAAGGAACAAGCTGTATAGTGCCTAGGCAAGGAACATTCTAGACAGATAAAATAGAAAGAACAAAATCCTTTACCCAGGGGGATTTGCCTGCAGTGTGGCTAAAGTGGATACAGTAAGGGGAGAGTAGCAGTCATAGGGGTAAATGTGGAACAGGAGTCAACAGATTGGGTAGGGTCTCAGACATCACTAGAAAGACCCTGGTTCTTCTTCTGCCTCAGATGCAGAGCCATTGGAATTTTTGAAAACAACAGTGATATCTTCTTAGTATTTAAAGGAATCTCAATGGTGTTTTAAGAATAGAATAAACTGAGGTGAAAATAAAAGCAAAAAGTCCAGTTAGAAGTTCGTTCATCCACCAAAAGATGATGATGGCTTGAATAACAGAGGTGGAGGTAGAAAAGGTGTTAGTATTCTCAATATATTTTAAAGGAAGAGCCAATAATGTTTGCTGACATATTGAATATGGATTATCAGAGAGGGAGAGGAGTTGAAGATGCTACCAAGAATTTTCGCCTGAACAAGTAGGAAGATGGAGCCATCTTTAACCAAGATGGGAGAGACAGAAGATGCAGCAGGTTTGGAAGGAAAGATCTGCAGCACACTGTTGGGATATCTGATTTCAGACGCCTGTTAGACATTCAAAGGAAGATGCCCAGAAGGCAGTTGGACGTATACACCTGGAGTTCACAGAGCAGTCATGGTGGAGATATAAATTCAGGCACTGTCAGAATATTGACAGTATTTACAGTCATGAAGCTGAATGAAAACACCAAGGAAGTGAATACAATTGACAAAGAGGAGAGGAGCAAGGACTAAATCCATTAGATGTTGGGGAGATGAAAAGGAACCTGTCAGTGAAAGAGAAGAAGCCATCGATGAAGTGAAGATGAGACAAGGAATGGGGAGTATGCTAGAAATCAAGTGAAGAAACAATTTAAAAGAGAAGGAAGTAATTGCTGCATCTAATGCCTCTGATAGGCCAAGCATAAGCACTGAAAATTGACTGATAAATTTGGCGATGCAAGGTCACTGGCAACTTTGAGGAAAGTGGTTTCGGGAAAGTGATGGAGATTTGTATGGGAGAAATAATATGTATATTTGATTGGAATAACACTAGAGAGGAAAGAAGTTAGTGATATGAGAAATAAAATTACTAGAGCAATGTCCTTGAATAGTGGAATTCACTACAATGGCTGGCTGTCCTTAGATAGGAGCACAGATATTTCTTCTATATAGCAACAGGAGGGAAGACAAAGTAGAACAGTACAGGTGCTGGAAGGCAGGCAAATATTGTGGTGGTTGTCTATAGGAAGTTAGCCTTCGATTGCTTCTTTGTTTGCAGTAAAAATAGGAAGCAAAGTTATATCCAGTGACACAGAGATACTGGACATTTGAAAAATAAGGAAAAAGTAAAAAATTGCTACCTAGAACAGCAGGGTGAATAAATAAAGAAAATATAGTATGATTCCCAGGAAGTGCTAGATATTACCACCAGGTTCATGGTCATAAATTTAACAATAAAATGAGTTATGATGTTTGTGTGTGTGTGTGTGTGTGTGTGTGTGCTTCAAGCACATTCAGTGCATAAGTACAGGCATAGAATTGGCAGGAAATAGGAATTTACCAAGGTTGGGGTTTTGCCAAGTGAGTATCAGGAAGCAAGAGGGTCAAGGGAGTTGAGGGTAGAGGCGAGATGGTGATTATAAAGACTGGCCATAGTATTTAAGTTGGAAAGGGAGGAATATGATTAGAAAGGAGAGGGAAAAGGGGATAGAATCAATGGGTGCAAGAGGAATTGGATTGGGAGGGAAGGAGAGGAGAACAGTGTTAGGATCAGTAGACTGCAGATCCCAGGAAGTCTAAGGAGTGATGGCATCAGGCTATTAGAGGGATTAAGCTGAAAATGCAGGAAGTGGTGGTCAAATGGTGGGATACTTGAAAGTGAAATTATGAATAGGTTGCACAAAGTATAGAGGAATGGAACTGCAAAGAGATCACTGAAGGAAAGGAGCTCCAGGACAGGAACTGAGTGGTCAGGATGGTGGAAGCATCTTCTAGATATTAAATTAGGGAGAATTAGGGAGGAGAGGATGTCAGTGAGCCAAAAGCCAAAATCAACAAATGAACAAAAGTGATTCAGGGGTCTGTAGAAGACTATACCAAAGATGGTAGATGACAAGGGCATAAAGCCACCTCTTTCTTTAGAAAAGAGGGAGAGAGAACGCATGGTCTGGAAACTGAAATGCTGAACTGAGCCACCCAATTGTACTGCCAGGCCCAGTGCTAGGTGAGGTGAGGGAGGGAAAAAGCCACCACTGGAGAGGGCTGCGAGAGGAAGGGATTGTGCTCAGAGAAAGTTTAGATTTAGAGTAGTTGTGCATGCATGCACAGACACATATAAACACATTTGTACATGTACACACTGTCTCTCTCACACACACATACACATATATGTACACACACATATACTTGTACACTTACACACCTTTGCATACATGCACACACACAAGCACACTTGTACATACAAACACCCTCACACACACGTGCATACACATACACACAAACACACTTGTACATGCACACATCCTCATATGCACACATATACATGCATGCACATACAAACACTTGTACAGGTACCCTCGCACGTGTGTGCACACATGTACATAAATGCAAACACATTTGTACATGCGTACCCCCTCACACATGTGCACACATGTACATGCACACACATACAAACAGACTTACACCCTCTCTCCCACATACACACACAAGCACAAGGAAACATACAGATGAGTGTATGTTTAAATAGGTGGACATTATGGTATTTGAAATATACCTCATTAAGCTGGGTTTTAAAAAGTAGAAAACATATAGAGCTTTATAAGAGCAAGAAAATCAGACCCATGGCGGGGAAAGCAAGTCATCAAGAAAAGTATTTTTGAGATAGTAGCTAATGGAGATGTCCCAATATGAAAAAAAAGTATTTCATTTTTAGCACATAATGGTATTATCATTTCCTTCTTTGAATTCACAGTGCTCTCTTTGAGTGTCATTCATGGCCTTTCTATCACACTCATATGAGTCTCTGTCCTAAATTTTCTACTTGCTTGGAAGGCTCCTGTGGATCTGAAGACTGTCTCCTTCAGTTTGCTATCCTCTGTTGGATGTAGCACCATACATAACTCACTGGAGGCCCACATAAATATTTCTTTAAATGTGTTGAATTAGTTTAAATATTTATTATTTCAAAGTATCAAAGTAATGCCTTATAAAGGCATTTTCAAAAGAAACAGAAAATAGTTCAATCAAATACTACATTTATTCATATGAAACTTAAATCAAACATAAATGAGAATATTTTGTTAGTTATTATCATTAACTAATAATCATCTTTGAGCCTGGGGCTGAGAAAGAAATGGTAGAGATAAATATCAAAAATATGTCCAACATGTAACTTTTGGAATTATATGGTGGAAAAAAACTAGTGTAAAATTGCCAGAAAAGCTATTTAAAGCAGAAATATGAGATTAAAAATGCCAAAGGTGTAAACAACTTTAATCTGCTAATTTATTACACATGTCTGTTAGAGCCAAGTTTGAAGATTAGATCTTGGATATTTTCACTGCGTTACTGCAAAGGAAACTAAAATTTTCTAAACTCGAACGCTATGCATTTTTCGTCTTTTAGATGTCACTTCATCTCCCCTGAAACCAAGTTGATTTCTATAATTTAAGCAGTGTGAATATATACATTCATATAGACATTCATTTAAAATCTGAAAGGCACTAAGACAATACTTAACCCTGTCTGCACTCCATCCACAGACTGCTTTAGGGAACAGACTGGTTATGGAAATAAGACTTACATTTTTATTATTAAAACAGCAAATATGGCTTTAACTAAAAAAGATAATTTAGGGGAACTTGCTAAGGAAAATCATCCATTCAATCAAATATGAAGGAGGTGTGAAGATGTATTATAGACTCCATATTACACACCAGACCCAATTACCTGCAACCCTTTCTTCTCTTACAACCCAAAATCTACCTTGGTTTCTGGACATATCTAATTCTAAATGCTAGCTTAAGCCTCTACCTATATAAGGAAGCAGTCACAATAAAAACTGAGGTGCAGTCAAGTATTTAAAAGATGATTCACTACCAAAAGTAAGTGGTTTTTGAATAGGTCTATGTTCTCAAACTTTCCAACAAGGCTCTGCTACCTCTGCTCCTAAGAAACACCGTTCTCCAGTTACACCACCATGAAATGTGACCTTTCTCCCCAGCTGGCATGGAGGTTTAGCCACAATCATTAAAAAAGTACAGGTGTGCTGAAAATTCAAGCTAGCACAACAGTGGCATGGTGTGAGACTTGGTGGTTGGGAAGGGGAAATTTACAGGAAGGCTTGCACAAAATTGAATCTTTAATATAATCTGAATAATGTGAGCTCTTTCAGCCAGATATTTGGCCTCCCCCTTCCCTGTGAAATATCATGATTCACTGAGAGCTTATAAAAAACTGCATTTCAGGGATACTGTAGGATTTTGGTGTACAAAGTACAAATATTTCCTACATGTATGACTTGTCCAAGTTTCACTCTGCCTTGTCTCCTTCCACATGAATCCCCAAAAGAAGAAGTCACTGATTAGTGACTCTTAACCAGTGGAGAAGCTGGTGATTTGAAAGGGTAGAACTGGGACCAGTGATAAAACAGGGGAGGTGAATTTCATTTCCACATACAAAAGAGCTTGATTGGAGCAGCTACAAAGAACAACGAACTGGCCGGCCTCAGTGGCTCACGCCTAAAATCCTAGCACTTTGGGAGGCTGAGGTGGGTGGATCACCTGAGATCGGGTGTTCAAGACCAGCCTGGCCAGCATGGTGAAACCCCATCTCTACTAAAAATACAAAAATGTGAGCCAGACGTGGCGGTGGGCGCCTGTAATCCCAGCTACTCTGGAGGCTGAGACAGGAGAATCCCTTGAACCCAGGAGGCGGAGGTTGCAGCGAGCCAAGATCACGCCACTGTAGTGTCTCAAAAAAAAAAAAAAAAGAAGAAGAACGAACTTCCCTGGAAAGCTTTCCATCACTGGAGGTGTTCAAAAGGCAACAAGTAATCATCCGTTAAGACATCATTGACCAGAGATGATGAACTTTTTTCATATGTTTGTTGACCCAATAAATATCTTCTTTTCAGAAGTGTCTGTTCATATCCTTTGCCCACTTTTTCATGGGGTTTTTTTTCTTGTAAATTTTTTAAAGTTATTTGTAGATTCTAGATAGATTCCTTGTAGACCTTTGTCAGACGGATTGATGGCAAAAATTTTCTCCCGTTCTGTACATTGCCTGTTCACTCTGATGATAGTTTATTTTGCTGAGCAGAAGCTCTTTAATTAGATCCCATTTGTCAATTTTGGCTTTTGTTGCAATTGCTTTTGGTGTTTTAGTCATGAAGTCTTTGCCCATGCCACACGTGAGGCTTAAAACCTAGATGATGGGTTGATAGGTGCAGCAAACCACCATGACACATGTATACCTATGTAACAAACCTGCACATTCAGCACATGTATCCCAGAACTTAAAGTAAAAAAAAAAAAAAAAGACATCATTGAGTGGCTTGGATAGATGACCCAAAAGACCTCTTCAAACTCTAAGGTTTTATTTCAGATCCCCCAGGGAAGCACTCTAATGCGGTGTATTTCCTGTTCTGACAGTGCCACATTTCCTCTCACCTCTGATTCTTTGGGTACAGCATTCCCTCTGTCTGGGCACTCTTCTACCTTCTTGTCCTTCAAATATGAGCTTACAAATCAATTCCTTTTTTACTTTCTTCCAATCTTCCCTGTCCCAACAAATTAGGGTAAGGACTCTTTCCTATATATTTTTATGCAACTCTACACCTCCCCCATCAGACTCCTTAAGGGTTAGGAATGTATCTTTGTCATAATTCAACTTTCATCACCAAAACAGGGCTTGCAGCCTAGCCAGTTCTCAAGGACTGGGTGTTAAATGACTTAATTACTTTGTTAATGAAAACCCTGCTATGGCTTCCCCAGAAATCCATTGCACCTAGAAATACTTTAACTGGAGATACTTTACCTTGCTAAATCATACTATTCTATGGTTCTCAAGTCATTTTCCCACCCAAGACAGGCTCCCTGGCTTGATGAACGGAACACCAGTACCATTCGCATGCTATAGGAATACTTGGATGCTGTCATTTCACAAAGTGATCTTTAGGAATAGAGCAATTAATTAATACCCACCAGGGCTGCACATGCATAAAAGGCCACCAAATAAAGGTAATAAGTCCATTTACATCAAAACTGTCTTTTGGCCACCAACTGCATGACTCAGTTTTTCATTTGGGGTTATTGAACTGAGTTTGAATTAAGAGTCCCAATAAGTCCATCCCAGAGGGAAATTTGCCACGGCCAATCCCCACAAGTGAACTCATGGACCTCCCACCCACTTCTGTTTTTAAAATGCTCTAAATATCTGTGATGTGCAAGACACCTTGCTCAGCTATTTCCTGCAACTGTCTGCGGGGGCAAAGAGGATAACTTAGCCCTAAAACAATGACTGTGTAAACATCAATCCAGGACCTTTAATAATAAGAAAATAATTCAAACCACTTTTTCACACAAAATGAAACACATCCATTAACATTACTGACTTAAGAAGATCAAACAACCTCAAAATTAAATAAGTGACTAAATAATACTCAAATCTACAATTCCATCATTTCTCACATTCCTCCTGCTTTTAAACTATGACTGCTTCATTACTGTTTTGTAAAAATGTCTTTAGTCATTGGAAACTCCATAAGTATTGTTGGCAAGAAGAATCAGGCAGCCTGTGCTTGCCCTTTATCATAACTGAAGATGAGAAATATGCACAGTTGACAATCCCATGACCAGCCTTCAACTGTCTCCCTACTTCCTGACAAATCTGAGACCTTGCTCTCTCCCAAGCCTTTCTGCTCAACCACAATGTTCAGTACCTTCTTCCTGTCTCTTCAACACCTCCCATTAAAAAAACACTATCTTCATTCCTACGTGGCTGTTTCTTATCTATACCCATGTTTCTCAAACTTTCATATGCTTTGGAATTGCCTGGAGATCTTGTGAAATGCAGATTCTAAATCTGGAGATCTAGGGTGGAGCCCAAGATTCTGCTCTTGTAAGTGCTTTCAGAGACTGCTGATGTGTCTTGGCCCTGGACCGTATTTTAAAGTAGCAAGGACTCAGCACAGAATCCATCAATCCAAGTAGCTTCAGTACGTCTGCAAATTCTTGAAATTTTAAGTAAATGTTTATGTATATGGAATGTTCTAGGGAAAGAATTCAAACTTCCATCAGCATCTCAAAGAATGCAAGAGTTAGGTGCAAGAGTTAGGAGCGATTGGCCAATGCTGCCACTGTTCTATTCCCAGGTATGTCAGATCACCTCCCACTCTCTCTTACTAGCTGCTCCAAAATCATTCATCAAGCAATCCCACAAGCAACTGATTTTCTTTAGCCAACCAGATCTACATTATTTGAAGTATCTGCTATGGTGGACATATTCATTTTAAGGTGCACCAGCCAAAAAAACAAAAACAAACAAACAAACAAAAAATGATGTTTGAAATGAATGACCCAGAAACATAGGAGTTAAGACAACATGATGTTGGGCAAAGAAAATGATTCAGAGAAGCAGAAAGACCTGAGTTTGAATATTAGCTCTGTATCCACTTGACTCTAGGAACTTCTATGAGTTAGTTGCTCTGTGTTTCAATTTCCTCTTCTGTAAATAAGACCTATTTGTAGGCCTTTTGTCAAGACAAAATAACAAGGACAAACTTCCCGGCACATAATGTTTACAGAATTAGTTAGTTACCAGTTCCTCTCCTCTCTATCGTAGAAGAAGAGGACAGATTAATTAAGATGTAAATTATTAATAAATAACTTAAAAGTAAGCTGTGATAAATTAAGATCACACTAAAAGAAGTACCTTTTTAGACCTGAATTCTGAATAATAAGAAAAATATCTGGTTTTAGATGACATCTAGGCCAGGTGCGATGGCTCACGCCCGTAATCCCACTACTTTGGGAGGCCGAGGCAGATGAATCACTTGATGTCAGGAGTTCGAGACCAGCCTGGCCAAAGTGGTGAAACCCTGTCTCTACTAAAAATACAAAAATTAGCCAGGCATGATGGCACGTGCCTGTAGTCCCAGATACTTGGGAGGCTGAAGCAGGAGAATCACTTAAACCAGGGAGATGGAGGTTTCAGTGATCCAAGATTGTGTCACTGCACTCCAGCCTGGGTGACAGAGCAAGACTCCATCTCAAAAATAATAATAATAAATAATAAAAATAAATAAATAAATAACATTTCGATACGTTTTCTCTAGGACCTAAAATAGTCTAGGACTGAAAATTTTGGTGGAATTTTTAAGGGAAAATAAGAAATTCTTATGCCACATTTCAACCTTTCCTGATTTGAGGAAATTGTGTGAGAAGAGCTTGCTATTCAAGAACTTGCAGCAAATATGTGTTCAATTATAATACAGTGCTATAAAACTGGGAAAGTTAAAATTAGTTATTGACAGACTCTGGATAGGAAAAATGTTTTCTAGAGATAAAATGATTTCCAAGGTGAAGAATCAGGCTTAGGGAGTTTTGATCTTAAGTCTTTCAAATACGACAATAAAAATGCCATTAGGTTTCTTATCATACAGCAATTTGGCCTTCATTAGCTCATTTTCATTGAAATTCAACACAGTTAATCACTGTAGGACTAATGTAAAAAGTCCCCCACTGCATGCTCATTGTGAAATTACACCTTTACTTGTTTGTCCCACAAAATTAAGTATTTACAAGATTTCATGGCCCCAACACAGGCATTTAGAAGCATACTTATTATCCTATCATATTCTATTTTAAAAAACTACTCGAAGAATTTGGAAGCAAAGCAATCTCTTTGGACAAATTTGTCAAATAATGAGAGTTCAAAGCTCTAGTTATCTCTTATTCTAAAACACTCCGTTATCCCTCAAGGATAAATTTTTCCATTTCTGATAAGGTCCTCATCCAATCCAAATTATAAGCAAAGGAAGTCTTGGGAGCAACAGGGTTGGGGGAGATGTGTTTACTTATTTTTCCATGTAACGCCATCAAAGAAATTTAAAGGAAGAAAGAACTCACCCTAAGGATATCTTCCAGAAGCAAAAATTCAGTAAGACATTTTCTTCATCCTCCTAAAATACAACCTTTATCTCTGAGGAAATTGAACCAATACTCAAGATCCTACCTCTCAAAGCAATGTTTTTCCAAAAGAGTTGTCCTTATTCATCTAATATAAATATCATCTGTGGAGTCACTTTTTTATACCCCCAAGATTTACATTAAAGCTAGTTTAAAAATAATTTGCCATTTACATATGTTTTCACTAGATTGAAAGTCAAAAGCTCTTCAACCCTTGCCATTCCGGCAACAAAAGACAGAACCACATTATCTTAAGGTTTTACTCAGCAAGATAGAGAACGGAGCCTCTGAAGAGATAGGTTTCTCGTGCGAAGGGTTAAAAGAGGACACCAAACCACCCTCTGGAAGTCATTAAGTTACAAAGCCCCAAGAAGATAAAAGTTTCCATTTTCTAAAATGTAAATCAAAAACATATTCATTAGTATTGCAAAACAAACATGCAAATCTTCACCACTTGAAAAGCTCGGCTAAATATGTACAAGGGCTAAACCCAAAAATACATCTGGTCCTCGGTTACAGAACTTGCTTTTTTGGTTTTATCTAAAGAGTTTGTCTGTCTTCCATGGTTGGCTTCTTGGATTATTGCAATTCATAATAAGCCTTTTAGCTAAGGATGAAATAAACAAAGATAAAGTCTATGTCCTAGTTTTAAATGGTCCAGATGGGATGATTTTTCCATATGTTTAGCACACCCACTGTTTATTAATCATTGCTAGCAGAGCTTAGAGAATTACTGGGTTTATTGCCTGGGCAAGGGCTGAAATTTACAGTTTGTATAATCTCTGCACACCTTTTTAATATTCCATCCTTTCTGGATTGCCCTTTCTGCTTTATTCAGGTTGAGTGTGTGTCCAAATCCCTGTGTGTGTGTCTGTGTGTCTATGTGGGTGTGTGACTTATTATAGGGCAGGGAATCTCAGCCAACTGATCAAGAGGAGGTTTTCGTGCCCAAATTTGGATACAATATCAGTCTGAAGGAATGTGTTACATCATAACAATGACAATGTGGGTAAAACTGGCAATACTTGACTCACCACCCTTTACAGTGATTTACTTAGTGTCTGGCAATCTGTTTTTCATATGATGTTTGTTTCTCATAAACAGTTTCAACATGGGAGAGTATGGTGTCAAGATAACAGTCATATCATTCGTCATTGCAGAACATCTACGGGGCTTGCCAAGAAAATACGGTTCTTTTATCCTGGGCTTCTTACAAGTCCTTGTGTTGTGGCGATTGTTTCTCATCAACGTGCTGTGTTGCTTTTTGAAACCTGACCATCATTGCCTCAGTTATGTTGTCATTGCAATTTATCATTAAGTGAGATGAAGTCCATGGAAGGGTCAGCAGGGGTAACAGTGGAGGAAAAGAGAGAGGAGGAAGTCCTGGGAGATGGTACAGCCGCAGAGACGGGAAAGCCTGAAGCAGTGAGCTAAGGAAACAACAGAGGCACCTTGATTGTTTCATTTCTGAAATGGATTCAGTCTTAGCTCGAGTGTGTTGTCTCCATTTTCATAAGTATACCAAGCCCTCCAGCATATTTTTAGTCATAAAATAGTTAAAACAACAATTTGAGGGGCAAAAAGGAGAAACCTCTGTCTTTTTATATCACCATCAGAATGCCACCCCATCAATCCGAGGGAATTCTGACAGAAGGCTTCCATATTTGGAACACCCCCTGAAACTTGGAAGGAGAAAAAAGGGGGGAAGATATTCTTTAAAATTTCTTTTAATAGAATTGGTTAAGACAGTTAATGCAGAAAATGTTCTATTAATCATGTATGCTTTTTATAGTATTTTTACATGGTTTTTGAGATGTGGTTTTATATCTTCAGCAAATAGAAGAATGGAAGGCCTCCATAAAGCATAAGGATAGACAGCTGCGGGCACAGAAAACTGAATATTCAGTCATTCAAAAAAAGGCTTTGAAATCACTCTGCTGGAGTCTTGCATACAATAATTGAGCTCTGGCCAAGCATCTTTTATGACATCCTACCCTATGCTGTAGGCACATAACATTTGCCCTATAAAATAAAATATAGGATTTGTGTTCAGGAACTAGCATTTTTCAAACCAGTTACATAAAGGTGCAGCATTTAACTCATGTCAGTGGACGGAAATGATCTAATTTGAATTTGAAATGTTAATTCTATGACCCAGATTTTGGTCAGATATTATGGGAAATCTACATATAGAATCTCCTTCTTCTGATAGCTCACCTTAGAATGTGTGCCCAGGAAAGCTGCTTCATTTAAAGCATTGTCATCAGATAAACTGGTACCCAGCTTCCTCCAAGATGACAGACTAAGCCCACTTTCCAATTCAAAGGGGAAAAAAAAAATACATATATATATATATATATATATATATATATATATATATATATATTAAAGTGACTAAACAAGAAAGAAAAATATTGTTTATTTCAGGGATCCAGTATATATAGAGTATATCTCAGAAGAAAACAAAATTGGACTTATCAGTTACAAAGTTCAGCCACCTTCTGAGAATGTCTTGCAGTGGAAATGAAAAAGAAACTTCTAGAAGGTCAATATCAAGTGATCCTTAAAAGAACCGGCAATGCACATAGCAAACTGCTAAATGGTAGGACTTAGCAGAAGAACATAGAAAAGGCAGGCCTCTTTCTAAAAATACGTTTCCCACCAAAACTGTCTCTTAGGCAGAGGAATGTCTTATCATCACTGAGTAGCAAATTCTAACCAATATTATTGAGGGCTCTGTTTATAGTTTCTTATCCCCCAAAGTGATTGTGCATGTAGAGAGTTCCCTCAGAAAAACTGGATAATCAGAATAACTCAGCTTTTCTTTTTTCTTACTGAGCAATATAACAAAACCCAGAACTTACTCCAAGCAAGAGGAAATTTGGAAGGGACAGTGGTCCAAGCAACTAAATCACATAACTGGATCAAAATGCTACCTGAAATAAACTCACAGTCTTTTCCTCAAAACTTAGATTTCCCCATCCCAATTTATGTTAATAAATACCCAAAGTCTCCCTGCTGTCCAAAACCTCTTAGTTCAAACATATGTTAGTCACCAAGTGGTACCCATTCTTCTTTCAAAATGTATATACTCTGTCATTCAGTTTTTTGCTTTTGTTCCCCATTGTGCCATTCCAATTCTGCTCCAATTATTTTGGCTACGGGTCTATGGGATGGATTGCTAGGGAGAGACTAGAGACAAATGAAGGTGAAAATTTAAAAGGGTCTTGCAATAATCTAGGTAATGGTGATGCAATAATGGGGGTAGATGGTAAGGACTACCCTACCTAGATTATCTAGATTATTGCAAGAGCCTTCTAAATGTTTGCCTTCATTTGTTTCTAGTCTCTCACTAGCAATCCATTCTACAGACCACTAGCCAAAATAATTTTTCTAAGAAATCCTTTTCATTCTGTCACAATCCCTCTCAAAAGTGGCCAAATGTTTTCCACTGACTACAGGACCAAATACCAAACTTAAGCTGATGACATTGAAAGCCCATTGAAATCTAGCCTACTACCCTACCAGCATTTGGCCTGATTACCTTTGATCATACCATATCAATTTCTTACCCTTAATCTCTCACTTCCCTTCTCTTTGCCTGTCCAAATCTCCCTAACTTCAGTTCTAGTTCAGGTCCTTTCTGCTCCACGAGGCCTTTCCCACTATCAAAGTGCACACTGATGTCTCCCTTCTCTGGACCACTAAAACTCAGCCTAAATGACTATATTGTAAATACAGATACACAACCATGTGCTGCCTTGTACTATTAATAGTTTTATGTCGGCAGGGCGTGACGGCTCATGCTGTAATCCCAGCACTCTGGGAGGCCGAGACAGGCAGATCGCTTGAGCCCAGGAGTTTCAGACCAGCCTGGCCAACATGGTAAAACCCCGTCTCTACTAAAAACACAAAAATTAGCCAGGCATGGTGGTGCATGTCTGTAATCCCACCTACTTGGGAGGCTGAGGCAGGACAATTGCTTGAACTGGGGGGGCAGAGGTTGCAGTGAGCCGAGATTGCACCACTGCACTCCAGCCTGGGCGACAAAGTGACACCCTGTCTCAAAAATAATAATAATAGCAATAATAGTTTTATGTTCATTTTCTGTTTTCTTTACTTGACTATATGCCCCTGAGAGACAAGGATCATTTCTAAAATGCACTGGTAACTGCCACACCGAGTACCCGTTTTATGCCAGACGCAATGTTAGGTACCTTCCCAGAGCTATGTCACTAATTCTAGGCTATAAACTCCATGGAGACATGTCTGCCTTGCTCCCACAGTGCCTGGCAAAATGAACAAGTAATATATAATTATCTGGGCTCCATTGCCTTGATCAACAATTAGCACCCAATTTTGAAAAGAATTTAAAAGCAACACAGAAAGTCCTAAGACATTTTGCAGAGTCACAGACAACGGTCAGAAAAAATACTCTGGTAGAATGAAAGTATTCCCTCCTATCCTCAGAATTGGCTCACCAATGTCATTGGTTCCTTTTGTGCTACATAAATGAACTTTTGTGACACTTCATTATTTTACCATGATTTTCCACGGCTACACCCATGACTATCAGACATTTGTTAGGGCTTCCTGAGAGGACTGGCTAGAACTCTGTTTCTGAGTCATCATTTTTGTCACATAAAAATACCTGACTAGATTATACTATTTAATAATAGTTGTTTTCATTTTTGCACACTTTCAATCATTGAGTTAAATCTGGGAAGAAAGTAAGTTTCCCAAAACCATTTCTACTGCTTTACTCCTCACTTCTAGATTTTTATCCTTTTGTCTCAAAAGAACCCTGGAACCACTGTAGCAATATAAGAATAGCCCATTGGAAACAGTCAAGCTGCTCTCTGACAGGCAAAATGAAATGAACGCAGATGCTCAATGCTCTTGTTGAATTAAAATGAAAGTCCAGAGATCTAGATGACCCAAATTGCATATCTACACAGGTAAGACTACCCAAATAAACCCCACCCAGCACTCTCCTTACATTTTTCAGAATCGAGAAAGCCACTGATGCCAACTCAAATGAGAAATTATAAAGCCAAACTTGGCCCAGTAGGGAATTATATTTTATCCTACCACATTTTTACATTTGCATGCATGGCACCCTTCAAAGCCAGGAGTTTATATTTTCCCACCAAGGCTCAGCATGTGTGAAAAATGCTTTCCAAGAAAGGAAGACTGGCTAAGAGGCAAATGCAAATGTGAATTTGTGGGCAAACATACGCAATTTAACCTGAACTGGGATCTTTCCTCCATGTCTTGGATAGACTTGATAATAACCCAAGTTTCCTCCAGACCAGAATCTTGAACCTCAAAATCCAAAAAAATAATGGCACAAGGAGAGAATTGTTCAAAAAGCAAATGCATTTCTCAATAATGAATATAACATACAACTGGAGAAAAGTGGGGAGTGGGATTCGGCAGGAGATAATGTGCTCAAGGCTGGGAATTATTTGCTAGCTTATTCTTTCCATGAAAAGGATTATCTCTGTGGCTATGAATAAATTCCAAAGCCTCGGATTCCAAGGGATCTTTTTTCCTTAGAAAAGAGACAGTACTAGAATTCAGCTCTACTGCTTTCCAACTCGAAAAGGATTCTCAAAATAAAGATATGTATACAGAGGGTCTTGTGCTAAAGGGGATAATCATATTTACCTACTGTTTTCTCTCCCCACTGTTCCAAAAAAAGAAAGTTTGCTGTAGGTTGTCAAATATGTATACGCAAGTTTAGGTTTTAGAGGATATACGCTTATAGCACATATCAGAGCCAGAGGAAGTAGCTTACCTAACCTGGAAGACAGAGAGGAAGTGGGGAAAGTTGCCACACTAATCTCCATCTTTCCTGGGTGCTGGACCTTGAACCACATTATCTCATCCCTGAGCAACTTAAGATGATTTATGTGCAACAGCACTGACTCTTTCTTTTTGTGTCTTTGAAAATGAAAGAAAAAAGATCTCTACGAGAGATTATATGAAGATTTGAAATTTATTTAATGCATGGTTGTTTGCCTACATATGGCCTAGGCCTGTTTGGTACAATCTGCCAAGTATCTTCAAAGGTTCCCAGAAAACTCCCTAATTCGATTCCACTGCCCTGACTTTTCTGTATCATTTTAATTGTTCCAATGAGATGTGAAATGCTGCGTAGTGAACAGCCTCAAGCACTGATAAACCAGCAATTTGCCAATCTGGATGTTAAAACCAAACAAGCAATACAGAGATAGTCCTTACTCCAAGCAGAATGTCTCTTCAGTGGTCATGTTGCTTTTAACTTTTTTGCAAGAAACATTTTATTTGGAGCAGCTTCAATTGCTGAACATGAAAAATGACAAAAGCAGGCATTGGAGAGTAGTATTGTGCCCCCGGCTCAGGATCCTAAGAAGTAAGCAGACTTTTCTGCAGTGTGGTGCAGTGCCAATCCATGAAGAGGAAGCCAAAATCCTAAATGAAGGCTGAGCTCATAAAACTGTTCTTTCCCTTATCAAGATGAGGTCTTAGGCTCTCCGATTTCAAGGGTTTGCTTTGATTTTTCTTTTTCTTAGGCCGGCACAAGTAGCTCTCACATGGTTTGCCTTAGACATTAATTAATATGGGTAATGACTAACAATTCAAGTAGAAAAAAGCAAAATCAACTAGCAAATAGGAGCTATTTACTAAATATTCAGTATGTGCAAGGTACCAAGCTAGACGCTCAAAGAACACGAAAGAATAGGCAATATGGCTCCATCCTGAGTTTCTCACAGGGCTTATTGAAGAGCAGAGATGAGAGATAACAATAAAATACAAGCTAAGTGTCAAAAATGGCCAGACAAATCAGTGTTTTGGGAGTTGGAGACAGGCCTGGGTTGGATAAAAAAGGCTGAAGAAAACAAATGAGATTTGAGATGAGCCTAAGAAAGAAGAAAATTCAGACCAGTGGAAAAAAGGGAATGGACCTTCATGGCAACAGGTAAACAGGTACAAAAAGATTCTTGCTGAATCTGACAATGTAATTATTAGAGCTTATATGTATTTTTCTTTTTCCTAGGCCTAATTAAAAACTATTTAAATATTTCTGTTTATTAATGACCCTACAAAGGGAAGTAGGCTTTAAATAAATCAACAATTAGGTTGAGATTGACCAAAGCTACATAAACAATTTTGCAGATATTAATGGGCCCTATCAAAGCCTAGTAAACAATTTTGCAGATATTAATGGCTACTACTACAAATATGAAAAGATACATATTAGTAATAAATAGGCTGGACATGGTGGCTTATGCCTGTAATCCCAGTACGCTTTGGGAGGCCAAAGGCAGGCAGATCGCCTGAGCTCAGGAGTTCGAGACCACCTGGAGCAACATGGTGAAATCTAAATACAAAATACTAAATACTAAATGCTAATATTAAATACTAAAATAAAAAAAAATTATCCGGGTGTGATGGCATGTACCTGTAGTCCCCGCTACTCGAGAGGCTGAGGCATGAGAATTACTTGAGCCCCAGAGGTGGAGGTTGCAGTAAGCCAACATCACGCCACTGCACTTCAGCTTGGGCTACAGAGTGAGACTCAGTCTCAAAATAAAAATATAAATAAATAAATAAATAAATAAAACAAATAATCACTAACATGAAGAAATGTAGTGCTGTGTTGCACATTTGGTCTGAAACGTAGATTCTTTCAGACCCATGTTGAGGAGTAAATGTGGAAGTCTTCCTACTTGCTGACAAAGCTCTAGTGAGATCTTTGAAGACTGAGCCTGTGTCATTCAGCTCTGCATACTTAGTTCCTAACAAATTGTCTGGGATTATAGTAGATATTCAGTTAGTACATGTTAAACTGAACTGGTCTAAATCTCATTTCAAGCTGATCAAAATATGGACATTTATGAGCTATAATTTCTCCAGTATTAATTGCTATAGAGTAGATTATGCTTAGAATAACCTTAGAAAGTATTTTCTCACATCATTGGTTTTTAAATCCCCATTTTTGGCCATCATTATGAAACACGACTTTTTGGTCCACCCCATCAATACCATCTCTTGACACCTCTCTCTGAGGTGTCAAGATTTGAAGGACTCTCTTTATCTTGCTTGGTCTCTAATGTGTTCCTTAAGTTCTTGCATAAGAGGAGCATAGTCCACACGATAAGGTGAAGCTGACCTCAGCATCATGACCTTCATTCATTAACAAAAAGAAAAACTTCAGCCATGAATTTGTGGTGCATTGTCAGGGTGGTACCAGCTTGGAGAGAGAGTGCACACAAATGAGTTCCAGTCTGTCTCTCAAAGCAGTAACAATTCACAATAGAAATGTTATAATGTTCTCAGGAGTAATTGAGCCAGTCAGAAATTAAAAAGAACTATGCGTACACAACATAATGAGCAGATTTATTAGAGGGAAATACACAGTTGAAGAGGGAATTACTGAGCCAGAGAAGAAACTATGGAAAAGATTGCCCAACACAATTTCAAGGTTTCACATCAACTCCTAGACAGGATTCTTGGTCTCCACAATACACAAGCATTCAAAACCTGGTTTGGGCTGCTCAGGTATTTTCTTTCATAAAAGAACTTGTAGATCCCAAGCCTACATGTGCTATCTGTTGAAATGTGGGTCCTGATAAATATAAGAGGGTCAAAAGCCAAGCAGTAACTCATCTTAGCTCAAGTCAGTAGGCCTGTACTCATTGACCACTCTGAATTTCCATCTAGGTCTTTACTAAGCACATTCGTGATAAATAATCCCAATTTTTTGACTTTTCTGGCACACATGTAAGACTGGTATAATTCAATTTCCTATCCCCCAAATATTTATTGAGATTGAGCAAGAACCATGTGCAGTATCAAAGCAGTGACTCCATTGCTAGGCACCATGGGTACAATCATGAATAAGTCTTTGTCCCTGCCCTCAAGATGCTCACTGTAACAGAAACAAACAAATCAAAGGTGATCTCTGTGGCTGTGGGCTTGCAATTGAAAGTAGAAGATGTTAGCTTAAACAGACACGCAAAAGAAAGCACAACAACCACCCAACGAATCACGACAACATAAATGAACAAATGTCAAGGAAAGGTTGAGCCTTGGGGTCCAATAAACAAGTGTGATTATCTTGTGAGAAAATTGAGAACAAACAGTGTAAAGGGGAGTGAGAGCTTGAGCAGGGAGGTGTTGAGACAGACTTACCCCCTCCCAGTCCTGTTTAGTCTTCAATGACTTTCCCACAGGTGTTCTTCTGCTGCCACTGGAAGAATAGAGGCAGCTGGGAGGCAGCCAGGAGGAATGTTCATCTTTGTCTTTGCAGCCACACCCAAACCCACAATGAGAGAACTCCCAGGCAGAGGTGCCAACCCCAGACACAAAGGATAATGCAGCAGATACAGAAACAAGACGAGAGAGAGAGTAAGAAAAGAGCTGGTCAGACAGACAGGGCCAGTGCCATCTTTAACAAGGCTGAGGAACACCCAGTTCAGAGCTTCAGGGAGTGACTGTCATCAAGATTAAACCATCTCTGGGATGCTTTGCAAGATAGGAGGAACACTTATGCAACCACCTCTTCAATAGATAATGTTGATCCTCATTAAAACGGGAAAGCCATCTATACAATTTTGCAAACAGTTTCCTATAGCCACCAGATCTTCCAAATGCACATGTGATCCTAAAATGTAAATGGTACTCAGTCACATAAAGGTAGCTTTCTCAACTCTCCCACTACGTCCCAGATCACTAGCTGAACAGAATACAAGCATCTGCCCTTAGCAAATGAACCTATCGTTCTTTTTAAGACTTCCATGGTAGACAAACAATTTGATATTCTCAAATATTTAGGTTATTCTTCTTATTTGGCACTGCTGGCTTTTAAGCCTGGGGTTTCTGAACCAGTACTTGTGTCCATAACCAGATTAGTGCAAAGTTGGTTACCATAGAAGGAGGCCTTCATATGCCCAAGAGCCCCTCCACTGGGCCTGCCATTCTTTTCCTATTTGTCCCTATGAGAAGGAACAACAGATACCTTACTAAACCTCTCATCTCACTTACTTCCTCCTACTCTTTCCCTCACTACATGTCCCCAACTTCCCCAATCTCCTAAGGTGTCTTCCTTATTGCCATTTTTTTTCCTCAGAACTGGCAAAGGAAGACAGTACCAAGCTTAAGACTTGTTAATATGTTAGTTCTATCAGGGTATCAATTCAGTAAGCAACTATTTTATGTAAGTCCCCCAGCTAGGTGCTGTGAGCAACACCAAAAAAAAAAAAATTATCACAGACCATTCTCAATTTCCATCTGGGTTTTTAATGAGCACATTTAATGAGCACATTACTTAAATGTGCTCATTAAAAACATTATAAGGGCTGGGCACAGTGGCTCACACCTGTAATCCCAGCACTTTGAGAGGCCGAGGTGGGTGGATCACCTGAGGTCAGGAGTTTGAGACCAGCCTAGCCAATATGGTGAAATCCCATCTCTACTAAAAATACAAAAATTTGCCGGGCATGGTGATGGATACCTGTAATCCTAGCTACTCAGGAGACTGAGGCAGGAAAATCACTTGAACCCAGAAGACGGAGGTTGCAGTGAGCCGAGATCATGCCACTGCACTCCAGCCTGAGCAACAGAGCAAGACTCCATCTCAAAAAATAAAAATAAAAAAATACAAAATTATAAGCCTTTTTTTTTTCAAAAAATGAACAATCTAGCAAGGATATCTAAAACTAAGTATAAAATGAGATAATACCATAATAATTAATATTTGCAAGTTGCTTTGTAATTTGATGAATATCTCCTCATTTATAATCTTGTTTAATTATTAGAAATATGCTGTGGGATAAGAAGATTATTATCATCCTCATTGCATCAGGGAGAGCCCTGTAGCTCACGCAGGCAAATGATTTTCCTCAGAATAATCATCAGTAGGGGAGCAACAAACAGAGTTAAATCCAACAATTCTAGCCCTGAACGCTTTGCTCTCTCCCCAAGTAAGGTGATAGAAGAAAAGTACAAAGAAAGTGCTATTGGAATTCACAGGAGGAAATGCCATGAAAAACCAGAATGTTCTCAAAACCACATCACAGATGAGTTTCTCCATCAGGCATCTGGCTGCAGTGTCTTCAGTAACTCGTTTATCAAACAGTTGCTATAAGTTCAGCTAACAGTGTCCTTCCCTAGAGTTGTTGCTCTGTCACACAGAAGAGGCCATTGTGGCCTCACTGTTGTTTTCAATAACTCTGGAACATCAAATTTATCTTTATAATTGCAAAGATGTTAAGGTCGCCAGATTTCTGTATTGAACAACAAAAGGACGGTCAATTATCAGATTTTTAATAGGAGACAGGAGAAGTAAAAAGGAAAAGAGAGGCAGAAAGGCCTTAGGGTGACTTAAGTCAGGAAGTTGCAACATCAGATCTTAATTTTTTCATTCAACAAATATTTATTAATTCCCTTCCTCGTGCAAGCCACTGTGCTGGATGCTGGGGTTACAAAAGTGAACAGACTAACCATGTCAGGCACATGCACAAAACATGGGTGCCTACTTCTAAACTGTATATTATGCATCTGAGACATTTCACTTTTCTGGACACTGGGAGAAGCCATTGACAAGCCATTCCAATGCACCATAACCCTGTCTATAATAGATTCCTGGCAACCTGAGGCTTGCTGTTCAGTCAATGATATCTTAAATTCCAATTCTTTAAAAAAAAAGAAAAAAAAGAAAAAAAATGTCCTCAAAAGTGTCCTGACCACGCACTTTGGGAATTCCCACTTTGACGGACTTCCAAGCTCTTTGGGGCCTTCTTGGGAGGTAATGACAGCATATCCAATCTGTCCCTCCCCCACCCCCAGCAGCTTTCTCTCTGACCTTCTTAGAGAGATGGTAATCACTCATATGAAAACCAAACCAAAACTCACCGTAGCCTCCCAACTGCTGATAACAATGTTAAAAGGCCATGTTTCCGGCTCTCCCTCTCTCTGCCAGAGAAGAAGGGTACATGGGAAGGGCCTCCCACTGACCAGGAGTGAAAGAGAACTCTTCTTTCAGACTTACATTTTCCATCACACAGGTGAAATCTTCCCTGGTCTACAAGTCCCAGCAATGGGGCTGTGGGAAAAAGTGGGTTCATTACTCAGAAGAGCCTAACTTTCCTGCAATTTCTCTTCTTCTTCTCTTTGGCATTTCAGTTTATGCATTATTCAAGATGCAAAAGCAAGAAAGGTTAAAAAAAAAAAACAAGCAAAAAAGTCACCTTCTCCTCAGAGCTCCTTTGTAAGATCAAAAAGTTCTCAAGAATGAGGATCACTTTTGTTGAGTTTACACAAAAACACTCAGGCCTCCAGGTCAGACCTACTCTGTTTTAAAATGGAAAGAGGCACCTCCACTAGGATGCTCTGAAAGCCCTCAGGAAAGAAATTGGGAAGACTTTTAATGGAGCAACTCTTATATTCATGGATGGCCAAAAGTAAAATGATGTGATCTTGGGTAAATTATTTGACCTATCTGAATGTTCAATTCTGTAACTTTCAAATAGCATTTGGATTTATCTAAAACTACTGTGCTGACTGATATCTATTATGGAATGGTTCATTCTGATAAATGCAATAAGACAAACTTGGTAGGAAAGTTTCCATGAGAATTTCAATTCTCAGGGCAGGAGAATTTTACCCAAGGGAGCCAAGGAGACATTCAGATCACAAATGGTTGAACCCTGGGAGGACATCAAAAGATTGTTTCCAAAGATAAGTTTCTCAGAACTGGAATCCTCCGAAATGCTCTGCCAAAAAGTGTTCCATGGTCATAGAAGCTTAGAATAGTCAACAGAGAATAACCACTCTTGGACATTCCCAAAGAACATCACTAAAGCTGACTTTGAAATGTCCCATCTTAACTCAACTTTCTTCACATCATTGAACACTACCTTTTCAAAACTTATTTGACCACAGATATTGGGGGTTTAAAAGAAAATCATGTATAAACATTTCATAGATGGGAAACATTGCAGAAGAAGAAATAAATTCACCTTGAAAGAAGGATAGATTCCCAAAACTGAGCTAACTTCCTCAGCATGTAACTGATTTAAGGGTACAGCAATGTCGTTATTACGTGTCTGTCTAGAGCCTGCCAAGCTGAAGTAATAGCTACTGCATTTTTCCTTCTCTAATTGGCATTCTAAGCCTTGGCACCTGGTCCTTAATTCAAATCACAAGACTCACTCATAGCCTCACTCCAATAAACTGGCCTTACTGAAATCACTTCTCCATTTTGCATACATCCAGCTCCCAGACTTTTTTTTTAATATCCTTCTATCCCTGTAGTTCTTTCCCCAGAGACGGGTGACCACTCCTCCAACCGTATTTCATAGAAACGAATATTTGTGTAGAACTCATTAGCCCCACTTCAGGTAGGGTGGCAGTCAATAAAAATAAAACTGCTTGGAAATCAGCAGCTATTTGAAGGCACCGTTGTTTGAAAGACAGCTGATGGAACATGCAGCTGAGTAGGAAGGACTTACAATGGGAAACTGGGCTGAAAAACAAATTGGAGATGCCTTCCTTCTGCTCTGGAAATGAGCTCATTAAAATCCCATGAAGCTGACCTATGCAGCCTGGTTTGCCTACGCAGACTTGGTATAAACTGTTGCAGGCCCTGAGGTTCCTCAAGGCACCATTCTAGGTGGGTAACTTGTCTAGGTTTCCACAGTCCGTTCTCACGTCAGCACACTGACACTGTGCCCAGCTCACCACTAGAAGAAAAACGGCATACTTTTCTATTTCCATGGCACGTGACAGTTTTCAAGCACTACCCTCATGATTTCCCATTGGATCTTAGCTCTGCAACTTTGAAGAAATGATTTTCCCCACTGAGCCTTAGTTTTTCTCATCTGCAGAATGAGAACAAGTGGGCCATGGGTTAGAGGATTCCTTTTAGCTTTTCATTCACTTGTTCATTCATCCAAGGTTTCCTGAGCATTTCCTAAGAGCCAAGCACAGTGCTGGGCACAGAGTCGACAGTGGGGGTTCTCATGGTCAGTAAAGGAGACAGATAATGGACACGGTGAATTAACCAGCAAAAACATTACCAGATATAAATTGCTTTAAATTAAACAAATAGGGATCTCAAGGAGGAATAAGAGAGATGTCTGTAACTCCATAATGCTTCCAATACTCACAGACAGTATATAGAACGGGAATCTAAAACTCACTGAGAAGTTCAGCAAGGGGCTTTCAGCCACACAGCCATCTCGGTCTCCTGTGTCCCATGCTATTGAGAGGTGACAGCGTCCTGGCAGTCCTCACAGCCCTCGCTCGCTCTCGGCTCCTCCTCTGCCTGGGATCCCACTTGGACGGCACTTGAGGAGCCCTTCAGCCCGCCACTGCACTGTGGGAGCCCCTTCTGGGCTGGCCAAGGCCAGAGCCGGCTCCCTCAGCTTGCGGGGAGGTGTGGAGGGAGAGGCGCGGGCGGGAACTGGGGCTGTGCGCAGTGCTTGCGGGCCAGCGCGAGTTCCGGGTGGGCGTGGGCTCGGCGGACTCCACACTCCGAGCTGCCAGCCGGCCCCACCGGCCCCAGGCAGTGAGGGGCTTAGCACCTGGGCCAGCAGCTGCCGTGCTCAATTTCTTGCCGGGCCTTAGCTGCCTTCCTGCGGGGCAGGGCTTGGGACCTGCAGCCCGCCATGCCGAAGCCTCCCCCTCACTCCGTGGGCTCCTGTGCAGCCGGAGCCTCCCCTACGAGTGCTGCCCCCTGCTCCATGGTGCCCAGTCCCATCGACCACCCAAGGGCTGAGGAGTGCGGGCGCACGGCGCGGGACTGGCAAGCAGCTCCACCTGCAGGCCCCGTGCGGGATCCACTGGGTGAAGCCAGCTGGGCTCCTGAGTCTGGTGGGGACGTGGAGAACCTTTATGTCTAGCTCAGGGATTGTAAATACACCAATCAGCACCCTGTGTCTAGCTCAGGGTTTGTGAATGCACCAATGGACACTCTGTATCTAGCTACTCTGGTGGAGCCTTGGAGAACCTTTGTGTCCACACTCTGTATCTAGCTAATCTGGTGGGGACGTGGAGAACCTTTGTGTCTAGCTCAGGGATTGTAAACACACCAATCAGCGCCCTGTCAAAACAGACCACTCAGCTCTACCAATCAGCAAGATGTGGGTGGGGCCAGATAAGAGAATAAAAGCAGGCTGCCCCAGCCAACAGTGGCAATCCGCTCCGGTCCCCTTCCACGCTGTGGGAGCTTTGTTCTTTTGCTCTTTGCAATAAATCTTGCTACTCCTCACTCTTTGGGTCCACACTGCTTTTATGAGCTGGAACACTCACCGCGAAGGTCTGCAGCTTCACTCCTGAAGCCAGCGAGACCACGAGCCCACCGGGAGGAACCAACAACTCCAGACGCGCCGCCTTAAGAGCTGTAACACTACCGCGAAGGTCTGCAGCTTCACTTCTGAACCAGCTAGACCACGAACCCACCAGAAGGAAGATACTCGGAACACATCCGAACATCAGAAGGAACGAACAACTCCAGACGCGCCACCTTAAGAGCTGTAACACTCACCGCAAGGGTGCGCGGCTTCATTCTTGAAGTCGGTGAGACAAAAAACCCGCCAACTCCGGACACACTATCACTGCTCCCAGGGAGATAATTCACTTTTTGAAGCCCAGCAGGGAGGAAGTACACTTTTTGAAGCTATGCAACTGTGAACACTGTGATTTAGAGGGGATGAAAAAGAATAGCAGAAAAAGGAAAGGGAAAAAAAAAGAAAAGAGACAAAATTTCTAACTAAAAAAATTAAAATTAAAAAAAACCAAAAAACAAAAAAACCTTCCCCCTTTACAATCAGGCTTGGCCTGACAGCCAGCTTGAAAATCTAGGGCAGAACACAAGGGACTTCCCACCAAGAACTATGGCTGATTATTCCATTTTACATTTTTAAAAAGAAAAGGAGAAGAAGAAAAAAAACTTCTCGGAAGTGCGAATGAGGATTGAATTGCAGTAAAGCACAACAGGCCACCATGTCTGAGCAACAGGGATTTGGTTCTCTGTATGGAGATGCAGTCTGACAAGACAAGTTCACTGCAGTTCACAGCGCCGTTGAACGCCAAGGCCCAGGAGGTTCACATCTGGGACTCAGCACACAAGCATTATCACTGCTACAGCTGCAGGTAATTATTAGTAATAATAATAGATAATATTTACATAGCCTGTTTCAACTAAAGATCCAAAGACATATGATAATACCTACAAATTTCGGTGCACATAGCCACCCCCAACAACCTGCTGAGGGATGGCTTTCCCATCAACACAATGCAGATGACATGCAGCAGATTATCGCCGGGCACTCTAACCTGGCAGCAGCTCAGGATGGAAAGCTAAAGGAATGAAATTTAAATATTAATTTAGGCTTTCTGAAAACCCATAGAATCAATCCTTAGGAAAAAGCAATGTTTTTACACATTTGTCAAAACCCACAGAAAGTAAAGGAAGTCCTCACTTAAGTTTGTCAATAGGTTCTTGGAAATGGCGACTTTTGACAACTTCAAGTGAAACATAACAAAGCCAGTTTTAACATAGGCTAATTGATATCAGTAAGAATTACATTCCTACAGCTTATTTCTGGTCACAAAAACACCATAGTTCTAAATAAATGCCAAAATACTTCTAATATCAAACATTGAAATAAATGTGAGCTATAAATACATTTAAGAAAAATGAATAAAAACGAGTAAGATAGTTATTTACTCAATTATGCCAGTTCAGGGTCATGGTGACTGGTGCCTGTCCTGGCTGCTCAGGACACAAGGCCAGAACCAGCCCTGGACGGGACACCCACAACCACACTCCCTCACACTGGGCCCATGTAGACATGCCAATGAACCGAATATGCACGTCGTTGGGATGTGGGAGGAAACCTGAGTACCTGGAGAAAACACTTGCAGACATGGGGAGAACATGCAAACTCCACACAGACAGTGGCTCTGACCAGGAACTGATTTTTTTCTCAATAACGTTATCATGAAATGACATTGAACAAAACAACGTTATTCTAGAACCTGATGCAGAGGAGAGTGTTCTAATATAAACTAAAGATTTGGGGTGATAATGACGTGTCAATGTAGGCTCTTCTTTTTTTTTTTTTTTTTTTTTTGAGAGTCTCTCTCTGTCACCCAGGCTGGAGTGCAATGGTGTGATCTCAGCTCAGGGCAACCTCCGCCTCCCAAGTTCAAGCGATTCTTCTGCCTCAGCCTCCTGAGTAGCTGGGACTGCAGGTGTGTGCCACCATGCCCGGCTAATGTAGGCTCTTCTATTGTAACAAATGTACCACTCTGATGCCAGATGCTGACAGTGGGGGAGACCCTGCTTGTGTGGAAGGAGGAGGGATATGGAAATTCTCTGTACTCTCAGCACAATTTTGCTGTGAATCTAAAACTGTTCTAAAAAACAAAATCCATTGAAAACAGAAAGAAAAAGGCATAGAGTTTCTTTATGACAGGCTGGGGCTGGTTCAATGTAGCTCAGGCACGTTCTGCTTGAATCCCAAAATTAGTGCAGCTGCATGCATAGGTTTATTGCAGCACAACTCTCAATTGCAGAGATATGGAACCAACCTAAATGCCCATAGACTAATGATTGGATAAAGAAATTGTGGTATATATACACCATAAAATATTACTCAACCATAAAAAAGAATGAAATAATGTCTTTTGCAGCAACTGGGATCTAGCTGGAGACCATTATTCTAAGTGAAGTAACTCAGGAATGAGAAACCAGATGCCATATATTCTCATTTATAAGAAGGGAGGTAAGGGATTAAAAAAAAAAACTATTTATTGGGGCCAGGTGTGGTGGCCGACACCTGTAATCCCAGCACTTTGGGAGGCCTCAGCGGGCAAATCACTTGAGCTCAGGAGTTCGAGACCAGCCTAGCCAACATGGTGAAACCCTGTCTCTACTGAAAATACAAAAATTAGCCAGGTGCGGTGGCAGGCACCTGTAATCCCAGCTACTCTGGAGGCTGAGGTAGGAGAATCACTTGAGCGCGGGAGGCAGAGGTTGCAGTGAGCTGAGATCATGCCACTGCACTCCAGCCTGGGTGACAGAGCGGGATTCCATCTCAAAAAAAAAAAAAAAAAAGAACCTACTTATTGGGTAGCTGGACATGGGGCTGGTGCACACCTGTAATCCCAGTTGCTCGGGAGGCTGGGGCAGGAGAATTGCTTGAACCCAGAAGGCGGAGGCTGCAGTGAGCAGAGATTGTGCCACTGCACTCCAGCCTGGGTGACAGAGACTCTGTCTCAAAAAAAACAAACAAAGAAAAAACACTACCTATTGGGTACAATGTACACTACCTGGGTGACAAGTGCACTAAAATCTCAGACTTCACCACTATATAATTCATCCATGTAACCAAAAACCACTTGTACCCCAAAAGTTATTAAAGTTTTCAAAAATTAATAAAAAGTAAAATAAGTAGATCATGAGATTCAAGTGCAATGAGAGTACTTGGAAAGTGGGCCCTAGGAGCATAGGTAAGGAGTTGGGAATGGAGGCAGGAAAGGGTAAGGAACAGTGAGAGTGCTTTGTATAGCCAGTTAGCACCTGGAGCTCTAAGCCTCTGGGGAACGCTGGAGACAGTAAGGATCCTCCCCTCAGAATTATCCTAACTGAGGAGCAAGGAAGCTGCAGTATTTACCCAACAATTCTGTGTCCTTCATTGGTTGAGGCTGCTTCTAAAGCATCAACTCCCTAGAACTTCCAATTTGCCCCCACAGATCAAGAGCATTTCTGCAGCCAGGGGAAAAAAAAATCCTCAACAGAAAGCCATAAGTGTTCCCAGTAAGCTCAGCATAAAGGTGAATGCCATAGCTGGGGGAGAGGGCAGACAGCATCTGCTATTCTGTTCAAGACCCAAATCATATAATCTACCCTACCTACTCTTACGAATGAATGGGGCCAAGGGTCCGAGATGTCAGTAAAAGAAAAGAAAGCCTAGGCCCTTTTTCAACTGATAGAAAATGAAAAAGAAACACCTAAAATTGCAGATATCAGAATAAGTTGTTCAATATCTACAATTACATATTGTCATACCTATCCAAAAAAGGTGATATATATTTGTTCTAGTAATTAACAAAGACGTCTGGTAAATAACTGACTTCATGCCATGTCTCAAACAGCAATTGGCAGCACTGCACACAAAAATCCTCACCATGGAAATATTTGGATGTGTTTAAAGCATTTCAGATTTCTAGAAGATATGTGAGCCGCCATGGTGGCACATAATGGGATTGGTCTCACGATGTCCCCTTAAAACAACCGTTTCCTTCGAGGAGGTAAACAGTAATGTAAAACATGTTTTTTTTTGCTGTGAAGTTTTAAAGAACTGCAGTAACCACAATAATACTGAGGCTTTTTCCTTCATTAATATTCTAGTTAAATGCACACCAGTGACAAGCTGCTCAACCTTATGATGTCCTGGGACAAGTTTTTTCTAAGTCTTACATTGTCTGTTCCTTTGACTGTGTGTTTAGCATGGAAAAGTAAAGAAAAGGTTTTTGTACTAAGGAACACAACAAAAGAGATTTTGAAAGATTTATTCTACTTAAATATACATTTCATTTTAAAGAGTTAACGTGCTACCCATGAAGAAGCTATTTGATCCAAGGTTAAAGAGAAGATCCCACATTGAATGTGAAAGGATAAAAGATGACATAACACTATCCTATAAGGTTTTCTATTCAAAAGCAATATTTTCTATCCCTTCATCTCCCATTTCCCTACCCACTCCATCTCAATGCCGCCAGACTGGTGCATAAATAAGAAACATTGACTGGTCAAGGAGACACAAAAAACAAATGCTGTTTAAGAGATGGTGGCCAATGTCGAGTAGACGAGGAAGAGAGAGGCTTGGAAATTAACATGATATTTGACACTTCTTAATGCAATTAGAAATATCTGGGTTTCTAAACTGTACTTTGTATAAGCAGAGAAATCCTCCTTGAAGAAATGCATTTCAACAGGGTCAGCTGTTTTGTGTCCTCTTTTCACCAATTCGATGGAATCATTTCCAACTTGGGCAAAGAACACTCTGCTCCGTTTTAAAGATTTAAATTTGTATATTGTATTAAGGTTTCCTTTTTGGTTTTGGTTTTTCTACTGTGAAGGCCAAGGATTCAACAGGAAACAAACAACCTTATAAGGGTCTGCCTTACAAACCCAAGCCTTCAAGAAGACAGTAAACATCGTAGTTACACTGTGTTTCTGTTTGAAGCCAGAGACTGGACACTACTTCTTTCCTGTTTATTTTCCTCAACAGTATTAAGCACAGTGCCTACCTCTGTGGGCACGCATGGAGGCCTCTCTCCATTTCAGAGTCAAGGTCTTAGAGTAAATATTTTAGACCATCCGTCTTATCCATCCATCCATCCATTCATCCATCCATTCATATGACAAATGTTTCTTGAGCATCCACTATAGGCCAAGCACCATTCATAGCATGAACAAGACAAAGTCTGCACTTTCATAGAGTTTGCATGTGAGGGGCTCAAATCCTTTAGCAACAACAGTTCCTTTAGACTCCAAGACTGATGGTTCTTTTTTCATACTGGGGTAAAAAGGTAACCCCAAACACTCAAAACCTCTCTCCCAGCTGCCTTGAGGTCATTCCACACAACTCTGGCCCCTATCTGTCCCTCCCAGACATGTCCATCCATCCCTGGCCCTCACTGTTTGCTTACCCTGGAACCCAACATTGTTCCATTGTTCCATGCCCCAGTGGATTCTCCACTTTCCAAGGGACTCGCCTAAGCACAAGCCTCAAATCCTTCCCGCAGCCCCTCTTCATTGGGCTTAAAGGAGGTTTCAAAGTTAGATAGACTTGGATTAACATGCAAAGTCAGCCACTGTCTAGCTATCCTAGACAGTGCCCAGTATCCTCTGGGCAGTTATTTAACTTCACTGAGCTTACTTTCTTCTTCCTCCTTCAAGAAGGATAGTCATACCAGCCTCATAGGTTTGCTGTGACAATTAAAGAAGACAACATTTACGCATTTCACCTAGTTCCTATCACTTCGAATTCCCTTAGTTAATAGTGCTATTATTAACAAGTACATTAGACAAAGAGATTAGTTCACATGTACTGACTGGTCCCTCAGTGGGTGCTAGCCACCTAGGATATCTATTCACTTATTATTTAACAAAGATTCATTGTTATGTGCAAGCTATTGTGACTGGGCTGGAATTAGTAAAATCTAGATGTATAAATCATGTATTCTGTGCCAGGTATTGGGTAAGTGTATTACATCCATCATGCAATGGACTGAATGTTTGTGTCCCCCTAAAATTCCTATGTTAAAATACTAACTTCCAGTGTGATATTATTATGAGGTGAGGCCTTTAGAGGTAATTAGGTTGTGAGAGTGGGGCCCTCCTGAATGGGATTAGTGTCTTTATAAAAAGGAGCCCAGAAAACTCTCTCATTCTCTTTCCATGTGAGGATGCAATGAGAAATTGGCAACCTGCAACCCAGAAGAGGTCCTTTCCTAGAACACAACCATTCTGGTGAGACAGCAAAGTAAAAAGAGCTCCCCAGAGAACCTCCAAATGGCCTACACACTGGGAGGAGAAGGCGGGCCTCGAGAAGTTCGCAATGTTTGCAGCAGGGAGGAGCCTGGCCTCTCCTGTTCCTGGGTGGTAACCTGGGATTCAGTTGGTGAGATGGGAGCCTGTTAACAGGAACCTCTCTCATTTTGCTGTGTTGTTTTTTCTTTTTTCTTTTCACCCAGTAAATTCCGTAACCCCTCACCCTTCAAAGTGTCTGCGTGCCTAATCTTTCCTGGTGGTGTGACAGGAACCCAGATTTTTCCTACAACACTGGCCTCCTATCTCAGATTTCCAGTCTCCAGAACTGTAAGAAATACATTTCTATTGTTTCAGCTACCCAGTCTGTGGTCATTTATTTTTGCAGCCCAAGCTGACTAAGACTCACCATCTCACTAAAATCACAGAGGTCATGCTTATCCCTATTTTGCAGACGAGCAAACTGAGACTCAGAGAAGATTAGGGAACTCGACCAAAGCAGTCCATTGGCTGAAAGTAGCACATCCAGAGTTTTAGCCCACAGCTACCTGACTTCGCAGCAAACGTGTCAGGCTCACCACCACAAAATTGCACATATGCACTCCTTGGCTCATGATCTGAGCAAACTCAACTCAAGAAAATGAATATTGAGAGGAGTCCCAATTGTAGCCTAAGTCCATAGGCCTCAATCTGAAGGAAATTGAACTGAATTGGAAGAAATGAGGCTTCAACCAGGAGAAAATTTTATTTAAAATTGAAAGGTAATCGTTTTGGATTTCTTCAGGCCACATCTCTCTAGGTCCTTTATTTATGATATAGGTAAGGGTAGAAAGAGCTAGTAGATATAAATCTGCCAATAAAAATGATATCTAGCTATGCTTCAATCAACTGCAAGTCTATGTTACAGGATTTCTCAGCAGTTATTGGCAGAAGAGAACGTTTTCTCTTTTGTAGTCTATACATTAGATGTGAATTGAAGTGACTTCGACTCAAGGCTGTCCTTTGGAGAGAGAATAACATGGTGAGGAACCACAAAGTCATTTCATATTATCAAAGGCCACGTCTGTTTTCCATTAAGAAGCAGGCCAGACAACTAACAAAAGGTAGAGTTGTTTTCTTGACTGGTGATATCTTGTCTAGACTCCAGAAAGCTCTCCTCTATCCTGATTCTATGGGGTCTCTTAAACTCCAACTCTCATCCTGTTCCTAAACCAGTCACTTTTTTTGGAACTCACCCCCACCATTTTCCACCACCCAAAGTATTAGAGTCTAATCTTCTGCTGAATTCTTTTTCAGCTGTTACTGTGCTTCTATCCCTGGCACCAGCTCCTTCCTAATTAATGGCCTCTGTTTTTGAACTTTATTTTGCTACCCACTGGCTCCTGCAGAACTCTTGCATGGCTGGCTTCCCACTGTGTTTTAAGACACTGTCTCTGGCCTCAGTCCCAGCCCTACCGTGGATCATTTCTTCAGTTAAAGAAATATGAAAATTGTTTGAAACAACTGGGATACACTACTTGGAGAAAAGAAGATCCAAGGAGCCCATATCAAATGTCTAAGGCCCCTAGATAATCGAAATCTAGAAGAAAGTCTAGATTTATTATGTGGCTCCAGACAGGATATTAGAACAAATGGGAAAACACTCTTCTGCCCAATATCGAGAACTTTCCAAAATTGTGGTTGTCCAACAATGGAATATGCTGCTACTATAAGTCATGTATTTTCTGTAATTGAGCATACTCAAGCAGAAGTGTAATGACTACTTCTTGGGAATGTAGTAGAAGTGATTCTTGAATCAAATAAGAGCTGGTCTGAGTACAGCCAAGGCCCTGCTGACTTCTTAAGTCAGCAAAACTGAGATACCAAACTGTTCTTCACAGCCAACTGATGCAAGTACAGTTCCCAATAAAACCCCCTATTAGCACAACATTTCTTGAATTATCTGTTGTTTCTTCATGAAGTTCCTTCAGAACGTTGGTTCATTCGCCGCACACATTTCTAAGACATAAATTATCATGAGATGAGAGGAAACTCACATTGCTCTCCAAAACACAGACAAGTACTTCTGTGTCAGTTTCAAGAAGGATGGAGCAAGAGAGTCCCATAAGGGCTCCCTGTTAGAATCTGAGGAGAAAGATCTTGATTATCAAAAACTGAATCCTAGCTGTTCTAGAAGAGGGCAGTTTGTTTGTGGCTTGTTTTCCACCTCCAGTGGAAAATGTTTTTTTGTTTCAAGTTACAATCATTTAAAATGTCAAAACTATCTTCATAACACACAACCTGAGGCTATATTCTGAAACCAAATGAAATTCCATGGAAACCACTTACATTGCTCAGTAGATTGGGAAGCCTCTCTTAAGTAATCTCCCCTCGCCCAAGGAATTTAAAACACAAGTGGAAACACTTCTCTTTTGTTACTCACTCAACTTGATTGCCTCCACCCAGACTGAAACACAAAAATACCTCTGCCTTCGGTATGCTGAAAATGATTCTTCAAGCTATGAGTTGAGATATTTCATGGCAAGGGCTTTTATCTCCATAAAGTATTTCCTGAAAGAACTACCCCAATTCCATTTGAGGGAATATTACACAGCCAATAAACATTATGTTCACAAAGAGTTTCTAACAACAGTACCAATGTTATTTTTGTCAAATGGAAACAAAGCAGTTATTTCAAGTTTACTAGTGACAAAAGCCATGTGTAAAAAGACTGTAGCCTCCAGGTCAGGATGCCTCAGTAAATCCACCCTTCAATCATCCCTCTGCTTTAAATGCACAAAACGACTGATAAAATATAAAAAATGAAAACCAACATGACATTGCTTGTTCAAAAACAAGACAAATACATTTGTAAAGATGGGACAATAATGTAAAATGATACGTAGGACTGAAGTCTCAGGACTGCAGGCTTCGAGCAAAAGGGCCCAAAACAAGTAGGTATTTAGATCGGTTCACAAGCTAGAGTCGGTGTTTGAAGCCAAGGGGTGGAGTAGCTTCTCTCAGCTCCTTCACTCCAAAGGAGGCACAAAAATAAAAATAGCGCAGGCCACCCTCTGTCTGAAACAAGTGCATTTCAGTAGATGCAAGTCCAAAAAGGCAGGTGGAACTAGGCACCAATTCAAACCACCTTCTGTCTCTGTGATAGATCAGTAGTATTCCCAATATCACCTTGTATTAATTTTCTAAGGCTGACATGACAAAGTACCACAAACTAAGTGGCTTAAAACTATGAAAATTTATTCTCTCACATTTCTGGAGGATACATTCCCATACTCAAGGTGTTTGAAGAGACATACCTTCATCAAAAGCTTTAGGGAAACAATCTTTCTTTTCCTCTTTTAGCTTCTGGTGGACCCAGGCATTCCTTGGTTTATGGCAGCATCACTCCAATTTCTGCCTTGGTCTTCACATAACCATCTTCTGCTGTGAGTGAGTCTCTGTATCTAAATCTCCCTCTTCTTTCTTCTCTTATAAAGACATCAGCCACTGGATTAGGGCTACTCCAATCTAATGTGACCTCATCTTAATTTGACTATGTCTGCAAAGACCTTATTTCCAAATAAGGTCACATTTACAGGTACCAGGATTAGGACTTCAACTTATCTTCTTGGGGACCCAGTTCAACCCACAACACACTCTGAAGCAGAAATCCCCATCACTGCCTTTATCAGACCCAGCTCTGGACTGGGGACTCAGAGAAATGGATGAAGGAAACCACAAAACACCAGAAAGAAACGAAAAATAATTAAAATCCTCCTTAGTCAAAATGAGCACAGAAATAAGAATTTCAAAATGTGTGCAGAAATGTAATAAGAATCTCAAACTGTGCGAGGAACTAGAAAGCCACAAAAGAAAGCCAAAAAATGGATAATTTGAACACAAATTCACTCCATTGTAAAACTGATTTCACAGAAATATCAGACCAAGACTTTAAAATGAAGTACATACAATAAAGAGGATAAAAGAAGCCATAATGTTGATTTAAAAGAACAAGGAATCATTAAGCAGGAAGAAATCAAACAAGAACAAGAGGCTGTGAAAAAGACCAATGGATCCTGAAAAATAAAAATGTTGATATAAAGGTGACATGACAGGAAAAATTTTGGACTGTTCCTAGTTAAAGAGAGAGTTCATTAACTAAAAGATAGTCCTGATGAAGCCACCCAGAATAAGACACAGAGAGACAAAGCAATTGTTTTTTAATTAGAAAGACAGTGAAGACACATGGAAAAGAGAATGAGAGTCTCCAATATTTAATTAAAAAGCATCCACAAAGTAGAGAATGGAGGAACTGGTAAAGATGCAATTTTTTTTTTTTTTTTTTTTGAGACAGGGTCTCACTCTGTCACCCAGGCTGGAGACCAGTGATGCAATCATAAATCACTGCAGCCTCGACCTCCCCAGGTTCAGGTGAACCTCCCACCTCAGCCTCCTGAGTAGTAGGACTACAGGTGCTTGCCACCATACCTGGCTAATTTTTGCATTTTTTTGTAGAGACTGGTCTCACTATGTTGCCCAGGCTGGCCTCGAACTCCTGGCTCAAGAGATCCACCCACCTTGGCCTCCCAAAGTGCTAGGATCACTGAGTCACCATGCCCAACCAAAGATGCAATATTTAAAATGATACTTGCTGAGCATTTCAAAATGAAAGAGCAATGTGAGTTCTCAGAACAATCATGCCTTCTGATAAATAAAAGTAAATCCATATTGGCAGGACATAAAGCAGCAGTTTTTAACGTTTTTGGCACCAGGGACTGGTTTCACGGAAGACAATTTTTTCACTGGGGGAGTGCAGGGGGTGGTTTTGGGATGAAACTGTTCCACCTCAGTTCATCCTATGAGATTCTAATTCTCCTATGAGAATCTAATGCCTCTGCTGATTTGACAGGAAGCAGAGCTCAGGCGGTAATGCTCGCTGGCCCGCTGCTCACCTCCTATGCTGCGGCTGGGTTCCTAACAGGCCACGGACCGGTACCCGTCCACAGCTAGGGCTTAGGGACCCCTGACATAAAGGATAAGGAAACAACCTCAAAAAGGACCAGAGAGAAGACACAGATTACCCATGAATGAGCAAAAACTAGTCCTTGAGAGGACTTCCAAGCTGCAGCCATAGATGGCAAAGATCAGTGCAGTGGTACCACAGAGTGCTGAGAGAAAATAAGCATCTAGCCAGGCCTTGGTGGCTCACGCCTGTATTCCCAGTAATTTGGGAGGCCGAGGCAGGCAGATCACCTGAGGTCAGGAGTTCGAGACCAGCCTAACCAACACGGTGAAACCCATCTCCACCAAAAATATAAATATTAGCTGGGTGTGGTGGCATGCACCTGTAATGCCAAGTACCTGGGAGGCTAAGGCATGAGAATCACTTGAACTTGAGAGGAGGAGGTTGCAGTGAGCCACAGTCACACGATTCTACTCTGGCCTGGGTGACAGAGCAAGACTCCGTCTCAAAAAAAAAAGAAAAGAAAAAAAAGAAGCATCTATCTAGAATTTTATACCCAGTTAAACCCTGGTTCAAATGTGATAGCAAAATAAATATTTTTATACACATAAAAGACCAAGAGACTTTAACACCCAAAGACATTTTCTAAAAGAACTATTAAAGAATGCACTTTAACAAAAAGAAAGATAAACCCATAGGGAGGAATGAGATTAAAGAAAAACACAGTGAACAGACAAAAAGGTTTGTTAATATCAGTCAATGAAACTAACTACAAGCTGTGAACAATAATTACTATGTTTTATATTTAAAAGGCATAAAACTACAACTCTAAGCAACTATGACAGGAAAGTGGGATGTTCAATGAGTAGTTATGGTGTGGTAAGACTCTGAGAAGACAGCAGAAATACTAAAGAACCATAGGATCACTAAGTATGCATGGAAAAAAGACTGGAAAGAAATGCAATAAATGAGCCAGATGCAGTGGCTCACACCTGTAATCCCAACACTTTGGGAGGCTGAGGCAGGAGGATCTCTTGAGGCCAGGAGTTTGAGAATAGCCCTGGCAGCATAACAAGACCTCTATCTCTACAAAAATAAAAAATTAGGCCGGGTGTGGCAGCTCGTACCTATAATCCCAGCACTTTGGGAGACTGAGGTGGGCGGATCACTTGAGGTCAGGTGTTCAACACCAGCCTGGCCAACATGGAGAAACCCTGTCTCTACTGAAAATACAAAAATTAGTCTTACGTAGTGGTGTGTGCCTGTAATCCCAGCTGCTCAGGAGGCTGAGACAGGAGAATCGCTTGAACCCAGGAGGCAGAGGCTGAGATCGTGCCACTGCACTCCAGCCTGGATGACAGAGCAAAACTCCATCTCAAAAAATAAAAATAAAAAATACAATAAAATACAATACATTAGCCAGGCATGGTGGCATGCACCTGTAGTCCCAGCTACTCAGGAGACTGAGATGGGAGGATCCCATGAGCCCAGGAGTTCAAGGCTACAGTAAGCTATGATCATGCCACTGCACTGATCATCCTGAGGCAACAGAGCAAGACCCTGTCTCAAAAAATAAAAAAGAAATAGAAAAAATATTAATAATGATTGTCTCAGAGAAATTATATAATGAGTATTTTTTCTTTCCTTTTTATTCTCCTCTGTATTAAATTTTCTAAAATACATATATAGACCTTTTATGAAAAAAAAGTAATCATCTCTATTAAATCTCCTCACATCACCTCTTCTCTTGTCTTCCCTTAATCCTGAAGAAATGTCTACTCCTTAAAGTGACATTGTTAGCAATACTAGCACTGGGTAGCCAAAGGGCATCCAGAAATTTCTCAAGATAATCTGACCATTTTGCATTGCTGTGCTGGACTGGTGTCTTAGTCGGCTCAGGCTAGTATAACAAAATACCAAAGGCTAGGTGGCTTAGTAGAAATTTATTTCTTACAGTTCTGCAGGCTGGGAATCCCAAGATAAGGTCCTAGCTGGTTCAGTTCCTGGTAGGGGCTCTCTTCATTCCTTGCAGATGGCCGCCTTCTAGCTGTGTCCTCATTTGGCCTTTCAGGCTGAGTGCGTGGGGAGAAAGAGAGAGAGCTCTTTTTCCCTCTGCTTATAAGGCCACCAATCCTACTGGATTAGTACTCCACCCTTATAATCTCGTGTAACCTTAATTACGTCCAAAAAGCCCTATCACCAAATACCATCACACTGGGCTTCAGCGTATACATTTTGAGGGGTACAATTCAGTCCAAACAGCTGGTATCCTGAAGATCTGCCAAATCCCATCATCTACTGTCACTCCAAGAACCTACACAGAAAGTCCTCACTGATTCAATATAACTGCCCAAAGATCCACCTTGGATGGATAGAAGGATAGTTACAGTCTTTTTAAAAAGAAAGAAAGCAGTCAGATGCCTATAATCCCAGTGCTTTAGAAAGCTGAGATGGGAGGATTGTTTGAGGCTAGAAGTTCAATACCAGCCTGGGCCACATAATGAGACCCCATCTCTATTAAGTAAAGTAAAATAAATAAAATGCAGTTTTATGACATTTAAATACATTTCTAATGTAAACTAGTGTATTAGTCTGTTCTCACACTGCTAATAAAGACATACATAAGACTGGGTAATTTATAAAAGAAAGAGGTTTAACTGACTCGCAGTTCAGCCTGGCTGGGGAGGCCTCACAATCATGGCAGAAGGTGAATGAGGAGCAAAATCATGTCTCTTACATAGTGGCAGGCAAGAGAGAGTGTGTGCAGGGGAACTCCCCTTTATAAAACCATCAGATCTCGTGAGACTTACTTACTATCACAAGAACAGCAAAGGAAAGACTTGCCCCCCATGATTCAATTACCTCCCACCAGGACCCTCCCATGACACTTGGGAATTATGGGAGCTACAATTTGTGATTTGGGTGGGGACACAGCCAAACCATATCAACTAGCAAATAACAAACTGTCATCAAGAGAGGTAGCACTACCAGTCCTAACAGGAGTGAATGCGATGGATAGCTTCTCTGATACACATCTTTGTGCAACACAAAACTAAATACTAGCATATTTCAGGTGGCAATAAGTATTTTAAAAGAAAATAGAGCAGAGGATTTTGATATTATACCTGGTGACCTGGTAGGCAAAGGCGTGAAGGGGTAAGGGGCATAGAGCAATTCATAGGGATATTTGATGAAAAACATTCCAAGCAGAAAGTGCAGCATCAATAAAGCATTTGCTTGGCGTATTTGAGAAAAAGCAAGGAGACTCATGTAGCTGGAATGAAGTGATCAAGGAAGAGAGGATGAGTACATGGGGCCAGGTGCCATAGAGTTCTCAAGACCTTTGGAAGGAATTTGGCTTTTATTTTAAGTGAAATGGTGAGCCATTATGGAGGGACATGGTCTGACCTAACTTACCAAATGATGTCCCTGACTTTGTGCTGAAAACAGACTCTCCTGGGGCAAGGGTGGAAGCAGTGACCACCTAAGGAACATTACAATAATCCGAGGGCAAATGATGGTGGCTTAGACGTGGGCTGTATTAGTCCATTCTTGCCCGGCTATAGAGAAATACCTGAGACTGGGTGACATATAAAGGAAAGGGGTTTAATTGACTCACAGTTCTGCATGACTGGGGAAGCCTCAGGAAACTTACAATCATGGCAGAAGGTGAAGGGGAAGCAAGGAATGTCTTACATGGCGGCAAGAGAGAGAGACAGAGAGCCAGCAAAGGGGAAGTGCAGCAACAGAGAGAGACAGAGAGCGACCAAAGGGGAAGTGCCACATTTTGAAACCATCAGCTCTCGTGAGAACTCACTATCACAAGAACAGCATAGGGAAAATCACCCTTAAAATTCAATCATCTCCCACCCAGGTACCTCTCTTGACACATGGGGATGACAATTCAAGAAGAGATTTGGGTGGAGACATAGAGCCAAACCAAATCATTTGGGTATAACAATGGAAGTTTGAAAAATGGTTGGGTTCTAGATATATTCTGAAGCTAGAGGTAAGGTGTTTGCTGATGGGCTGTGAGAGAAAGGCGTATTTCCACACTCGATATTTCCACACAAACCACCTCACCCTTCTGGAACATAACTAGAGTTCATTCCTATACATCTTCCTAGTGCAAAAGCCATGCCTGTTGGCAGGGGCAGCCCCCTTCTATGCACCTCTGGGATTCAAAATCTGCCCGCTCCTCCATCCAGTCCCCACTGAGGAGAGAGCACAGACAGACTTGAGGAAAAAGCCTTGAAGAGGTGCAAACTTTGACTTGAGAAATATCATTCGCTGAATGTAAACAAAGCATTAAAAGCCAACCCTATGTCTTCAATTGCTTTTATTCAAACCCACAGAGGTTCTGAAGGGAAATTCTGCTATCTGGTGTTGCCTGCATAATCTCCTCGTCTCCTCCATCTCCACCCCTGCATAATAATCAAATATTTGCCAAGAGGAAGAAGAGAATTGTGCAACTAAACACAATATACTCTTTGAAAACTTTATCCCGTTCCATGTTTCTCTAAAAGACACATTGCACGCATCTGCCTTACCAAGCCTATTCATAGGCACTAATTATTCTGGCAAGAGAAATTAAAAAAAAAAAAAACACAGACACACACACACACACACACACACACACACACACACACACACACACACACTGGCTCCATTCCTATCTGGTGTGAGCCTCTAAGTTTCTTTTTTTTCCTTACTAAACACCCTGGCTAACTAAGGAAGGGAATCTTTTACCCCAAGCCCCAAGCCAGATCTCAATAGTTTGAACAAAATTTATATTCTAAAGAAAAAAAATCACACCATCATGTTCTATCTCTTTCGTCTGAAAGCATGCCCTAAAATGGACCAACTAGCCAACCAGTTTAATATTTCAGGGGAAAAATAAATAAAATACAAAGAGCCATTCTAGATAAGTTGGGTGGGTTGGGGGGGAATTACTCTAGGTTGCTGGCAGGCTGCCACTCTGTGTTCATTTTTACATGTTTAAACAGTACTTACCCAATGCTCTTCTTAATCCCATTAAATGAAAACATTTTCTAATTTTAAAATTAAATTTCCTGTATTTCCTGATAGGCTTCCAAGTTATTCTCCTTCCCTCCTCCTCTCTGAGTCCCTTGGTATTTCTACAAGAAGAGGGGCATTAGCCTTCTGGACAGATTCCAGTTGGCACAATTGCCCTCAGCCTTGTTTTACTCCCCTGGGGTTTTCCTTTGGACAGATTGGTCCCTTACTTCCTGTTCTAAAGCAGTGGAAGCGTTGCCCTAAAGCATGTGGCTCATGGCTGTGACCTTCCCCTCCCAACAACCACATGAGGGCATACTTCAGTCATTTACTCTTCAATAATCTAAGCATGGTACTCCAAACTTCTTTGATTACTTACCCAAACCTAAGTAGATTTTGAGCATACACCTTCAACATGCATGTATTTATGAACTATGCCTTTTTGATACTATACAAATAGGTTGCAAAATTTTGTAAAAATATGACCAAAAATAGGAATTAAAATAAGAAATATTCTTTTAATATGTTATATTTTAATAATAGAACAAAATAATTAAATTATTATTATAATATTTTAGTGCAAAGTGACAGAATATCTGGCAGTACCTTAAAAACCTTGGTGATGCCACAATTCAATGATGCATTTTTCAGAACTAAAAAGGATGACTCCCACAGATTGTACTTTCCAGTGGAAGATAGTCATCACTGGCTGCATTTATATTGCTATGCTTACGTATTAAGCATAAATTATGCTATGCTGTTGGTTGAAATTCATCTGATAAGTAAGTTCCCATCTGCCACATGCTACTCATTTTTGCTTGCAAACTAACTGGAAGATGCTTGATTCTAGATTTTCTGTTTTTTAATGTGCAGATAGAAAAAAGTCTCTGTAGACAAATATGTAATTGTTTTTGAAGACAAAAACACAAAAGCACAACCTAGTTTCTAAAGTTGCATCTTTAACGTTCTTTCTTCATGGCAAGAATTTATTTTGAAATGCACTATTTCTTAATTATTTTCCAAACACTGCATTTATCTGATGGGATAGTGCTATGATTTAAGTGTGTACCCCCTCCAAAATTTCCATTGAAACTTAATTCTTTTTGTGGTGGTATTAAGAAGTAAGACATTCAGGAAAGTGATTAAGTCCTGAGACCTTCACTCTCATGAATGGATGAATGCTCTTATAAAAGAGCCTTCAGAGAGAGTTCACTCCTTTTTGTCCTTCCACCTCTTGCCCTGTAAGAGTGCAACATCCTCCCCTTCAGAGGACACAGCAACAGGCGCTATCTTGGAAGCGGAGACCAGGCCTTCACCAGACACCAAACCTTTCAGCACCTTTATCTTGGACTTCCAGTCTCCACAACTGTAGAAATAAATTTCTGTTCTTTATAAATTACCTAGTATAAGGTATTTGTTATAGCAGCATGAATGGACTAAGACAGATTATACATTTTTTCCCAAAAAAACTCTCTTGGGTAGCATTCTAGTGAGAGCCACTCAATATCAATTCAGAGTATTTTGATTTTAAAAAGTTAAAAATCAGCAATTTAAGTTTACTAACTCAAGAAATCTGTAATAAGATCGTGGCTGACCTGTGCAGTACAAAATATGAACACTCACCATGTCGATACAAAATGTTAAATTTCTATACTGTTATATTTTCCAGAGAAACAAAACCAGTAAGACATACAGAGAAATAGAGAGAGAGAGATAATTTAAGGCTTTGGCTTACACAATTGTGGGACTGGCACGTCTAAAACTCATAGAGCAGGACAACAGGCTGAAAATTTAGGTAAGGTTGATGTTGCTCTCTTGAGTCTGAATTCCACAGGGCAGCAGGTTGGAAGCTCAGGTAGGATTTTTATGTCACAGTCTTGAGGCAGAGTTTTTCCTTTGGAAAACCTCAGCCTTTACCTTTATGGGCATTAACTGAATGGATAAGACCCACCTACCTCATGGAAGGTAATCTGTTTTACTCAGATTCTACTGATTTAAATACTAATCACCTCTAAAGCATACCCTCGCACTATTATCTAGACCAGTGTTTGACCAAACAACTGAGCATCATAGCTGAATTGACACATAAAATTAATCATCACATGTGTAGAAGTCCTTTTTAAAAAAAAATTTTGTTATTTATTTATTTATTTTTTGAGACAGAGTTTCTCTCTTGTCACCCAGGCTGGAGTGCAATGGTGGGATCTCAGCTCACTGCAACCTCTGCCTCCCGGGTTCAAGCAATTCTCCTGCCTCAGCCTCCCGAGTAGCTGGGATTACAGGTGCCCGTCACCACACCCTACTAATTTTTGTATTTTTAGTAGAGATGGGGTTTCACTATGTTGGCCAGGCTGGTCTCAAACTCCTGACATCAAGTGATCCACCCATCTCGGCCTCCCAAAGTGCTGGGATTACAGGTGTGAGCCACCGTGCCCGGCCTAACTTTTTGTTTATCTAGAGATAGAGTCTCACTCTGTCACCCAGGTGGGAATGCAATGATGCAATCATATCTCACTGCAACCTCCAACTCCTGGGCTTAAGCAAATCCTCCTATCTCAGCCTCATGTGTGGCTGGGACTACAGATGTGCACGACAATACCCAGTTCCTTTTTTTTTTTTTTTTTGAGACAGGTTCTTGCTCCATCACCCAGGTTGGAGTGCAGTGGCACGACCACGGCTCACTGCAGCCCAGCCTCCTGGGCTCAAGCAATCCTCCCACCTCAGCATCCCAAGCAGCTAGGACTACAATTGTGCATCACCATGCCCGACTAATTTTTGTGTTTGTTGTAGAGGTGTGGTCTCGCTATGTTACCTAGCCTAGTCTAAAACTCCTGGCCTCAAGTGATCCTCATGCTTCGGCCTCCCAAAGCACTGAGATTACAGTGAGCCACTGCACTTGGCCCCTTTTTAAAAATAAATGTGTGTGTGTGATTTTAGAAATGTAAACACTTTCATAAAATCCATGCAATTAAAATGCATCATTTGGCAACCCTCTGGAAGCAACTAAGGCCACCGTTGTCGTCAATCATCTGCGTTGAGAAGTTTCCACTCTCATTCAAGATGCCATAACCATCACATGTAACCTGTGACTATATGACCTAAGTGTGCAGAGCCAACCTATGTATTGAGTGTAAGTAATGTTCACTTTTTCTCTTAATTTTTTAGATCAAAAAATGTAAACAGAAATTGAAAAATACTTTTATACATGTCCATCTGGAATGCACTGGTCTTAAGCATGAGGAACCTGTAAGGAAGAAGATCACAGACCAATAATTTTAAACTTTAGGACACCAAAAAAATCACCTAAAAATTGTAATAATGTATATTCCTGTGAAAAAAAATTATACCCCATAAACATGTACAAATACGCATTAATTTTTAAAAATTTAAAAATATAATGTCTATTTCTAGAATAGAGATACTGAAATTCTGAGTCAGTAGAACTGGGGTACGTCACAGGGATCTGCATTTTTTTTTTTTTTTTGAGATGGAGTCTCCTTGTGTTGCGCCCAGGCTGGAGTGCAGTGGCATGATCTTGGCTCATTGCAACCTCTGCCTCCTGGTTCAAGCAATTCTCCTTCCCAGTAGCTGGGATTATAGGTGCACGCCACAAGGCCTGCCTAATATTTCTTATTTCTTTTTTTAGTAGAGACAGGGTTTCACCATGTTGGCCAGGCTGGTCTCGAACTCCCAACCTCATGTGATCCACTCGTCTCGGCCTCCCAAAGTGCTGGGATTACAGACGTGAGCCACCGCATCCAGCCAGGATCTGCATTTTTAACCACTGCCCTAGGGATTCTGATAAAACTGTGTGGTCCAGCCATCACCCTCAGCCTGCATTGTCATAGACTAAGAACTTAACGGCAAGCTCTGATTGAGTGTCCGCTAAGGACCAGGCACTGCGCCAGGAGAACATGATGCATTCCCTCCCCTCCAAAGGCCTCAAATGGGACTAGTCTCAAAGAATTAAGTTTTACGAGATACTTGTCTTTTTTAAAGCATAAGCCATTGTGAAGAAAACTAGTAAATAATCTTTTGGAATGGAAGTCTAAAAGGTGGCAATCGTTTAGTAAAAACATTTCTCACTTTTCCACCGTTCTGTGCAGCAGCCAGAGAAAGTGCCCTGGTCAAGGACAGAAAACCTGGCTTCCAGTTTCAGTTCTGCCACCAACTAGCAATGTGACCTTCAGCCAGTTATTAAATCTTTTTATATCTCAGCTTCCCCAAATATAAAGTGAGGGGGTTGTGCTAGATTATTTGTACAGTCTCTTCCAACTCAAACAGTCTAAGACTCTGCCTGCACTTGAGAAATCAGTGTAGATCTTTCTTCCTAACAAAGCAAGATACATTTTCAAATAATCAAAAAGATAGATGTATTCATTTGAAATTTGTACTCTTCATTCATTCAATTAAAGTTTATCTGATTGGTTTAAAATGAACCAGACTAGCAATGCAGGTCTGGCCTATTTCAATAGGGCCCCTGTTTTTCAGACTTCAACAGTGTCTCAGCCAAATCTATGTGGAATAAAGTGGAAAAGTGCAGACAACTCAAGGCCAATCTAATTCACCAGCCTAAGGTGTGGATACTTTGTTCTGAGCTAACTCCATGCCAAAATAGGTGAGCTTTATCAATTCCATGGGGGGTAAACATCACCCAAAATTTTTTAACATCCTAGATATAAAGCTAGCTCATACACTAAATTGTTTTTTAATAAAAATAATCTTTCACTAATGGGTCCATTTGTCCCATCATGCACATGCATTTTAACCTTTCTGCTGTTGTTTGCAGAATTATATAAAATGCTCCATATAAATAAAGACTTATCAGGTTGTCTTTGTACTTACAAGCAGCAGCCCAGAACAAAATTGTAAAGTGAGTAATTTGTCTCCAACATGCTTCCATTTTTTACCACACTCCAATAATAATAGCTATTATTATTATTATTATTATTATTATTATTATAAATACAACATGTCTGGTTAGTCCTTAAATGATGTAAGTCACTTTCATTTGGTTCTGACAGCTACCCTGTGAGGTAAGCAGAGGAGATACTATCTTCATTTACAGATAAGAAAGCTAAGTAACAGAGAGGTTAAGTGACTTATCTGAAGTTGCATAGCAAAGAAGCAACCTCTGACTTGCACACAGTTTCCCTGACCCCAAGAATTAATGGAGTCCCATGGTCATGGTGCACCTGGCTGACTAGTTCACGCATCTGTCCCCAGCAGCATTTCTGCCAATGTGAAACCTTGCCTTCACATCCAGACTCACTTCTTCTTTGTCCCATTCCTTAGAGTCCTTCTTTCTGAGCCAAATAACTAAGTGAATCCTTACTAAAATGTGAGTGGAGACCACTGAGTTTGCATTCTTCTCCACCTAGATAACATTTAAAAAATCTAATAAGGGCTATCTGAAGACAATGTCTTCACTCAGAGTGCTGCATTCTAATGGCAGAAAACTTCTAGGACAATTAGGAGCTGAAAGGACACATACTTTAGAGCAAGGGAGCTTTCGTTAGTGCTTGAGTCATAGTCACAAAGTTACGCGGCTTGCCCTAATATTGCGTCATGAAGGCAGACCTACCAGGCAAACGTTAGTACAGATAATGTCCCATATCACTCAAACCCCAGTTCTGGGTTCTGCAAGTCAACAATTATTGAACACCAACTACCTATAAAGCAATGGCCCACATGCTATTGAAAGTCAAGCAGCTAAAGAGTAAAAGCTTTCATCAGCTACATCCAAAGAGGTTGTTTAACAATATTGCAGGAAAAATGAGAGAATTAGAGTTTGTAAACAATGGGAAAATGCCATTATTAGCATTAACACATTCTGACAAAATAAGAGGCAAAATAAGATTCCCTCCCAAAGCTGTAGCTTAGGCAGAATATGAGATGCAATGAAGAGCATAGAGACAGCAGGCAGAGAGCCCACCGAGAGAGACAACAAACTGCAGGGCCTCAAGGGAGAGGCCACAGCTGGGAAAGAAATAATTAGTGGAAGCATTAAGCAATGAAAACTGGAGGAAAGAAGCTTCTTTTCAACAGAATTGATTTGATAAAGCTCTTGCACTTAAAATATCAACTTTAAACAACAGTAAACCAAGAGACTGAGAATTAACTTCCAGTAGTTACAAAGGTACCAACACAAAAAGTAAGCCTGATCTAGATATCATAAAATATGCAGAAGGGGGTCTGTAGAATTTGGATCCCAAAGAAAACAAATCTAGACTTAGAATAGAATAAACACAAGTCTTAGAAGAACTGCCTAGGGACTAAGGGCTTTCACCAGATTCACAGTGAGAAAAACTTATATCAAGCCCTCACTGTAATTGTTGTACCTAATGATGCTTGCATTAATATATAGCAAATTGTATATATTTTTATTACATTATATAGGACCCTGTATGAAAGAAGCCTTTCAATTAATGTCATTGATAGATCTCCAAACTAGATAGATTTTATCTGGCTACTGCAGCTCAGAATTTAAAACCCAAAAACCCTTGAACAGTCACGTCTCAGAAGAGAATATCAAAAAAGCCAATCAACATATGAAAAGATGCTCAACTTCATCAGTCATCAGGAAAAAAAAAAAGCGCTAATTAACACCATAATGAGATACCATCACACACTCACCAGAATGGTGAGCATGTAAAAGACCACTCATACCAAGGGTCAGCAAGAATGCAAAACAACGAGAATTGTCTTACATGAGGATGGGAGTGTAAATTGGTACAATCACTTTGGAAAACTTTTTGTAGTGTTTATTAAAGCTAAATATGCTTGTGTCCTGTGATCCAATAACTCTCTTCTGGGTATAGTTCCCACAGAAAAGAGTGTACATGTCCACTCTCTTAGTTCATTTTGTGCTGCTATAACAGAATACCTGAGACTGGGTAATTTGTAATGAACAGAAATTTCTTGGATTAGTGGTTATGAAGGCTGAGAAGTCCAAGGTCAAGGGGCCAGCAACTGGTTAAGACCTTCCTGCTACATCATCCTATGGCAGAAGGCAAAGAGAGGGCAAAAGAGCGAGAGATCAAACTCGCAACTTCAAGCCCTTTTATAATTGGCATTAATTCATTCATGAGGGTAGAGCTCTCATGACCTAAACATTTCCCTTTAGCCCCATCTCCCAACACTGTTGCGTTGCAGATTAAGTTTCCAACACATGCTTTTTGGGGACACATTCAAACCATACCATTCACCAAAACATATACATATGCAAGGATGTTCACAGCCACTTTATTTGTAACCAAAACTTAGAAACAATTTAAAATTCCATAAAAAGTAGAAATAAATAAATTGTGGTGTATTCATACAGTGGAATACTGCTCAGCAATAAAAAGCCACAAACCCTACTGATAGATGGAACAGTGTAGATAAATCATACCAACATGAGGTAAAGTGCAAAAGTAAGACACAATAAAGTGTGTACTGTATAATTCTATTATATAAAGTTCAAAAATAGGCAAAAATAATCTGTGGTGATAGAAGTTAGAATAGTGGATGCCCAGGGTAGGGAAGGGGAATTACTTACCAGGAGAGTTCCAAGGGAGACTTTTGGGATTCTGACAGTGTTCTGTGTATCTTACTTTGGGTGACAGGATAGACAGGTAGATAGATGTACAGACAGACAGATGTATATATGCATATATATGTAAAAATTAAGCTATACATTTAAGATTTGTATAAATTTTAATATGTAAGTTACATATTATATATATATATATCACCCAAGATGAACAAACCTAGATGAGAGTACCTTAACAAAATGCTCCCCTGGCTGCATTTTTTTAGTCTAGGTGGGCCTCACACCTCCGTCCTTAAGAAGCCCACAATCTGGCCAGGCGCAGTGGCTCACACCTGTAATCCCAGCACTTTGGGAGGCCAAGGTAGGCAGATCACCTGAGGTCAGAAGTACAAGACCAGCCTGGCCAACATGGTGAAATCTCGTCTCTATAAAAACACAAAAATTAGCCAGGTGTGGTGGTGGGCGCCTGTAATCCCAGCTACTTGGGAGGCTGATGCAGGAGATTCACTTGAACCTGGGAGACAGAGGTTGCAGTGAACCAAGATCGCACCACTGCACTCCAGCCTTGGTGATAGACTGAGACTCTGTCTCAATAAAAAAAGCCCACAATCTAATCATGCATGAGGGAAGGGATGAATTCACTGTTGGATGATATTGGACTGTGATATGTAAAAGAAAGGCTATAGAAGAGAGTAACTAATCTTCACCATAGATACAGTAAAGCCTTCAAAAGAGGTGACATTACAGCAGGATCACCTGAATGGTGAGTAGAATTTAAGGTGGGGTTGAAAGGTAGGGCACCCCAGCAGTGAGCACAGCATAAGCAAAGCCTGGAGGCAAAAATATAAATGGCTTCCTCTAAGGGAGAAAAACATAATTTAGTATGCTAGGAGCATGGCTTGTGAGGCCAATCAGAGAGGTATAGGAGAGAGAAAATAAGGATGAGGGACACACATGGTGGGCCTGGAATGCTATGGTTAGGCATTCAGCCTTTGGACTTGGAGCATACAGCCAGGGGTTGGTTTACAGAGAGTATATGGAGTGAAGACAGGGAATACATGAGGGCAAGTCTGGGAAACGAACTGCCTAGTTTAGCTCCAAACCAGCTTATTCACTCCAAAAAAAAATTATTCCATTTGTAAGATCAAACAGGACTCATGATTCTGTCCTAAAAGAGGCACAACCTTCCTATCCACCCCATTCCCCCATTAAGGGAGTGCTGAGCCCATCCCTTAGCCAATTTTCTGGGAGTACCAAAAATGGCTTTGAAACTGATACCTTCAATTCCAACATATACCCAAGGGTTCAGACCCAAAGGAATGACCTACTAAATACAAGATTAGCTTCACGGGGTTAACATCAGACCCAGTCGAAGCCCCAGTTCTCAGCATGTTCATTAATGATGTCTCTATAGAGAAATATAAACAAAGATGCTTTTAGCAATTCAGCCCAAATGCTGCTCTGAAGCCAGGAGTTGTTTATATTGAGTAAAAAAGACTTTGCTACTGCAATGATGTGAGCAATTTCTCTTATTCAAAGTATGCGTTATTCAGAGTTGCAGTACATGGTAATTAGCAGGCCCTTTAATATATGCTTTATTAAAAAAATTTCAGAGGTGGCAATTTTCTAGCATTGGCCAATAAGTCTTTCTTCATGAGAAAAAAAAACCCTGTGAGTTTCCAGCTTTAATAAAGCTCTGAGAATTATTTATTGATATTTTTAGTAACAAAGTTATAGTAGTAATTTGTTATCATATAGTCCCTTTCATACCAAGAGAGTTAAAGCCTATAATATTACTGTGGCATAAGTTATGCTCATTCATGAAACATCAACATTTACATGAAATATGTCATGGAAAGTATTCACTGAGAAAGTACATGAAATGGAACTAAAGCTCTAAAAGTTTAAACCAAGTTTAAATCCAAGATCACACAGGAAGTAAGAAAAAGCACTGGGATTTTCACCCCCGATTTCCCAAGGCTGGTCTAGCTGTTATTCCACTTGAAACACAGAACACCCAAGTCACCGGACTAAGGTTGGCTAGCAATGACTGAGGCTGAAATAAGGTACAATGGTCTCCTGTCATCTTTTTCTTTCTTTGAGTTTCCTGTCTCCTTGCTTCCGGGTACCTGATGCTTTGGTTCTGCTCCGGTACTACCCAAAGCCCCAGGTGGGTTCCATTAAAGCCTCTTCTTCGCTCAGCCCTCAAGGCGGCATCTCTAGTACGCAGTGAGTGCCAAATGGAGCCCAGGACTCATCAGAAGGCCACTATAGGGTCAAGGATCAATCTCTCTTCCTCTCATTTGTTTGAAGTCCTCACCTCTTCTACTTCAGCAGAGTAACACTTGGCTCACCTATGACTAACTCCATTATAGTAGAAACATGCTATCACTGTTTACTTGATCATCTTCCCCAATAGGCAATTTCCTTCCAAAAGGAGTTTAAGGGTTGGGCACAATGGCTCATGCCTGCAATCCCAACACTTTGGGAGACCAAGGCAGTTGGATAGCTTGAGGCCAGGAGTTCAAGACCAGCCTGGGCAACGTAACAAGAACCCAACTCTACAATAAATTTTAGCTAGGCATGGCAGTGTGTGCCTGTGGTCCCAGCTACTTGGGAGGATGAGGTGGGAGGGTTGCTTGAACCCAGGAGTCTGAGGCTGCAGTGACCTATAAATGCATCCCTGCACACCACCCTGGGGGACAGAGTGAGACCCTGTCTTTTTATTTTTGTTTAAAGTGGTTTTAAAATGAAACAAACAAAACACTCTTACATTTCTCCTGTAAAACCTCTCATTGCTTCTCAATTATCACCCTCCTGTTAAGAAATACATTGCAGTTATTCACAATACTTGAGTGTATATCCTATATGTCTTTAGAAAGCATGTGGCACAAAGAAGGAAATAGCACTCAATGACCCGAACCTCTAAGTTAACAAAGACAAAAGGAGAGGGGGCAAGAGAAGGAGATGAACAGGGGATGAAAGAGCAGGGGCAGCAAGCAAACAAGAGCAGACAGCAGAGAGGAGAAAGTGAACTCTGCTCGGGCTGACCCTGTCTTCCTCCTGCATGCACAAATGCACAGCTGTGACTTCACATCCCACCAAATAACCCACTCCCACCAAAAATACTTGTGAATAATGTCTATTTTGCTGCAGAATTCATAGGGAACAAGGAGCGAGGTGGGGGTAGAGGGGTTTACATCACACACTCCACAGCCCACAACTTCGTATGTTCAACATGCCTGGTCCTCCAAGTCTCTTTCTCTGGCTATACTGTATTATATATGTATTTTCTTTTTCTTTTTTTAAAGGCATGGTCTTGCTCTGTCATCCAGGCTAGAGTGCAGTGACACTATCGTAGCTCACTGCAGCCTCAAACTCCTAGGCTCAAGCAATCCTCCCACCTCAGCCTCCCAAGTAGCCAGGACTACAGGCATGGGCCACCATGCTCAACTAATTTTTTAAAAATATTTTTTAGAGACAGCGTCTTACTATGCTGCCCAGCCTGGTCTGCAACTCCTGCCTCAGCCTCCCAGAGTGCAGGGAGTACAAGCATAAGCCACCATGCCCAGCGTTATATATGACTTTTCTGACCCCACCACAGTCCTAGATAGCTTGCTTCCCATCTAGAGCAATATAGTTGTACCCAATACTTTCTAAACAACTGTTATCTTACTACACAAAGAGCCCTCCAGTACCAAGATCTATTCTCCCTTGAAGGTCATAGGAGATTATAAACAGCATTTTTTTCCTTGTCACTGATGAATAGACCACAGCTTAAGTAATTAGAGAAGGAAGGCAAAAACTTGAATTTTCAAGCACGTACTATGCACCAGCAACATGCTGGAGTTTTTATATATATCTTGCCAATGGCAACACTTAAGATTCCTACACTTGGTGAAGTGAACACAACAAAGAAAGATATTATCCATGTTCTCATTGCCTGCCCAAGTGGAATTTCCATCTCCGCCCCTCTGAGAGATGTGGAATATGCCTAAAATGAGAAAGTACGTAGCATTAATTTAAAGAGAAGTGTTGACATGACAGAGAGATGAGGAATGCATCTTGAATCCAGCCAACTCAGGCCATCCTTTGAGGCTTCAGGATAGTTTGGGACAGGCTTCCAGTTATATGTGAGATGTTGGACGGAAGAAAATGAAAACGGGTGGGGAGCTGGACAGGAAGGAGATGCCGTATCGAAATCTATCATTTTCCAGTGTTGAACAAGGCTGGGCGACTCTGAATGACAGCTAATTCCTTCTGCTTAGAGAAGTTCTATGATTTGCCTGTGACCACCCTCCACGTCGACATTTGGTGGAGCCTGGGAAATGCACAGAAGGAAACACTGTAGTGTTGGCAGGGCAGGCGGGGAGACTCTAGGGCCACAGATGAATGACCTAATACACACATGGCTTTGGTGGACGGAATAAAGACTGGTTCTCTGGAAGCTGGGACAGCAAGCTTAGCCTTAGAGTAAAGGTTATTTTATCAGGAAATAAATCAGAGGCCTGTAGCATGACCATTTTTTTCCAGGCACATCTTGGTGATGAGGAGGGTGTGTGTTCAGACCACAGGAATCTCCAAACCACCCAGCCGCCCCATCGGCTCTCAGGGACGCCAGGCGCAGGGCTGTTGAGAGCCCCAGACAACAGCATTTCTGAGTCTTCGCGTTGTGTCTTTCTGAGTGCATGTGGTTTCTTTCATTTGTGTTTGTATTTGGCCTTTTTTATTTGTTTGTTTGTTTGGACGGTCTCATTTGGAGGCTGGTGGTTACCGTCCTTCCCTCTGTGTGAAGTTCCTGCCAAGAAACCTGGTGTCTGCCATGCTCTGCCTCAGCTCCTCTGGCCAGCAGCCAGGCCTGAGGTGCCGGCTGGAGTTTCTGCTGGCCTGGCTTGCAAAATGCATTCCGGTGGGCACCAGAAAGGCAAGAAAAAGAGGAGCACTTAGGGGCAGGGAGCGAGGCAGGAGCCTACCAACCTGCTAAGCTGTCCCGGGGGAGAGGCAAGTGTCTGTCATAGAGATGTCCATTGAAAGGGCAAAAAACACCAAGGCTAATAAAAGTAAGCAGAGGCAGGGAATGGCATACTCTGGCTGGGAGTCCTTTTATATAAAAGTAACACACACTCTTATGATAGGGACAGAGAGTGGGGTTTGGAGTTCTAGTAGAATCTGTGAAAGGACAAATGGAAGGGATAGAATTGCAAAGGCAGTTTGGACATTTTCCCTCGTTGTGGCCCAGAGGTGTGTCCTACCTCAAAACCTGAAATAAACTCAAACACCCCACCTTCAGAGAGATGGAAGTTATTTTTAAAAAGACAGGCTTTCACTTTGAAGCTATTTCAAAAGACTAAGATATAATTTAGTTTTAGGGGACAGGGCGGGGGGTGGCGCAGGGAAGCAATGAGAGGAAAAAAAGTAAAAACACAAGTTATAAAAAACAAAAATAAAGTCCTAGAATTAAATTTTGCAACCGAAATATAGGCCTTTGGGTTCCTCATCAATCACAGCTCTGTGTTGCTGTTTTGGTGAATAGATTTCTGAATTTTATTTTGAATGGTATAATTTTCAGATTAAGATTTTAAAAGAAGTACCAGCCCAGAGAAGGATAAAAAATGGAAACTAGTCCACACAACTACTTCATACAACTGAGGGTGTGTACACGAGATATCCCTAAATGAATGCTTCTTAAAATTCTCCAGTATTTTTGTGCTCTGTACTTTCTCTGTACTCTGTAAGTTTTCTTTGCTCCAAGAACTGGGCCTGTCTGCATATTCTCAGAGATAACATCAGGTCAGCGCTTCAATTACCAAATCCCTGTTTTCAGAGACTTAACTCAGGTATAAAATGTGTTTGGGACTGAAACTTGGCAGATAACATCTCAAGCCAGCCGTTAATTCTCTAACATGTTTTCAAGGGCAAACATCTTTTAGCTGCTTATTTTCCGATCCCAAAGTGCAAATAAACAGAAGGCCATACAGTGAAATTATCCATAGTATGTCCCCGACCAGGCAGGCCCTACCTAATTGGATTCTGAGAAGGCTGACTGTAGAACAATGCTACTTTTAAAATTGAGCATTCTTTGTAGAAAAACATTCTACAAACAGAGAAGGGAGGTGGAGGGAAGAGCAGAGCTGTTGTTATGAAAATTCTTCATAGTTTGTTTTGGGAATATTAAGAATAAACCTGAAAGGAAGGGAGAAAACCAATGTCTTCTTCATTTCTTCTCCCCTAAAAGCTGTATGAGGGTTACTGTATTCATGTATAGAGCTGTCTGTTTTTTAAGAGCACAGAATTGATGTCACGAACACTTACTACCTTTGTGTTGAGCATTCGTGCTGGGGCTAGGGTCACTAAAAGATAAAAGTCATGGCCACTGGATTCCTGGTCTCAGGTTGAGAATATAAAACAAACAAAAAGGTAAATAAAGTATGTGGTAGTATCAACCACATACTAAATATATTGGCAATAAATGCCAATAATAAAAATAGAAAAATAAAACAGCCTACGAGGCCAGGCTTGCTAAACAGGGTTATTAGCACGGGTTTTGGAGTCGAACTACCTGAGATGTAAATTTGACCCCACCTTGGATAATTTACTTAATCCCCGTGTGTCTCAGTTTCCTTGTTTGTGCCTCAATTTCCTTGTCTATAATATGAGGTAAAATACAATATCAGTCTCTTTGGGCTCATAAAGAACTTGGAACAGTGCTTGGTGCACAGGAAGTGCTGAGGCTGATGCTAGAGAAACCTGAAACTAAGGGACCAGAGGTGAAAGGCCCAGTGACTGCACTGCTGTGGTCCTTTATTTTGTCTTCTTGGATCTTCAGTTATCCCTAACTTATTCCTGAAGGTTTCTCAAAGATCCCGGACAGCCTTCACATTGCATTTACAGATGTTATCAGGGCACCTAAGAAGAGGGCCCCTGGAGACAAGGCTTTCTCTCCTCCCTCTGGCTTGCCATACTTGGAACTGATTCAGTCCTGCAAGTGGAGGGTCATGTGGCTTACAAAACACCCTAGATTTGCTGTTCCCAGTTTCCACACATTATAGGCAGGAGTCCAAATTCTTTTGGATGCAAGTAGCAAAACTCAAACTAGACTTTGCAAAATGATATGTTGGAAGGAAGCCAGGTAGCCTTCAACCTTGAAGCTTGGGAACGCAGGGACAGAAGCATCTCTGGAGGCCTGGGAGCCTCAACTAGTCAGGCCTTCCTTCACCTCATCTTGCTGCTCCTCTCTGCTGTTGGCTTTGGTTTCTTCAATCTGCTTTGTCAAGGGGTAGGAATCATGTCCACTAGCAGCACCTGCTCACATCTGCCTCCTCTGTAATAAGAGAGAAAGGGGCCTTATTGTCTTCATTTCAAGCTGCAAAATTCCAGACAAGGACTCTGGTTGGGCTTGGATCACATATCTACCCCCTGGACCAATCCTTATGGCCAGAAGTGGAGCTGACATACTGTGGTTGACCCAGCTTTCTTCCCTAGAGCAGTTTTTATGGCCAGGTACCTGAACATGGTAGCTGCCTTCACATTCGGACAACCTGTTGGGATTGGAGATGGTAGAAGCTGTTCCCCAATACAATAATGTGTTGTTCCCTTAAGGACAGAGTGGTGCCAAGAGGACAATCCCATGACCATCTTTGGCATTATAGAATGACATTGTGGAAATAGTATTTTTATAGATAAGATTTGGCAGAACTGGATAAAGTAGTTGCTACCTCTTTCAAAGATTCCTCATGTCCTTGCTGCATGATAAATCAATTCTTTCCTTTTATTTCAGAAAAGCAAAATGTTTCTGTGTGGTGATGCATCACACAGTTCCAAAGGCCTTCACTTCCTTTGTATTGTGGAAGTTAGAATGTAAAGTCAGTGGTATTCCTGGATATCTATTTTTTGCCTTGTCCGTGGTAGCCACTCAATAATGCTTGTTGTTTGAATATATGAATCAGTGACCATAATGAAATTTTCTTTCTCAAATACAACAGTGAAATTGTAGATAGATCAATCATATGTCTATGTTAAAATATAAGCTCTTGGCCAGGCACAGTGGCTCACGCCTGTAATCCTAGCACTTTGGGAGGCCAAGGCGGTTAGATCACCTGAGGTCAGGAGCTCAAGACCAGCCCGACCAACATGGCGAAACCCCATCTCTACTAAAAATACAAAAATTAGTCGGGTGTGGTGGCATATGGCCGCAGTCCCAGCTACTCAGGAGGTTGAGGCAGGAGAATCTCTTGAACCCAGGAGGCAGAGGTTGCAGTGAGCCAAGATCACACCACTGCACTCCAGCCTGGGTGACCGAGTGAGACTCCATCTCAAAAAAAAAAAAAAACAAGCTCTTTTGCCCTAGCCTAAGGCAAGTCATTTAATTAATGTAAACCTCAGTGTCCCCATTTTTAAGACACAAAGATGGCCAGGCGCAGTGGCTCATGCCTGTAATCCCAGCACTTTGGGAGGCCGAGGTGGGCGGATCACAAGATCAGGAGATTGAGACCATCCTGGCTAACACGGTGAAACCCCCTCTCTACTAAAAATACAAAAATTAGCAGGGCATGGTGGCAGGCGCCTGTAGTCCCAGCTACTCGGGAGGCTGAGGCAGGAGAATGGTGTGAACCGGCGAGGCGGAGCTTGCAATGAGCTGAGATCACGCCACTGCACTCCAGCCTGGGTGACAGAGCAAGACTCCATCTCTTAAAAAAAAAAAAAAAAAAAAAAAGAAAAAAAAAAAAAAGACACAAAGATAATTATTCCTTCCTCTGAGGATTTTCTTAGGATCTAAACAAGATAAAAAATATTGCAGTGAACACATATTGCTTGTATAGCTCTTTTCCTATTAACTTTTTGTTTGTTTGTTTTTTCCTTCACCACCACCTACCCCCCTTGAGGAAAAACAAGGTAGCATCCTGGTATTGAAAGAGGAATTTTAAATAACTTGGTTCAATATTCTTATGTACAAATCACTGACTCCTTATTGGCTATAGAATGTATTTTCAGGGGCCTTTGAAAACTAATGAGAATTTGTAGAAGACACTGTAGTGATTCCTCAAGGATCTAGAATCAGAAATACCATTTGACCCAGCATTCCCATTACTGGGTATATACCCAAAGGATTATAAATCATTCTACCATAAAGACACATGCACATGTATGTTTATTGCAGCACTATTTACATAACAAAAATTTGGAACCAATCTAAATGCCCATCAATGATACACTGGATAAAGAAAATGTGGCACATGTACACCATGGAATACTATGCAGCCATAAAAAAGAATGAGTTCATGTCCTTTGCAGGGACATGGATGAAGCTGGAAGCCATCGTCCTTAGCAAACTGACACAGGAACAGAAAACCAAACACCACATGTTCTCACTCATAGGTGGGAATTGAACAATGAGAGCACATGGACACAGGGAGGGGAACATCACACACCATGGTCTGTCAGGGTGGGGAACAAAGGAAGGGAGAGCATTAGGACAAATACCTAATGCATGCAGGGGTTAAAACCTAGGTGATGGGTTGATAGGTACAGCAAACCACCATGGCACATGGATACCTATGTAACAAACCTGCATGTTCTGTACATGTATCCCACAGCTTGAAGTAAACTAAATAATAATAGTAATAAAATCATTAATTAGAAAAAAAACTACTGAGAACTTTTAAATTTTGTTTGCTTTCCTTTCAAGAATAATGTTAAAATTGACAGAAGCATATTCTGGATAAATTGGATGACCATCTTAAAGCAAACATTACCCCCAAACTCATGTTGGTACTTAGGACATTTTGGTGATAAATAATTGTCTGAAGAGACTAAACTTAAAGATTTTCTTTGACTCTCATAGCAATAGATAGATGGGTGGATAGATAGATACAGAAGATATATGGACATAGAGATGTAGACATACACACATACCATTTGTTAAGTGTCTTCTTTGTGTCAAACTCTCTCCTGTAGACTCCGCCTACACGTTAGCTCAGTTAATCCTCCCTACTGCACTACAAAATAGATTTATTACTCAGATTCAGATTTATGGCAAGATAGAGGCTCAGAGAGTTTAAGTGACTTATCCAGGGTTTCAAAGGCAGAAGTGGGAAGCCAGGGCAAGCCTCATCACGAGTACTGTCAAAAAAATCTTTCTCCTGGACTGCAGAGAATCAGCTCTGTGTTGCTGCCAAAGCTCTCCAGCTTCCTCTTTTCAAAGTCTCCTTTTTCTCAGCCTTTCAAAATCTCATCTAACACAAGGAAGAAACTACCACTGAAGAAAGATAAGAAGAAAAGTTGTGTGAGGGGCTAGTAGTGCGATGAATAATATGCCTGACTACAGATCAGAAAAAAAGTTCTGTGCACGTGCAGGTGTGCTGGCTGGCTGGATGGATGAGGAAGTCAATAGAGTTTTCTCTATACTCTACCTCTTATCATTTGCCTCATTTTCTACTTTTCTCTCTATGGCACTTGTTCCAGAAACAAATGCCTAGAATTGCCTATTTAACTTAAAATCGCTTCCAGAAATGGAGAGGCTTATTATACCTGGTATTATACCTGCTAAGCGCTTCTTAGCGGCCAAGTACTTTTAAAAAATGATTCAGAAGGTTGGCAGTTACTACCACCCTCAGAATGGAACAAAGCATTTTCAAAGGGAACTGACATTTTCTAAAATATCTTATAATTTAGCACCACAGAGCCAAATGTGCTAATAAGTGTTTTCCTGTTTAATCCTTGCATCAAGGCTGCAAAACTGATACTGTTATCCCCAGATATTATTATCTCCATATTTTGCAAACAAGGAAACAGAAATCCAGAATAAATAACCTGCCATGAGTTGGATATCTAATATTTGACAGAGGATTTAAACAGACTCTGCCTGGCTGTGGAGCCTACATTCTTTCTATTTAACATTGAATCGGTCTTCATCACAGTTGCCATCTTTCCCTATGAAATTTAGAGAAAGTTCAGTCCTCTCACAAAGAAGAAAGTGGAAAATTATTCTGCATGCACAAAAGCACTAAATAGGGTCATCATTCACATAACAGCATGTGTTACAGGAGAAGGTCCTACTCTCAGGAAACGTTTATCTTAAAAAAAGATGAACAAACTGATTTTTTAATAATTTCTTATAGTATTATATGTGAAGAATGCAGTGGACTGCATCATCAGATAGAAGTTAAATCCCTGTTTTAGATCTACCATTTGATTGCTGAATCAGCAATCAAAATAGCTGATTTTGATCTAAAATAGGGATTTAACTTCTATCTACTACTGGGTATCTACCCAGAGGAAAAGAAGTCATTATGTGAAAAAGATACTTGCACATGCATGTTTATAGAAGAAACCTGGATGGAATTGGAGACTACTATTCTAAGTGAAGTAACTTGGAAATGGAAAACCCAACATTGTATGTTCTCGCTCATTAGTGAGAGCTAAGCTGTGAGGACACAAAGGCATAAGAATGATACGATGAACTTTGGGGACTCAAGGGAAAGGGTGGGAGGGGGGTGAGGGATAAAAGACTACACATTGGGTACAGTGTACACTGCTTGGGTGATGGGTACACCAAAATCTCAGAAATCATCACTAAAGAACTTATTCATGTAACCAAATACCACCTGCTCCCTAAAAACCTTTTGAAATAAAAAAATAAATTTTTTTTTAAAAAAGTTAAATTTCTACTTTAGAGAAAGCACAGTGTGAAAACTACTAGTCAAACCTCTTCATGAAGGCAACACAAGGGCCTTTGTCTTTTGGCATCTCTTTTCCTCTCCAGCTTCATCTTTTGATATGCTTCAACTTGTACTCTGTGTTTTAATATTGATTTTTACATCTCCAAACATTCCATGCTGTTCTAAGATTCTGTGCCTTCCTTTACTCTGTTAGCTCTTCCTGGAACAAGTTATACACTTAACCACATAACCTACATTCCCTTGTCCATCTGGAATACTCTCAGAAAACCCAAGAGGATAAGTCTGTGGAACTTTCTAGACCCTCCCCTCTCCCTACCCAAGTCATGCCTTCCTACACTACCTCTAAGCTTCCAAAATCTTCTGTAGAGTTTGTTATGATGTCCTGTAATTATCTTTCTCACACTTGTGCACTGTGCTAGACTGTGGGTTCTTTTAGGGAAGATATAGTGTTTTATTTACCTTGATATCTCTCACACAGTGCCAGATCGCTAGGGATGCTTAATACATGACATTGGATTGAATCAAACTGAATTGATTAAAAAACAACTAAAATGTAAAGTGTAAATTTGAGACTTTCAAAACTTAAACTCCTTATAGAGCCATCTTTTCATTTGTCCCCTCTGCACACTTGTTAATGTTCTAGAGAGCTTGCCCCCAGGTAAGTTGTCTTTGCAAGTGGTCTTCCCTTATCAGTTTTATTCCTTCATTCAACAAGCATTGATTGAGTGCCTATGGTGTTTCAGGGCCTGCATCAGGAGCTTGGGATAGAAAGAAGGATGAGCCAAGACTCCTGCCTCAAAGAACTGACAACATAGCAAGGTTTTCTAAAAGTTCAGGAAAAAAAAAAAAAACGTAAAACAAAGTAAAGAGGGATTATTACTATGCAAGAAATGCAACAACATGCTTTTGGAGTGGGGGGCAGAGAAGAGAGAAAGCATTCAGAGAAGGGCCAGGGAACACCACCCAAACAAAAAGATGTTTGCATGAGGCCTTGAGTAGAAAGAAGGGTTTTGAAAGAAGATAGGTATTCTCTAAGTTCCCCTAAAAAAAAATTCCCAGCCATTTTTATAAGTAAAATTACCCTCACCTGAGAAAATTTTAAGTCACAATATTGCCAAGTTTCTTTTCTATGTCTTCTAAATCTATCCTGAAATCCCAGAAGACATTTCCCGCCAACTTTGACAGTTCTTTGGCAGAACTGATCTCCATGTTAATAAGCTATAAGGATACTGAAAGCACTGAAATAGCCATTATTGTGTTGCTGTCTTGTTGGGATTGGTTATATTGTATTAACACTGCCAGAGGACATAGCCTCAGTGAACTAAACTTAGAAATAAATGTTCAGGAAAAAAAAAAAAAGCCTTTAAAAAAATTACATTCAAGGAAAAAAGAGAAATGATGGAGACACCAGCCTATGAATGGGAGAAACAGTGTCAACAGGTGACAGGAAACATGAAACTCTGGGTTATGGCTTTGCTTATATCTTCTCTAAAAAAAATCCATTACAAATGGTAGAACAAAAATGGGGAGACTATTCACAAAGTGAATAGTGGCTGTTCTAGGTAATTCAGGTCTCCATGCCCAATGAATTTTATAACGAAACTTAAAAAACCCCTAGGTGAATGTCATTGGGGATTTCTGGGGAAAATAGAAGTGGGATCAAAACTCTGGGAATTTGGTAAATGTGTTTTTCAAAAAGTGTGAATCTGAGAGCTTAGCTTGAGCCTAAGGCATGTCCATGGGCCACAGTTTGGATCTACTTTGGTGGGTCTAGAAGGGTGGATCCATCAGGAAAATACATTGAATTAGAATCTTCTAGAAAATAACTTATTGTGGCCAGGTACAGTGGCTCATGCCTGGAATCACAACACTTTGGGAGGCTAAGTCAGGAGGATCACTTGAGACCAGGAGCTTGACTAGCCTGGGCAACATGGCGAAGCCCCATCTCTACAAAAAAAAAAAAAAAAAAATAGCCTGATCTTGTAACATACACCTGTAGTCCCAGTTACTTGGGAGTTTGAGGTGGGAGGATCATTTGAGCCCGGGAGGTAGAGGCTGCAGTGAGCAGACATCACCAGTGCCCTCCAGCCTGGGCAACAGAGTGAGACCCTGTCGCAAAAAAAAAAAAAAGAAAAAAAGGAAAAGAGAAAATCAAAGAAAAAGAGAGAGGAGAGGAGAGAAGAGAAGAGGAGGGGAGGGGAGGGAAGGGAGAATTTATTGTAAGAGAAGAAGGAGTCATCAGACAAAACCTGGTCCAATAAAAAAGCTTTGGTTATTGGAAGAAATGAGCAATTGCCAAGTGTTAGCCTATCACCTGCACTTGATCAGGAAATTGGCAATCTCATATTTTGATAGGAGTGTGAACGAGCACAACCACCAGTTTGGAATCTATCTTCCCTTTGAAAGAAGGAGTAGGGTCCAGGAAAAAGTAAGCCTGAAGGATGGTTATATGCTTGTTTGTTGGTATGTATTTAATGAATCCTCCTTCTGAACTTGGACTTGATGCTAACCAAAAGACAAGGATTAGAACCCTGACCACTGAGGGGAATTAAAAAGTGCTAGTTGTCTTAGATTCTAAAATTTGTAAAGAATGACAGAAAAATGATGACACAATTAATTTATTTTTTATGCTTGTTCCAGATGTTTTTAATTTAGCTTTCACCATTTTTCCTTCTCATAGAAAAATGCTCTAGTCCACATTGATAGTTTCTCTCGAAACCCCAGCACTGAGCAGAGTTTTTGCTGATGTTTTTCATGTGCAGCATTGAGAGACATGAGCAACTGAGCTGCAGGAGGAGTCGTTTTGCTCCTTTTTGGAAACGAGGGCCATTTGGAAATCTGCTCTCCCTCCTTCCCTTCTCCTAGAAAGAGCAGAAACTCAATCACGCTCAACAGCTTTAAGTGGGGCTGATATTTGTCAGATACACCTTAATGCTAGGTCTGTTGTGTTTCTTTAAACTCAATACTTCTAAGGGAATGCAGTGAGAAGGTGCTAGCACTTGAGCTTTGCCTATGGGGTTAGACTTAATGACCTTCGAGATTCTTTCCAGATCTGCAATGTGTTTATTTTGAAAGCTTTATAACCCCTGATGAGATATATAGTCATCACAGAGGGATTCAGAACCATTTATAAATTTGCATTGAACATGGTAGACCAAAGAATGTGGGCATTCTTATCAATAAGTAATGTGCGAGGAAATGGTGGAACTTCTCTTGAGATTTGTTAGAATGAATCAAAAGTCTTTAAAATATGCCTACCCTTTGACATAGCAGCACTTCTTCTAGAAATATATCCTAAGGAAATATTTAAGAGTGTTTTCAAAGAATTTAGCACTAAAATGTTCTGTTTTTTGAAATAATTTTCAGAAACCAGAAAGTATTTAAATGTCCAACAATAGCGGATGACTGCAGTAAATTGTGGCTTGTGTGTGCTAGTATACTGTGCAGTCATCAAAAATGAGACAGTACATGTGTATTTATTCTAGTGAGAGAACAGATTATAAAAGTAGCATTACATTATGATCTCATGTTTGTAGCAGACACACATATGGACATTCAAAAAAATTCTTGATAGAACTACTAAATATTAACAGTTATATGTTATTACCTGCGGTAAAAGCCGATTTCTATTTTCACCTCTTTATATGTATTCTTTTTCTAAATTTTTACCGTGATTAAAAATTTGTGTTGCCAAAAAAGTTTCAAATACCTAAGTATGTATTAATATATGTATCCATTTTTGCATTCAATAATTATTTATCAAATGCCTCTTATTCAGCATGCTTTGTGCATATGTCAACCTTTCTATCAAATTTGCTGTTAACTATTTGATCATTTTCTTAGTAACGGATGAACAGAAGAAGCCTAGTAAATAAAGTAGTGAAAAATCAACAAAAAGGTTGAAAAGCTTATTTAAAGCCATGTGATGAATTCAAAACAGCAGCCAGAACTTGTAACCTCAGATCCTCAACGTTGAACCCCTTAAGCAGATGCTGTTCTCCTATTCATCTTAATTTGTGTTCATTGTCTGTTAGGACTGAAAGGTACCTTGAAGAGGTCATTTGAAGAAAGCATTGGCCACAGTACTCTGCAGCTGCCCCCATGAAGAAAAGTAGTACATTTTCCACCCCACCTCCAATCTGGGCTGGTCCATGACTCAATCGTGCCAGTTCTTAGCCTAGGCCACTGGAGACTTTGCATCTTTCACTTTTTTAGAACCTTTGACCAGCACGTGAATCACCCTGGGTTAGCCTACTGGAGAATAAGCAAACTAGTGAAGAAAGATTCCAGTCATCCCATCACCCAGACATGGCCATCATAAACCAGCTGACCAGAGACATATGAGTAAGCCCCTCTGAGGTCAGCAAAACCACCCATAGATATCTAGTCCTAAATGCCAAGCCACAGAATGGTGAGCTAAATAAATGTTTGCTGTTTTGAACCACAAAGTTTTTGGGGTGGTTTGTCATGCAGCGAAAGCTAACACATACACTCAGGCTCATATCATCCTCCTCATTTTTCAACTAAAGAAACCAACGAGATAAAGGAGGTGCCCCACTTAGAGTCACACTGTAAATCAATCAAACTGAGAGAAGAGCCAAATTCTCCTGACTGCCATGCACTGAATGCTTCAGAAAGGAAAAGGTTAACACAGTTCACACACTGTTCACAAACACAGACAGAATTAAAACCTTGGCTAAACAATATGGCAAATAGGCTCAGGTCACCATGTGCTCCATGTCTTCCTGCCAGTTCAATCATTTGGCTGCAGGAGAAAGGAAAAAATACCACATTCTGTTCTACTCCTGTCCTGCCCCAGTCAATTCCAGTATTTCCCCATCACACAGACCACCTGGGAGTTAGGCCCCTGGAGCCTCAGAAGTGTCCGCTCTCTTGCTGTCTCTTCTCTTTTCTTCTTTTTTCCTCCTCTCCTCCCTCCCCCTTCTTCTCTTCATCAATCTTTCTTCTCCTTCAATCTCTCTCTCTGTTTCTTTCAAAAGCCAGAGACCCCCTAACCCATTCCTACATCTTTTTTCTGACTTCACTGACCTCCTACCTACACAGAAAAATCAAATTGACAGAAGAACGAATCAAAATTCACAACCTCAACTGCATCTCAGGATTGCCCTAACAACTACTCATAATATGTGCCAATTCAAAGTGCTTGGCCCCAAACCTTAGCCAATTAATCCTCACAGCCACCCTGTGTGTTAGTTAGGCCTCATTATTCATAAGTTACAGACCACAAAAACAAAGCCAGAAGAAATAACTGCCATACCCAAGGCTCAGAGGCAGGAGAAGAGCCGTGGCCCTCCTGGCACTGGGGCAGAGGCCGGACACAGCTCATGAAGCCACAGCAATCCCCCTGGTACAGACCCAGAGGCCAGTGCCAAAGGGCGGCTCAAGCCTTTCCTTTTCCATTAGCCACAGGTGTGTTTTACCACAGCCTAACTAGCAGCTACTATTTATTCTCTGGGATTTTCTAAAAACGTGCTTTTGCAGATTTTCAAGCCAAAGGCATTCCCAGCATCACTCTTTATTAAATCGACCCACGGAAATGTATTGAAAATCACGAGCATTTTGAAACATACTGAGTCCTTTATGGCTGGAATAATCTAATAGACAAGCTGTTGTTAATTTACAACCTTAATTTTCAGACACACTTCTTGAGTCAAAAGTACTTCCTGCTCCATAATTCCTGTAGGGATACAGGTGGCCTAGGACTAAGTACACATCTACTGTACATTAAAATGTATTTCTTACTTAACTTAAACATTTCTGAAATCTCAAGTTTATGTCTAGACTATTTTAATCAGCTAAATGTCATAATAAGCCATATGCTGGTCTTGATCGGTTACATACACCAGCCCTACTCATAAAGTATCAAAAGGTGTTTTTAAAAAGAAATCTGTGTTTGTTTTACCAAGAAAATGGTACTTTCAGTCTATCATATCAGACATGCTGGCAAGCAGAAAAGGACCTTACGTAACTAGTGGAAAAAATGGGTTTTTCTCCCTCTTTTCCTCTCATTTACCACGCCATCAATGCCACTTTTAAACTTCAGAGTTTAAGAGCAATAAGCTTCTATTGGTTGAAAATGGCACTTGACCACTATCCACAAAACATCAACACTGAGAGAAAGCAGAATGGTGTTGAGCAGGTATTTTTGTTGCTGCTGTTCTCATTTTTACAAGGGTTCTCTGCTTTCAGTTTCTTCCCACCTGAATTGGTCTGCAACTCTCAACCCCCAAAACAGCTACCAAGTCACCCAAACATAAGATGGGAAAAAGTAAGAGCATTGCTGACTAAATCAATATCCAAGTCTTTAATGAGCACCTGTCATGCCTAACATGTTGTGTTAGGACCTGCAGCCACAGCCGAGAGCAAGGGGGTCCTGACACCTGCTTCCACAGAGCCTGCAGTTTTACTGGAGGAAAAGACGTTAAACATAATTCCACAAATACTCATAGACATGCATTTTCACTAGAGTTCTGAAGACAGAGTGCTGAATACCATAAGAGTTCACACCAGAGACACAGACAAGTACACAGGAATGGAAAAGGGTTCCCCAAGGAAATTATATTAGGCTTTGACCTTAGGAATAAGTAGGAGTTGGTCAGATAGAGAATTCAAATCTGTGGCTGGGTGTGGTGGCTCACACCTGTAATCCCAGAACTTTGGGAGGTCAAAGCAGATGGATCATTTGAGGTCAGGAGTTCGAGACCAGCTTGGCCAACATGGTGAAACCCTGGCTCTACTAAAAATACAAACATTAATGGGGCGCACCTGTAGTCCCAGCTACTCGGGAGGCTGAAGAAGGAGAATCACTTAAACCTGGGAGGTGGTGGTTGCAGTGAGCCAAGATCACGCCACTGCAATTCAACCTGGGCAACAGAGTGAATGAGACTCCATCTCAAAAAAAAAAAAAAGATTCAAATCTGCTAACTTCTTACTTTTATGACAGCTAGAAAGCATCAGAAACTGCCTAAAGTCACTTGTTTCCAATTCTAAAGAAGCATAATTGAAAGAGCACTCATTAATCAAATTAGAAAACACAGGCTTTCTTATCAATCTAAAGAGGGATCTTATCCCAAATTATGAAGTCACACACACACACATACACACACACACACACACACACACAAAATGATACTTCAGGGAAAATAAGTAAATTGGGTTTTAATGTTGACACTTGATAAAATTTTATGAACTGTGGATTAAGAATAAGAATTCTTGCATGGAGACTTTTTTCTGGAGATGAAAATGGTCCTAAAGTTTGGTTATGCCAAGCCTGGACAGAAACACAGGGGGAGTTTGTTTCCACCATACCATGCAATCACATAATTGCTCTTGGTTCACATAATCTGAAGAGTAGGAAATACTTTGTAATGACAATTTTTGTAAATGATGATGTTTCTCTGGGCATCTTCTCAGTGCATGCTCTTCCTCAACTGGAATGAGTCGAGTCTTGGTGGGGAAAGCATGTGATAGTTCTGTTTGTGTCTCTCAGCTGTGTCTGCAAACTGCATTATGAGTTCACGGCCATGCCCCCACTGAATCAGGATCTACACTCTGCTTTAGCCTGTTCAGGCATTGGAGTAGTTTCGGTACTGTTCATCAACTCTTTCTCATTCCTCTCCTCCCAGACAGATGACTGTACTTCTCTGCCCCCTGGAAATGAGGCTTGCCCGTCTGACTCACTTTGTCCAGTGAATTATCAACAGAAGTGATGTGAATCACTTCGAAGTGGAAGCTTCAAGTGCTGGTACAAGATTTACCTCTCTGTATTTCCCTGTTCCTGTGATCTTGTAAGTACAGTTGGCCCGCCCTCCGTATCCACAGATTCTGCATCCACAGATTCAAGCAGCGTTGGATTGAAAATATGAAAAATAAAAAATAGATAATTCTCTCTGTATTGAACATGTACAGACATTTTTTTCTTGTCATTCCTCCCTAAACAATTAGGAATGACAACTATTTACATAGCACTTACATTGTATTAGGTATTATAAGTAATCTAGAGATGATTTAAAGTATATGGGAGGATGCATGTGTGTTATATGCAAATACTATGCCATTTCATATAAGGGACTTGAGCATCTACAGATTTTGCTGTCTGTGGACATCCTGGAACTAATCTCTGGAGGCAACTGAGGGACAACTATACTTATCAACATAGAGCTGTGTCATTCTGAAACCTGAGTGATTGTAGAGTGCCCTTCTGACCTACACTGCACATGTAGCATAAGAAATACAGTGTATCCTGTTAAGCTATAGAGATTGAGGGGTTATTTGTAATTGTACTATATCCCAGCCCATCCTGGCTCCATAAGAATTAATGTTGGGATTTTTCTTTTCTTTTCTTTTTTTCTTTTTTGTCACCAAGGCTGGAGTGCAGTAGTGCGATCATGGCTCACTACATCCTCGACTTCCCAGGCTCAAGTGATTCTCCCACCACAGCCTCCCAAGTAGCTAGGCCTACAGGCACATGACACCATGCCCAGCTAATTTTATTTTTTATTTTTTGGTAGAGATAAAGTCTCACGCTTGCTATGCTGCCCAGGCTGGTCTCGAACTCCTGGGCTCAAGTGGTCCTCCTGTCTCGATCTCCAAAAATGCTGAGATTACAGGCATGAGGCACCACCCCCAGATTTTTTTCACTTTTGCCATACTACCTTCTTTTATGTCACGCTTGCACTCAAAATTATATTGACCCCCTATATAAATATACCTGGAAATTCAGTGCCAAATGGATATTTTTTGAGACCCAAAAATTACTGCTTCCAAAATAGCTATCCCTAGAAAATAGTGAATCACCAGTAATTGGTAACTCTTCCACTTTGGACCCTGCTCAGGGTGGAGTGGGGAGCGGTTCCAGGAGTCTGTATCATGTTATCTCCAACCTAAAGCTATAGAGAGGATTGGCTAAAAGTACACATACACCCAGTCTGTGTTGACTCAATTCCTGGTTCTGTCATTTACTGTTTATAACCTTGGGCACATTATTTATTCTCTCCCTGCCTCAATTTTCTTATCTGTCAAATGGGAGATCTTCAAAGTGCTTTTTTCATAAGTTTCATGAAGGAATCAAATAAGGTGGTGCAGGTAAACCAGGAACAGTGCCTAGCAAATGCTCAATCATTTTATCCATCATTACCATAATGTTAAGTCTTGCAACACTCTCCTGTCACTTCTCATCCTTGCCACTACAGCTTACCACATAGATCATTATGTGGCTCATACATCATTTTTCACAGCCGGTATAGGAGAATCAAACAATCTTCAACTCATTAGAGTGCCTGAAAACTAAATTGCCTCCCCTATCTTCCTCAACTGCTTTCACTACAATTTCCAGAGTAATTTCTCTCTGCTACAGTGATGACTTCCCACCTTCTCAGGAAGATAAGATGTTGTGTTCACACACTAGGCTAGCAGTCCTCAAATGTCCAGCTGAAGATGGACTGAGACAAGGAGGCCGGGGGCACGAGAAGAACCAGCAGAGGCGAGCGTGAGCTTGTGGGCAAGAAGTTTTGAGAGGCCGCCCTGCTCTGATCAATAGGACTTTGAAAGAACTACATGGGTGACAAGAATGCACTGTGATTCCTTTTTCTGATTATTTGAGACTGAAGTAAAGACTTTAATTGCTTGTCAGTGTTAGATATCAAATTTATTTTTTCTGGCAGCCACACTCAGACTGCTCCCAGTGCAAACCCACTGTGTAGGGGCTGTGCCCACAATGAGGGCTTCCACAGCCGTTCTCTCCCTAGGTGCCCCTTTGATGTTTTCCTTTCATCCTCACACTCCATGAATTTTCTAAGGGCCTCTTACGTTTAATGTACTTCTTATCTTACTCTGCTCCAGCTGTTATCACAAAATACCATAGACTGGGTGGCTTTAACAACAGACATTTATTTTCCCACCTACATACATCCAGTCTGGGTGGACTCAATTCCTGGTCCTGCTGTTTATTGTCTATAACCTTGGGCACATAATTTATGCTCTCCCTGCCTCAATTTTCTTATCTGTAAAATGGGAGTTCTTCAACATGCCTCTTTTTTTTTCAATTTTTTTGTTTGTTTTGTTTTGTTTTTTATTTTATTTTAAGTTCTGGGATACATGTGCCGAACATGCAGGTTTGTTACATAGGTATACATGTGCCATGGTGGTTTGCTGCACCTATCAACCCATCATCTAGGTTTTAAGCCCCGCATGCATTAGGTATTTGTCCTAATGCTTTCCCTCCCCTTGCCCCCTGACATCCTGACAGGCCCTGACGTGTGATGTTCTTTCAGATGTGCTTCTTTCATAAGTTTCACGAGGTCATCAAATAAGATGACGCAGGTAAACCAGGAACAGTGCCTAGCAAGTTCTCAGTCGTTTTACCCATCATTACAATAATGTTAAGTCTTAAGTTGCTCCTAGTCTCAGTGCAGCCCATCCTCAGGTGAACATCTGAGTGCTGCCAGCCTACCATAGTATTCCAGTTCTGGAGGCTAAGAAGTCCAAGATCAGGGTACTGCTTAATATGGCTCCTGGTAAGGAACACTTCCTTGTGTTCAGATGGCCACCTTCTCACTGTGTCCTCACACAGCAGAGAGAAATCTCTCTCTCTCTCCCTTTTCATATAAATCCCCTGATCCCATCATGGGAACCTTGCCCTTATGACCTCATCTAACGCTAATTACCTCCCAAAGCCCCATCTCCAAATACCATCACGTTAGGTAATAGGGCTTCAACAAATGAATTTGTGGAGGGACATAATCATTTAGTACATGATCTCTCTGAGGAGAGAAAACCAAATTGTGGGCTAAGTCTGACCTTCAAGATTCAGGAAATCCAGCCGGGTGTGGTGGCTCACGCCTGTAATCCCAACACTTTGGGAGGTCAAGACAGGTGGATCGCTAGAGCCCAGGAGTTCCAGAGGGAACTCCTGTGCTAAGTGCTAGCATGGAGTAATCACTCATAACCATTCATTTAAAAAGAAGTGCAAGGGCTGGCACAGTGGCTCATGCCTGTGATCCCAGCACTTTGGGAGGCTGAGGTGGGCAGATCACCTGAGGTCGGGAGTTCCAGACCAGCCTGGCCAACATGGAGAAACCCTGTCTCTACTAAAAATACAAAATTAGCTAAGCGTGGTGGTGCAAGCCTGTAACTCCAGCTACTCAAGAGGTTGAGGCAGGAGAATTGCTTGAACCCAGGAAGAAGAGATTGCAGTGAGCCAAGATCATGCCATTGCAATCCAGCCTGGGCAACAAGAGCGAAACTCCGTCTCAAAAAAAAAATTTAATTAAAAAACTCAAAAAGAAATAAAAAGAAATGTGAGGAGGGGAGTCATTTCCAAATGAGACCTGGGGAGGGATGGGAAAGATTCCCAGAGGGTGGCAAGATCTTATCTGAACATTAAATCCTGGTGTTAGGGGAGAAGTTAGGTAGGCTATGATGGGTAAGGGTATCAGGCTAAAAAGCACCTGAGTTTGGAGAACTGTAAACAAATGTGTCTGGGTGGAATGTTAGGGAGGCATAGGGGTATGGGTTTGGACCCTGGGTATCCTTAAAATCCAGACCTCTTTAGGTTTTGTCCCATGCTTTACCTTATTCAATAGAATGCAGCACCTCATCTTCAGTGCTTATGAAAAATGTTTTAACTCAAAGTACATTGTTCCAATAAACCCAAATACAATCATGAAAAAAAAAATCTGCTTTTCCCTTCACATTGTTCAGGAGCAAATCCCAGTTTGATTTTATACTCAGGAGCTTGTTCTGCCCTAATGTAAAAAATACATAATGGGACTCAAGTGGAACATAAAACTATTTCAAAGGAATTTTTTGTTCAAAACAAAGCCCCCTTTAACCCCTGAGACACCGAAAGTTAAGCGAATTATTAGGATTTTTTTTCCCATATTTCTTCTTTTAAGATAAAAGCTTTTCTTAAAAAGTAAATGTTGGCCGGGCATGGTGGCTCACGCCTGTAATCCCAGCACTTTGGGAGGCCAAGGCAGGAGGATCATTTGAGGTCAGGAGTTTGAGACCAGCCTGGCCAACATGGTGAAACCCAGTCTCTACTAAAAATACAAAAATTAGCCAGGCGTGGTGGCAGGCGCCTGTAATCCCAGCTACTCTGGAGGCTGACGCAGGAGAATCGCTTGAGCCTGGGAGGCGGAGGTTGCAGGGAGCCCAGATCGTGCCACTGCACTCCAGTCTGGGCGACAGAGTGAGATCCGGTCTCAAAAAAAAAAAAAAAAAAAAAAAGTAAATGTTAACATCACACTAATCTAATCTAATAGGTAAAGTGATTCTGAGTTAGTGAAACTTAAGTATTATTCAATATGTTTAAAGCTATCTTAATACTTTCTAGAACAATGAAATCATAGATTAGCAAAGAATTTGCCAGGTAAGCATCTGTTGTTGTTGCTGTTGTTGTTGTTGTTGTTGTTGACAGGGTCTCATTCTGTCACCCAGGCTGGTGTGCAGTGCCACACTCACGGATCACTGCAGCTTCAACCTCTCAGGCTCAAGCGATTCTCCCACCTCAGCCTCCCAAGTAGCTGGGACTACAGGCATAAGCCACCACACCCAACCAATTTTATTTTATTTTATTTTATTTTTTGGAGAGATGAGGTCTCACTATATTGCCCAGGCTGGTCTCGAACCTGAGGCTCAAGTGATCCTCCCACCTGGGTCTTCCAAAGTACTGGGATGACATGCATGAGTCTGGCCATTAGGCATCTTAATGAACAGATAATGATTGGTAATTGTGCCTGAATTAGTTCTATGTAAATGCATTCTGCCAAAATGGTTTAAAGAATGAATGAGAAAACTCTTGGTCCCCTTAAATACAGTTATACCTCCATTTAATTTGTACTAGACACAAAAATGAATTAGATACACTCCCTACCCTCTGGCATCGCACAGTCTAATTTAAGCAAATGAAAACAATAAGCTTCAGAATGTTGCAATAGAGGTAAAATTGAAGTCTTACCAGAATACTTAACAGACAGTCCTCTTGGGTCTTTGCATTATTATTTTGTTTAATAAATCCTATTTTTAAGAACAATTGAAAGTGATGCTGCTATTCAATTTAACTAAAATTAAATCCCACTCCCATTAGCCCCAAATTAGTGGATTCGAAACACATAAGATCTCAGTGCATATAATGTATGACACATATTTTCTCCTAAGAATCGTACCAACAGAAACAGTCTGCTGTTCCAAATTTCTTTCTTTGCACTTGTCTTACTTGAAGACTCAACTTTGCAAGCTGTGGGGGAAAGTAATCATCTGTTTATGTATCATGAAGATGAGAGTTTCTCGATGATAAGGGATTACAGCTTTAATCTTCTTTGATTCCCTAGATCCTAGAACAAATTAATAGAAGGTGAGGGAGAAAGAAAATGAGTGAGTGAGTGAATAATTCATAGAAAGAAGGTTTTGTTCAGAAAACACCCATTTAGTGGAGGAAATGTCATCTAATAATGCAACAATCATAAGATAATGATAATGATTGAGTACCTACCATGTGCCATGTTTTCTTCTAAGCACTTCATTTGTGGTGGTTCATTTAATCTTCCTTGTCCTGGGGACTGCCTTCATTTTACAAGTGAGGAAAATGGACACAGAGAGGTTATATATTGTAGGGAGCTGGGACCCTATTTAAGAGCTCTTTACTGAAGTGCGTGGCCCCATAGGGCCTTGTGGAAACCTGTTCCCTAAATGTGTATGCTATTTTGTGTGTGTGTGTATTTTCTGGGGAGAAGAGTCATAGTCTATTCGGATACCCAAACTGGCCTATTACATCCCCCCTCCCAAAAAGTTAAGACACTGTATGTGTTTCCATTTCAACTTAGATATTAATATTGAGTGAATGAAATAGTCACTACACTAAATTGACTATAAATCTGGTAGTCATGTTATAAAATAAGGGTTTTCCACACTCCAACTCCATTTCCTCCAGTTTTCTCTAAAAATAAATGAAAAACAAAAAGACTCTTAGAGAAACGAATTCTACCAAACTTCCCTGAATGCCTGTCAGACTTTTCCACAGGACAGAGGAAAAACTAGTAACAAAATCAGGAAAGTGCACCGGTGATCATGTTTGCCAAACCCAGCAGCATTTCCTCAGGTCTCCAATTTTTAGTAGTTTCAGATCCTTCCCCACCTGCCTGGAAATCCTGTTCCTTCCTCATTCTCCTAGTTTTACTCCTATCCAAATCTATGCTCTTAACTTTCTACTCTTCCTTTTTCTCATATTTTGTCAAAGCTGTCATCCAGTCTCATGACTTCAGTATGAACTGCTAACCCAGCAAACTCCAATCTTTGCAGGTCGTTCATGCCCTTTCCCCTAAAGGTTGACTGCACACTTTCGACCACACACTGCACATTTCCAAGGGATGTCCTATTCCCATCTCAAATTCAGCACATCTGAAACTTGACAGCATCTGCCCCATCGAACCAACACTTTTTCTGGCTTCCAGTTCATCAGTGATGCCAGCATTATTGACAGTATTTGTGCCTAAAATCAGGAAACCATTTGGTACGACCTTTTCTCATATTTCCCCATATCTAAGACGTATCTTTCACAATATTTGCCTCATCTGCCTCTTCCTTTTAATTCCTCCTGCACTCCTCCTAACCCAGAAATTCCTCATCACTTCCTCCTCCCTATCATGTCTAGTCTCTTAGATTTGTATGTTGGTTTCTTTATAATATTCCCTATGCATCCTTCAGGACTTAAGTCCCATTTCTTCCACAAAGTCTCCTCTAAGAACACTACAATGCTACCTTTCCTCACCAAGTGAACAAACTACTTATTTGACACTTACCATCAAAATTCAACAAAGGCCAGACATGATGGCACCTGTAGTCCCAGACCTTTGGGAGACTGAGGTGGGAGAACTGCTTGAAACCAGGAGTTCAAGACCAGCCTGGGCAACACAGTGAGACCCCCCAAACCTCTATAAAAATTTTTTTTTAATTAACCAAGCATGGTGACACATGTATATAGTCCCAGCTACTCAGGAGGCTGAGACAAGAGGATTGCTTGAGCCCAGGAGTTCAAATCCAGCCTGGGCAACATAGCAAGACCCTGTATCTAAGAAAAAAAAAAAACAACAACAGAGTTTAGAAAAGGGTGGGACAACCTTGTATGGCTTCCAATTTTATGGATAAGGAAACTGAACTCAAAAAATATTCAGTGATTTGCCCAAGGTCATACCACTGATCTGTGACAGAAGCTGTAGAACCAATGATTACACCTAGCCTAAGCAACAGTCTCCAATACCAAGCTCTCAGCTCCTTGGAGGGCAAAAGCATGCCTTTTACCTCTTCACAGCCTCCTGTATGTCCAGCACAGCATTGTGTACATAGTAAATGCTCAATAAATAAAAATACCATCTAAGGAGAGAAAGAGATCAGGAATAGGAAAGAAGGGAGAGTATGAAGAAGGCACAGCTAGCCTGGCAAATCTAAGAAATCCACGGCCGGGCGCAGTGGCTCACGCCTGTAATCCCAGCACTTTGGGAGGCCAAGGCGGGTGGATCACGAGGTCAGGAGATCAAGACCATCCTGGCTAACACGGTGAAACCCCGTCTCTACTAAAAATACAAAAAATTAGCTGGGCGTGGTGGCGGGCACCTATAGTCCCAGCTACTAGGGAGGCTGAGGCAGGAGAATGATGTGAACCCGGGAGGTGGAGCTTGCAGTGAGCTGAGATCACGCCACTGCGCTCCAGCCTGGGTGACAGAGCGAGACTCCGTCTCAAAAAAAAAGAAAAGAAATCCACATACACCCCTGGCTGGCCGGGCAGTGAGGACCCACCACCCAAGCCAGTACCCTCCTGAGAAGAGGAGGGAAAGTGACATCTGGATCACACCTGGAGACCACAGGAACATCGTGTTCCAGCCTCCAAGTCGCCGCCTGCCTCAACCCAGCACGGAGGGACTTTCACAAACCTCTGGCCTGCTGTGTGGCTGGTGACTCAAAACTGTGCCTGTTGTCTGAGGTATCATTTGTAAAGTGCTTTCTTGGAAGAGAAAATGTTTGGGACAGCTGGAAGAGGAGCTCCCTGTCCTGGAGCCACAAGTGGCCTTGTTGTGTGCCCTATGAGAACACAGCCTTCTTATTTCTCTCCCTCTTCCCCTAGCCTGTGTTTATTTAAATCTTCCACCACCATGGTTGGGGGGAGGGGGAGGGGTGTGCCCAGGACTTCAGGCAAGGTCTTTGGAACCACCAGGGAGCAGGCCCAGTACTTACTGCAGGGACCACAGTAGTCATGGGCACAGGCCCCGGGCCAGGAATCAGGGAGTCTGGCCAGGACAGTGGGAGGCATTGGGAAAGAGTTGTTATTGTGTCTTTGGCAATCCTGTAATTATTGTGTTTGCTGTTATGATTTCTGTCTCTGGTGCCATTTCTCTTGGTAAATCTGTTCCCACTGTGTCTTCTACAGAGAGTCCTTTTAAATATATAAATATGTGTACATTTGATAGCCAGGCTGCTATGTTGACTTCTCAAAGAGTCTGTGGTAGCTCAGGAGGAGAGTAACTGAAGGGAGGATAGATTCCTCTCGGGAAGACTTGCATTTATTAGCAAAACAAAGCCTTCAGGTGGGCTTTCACCACCCCCCAAACCTGCCCCTTTTGCTCAAGTACAGCCACCCAGTGGACCTACTACTACCAACATCCTGCAACCCAAGAGTGTGTCCAAATCACTGGGAACCTGCCTCCAACCCCACCTACTGTACACCAGCTTCTGCTCAATCAAGAAATCAGAAGAAAGACAGAACGGGGGCCAGAGTGCCTTTCCACTCCCAGCTGAAGGGCCCAGGCATTCCCCTGACACATTTTAGAACAAAGGACAGAGCAACAAAGATGTCCCTGACTTACAAGAAGCAGCCAGGCTATTCGTTCCCTGGAAGAGACATCTCCACACACACAAACCATGGTGTATATTTATAAAATCATCAAGGTCTCCTTCCTGGGGCACCTCTGTTTGCCAGTGGCAAACATTAGTGAGGCTTAATTTTTTTTTAATCTTCTTTTTTTTTTTTTTCTGTTGCCCCATGAGAAGCTCCAAAGGCAAGCAGGATTAAGGCTTTTTAGGGTTAGGAAAATTGTCTTAAGAATCACCATAGTGTACTTTCTAGGCTAGAGGAAGAAAAAAACTTATGTTTATATCTACAAAAAGGATATGATTCCACTATGGTGAGAAGATACTTAATTGTAGCCATGCTCTGCGGCAGCTTTTCCTAGTCAATTTAAAGCAAAATTCTATTTTTCAATTCTTACTTTACCAGTTTCTGGTAAGGCGTTGGGTATTTATAAAAAGAAGGCCCTGGCAGGTGCGGTGTGACTCATGCCTATAATCCCAACCCATTGGGAGGCCAAGTTAGGAGGATCGCTTGAGGCCAGGAGTTCAAGACCAATCTAGGCAATATAGCAAGACCCTAGTCTCTATAAACAATTAAAATATTAGCTGGCCATAGTCCCAGCCACTGGGGAGGCTGAGGTGGGAGGATCACTTGAGTCTGGGAGGTGGAGGATGCAATGAGCTGTGACTGTGCCACTACACTCCAGCCTGGGCAACAGAGGGAGACCTTGTCTCAAAAAAGTAAATAAAAATAAGGCCCTCATTAAAAATAATTTATTAGATATTTATAAACAGCACTAATTTTTTTTCCTATTAAAACTAATAATGCAATGAACATATCCTCACAGAACAGGTGTTCTTAAAAAGCTGAATTCCTTCCTTGAAATAGACTTCTAGGATTAATATTATTGGGTCACAGGGTAGGAAAGAATTCCTGCTTGTTATGTGTTATATATATATATCTCCTCACAAAGCTTTCTGAAAGTATTGTACCAAATGGAAATGCCACTAGAAGCGTATGCAGTTATTAATTTGTCCAGGTCAATTTAAGACCTGTTGGTGTTAATGGTATGTCAGGTGCAATGCATTATTTTATGATCCTGTCTGATACCTGATGGAAACAGGTTTCCCACCCTAACAACTCTTCCCTCTAGGGGTGGTCTTTGGTCATATGCCCCATTACTTTTCCAAATTAATATCTTAAAAAAAATTTGAAGATTTCCAGGGCAATAATCCTGTAGTTATTTTGATTAGAATCGTGCCTCTATAAATTATGAATCTACAGATTAAAAATAATAGACATATTGAAAGATTGGATGTTCCCATTCAAGAGCAGCATTCATGTATTATGTTGATTTTTTTTTCCTCCTGCACTCCTGGTCATGTCTGCAGCCATGTTGACAGTGTAAGGGTGTGTCAGAGAAAGCCATTCCTCTCCAGGACACAAGCTTCTCCTCTCCTTTCTGGGCTCTCCCAGGAAGACTTCATGTCCTAGTGCCCTTGCAGCTAGGTGCACCCATGTGGCTGAGCCCTGGACAGTGGAATATGGAAAAAAGTCACGTGCTGCCTGCGGGCCTGACCTCTGACACCTCTCATGAGAGCCTCTACACTCGCTCACTTCCCTCTTCACTTGCCAGCGAGATGTAAAGGATCCTGGGTAGAATCCCACTGGGTGGATCCCACTGGGTGGAGGCCTAGTTCTCTCATCACCATGGGGCAGGCCAACCTTCCCATGGTTTACTGGACCATCTTCACATGGTTGTCACCCTAGGTGTCTGTATCCTAATCTCTTTTTATAAGAACGCCAGTCAGATTAGATTGCAGACTCACCATAATGATTTTATTTTACCTTCATCACCTCTTCAAAGGCTCTGTCTCCAAATACAGTCACATTCTGACCATCAAGTAAGTAAAAAATAAAAATGTTGCTGTGTTAACCCACTAAGATTTGGCGGTTATTTACCTGATTGTTGCAACAGGTAACCTACTTTAATGGAATAGGGAGACTCCCTAAACTTCTAAGCCAAAGACTTATATCAGTCAAGGTTCTCCAGGGAAACAGAATCAATAGGATTTTATAGAGAGAGAGAGAGAGAGGGAGAGACAGAGACAGAGAGAGAGAGAGAGAGAGAGAGAAGGAGAGAGAGAGAGAGAGGGAGAGAGAGAGAGAGACAAACAGACTTATTTTAAGGAACTGGTTCACATGATTGTGGGAGTTTGCAAGTCTGAAGTCTATAGGGCAGGCCAGTAGGCTGGAATTCAGGTAAGAGTCAATGTTGTACTCTTAAGTCTGAAATCCTCAGAGCAGGCCAGCTGGAAACTCGGGCAGCCTTAAGACGGAATTCTCATCTACATTGCAGCCTTGAGACAGAATTCCATCTTAACCCTCAGTCTTTGCTCTTAATGCCTTCAACTGACTAGACGAGGCCCACCCACATTACAGAGGGTGATCGGCTTAACTCAAAGTCTACTGTAATAAATGTTAATCACATCTAAAAAACAAAAAAATCCCTGTCACAGCAACACCTAGACTGTTGTTTGACTGAACAGCTGGGCCCAACAGCCCAGGCAAGTTGACATATAAAAATAGCCATCATAGAAACCAAAGCAGTAACATTTTTTAAAAAGAAATTAGAGAGATCATAATGTAATAAAAACAATATTGAGCTTAGACATAGGCAGATCTGAGTCACAAGCTCTTATAATTGCTGTGTTCTCTTACAAAATATACATATCATCTGTATAGTTTTCTCATCTATAAAAGAAGGATGATGTAATACATCATGCAAGTTTGTGGGAAAAATTTAAAAAGATGTTTGTGGCTGGACGTCTTTGGGAGGCAAAGCGGGCAGATCACTTGAGGTCAGGAGTTTGAGACCAGCCTGGCCAACATGGTGAAACCTTGTCTCTATTAAATACAAAAATTAGCCAGGCATGGTGGCAGGCACCTGTAATCCCAGCTACTCAGGAGGCTGAGACAGGAGAATCACTTGAATCCAGGAGGCAGTGGTTGCAGTGAGCCGAGATCACACCATTGCACTCCAGCCCAGGCAACAAGAGTGAAACTCTGTCTCAAAAAAAAAAAAATTTTTAAAGGAGATGTTTGTAAAGTTCACAGCCCAGTACTTGACATGTGAGAGCAATGGTCCTCCTCTTCTTCCACGCAGAGGGGAGTGGTGCCCTCTCTTTTAGCAGTGGCCTTAGAATGACAGCTCAGCTCCTAAGTCCTCTCCAGCCCATTCCTCAGAGGTGATTCACTGGATTTTCCAACCACTTAGTATACTTAGTCTATTTAGGCTGCAAGAGCCACTTCATCATTACATGGAAATCACAAGAACTCAAAAACAGAAAATCTATTTACAGATAGGTAAATTACAGGGACAGTAAAACTAGTGAGATCCTCAACTTGACCAGCTTAACAAAAATGTATATCTTCAATTCAGAAGCCCATCCTGTTGAATCCACTTCTTAGCTGTATGAGTTTGCTGAGGCTGCCATGACAAAGTACCGCAGACTGGTGACTTCAGCAACAGATATTTATTTTCTTATAGTTCTAGAGGCTAAATGTTGGTTTCCTCTGAGGCCTCCCTCCTTGGCTGGTAGATGGCTGTCTTCTCCCTCTGTCTTCACATGGTTGTCACCCCGGGTGTCTGTATCCTAATCTCCTCTTTTTATAAGGACGCCAGTCACATTAGATTGCAGCCTCACCATAATGATTTTATTTTAACTTAATCATCTCTTCAAAGGCTCTGTCTCCAAATACAGTCACATTCTGAGATATTAGGCGGTTACGATTTAAAAATGTGAACTCGAATTTGGAGGGAAGACACAATTCAGCCCAGGATACCACCTAATTTACCAAACATCTCCATTCCAACCACCCTCATACAATGACATATGCACTAAAAACCTAGGCTCTGTTCTCACTCCCTGGTGCTTAAAGGGACCTCACTCTGACTGTTCTGTTATCGACTCATACCACAAGAAATCATGGAAGATTGGAGCTGATACACACATACACACACACACGCACACACATTCTTTGTGATTGGTCTTCAGCATCCATTCTTTGACCTGGAACTGAGCCGTATAGGAATTGAATTGGTGACCTTGTTAGCAAGATTTTCTAACCACTCACAAATGGAAAGGGAGCATATTGCAAAATAGAACAGGTCAGGGAACTCCTCTTAGCCTACTTACCTAGGGACACCAAGCATATTGCAGTTTAGTAGAAATAACCAATATCTAAATTAAATGGTCCAGAGTGCATGAACTATATCAATAATCAGCCTGCATTTCAGATGAAAGAACCATAAGCATTTAATTATCACAGAAGGCCAAAGAAAAAGCATCCAAAGACTGTTCTAACAAAGAGGTAGACACCCCTCTGAATTTTGAACAGATTTCTAAATCAAAAAGGGCAGTAAATCATGTTACTTATCATTTAAAAATAACCAGGATTTAAGAAATGAAATTAGACAAGTGATTAACTCATCAACTTCAGCCAGAGTTCCTTTGATAGTTGGAAGGAAATAAAAGCCAGCCAAGAAATAAACATTTCAAATTCAGGTGCTTTGCAATCTGTGCTCCAAATGTTTTCCCTCAGCTTGTGAAGAGGTGGCTTGCTCTGCATACACAGCAGCCAAATTGCTGGCTTAAGTCAATTATCTTCAAAATAAGAGCACTGGCAGAAAAGAGGAGAAGCTACAGTCACAATGGTCAAAAGTCCATTAGAGAGAAATAGTCTTTCTAGGGCAGGGACCAGGAAATATGCTGGCTAAACTGGAGGGGTTGTCAAGGTGCTATTGAGAGATGTTTGAGGTTTTACTTTTGTTTTCCCCCTTGCTATTTCCATTTATACTGGGACTCCAAGGATGGGGTAGAGTCTTCTGTATTGAAATTGAAAGATGTCCATGATAGAGTAAGAAAAAATATAGATAACGGGACAGTATGTGTAAAGAGAGAAAGAGAGAGAGAGACAGACAGAGAGAGAGAGACAGAAACAGAGAGAGAGAGAATTGCTTGGTAGATTAGAAGGAGCCAAGGCTGCCTGGGTTCAAATTCCAGCTCTGCTCTTTACCTCCTCTGTGGCCTTGGGCACTTTAACTCTATGCCTCAGTTTCTCCATCTACAAAATGGAAACAATATAAACAGTACCAATTTCCTAGAACTGTTACTGTTATGAGGATTGAGTTAACAAAGGTAAAGCAAGAAAAATGGTAATTCTATAGAATTAAATAGTAAGTGGCCAGACGCGGTGGCTCACGCCTGTAATCCCAGCGCCTTGGGAGGCCAAGACAGATGCATCACTTGAGGTCAGGAGTTTGAGACCAGCCTGGCCAACATGGTGAAACCCTATCTCTACTGAAAATACAAAAATTAGCCAGGAGTTAGCACACGCCTGTAGTCCCAGCTACTTTGGAGGTGAGGCAGGAGAATTGCTTGAACCCAGGAGGCGGAGGTTGCAGTGAGCAGAGATCACACCACTGCACTCCAGCCTGGACTACAGAGCGAGACCTTGTCTCAAAAATAAATAAATAAATAAATAGTAAGTGCTATCCAAGTGTAAACTGCTCCAATTATAGTATGATTCTTTATTTTGTAAAACAAGCCTCCACCCCATCCCCCACAAAAAAAAAAAAAAACCTTTTTAATAACAAGGTGTATTTTCCAGGGTCAAGGTTAGGGTGAGATTAATGAGGGACAATAACAGAATTCACCTCGGGTATAAAATTTAAGAAATGCCAAAAAATTCAGTAATCAAGATAAATAATATTCCAATGCAATGTTTTTAAAAAGTAATGCAAAAAAATTGATGATGAACAAAACATTAAAATTTTAAATAAAGACAAGATCTGTATTACTGATTTTTTTCTTTTGCCTCAGGCTTCAGTATGGCTTGGCATGGGGTATATTCCTTTATATCACAGGCAAATATTTGGCAGGTTATAGCCCAAACTTTTATTTTTGGAGTGAGACATTACCTAGGTGTGGTGAGCAACCAAGGTCAGACACAACCAGATCCGTGCTCATTTGTGTTTTTCCACGAGGTCAGAGTTTTACTGATGCTGTTTCAATCATAAAAGCCATGCTCTTGGCCGGGCACGGTGGCTCACACCTATAATCCCAGCATGTTGGGAGGCTGAGACAGGTGGATCACTTGAGGTCAGGAGTTTGAGACCAGCCTGACCAACATGGTGAAACCCATCTCTACTAAAAATACAAAATTAGCTGGGTGTGGTGGCACATTCCTGTAATCCCAGCTACTTGGGAGTCTGAGGCAGGAGAATCGCTTGAACCCAGGAGGTGGTGGTTGCAGTGAGCTGAGATCGCACCATTGCACTCCAGCCTGGGCAACAAGAGTGAAACTCCGTCTCAAAACAAAACAAAACAAAACAAAACAAAAACCCATGGACTTCCTGGAGTTCCCAAGGAGGCAGTTCTCCTTAGTGTTACTCATTCACTCAGTAGTCAGAGCCATGGGCACACAGGCCCAAGTCTCTCCATAGGTCAGTCAATATTGCAAATCATATACATATATATAGTATAGTACCATATAATAGTATACCTAATCAATATATAAATGTCATAGATTACACATTCCCCATCAAACAAAGTAATCTTTAACTTCAAGAGAAAAGGGGATAGGAAAAAAGGGGTTAACAAACCAGTCCAAGGCAAGTGACCTGTACAAGGAGAGTGTCCTGCCCTGATCTGGACCAACATCAGAGTCTTGCAAGTCTTTGATTTGGGCAGAGCCTTTGGTGGTAGATGCTGGGCGCTGATCATAAGTGATAGCGAGACAAGGTCTATAAAGATGGCCATCACAAGCTGATAAGTCTTGCTCTTTTTATGACCATATTGCCCTCTGGAGAGGACTGAAAGCTAAGAGTTTGCCTGGTTGTTTCTTTATCTGGTTGGGTTCTGTCTCTGTTGATTAGGCAAACATCTGGTCCCTGTTGGCACGATGCCTTTTGAAATGTGAGATGGAGCCTTTTTACAAGATGGAGTTACTTACTACACACTAGGATTTCATTTTCTGTTTTACATTTCTGTATTTTGTTTTTACTTTTTTGCTATGAGAACATACACAAAATAAATGAGGATTCTTACAATTTAATTTCTCCATGAAACCTTGAAAGAAAAACACAAGATGATACTAAAGTACTCATATATCTAGGCAGTCAATCAACAGAAGTGAATGAGGCCTCACTCCCTACAGAGACGCCATCGGCAAACTACCTTCCTGCATTGCAGAGCTTGCTACTTCATTCTTTAAATCGACAAAAAGAGGCTGGGCTTGGCTGTAATCACAGCACTTTGGGAGGCTGAGACAGGTGGATCACCTGACGTCAGGAGTTGGAGACCAGCCTGGCCAACATGGTGAAACCTGTCTCTACTAAAAATACAAAAGTTAGCTGGGAGTGGTGGTGGGTGCCTGTAATCTCAGCTACTCAGGAGGCTGAGACAGGAGAATTGCTTGAACCCCGGAGGCAGAAGTTGCAGTAAGCCGAGATCATGTGCCACTGCACTCTAGCCTGGGTGACAAGAGTGAAACTCCTTCTCAAATAATAATAATAATAATAAATAATAAAAACATAAATCTGCAAAAAAAAAAAACACAAATTGGGAAATAAATAAGAGTAAAATTCACAAAGCCTTTCTGGGCCTCATTTTTTTCATCGTTTCATAGGTTCTCACCAATATCTCTCTTGGATCAAGTGAAGAGTTTTCTATTTTCCTGTTTCCAAGGGAAACCCAGGCCTTCGGGCTGCTGTCCTGCCCCATCTCACTAAGCCCCAAAGTCTGGGAGCTGGAGGGCTCTTCAGAAACCTTATTGGTGAACTGTTGGCAGAAGCCGGGATGAACATGCACTTGTGAATCCAAAGGCCTGGTAATGAGTTTACTTCCACACATACCCAGTGGCTAGACTTTGGAAGTGTTCCTCCATCTCTCTGATTCTGTTTCTTATCTGCAAATGAGAAATAATAATACTCACTTCCTAGGGTAACTGTGATGATCAAGTGAGAGAATATATGTAATGCATTCAGTACCTGGTAGGCCCTCAATAAATATAAGTTCTTTCATTTCTTCTTAGATCAAAGTTTTAAAACATTTCAATTTAAAGGACTTTTTGCTATTAGAGGGAAGCAGAAATATGTCAAAACCAAGGAGCAAGTGATAAGATAGAGATTTCACTTTGGAGAAAGGTGTGTAGCATCTCATTTGCAGTAGATTTTTCCTCCTAATCCCATTCATTTGAACAAATATTAAAATTCTTGGACATTCGATGAGCACAACTGTTGATCTGAGAAGGTGACCCAAGAGCCTGCTGGTAACAGAAGATGGGCAGTGATTAATAATTTGCTATGTTTAATCCCTAAAGCAGATCAATAGAAAGTAGATAGAAGTTTGCTGAAATTTTTTTTCTTTCTGGATTATTTCCAATAAAAAGAAGGCACAACATTTTCCTAACATAGCTTAACCTTCATGAAAATTTTATAATATCTGAAAAAAATGGGGTTGGGACCATGGATCATGACACTTGATAGAAGGTTTTCAAAGACCATTTGTTTACCAACAGCACACTGAAAGCAAGGAGAGTTCACCATAAACCAGCAAATCTCCCAGCATACATGCTGCCATTTCCCCTCAATTATCTTATTATTGCTTTTTTAGAATATATCTTTTTATTTTAATAATATTAATGAAGTTTTCCATCAGAAAAATTAAAGGCAAACATTTTTTAAATCTATAATCCTGCTATCTAGGTAGCCTTTGCTGACATTTGAACAATAAAATAAAAAGCAATGCTTCCACATGATTAGAATATTAATTACGGAAAGGTATAAGAGTAAATAGGAGTTTAGCCTCAACCACACTCCCAACTCATTCTGTTATTTTACCCCAAAAGTAAGCCTAGAGTTCCTTGGAGAGGAGCTGGGCACAGTGGCGTGTGCCTGCAATCCCAAGCTACTCAGGAGGCTGAGGCGGGAGGATCACATGAGCCTAGGAGTTTGAATCCAGTCTGGGTAGAGCATGGCAGGGTTCTATCTCTATTCTTTTTTTAAAAAATTTTAAGAGTTCCTTGGAGAGCATTGCAGAAAAAATTGCAATGCCTATACCAGTCTTTACATATCTTTTACAATTATACATAAGAGATTATGCTAATCACAAAGTTATCCAGCCTTCTTTTTCATCTGTATTATAGGCTGAATTGTGTCTCTCCTAAAATTTATATGTTGAAGTCCTAACACCCAGTACCGCAAAAAAAGACTCTATTTGGAAATAGGGCCTTTAAAGAAGTAATTAAAATGGGGCCATCAGGTGGGCCCTAATCCAGTCTAACTTGTGTCCTTATTAGAAGAGGAAATTAGGATACCCAAAGAGATCCCTGTGTGTTTGCACAGAGGGAGACATGTGAAGAGCCAGCCAGGGAATGGCCATCTGCAAGCCAATGAGAGTGATCTGGGAGGAAACTAACACTGCCAGCACCTTGATCTTGGACTTCCAGCCTCCAGGACTGTGAGAAAATAGATGGCTGTGAGAAAATAGATGGCTGTGATTTAAGCCACCCTGTCTGTGTTACTCTGTTATGGCAGCACTAGCAAACTAACACAACCTATGAGTACGTGTTTGTAATATATCCATGTCAGTGCTCATGGACCAACCCCCCTCATTTCATCATATAAATTATTATAATTGATTTCATCTTTGCCCTATCGATTGACATTTATGTTGACTCCAGGTTTTGGGGTTTTGTTTGTTAATTCAAACAATGCAGCAATAAACATTTGTGCACTGATATCTTGGCATAATTTTGTTATCAATAGAAGTGAATGAGGCCACACTGCCCACAGAGATGCCATCAGCAAACTACCTTAAGTAGTTTGCTGTTAAGTATATCAATAAAGTAAATTCTCAGAAAGAGAATTGCTGGCTTAAAGTATAAATGCATACATACTCGATATTGATAGTGACAACCTGCCTTTCAAAAGTTTCCACTTCCACAAAGGTGCATAAAAATGCCACTTTCTTTGAGGCTGAGCACGGTAGCTCATGCTTGTAATCCCAGCACTTTGGGAGGCCAAGGTAGGAGGCTCACTTGAGACCAGGAGTTAGAAACCAGCCTAGGCAATATAGTGAGACCCAGACTCTACAAAAAAATAAAAGAATTGGCCAGGCGTGGTGGCACATGCCTGTAGTCCCAGCTACTCAGGAGGCTAAAGTTGGAGGATCTCTTAAGTCCAGGAGTTTGAGACTGCAGTGAGCTGTGATAATACCACACCACTCCAGCCTGGGTGACAGAGCAAGACTCTGCCTCAAAAAAAATTAAAAATTTAAAAATATTTTTAAATGCCATTTTCCCTTGCCAGCACTAGATATATCAAGCTTTTTAATTTTTACCAAGCCAATAGCTAAAACATTGGTGTCTTCTTCCGGTTTGTACCTATGATTGAGCGTAAGTATCTTAGAGAGTTGTTGAGAGCACAGGCTCAGGGCCAGATGCTGCCTTTTCCTAGCTGCGTGATCCTGGACAAGTTGTCTGACTTCTCTGTGCATCAGGCTCCTCCTCTGTCAAATGGGAAAACAATGGAAACTACCTCATCGTAAGGGTCCTACAAGAAGTACATGAATAAATAGATAGTAATCCAAGTGCTTAGAACAATCCTTGGAATATGGTAAGCCCCAGATTAATGTTGGCTATTATTGTTGTTATTGTTTAAAATAATAATACATGTATACTGACAATTTGTATTACCCTTGCTGTGAATGCCCTGTGTTACAGACTGAATGTTTGTGTCCCACTCAGAATTCATATGTTGAATCCATAACCCCCGGTGTAGCTCTATTTGGAGATAGGAACTCTAAGGAAGTAATTAAGGTTAAAGGAGGTCATAAGTGTGGAGCCCTGATCCAACAAAATTAGTATCCATACAAGAAGAGACATCAGGCCAGGTGCAGTGGCTCATACTTGCAATCCTAGCACTTTGGGAGGCCAAGACAGGAGGATCACTTGAAGCCAAGAAATTGAGACCAGCTGGGCAACATAATGAGCCCCTATCTCTATAAACAAAGAATTAGCCAGGCATGGTGGCATGCACCTGTAGTCCCAGCTATTCTGGAGGCTGAGGGTAGGAGGATTGCTTAAGGTCAGGAGTTTGAGATTACAGTGGCTTATGATCTCACCATGGCACTTCAGCCTGGATCTTGTCTCTAAAAAAAAAGAAAAAGAAAAGAAAAGTCATCAGACCACACTTTCTGTGCATGCTCAAGGAAGAGCTCATGTGAGCACACAGCAAGATGGCAGCTGCCTACAAGCAAAAAAAAAAAAAAAAAGCCTCAGAATGAAACCTACCTTGCTGGCACCTTGATCTTGGATTTCCCAGCCTCCAGACTGTAAGAAATAAATCTCTCTTGTTGAAGCCACCCAGCCTGTGGTATTTTGTTATGGCAGTCCTAGCAGACTAACACATCCTGATTACATCTTTTATCCATGTTTCTGTCCAGCTAGTCTTTTTCTTATTGTATTAACTTCCCTCAACCAATGATTTCTTAATCTGACTTAGAAGGACAGACATGCCGATCAAAGGACTTGATAGGGAAATGAAGGCATATGGGATTGGCTTCCGCTTGGTCTCCCAACCAGGAGCTGAGCTAGCTGCAGCAGAGAACTGCTGCAACCACTGAAGACAGAGAACATGGATCAGACAGTGCCTGAGGTAAAATGTTGAGGTTTCAATGTCTGGATTTAGGATGCCATGTGTAAATTCTAGTCCTAAAGAGCAGCACAATGATGAAATTCCACAGTCCCCTCCAAAGACAGAACAAGCAGCAGGACACCTTCTGATTTTGAATGTTTTTACACATCTCCCTCTATTAAAAAAAAGTATAAAGGGCATCAGTTACTTTTTACCTTTGTTCATTTCCACATCAAAACCTTGGTACTGAAATGTAGTTTTTCAAATTTAAATCCAAAATTGTAATTTGATGCAGAGCAATTATAAATAACAGATGCTGGAAGGCTTGCATTTTTTGCCTCCACAAGAAATATACACATTGGATCCAAAGTTTTGGATATGACATCCAAACGAAGTTAGGGACTGGAAATAAGAGATTGCTAAAGTTAGGTCCATGCAGATACACTTTACAACTTTGGAAAGTATGGGGAAACATGGGGAAATTGGAAGACTACACACACAAAAACCACAATATATTTGACAGACGATCCATCTGATGGGCACATAAGACTCCAAAGTTAAGGCAGTAGAGTGTCATGGTAGAAGTATGGACCTCAGAGTTGCAACGTCATTGAACATTGCAGTACTCAATATCCAGTCCTACATCTTACATAGCTACATGATCTTGACCAGGGTAATTCACCCTCTAAAACTCAGTTTCCCCAGCTATAAAATAAGAATGAGGTCATCCAGCTGATTGAGTTGTGAAGATTATGTAGTTAAGGATTGAAGTTCATGCCTAACGGCTACTAAGAGTTCTGCCAATGACTAAACATCTCTAAGACTCTCTCAATATCTGAACCTTTTGATTTATAAGTTTCTGTCATCCATCCAATTCAGTTCCATATTCTTCAACCAACCGCTAAGTAATTATTGAGTTCTAAGTGCCCAGTAGCACTTAGAACTCAATAAAGGAGAAGAATAACACCCACAAGAAGCTTGCAGCCTGATTAAGGAGACGACATGCGTCTATATGAAACAATTAGTGACCAATACAAAGCAGTGAAAATCAAGTAAGACTGTAACTGCCACTGAAGCTTGAGCCTGGAGGTGTCCGGGTAAACTGGGAAGGGAAGTGGCTGCAAACGGTCTGGGTGGAAGTCATCACCAGTTCAGCATTGCTCACGAGACTGTACCTGTGGACAGTGCTCAGTTGACCATAATACCCGTCTTCACAGACTGCAAAGCAGCACTAACAGAGAGTGTCCCAGGCACAGAATGTGGCAGGGTAGATTCAGCCAGTAAGGTCCCCTGGAGTTTTCTTTTGCATGTGGCCTTCGAGAGGGGTTCTGAAAGTATCCTTTCCTCAAAAGTATTCTATAGATTCTTTTCCTGGGGCAGTATCTTATGGTATCATTTGTTGCTCTATGCATGTCTCCAGGGCAATGGTGGGTCTTACAAGGGTAAAGATGCGCTTCCTTGTCTTTCATTCCTCACTCCCAGGTGTCCAGTCTCTTAGTCACTGTCACACCTTTGACAAAACAACCACATAAATATATGAATGAATGGAGTTCATATGCCCTCACATATCTTGTGTCAAAGAGTGAGACAGGTGGAAATGGGGTGAAATAGGAAGTAAAGAGGTAGAGATCAAAAATCTGCTTGTGTAAAAATGTGGACACCACTTACCAGTAGTCTATTACACTGAAACTTCAACCACACTTCATATTCCTTGCTTTCTCCATGTCTCTAGTTCCTGGAAAAAAAGTTGCAAGAAGCAAAAGAGCACTAAGCTGGAGTTTTGTTTTCAGAGGAAATGGCAGGAGGGGAGAGGGTGTTTCAGTGTCATTGCTGCATAACAAACCACCCCCAAAACTTGGTGGTTTGAAATAACAATATATTAGCTCTCATGGCTCTGTAGGTTGACAGGCTCCAGATGGGCAGTTCCAGCTTTGGGGCTCTGGTGTGGATAGAGGCAGAGTCTAGATAGGGCTGGAGTCTTCTGAAGGCTCGATGCCAGGGCTGACCCTCCGAGAGAGCTGTTTCACTCAGGTGTCTGCACCTTCCATGCTCCTTGGCATATCTCCTGGCCCCTCTCAAATGGCATCTCATCCTCCAGAGCCTTCTCACGTGGCTTGTGCCTCTCAGAACACAGATGTCCCAGTGGAGTCTCGCTTCCTCCATGGCCACTGACCTCTCAGTGGCTAAAAGCGGAGGCTGCCAGGCTAGGTCAGGGATATGCCTGAAAGTGTCAGTGCCACATCTGCCGTATTCTATTGGTCAGAGCTATAATGGGACCCAAGTGAGTAGAGAAACGGACTCTGCCTTCTGATGAGGGAGTGGCAAGTTCACATTTGAGAAGAGTGTGCAGGATGAAGATATTGCTGCAGCCAAGTTTGGAAAATACAATTTGCCAGTTTGTTGTCATTGTCATCGCTGAGGCTGTTGTTGTTCTAAAGAATCCCTGCTTGGCCAAAGTAATGCAGAAAACTCCTCAGTCCCTAAATCCCACTTCCATCGTGTTTGATGACTAAATGGCAGCAAGACTAAGATATTCCTTGAGACTAAGCTTCTCCCATGGGCCCTCAGTGCTTCTCACCAGAGCCCTGCATTAGCCGATGGAGCTCCTCAGTGTAAGCTACACAACGATGCCCTTTCCTCCAAGTAGAGGCACGACCTGGAAGAGCAGCACCAGCTGCCTCCGCCAGCGGCCTCCTGCAGGGCACACCTGCGTGGACCATGGCCTTCCGCCTAGCCTAGCACTCCACACGTCAGAGGCTTACAGCGAAACACTGGTCACCAAGTGAATGAATAAGCAAGAAATTACTGTGCTTTCCTTTCAACGTGATAGCCCAATGAGTGGACAGGAGAGGGCAACAGGGGAAACTAGACCTGAAGAGAGAACCCCAAAACCACTCAACTCCCACATGGGCAGCTGAAATCCATGTCCCAAAATGTCTCCTTGAGGTGACAGTGAGGATGAGTGATAGAGCATGTGCAGTTGAACAGAACTTCATTCAGTCATAGCCAGGAAGCCAGAGCTGGTGGCAACCAGCGAATCTCGGAAATTAGAAGTAGAAAGGAAAAGTTTCCTACACCATATTTGGAGCCAAACATTTTTAAAAAGAAAAGACAAAGGAGCAGGTGATTTGTAACCTTATTGGGGTGACATGAGCAAAATATATTGTCTAAAGTATTATCTAATAACATAATTTTTCAGATAGTTACTTTTTTAGATACAAAATTCACTAGGATGAGGTTTTTTTTTTTAACTTTTATTTTAAGTTCAAGAGTACGAGTGCAGGTTTGTTACATAGGTAAACTTGTGTCATGGGAGTTTGTTGTACCGATTATTTCATCACCCAGGCATTAAGCCTAGTACCCATTAGTTACTTTTCCTGATCCTCTCCCTCCTCCCACCCTCCACCTTCCAAAAGGCCCCAGTGAGCATTGTTGCCCTCTATATGTCCATGTGGTTCTCATCATTTAGCTCCCACTTATAAGTGAGAACATGCAGTATTTGGTTTTCTGTTCCTGTATTACTTTGCTAAGGATAATGGCCTCTAGCTTCATCCGTGTTCTTGCAAAGGACATAATCTTGTTCTTTTTTATGGCTATACAGTATTCCAATGTATATGTACCACATTTTCTTTAACCAGTCTATCACTGATAGGCATTTAGATTGATTTCATGTCTTTGCTATTTTGCATGGTGCTGCAGTGAACATATGTGTTCATGTGTCTTTGTAATAGAATGATTTATATTCCTTTGGGCATATACCTAGTAATGGGACTGCTGGGTTGAATGGTATTTCTGTCTTTAGGTCTTTGAGGAATCTCTGCACTGTCTTCCACAATGGCTGAACTCATTTACCCTCCCACCAACAGTGTATAAGCGTTCCTTTTTCTCCACAACCTCACCAGCATCTGTTATTTTTTGACTTTTTAATAATAGCCATTCTGACTGGTGTGAGATGGTATCTCACTGTGGTTTTGATTTACAATTCTCTAATCATCAGTGATGTTGAGCTTTTTTTTGATATGATTGTTGGCTGCATGTATGTCTTCTTTTGAAAAGTTACTGTTTGTGTAGGGTGAGTTTAAAACCCTGCCCTTTGCAGCTGTAAATCACCATTGGTGAGTGTTTGGCTTATCCATTGTCTTATTAAATCAGACCTTTCCACCCTTTCCAAGCTTCAGCTATCAATTTATCATTAAACTCTGACAGAGTGTTTGCTCTGTCTCCGTAGTGGCTCAGAATACCAACAGCTGAAAGTAGAAATTTTTTGAAGCTATGTGTCTTTATTTTTTTATTATTATTTTTTATTTTTTTATTATACTTTAAGTTTTAGGGTACATGTGCATAACGTGCAGGTTAGTTACATATGTTTACATGTACCAAGTTGGTGTGCTGCACCCAGCAACTCGTCTTTTAACATTAGGTATATCTCCAAATGCTATCCCTCCCCCGTCCCCCTACCCCACAACAGGCCCCGGTGTGTGATGTTCCCCTTCCTGTGTCCATGTGTTCTCATTGTTCAATTCCCACCTATGAGTGAGAACACGCGGTGTTTGGTTTTCTGTCCTTGTGATAGTTTGCTGAGAATGATGGTTTCCAGCTTCATCCATGTCCCTACAAAGGACATGAACTCATCATTTTTTATGGCTTCATAGTATTCCATGGTATATATGTGCCACATTTTCTTAATCCAGTCTATCATTGTTGGACATTTGGGTTGGTTCCAAGTCTTTGCTATTGTGAATAGTGCCGCAATAAACATACATGTGCATGTGTCTTTACTGCAGCATGATTTATAATCATTTGGGTATATACCCAGTAATGGGATTGCTGGGTCAAATGGTATTTCTAGTTCTAGATCCCTGAGGAATCGCCACACTGACTTCCACAATGGTTAAACTAGTTTACAGTCCCACTAAAAGTGTCTTTAAAATTACTTTTTATATAAACAGAACATTTAATTTATTTCTATAAATTTCTCCTATTCCAGTTATCAGAAACTTGAACGACTGTTCCCTCAAAGTGCCACAGCAGCCTCTATTGAAGCTCCTCCAGAGCCAACATGGTCTCCAGCCCCCAACTAGGAATAACTCAAGCATAAAAATGTGCTTTCCATAGAATCCAGAGTATCGGTTTGCATCAGGTGAAGCAAAACCAGAATCCCCAAAGCCTCGTGGATTTGGAAATCTACCAAATTGCTTCACTCTTACCCACCCGGGACTTCTGGGTATGTAAAACTGCAAATATTTTACTTTATAGTTTATATAGGGTGTTTTATAGAGCAGAGAAATCAGAACACCCTTTACATGACACTGTAAACCCACCATGCTCTAATATCACTCAGCTGTGTTCCTCTCTTTATTCCCCTTATCAGGGATTAAAGGCAGCTCCTACACACATGAAAGCTTTTGACATTCCTCACTGAAGATCCTGGAGAACACTGGGTCATGAGAGCGAGTCTGTGGAAGTGAAAAAACCAGTATGAGAGCCCTCCCTTTCCTAAACTTGTAAACTGCAGCTTAAGAAGTTCACATCGAAGTTAGTGCTGGAGCCTCCCATCCTCAGAACACAGCATCGTTGTTAGATGAATAGGAGCTCTGGCTGAAATTCAGCAGACACCAGGCCAGCTCTTTATGGGCTTTGTATCCCATTCATTCTCACAACCACCTACATGGTGGGCATTAGCAGTAATAATGTCAACAATAATAGCAAATAGGCATGCAATGCTCACTATGTGACAGCCACCATTCTGAGTGCTTCCTGTGTATCAACTCACATAATCCTCACAAAAACTCCATGAGATATGTATATTATTAGTGTCACCATTTGATGAGGAAACTGAGGTACAACAAGATGAAAGAACTTGCTGAAATTCTCAGAGATCGTAAGGGAGGGAAATTGACTCAGAAGCCAAGCACTCTTAACTATTCTACCCATCTACAGATGAGGAAACTGAGGCACAGAGAGGCAATGTGACCTCTAGGTTCATAAACCTAGTAAGTGATCAGATGGGATTTCACGTCAAGCATGCCTGGCTCCAGAGACTGTGCACACTTGGTTGTTACTGAGACATGGACAGAGCAACCCAAGTGCCTTTTGGCTTGAAAGTGACTTACCAGGTTTTTCTCCCTGGCACAGCTGCTGCTGTTTGCTTCAGTTCCACTTCCCTCAGCACTACCAAGCACAGTACCATGAAAGAATAGTTAAGCATGGGTGAAATGGAGTTGCCTGTATCATATGGTTTTAAGAGCATCCAAGAATATGTATGTCCCTTCCTATATTTAGGGAGTTCATCCCTCAATTCACACATTTGTCTCTTGCAGATGTAAAACACTATGTTGCATCGGTAATCCATATCTCAAACACCTTTACCAGACTTTTCGTCAGAGAGGGAAGATAAAATAAGGCTTTTAAAAAAGGAGGAGGAGGAAAAGCAGAAAGTAGCCTCAGATCTACTGGGCATCCCAGTCTGAGCCTAAGCTGTATCCACCTCTGGGACTCAAATACCTCTAAACAGCTTTAATGAGCTGGTGGGCTGGGCTGCCAGCAGGACATTTGCATAAGGGACTGAGAAGCCTCCTGGGAAAGCTCTCACCTTAAGGGAAAGAGGGTCAGCAGACCAGCTTGGCCCAGTGACAAAACCTCAGTAGCAGGGAAACAGATGCACTTCTGAGTGTAGTACTTGATTCTGTCACTCACTATTTGTCTCCAGTTTGTATCTCAGTAGAGGTGGGTTGTAAGGTGAAATCCAGAACAGAGCATGTGGTGGCAGTCTCCAGGTCACTGGAGAGACAGCCCAGGCCGGCAGTATTAGTGGTATTGAGATAAATTGGCGAAAGTGATGGTGTCTGGTGATGCAGTAGCTCCCAGAAGATGTCCTAGCCCTGTGTCCTGCGGAAGCAAACACCCAACACAGGGAACTGGCATGCAGAAGGATAAAAAGAACCAACCAAACTCATTCACGGGGTGAGTTCCACGTTGCCAAGCCCGTGAGAATAGGCCCAAGTGCCATAGTCTGTTGGCCAAAACTTGAACACCGTGAAGAAGACAAAGAAATGTACCCCAGGAAATTCTTTCTTATCTTGTTACATCCCATCTCTTTTTTGAGGATCAGGACTGATTTCAGTCTTTCAAGTATGTATTCATTCATTCAACAAGTATTTATTGAACAACTATTGCATGTCCTGCATAGGCAAAGAGGATACAGCTATTCACAAGAAAGCTCTTCCCCCACACCCATCCCAGAAGGCTCCCTCTTGCTCCTTGTCTCTCTGCCAGATCAGCTTTCCTTCAGCAGTTTCCATCACTGGCTCTTTCCCTTAGCTTCAACTTTCCCTTCACATGCCACCCCCGCTGCTTAAAACACTTTATCCAACCTTCATATGATTGGCTTCTCTTTGTCCTTGGTCTCAAATAAAAGTCACCTCCCAGAAGAGGCCTTCCTGGCCACCCTATTCAATGGGTCCCCTGTTACTCTCTCTACATCATATATTACAGTTTTGTAAGTAGATGCCTATTTGTGTGTGTTTCACTATTTGTTCGTCCTCTGCATTAGAAGCTTCCCATCATCCCTAGTTTCAACTTAGTGTCTGGCACACAGTAGGAACTTGATAAGTACTTGTAGCATAAATATTTTGAATGAACTTAATTTTATAGAGGAAAACCCAAAGTCAGATGGTAGTAACTGATTGAACAGAGGATGCAGACACAGGCATGCAGTTGGCATGTTAAGAGGAGCTTCCACCTTAAAATACCACCTCCAAGACTTCGTCGTTGGGTTATGAGACCCAGAAACAATATTCGGAATCATGTGACTCTTGTTAAAATAGAGGTTTGTCCAAAGTGCTGTGGAAACACAGAAGACAGCCTGATTAATTTGGCTAAGGAATAAGGAAAAGCTTCCAAAGAGATGACCCCTGAACTGAGCATTGAAGGAAGAGGTGGACTAGGGGTGTGGAGGCACGTGGAGCAGGTCGTTTGTCCCAGAGGTGTGAAATGGCACGTGGAGTTCTCAGTCTTATCCCCGTCAGCAAGGGTTGCTTATTTTGGCCAGCTGCACAAAGACTCTTCATTTATTTATTCAATAAGAGTCGAACAACACTGACCAAAACAGCAGAAAAACCAGACGTGGTCCCTGCCCTCTGAGGGGAAATAGACAAATGAGGAAGGTTGGTCCAGAAGGCTCATGGCCAAAGGATCGAAAACATAAGCAGAGGCTGCATCACAGAGGTCCACACTGAGGAAAGTCAAGGTGCCCCCGTTTACAGACTGCCAACAGCCAGACGTGCGCATGAGGCTGACTGACGGCTACTATCCTGCCTGCCTGCTAGCCACACACACACTTAAAAGAGACCAGCAAAGATCACCTTCCCTTGCCTAAACCAGAGGGACCTCCCAGACAACCCATGGACCCCTCAGCTATATAAAAGATTTGTTGTTTTAAGCCAGTAAGTCTGGGGGATGGTTTGTTGCTAGCTAGGCAAAAGCTAAATGATCAGTGTATGATGTCACAGTGCTAGGCACTACTGGGGTGGCACCAAAAAACTAAGACCCTAACCTCCTTCATGAGATGATATGGAAACAGTTGTATGTAAGAAAATATGAGATACAATGGATCAAAATGAGTTCTCCAGAGAGGCACCAAAATTTACTATGGGAGCATGGAGGACAATGAGATGATCTCTGCCTGGGGATGGGGGCACATTGATGGAAGTGAGCAGGCGATCTGAGTGCAGAGGCACAGAAGTCATCAGGCGGAGGCTGGGAAGCAGGGCTCTCCCAGGTAGTAAGAACATCCTGCTTAAAAGCCCAGAAAGTAGGACAACAGTAAGTCATCTAGGATGCTCAACTGAAATATTTCTTGCTTCTTGCCCCAACCTCTCCCCATACTAATCCGCTCTCCCCAGTAAACTCCTTCAGGAGGTTGGAGCTTATACTTCACTTCCTCCAGAAGCCTCTTGCTATGGACTAAGTTGTGTTCCCCCAGATTCATATGTTGAGCTCAAAGCCCCATGTCATGTTATTTGGAGATGGGGCCTTTGGGAGATAATTAGGGTTGGATATGGCCTTTATGATAGGATTAGTGACCTTATAAGAAGAGACACCAGAGCTCTCATGCACTCTGTCTCTCTGAGAGGGCACGATGAGAAGGCACCACCTACAAGCCAGGAATAGAGTCCTCACCAAGAACAGAATCAGCTGGCACCTTGATCTCAGACTTCTAGCCTCCAGAACTGTGAGAAAATAAATGTCTGTTGTTTAAGCCACCCGGTCTGTAGTATTTGTGATGGCAGCCCCAGCAGACATGCTCACCTCCACATTGGTATCAGGCACCCTTCTCTTATTTCCTCTCCAGAAGCACTTCCCAGATTGTTCATGATTGGCTCTCTTTTTGTCTGTATCTTCCACCAGGCTGTGACCTCTGTGAGGGCAGGGAACTTGTCTAACTTTTCAGCTTTTTAAAATCTCCAGTGCTTAGCCCAGTGGCATATAGTCAGTGCTCAATAAATGTTTATTGAATAAGTGCTCCAAATTTGTCATTCCATATGACATCTCAAAGAATACATGAAAATAGCTAACTCTAACTTGGCTACAGAAATAATTCACATCCTTTTGCAAACTTTGCTATTTCTCTATCATTTCAATTAAAAGAATTGATTTGGAGGACATTTTCTAATTTACTGTTTATAAACACAATATAGAGCTTGCAAACTAAACCAACTTCCTGATAGAATATTTTGTCTGATGATCCAGAACAACCTGATCTCTCGAACCTCCAAGTGGCTTTCCATATCCTTTATAAGGACTCTCCATTCATTTGTGTAGACTTTTTTTTTTTTGAGGCAGAGTTTCACTCTTGTCCCCCAGGCTAGAGTGCAGTGACATGCTCTCAGCTCACTGCAACCTCCGCCTCCCGGGTTCAAGCAATTCTGCCTCAGCCTCCCGAGTAGCTGGGGATTACAGGTACCCACCACCATGCCCAGCTAATTTTTGTATTTTTAGTAGAGACGGGGTTTCACCATGTTGGCCAGGCTGGTCTCGAACTCCTGACCTCAGATGATCCACCCACCTTGGCCTCCCAAAGTGCTGGTATTACAGGCGTGAGCCAACGTGCTTGGCCTTGTGTAGACAATTTTTACAGAATCTCCACAGAGTTCTGGAATATTCACTAACATTTACATCATCCTTCTTGGTCTCCCATTTTTTTAACTGATGAAGAAACTGAGGCCCAGCAAGCCTAAATGACCTGCCCAAGGTCATCAGCCACCAAGAAAAAAAGGCTAAAACATGGGTCTGCTATGGATGAGAACAGACTTTGCTGGAAGGAAAAAAATGGAAAATATACAGAATTCAGAAATGTCCTGGTCTGTAATATAGAACGTGTATTTCTTCCTATTAAGATGGCACACAAGTATAAATATTTTAAAGGCTTTATATAGGAAGGAAGAAAGGGTGGCGAAAGTCCGGTGTTTATTACCAGAAGCACTCCATCCACATTTAGGTTTGTCAATGTCCATTAAGGATGTCAATGTCCATTCTCTTGCCTTTTACGGATGTCAGCACATGACACTTCTGGCTGGACCAAGATGTCAGCAAAGTTCACGTGTTGAGTTAATCACTATATAGGTTTCCTTGCAAGGTAAACTGCCAATTTCACTTATAATTTGGATTCCAAGGAGACTTGTTCCATGATTTCTGATCTATGGGATTAACTTGAGGGCAAAGTTATATAGTTATATTCATAGGTGCCATCTTGATTGAGGAGAAAGTGGAGGCGAGATAAGGAAAGGCAGAAATTCCTCCTTTTTGATCTGTCACACACACCATACTGATCCTTTGTTTCTGTACTTGTTTAAGGTCAGTAACTGAATTAGCCAAATATTCAGAAGAAGGCAGCATGCCCCAAATGTCTCCAGTCACAATTAAGCTACTGGCTTTCCTTCTGCATGGAACTGGGTTCGTTGCCAAACATTCCTGTCAAGTGAGGTGAGGAGGATTTCTCTCAGTCAAATGCCTCACTCTCTTCCCCAGCTACCTGTCTTGTTTCTTTCTTTTCACAGTAAGTCCCAGGGAGTAGCTCTCTTGTGTGAAAATTCAGTCTTAAGACACTCCTCCATTGTACAATTCAGCCAACAGGAATACTTAAGAAGTGTGGGCTAGATTACCTAATTATGGTCATGTTTGAGAAGCAAAGCATAGAGATGACCAATAACAATGTGGAACAAGATGAAACTAAATAGTTGAGTAAAATAATGCATTCCAAGCACCAGCACGTAGCCTGGCACGTTTTCAACACACCTGTCCGAATTCTAAATGTAGCACACTCAGCTCTGTTTCTGCATCGCTTCTTAGTCTCCACCATCTCTTTCTTGGTGATCTCATTCAGGCTGCTGGGCTCAAAATGGCCTCAAAGTCTTTATGACTCCCAAATTTACTCTTAGCCCTGACCTCCCACTCTGAGCTAGAGTCATTTATCCCACTGACTACCTGACATCTCCACTTGTGTCTCTTGCAGGCAGCTACAAATTCAGCGTTTCCAATGGAAAACTCATGATTTCCTGCTCTGCTTCCAAGATCTGTCCCTCTTCCATCTCAGTAAAAGAAACCATCATGAATCCAAAAACCTAGGAGTCATCCTAAATCATTGCCTTTTGCTCAATCCCTCCCTCCCCCTACCTTTCCATATACACATCCAATCTGTCACCTAGACCCATAAGCACATTCTCCAAAGGATGTCATGAGCTGGATAATTTATATCCATCTCTCTGGTCACTCTCCTAATCCGACCACCATTATCTTTCCCTGGACTACTAGAAGCAAGCTGAATGTGTCTCCCTACTGCCACTCCTGTTTTCCCATGATCCATTCTGCACAAAGCAGCCAGCCAGGGTCATATTTGTGTGGCAGGGGAGAGACGGGGGGAGAGACAAGGGGAAGATGCAGAGTCTCACTATGTTACCCAGGCTGGTTTCAAACTCTTAGCCTCAGGCAGTCCTTCCACCTCAGCCTCCCAAAGTGCTGGGATTATAGGCATGAGCCACTGTGCCCAGCCATGGTCATATTTTAAAACAAACTCAGATAATCTCTGTCTCCAGTGTGAATAAATCTCAGTGGCTTCCCATTGCACTTAAAATAAAATCCAAACTCCTTGTTCTTCCCCTCCATCATCTAAGGTCATCATCAACCAGCCATGGGCTTCTCTCTCTCCATCATGCACCTCCTTTCTCACTAGCTGAAGCCACATTGGTCTCCTTTCGGTTCTTCAAACACCTCAAGCTCTTTCCAGCTTGCAGCTTTTTGTACTTGCTATTCCCTCTGCCTGGAATACTGATACCAAAGCTCTCCAGCGCCTCAAGTAACTGATTCTTTTGAAGACTTCAGGTTTTGACTTAAATTCTACCTGCCTTCCCTGGCCTTCTCTGGCCACTTGTTCATAAGGACATCCCGATTTACCCTCAATTACCTCATTACACTCATTTCCTTCCCAGAACTTCATCACAATCTGCTATGATGTGGGCTGTGTATCGACCTGCTGGTTTAGTGTCTCTCTTGCCCAGTAGAATGTAACCCCATGACAGCAGGGCCATATCTGTCTTCTTCATCATGCTATCCTCAGTGTCTAGAACACTGCCTAGAGTATAGTAGAGGCTCAATAAGTAATTGTTAAATAAATGTATAAATTATAAATTTCTCAACGACTATAACTTTATTATTAAAATGAAATAAGTGCAAAATAGAAATGTAAATAACTCTGGGAGTGGTAGAGTAAAATGTGAGGGTATAGAGGGCCCCAAACTGCCTATCTTTGTTTGGTTACCACATGCAATATACACATGCAACATCAAAAGCTCTCATCCACCAGAATCCATGAAGAAGGAACTAGTTATAAGCAGAGATGGGCTAGGAGACATACTTGAGAGGAATTGAGCTTGATTGTGAGCCTGCCAGTAGTGGATTATTTGAGGGACTCGATGTTGATCAAGTTAGGGAAGAGGTGTGTTAGTTTCTTATTGCTACTGTAACAAATTACTGCAACCTTTAATAGCTTAAAATAGCACAAACTCACAGCTACAATCCCAGCACTTTGGAAGAATTAGGTGGGTGGATCACCTGAGGGCAGGAGTTCGAGAACAGGCTGGCCAACATGGCGAAACCCCATCTCTACCAAAAATACAAAAATTAGCTGGGCATGGTGGCTGGTGCCTGTAATCCCAGCTACACAGGAGGCTGAGGTAGGAGAATCGCTTGAACCTGGGAGGCGTAGGTTGCTGTGAGCCGAGATTGCGCCATTGCACTCCAGCCTGGGCAAGAGAGCGAGAGCGAGACTCCATCTCAAAAAAAAAAAAAGAAGTCTGGAAATGGGTTTTATGGGCTAAAATCAAGATGGCAGCAAGGCTGCGTTTTTTTGGGAGACTCCGGGGGAGAAATCATTTCTTGCCTTTTCCAGCTTCTAGAGGCAGCTTGTATTTCTTGCCTCTTGGCCTATTTCTCCATCTTCAAAGCACATCACTCAGATCCCTGTTTCCATGGTCCCATCCCTTCTCTGACTTTGACCCTCTTGCCTTCCTTTTACAAGAATCTTGGGACTCCCTGGGCCTGTAGAATCCGAGAAAATCTCCCCATCTCAAGACCCTATAGAACACATGCAAAGGCTTTTTTGCAATGTAATGTTACCTCTTCACACTGTCAAAAACTTACTGAGGATTGTAAAGAACTATTGTTTATATAAGTTATATCCATTGGTTCATCACCGTTTTAGAAATTTAAACTGAGAAATTAAAAAAGTATTTTATCTATTTTAAACTAATAGCAATAGACCAATTACATGTTAAATTTTAACATATATTTTACGAAAACCAGCTATATTTTCCAAAAGAAAACATTACTAAAAAGAGCAGTTTTGTTTTATATTTTTGTAAATCTCTTAAATGTTTGGCCAAATAACAGACAGCTAGATTCTCAGATCTGCTTCTGCGTTTAATTTGTTGCGATATCACACTTGGAAAACTCCACTGTAAACCCAGAAGAGAATGAGAAGGAGACCTCGTGAACCCCCTGAGAAAACCTCAGGGACCCCTAATGGTCCGAGGACCACACTACCTCCTGTCATTTCCTGCACACACAAGGCTGTTTTTCTAAAGGCTGTGAGTCTCCTTCCCATCCCATCCTTCACTGGTGAACTTCTGCTTTTCCTTTAAGACTCAGATGTGGCTTATTCCAGAAAGTCTCTCCTGAGCCCTGCAGTCTGACTCAGGTGCTCTTCCTCAAGTTTATGGCAGCATATTCTCTTTCTTGATGGCTCTTGCACTCTCTCTGCTCACGTTGCTCTGCACACTGAATTTACTTCTCTGCTTAGGCCTCCATCAACCCAGCACATTGTGAACTACCTGAGGATAAAAACCACGTCCTAGTCATCTCTATGGCCCCGCAGATGTGGTGTGCTATAAATGTTGACTGAATATAAAGTAAATGAATCCTTCCTACTGGCAATATGAACACCAGCATGAGGGAACAGAACACAGGGACTTAGGTGGGCAGGTCCTGCTGTTACAGGATTTGCTTCTTCCCATCTGGCCCAGTCCCAAGCAAAGGCCTTTATCATTTCCACTGGGTGGCCATGCTCAGCGTACATGATTTCTGGTTCTGGAGAATGCTGGATAGCTGCTGAGCAGAAGAAATGCCCACAGCCTCCTGAGAGTCATGGGTCTCCCCATTCTGTCAGGTGTTCTGCAGTACTTTGTGGATGCCATGCGAGGATCAGATGGCACAGGACACAACACATGTTTATATTTCCCATCTACCTTGCATCCTGGCTTAAAGGAGCAAGTAGAGAAACATATGGAAATCCAATGATGAAAAGTGTTAAAGTAAAACATTATTCAATGATTCTTGTTAAAGCACAGTAAGGTAGACTTTATTCAGGACCATTGCAATAGGTATTGGAACCAATACAACAGGATTCTGCAGCGGGAGAGAGAGATTGGGCTCAACTCTGAATACAGCATGGGCAAGTGGAAGTTTATAGCCAAAGAGCACCCAGTTTTTCAGTAGGTGGAAAATTACTGAGATAACACTGCGGTAAGAAAGATTCTGGCTAAACTGACCTACCAGAATTCTTTCTGAAGACAGGCCAAGGTGATCCTTCATTACCTGTGGGATGGTGGAGGATGAAAAATCTGATCAGATATCAAGAGTGAGCAGATATCAAAAGGATGAATGTTCTTGCTAAACTGATTTAGCAGAGTTCTTGCTAAACTGATTTAGCAGAGTTCTTGCTAAAATTAGATTTTATAAGGAAGTGCACAGATGGACCTAGCAGAAGCTCAGGAGCCTGACTAAAGTGTGGTCAAGCAAATAATCTTTGTCAAAAGTTAGCCACATGCTTGCAGTTGGAATTTGCATAAGGTCTTAATACAATTTCTAGAAAATGTCGGTGAGTTTAACCAGCAATTATGTTGACTTGCACCCAAACAAATGTGGAAAAGACAGGTAATGCACAATTGCTTTCATTTCATGGTTCACATTTGGGTCCATGTCTATCAGATTCGATGAGTGGACTTCTCCCCCATCAAAGGGCACCTTGATTGCTTCAACTGCATGGCTCAAAATCCACTGTAAGTCCCAAGAAATGGAAGATTCAGCCATGTCAGGCCTCACACAAAAAGGTAGCCTAAGTAAACATTCATAACTAAGAAACTCCTCATATACCTGTCTGCCTACTAGTCTATCAAAACACTAAATTAGATGCATACAATTATAAAATATATTCCAGGGCATAAAAGGGTTGGCAGAGGATCAATGTCAGGTGTGGCAACTACCAAAAATGCAACCCCTAACTGGGAAGTGTGATTGACCAAGGGACCCAACTCTGAAATCCACTGCTGCATTTGTGTAGAGACCATGCTTCTCACGGGCTGTTCTGGTATCAGGAATACCACGGCCAATCTATTTCTTGGCAACACCGAACTCCTGTGATAGCCAACTGTGGTTCAGAGACTCACCAGCAGCCGTAATGGGCCTTCCTTAGGCTGCACAACTACGTAGGATGCTTCTACCTGACTTTCCTCCCCTCTCTCCTTCACCTGTGGGCAAACTTGTTTCATCGTCTGCCAACTGCCCCAAGATGTTCCATCTCCCTCTCCATTTTTTCTAACACAGGCCTTTCCCCTAAGAAAATTCTCGCACACTTAATCCTGTCTCGGCATCTGCTTCTTGGGAAATCTGGACTAATACACCAGGCAGGATCAGGTACCATGTTTGGGAAAGAAAAACAAACTGGAAAATTGTCACAGCTTCATCCCTTTCTAGTTGTGTCAAGCTACTTCTAAAAACCTCATTTCCTCATCTGCCAAATGAATTAGCTGGATTAGGTATCTCTAAAGTCTCTTCTAGCTTCGACCTCTTGGATTCTGTAGCTCCCATTCTGTCATTTATGACCACAGGTTACCAGCATCCTAGGAGACAGTGTCTCTCAGCACAATTGGCTTATTCTACTTACGGAGTCTCAGGTGAGGAGTTACATTTCCATACACTGCTCTTGGACAAGAGAAAGCTGTGAGGTAGCCAAAAACTGAGCAAGTAGAGTAAGGGCATCCCTGGCTAGGCCCCCACAGAGAACTGAGTGAGTGGAACACATCTTTTATAGTCCAAGTTGCAGTATTAGAGCCTCAAGGCCAAGAGCTCACCTTGAAACCAGAGCCAAGGTATGCTAGCAAGCTTGAAGACGTCCTGCCACGTCAGAAGGAGATAGTGTCCCCTCTTCTAAGCCCCCTCAACTCTGTGTCAGACCTTTCTCCAGGCACTTAGCACATGGACCTAACAAGCACCTTGGAGTCTGACACATGAAAGTTCTAATCACTGGTGAGCCATTGAGAATTACGTCAGTTAAGATTAGGTATGGCCACCTGTGAAGGAAACTCAAATTAACAATGGCTTAAAGACACTCAATTTTATTCTCTCATGAAAGAAAGAAGTCCAGAGGTAGACAGTTCAGAGCTGAGACAGTGGTTCCACAAAGTCAACAAGGACCTAGATTCCATTCACCTTTCCACTCCACTATCTTTTGATTCAAGATGACTGCTAGAGCTCCAGCCATCACATCCATGTTCCAAACAACAGGATAGAGGACAGAAGAAGGGACCTCCTTTCTTCCTTTAAACACATTTCCTACATTTTTCACCAACACTTCCACTTTATCTTATTGGCCAAAACATAGTCAGGTAGCTTTACCCATCTACAAGGAAGGCTGGAGAATGTAGTCTGTTAGCTGATGGCAATCTGCTCAGCCGAAAATCGGGGTCCTTATGGTCAAGAAAGAAGGGGAGCTGAATATGAGGAGGTAACTAGTTGTTTCCATCAGAGACTAACGGGAAAAACAAACCTGGCAGGGAGTGAAGACAGAGGGCTCACACAGAAGGGGAATGAATCAGGCATGGAGAAGATGGGTCTCTCACCATCCGTGGGGTCATAGTGTGCATATGCCTCAAATTTTTATCATAACCAAAAATAAAAACAAAAAATTGGCAATATTTAACCCTATCTAAGAATAAATACACACATGACTTATATTGTACCACCTGTGTAGCTAACTCAAGTCCCATATTATTTTTTGCTGTTATGATTCAGACACTTTTGTGTGTGTGTGTGTGTGTGTGTGTGTGTGTGAGACAGAGTCTCGCTCTGTCACTCAGGCTGGAGTGCAGTGCACGATCTCGGCTCACTGCAACCTCCGCCTCCCTGGTTCAAGCAATTCTTGTGCCTCAGCCTCCAGAGTAGCTGGGATTACAGGTGCCTGCCACCACGCCCTGCTGATTTTTGTATTTTTAGTAGAGATGGGGTTTCACCATGTTGGCCAGGCTGATGATTCAGACACATTTTTTAAATGCTTTCTCTGAGAGTCAAGATTTAAAGTTGTGGCACGAATTGGGATAGATCTATGTTTTTAAAAGTAGCCCATGCCTCCCTACCACTTTCGCCAGGAAGTATGATGCTGTTGGCACTCAGATTCTCTGGTGCTCATGTTTTTCACCTGCCAAATGAAGACAGTAATGCCTACCAAGACAGGCGATCATCAGAATGAAAAGTAAAGCCTGAAAAGCATCCAGTCTAGAGTCTGGTTCATGATAAATGCTCAATAAAGTCTATGGTTATTTGTGGTCTCCACTGCTAGCAGGTTTCCAGAGAAGAAGAATCTGTCTTCTTCCTTTTTGCATCTCCTCCTTTTTTTAAAATTGATTGAATTATGGGATTTCAAAAAATGGTTTTGTGATTAAAAAGCCTAGTTGTTTTCTATTTAACATTTGTAATGCTATATGCAGAAATAAATTATTTTAACAAAATTCAAACAGGTATGAAAACAGAGACTATCAGAATAGTTATTTGTGTGTTCACTTATTCAACATTTATTTGAGGACCAAGCACTGAAGACACGAAAATGAAAATCACATAGTTCTGTATTCAAGATAATTAATGTAAGAGGAGGACAGAACAAATTATAAGATGCAATAAGAACTACAGTGAAGATGTGTAGTTACTGATGCCGGCAGGAGGGGCCAGCTATGCCCAGGAGAATCAGAGCTTTACAGACGATGTGAAATTTGAGTTGGTGTTTTGAGGGATGAATAGGAGTTTACTAGATGGAGGGAAAGATTAGTTACTAATTTTAAATATTATACCTAGAAATCATGAATAAGCAGGAGGAAAAGTTTGGTTAATGTGTGAATCAGCAGATGAAGAGAAATAAATCTTATAATAAAGAGATATTTAGATTTAGAACAGTACGGACATCAGAATTATGGCCTCTCTCTCTCTCTCTCTCTCTCTCTCTCTCTCTCTCTCTCTCTCTATATATATATATATATATATAAAAATATATATACACATACATACACACACACACACACATACACATATATATATATATCTCCAAAGCCAGGTTAGTGATGCTGAAGGCAGTTTGCCCCTCACTAGGAAACACCATGAGGGCTGCATTATTATATGTGTGGCCTGAGCATTTGCTGGTAGAGTGAGAAGTCCCATGTCGTAAAAAGATTCACAAGTAAAACATCTTCCAATTGCAGGTATCAGAGATCCATATAGAAGCCCAGCTTCAGCAACTACCTGGTGGCAAGGAAGAAGAGTCCTCGACACAGACATCGTAGGTGAACTCCTCCAGAATGAGATCAACAGGATCAGAAATGCCCTTCCATTTCCATTAAGCCCCCCAGTTAAGAACACTGAATTGGAGTAAGGAATTAATGGGAGGAGACCTGTGAAAATTCCTATACACTGCTTGAGAAGAATGGCAGACCAACTAATTAACTCATCCAGTAATTTGTCATATTAAATTATCACAGCAACTTGTGAGAAGCGGGGAGTTTCTCTGGGAAATAGGACCCAGGTCAGTGACTTCTTACAGAGCTAAACCTCTGCAGTGTACAAAAACCTTTCCAGGGCAGCTCATGTGCAATGAATATGGTGCACTGGGGCCCAGAAACCACCCTTCTTCTAATACAGGGTTTGTCAAACTTGAAGTTACAAATACTTAGTAGATCTTAAAAGTCTATTATCACAACAAGCTTTTTAAAAACATGAAATAAAATGGAATGGGACAGAATGGAACCCAATGAATGGATGAAAGAATTAGAATAGAATAGAATAGAATAGAATAGAATAGAATAGAATAGAATAGAATAGAATAGAATAGAATAGAATAGAATAGAATAGAATAGAATAGAAAATAGAATAGAATAGAATAGAATAGAATAGAATAGAATAGAATAGAATAGAATAGAATAGAATAGAATAGAACAGGCTAGAGTGCATTACACTAGTAAAGTTAATATAGTTTTGTAAAACATCGTAAAACCATGCATACATGTGCATGCACACACACACATACACACACACAGACAATCTGGCTTTTGATTTAAATGTATGTTTATTGGTTGCTGGCAAACCCCCACTATCCTAGCCTGCCCATTACCCTAGAGTGCCTTCCCAAACTGAAAGACTGAAAAACTTAAAGAGGTATTTCCCATAATCTCTTGCAGTTAAAATGCAAATAGGATTTAGGTTGGCCAAACATAAACAGTTGCATGAGATTCAGAAAGTGTGTCGAAGGTAAAGGTCTCAACTTGGGTCTGTCCAATGCTGCTGTTGACCGGCTGGTTCACGGGGGCCCTGGGTTTTCCTGCAGTAACAGTGGCAGAGGTCCCAGTGTCCAGTTGCTGATTTCATGGTAGGGGGTCTGTGTTCTGCGAAAGTGGACCTGGCAGGTGCAGCACTCTTCTGGAGGCAATAGCTGCCGTGGCCTTCTCCCAACCCATGGATCACAGCAGGGACGTTGTATTCCTGGATGTACCATTTGCCATGTCTGCTTCCTGATTTTCCCGCTTCGGGACTGTGGCAGCAGCGGCAGCTCCCCAAGTGGGCTGATGCTGTGGCACTGTTCTGGAAGTCACTCTGGAAGACCCAGCCCACTCCTCCAGCCCTCCCAGGATTTTTTGAGTGCCTAATTCCCTTCCTGATTAAAAATTGCTAGAGTTGTTTCTGTTGGCTGCAACTAAACCCTGTCGGGTAATAGAAAAACAGATATGAGGGTCATCAAATGATGCACCCAAGTCTCCTCTCTAAATTAGAGTCGAATTAATGGCAAGGCTGGAACTGAAACCCCGTTCTTCGAACATTGAGTCCTCGGTGGGGTTTGGTGTCCCCTCAGCTGCATTTGTGAAGGAATGGAAAAAGAGGATGATATTAAACCTAAGGAAGGGGCTTAGGTTTGGGATGAAGTTTGTGCCCAAATCTTACTCCCAAGGTCCTCCTCTCCTCCAGAGTTATTGACTAAGGAAGCAGTCACAGAAGGAACAAACATCAAATAATAAGAAAAATATTCTCATTTTACAAGCAGCACAAGCCCCTGACACTCCCATGATGCAGATGATCTACATGATCTGCAGAGGTGCATGAAGTTTGGCCTTTCTCCCACTCGAACAGAGATGGTAAGATCTGTACAGCAGACCTCACGCTTCTGACGTAAGCAGTCAAATAGATGAGGCTGACCAACCTGTAACAGGGACCGTCGGGGATGGTTACTGCCCTGGAGGCAGAGGGCTTAAAGTAGGAGACTTAGGAAGCAGGCAGAGAGAGGAGAGGGGATAGGTTCCATCAAGGCTTCAGCCTCTGACTACCCAGATTGGAGGCACTTTCTCTTGTATTGGGATGAAGCTAAGAAATGGGGGGGTGAGAAGCTGAGCACAGTGGCTCACGCCTATAATCCCAGCACTTTGGGAGGTTGAGGCAGGCGGATCACCTGAGGTCAGGAGTTTGAGACCAGCCTGGCCAACATGGTGAAACCCTGTGTCTACTAAAAATACAAAAAATTAGCCAGGCTTTGTGGTAGGCGCCTGTAATCCCAGCTACTCAGGAGGCTGAGGCAGGAGAATCGTTTGAACCCGGGAGGCAGAGGTTGCATTGAGCCAAGATCCTGCCATTGCACTCCAGCCTGGGCAACAAAAGTGAAACTCTGAAGAAAGAAAGAGAAAGAGAGAGAGAGGGAGGGAGGGAGGGGAAGGAAGGAAGGAAGGAAGAGAAAGGATGGAAAATTCTTCACCTCCATTAGGCAGAAGTGAGAATACAGAGAGAAGATCCTGAACATTCCCCTCCCACTACAGAAAGCTGGCCTGATGCGGAATTGAGGGTCCTAGAATCTAGGGTGTCTGGACAATCAGGAAAACATGGGGGGGACCATGTCTTAGAAGAATTAGGAAAGAATTCGAGGAAAGAAAGGCTAAAAGAAAGATGCAAGACATTAGAGAGATCTTATGCCCTCTTTCGCTGTTTTCTCAAAAGTCTTTCTGAATTTAGAGATTTTTTTTTTTTTTTGAGATGGAATCTCACTCTGTCGCCCAGGCTGAAGTGCAGTGGTGCGATCTCCACTCACTGCATCCACTGTCTCCCAGGTTCAAGCGATTCTCCTGCCTCAGCCTCCCCAGTTATCTGGAACTACAGGTGTGCACCACCACTTCCAGCTAATTTTTTTTTTTTTTTTTTTTGTATTTTTAGTAGAGATGAGGTTTCACCATCTTGGCAAGGCTGGTCTTGAACTCCTGACCTCAGGTGATCTGCCCACCTTGGCCTCCCAAAGTGCTGGATTACAGGTGTGAGCCACTGTGCCCGGCCCAAAATTTAGAGATCTTATATGAACTTAGCTGTAATAGCTCATAAACGCATAGGTGACCGTCTCCTATAGATTGAGGCTGAAGAAGGCAAAACTCTCTCACCTCTTGCTGGGCCAGCATAGCTCCATTCCTTTCTAAGAGAGGTTTGTTAATAAGTTGGCATTCATGTTACTCTGGTGAGTTTATTTCATCACAGACTCACTGAGAAAAAAAAAAAAAACATTGCAACTTACCACAATAAAGTAAATATCACAAGATAAATGACAATGTTGGAATGGAAACTACTTAGGGACTCAGAACGGTCAGACGCAAACAGTTTCAAGACTATTAGCTGTTAAAGGTTATGCCTTATGTCACCCAAAAGGGTTTTCCCCTAGATTTATAGCACAAACTCATGGAAGATTTATTGCCGTCTTAATTTTTTCCCCAATTTTAACTTTACGAACAGTCAGCCTGGAATTCCTCCTAAGTCATTTAGGAATGAGGAGCTGCCGGTTCTTAAGAAATGCTTTGTGGCACATTTTCTGCAACTTTAGTGTCTTTCTTATGAATTCGATTATGATCAAATCATCTCATGTGCCTCTCCAGATATACCCTCTGCCCTTTGCCACCCACCCTGTTCTCTGTCCCAGGAAGCTGGCCTTTAAGAGCCACATAACGAAGTCTCTTGCCTTTGGCTTTCAGATGGGCACAGCCACAAGGGGGAATGACCAGAGATTGGCAGAAGGGAAGAGACGGGCTTGGGCTGTTTGTTTCCCCAGATCCTTTCTGCATGCTCCACGGCTGGCTGCACCTTGGCAAGGTCTCAGCTCCTGTCAGGCAGCCTTCTCACAACGCTCTCTGCCTCCAAGTTCCAGTAACCATTCCGTCCCAGTGACAGAGTGTACATTTGTTCACAATATTCATTCTCTCTCTCAGGGCCCACCCCACTTATTTTGGCTTGGCCATTTGATTTGCATTGGTCCATGGAATGTAAGCGGGCGCGTCGTCCATCTCACGGAAGCAAGAAGCTTTAATGTGCTCTTGGATGATGTGGCTCTGCCCCTCGTGCTTCTGACCTCCATCATGAGAAGAGTAGGTCCCAACGTGAGACCACCGTGAGCCTGCACTCTCAAATGAGAAGGCCATGTCGGGCCCAGCCAAGCCCAGCAGAGTCCAGCAGAACCACAGCCAAACTACAGCCCTCATGCAACATGCACGAGAAATGATGTTTGTTATCATAAGCCACTGAGATACCGAGGTTGTTGGTTATCACTGCAAAAGTCAACAGATGCGGCCGGGTGCAGTGGCTCAGGCCTGTAATCCCAGCACTTTGGGAGGCCGAGGCGGGTGGATCACAAGATCAGGAGATGGAGACCATCCTGGCTAACACGGTGAAACCCCGTCTCTACTAAAAATAAAAAAATTAGCTGGGCGTGGTGGCGGGCGCCTGTAGTCCCAGCTACTCGGGAGGCTGAGGCAAGAGAATGGCGTGAACCCGGGAAGCAGAGCTTGCAGTGAACCGAGATACCGCACTGCACTCCAGCCTGGGTGACAGAGCTAGACTCCGTCTCAAAAAAAAAAAAAAAGTCAACAGATGCACTCCCACCCAGTGCCTCTTCAGACCTAGGGGTACCTCTGACATCTACTGCTACTAGGCACAGTGTTCTGCTATACGCCTTGTGGGTTCTCTACTCCCTTCCCAAACCTTTATGAATGGTTCCTTTATTAAAGACTCTTCAGTATATCCAATTCAATTATGTCACCTGCTTCTTGTTGAGACTGTGACTGAAACGTGTCATGTTTAGAATGGAGAATATTAGAACAAACCACAAAGAGATTTAATATAGCATGATATTGACTGACTCTCTTTAATAGCAAACAATAACTAAGAGGAAAAGGAAGAGGGGAGAGAGGAAGCAGAGGGAGACAAACAAAAGGAGAGGAGAGAGAGAGATAAGGAGAGGAAAGGAAGAAAAAGAAGAGGAGGAGGAAGAGAAAAAGGAAGAGGTGGAAGTATGGAGTGGGAGAGAAGAAAGTAGTTATTGAGGGCTTACTACATGCAGATATTGTGAAAAGAACTTAAAGATAATCTTGACTATAGTAAACAATAATTGAATTGTTCGTTTTTAAATGATTAAAGAGTCTAACTGGATTGTTGAAAACACAAAAGATCAATGGCTGAGGTGATAGATACCCCACTTACCGTGATGTGATTATTATGCATCGCATGCCTGTATCAAAATATCTCTTGGAACCCATAAATATATACACCTACTATGTACCCACAAAAATTAAAAATAAAAAAAGGTGATCTCATTTGATCCTTACAACAACCCTAGGTACTATCAATTATGTGCATTTCGTAAATGAAGAAATAAGATAAAAAGAAGGTAGGGAGTTTTCTCAACGTCACCCTCAGAAATGTCCAGAAAAACTGCTTTACAGCCTCAAGAAAAAGAGAGCACAAAGTGGATGGTAGGAAGGCCTCGTGGTGATAACATCTTCGAGGGCCATGAGGGGTGACAGAGTGATGCTACTTATTCAAAACTCTTGGACAACATATGCCAGGAAATCTTGCTGGCTAACGGAAATACATCAACAACTACAGCTTGTGAAACACCAACAGTCTGTAAGTAGCTCCAGAGTTCATTTGGATTCTGTGCTTTTTTAAAAAGAAGCTCCATTAAACTGCCATGATGAGCTGCTCTGATGCTGGGATTATTCACTGTAGTGCAAAATAAAGTCAATTATGGGGCTCTCCTATGAGTGAGGGACTAATCGGCAAGTTCCCATTTTCTCTTGGGCTTTATTTCTGTTTCAAGATTGTCAAGCAAAAGTGATAATTACAAAGACGACTCTATCTTGCACCTATTTTTCACACCAGTCACCCATTGTTCATTCACAGGTGTTCCATGGAGGTCGATCTCTACAAATGCATGCAGATGTGCTATGATTCAATTCTAATGAACCTTTCAGAAGAAGCCACACACAACCAGCTCTGCAACATCACTACTTTCACCACTTACCAAAATGATCAACACACATCATTTCTCTTAACTGTTTTATGCAAACTTAATACATATTCTGAAAAGTAAGAAAAATATAACTCACATTCGGAAAGAGGGGAAGCAAAGTAACATTTATTGACTGATTAATAGGTTCAGCTCTCTATCTACAATCTCCTTTGAGAGGAAGAAATCATTACTCCCATTTTATCAATGAAGAAACAAGATCTCAGAGGCTGAATGTAATCGTTAATATTGAGTGTCAACTTGATTGCATTGAAGGATGCAAAGTATTGTTCCTGGGTGTGTCTGTGAAGGAGTTGCCAAAGAAGATTAACATTTGAGTCAGTGAACTGGGAAATGCAGACCCACCCTAAATCTGGGTGGGCACAATCTAATCAGCTGCCAGCACAACCAGAGCAGTAGAACGCGGAAAGACTAGACTGGCTAAGTCTTCTGGCCTCCATCTTTCTCCCGTGCTGGATGCTTCCTGCCCTCGAACATCAGACACCACTTTCTTCAGCTTTTGGATTCTTGGACCTACATCAGTGATTTGTCAGGGGCTCTCGAGCCTTTGGCCACAGAGTGAAGGCTGCCTATCAGCTTCCCTACTTTTGAGGTTTTTGGGACACAAAACCAGGTTTTGGCTTCCTGGCTCCTCAGCTTGCAGACAGCCTATTGTGGGACTTCACCTTGTGATCGTGTGAGTCAATTCTCCTAATAAATTTCCCTTCATATATACACCTATCCTATTAGTTCTGTCCCTCTAGAGAACCCTGACTAATACACGAGTAAGCCCAGGGTAACATAGTTGCTTCATGGCAGAAGCAAGGTCCTAACAGACTCTTGCAGGCTGTCTTCCTACTGTGCGCTCCTGTTCCAGCACAGACCTGGCATGGGCCAGTCATAGGCCAGCCATGCCCAAAGCCAAAATTGTCTCAGGGAATGGTGAAGCCTTGAGAATATGTGCTAGCTGTCTGTGGTTGACCATGTTGATATTCAAAAGCATGCAATGCCCTTCTTAGGGAAAGATTTGTTCTCTCCCTATCAGCAGCAGCCTTGGTTGGACATCTTGATTTTGCCATAGAAACATGAACAGAAACAAGTGAGCTATTTCCAAGCAGAGGCTTTAAAAGCCAGCTCAGAGCTCTCCATGTTCTCTTTTCCTTTCACTACAAGCAGCGTGTCATTCAAGGTAGAGGCTGTTCCACCAGCCTGGGTTGTGGAGTGAAACCCCCACCATGGATATGAATCGTGAGTGCAAGATAAAACCTTAGACTGGTAGGTCACTGAGATGGGGTCCTTCATCACTGCAGTGTGACCTAGCTGGGGTTCAGGGTTCTGAAGCCCCAAGGGGCACATCCACTGCCAGATGTTTGTATCTTTTTAAATTTATGACAAATACCAGAGTGGGGAAAGAACAAGTTGGGTTTGAATCCTGACCTTGCCATTTACAACCTGAAAATAAGCCATCTTGTGCCATCTTTCTGCATCTTCATTTCCCCATCAATAAAAATAAAAATAATAATGCCTACCACTCTGATATGGTTTGGCTGTGTCTCCACCCAAGTCTCATCTTGAATTGTAGCTCCCACGATTCCATGTGCTGTGGGAGGAACCCAATGGGAGGTAATTGGATCATGGGGGCGGGTCTTTCCTGTGCTGTTCTTATGATAGTGAGTAAGTCTCATGAGATCTGATGGATTTATAAAGAGAAGTTTATAAATCCTTATAAACTGCAGAAGTTTATAAATCCTTATAAACTGCAGAAGTTTATAAATCCTTATAAACTGCAGAAGTTTATAAATCTTTATAAACTGCAGAAGTTTATAAAGTTCTGCACAAGTTCTCTCTTACCCACTGCCACGTAAGAAGTCCCTTTGCTCTTCCTTTGTCTTCTGCCATGATTGTGAGGCCTCCCCAGCCATATAGAACTGTGAGTCCATTAAACCTTTTTTTCTTTATAAATTACTCAGTCCTGGGTATATCTTTATTAGCAGCGTGAGAACAGACTAATACACACACATACACTTCTCTCCCACTCCATATTTGAGGTGGAACGGAAATGAGATGCCAAGGCCCTCAATCTGTTTCCAGTACTCCATAAGCACACCTCAACCTTTCTCTATCTTCTCCCAGTTCTCACCCCCTTTCTCCATTCCCTGTGAGCCCTGTCCCATCCTTAAGGATGTGTGTTCAGGCCACCTCCTGCCTGTCTCCACACTTCTGCACTTTCCCTTCTGTTGCCCTTCTCTCTTCCCAGAACCCGGCTGTCCCCTGCATGCACACTCAGATCTTCATCTTCCTTCTGATGCTTTCCCTTCCTCCTGCCTTCAGCTACTACAACTGCCTCACTTGAGAGTCTCGACCTCCTTCCCTGCATCTGTAATCGTCAGTGAAATGTTGAGCACAGCTGGATTTTCTAAGCCAATGGTTAATTGCAGGGAGCTGAGGGTGACCCAGTGGCAGTTTCAAGTATTTGGAGTGTGAAGTAATGAAGACGCTGGTGAGCAGACCAGCTGAAAATCAGCAAACAGGCCCCCTGAACAGCTTCCAAGGAGTCTGATGATAGTGGCTTTCTCTCCCCAGCTGGCAAGGCTTGTGCTTCAGCCAGAAGCAGACAAGAGTCAGAGACCACCCCAGGGAGATGCACAGTGGGAAGAGTGTGTCCTCAGACCTGCAGAAGGATTTTGATAACTACCCCAGTTACCATGGCAGCTGGGCTCACAAAGGATTACACAGGAACTAGGCAGCAAAATCTTTAATGAAGTGGTGACCCCAAGAGCCTAGGTCTCCCCTCACCGGCAACAGTGGCCCCTCAATCCCCATCTCTGCTAATGAGGGACTCACTAACACCCCTCACACAGAGGACAGTCTGTACCGCCCCGAAGATGAAGGGGACAGCCAATCACATATGTCATGACCTCAGCTCAGGGTTGTGAAAACCGTGAGAACAGTCCATCTGTGCCCCCTACCGTCTCTTTCTTTACCTGTCCACAAATCCAGACAACGGATGGGCAGATAAATACTCCAGGAGGCCACTCTGCAGGCCACTCTGTGGTCCCATGGGTTTATCTGCACTGAGGGAAATTTCTTGAAAAGTCTTCAATTTTGAAAATGCAGGATTTTAAGTGCTTACTCTATACAGGCATTGGGGGCTAAGCAGTGAAAAAAATCTAAGCACCTACACTCAAGGAGTTTACAGTCAAAGTGACTGAAATGCGAATAAACTAGCAGTTCTAACAGAAAAGCTTAGGGTTCTGGGAGTGAGGGAGTGATGAAAAAATGCGTATCATATGACAGGTGCACAATCGATACTTAAATGAATTTGTTTATTGTAAAAGTGATCAATAAATTGAATCAACAATACACCAGGCACCTTCCTACCCCAGAATATTTGTACTTGCTCTTCTTGTCTGGAACATTCTTTTTAAAAAAAAAAAAATTTTTTAATTTTTAGTTATTTTTTTTAGCCCACCTGAATTCACCAGCACTGTCTGGAACATTTTTCCCCCGAATACCTTTGTATGAATTTCCTGCTGCTGCTGTAATAAATTACCACAGACTTAGAGGCTTCAAACAACACAAATCTATTCTCCTGCAGTTCTGGAGTCTGAAATCTAAGATCAAGGCATCAGCAGGGCTGCATTCCTTCTGGAAGTTGCAGAGGAGCATTTGCTTCCTCACCTTTTCCAGCTCCTAGAGTCCTCCTGCATTCCTTAGTTCCTGGCCCCTTCCTTGCCTCACTCCAACCTCTCACTTCAGTCATCCCATCTCTTACTACCGACTCTGACCCTCTTGCCTCCCTCTTATAAGTAAGTGAAGACATTGGGTCCACCAAGAAAATACGGAATAATCTCCCCATCTCAAATCTTTCGTCACATCTACAAAGTCTGTTTTACGAGGTAAAGTAACATATTCACAGGTCTGGGCATTGGGATGTGGATATATTCATGGGGGGTCACTATTCAGCTTACCTCAACCCTCAGGATGCCTGTCCTTAAATTCTTTCTTTCTTTCTTTTGAGATGGAGTCTGGCTCTGTTGCCCAGGCCAGAGTGAAGTGGTGCAATCTGGGCTCACTGCAATCTCCGCCTCTCAGGTTCAAGCAATTCTCCTGCCTCAACCTCCCAAGTAGCTGGGATTACAGGTGCCTGCCACCATGCCTGGCTAACTTCTTTGTGTTTTTAGTAGAGATGGTGTTTCATCATATCGGCCAGGCTGGTTTTGAACTCCCGACCTCAAGTGATCAGCCCCCCTAAGCCTCCCAAAGTGCTAGGATTACAGATGTGAGCCACTGTGCCCAGTCACTCTTCATCTGTAAGGCATTCTCGGTCAATCTAGCATAAAAGAGATACACAGCCATGCCTCTGGCACTCTGTCTTCCTTACCCTGCTCAGTTTTTCTCCATTTTATTGATTCCCATCAGAAATACCAGGTATCTGCTCATTTATTATTTATTTATTTCCTCCCTCGACTCCATTGGAACGTAAGCTCCAGGAAGGCAAAGAATGTCCTTTGTCCACTCTTACAGCACCAAAGCCCAGAACAGAGCCTGACACTTAAGTGTTCATTCATATCTGTTAAATAAATGAAAACATTCAGCCCATAGGTGAGATGGCATTGATGAAAACTCAGCCAGGCAAAGGAGTAGCAGAGAAAAAGGCGTGAAGAGGGCCCCAGATAAAGAGAAAACATGAACAAAACAAGAAGGTGTGGTTAGTTCCAGAAACAGAAAGACATTTGGTATTAGTCAGTGGTGCTCACTGTTGGTTGCCTGGCCAGAATCCATCCACCCACTCCTCTTCTAATAGATCCCCAATTTTGAACATATGCCCACCACCCCCATATACACACGCCCCACATCACCCAGCAGAGTCCGCCCCACGCGTTGTTATCATACAAACGCTGGTCCCGGTAGGATGTATTTCCTAGGTTCCCATGGCAGCCACCGGTTTGACCCAAGGGAGGTGCTGATTAGAGATAGGAGGTGCTATGGACTGAACTGTGTCCCCCCAAAATTCACACATTGAGCCCCTACCTCCACTGTTGTATTTGGAGACAGGACCTTAAAGGATGAATTAAGGTTCAGTGAGGGTGTAAGGGTGGGGCCCTAACCTGATAGGACAGATGTCCTTGTAAGAAGAGAAAGAGACCCCAGAGCCCTCTCGCTCTGCATACACACAAAGGAAAGGCCACATGAGGACACAGGGAGCAAGTGGCCATCAACAAGCCAGGAGGAGGGCCCTCACCGGGAACCAACCCTGCTGACACCCTGATCTTCGACCTATCTCCAGAACTGAGAAAACAAATGTCTGTTGTTTACACCAGCCACTGTGTGGTATTCTATTATGGAGGGGCAAGCTGACAAATCCAGGAAGAGAAGGAAAGAGCCAGGATATCCCCCTCCCTTCTTCCTTGACTCTAGCAGCATTCCCGCTTCCCCCAGGACGAGAGGCCCACGTGGCTCCTGTTCCTGCCAGGTGACTGAGGCCCAATCTTCAATCTTCGGACGATGTCCTGACAACTGTGTCTTGCTGCCTGCTAACCTCTGGGTGGCCACAACTTCCCTTGCTGGCTTCTCAGCCCTTCGTGACCTATGTGACCAATTCCCTTCATTCATTCCCCTCTGTATCAAGAACTCACACTGATTCCTGTGTTCCTTGCTGCACCCTGCCTGACACCTTCTATGGAGCATAAGGTGCCTGAGGGGAAGGCAGCACCAGAGCAGGTTCAAGGGCATGCAGAGGCCAGTTCACCAGACTCCTTGCCCATCTAACTGCAGAGTTGGAATCATATCTAGAGACCAATGAGGAGCCATCCCTGCAGGCTTTTCAGCAGGTGGAGGGACATGTTTAGGGCTCCATTTTAGAAAGATCAAGTCACAATGAGCATCTACCAGCAGCGCCTGGAGAATAATTCTTTGCGGCCTATATTTTCCACGTGGTTTCTCTAATGCTGTGTAAACATAGCCCAAGACTTTTTTCCCCAAAAGAAATGATAGTGGACAGAGAACAGAGAAACAACAAAGAATAGAAGGTGAGAGCTGGCCTTGCACCTTCCCTAGAGCTAGGCCTTCTGGCTTCTAAATTATGTCTAGCTCCTAAATTGTGTGCAAACCACAATTTGGGGGGGCCCACTACTGAAGCAACAGTGTCCCCACTCACACTCATTCCCTTTACAAACCCCAGACTCTTGAATTTAAAAGGGAAGAAGGGGTCAGGCACAGTGGTTCATGACTGTTATCCCAGCACTTTGGGAGGCCAAGGTGGGCAGATCACTTGAGGTCAGGAGTTCAAGACCAGCCTGGCCAACATGGTGAAAACCCATCTCTACTAAAAATACAAAAGTTAGCCAGGTGTGGTGGCATGCGCCTGTAGTCCCCACTACTTGGGAGGCTCAGGTGGTAGAAACACTTGAATTGGGGAGGCAGAGGTTGCAGTGAGTGGAGATAGCACCACTGCACTCCAGCCTGGGTGACAGATTGAGACTTCGTCTTTAAATAAATAAATAAATAAATAAAAGCAAAGAAGAGTAGAGGCTGAGAAAATGCAAACAAGAAACACCCCAGGCAGCACTTTGCATATAGGATTTATCAATTCCAAGTAAGGGTGTCATATGGGGAATGCCAGCTGGTAGCTATAATTGAAAGGGCCAGGAGTTTGGTCTGTATGATTAGTCACACGAAGCTAGGAGAAGCCTAATTGTTCTTTGTCATTCTTCAGCAAAACTTCTCTCTCCCTTCTTTTAGTTGGTTTGCCTTTCTCCCTTTTTCCCTTCCTTTTCTTTTTCTTTTTTTTTTTTTTTTTAATATTCTTGGAAACCCTTTTCTGCCAATCACTGTCAGCGGCTACTCAGGCCTGAGCAGAGCAGCAGCAGATGCACAATGAGATATGCAGACTTGGAAATGAGCTGTGGACGGTGCGTGGGAGGGAGCACTCCTCTCACGAGAAAGAGCAGAGAAAACACTCAATGCGAATACAGCCTTAGACAAATTCTAATCTAATAAGAATCATTCTTCAGGTGCACAGACGGGCAGAAAACAGAAGTAAACGCTTCATCATGCAGAACTGATTTCTTTTAAGTAATCATAGGAATGTAATTCTCCAAGAGGTCGCTGAGATTCATACATATTGCTAATATATTTAAAGCTGAAGAGGGAAAGACAGCAGTCCCCAAACAGTGGTGCTGGAACTAAATGGAAACAGACAGTGTCAGAGCTCAAGGTGAGGCTTCCTGTCCCAAGAGGCCAGGAATCATGAGAGATGCTCCTATGACAGGTATCCTTAATTCTCCAGGTCAGAGGGTCTGGTTAGGGCAGTTAGGGGAGGGGAGACAGGTTTTAAGAACACTGGCTTCTTTTACAAAACAGCAAATATTTCCTAGTGCTTGAGAAATGCCATGGATTTCAGGAAAAGGCTCATGAGGAAATTCAGAAGATCTATTTCTCTCCTGGCATCTCTCACTCATCATCAACCTAGACTCACCTCTGTTCATCGGTGTGTGCAAGTGATCCTCTGTCATCTTCACAGCCACCTACACAGAACCACTACACAGGGCCTATGGCTGGGAAGCAGCGTGGGGTGGGGTGGACAGGACGCCATCAGCCTTCCACTTAGGCTCTTGTGGCTAATCTGGGAACATTAAGGTGACATATGGGGTCCTTGAGATACACTTGCAGGACTAGTTTTATAACCTGTTTCAGCATTTCATCATTTTTTAATACAGTGGAGATGACTGGGACTTCTCTTCAACTCTGAGATGGCCTTGGAATTAACGACTTGATGAAGAAAGTCTTCATCTGTAAGATCAGCATGTCCCAGTGTCCCCCAAGGAGCAGATAAATCCTGATTCCTTTGATATTTTATGTACAAGGTCTCAATTGGATCTCCTTAGAGTGTATGCTTTAGGGTGGGTGGAAACCCTTTTTTTCTGAAAAAATACGCAACCATTGAATTCCAAGGAAAAGAACATTAAAACATTAACAACAAAAATGATCCTTCTTTAAGCCCCTAGAACTTTATGACAATTTGTCACACATCAACTGTGCCTGCGTGTTCTCACCCTGTCTGTCTCTGTCTCTCTCTGTTCCAGCCTGTCACTCTCTCTGATATACTTTTCCCTCCCCTCTTCACCTGGCCAACTCCAGCTCATCTTCCAAACCTCATCCCTGAGGAGTCCCTTCCTCAGGGAAGTCCCTACCTTTACTAATACAACCCTCTATGATACTATCTCATGGCCTCCTGCACTCCTCCGTGGTGCCAGTCACAGCTGCAAATCACTGATGGTTGACGTCATTATTTGTTTAATGCCTGTCTCCCCTCCCTGACTGTGAACTCCATGCAGGCAGTATGAGAGCCCTAAAAATGTGCCACTCAGGTCTCCTGCTGTAGGGAGGATAAGTGAACAAATGGCCCCAGCTGCTCTGCTCTGAACCCACCACTGCATTGTGCCCACACCACGCTTCCCAAGGGCTACTCCCAGCCACTGGCTGAGCCCAGCACTGAATGCAGTCCCTTCTGGCCTCTGGGACTCCTCTGACAAGCTACCTTACATCGAGGGCTCGGTAGTCACCTAACCAAAACCTTCCCAGCATGGGGCTTCAGCCTGAGACTCTTCTTCCCCACCACTCCTTCCCGTCCTGCCTCCTTCACAGGGGCAGACTTGCAAGGTCATTCAATGGCTTGCGCCACTTCCTCTGGCTCCCTTTCTTGAGGACCTGTAGGATTTGCCTGTTGCAAGCAGCAGTTTCCCCTTATTACCCTCTGTTTCCTCAGGGCCTGGCACAAGGCCTGGTATATAAGAGGTGCTCAATTAAGATGTGTGAAATGCATAAATGCTCACAAACATGGGGGAAACCAGTTGAGAGAGGATGGACCAATCAGGGCAAACATGACTCAGTCTCTGGGAAACTCCTCCAATGGCATTCCCTACAGAATCAATAACAGTGCCCTATTCCTCAGGGCCTTTGTGTTATATGAATGAGCACACCTAAAGGAAACAACTGCAGGCCGCGCATGGTGGCTCATGCCTGTAATCCCAGCGTTTTAGAAGGCCGAGGTGGGCATGTCACTTGAGGCCAGGAGTTCGAGACCAGACTGGCCAAAATGACGAAACCTTGTCTTTACTAAAAATACAAAAAAAATTTACAGGTATTAATTTGTCTGATTCGAATAGTTTAAGTTTTCCCATGGTGACAAAAAAAAAAATCTTTGTGGCTTAAGACTCTCATCTGTAAATCTGAATTCTGTTCTGGACAGCCTGCATTGTCCTTCTCATTTTCCAAAGACAGAAGCTAATAAGGCTTCTGAACACACAAGGTATAAAGCTGGACCCCCAAATCCAGAGAAGGTGAGGCCCTGGCTGGCTCAGGCCTGACTTCACTCAGGAACACCTATGACATATTTCATATTTGCTGGAGTTGAGATTCAGGGACCTGAGGTCATGTCTATAGATTTGTTCTTGTGCTGAAACTCCCTTCTCTCATTAGATCTGGCAAATCCAAATCAGTTGGCTTTCCTAGCGCCATGCAAAGCACAACTGCTGACCCATTCTTGTCCCTGATGAGAGCTGGCACTCAGCCCTTTTACAGACGTGACATTTTGTTATTTTCAGTCTTTACCTTATCTCCATGACAGTGTCCAGAATTCCTTGCTCTGGGCTTGTTGTATCAGCCAGGCAACTAGAAAAGAGTCTAGTTTTATTTCTTTCCTCCTCTTTTTTGTTTTTAAATCCATGTTTCCTTTTCATAAACATTAAAATCTTCCATCCTTCCGACAATGTTTAGAATCACTGGTTATCCCAAGTGGCCAGGAAAATGTGACTGAGTTCCACTGTTGGTAGTTCACTTTTGGCAAATGCCAAAGTAGGCAAATTACAAAACCAACAGGTTCTCTTTTTTTTTCTCTCTCTCTCATTTCCAAAATACAAAGTTAAACTATAACATTAAATAAACGTATTCAAACTGTACCTAACACTCCCAGTCCCCCAACCTTGTCCCCACTTTTGGAGATTCTGATACGCTCTCCTTGTTGGTAACCTCTGCCATGGATGGGGGTGAAGGGCTGAGACATTTTGCTCCAACACTGGACGGGCTCAGAAAAATTGAAAGTGGCAGATGATCCCAACCATCTCAGCAGGAATCCATTTTGGTACCAGGACCCTTCTCCACCGAGACACAATCTTACTACAGGCCACTCATGGGACAGAAGCGACCCACCCACGAAAGGAAAGAGAGAGGCCTCTTCTGCACTGTGCCGCTCGTCTCTGACAGATGCAGCCTCCTGACTCACAGCTCCAAGGCTGCCAAAGTTCTTTCGCCCTGAAGCAGCATCTGGTTTCCTGATTAGAGCCTCTCCTTCGTCAAAGTCAAAAAACGGGTTCCCTCCCAGCAGGACCTCGAGTCCCTCTAACGCTTCTTAGGTTTAATTGGAGTAGTGGGTCGGAGAAGTCTCAACTGCCCTGGAGAGTAAGGCAGTCCCAGGGAGAGAGGCCTTCAGCCCAATCCTAGGGCTTGTCACATTGGCCTGAGTCCTATATCCAGCAAGCTGTGATCTGAGTCAATTCCATAACCGTTTCAGTACCTCCGTTTCCCCACCCATAAAACTTAGCTCTGGGACTTGGGAGTCTTAATGAGCATTGGCCTTTCCTGAATAAATTAACCAGGTGCCGGAAACATCTGTGGCTGGAGGCAAATCTACTGTATAAACAGAATATGGTATTCTTATACACACGACTGTAGCTAAAGCTCAAATACTAAGCCTGACTTCATCCTAAGTCCTGCGCAGTGGGTATCTGGGAAAAAGCCAACCTCTTCTCCTCTAGTCTAGGTTCTATTTGGAGAACTCACCTTCTCCTTTACGTTGCTCTGTTCTACTCAGGACAAAGGGGTTTCTGTCAAAAGTAAAGGAATCAATAGTTCTTACAGCATCACTTTTCATTTAAATCATATAACAATACTCCAAAAATAAATACCCCCAGGAGAATGTATGCTTCATCCAGACAAAGCCAATATCTGTCTTATTCACCACCATATCCTCAGAGTTCAGCACAGTACTGATTCATGCTAAAAATAAATTAATTGAATGAATGAATAAAAGCAATAATAGCTCTAGAAAAAAATATTATATGTTTGCATAGTTGCTTTATAGCAACTCCTTCCATGCTCTCCTCAATATATGAGTTTATTAGAGCAGAAAATACTAAGCAACTTGGTAAACTAGTGAATTAAGCCTCAGATTGAGCCTTGACAGTGAGTGGCAGAACTGGAACCAAAAGCTAGGTCTCCAAACACTCAATTCTGTCTTCTCACCTTAACAACTCACTGCTTCCCTTTATCTCTAGTTAGGGCCAGAAAACTACAGCCCTGAAAGCCGAATCCAGACCAATACCTGATTAATAAAGTTTTCAGAACACAGCCACACCCATTCATTCACAGACTGTCTATGGCTACCTTTCCACTACAGTGGTAGAGTTGAGTAGTTGCCATAGAGAGCATATGGCCCACAAAACTGAAAATATTTACTACCTGGCCCCTTACAGGAAAAAGTTAGCTGGTGCCTGCTCTATATCCTCCTTCCCCTAGAATCCCATATCAGTCCCATATCAATCCCATATCAGTCTTTAGAAACAAGGGCTCTACGGGCCGGGTGCGGCGGCTCACGCTTGTAACCCCAGCACTTTGGGAGGCTGAGGCGGGCGGATCACGAGGTCAGGAGTTTGAGACCATCCTGACCAACATGGTGAAACCCCATCTCTACTAAAAATACAAAAATTATCTGGGCATGGTGGTGCGCGCCTGTAATGCCAGCTACTCAGGAGGCTGAGGCAGGAAAATCGCTTGAACCCGGAAGGCAGAGGTTGCAGTGAGCAGAGATCGTGCCATCACACTTCAGCCTAGGCAACAGAGAGAGACTCCATCTCAAAAAAAAAAAAGAAAAGAAAAGAAAGGAAAGCAAAACAAGGGCTCTATGATTACACTGTTTTGGTCACACAGCCCCACAATCAGAAACCACTAATGAGTGCTTGCTATTGTGAGATCAAAAAGCTTTACCACATCATCTTATTTAATTCTCCCAATAACCCTATGAGATATGCATTATTACATGCATGCATAATGTGATAATAGAATTGGCCTGAACCGTATGAAATTGCCAATTTTTTTTTTTGTCGATTGAATAGTGGCAATTTCATGTAGATGAAGAGAATACCACTATCTGTTTTAGAGCTGAGAAAACAGGAGAAAGTGGTGCATTGGCACACAGTTAATAAATGAAAGAATGCTTTTTCTTCTTAAAACTTTACACTCCACTTTATTTATTCAAAGTTTTGCTAATTTTGAAGCAAAACACTCAGTCCAATGATGCTTAAGCAAGCCTTTCCCAAAATTTATTTTAGAAAATTTTCTGTTTGTCTTTTTATCACCAAGTAGTACCTATGAATATTCCACAAAACTACAGTTCCTTAGAATAGACTTTGGGGTTTCACCGTGTTAGCCAGGATGGTCTCGATCTCCTGACCTCATGATTCACCCGCCTTGGCCTCCTAAAGTGCTGGGATTACAGGTGTGAGCCACGACGCCGGGCTAACATGGTGAAACCTCATCTCTACTAAAAATACAAAAACTTAGCTGGGCCTAGTGGCATGCGCCTGTAATCCCAGCTACTCGGGAGGCTGAGGCAGGAGAATCGCTTGAACCTGGAAGGTGGAGGTTGCAGTGAGCCAAGATCACGTGCCATTGCATTCCAGCCTGGGCAAGAGAACGAGACTCCGACTCTGTCTCAGAAAAAAAACCAACAAACTTTGGGAAATACCTCCTCTTCCTTCATCCGCATCAAATTTCCCGCAGCATTTCATAGATGCTGCCACCTCTGTCCCCCTAGCTGCAGTCATCTCCTGCCTCCCCAGAACACCCACGCAACTGCATTGGGCATGCCCAATTTGAAAACACACTGTACCTTGCTCCACTGGCAAGTGAAACTCCATTTTCACTGAAATAACCTGAATAGTCCATGCTACTGCTGAAGGCTAATTCCATGTACAGGAATAATGAAGCTCCATCCTTGTGTGGCCTCGGATGTCAATTTCATACACTTGACCCATCCCATACCTCCCATTTGTGATGCAAATAAACTGCATGTTCCATCAAAACTGCTTGCTCTCCCTCTAAGCTCATGTTCTTTCAATTTATGTGCCAAATCAGTTGTAGACTCTTTCTCAGCAGTAGTGTCCAAAATCTGAGGCTGCCCTCTAGCCCAGGTCAATTAAGCAACATAATATATGTTTAACTGTGCTTTGCTTTTTTTAAAGAGAGAAAAAATTGCTTATATATATAAAGTTTACCATCAGGGTTCCATTGATTTCTGTTTTCCTTAGGAGTAATGTAAGTCCGTAATTTGTCATAATCATCCTCCCTACCCCCTCCTAAAATATTAACTTGGTAGGGAGGTTGGAAATCTATCACAACCAATGGCAGACATCTGTGCACAAAAATAGCAAGTCTCGTATTTAATATTTTACTGCCATATTTTGAAACAACTGGTTAGGCAGCTGCTACTGTTATCTTCCAATTACTTCTCATTTTTCCAGAGACTTAAATGCAAGCTGTAACAAATTAAATCTAAATTTCTATATTCTCTTTTAAAAAAATAAAAGACTTTCAGAAAATACTGCAAAAAAAAAAAAGTCATTGAGAGGAAAAAAGGGATAATGGTGGCAAGACAGAGGACTTTATTCTCAATGCCTCCAATGATTTGTTTCATTTGCCTTAAGGTGTGAAGATATGCTGACCCCTAAGTGATCCAAGTATTCTCCATTCTACATAGGCTCTTAGTGCTGAGACTTTGCAGTTTGCTAAAAATGCACTTTTCCCTGCAATCTTGTAAAGGTGCCCCAGAAGAAATTCCTTCACCAAATGTTAAATATTCTCTGTTGTACCACTCTATCAATGGTGTTCAAATACACAAGAAATCTCTCAAAAGCCTTAATAGGTCATATTTTGGAGATACCAATTCAAACAAAATTGCACATGGTTCCAATTGAACAGCAAGGCGGAGAACAGTGTAATTATTTTTTTTCCAACATCAACATGCTTTTCACCTTAAATTATGAGGCTTGTGCTTAGAAATTATATTTTTGCTAGAAAAATAACACATTTTCTAATCTTGTCTGTTTTCATTTTTCATACGATTCCTTGATCCTAATTAGGGGGCACTGAGGGTGAGGGTAGGAGGCCGACTGTCACAATTTGTCCCTCTGACTGCCAGGATTCAACATAGATTTCAAAATAGAACTTACGTCACTGAGGCTTTTTTCAGTGCAAGGTTCTGAAGTGGAACACACTTGCTGTTCTTTTGGATGCGGTATCTACACTGCTCCTGCACAGTGGCTGCTGCAATCAGCACAGCCATGTAAACAATGCGCCACTATCATCTCAGGCTTATGGCATACGAGGCTCTCTAGACCTGGATCCTTCCAGCCTTCTGTGTCCCTCCTCCTCCTCCTCTTCCCTGTCCTTGTCCTCTTCCTGCACAGTCCAACATAACTATTACTCTTAACCTCTCCAGAGAGGTGGCTATTCTATAGTGAGTTATTAAATTATGTCTTCCCAATATCATCTGGTAACTTTAAAAATAAAAAAAAAAAAAAAGTCCAGGCCTTATTGAAGCCTTTAGTTTAAAAGAAAAATCTTGGCTGGTCGCGGTGGCTCACACCTATAATCCCAGCACTTTGGGAGGCAGAGGCGGGGGATCACCTGAGGTCAGGAATGCGAGACCAGCCTGGCCAACATGGTAAAACCCAGTCTTACTAAATATTAAAAAATTAGCTGGGTGTGGTGGTGTGCACCTGTAATCCCAGCTACTCAGGAGGCTGAGGCAGGAGAATCACTGAACCCAGGAAGCGGAGGTTGCAGTGAGCTGAGATCACACCACTGCACTCCAGCCTGGTTGACAGAGACTCCATCTCAAACAAACAACAACAACAACAACAAAACTTCCTTGGCAACACAGCCAGATTCAGGAACAACAGTATGGACACCTCCTGACTTAGGATGGCTTAACTTACAATTTTTCAACTTTACGATGGTGCAAAACAATGCACATTCAGTAGAATTTTGTTTTGTGATTGCCTTTTTGTTTTTTGTAGAAGCAGGTCTCACTGTTTCCCAGGTTCAGGTTGATCTCAAACTCCTGGGCTCAAGCAATCCTCCTGCCTTGGCCTCCCAAAGTGCCGTGATTAGAGGTGTGAGCCACGGCACCCAGTCTGAATTTTCAATTTTGATCTTTTTCTGGGCTAGTGATAGACAGTATGATACTTTTTCATGATGCTGGCAGTAGCAGCAAGTTGCAGCTCCCAGTCAGCCACCCAATCACAAGGCAAACAACAGATACAGTGTATTGTATTCAGCAAATCACATGAGATATTTACCACTTTATAACAAAATAGGCTTTGTGTTATTTTGCCCAACTGTAGGCTAATGTAAGTGTTCTGAGCACGTTTAAGGTAGGCTAGGTTATGCTATGGTATAGGTTAGGTGTATTCAATGCATTTTCAACTTACAATATTTTCAACTTACAATGCATTTGTCTGGATGTAACTGCACTTCATGTCAAGGAGCATCTGTACTAGAGCAAACTTCACCAAGCAATAGTCACCTGGGGTGCTGGTGAAGACAGGTGCTTGGTTAAGCTTCATCCTCAAAGCTCTTGATTCAGTTAAGTCTGGGTTGAGGCCTGAAAATTTGCATTTCTAACAAGTTTGCAGGTGATTTTTACCCAGGGGCCATACTTTGGGAACCACTGCTCTTGGTTAAGTCCCATGTGGGCCAGGACTGACTGCCTTTTCATCCTGTGTTGAGCAGTGTTTGGCACATTTGTTGAATGAACACCAAAAGGTGCTCTAACACTACAGAAGAAGACCCACCACAACAATCACCATTCTGAAAGTGTAAGTTCGCAATTCTACTTTCCCCTACAGTGTACTCCATTTGCAAAGCTAAAACCCACTCACCAAATTACAGATAGAGACTCAGAAGAGCTGAACTGACAAGGTAAGCAACACTCACTTCTTTAGATGGAAAAGTGCCACTCTTGTTGGTTGGCTGGTTAGTATTTTTTTCCTAGAGGCAATGAAACGCAAGCATCTAGTACATAAGAGCATCAGCAGAGGATCATCTTTTTGTCCAAGTGTGCTTTAAATCAGGAGCAATGATTTACTGCTAACACCGAATATATTTGGAATTCATGGAGGCTTTGCATTGCCAGCCTCTAATCACTTCTCAGCAGAGTACCCTAAAATTGCTACAGTCCGTCAATACAAGATGGGAGATTGTCATCTGAGACTTGCCACATCAGGGATTCATCAAAATGCAAAATCAACACCTTCCCTTTCTCTCTCTCCTACTCCAGATGATTTCTGAATTTCTGTACATTTGTGAATTCACAGAAGCATGAACAAAATGACATGAACATTACAAATGCAAATGTCTTTTTTCCTAACAAATTACTCCAGTTTTCCCTTCTTCCGTAAGTCTGGGAGTGGGAGGGAAGGGACTTCACATTACCATTTCAAAATCACCATACGTTTAGAAGCCAGAGGCAAAGGTGAATTATAGTTTCCCAAAGTTTTTTTTTTTTTTTGTCAGGGATAGCTTTTAAACACACACAACCTCAAATATTATTTTTCCAATGCTGATTTGTACTTTTATAAACTGACATCTGCATCTCTAAAGAAATACTTCACTGTCAAAAGAATCTAGCTTAATTTTGTTTGCTTGAAATGTTTTCATCTCAGACCAAATTTAGAATACCCCACCACCTGTTGACACCAGTCTCCAGCAAAGCAGCAAAAGCTCACCTCTTCGATTCACTTCCCAGCTGGAACAGTCAAGGTGATGGGAGTTGTAAGATGTTTTAAATTAGCCTCCAACTCCTTGTTCATTTCTGAGAAAATGTGCTACCCTTGAGCTCCAAATGCTACACACTTCAACTCCAGAGTACATCAGGGAACATCTTTGCAAACAGAAAGCCTCAGTCATGTAAGGGACGACATTCTGCAGAAAATGTTGAGGCACAGAACAATACAAAAGAATGGTGAATAGGCTATTTTGGAAACAATACTTAAAGCTCTTGGTACCTCCTTCCACATCTGTGAATGGGGGTGTTAGTGGTCATAGAGAGACAGGGCTAGTTCCTCTCGTTCTAAAGTTCTGTTAACATATTTGCAAAATACAATAGCTTTTATTCTCCAATTCCCACTTAAGGCTGCACCTTCTAAAATCTTTTGAGGCCTGATAGCAAATAAGCCTTGGCATATACATGAGTTGGGTTAGGTTTTTTTTTTTTTTTTTTTTTTTTTTTTTTCAGGTTGAAAGCAACAGAAACCAATTCATACTTGCTGAAGAAAAAAAAAAGGCAGTGTTATTAAGAAGATTCAAATGTGTTTTTGTGAGATTCAAAGGCAAGAATCTAAACAGGTCTCAGAAAGAGACTGGAAACAGAAAATGCCAGTGTTAGGAACCCAGGCAACATTCTTTTATTCTTGCTCCAGCTGATTCTTCCTTCCCCTGTGCTCTGCTACTCAGCCCTGAATTACAAAGTAGTCAAGAGATTAGACCACCTCTACTCAAGGAATGAGCCTGGATGGACACTAGCATCCCTTAATTGTTGTTTATCTGAAAAGGGTAACTGATTAAGATATCCACCTTGGTCCAGTTATAAACACAGACACTGGGAGCTCACCACTGGGATCCTGTGAATCTTGGGATCAGGGTGAATTAGGAGGTGAAACAGTTCCCAGAAATCGGTGGGGGAAGGAGAGAGAGTGGCTCACCACAGAAGAGATGATATTGCATAATATCTTGAAACAAGAACTATTTTTCCAGTCCTGTTGAGAAGGGAGGTTGTGCCACATATTGGTACGAGTACGATGGCACTGACACCCAAGACTTGAGCTCCAGTCCCGGTCCTGCCACCTAGGGGTGGGTTAGCTTTAGTCAATCACAACCTTTTTGAAGTTTGGTTTCATCATTACTAGGCCATTACTGTGTTTCAAACCTAGTATTTTCTGTATCAAGTGCATTGGCTTCATAATGCATTTTGTACTCTTCTCACATTCCAAATGAGAAGATACATGAGCAAGTACTTTGTGAACTGTAAAATATTAATTTGGAGATTGCTCTTAAAAAGCTACTTGAAATATAATTTGTCTATTCATTTTCTTCTCCAAGTACCTAGGTCTTTTGCCTCCATAATGAGGGCCCCCTTCAGCAGGTATGGAACATCAGACACTACAAGCCAAAACAATACCTACATTAAGACTAGGCAAGATATTTTATATAAGCAGCACATGCATTTTGGTTTCTTTGGCCCATTGCCTCCTGAGTATGCATTTGTTATAGTACAGTGGGCTAGAAGTGGAAATCATCAGCTGCAATTCCTCTCTGTATCTCATTAGAGGTCTAGTTTCCCCTTAATGCACATGAAGACCTTTCATTAGCAATAATGGGAGCTGCATGCATCAAAAGGAAAAATAGACCTTCTCCATTGTGATCTAGGAGATGAGGTTATTGGGACACTTGCTTGCCTGACTGGAGAATTATGACATTCAGAGATGCATGATTATATCATGGAAAAATTAAAATCTGTGACTGTTTTAATAAATAAAATGCAATTTTAAAACCTCAAAATGGAGGTCAAGAATCAACACTAAAGAATCATAGGCAGATTGAAATTAGGAATGAGTTAAGTAAGTGAAAGCCAAATGACAAGATAAACAAAGGTAGAGAAAGATCACCCAGGGGATTTGACAAAATAAGAACTGTTTCCAATACACACATAGTTAAGACACTGGCAAGAGAGACTACAGTCCAAGAAGAGACGGCAAGGACCATTTACTGTCAGAAACGGTAAACACTGCTGAAAGTTAAACAAATCCTTTGCTTCCATGTCCACAAAGGAAGATGGAAGATGCCAGAAATGGCTGTGCCCTGAAGAAGGGTCAATGAAATAAAATATTACTCAAGGAAATAAAAGTGACACCTGAGTTTGTCTTGAGGTTGACATAAATGCCAGAAGTAGTATTTTCCTGCTGCAATAAACTTTAAACAAGGACACTTGGAAATTGGCCATTCTGCATTGTTAAGGGTCTGAGGAAGAAGTGGCACAGTCCTTCACTTTTGTTCAAATGTAAAAACAGTAATCTGTGGATTAAAGAAGAATATATTTTCTTTACAAGACAACATCAGACAATGAGACCTATTTTGGGGGTTAGGTGGGTGGAGAGGGTGGAGAATGCTCAGGAAAAGCAAGCAAACATGTACCTGAATCCTATTAAAAAGACTTCAAGCAAGTCCTAGAATAAGCATGAATTCAGCACTCCATCTCCTATCCTCTCAACTCATGATGGTTCCAGGGAATACTCAAGTTAGTAAGACTCTGAGGATGTATTCAATCTGTAGCAGACTGCTTGCCATTGAGTCAATGAAGATTGAAAATTGGTTGCCTAACTCATAAAAAAATGCAAATGGCCTCAACATCTAATCTCATGGAATCAAACATTTTTTAAGGACAGGTGCAGTGGCTCACATCTGTAATCCCAGCTCCTTAGGAAGCCAAGACAGGAGCCAAACCAGCCAGGACAACAAGGCTAAACTCCGTTTCTACAAAAAAAATTAGCCAGGTGTGATGGTATGTGCCTAGGGTTCCAGCTATTCGGGAGGCAGAGGTGGATCACCTGAGCCCGGGAGGTTGAGGCTGCAGTGAGCGGTAATTGTGCCCACTACACTCCAGCCTGGGTGACCGAGTGAGACTCTTTCTCAAAAAAAAAAAAAAAAGTATAGAGATGGAGTCTTCACTATGCTACCCAGGCTAGCCTTTAAAAAAAAATGTCAATAGCTTTTGGGGGTACAAGGGGTTTTTAGTGACATGGATAATCTGTATAGTGAAGTCTGACATCTTAGTGCATCCTTCACCTGAGTAGTGTACATTATACCCAATATTCAGTTTTTATCCCTCATGCCCCTCTTACTCTCTTCCCTTCTGAGTCTCCAAAGTTCATTATACTCTGTGTGCCCACAGCTTCACTTAGAATAATGGCCTCCAGATCCATCCGAGTTGTTGTAAAAGTCATTATTTCATTCTTTTTTATGGCAGAGTGGTATTCTATGGTGTAGAAATCAAATTTTGACTTTAATAAACTCATCACATGGCAACTACGCGAGGGCTTAACAGCCTGTAAGAATAAGAATGCAAGTACTCAGACAAAGAAATGTCTGGGAAACACCGAACTCCTACAGAATGGCCCAAACTCCCCACATTGGAGCAGGGGTATAGCACTTGGAAACCATTCCTTGCATACCCGGACTATATCCCTAAAATCACCATTGAGGCTTATGCAAAGCCATTTCAGGTTCTGCCAGTAGCTGTGGAGCCAAACAGGCTCAAGGTGCATTATAGGGAAGTGTCTATTTATATAAAATGAAGTCTCAAGGCAGTAAGTACTAGGCCACAGCAGTTTGCTCCAGCAAACTGTAATTTCCCAATAGTTCTGGCTTCCTATTTCTCACTCCCTGTCTCCAGTAATTTGGAGTCAAATGAACCCCTCTTCCAATCCATCCAAAGAGGTTCTGACTCCAACTTGGGAGTCACCACTTTTCAATAATAGACTCAGATCTTTATCCTTTTACCACAATGACTATTAACCACTGTCACCCCTTCTGTACAACCCAATTGCAGAAGGATCCTCTGTTAACATGGCCCAAAGCACTCTCCAAGGCACTTATGACTTCATACTCTATCAGCTTGTAGGACTTCATGTTCCCTTCTTGGGTCATATGCTGATTAATAAGCTCAGAGGCAGAATCTGTGTCCTGTCTGCTTTGGAACATCAAGAGTGCTTGACATAGTAGGTATCTGATAAATACTTCTTAAATTAGAAAAAAAAAAGAGAGAATTTTTAAAAATACAGAGCTAGCATAGAAAAAGATGCCCAGTGAGATTTTTTTTTAAAATGACAGTGTATTACATACTTAATTTGGTTGAGAAGTGTTTATTGTAAAAATGGAGTTTATAATGAAAATAAAAAATTATTTCATAACATTCTGATACCACTACACCTGAGTTCGATGCCAGCATGGTTTGAAAGTGAAGCTGATACAAGTTTTCTAAAGGATGTTAAAAAACTATAGTATGAAGAATGTAATAATATTTTAGAAGACATTAAAACTTAAATATTTAGATGCTGTATATGAGAAATCACACCAAGCTCTCTTAATTAGGTTAACATTAGACAACTACATCTCAATTTCCAAGCTTCCAAAAATAGGTAAAAAAATTATTTTAGTTTAAGTTGATATTAAAAACACATTGGGAGCAGGAATCCATTCTTTCAGGTTTTAAGAATAATGTTATGATTATTAGATTATTATCAATGATTAGAAAGTTAATGTCAAATATCTTCTACTTTCTTGGTTTTTTAACATTCGATTTTTTCATTAGATTAACATGCTAGCTTTTCCTGTCTTTCTGTTCTTGGGTAAGTGAATGATTTATTAGACCTGGTGCTCAATTTACGAGCTTTTCTCATTTCAACTTGAAGAAACTGCAAATATTTATAGAAGATGAATCACATGTATTTGTTCCTGAAAAATGTCAGAATACAGCACTCAAATCAAATGCCGAACAGAAGCTATTCCCTAACACTACATACTGTGGCGAGTTAATTTCCACTGACATGTTTTCCTAAACAGTTTTTCCCACTATGATTAATTCCCAAATCAAAAATTACTGAAATCTTTCATTAAGTGTGTATTCATGTTACCAAGATATAGAAATCTAAACAATCATAAAGAATTTAAGAATCACACCTTTAAAAACATATTGAATTGACTCAGTTAAATTACTCTTAATCCTAAAAAATACATAAGTTATGTTCCAACTGATTTTCCTTGCTTTTATTTTGCTCGCTTGCTACTTTAAGGGTGCTTTGTTTAACTCCACAATAAGATCCCAAGTCTAGAAAATTAGAATGCAGAGGAAATGAACCAACAGAGCATATACTCCACAAGGGCAGGGGCCATGGCCAGTTTTACCTGTTAATATATCCCTTCTGTCTAACACAGTCACACTCAAATTTGTGTTGACTCCAATTTAAGGTTATCACTATGGGTAGGAGGGCAAAACAGCAGAAACTTTTGAAGGCAATTTGGCAATACAGGTAAAAGGGCTGACATTTTACATACCCTTTGACTCGTAAGTCTATATCAAAGATTATCCTAAAGAAATAATTATATATGTGAGCAAGTACTTGGATTCTAGAATGTTCTAGGCCCTGAGCTTTTTAAAGTAAAACCCAGCCAACAACCCAACATCCTGGAAGGGGTGCCTAGAATGCCTCCCTCATCATAAATACAGGCTGAGTGGCTGCCACATACCAACCAGAGTTTGCATGCTTCACCCAAACCCCCAACAAACGTCTTCAACACTCACAGCCACCTTGTGAGGTAACAGACCTGCTCTCATTTCTTATCTTATCTGGTTGACAAAAAGTGAGGCACAGGGAGGTTAAATAACTTAGGAAAAGGAGGAGCCAGGTTTCAATCTGGCTGCCTGATCCCAGAGCCCCAGTAGTGCCTTCAAAACAATGTTGTCCAAAAAATGAATTTCTCGACTCTCCTGATCTTTCACCCATCTCCTTTTTTGATAACCCTCCTAGGGGATCATAATCAAAAATTCTCATAGGCACACCCCCACCAGCTGGCAGATCTCACTGATTTTGGTGATGCACAAACAGCAAAATCTGTGATTATCTTTAAAATATAAAAATTACTAAAATATGTTTTTCCCAATGTACTACCATTCTCCTAATTCCTAATTCCTCATTCACAACACTTGCTGTTAGCAGAATTATACTTCATGGTTTCGGAAGACAAATGTGAAGTCCTAAATAATATAAACAAAATGAAGTTTACTTGTGGTGGCATGATTCTTTTCTTTAAAATTTCTGTGGCCTGTCCAGGAGTGGTGGCTCATGCCTGTATTCCCAGCACTTTGGGAGACAGAAGCAGGTGAATCACTTGAGGTCAGGAGATGCAGACCAGCCTGGCCAACATGGTGAAACCCCATCTCTACTAAAAATACAAAAATTAGCCAGGCGTGATGGCACACGCCTGTAGTCCCAGCTACTTGGGAGGCTGAGGTGGGAGAATCGCTTGAACTCAGAAGGTGGAGGTTGCAGCGAGCTGAGATTGTGCCACTACACTCCAGCCTGGGCAACAAAGTGAGACTCTGTCTTTAAAAATAATGATGATAATAATAATCTTGTGTCCCATGGCCTATGAGTACGGGGACTGGTTGACCATCACCTGCAGAAATGAAAAGGCAGACTGACCGGAATTAGGCCAAGTGATTCCGGGTCCGGGGACAAGGAATTCCTGGGCAAGTACATGAAGCCTGGACTTCTCTCGGGGTGCTCATTTGGGAGCAGCGAAGTATAAAAATTCAAAAAAAAAATATTCACAGTAGATGCCAGGGCCTCGGGGTCAGGAGCTGGGATAAGTAGTTGGGAGAAGTGGGTTGAAAGGTGGCACCTGAGAGGCAGCAAAAGTGGTGGAGCCTATAGGTTTCTGCCTGGTGAAACTTCCGGTCAGGGCTTGTTTTAGCTTTTAGAAATAAACAAGTATAAGCAAACAAAAGTAAGCCAGAGAAAATACATCTAAAATCAAATGAGCAAGCAGTCAAGATTTTGTTTTATTTTATTATGGCTAGAAAGACACTGTTATAGCCAAAATCGGCAATGACACTAAAGAAATCCTCTGTGCTTTTCAATATGCAAATATATTTCTTCCAAGAGTTGCCCTGGTGTGACTTCAAGAGTTCATGTTAACTTCTTTTCTGGAAACTTCCTTTTCTTAGTTGTTGTATTCTTGAAGAGCCTGGGCCATGAAGAGCTTGCCTAAGTTTTGGGCAGTGAACTCCTTGATGTTCTGGCAGTAAGTGTTTATCTGGCCTGTGCATTTGAGAAAGAGATAGAGCCATAATGTTCCACAAATTGTAAAATGATCCAGAAAGCTAGTCAAACAGAAAAATCAGCATAAAACAGAATCACCTGTTTATTGTTTTGAATCCAGAGTTTATTTTTCCATAAGGGATAAGAAATACAAGTTCTTTTGAAAATAAGCTACTGTCCACTCTCAATTACATGGAGAATAAAGAAAAACTACTCCTCAAAAGCTTATCAGCCCTAAGGACATAATAGCTGTCAGTCAAAAGGACTGACTAAATAGATCAAACCAATGCTGTACAACTGAGAAAACAGCGCTGACTAGCCTTCACAGGTAGAAAGGAGATACTAACAATAAATCACAGAGCTGCAAACCAGCCAGACCCACTGGACCCAGATGTGAACAAGTACGGTAGGTTTTCAGTTTGTGCTTTGGGAACGTTAAGGAGTTTTCTCCTACGAGCCAGACAGAGTAAGAGTAAAGAGTTCACTTGAAGAAAGGGCTCCATCATTGCTTTTTATGTCTTTAATGATCTAATCCCATGCAACAGTTACATCAGTTACATACTTCTTCAAAATATAAGGATCTCAATTCTGTTTGAATTGGACCTTTGGGAAGGAATTGTGTCTCATTTCCAAATTTAATTTGTATGTACACTAGAAAATGTTAAGGAATTTGGAATTTCCTCCCACATTACAAATGTATCAATATAATTTGAGAAATTGCCAATCAGCTTTTGAGTAGGATTTTCACTTTGATAAAATCTTCTCACAGGTAAGGATCTGACTGAATCAGATGGCATTTAACATTTCTATAAGATTATAGCCAAATAAGGGCATGAATGTCATATATTCAAAATCAAGTCCTAGTACAGGACACAGGACCTCTCCTGCTTAAAGGTGGTATTAAACATTAAGTATAACCAGAAAAAGTTTATCCGGAAATACATTTGTGCTGCCACAATTTAAGTCCAAGTAAGGGAAATAATTTCCTAAATTCAAGTCAAGTACCCACTGTACAGTGCTGTGCTGGAAAAGGAAGAGTAAGAGGCCTGAGCTAAGTGGTCTTCTGCATTAAGACTGTAAACAATTTTTCTGGGTTTCCATGAAAAAGGACTCATTTTAGAAAGTTTATGCCATCTCAAAAATGTTTAGAAACACAGAGTGAAGCACTGAAAGGACCTGGACAAAAGAACAAACTCTTACAAGTTCTTAGATTTCAGATATTACAGGTGCTAGATTCAAATTCATCCTGCAACTATTTCAAACATACTAGCTTTTACGGCATGCTTTTCTGTTTGTAAATTTCTCACTGTCTTCTGCTTCCTAAGAAACGAACAAAACCAGCCAGGTTTTGCACTGGGCAACAATACCTGCAATGAGCAGCGAGTCCATCCTGGCAGGCGGCTGTGGTGGTTTGAAGAGTTTGGACAGGTCCTCCTCAGGGAGCGGGGGTTCTCCTCGGCTCTGGCGCTGCATATTCTCCTGCTGGCGACGCTGCTGATACTAAAATTCAAAGGGAAAATGGTTTGGTTATTTTTCTCCATCTGAGGAGGAAAAAAAGATGTCCTTCCCCTACACAACCAGCAGAACCCCACTGCTCTGAATTCCAACCTCAGTTTTTATCATTGGCAACATTTGGTAACTTGCGTCTAAGAAGCTAAATACGCCAATAGCAGAAGAAAATTCCTTTGTTGAAAACTCTAGTGTCACTCTAGCTCTAAGAGTCTATAACTAATGATTCAGAAAACAAAACTAGTTATGTAAGTAACAGGGGGCTTAAAGGGAAAGAAGCTCATGACTAGTAAGGTAAAGGGAGTTCCTTTACCATTCATGACAATGAGGTAATAAATGATTCATCCTAATTTTAATGACTAAGTAATGAACTACCACACTGGAAATTCTTTCACCTTTACTCCTATTGACCTAAAATAACAATACAGATGATGTTATTACTGCTATGTTCACTACTGTTACGGCTTTTTTTCTTTTCTTTTCTTTTTTTTGACACAGAGTCTCATTCTGTCACCCAGGCTGGAGTGCAGTGGCACAATCTTGGCTCACTGCAGCCTCCGCCTCTCCGCCTCCCCGCCTCCCCAGTTCAAGCAATTCTCCTGCCTCAGCCTCCCGAGTAGTTGGGGTTACAGGCGCCCACCACCACACCCGGCTAATTTTTGTATTTTTAGTACAGACAGGATTTTACCACGTTGGCCAGGCTGGTCTCAAACCCCTGACCTCGTGATCCACCCGCCTCGGCCTCCCCAAGTGCTGGGATTACAGGCGAGAGCCACCACTCCTGGCCTATTGTTACTATTCTTAACAGATAATTGTCTGTACCTTAGCTCTATAACTAAAGATGGATAATATTAATAGCTCAGATAATGCTTCAAATACTTTCAAACTCTGGATTCCTATGATTCGCTGAAGAGAAAGCAGGGATATATATAAACTTTAACTATAAACTTATAGATCAACTACAATAAGAGCTAACAGCTATGACTGCTCCCAACAGTGAAGCACGTAATATCCCATACACAACCTTAAAATGTCAGGTAATGAGAAACCAAGCTGGGCTAGTAAAAATTTAGTCTTTGGATTCCTAAGAAAATCAAGGGAAACAACAATTCTTTCTAGTGAAGGAACGTAACTTGCTTTGTAAAGATTCCTGTATTCATTATGGGGTACTCATAGGAAACAAATATTCAATTTGATACCCTGGATGAGTCCTTCACCTACAGGAAAAACCAGCATGAAAATGAAATCCAGCTGAGATGACTTTTTTCCCCCTCAGTTTATCAGACATTTGTAACCACTCCCATCTTTTTAGTTAAAAAAAAAAAATACTGATTTACATATGTTTTCTCAATTCTAAGCTGGTAGAAACAAAGTACTTTAAATTTCACTATATACTGAAAATGAACTCTGATATTAAGAGAAAATTTAAATACAACATTCTTAGAAACCACTCAGTTGTGCTTAGAATTCTATATTTAACAAAGCTCTGTTTAAAGTACATTTTAATGAACAGAGTAGTCATATATAAATACTACTTTCACAGATAAACATTCTGGAATCAACTAATCTATGAATCAAATGCTAAGAACACTTTAGAGCAGTATAGTCCAAATACAATATTCCAGGAACTGTGAAAACCATGTGGCCTGCAGGCAACATGAATAAAGAAAAGGTTATATGGTCACAGCCGTAGATGTGTGCATATGAGAATATTCGGATAATTCTAGGGTTTTTGTCTGTATTATACTATCTACTTCACAGCAGTTGGTCTATTATTTCCTATCAACATTGCTTGCTCTTAATCACAATTGCTCCGTTTTTTAAATGAACTGAAGATTGCTAACTATGCCACAATGAGCCACTGCCAAACCAATTATAGTTAGTAAAGAAATGAGCTGTGACATTCTGGAATCTCTTTGCTTCTGATTTTCTCAATAAATGTATCTCTTATTTGCATAACCTTGGCATTACAATCTGAGCTTAACAGCTCTCTTTAACACAGGTATTTTTAAGTATAACCTGTAAATAATATGTTACAAACATGCCATAAAAATAATAATCTTTTAAAAATATAATATAGAGTAGCTAACGGTCAATAATTTACCAAAGATAATTTAGGTCATTTTGAACATGACTCTTGAAATACATGAAACTTAGAAATAGCTGTTTGTTGAATTTTTCCACAATACCAACCTGATGTTTCTGCTGCTGTTGTTTACTAGTATTCCTCATGTATGTGTTGTATTTAACTATATCTTGGCTCATTTCATCCACTCTGTCCATCAGCAACTGTAGATTCTTCCCCAAATGATTGCTGAAATGTAAAGTAAATATACTGACAAGTCTTACTTTAAATTATAGCTTTGCTACTGCTCTAAACAGTTTTAAGATATGAACTTGAACTGGCTTTTGCTAAAAGAATGAGAGCACACATATGCATAAAAGCAAGAGCAGAGGAAAAAATCTGAGTCAACTTGTTACTAAACTTTCCATACCGAACTTCCAACTATAATCTCAGGGATACCTGAAATAGCTGAGTTTCTTATTGTGAGAGCACAGGTATGTTAGGGTAGGAACTGTTAAACATACCTAGTGAGACATCTATAATACATATTTTTTATACCAAGTTCAGTATTCCCAAATTCTTTTCATTAACTTACTCCTGCCCAAATGCATTCCATAACATTTTTATCAGTAATCACAGGAAAGAACCACACAGATTATGACATCTGGCACATGATTTCTCTATCTAGGTTTTAAATGAACAATGGTAACATTTATTCTACAAAACATGATGAAGAGGCTCCTTTCCTCTTACCTTTCCTAGAATCTGTAGTACAGTCTTTCATATTTCTTATTCTCTCCCGAAATTTCTATTGCAGCTCAGTTACCAACATCGCTTTATAAAGTGATGTAATGACTGGCACAATGACCACCATATTCACTGATTTCTGCCTGCAACTTATCTCCTACCATGGTAACGCCTGGACAGCTACTATACATATATATATTTTTAAAATAGCAAGCTTCTAAAGAGTAGTACCCATTCATTAACTGCAAACAGGTATTTACTAAACTCCTATTATGTGCCAGCCTTAGTACTAGAAAACAGGGAGACAACAGTGAATAAGACATACATGTTCTATATCTTCATTGATCTTATAACTGATTAGGGATGGAGGAGAAAGAGAAGGGGGAGGTGAAGAGACACTTACTTTAGATAGCATGATCAGAGTATCTCTTTGAGGAGATGACAGACTGAAAGTGAAAGATGAGTCAGCTATGCCAAAAATATTGTAGGCAAAAGAAAATACAAGTACTGAATGCCTGAGATGGGCAAGAATTAGGCAGATTTGATGACACAAGAGGCCTGGCATGGCTAGAGCACAGGGATTAGGTCAGGCAGACCAGACAAGCACATGTAGGAAGCTCACTAGCACCATACAACTCCCCAGCAATGTAGTTTGTTGTGAATGAGACCTCACAACTGCAATGTGAATGATATCCTGGAGTTGTGCATGTTTATGACACATTTTGCTTAAATTTTAAAATGATCATTCTGCTGCTATGCAAATAGACTGGAGAGGAGAAACCAGGAGGTTAGTTAAAAGTCTACTGTGGGGTGTTGGCGAGGATGTGGAAAAATGAAAACACTCATACACTGGGAGGGAAGGTAAAGTGATACAGCTGCTGTGGAAAACAGTTTGGTGGTTCCTCAAAAAGCTAAACCAAATTACCATATAACCCAGCAATTCCACTCTTATGAATATACCCTATGAATATGTTTATACCCTAGGGAATTAAAAATATATACTCACACAAAAACTCATACATGTATGTTAATAGCTACATTATTCTTAATAGCCAAAAACTAAAAACAATCTAAAATTCCATCAAATGATGAATAGATAAATAAAATATTATATATCCATACAGTAGAATGTTATTTGGCCTTAAACATGAATAAAGTTCTGATATACCCCACAACATGGATGAACCTTGAAAACATTTGCTAAGGGAAAGAAGGTAGACACAAAAGGCTGCTTATTGTAGGACTCTTTTCTTTTTTTTGAGACAGAGTTTCACTCATCATCCAGGCTGGTGCAGTGGGGCGACCTCCACCTCCCGGGTTCAAGCAATTCTTGTGCCTCAGCCTCTCGAGTAGCTGGGACTACAGGCATGCGCCACCACACCTGGCTGGATTTTTTGTATTTTCAATAGAGACAGGGTTTTGCCAGAACTCCTGACCTCAAGAGATCCTCCCACCTCGGCTTCCCAAAGTGTTGGGATTACAGCCATGAGCCACTGTTCCTGGCCAGGACTCCATTTTATAAAATATCCAGAATAGGCAAATCTGTAGAGATAGAAAGTGACTAGAGGCTGCCAGGGGTTAGGGGAATAGGAATGACAGCTTAATGGGTTTGGGTTCCCGTTCAGGGTGATGAGAATGTTCTAGAGCTAGTAATGGTTGTAAAACATTGTGAATATACTAAAAATGACTAAAGTGTACATCTGAAAAGGGTTTAAATGGTCAATTTTTTCTCTATATTAAAAACTGCACCTCCAGCAAATAATCTATCGTGATATTACAGAGAGAAATTGTGGTGACTTGAACTAGGATGGTGGCAGAGCATAGAGAAAAGTGAGCAGAAATGAGAGAGATTCTGGAGGCAGAGCAGGCAATCTTTATTTGATAGGAGGCATCAGAGAGGAATGGAGGGTGACTCCCAGTCTTCTGGCAGCTGGTTACTACATTTACAGAGAAGGGAAAGACTGAGAAGGAAACAGGTTGGGAATATTGAGAATGAATAAAAATAAATCCAACTAAAATATGGATTCTATCAGTAACCTCAAGAAAATCAGGAAGTTTTGGCTCTTTCTCAAATAATGGAAGGAGCATAGAACTAAGGTGTATGTGAGTAAATTTATCTTTTAATCCCAGCCTGGCACTACCTAGATAACCTTGGTCCAGTAACATGGTCTGATGACTTCACCTGCTGAGGAATCAAGTGCTTCTTTCATATTTATTTTGTTGTGTTGTAATTTTTTAAATCACTTTTAACTTCAAAACATTTCTTCTTCTCTGGATACAATGTATTTGCTTCTGTTTTACCCTAATTTCTAAATAGTTGATTTAAATTCACTCCGACTTAAGTATTAGAATTGGGCAAGACTGAGGAAAAGAGAGGCAGACAACGGTCAAAGTGCAATGACTTAAAAACATACTACAAGTCTGGAATCTGTCCTAAGGACAGTGGGAAACCAGCTAAAGATTTTAAGCAAAGGAGTAATATGAGCATCTAATTTGCATTTAGCAAGATCATTACAATTTTGAAAGAGGAAAAGGTCAAAAAACAGGAAGTGAGGAAGCTGTGAAAGTAATGAGGAAGAGAAATAAGGTCCTAGACTAAGGCAGTAAGTCACAGGAGTAAGACAAAATCGCCCCACGAGTACATGTGTGAGAAGACAGACCCTGAGGAACACGGACAGAGATGAGCACAAGAGGGGGTTCACTGTGGAGAATGAGAGGAAACCCAGAAGAGCTATAGTTTCACAGGCTCCTAGGAAAGGATCTCAGGAAGAAGGCCTTATCAACATATTACATGCTGAAGAGTCTAAAATACTCAGTGACATAGTGACATCAAAGTCTTCTGTGACTTTGGAGGGAGGTCTTACTACATATAATGGGTGGAACACCACAAACTGTTGACAATCACTGGGAAATCAGTGGGAAATGAGGAAACAGTGACATCAAAATTCTATCGAGAAGTTTGATTATGAAACAAATAGAAAAATTTAGCAGAAGACAAAAGGAGATGGATACTAAAGGCATGAGATTAAAAGGTATTCTTTTCATAAGTTTTTCTTTTGAGATGGGGGGATGTAAACAAGTTTAAATGTCTTTGTTTTTAGGAGATGCACGCATTTTAGAAGTATTTAGGGGTTAAAAGTCATGTCTACAATTTACTTTCAGATGGTTCAGAAAGAAAAAGTGTTTACGTACGTAGATAGAGTGCAAATGTGGCATGATATACAATTGGTGAATCTAAATGAAAGGTTTATGGATGGATGTTCACTGTATTTTTCTTTCAAATTGTCTAAAGAGTTGAAAATTTAAACATAAATTTTTAATTGGAAAAATGAGCCTATAAAGATTGAAAAAAAAAAACTAGTATAGAAAGAAACTGAAAATCTATGAAGAAGGAAGGAGTAGATCAACCTAATGAGGTCCTGAGAAGGCAAGAAGACAGGAGGCACTAGCTTCAGGTTTCTGATCCTTTCATTTTTACCAGTGAGCAACCTGAAGCCCAAAGGGCTATACTAAGTATAGGAAATGTCGTTAGCTACATGATTAGTTGTTAAGTCATTTATGTCATTAATTGCAAAAGGAAATCAGAGAAAGAAAAGATCATCACCAATGCTGTGGCTGGGAGGTTAAGGGGAAAGCAGTGACAGTAGGGAAAAAATAACAGCACAGGAGAGGTACTGCCATATGCAGAGAAAATACACCTAGACCTTAAATCTTGGAGGTTGTTTACAGTAATGAGAAAGGCACTACTAAAACAGACCCACTGTTTCTACCAGAAAAGTCTTTAATATAAAGTACTAATATTATCTGCTGCAAGTATATGAAGTTATTGTGAAAGAACACTGCTACAAGCACAAATATGTGGACTTTAAGCATTTCATAACTTTTATATTATGATAATGCTCTTCAGAAAAAAAACAATCAGAAACACACACACACACACACACACAATCTGTGTACTACAGGCCTTAAAAGGGCATCAGAAATTAACAATGACAGAAAATCAGACCACTACCAAGACCAATTTTGTGGGAATCTTTTCAGTACCAGTTTAACTAGGATGCTGAAACAGGGACTTATTGTTAGGAGTTTCAGTAACATTGCCTTTTCTTTTATTGCCAAGCAAATAAAGAACTGAAAACAGATAAACAGATGTGAACCAGGACATGAAGTGTTAAGTCTGCTCTGGCTACAGTATCAATTTATGCTTATAATCCTTAATGTATGATGCCCACCCTTAGTTTACTTTTTTTAAAAGAGGAAATAAAAACAGAATTGTTTTACATGTGTGAAAAGCTGAACGCCTGTGATACACATTTTTAAAAACTAATAAAGGCTGTTATGGAATAACTATTACTAGAACTTCCATCTAATAAAATTAAAATAAAAAAATTTGAATTTTTCAACAAAAGCAAATACAGTATGTTTTAGTCGTCGCAGAGAACAAACTTATCAGGCACATCAAAGAAACTGGTGCCCATGTCTATAGGCTGTGAAAGGAAAGACCAAGTTTAAGCACCTGCATAAGAATTATTTCTGATGGGGTTTCTTATACAAACTTTTATGGCAACTGGCCTGAGCCATCATCACACAATTACTGTCAGAAATTAAAAATTGAGATGTACAAAACTTATCTTTCTGTCTTTTAAAATAGTATGGTCGATTTGGTTCAATGTAAGTGTCTACTAGCAAAAAAGCACTGCTTCAAAGTTGCTTCATTTTTTTTCCTCCTAACAGGAACACCAATTTACACTTTAAATAACTTCATATGGAAAGCAAAGAAATGGGACCTCTTTTTCCTCATTTACGTAAAAATACAGAAGACAAAAACTATAATAAAATATTTGTCTAGGTCTCAGTTGCTAGGGCAAACTGAGAACATTTTCTTGGCTATTATAAATGCTGCTTTGGACAAATGGACATTATAGACCAGCTCATTGGTAATGTTAAAGCACCATCAGGGATGTATTTCTTTTGTATGCTCAATAAAGGCAGCCTGGGAAAAGGTGAAGACATGAATTATGTAAGCAAAAGCTTTCATGCAGTAAATTTAAAAGTATTATATAACTATATACTTAATACATCAAATTGTAACCTTGTATGCTGAAAAAGGTTCTTAGCTAAATGCTTTAAATACAGGTGTGCCCAATGTGTTTGTAAAAGCAATAAAGAAAAATATGACCTTCTAAAACAGACAAATTAAAGGACTATTATGAATATATGTTTGCAGTCAAACAGTATGCTTTTTGGTGCCAAATTAGCCTTGCAACCTGGCTGTGTTACTGAGCACTCCATTTACATTCATCGTCCATCTCCCTGCCCCGTTAAGACTTTCTAGTGGCCTTTGTGATCAATTAACGCAATGGAAGGCGGCGCTTCAACCACAGTCCTACCCGTGCCAGAGCATAGAGAAGAACATTGATGTCTCTGGCCCTTCTGGGTTCATCCCACTTGCCTTATATCGAGGAAGTACAAAGTCTGTACACTTTTTTTTTTTTAACAAGTCTCTATCTAAGATAACTAGAAATCTGATAAATAATTTAGTCTGCTCCAAACTGGTTGCTTAAGAAAACACACCTTGTTTCTTTCAGCCAACAAGCATATATTGATTCTTTACCTACTCTGACCATTTAATTTCATTCCACAAGTCTGCTGCTAGCCTCCTTCCACCACAGACAAAATAATCACTAACATAACGCTCAAAGGGCATTTAAGAGGAGCTATACATGTGGCTCTATTCACATTTCTGTTAAGAGTAATAGATGAGGGGGAAATAAACATTAATTTAACAAAGGGAACAATACTTCCTTTTGGAAACCTCAATCTGCATTTTACAAATATAATAAACATTATCTCAGCAACTAGATAGCTAAGGCAGTCACGGTGGAGGAAATCGTTATCACCAACTAAAATAGGTGAAGCCAATGTCAGGTTCAGAAAATTCAAATTTTAGTTGAAAACTCAAACAACTGTAATTTTACAACTGCAAGAGTCTGCATCTGAACAAGGGTAAGTACAACCAGTAAAAGAAAAAAGCATTTCTGTTCTTTTCCTGAGCATTATTAAATATCCAGACCTAATACCCTAAGCCTCTTAGGATCGTGTACAAGAAATAAAGCTGAGCCATATAAAAAAGCCCTCCCTCTTGGGCACTGACCTTATCAAAGCACAAATGATACAGCAAAGAAGGCAGCAGAGGGTTCTTCTAATATGAGCAATTAGTATTCAAATAATGTGTTGTTTCATGTTATCAGTTTGGCGTTTTTCCCTGACATCCTAACAGGGCCAGACTATTACTCCATGTTATACATGTTTTAAGAACCTATAAACGTTCTTAAGTAACTGTTTTCTTGTTTCACAGGTAAAGTTTATGTGAAAGAATCTTTTGCAAAAAGTTCTAAAACATGGGCTTTTCATTAGGCAGGGCCACTTACCTGCTGGCAAGGCTGAGCAATTCATGTTTATCTGCAACAGCTGACTTCTTTTCAAGTTCCCACATTAGGACATTGATCAGATGTGAATTTTTAATTACAATCGGCACTTCTTCAAACATGTACTCAAAGGTGATATTTGCTTTTTTCAATCTGTGAAGCATGTTAAAAATACTTTAGTCTGATGGTCAAAAGTAAGTGCTAAACTGACTACTTCATAAAATTTACCTAATTACAGGCCCTATCCAAGATCTTTGTTTCATTAGCACTCTTAAAAAAAAAAAAAGTAGAGAAACTGGAGTTTTACAGAGTCAAGCATAAGTTGAGTGATTTGAGTAACTTTGAAAATGATGCGAATTTGAGCTAAAGCCCAGAAAATGAGATTCTTGGCAGAAGAAACTACTCATTCTTTGTTATCAGGTATCTTTAAAATTTCACTGATACTAAAATGTAAATGTCACAGTAAGTTATGCTACACAACCTACACCTACAACTTAATTTAAAATAGCTAGAAATGAGAAATACTCTATTTCTTGAAAAGTTCATTTAAAAAGCCTCTTGAATTAGAGTTTAACAAGTAGCAGAACACAAGGAGACTCCAGATACAATAGTTAGAACATGCCAAGAACACAGTTTCTCATAGATTAGTTATAACCACCACATCCAGGAATTGTTCATGAGTTAGCTTTTCTTTTAAAATTCTCTGCACCTTAACTTTTTAGGAGCCAAATGGGAAACTAGAGAAGAACCGTCCTACATGAAGTCAAAACCATTAATTTTGATTCAATAAGAACTAAAAATTTCTATAATTAACAGAAAATGGAAGAATTCTAAGTATTTAATTTATTTAAAGTAAATATTACAATGCCATTAAATAGGATCCCAAAACAGCTCCATCAGTTAATTCTCTGCATAACTGTCACCCATAAAATTTCCAATAAGCCACATTCTTTACCAAATTCTTAAAATGTTTATATCTTTCCCACCCCCTCATTAAACAAGGGTTCGGAAAATAAGACACACAGCTCACAACCAGTCTGACACAGAGCTTACAATCTGACAGCCACTGATCACTCTTTCCACCTCCCTTTATTCAATCATTTATTTCTTCGAATCCAGTAGCTAATTAATTCCCATTCTAACTGAATTCACCCTTGGTGAGAACAACAGATGAGATATTCCCTAAAGAATAATTTAAACATGGAAAGGGAGAGAGCAAGCAGCACTCGGCATGCAGAAAACTTCTACAGTCCACATGGCAAAAGCATTACCACACCACAACCAAGGATTCAAGAGATGTGGCAAAGAAAAATCTTAACAGAAAAATACCCAACCCTTTACCAGATGCCCCCAAACACTTACGCTTCAGGGGAAAAATCCTTTTCTTTACAAACTTCCATCAGTTTAGGAGTCAGTCTGTATGCCTTTAGTGAGAGAGATCCTTGGGCAGTTTTTATGGGATCTCAAACAAGGAAAGAGAAATAAATTACTAAGAATTTTGTCACTGCCAGGCTTGAATGGCATTGGTTCTAGGCACATTCTGTTACATATCGCACAATCTTTGCAAAATAAAGATCAAAATAAACAACCAGAACACAACTTGAAGCAGACTCAAAGCACTATTGCAAATAGCACTTGAAAATGCAGGAATACCTCTATCCTACTTACAATAGAGTAATTTCCTCTGTCAAAAACTAAAGATGCAAAAGAGTTATTTTCAAATTCATTCCTCAGCAAGAACTAGTAACCTTGCTGAAAATTAAATGTATCATATGTTCTAGACATATTGTATAATTAGGAAATCACTGATAAATATTAAACATGAAAATTCACTGCATGTACTTGGGTAGCTCCTCATTCAACTTAAAATGAATAGCCCCGCACACAAAATTTATCAATCCTAATAATCACTGTTCACATTTCTTCGTTAAAACAGATTGTAAAAACAAAACCATTCAAGTCAAACTGCTATCACAAAAGTGTCTTTCTGGTTTTGGAGAAACTAATTTTGTCAAAGCTAACCGCTGAAACACTCCATGAGTAAGGGAGCTTAGCACTTGCTGCATGATAACGGCTCTGGCATGCCAATATTCGCCTAAAACCTGTGTTAACATTCATGTTGTCTGAAACTTAACACAGTGAAACTTTTAGCAATAGGTGATAAAATGAAAACCAAAATAGATTGAAACAAGTGGAAAATTCATCAAGGTCTGATGATGCAATGTTTCCAGCCAATATAAGTATACTTTAACAACTTGTTCTTTACTGTAATCCAATTGTTAACATACTGAAACAATTTTGGGGCAGCTCATAAGATTGATCGTATTCATTAGTATTTTTTCTGACAGATACTCAGGACGTTACATTTACTTCTCAGCTGGAAACTATATGCAAGTCTGCCAGATATGGCAAACTGTGAGTGTTTGGGGAGGGGGAAGGCTATAAAGCTGTTAAATTGCCTACAGTTCTGATACAGCACAGAACATCTGGTCTGGAGAGCTTGAGGAAACACCATTAAATAGGCCGAAAAGAAAAAAATCTTTGTGCTAAGAAACAGTCCAGGTTTTGTACGCTGTTGTCAGAGGTATAAAAAAAACTTGGCACACCGTATTATGATTGGTCAGTCACGTACAGAGCCAGACACTCTAGCAATCGGGGTTTGTTAGACATCTGGTCTAGTTCCACCAGCCCCTTCAATGAGGGAGGGGAGATGGAGGAATAGAAATGAAGCAGCTACTCCAGCATTCCAAAATGTACACATCAGGGCTCTGATAGCAAGAAAAATAAACAGAAAGAAGGAAACCCTGTCTAGACTGAGCTGCTGCTGAGGCTGCTGCAGAAACAGGGTTGGTATTTACTTGAGAAGGCCTGCCAGACTGCTCTTAGAGGCAAAAAGGACAGAAAGCAAAAATAGTAGTAATAATATTAAGGGAAAAAAGAATAATAAACCTCCTACTAACCATAAATGAGAACGACAGATTCTTCAATGGCATGCTGGTAACTAAACTGAGAGTCCAGGAGTGCCCGGGTAACGAATGAGCCATAGTATGTGGACTGATACCAGCCCACGTGAAGATGATCAATGTTTACATGGCGAAGGCTCCGCATCATTTCCATCTGATATTGGACTGGATGATGGGGAAGAGGAAATTAAAAGAAAAAACTTTTTAATGATGTTACCAACATCAAAAACAAGCCGTTTTGGAAACAAATGTCTACATAACAATTTATTAGCAATAGGGAACAGGATTCCAGATTTAAAATTCATTCAGTTCACATATAAAGCAAAACAAAATTAGGCTTTTAAATCATCAGGGGTTTCCTTTTATTCTTTAATGAAAAAATATTTTGTAGAAAATGTATTACACACAATATTAATACCTTGTTCTAACCAAAGAATTATTAAATGTGGCGTCTAACTCCCCTTTTTGAAACTCTCAAAATAGTAAATGTTTAAGAAAAATTTGTGTAATTACTAAATTGGTTGGTTGTAAGAAGTTTCATTTGAATTAATAAAAGAGGAAGAGTTATCAATCTCTTCTTCAACACAGCTTTTAGAGCTGAGAAACTAAAACCATTAGGAAAACTAAGGAGAAACAACTACCAACCACACTGCTTATATATGAAGAGGATACAGGCTGTAGCTGATTCAAAATGTAAGAGTACATTTTTGCCTTCATCTGGTGCCCCCTGCTGCATATGCTAAATTTTTTAAAGAATTATTTTTTCTTGTCTGTGTGTTCCTTTAAGTAACAGATACTATGTTTTCCTTAGAATAAAGTTATATTTTAATGACCATGTATAGAATGAAAAGGTTTAGTGACTTTTACTTTTGTCAAATTAATGACTACAAAGTATAGTAATGACTATAATGTATACTATATTAAAGCAGTATTACCAGAAAAACAGATTAAAACTAGCAATATAATAAACGACATTTTAAAAAGCAATATAGCACAATAATGCACAGCAAATATATAATACAGGAGAAAACTTTATAGTCAACATAATAGCCATGCTATTTCTATTATTATTTATTATTATTATTATTGACACAGGGTTTCACTCCCATTGCCCAGGCTGGAGTACAATGGCCTGATCTTGGCTCACTGCAACCTCTGCCTCCCGGGCTCAAGTGATTCTTTTGATTTAGCCTCCCAAGTAGCTGGGACTACAGGTGTGAACCACCGCACCCGGCTAATTTTTGTATTGTTTTTTTGTAGAGATGGGGTTTCACCATGTTGCCCAGCCTGGTCTCGTACTCCTAGGATCAAAGAATCCACCCACCTCGGCCTCCCAAAGTGTTGGGATTGCAGGCATGAGCCACTGCATCCAGCCCCAAACTATTTCTATTATAATGAATACATGACCATGCTGAGTAAACGTATTTGCTTAACTTGAAACCTGTTTCATTTTCAAAATTCTTACTCAGGTTTTAGCAAAAGAAAAGTTATATATCTGTCATTCTTTTGGTTATACCACTATGGTTTTACAAAGCCTACAAGACTCAGGATCATAAAGTATAAAAGAGTGTTCCTCAGATGGACACAGTCTGATTTTTCATTACTTGTAGGAGAAGAAGTTATAAATCTGCTTATTCCAAGGAAGGTTACAGTTCTCATGCTAAAAGATGGCAGCCAACTCATCAACTACACAAGAATTGCGTGTTTTTTGAGATTTTTTTTTTGCTATGTAGAAAAGCTAAACAAACAAACAAAAACAACCAAAGTTATTTTGCCACTATCTGAAGAGACTTTCTTAAGCCTACGGCAATGTTGCAACAGAGCTGGAAACTGCACTACTGTAAAGATGTACAGTTTAAGTGCCTGTTTTGAAAGTGGGCTCATTTATTCATAAAAAGGAAAAAAAGTGTTAATATAGAGGAAGTTAGGCTACTAAGGGTATGGGGGAGAAGGTGATACCAGACACCAGACACCAGATACCAGACACCAGACACTTTGTATACCAAACCAGTGTTTCTGTATATTTATGAATAAAATACAAAATCAAAGTCATATAACCTATGCTATACTCTAAACCACCATTAAAAACATCACTACCTTAGAAACCTATTTTATACACAATATGACAGCCGAAAAAGCAGTATGAAATATGATAATCTTACACCAATTATTTTTTATCTTCATATTTTATTTCTCTAGCATGTAAGAGGAACCTCACCTCCCCCCAGCTAGTTTAACAGATTCACATCAACCACATAAATTTGGCAAGTGGGATAGAATCACTGCTATGATCTCCTTCTGTTTCGAAATTCCATAATTCTTTTAAATCAAAGTAAAATCACTGATTTGGCTAATAAATTTTAATCAAATTTAATTTATGAGTGAAAAGTCCCAGTATTATAAGTAAAATGGGAGCTGAAACTGAATTTGCTATTTATTTTAAAGGGAAAGGGAAGAGGAGAGATTAAGCAACTGACAGAACGAGTAAGATTTTAAAAAACATTATTTTTAAATCAAAACTTATGCAACGTATTAGTATAAAATTTAGCTACAATATAAGAAGAGGTTGGAGTCTGCCAACTTATAATAGCAGAAAAGAAAGACTTGGAATCTAGAGGTCGAGGTTCTCATGCCAGCTCTGAGATTTCCCCTGTGGGGATCTTGCTGTACAGTTAATAATTCTTCTTTGATATTTAATTTTCCCATCTCCAAAGAGATCTGAGAACCCAATCCCAGTCAAAACGCTATTATTCCACATTGTTCACTGGACATACTAATTATAAATAAAGAATTTTCTATTAGCTAAAGGGGCCTCCAGCATGCATTATGATTTAAAATAAAAATACATTCCTCTGAAAAATATTCTGTAATCTTGCTAAGTCTGTCCTCAAATAGCCTGAATACAAGAGATTCTCTAACAGCATTTCAGGATACACAAGGTAAAAAACTCCAAGATCCATAGCAAACTTCCAAATTTCTTCTTTATCCAGAGTCTTACCTATTCTACAGCACCTCTGATAAGGGTAAGAATGAAAATGAAACGTTCCTCTAAACTAGGGAAGAAAGTCAAGAAAGCCTATAGCCGTGTGGAGATACCACTCCTCCAACATATTTCTGGGGACTGAGGAGTAAAGAGAGATCAGCTTCTTTATTAGGGGAAATGAGGGGAGCATTTCCATTTCCTCTTCCATGGTTTAGAATATGACATAAAAGATTTTGCAAGATTTTGGACACATTTGTAAGTCATAAGAGTTTTCATATCACCTAAATATCAAAATAAAGAGGCTAAAGAGCAATGATTGGTCAATTAAGAAAATCACTTTAAAAATATACAATGCACTAGAATTTCACTAATAAACAATGTATGTGTTGGGCCTAATCTATGTAAAGTGAAGGAGATTCTCTATCTTGGTTTGGACTTACCACCCCAATTTTAAAATTAAAAACAAAACTTTTTTTTTAAGTGCCCTCTCAGAGGCATCATATAAAGAAAGGACCTAAACAAACTGCAAGTGAGTCTTAAAAGGTGGGGCTGGGGATGCTAGAGCTCCGAAATGAACCACAGTGCACAGAGGCCCAGTTCTCACCATGACTGCTCCTATGAAGCGCCAACAAATGCAGTGTTTGAAAAGAGCTCACTTTGATGTAATAAGGTAAAAAAATAATAAGTAATACTGTTTCTGTTTATTATAAGCCAAGGAACAAGAGACACAACTCACAAACAGCCACATGAACTGCGTTATCTCTGTAGACTTTCAGGTCTGTGTCCCCATTCTTTGAATCCCATCTCCCTTCACCCACAGTTTATCCTCCCCTTCCCACCCAAATTTTCAAAAAGTAGAAAGCCAACTCCTGCAAAAGCTTCCTGGTAAACCTAAGTAGGAATACGAAATGAAAAGCAACTGTCCCAGTGACCTGTCTGAAAACCATGCTCCTGGCAGGCACCATCAAGGGAGCTAAGCTGCCACACCAGCTGACATGTATTTACCCCTTTGGCCTATGGACAAGGGAACAATCGTGAAATTATGGCATGCTGGTTAAGTTTTACACAGAAAATAAGAAATTGTCTTTCCAGATTCCAATCTCCTGGATGAACACCCTTGCTTTTGTGGCTATGCTAGTTTCTCTCAGGAGTTACATTGGGTAGGTAGGTAAGGAGAGCACAAGAGACCCAGTTTGGCTACAAAACAGGTAAATGAGGGAGGGAAGAAGCCTCTGCATATCTGGAATTGGTTTGTGATGAAGATGCCATGTCATAGCCCACAGGCTCTGGTGACTATGAGGTCCTGCTATTTGCCTCCTCATATGCAACCAGTCCTCACTTTTCTGGCTGGAGTTTTGGTATTTCACTCTCGAGAAATAAGGCTCAGGAGTGGCTCACACCTCAGAAGGAAGAGAATCATCTCAAAGAAACAAAAGGAAAAAGGAGGAGGAAAAGAAAAAAAGAGGCTCCTTGACTCGAAGTGCCAGCTGCCTACTACTGTGTTAATGCAGATCAATGAAGAAACAGGCACTGATTGGCAACTTTGCAGAGTTGGTCCAGGGTTAGACAAGCTTCAATTTTTGTTCTCATATTTAAGGGAAGTCAAAACAGCAATTTCAACTAATGACATTCTCTTCTAAGTTAATGTCTAAATATTCCTGGAGAAATTTCCCAAAGATGAATGGCAAGAGGATAATCCTCTTGGGAGGGAGAACTATTTTAAAATTCATAATGTTTAAGAGAAGGACTTAGTAGAAAAGAACCTTTTAGGCATTCTTAGTACAAAAAAGCAAACATCCCCACTGAGGAAAAGTAGTATGCAACACATAAATTTCAAAGACAAACTGGTCAGCTGCACGCCGTGGCTCTCGCCTGTAATCCCAGCACTTTGGGAGGCTGAGGCAGGTGGATCACTTGAGGTCAGGAGTTCGAAACCAGCCTGGCCGACATGGTGAAACCTCGTCTCTACTAAAAATACAAAAATTAGCCAGGCGTGGTGGCAGGCGCCTGTAATCCTAGCTACTTGAGAGGCTGAGGCGCAAGAATTGTTTGAGCCCGTGAGGCAGATGTTGCAGTGAACTGAGATCACACCACTGCACTCCAGCCTGGGAGACAGAGCGAGACTCAGTCTCAAAAAAAAAAAAAAAAAAAGACAAACTGGTCGTTACTATTAGGCCAACTCAAACTACTAATACAAAAAGCCACACTTGGATGCAGTTGAGCTCGTGCCGCAAAATTTGGAAGGATTATAAAAACGAGAAGTTTTATAAATCTCTTCAACTTCTGCAATTGTTTTAATTGGTAAGCATGTCCCAAGCAAAGGAAAGCCTGCTTTACAACACTGAATAACTGCCTGAAGTTTGGCACCAGTATATTCATATTCAGTTTTTCCAGATATCCTCTTTGCAAAACAGTCCATTTTAAAGCACCTAGAGCTAAATCTGTCTTCACTGAGGTGGACTGTCCAACAACTATCCCTTTCAAACATCAGCCACATTTGTTGGGCTTTCTCTTGTTTTACTGTCACATATGAAAACACTGAAAATAATATGCTGTCTTACATTTAAATGTTATATATATCTGAAGTTGCAATGGCAACCAACCAAACAACAGTATGAGATTCAAGAGCTCCTGAAGATCACTGGAAAGGACAACAGAGTAGAAGCTTTTCAGTTCAGCAGAATAACGAAACAGCATTCTTCTCACCTTCAATTCTTCATCCTCATTTTTAAAAAATCATCTTTTTGATTGTGTTAAGTGAGCCCTTGTGAAATACAATTTCTCACTGAAAAACAGGAACAAAGAATTGCCACCAATGGATAGGCTGGGATGAGGAGAAAGTAGAAAAGTAAAAATGGAGCTTATTCAAACTCGAAAACTCAAGATATGTTCAGTAGATCAAGAAAAAAGAAGTGTTTTGCAGATGTGTTATTAGGGAACTCTTAATTAACAAAGTCATTTAAATTCTAAAAATTAAAAACAATTTAAGAATCTACCATCTAATATTTAATGACTTAATATTTTATCAAATAAATCCAAATTATTTAAAAATACAATAAAATTATTTCTAAAATAAACACAGCCTGTAGGGAAAGAGTAGAGCTAGGCACAGAGAAAGAAATTACCACTTAGTGAGCACTTATTATGTCAGACTTCCTGCTAAGTGTTCCACATATGTTATCTAACTTTATATTCCTCACAATAACTCTAATGAGCTAATCATGATTATTGAAATCCTTTTAGAAAAGCTGTTTACCACAGCTATTACTTCAGACTCTGACTCCAAAGGCTAGCCAGCCACCCATTTTGAGAGCCTCATTACTTCTTATTGGTGAAGTATACAGTAAATTATTTCTGAATCATTGAAGCACAGCACAAATACAAGAGAAATACACAACAAATTTCTAGGTTTCCAGAAACCACATCTTGTCTATATTTGACATTAAATTAACCAATAATAAACCAATAAATGCCTGTAAAATTTTAAGTGATAAAACCACCAAAGATTTTTAAATACTACAGTTGATAATTATCACAAATACATAATCAAGCCCCTAAAATGCTGCATTCTATGTTACTATTTGAGGCTTGTGCCATGACTACTTTGTAACTAAATACTGGCTTAGATCAAAGATGACCTATACAGGTATATAGATGGAACAGAGATCAGATCTAGTACATGTTCTTTGCAGCAAAAAAAACCCACAAAGCTCAATCAGGAGATGCAAATAGCTTAAAAAGCAAGCAAACAAACAAAACCCCACAATTTCCCAGAAACAAACCAATGATTTCAACAAATACGACAGGGAGGTGGAATGCATAAAAATCTCCTATCTGTTCTGGCATGGGAGCTAACCAAAGTAGGACTTTTAAGAATAAAATTATAGGCCTCCTTCCCAGCTGCAACATGGGACACCAGTGAGCACTAGGCTGTGAACAGTGAAGGCTCTGTGCCATTATTTAACAAGACAAACTTTATTCTGTGCTTTCCTCTTCATATCAGACTTTTTGCCAAGCTGCACATACGTTTCAGGCAATGTTCAAAGCTACTAGCAGATGTAGACTTAGGCAAACAGAATGTGCATTTGAAAAAAGAATTAAATAAGAGTCTACTTTGGGTGGAAAGAATTATGGAGTACACAAGTTTCTTAAAACGTCCATATTCTCTGCATCCAATCTGTACCACATATTCCTCTCGTTTCAATTAATACATCTGTTATTAATACCACCCTGTGACTGCTTAAAAATTTTAGTAACAGTTCAATTTTTCACAATGAAGTGTCCAATATAAGTTCTATTCTACCTAGACACTAATCTGTTGTATTGTAAAAGAAGTAACAAAAATACTGCCTTTCTTAATCTTACAGAAATATTTTTTAAAATAATGGGTGGTTTAATGTCTTCTTTAAAGTGTTTATGAATTCTGAAAAAATATTTTTTTGAATGCCAAGCTGGGGAATAATGGAATGGGAATAGGGTGGGGGCAGGCATTGTCGCCCTATTTTATCTTTAAAACTAGTACGAACTTTGACAATTATTAGAAATCAGGTATTCTGAGGTTTTACTGTGTCTCAAGAAGTCTTCTATGAAATAAATTGGATTCTTCACACAAAATAACACTTACATCCTGTAACAAATTTATATTATCTTCTTAACCAAATCATGAAATAAAACCATGAGATCTTATTTCTTTGAGGTTATAACAATCTGAAATACATATATACATTTATGGCGTTGGTCATGAAAACACATACACATAGTGGAAGATAGAGAGCCATCAGGAAGTTAATTCTATGTCATTTGAGATGTGTTTATACAAACAAACTGAATTTACCTGGAAGGGCTCACCATGAAGAACTCTCATATAAAGAATAGCTTACTGACCAATGCTACCTCTTGCTACAATTAAGAGCATGGTATGTTAGAAGACCAAATGAGAATCTTTAGTGTTAGGCAAAAAAAAAAAAAAAAAAAAAAATTACACTATGTAATAGGCTCTTTCATGAGGACAAGTAACACCTCTTGTCATATTTCCAGGTATTAGATTAATGTTAGCAGAGAGGTGCTGAAAATATTTCCAAAGAATGGAATATTTAAAAAACGTGATTGTTGTTAACATACTTGAAAAAAGTCACAACTACTGGGAAAGTATAAGTGTGTGTGCATACACCTGTGTGCATGTGTACACGCTCTGCCCCATTCACAAAGGACTTGAGGTAGCTTGCATTAAACCATACAAGGTGATAAGTAATATCAGAACTACAAAACATCTTAATTAGAATATAGAAACTAGAAACTGAAGGAGAGGCAGAGACTTGAACAAAGTGAATCAGGCCATGGATATTCTGATTAAAACATACAATTTGGCTCCAAGCCAAATCAAAGCAAAAAGGAAAACATGGTCATTCATATCCAAAGGGAGACAAATATCAGATCTTAAAGTAGGTGAAACACTTCCTAGTACTTAACCCTGAATGAAATTACCCTAACCCTAAAATGAAATTTTCATGTGGGGCTTCAATGAAAACTATTTTAAGAAGACATTTCTGTTATAGAAAAATCATGCTTGATTTGCCTTTCCTATAAATCTCAGTTTCTAATGTAAATCAAGGAGAGAACGACCTGAGTACTTTTCTAAACACAGAAAACTGTTTGTACAACTTCACAAAAAAAAAAAAAAGATTAAGGGGCTAACAAAATGAATTAATAGTTTCCTTCTATTTACAGAAACAATCTGTAATCAAATTTACAGAAACAATCTGTACATTTCAAACTCCACTTGTTTACAAAACAGAAAGAGATCTATCAGAAGTGAGCACTAAACATTCAAAGGAGAACAAATGATCACTTTTTGGAGGTACTGTTTGTAGTGTACACACAAAAGTGTGGTGATAATAAATGACCCACAGAATCACTTAACTTTCTTTGCTCCTAAACCATTTACTGGGCACTGCTTGCACTAGGAGCCTGATAATGCTATAGTGACCTCATCTTCTAAAAGATACTCTCTTCAATAAGGTTGCCCAATGAACTGGTGGTAGTCAACACATTTGTCTCTCTAGGCCTTAATTTCCTCACCTAGAAAATAATAGTTTCAACTTCCAAACACATGATGATGGCAATTTAAAAAACCTTCCTACAAGCCCAAGGGCTCTTTTGTTTAATGAGCATTTTCAAAAGTCCCATAGGTACCACACACCATAAAGGTATAGACTGAGTTTATTAACCCCATCCTCAAACTCTACTACTTCCATATTTTCTCCCTCAGTTAAGAGGATTTGAGCCGTCAATTGTGACTACTTCTCCAACACTCGGGTTATAATAGTCAACTACCTTCTGAGTAGACTTTGTTTTCCTCAAGGCAAAAATCATTTAGAACATTTCTAAAAATTTTAAATGGCATAGGAAAATGCTCATGAGGTGCTAAGAGAAAAAAGCAGAATATAAAACTATAAAACATCTATAAATGCCAGTATGTAAACAGTGTGGACTGCACTCTCCTCCTAAGGAGAAAGACTGGAAAGAAATATGCTAAAATGGTAACGGAATTGTTCTCCAGAGAGTGAGATCATACAAGGTTTTTGCTTTCTTATTTATTCTTATCATCATTTTCCCATGTTTCTTTGGCAAACGAATTATTCAATGCATACAATGTTAAAGAAGTACATACATATACATACATACATAGTGACAAAAGTTTTCTGTTGCTTGCCAATTTGCTGATTTTCCCATAGTCACCTATAACCTGGTTACTAGTGCTCCTAAACTGTGGGAGCAGCAGGATAGGGTACCAGACTACTCTGAATCTGAAGCACCTAACCTGGTCTGAATAACATCTTTACCACACATTAATTGTGTGACCGGCGACAAATTAACTAGACTGGCCTCCTCTGTTGCCAAAAAAGAAAACATGGGGAATGTGGGGGTCGTAGGGGCTGGGCAGCGGGGGGTGGGCACAATACTATCTACTTCATAAGGCAGTTAAGATTGAACAAAATCATTTGCATCAAAAGCTTGGTGCACTGGAAACCTCAGGAAGAGCTCAAACCCTTACCACCATCACCTATTATTCAGAAGTGTTCCTTAGAACCCAGGTACTATGATACTCATCTGGGTCAGAAGGAAATGTTTGTGTAGAATTGGATTGGATTAACTTGGCCTCCATGGAGTGTTACGCAAGCTCCCCTTTTCTCATCTCCATATTGGCGACGGGGGAAATCAGGAAAATGGGGAGGGGGACTGGAGATTGTATGTGTCACTACAAAAATCAAAGTCTATGCATTTCTAACATTCATGTCATGAAACAGAATTCATATGTACAAATAGGAATATGATCAAAAAACAATCTACCATGAGAAAAAAATACTTCTAAGATACTAAAAACACTAAGCTAATTATATTCAGTACAATAAAGAACAGATTCAATAAAGAAAGAGACAAGCTACAGAAATTAGATTTCAAGAAAAGGTAATCTTGGGTGTTCCATTATTACTGTGCATATAACAATATAATTGCATTGTACCATATAAGTTTCTATCTCCTGATTCCATTAATAACTCTTCCAAAGAGAGGAAATAAGCTTCCTGCCCCTATCCCCAACAGGTGACTTTTTTAAAAAAGGAAAACACTGAGAAGAGCAGTGGGGATGGGAAAGAGGAGTGAGCAGTAATGCCAGCTTACTCAGGGGACTGGGACAAGGCTATCTGAAAAAACTGCCCACCCAAGTGAATAGCTAAAGTAGGTTAAATATAGCAAACAGCTTTATCATACACCATGTATTGCTTAGGAGAAGGGCCCACTCCAGCAACCTCAGCTGCCCAAAGATAAGCTTCCTTTACCTTCAAACATCAGGATGATTTGGATTTTAAAAAATAGTATCAAAGATATTATAAAAGAAAGCCTGAGGAATATAATTTTTGAAGACTATCCTTAACTGTAACCTAAAGAAGTGGAAGATGGCAAGAATGGAAAGTGACAGCAGTTATAGAAAAGGTTAGGAAGAGCAAACAATTTCCTATGGTTTAGTTAAACCAGAAAAATAGAAGTTTTTATAACCACACACTCCACCCATCCTTTCTTGTCCTCACTTCCTCACCTCTTTCCCTACACACTCTGCTTCTACCAAACACTTTTCGTAGGATAGGAAATACAGCATTCCAAGCTAAGAAAAATGATCAAGCAGAAACCTTCATGGCAGCCCATGATAAACGACAAATCTGAGGTTAGGAACCTATGGTTTATTTTTAAATGGGGCCATGTTACATTTCCTGTTATGACAATATCTAACCCAGGAATCCTTATCCTGGGATTTCAAGGAATGTGTGAATTTCCTATAATCATATGCATACGCACTACTATGGAGATAGTCCAAAGCTTTCACCAAATTCTCAAAGGGGCTCAAGATCTAAAAGGGTCACAAGTACTGAGATGCAATGGAGAACAAACCAAATGTGCTCCTGGAACTCCCACTGCCTCACAAGTATGTGGGGAGAATGCGGAGGTGAGGCTAGGTGTGAGGCAGTTATCAATCCAGTTCCGGGGCAGCTACAAAGTAGCACAGATCAGTACTGAGATCACCAAAGATACACTATCAGGACAAGTACAAATGACAGACCAAGGGTTCAGAGAAATCTCCAGCTTTCAGCAGGACAGCCAATAGAATGTGACTTTTACCCTTACCCTTCTCCTACCAAAAACACAAAGTGCATGATGAGGGAAGCTGGATGGAGGCTTCACCTAACTACTCTGTGATCCAGACTATTACTTTCCAGGGTGGAGAAAGAGAAAAAGCTGTGCATGCCCTTACCCGCAAGGTGATATGACCAGAGACTTCTACATTTGAGAAGAATACGTGTTTATAATTTGGGGGAAAGTTAGTCTCTAGCAAAAATATCACATTATCACATTTTTGATACTCTCAGGACAAATTTTATCCTATGTTAGAAATGTACCTTAGATATAAATAGCTCTACTGTCACATACTAGGGACTAACTTCAAGCAACCAACAATCCTGTTACTTTTTGCAGTTTTTACACACAGATCTCTTGAAGTCATTACTGAGATTAGCCTTATCAGCTGCCATTAGGTAATCTGAAGCTCATGAAGATACTTTCCTATGGAGGGCCACTAGGATTAGAGGAAGGTGAAATACAGTATATGAGGCGGAAGTAAAAAATATTGGACGGCAAAAACATTACTACAGAAAGATGTCCGAAGGCTACAAAACAGATCAAATAATTATCTTCTGCAATTGGCAAACAGGCTCCTGCCAGATGTTTAAAATAGAATTAACTTCTATGGGCTATACTGATAGAAATAAACTGTACGACTATAAATAAATAAACATCTAGGAAAGCATAAATAACTGTCTAGGGAAGGACTATCTTTGTTTTACTTTCCCTAAACTTGCTTCAGCTTGTTTGTCATCCCCTAACGCAGCACAAAAATTGTCGTTCAATGTAGTATCCACTGATACTAAGCTAGCAGTGTATCCCAAGGCTTTTGAGAATGTGTCAAAGGCAGACCAAACAATATCTGCATAGGGAGCTAGGTTTAATCAGAGTATCTGCAATGTTTCAAAGCATCTCAAACCAGGTAATATCATCTTAACAACAACAAAATCTTCCTTTTCCCCTGAAGAATATACATCTTTTCCTTGCAGAAAAGATTATGAGGCTCAGTTAGACCAACGCGTTAAATGGCTTTCTCCTTATATTTTGGGGGACAAAAATCAGAAAGAATGAATTCATGCATTCATTCCCATGACAATTATTTATTCTGTGTTCTAACTGTGCCAGACCTTCTAGGCGCTGTCCAGCATAGGGCAGTAAAGACAGAGAAAGCTCCTGCAGCTGACATAGTAGTGTAGAGGAGCAGACAGGGCACACAGACTGACAGTCAGCATTCTAGGGTCTACTCAAATGCTTAACGTTTGTTCCCTAAAGAAAATATCTGGGTAATCCCACAGAGTTCTCCACACCTTTAAATTAAACAAACTATCTCTGTCAAGAACCACCAAAAAATTGAGCTTGGAAGTCAAAGGCCCAGCTTCATACCTTGTAAAATAATACAGTGTAGAAGAATAGTTGCAGGCTGAGAAAACAGAAGATCTGAACTGCAATTTTGGCTCTGCCATTACAAATAATAAATCAAAGCAGAGAAAAACCTCCGCAAAACCTAAATGCCCTTAAAAATAGTTTAAAAATAACCTAATTTTTAATTTATTCCAAATGAAAAAATTGTCTGGTTTAATGTTTATTACAATGGTATGGAGGCAAAATAGTAAAACAGCAATGAGTATCCTTGTTAGATAGAGAAAGCTGACATTTTAAAAGAGTTAAAGCAGAGACAGATAAAAATCTGCCGTGAATAAAATTCCATGTATTTCTTTGCTAAGTTTTGGTATTAGAATCAATTATCTCTACTGTGTGTTCAAAAACTAGTATTCCATAGAGATAAGTGGAAAAAGATAGTTTCACTAAAAATATGGTCTAGAAATCCTAATAACCTGAAATGAAAAGAAAATAAAAATAAGACTCAAAACAGGCCAGGTACAGTGGCTCACGCCCGTAATCCCAACACTTTGGAAGGCTAAGGCGGGAGGACTGCTTGAAGCCATGAGTTCGAGACCAGCGCAGATGACATAGCATCTTTACAAAAAAATTTTAAAAATTAGCCAGGCATGGTGGCTGTAGTCCTAGCTATTCAGGAGAAGGAGGTATTCAGGAGAACGAGGTGGAAGGATCACCTGGGTCCAGTAGTTTGAGGCTGCAGTGAGCTATGATCATGCCACTGCACTCCAGCCTAGTCCACAGAGTGAAACCCTATCTCTTAAAAAAGAAAAAAAGAAAAAAAAAACTTGAAACAGTGGTCAGTGGTCAGGAGAGGGAGAATACCAACAAGAATCACAATTTAAGAAATGACAAGATTTCTAGTCTAAAGATGACACCAAAGAGCTTATGTGGGTTCCCTGACAGAAAATCGGCCTCAAGATAATCTGAAAAGGAGGAGGAGGCAGCTCAAGATCTGTCATCAGATCTTCCTCCCAACACTTTAAATTTTATTCCAGACAAACAAGAACGCCTCTCTCAAACATTTACCATTTGCAGACCCTTTAAAAGACATATGGCACTCATGAAATCCACTGAGTCCAAGTTTTAAAAAGTTATCCCAATCTTAATTATATAACTTAAAGTTTTAATAAAATTACAAAAAAAAAAAAAAAACACCACAAAAAACTGCTGTGTGCCAATGACAGGGACAAAGATGATTTGTACCTCTCCCCAGGGTTTCAATACACAGCCAGGAGGCAATGGCTTGCACTATAGGTTCCATGTCTAGGAAGCTTATTTTCTCAATTTTTACTAAATTAGAAGCTCTTTACTCAGACTTTTAAAACATCAGCAAAAGCAGCAAGCATTTGGTCACTGCCGGAGGATCCTAGATATATAAACAAAATAGAGACTCCAAAATTAAGACTCCACCCTAAATGTCTAAGAAACACACTATATCTAAAAATTAATATTTCAATTACGGGGATTTGATTCCGATCCTTTAAAGCTCTGGAAGCTATTCATATCATACTGTGGTATTTAGATGCGGTTTTCAAAAATATGCCCAGTAATCTCATCAATTTCTTCCTCTAATAAAATTATCAAGGTTTAGTAAAGAAAAAACATCTTACTAACTCCAGTATGATAACCTAAATGTTAAAAAACTGTGATATTTTTGCTCAGAAATAATGCTGTCAAGCTACCCAGGAAACTATATGTTTAGCAAAGCATGTCACTTTGGCAAATTATTTATAAAAATAGAAATGGCTTTATTGGCATTAACTGTGTCATAAATAAGGGGTAAAAATGTAATCTCGTCTCTAACTTCGAAGATTCATGCAAGCATCTTTCTCCTCACAGGCAGTATGGAAAAGCAGGGTCAGACTTAAGCTCATGCCACACGTTTTTCATTCAGCACACTGTAAAGAGGAATACTTGGGCCGGGCATGGTGACGCATGCCTGTAATCCGAGCACTTTGGCAGGCCGAAGCGGGCGGATCAGAGGTCAGGAGATGGAGACCATCCTGGCTAACATGGTGAAACCCCGTCGCTACTAAAAATACAAAAAATTAGCTGGGCGTGGTGGTGGGCGCCTGTAGTCCCAGCTACCCGGGAGGCTGAGGCAGGAGAATGGCGTGAACCTGGGAGGCGGAGCTTGCAGTGAGCCGAGATCTCGCCACTGCACTCCAGCCTGGGGAACACAGCAAGACTGTCTCAAAAAAAAAAAAAAAAAAAAAAAAAAAAGATGAACACTTAAAGGTGGAAATTTTAAATTTATTATTTTGACTACTTCCTTCCACAATGAATTAAGATTAGAAAGTATAATACATTATTTCATAAAGCCCAAGACTCTGCTGAGTAGAAGAAGGAAAGAGAGCTGGCAATTTTAATTCTAAGACATCATATATTAACAGATGCATCCCAATTTCATAGAGTTCAGGTGCAAAAAAAGAGGCCTGGGGGTGGAGGTGGGGGGGGGTGGGGGGGAAGGGATTCTAAAGCAGATAAAGCTGTTCCCAGCAAACGAAGTAGTGGATGGGGAGGCACTGTGGTAGCAATATCCTCTTCTTGAAGCACAGCTGCATTCTATCATACGCATTCTATCCATCCCACTTTTTCCAGTCTATGTCATAACTCAACACAATTGTTAAATAGAAAGTCTCTTCCCTTGAATCAGGGATTTTCCATTACAAACGAAAAAAGAAAACACCTAGTACCTCTCCATACAAGAACACATATGTTCAGAATGAATACTCCTGAGCAGATCAACTACGAGCCTGAATATCTAGTAATGTGCACAATTAAAATAAGTGCTTTTGTGTATTGTATGTGACTGATATTGACCAGTATTATCCAACAGTCATTTTGTAAAGGAAATATAATTACTATACTTTCTCTCCAAATAATATTTGTCAGTAACTCATAAAGCCCAAGACTCTACTGAGTAGAAGAGGGAAAGAGAGCTGGCAATTTTAATTCTAAGACATCATAGATTAACAGATGCATCCCAATTTCATAGAGTTCAGGTGCAAAAAAAGTTGTTTTTTTTTAGATGTTTTTACAAGGTTCTCTGCTACTACAGTGAGACTTCTGCTTTTTTGTGTTAAACAAAGTGCTACTTTGAACACTGCTCCTGTAGTTGGAACTCTTGTCCATCTTTAAAGACAAGATTCATTATTTTTGGAAATAAGCCTTTGGAAAATATAAAATATCTCATTTCACATCTATCCTCAAAAACTTTATTGATTTATAAAAAAATCTCTTTGTATTTTTAAATCACATATGTCCTGATGGCACTGTGCTACCACTTGATAAAGTCATAAATACACAAAGATTCTTGGAACTAGGAGCGAATGACTCAAGCAACCAATAAAACCTATTTCAGACATATGTCACTGAAATTCCTATTTACACTCTTGTTTTTCAACTGCCTGTGTAAATCATCAAACTCCTAGATTCTTATTCCCAGTATATACAGATCCACATTCCATTTTAACCAGAATTTCCCATCCTGGCCACTAATGATGACATTTTGGGTAGGCTAATTTTTTGTTGTGGAGGACTATCCTGTGCATTGTAAGATGTTTCATTCACAGTGCCCCGGCCTCTATCCTCTATATGCCAGTAATGAGCGCACACACACCTCTTCCCAAGTTGTGGCAACCAAAAGTGTCTCCAAACACCTCCTGATGTCCTCTGGGGAGTAATCCCCAATACCCCTCCAGCCCTGAACACTGATTTAAGCACTGGAATTCTGTTTAAATGTCAAATTTATTTTAGTCAAATAAAACAGTGCTATGTTACTATTTTTATGATTGGATAATCTACTGCTGATCCACTTTTGAGAGGGGATTATAACACAAGGAGAATGAAGCATCTGAATGCAACAAATATGTAATTGATGTAAAAATGTTAACCAAAACAAACTACCCTATTAATTGAATATTATCTGACACATGGTAACCAACTTACTATCCTTTATGGTACATATACAACCTTTAAAAAGTTAATAATTACTAAGAACATAAAAAAGCATTCTAGAAAACACATAACCAATCTTACATTTCAATGTGTAAAACGTATATGAATAAGATTGTTTCAATGCCTTATCCTCCAAAAACATCAAAATATGAGGATCTTTTAGAAAGTAAAGGCCAAGTTAAAAAAAATTAGCTGCTATTTTAAGTAATAAGTATTTAAGCTAATTCACTACCATCGAAATGTGATATAGGCCCCAGAACATGCAGGAACCTTTAAAAGGTTAGATTAAACTAACAACAGATACATACGCAATTAAGATCTTGAAGTTGGTTGTCAACTGCAGCAATTAGGACTTCTCATAAAACTTGTCTCTTGTTACAATACTATTTACTAATACTAATGAGAGAAAGAATACAAAGTGGGGAAGAACACGTAGTAGTCTGTTTTTATACTGCTATAAAGAACTGCCTGAGACTAGGCTGTGTAATCTAGAAAGGACTTTTAATTGACTCACAGTTCAGCATGGCTGGGGAGCCCTCAGGAAACTTACAATCATGGAGGAAGGCAAAGGCGAAGCAAGACAACTTCTTCACAAGATGGCAGGATGAAGTGCTGAGCAAAGGGGGGAAGAGCCTCTTATAAAACCATCAGATCTCCTGAGAACTCACTAACTCTCATGAGAACAGCATGGGGGAAACCGCCCCCCATGATTCAATTACCTCCACCTGGTCTCTCCCTTGACAAGTGGGGATTATGGGGATTACAATTCAAGATGAGATCTGGATGGGGTCACAAAGCCTAACCATATCAGACCACAAGCCTGAATTAGTATGACAGTATTACTAATGTAAATGGCAAGGAAGAGAAAGGTTAAACATACGATGTTCATCCTTCAGTCTTGGCTTAGAAGCCCCTTCTTTCTAGAAACGTACTTAGTTCCCCAAAATTCAGGTTCAGTTTCTTCACTTGGTGCACTATATTTCTGCTTTCATAAGATTAGCCCTAAATTATGCTATAATTGTCTTGTTTTGTCTACATTTTCCAAATAAGCCACTGTGTCCCCAGCACCATGCAGATGATTGGCACCAGTGGGTGCTTTACTAAGTCCTTGCTTTAAAATAAAAAAAAAAAATTCATATGAATACTGTGATAGCTCTCCTTATGGTATGTAAAAGAAATAACATACACAAATTTATCCAGCATAATTAAGAATATCAAGGAAAGGGGAGAAATTCCTGATAGCAATCTAAAACACTGTAAAGACTCCAAATTTTTACAAATCTCAATGAGCTCTGTGTATGACGGTCTCTATATTTAGAAGGGGTGAACTGAAATTATATAGCTAATTTTACTTACGTCTTTTGCAGAAAAATACTCTGTGCAAAAATAAAGATAATATGTTAGATGATGTTTAAATCCAGAATTTTACTCCACTGGGCTTATCCAAATAAGCAGCTTACAAATCAACGTACTTTGCAATCAAATACATTTTCAACTAAAACATGTAATTTTCACCTGAAAAATGTGCAATTGAAAAAAAACTGTTCGATGATGGTTAAGATGTGTTTTAACCATAGAGGGGCATATGTTCTAATGTGGCTGGATCCCCATTTTTACATGTCCTAATGTCCCCCATGATTTAGCATTTACTTGGGAGTAAGGCATTCCAGTTTGTATGGTGAATTATATGGTCACAGTTAAATGCCATTCTCATATACTGAGAGCAACAACGTTGAAGAAAAAATGCTGGCACTAACAATAATAGCTTCCATTTACTGAGCACCTATTACACTTCAATCAATAAACCTGACAGTTTCCATACTGCACGTAAGGTAGGTACATTTTTCCAATCGTCACATGTGTAACTTGCCCATATAATAATAAGTGACAACTACAGCTCAAGGCTAGACTTTCTCAGTTACCAAGCTCATGTTCCTTTCAATATACCATAAAATGTTTATGTCCTGTGATTCTTTGATTCTGTTGATAGAAATCTAGAATAAGGTTACAATTCTAATTTGAAAGAAAAAATATTTGTTTTTAAATGGTTACCAAAAACTATGTATACTAATAAAAAAATCAGAAATTACCTAACAGGTCTGATGACAGGAAATGTTAAGTTAAATGTAATATATTCATGCTTTCAAGAGTTTACAGCCCTCTCCCCCTTCCCACGGTCTCCTTCCACGGTCTCCCTCTGATGCCGAGCCAAAGCTGGACGGTACTGCTGCCATCTCGGCTCACTGCAACCTCCCTGCCTGATTCTCCTGCCTCAGCCTGCCGAGTGCCTGCGATTGCAGGCGCGCGCCGCCACGCCTGACTGGTTTTCGTTTTTTTTTTTTGGTGGAGACGGGGTTTTGCTGTGTTGGCCGGGCTGGTCTCCAGCTCCTAACTGCGAGTGATCCGCCAGCCTCGGCCTCCCGAGGTGCCGGGATTGCAGACGGAGTCTCGTTCACTCAGTGCTCAATGGTGCCCAGGCTGGAGTGCAGTGGCGTGATCTTGGCTCGCTACAACCTCCACCTCCCAGCCGCCTGCCTTGGCCCCCCAAAGTGCCGAGATTGCAGCCTCTGCCCAGCCGCCACCCCGTCTGGGAAGTGAGGAGCGTCTCTGCCTGGCCCCCCATCGTCTGGGATATGAGGAGCCTCTCTGCCTGGCTGCCCAGTCTGGAAAGTGAGGAGCGTCTCTGCCCGGCCGCCATCCCATCTAGGAAGCGAGGAGCGCCTCTTCCCAGCCGCCATCCCATCTAGGAAGTGAGGAGCGTCTCTGCCCGGCCGCCCATCGTCTGAGATGTGGGGAGCACCTCTGCCCCGCCGCCCTGTCTGGGATGTGAGGAGCGCCTCTGCTGGGCCGCAACCCTGTCTGGGAGGTGAGGAGCGTCTCTGCTCGGCCGCCCCGTCTGAGAAGTGAGGAAACCCTCTGCCTGGCAACCGCCCCGTCTGAGAAGTGAGGAGCCCCTCCGTCCGGCAGCCACCCCGTCTGGGAAGTGAGGAGCGTCTCCGCCCGGCAGCCACCCCGACCGGGAGGGAGGTGGGGGGGGGTCAGCCCCCCGCCCGGCCAGCCGCCCCGTCCGGGAGGTGAGGGGCTCCTCTGCCCGGCCGCCCCTACTGGGAAGTGAGGAGCCCCTCTGCCCGGCCAGTCGCCCCGTCCAGGAGGGAGGTGGGGGGGTCAGCCCCCCGCCCGGCCAGCCGCCCAGTCCGGGAGGTGAGGGGCGCCTCTGCCCGGCCGCCCCTACTGGGAAGTGAGGAGTCCCTCTGCCCGGCCAGCCTCCCCGTCCGGGAGGGGGGAGGGGGGGTCAGCCCCCTGCCCGGCCAGCCGCCCCGTCCGGGAGGGAGGTGGTGGGGGTCAGCCCCCCGCCCGGCCAGCCGCCCCGTCCGGGAGGTGAGGGGCGCCTCTGCCCGGCCGCCCCTACTGGGAAGTGAGGAGCCCCTCTGCCCGGCCAGCCGCCCCGTCCGGGAGGGAGGTGGGGGGGTCAGCCCCCCGCCCGGCCAGCCGCCCCATCCGGGAGGAAGGTGGGGGGGTCAGCCCCCCGCCCGGTCAGCCCCCCGCCCGGCCAGCCGCCCCGTCCGGGAGGGAGGTGGGGGGATCAGCCCCCCGCCTGGCCAGCCGCCCCGTCCGGGAGGTGAGGGGCGCCTCTGCCCGGCCGCCCCTACTGGGAAGTGAGGAGCCCCTCTGCCCGGCCAGCCGCCCCGTCCGGGAGGGAGGTGGGGGGGTCAGCCCCCCGCCCGGCCAGCCGCCCCATCCGGGAGGAAGGTGGGGGGGTCAGCCCCCCGCCCGGCCAGCCGCCCCGTCCGGGAGGGAGGTGGGGGGATCAGCCCCCCGCCTGGCCAGCCGCCCCGTCCGGGAGGTGAGGGGCGCCTCTGCCCAGCCGCCCCTACTGGGAAGTGAGGAGCCCCTCTGCCCGGCCAGCCGCCCCGTCCGGGAGGGAGGTGGGGGGGTCAGCCCCCCGCCCGGCCAGCCGCCCCATCCGGGAGGGAGGTGGGGGGGTCAGCCCTCCGCCCGGCCAGCCGCCCCGTCCGGGAGGGAGGTGGGGGGGGTCAGCCCCCCGCCCGGTCAGCCGCCCCGTCCGGGAGGGAGGTGGGGGGATCAGCCCCCCCCCTGGCCAGCCGCCCCGTCCGGGAGGTGAGGGGCGCCTCTGCCCGGCCGCCCCTACTGGGAAGTGAGGAGCCCCTCTGCCCGGCCAGCCGCCCCGTCCGGGAGGGAGGCGGGGGGGGGGTCGGCCAGCCGCCCTGTCCAGGAGGGAGGTGGGGGGATCAGCCCCCCGCCTGGCCAGCCGCCCCGTCTGGGAGGTGAGGGGCGCCTCTGCCCGGCCGCCCCTACTGGGAAGTGAGGACCCCTCTGCCTGGCCAGCCGCCCCTTCCGGGAGGGTGGGGGGGGGGGTCAGCCCCCCGCCCGGCCAGCCGCCCCATCCGGGAGGTGAGGGGCGCTTCTGCCCGGCCGCCCCTACTGGGAAGTGAGGAGCCCCTCTGCCCGGCCACGACCCCGTCTGGGAGGTGTGCCCAGCGGCTCATTGGGGATGGGCCATGATGACAATGGCGGTTTTGTGGAATAGAAAGGCGGGAAGAGTGGGGAAAAAATTGAGAAATCGGATGGTTGCCGGGTCTGTGTGGATAGAAGTAGACATGGGAGACTTTTCATTTTGTTCTGTACTAAGAAAAATTCTTCTGCCTTGGGATCCTGTTGATCTGTGACCTTATCCCCAACCCTGTGCTCTCTGAAACATGTGCTGTGTCCACTCAGGGTTAAATGGATTAAGGGCGGTGCAAGATGTGCTTTGTTAAACAGATGCTTGAAGGCAGCATGCTCGTTAAGAGTCATCACCACTCCCTAATCTTAAGTACCCAGGGACACAAACACTGCGGAAGGCCGCAGGGTCCTCTGCCTAGGAAAACCAGAGACCTTTGTTCACTTGTTTATCTACTGACCTTCCCTCCACTATTGTCCTATGACCCTGCCAAATCCCCCTCTGCGAGAAACACCCAAGAATGATCAATAAAAAAAAATAATAATAAATAAATAAAAAAAAAGAAAGTTAGCAAAATGTCAAAGATCATGAAATTTCATGTTTATTGCGCATGTCTGGGTGCTCTGTTGATGGGCTGACAATATTGGGATGAGTAATAAAGATGTGGAATTTATAAATTAAAAAAAAAAAAGAGTTTACAGTACAGCTTAAATAATGATCGTGATGAGGATTATTCAATAATACAAAAATGTACTTAATCTGAAACACATACAAAAGGTAAAAACTGGCCAGGCGTGGTGGCTCACACCTGTAATCCCAGCACTTTGGGAGGCTGAGGTGGGCAGATCACCTGAGATCAGGAGTTCGAGACCAGCCTGGACAACATGGTAAAACCCTGTCTCTACTAAAAATACAAAAATTAGCCAGGTGTGGTGGAGCACGCCTGTAGTCCTAGCTATTCAGGAGGCTGAGGCACGAGAATCACTTGAACTGGGAGGCAGAGGTTGTAGTGAGCCGAGATCAGGCCACTACACTCCAGCCTGCGTAATACAGCAAGACTCTGTCTAAAAGAAAAGGTACAAACACTCTATGACCGGGCACAGTGGCTCATGCCTGCAATCTCAGCACCTGGGAGGTCGAGGCGGGCGGATCACCTGAGGTAGGGAGTTCAAGACCAGCCTGACCAACATGGAGAAACCCCATCTCTACTAAAAATACAAAATTAGCTGGGCGTGGTGGCACATGCCTGTAATCCTAGCTACTAAGGAGGCTGAGGCAGGAGAATCGCTTGAACCCGGGAGGTGGAGGTTGTAGTGAGCCGAGATCGAGCCATTGCACTCCAGCCTGGGCAACAAGAGCGAAACTCCATCTCAAAAAAAAAAAAAAAAAAATCTAAAATTTTAAAGCATGTTTTAAACGTTTAGAAAGAATTATACCAACCTAATAACTACTGTGTTAAAGATGACACAAGATAAACAATTCTTTTCTAAATTCTGTAAAATACTGTTCTGATAATTTTATTATTCAAAAACTTACCAAGGGCTAAAAGTTCACAGAGAGTACATTCTGTTCTCTAATTCATAACAAAATTCACATGCTCACAAAAGTGATAGTTAAGTTTAAAGATATAGATAAGATAGGGAGAGAAAAAGCAAATGAGAGATGCAAGAATTTAAGGAGTTCAGTAACGGAAGTATTTCAAGAGGTAAACCAGATGTTCCTATGGAACTGCATCATAGAATCCAGGAGACAGAAAATCATAATGTCAATAGCTGTACTCAGATCAAAGAGCATAAAAGCAGCGTCCATCCACTACAGAAATGTCCATTATACTCAAAGGATCAGGCCACTCTATGCTCTCAGCAAAACCCAGAATTAAAATCAGTTGAAGGCTGTTGATTAAGAAAGTACTAGAAAGATGAGAAGATTGCTTCCTCAAACTTTTCACTGGTAAATGGAAGCTTGGCAATCGGGGCAATACATAGAGGTCAAAAGCATAATTTAAGTCAATAAAGTCTCAATTGAAGCTTTAAAAAGTTACTAACAGTGATTGGTATAGATCCATTTTACTTGCTTTTGCTGCCACCATCATGCCTTCCTTTCCAAGCATCTCTCTCTTGCTTTACTTTTACACAGGCAATGTTGTAGACAATGTTGTAGGCACTCCCTCCAAAAACCTCTCAAAACCAGATGAAAAACTCCTTAAGATATTCCTGTCTCCAGAGGCAGCACAGTTCAAATGCCGTCACAAAACACTTCCTAGGTCTATATCACCTTTCAAGAGGATAAAAGATGAATACTCTGGTTAAATTACTCACAATAGGTAAAAAGTAAAAATTATTCCAAGCGATCTGTACCTATTAAATTTACCTTCCCTCCAAAATTAAAATGGAATTAAGGTTATACAGAGTAGTATGTAGCTACTTAAGCTGAGAATGTTTGGTTTATTGAGGGGTAAAAGTCTTACTTTCCAATTGCCTGTTACTTCTATTCAACAACCTAATCAAGAGAATATATAAAATGAAATGCTGTAACATGTGGTTTGCTACGGTTGTGACCCATGAACTTTTCCATAGAGAACTATGCTTAGATGATAATCATCTGACACTGAATTATGACTACTACATTAAGTGCCTGTCCAGAGAAGATCAATTAAATTTCCATGAATGTTAAAGGTCAAAACATCTCAGGCTACCTACCACCTACTAAACAATAACATTTTACAGATGGCATCATAAAACAAAAATTTCAATAGACATCCCTTCTATCAGGAATAAAGGCAGATAAAGCTATACCCCACACATTAAGCAGAATGCCTTTTCATTATTTCATGTTCTATGTAATGAATTTATCTCCTTAGTATAGATAGAGATCAGGCTGCTTCATACATATTTGCTCCAATTTTCAATTTCACTTGTGTATTGCTCTGCTCTGGCTGCCATTACAAAACAACATAGACAAGGTGGCTTAAATAACAGGATTGTATTTTCTTACAATTTCTAGAGGCTGGGAAGTCTAAGATCAAAGCTGCCAGCCAATTATACTCCTTGTAAGAGACCCTTCCTGGCTTGCAGATGGCCGGCCATTTTCTCACTGTGTCCTCAGGTGGCAGAAGGAAGAGTCACGCTCTCTTGTGCCTCTTCTTATAAGGACATGAGCCCTGCTCTCATTACCTCATCTAACCCTAAGTACCTCCCCAAAGGCCCACCTCCAGCTATCATCACACTGAGGGTTAGAAATTTGACGTAAGAATTTTAGAGGAATGTTAGACATTCAGCCCTTAACAACTCTTATTTAACTTTCTCAATTTGGTGATGGTACGTGTGCATGGGGATGGATGACATAAATTAAAAGTTTTTATTTAAACCGTAAATTTTGTAATAAGAAATGGTTGATATCAATATTCACAAAAAAGACTATATAAGAAAATAATACCAAAGTTGGGTAAAGCAAAAAACAATCTCTGGTTACGAAGATGCTATTTTATAAATGCTAAAGGTCACATTAATACTTGGTGATTTATATAATCCAGGCAGGTTACATATGTTGAATTCTTTCTAATTCTAGCTATCCTTATTTTTTTCTGAAGCCACGGGCATGATTAATAGTAGCCCATATTTATTCACAGTTTACTACACAGTAGCCACTTAGCATGTATTCATGTTAATCTTCCCAACAGTTCAACAATAAGACTACTGTTTCTGCCCCCATTTGACAGGTGAGGAAGTCTAAGCACTGTCCCCTGCAGTAGTACAACTTTAAAATACAGAGTTTAGAAAAGAGAAAAATAAGATATGTCACTAATAATTCCATTTCTGCAAAAAGAACTAGTCAAAAATCTGTAGCCTTTCATTGGACTATTAATAAAAGGAGCCTGTCTTTGTTCTATGTTTTAATCTCAAAGAGATGCTCTTATACAACCACTGGAGAGGGCCAAGATGAAACTGGGCAGAAAGGATCAAGTTCTTCCCAGATGGAAGTCCTGCAGATGTGAGGGCTTTTTCCAAAGTATTTGATTGAAAGTAGAAAAAACAGAGAGTGAATTTTCTAAAATATATCCACTGTAAAACTGTTCTTTATGGATCCCCCCTAAAGTGAAGATCTAGAATGAACACAGTTTTAAAGCAGTTTCCAAAAGACACGGTGATTCTTCCCTTTCTTCAATTAATATAAACTTTAAAATTACCTTGCAGCTATTCTATTCCTATTATTCCAAAGAAACAAGATGATGCATTTCTCCTTAACTACTACTGCTATTTTTTTTTTAAAGCAACAGTCCTTAATGTTACATAAAACTGCTAGACAATTATTGATGGGAAGGAAAAACACAGAAATCTGGAATATCATGAAATCTTTTCCAGACTCAGAATTATGACCAGGGCTAAAATTCAAAGATTGAAGGAAATAGATAAGAAAATAATTCTTTTGAACTGTACACATACACTACAGGAAATATGCATAGCATCAAAACAACACAGCATTTTACAGTGTTTATAAATCAACATCCTGCAGATGTTATCATTAGGAATATCCACAATTTGTTCAATTATAAAATGTTTTAAATTGTCATATTAACAAGAAACTCATATCTGCTTCAAATGCTTTTTTGGAAGGAGTATGTAAATCATAAATATTTGCTGTACAGTCAAGAAAGAATACTAATTTACTATTTATTCGTAAGGGATACTTCTTAAAAGGTATTTTTCCCCAATGTTTTCATACAGAGTATAGATGCAATATGAATCAGAAAAATATTTATAAAATGTAGCTGTAGCACAACTTATTTGATATTGATATTATGCAAATCACTCCGTCTTTAGGTTATACAAGACTGTGTGTTCTCCCTCTCTTATGTGTGTAAAACAAACTTCAAATTCTGATTTCTTATGATGTTTGATGTAAGAAACTAACCAGGAGGATACCCTACAGAGAAACAGAACATCTGGTGAAACGTGTAACATGCCTCAGGATTATGTCTGCTACTAAGGTTAGTGTGCAATGTGAGAGCTGCAATCTCCGTGTTAAACAGTAAAAGCATAAGAAAGAACTAGGTAGCAAGAAGCCTGTTCTTCAGCCACAGAATACTTTCTTCTCAGCAATGTGTTAACACTGAGCCTCACACAGTATTTGGAGAAACAGTTTTATAATAAGTATACTTCGGTTCAGAACACGTAGCTGTTCAATAGACTGCTTCTCCCATATGACTGCTGATTACATCCCTTCCCCAAATATACTAACCTAGGCATTCATCAAGACAGGATGTATGCTGTTGCTTGTCTGTGATTCATCAATCTATTCTGCTTTTATTTTTCAACCCACCAGTAAAAGAATTTGGAGCAGAAGAAATAGGAAAGAAAAACTGAGCAAGTCCAGGTGACCAGGAGAGATGGCATTATTAACTCAAAAGGCACACAATGCTCAGCAGCCTTGCTCCTCCATTTGTTTTTAACTTTCAATTTTCGACCATAAACAGCAACAACCAAATTCTACGCTTACTTCAGTATAAATTGCCTTACATTTGTGACATTTTTAAAAGCCCCTACTGTGTCATGAAAGGTTCCCAAACAAGGAAAGATCTGCACAGCAGGAGAAGAACCTACTTGGATTTTCTGACAGCTGTGAAGGATCAGTCTCCTACAGTAATAGAAATCAACGGCAAACTGAAAAGTGTTTAGAAATAAAATGTTTCCATCACCTCACACTATCAGCTACTTCCATTAGTACCCATGAAAAAGACACTGGATTTTACCCAGCATTTTAATACAATAAACTTTACTGACAGTAGAAAAGAGAATACAATTACAAACTAATCCTATTATTAAACATAGGAAGTCATCAATGAAGAGAAAGAATACTTCTATCCCTTCCCTACTGGACTATACTAATCACAAAAGCCTTACACAACAGTTTACAAACGCTACTCATGAAGCTTATTTTGGGCTCTATATTCTGAATCAAAACATTATTACTTCAAATATAAAAGCATCTCATCAGGAGTTGATTTTACATCAAGTTCAAAGTCAATGATAAGCTCCATGGAATGAGTTTTGTGTGTCTGTGGATATCCTGACTACCTACTTATCAGAAAGAATAATACAATCTACAAACCCTGGAGACCAAACGTGCTCGAGTCATCCATATTACAATAAAAATAAAAAGGTTGTGGAAAGATAGTCATCAGTCATTACAGAGTCAGTCCCAACTCCAGTTCTTGATTTCTGCCAGTATTTCCTGAGCACTTAGCTCTGTTTCTAGGATCTATGGTAAAAGCTGACACAGCCAGCTAAATTAAGACACATTCCTTGCCTCTGAGCAGTTCAGAGTATGTTTAAAAAAAAAAAAAGCCACATAAACAATACCAGCTGATCAACAGGTTGTAGGGTACAGAATTAATGCAAAGGGGATGACTGTGGGGACAGGGGAATTAGGAAAGGCTTTGCAGAGGAAATGATACCTCTGCTAGGTTTTGCGGGATGGGCAAGAGTTTGCCAGGCCAAAAAAATAAAAAATAAAAAGTGAAAGCAGTATTTCAGCCAGAGGAAACCACTGTGCAAAGGGATAAAAATGTGGATAAATTTTTAGGGTAATCTTCAAACAATCTTATACTATATATAGGAGAAAGAATAAAAAATAAAGCTGGGAAGGCAGGCCTGAGCCATTATCTCAAAGGGCCACAGGCCAGGGAAACTTAGACTTTACTGAACTGGCAAGAAGGTGTCAGACAAGGGTTTAGTTGAAGAGTGACACTCAAACTTCTGCTGTAAGACATTACCTAGGAACAGAGGATGGACTAAAAAGGAAAAGACTTGGATGAGGAAACCCAGTAAGAGGCCACTGCAGTAATTCATGCACAAGATGATAATGAAAGCCTGGAGTTAGGAAATGTGAATAGGCAGTTAGCATGAAAACTGGAATATAAGCAAGAACTGTATGTGTTACCTTTAAAAGGGGCTCATGGAAAAGTGCATCAACAAGAAAACATCAAAATTCCAGGAAGAATTTTAGGCCAGATACAGTACTAAAGGAATATTGCAAAACAAATTCAATTATTAAGAATCAACAAAGTTTACACATTCACAAAAATGACTAAAAATCTCCATCTTACTTGCTGAAACTTTTGGAGCTTCAGCAAAAGAAAAGCAAATCACAAATTGATGGCACTAAATTCACAAATCAACAGTGTAATCTCCAAATTTTTAAATAACTGCTACAATTTATGATTACATTGTTTCATTACTGTATCACATAAAGACAAAAGTAGGAATTCACAAAAAATTGATTTGTCTGTTTGTGCTTTATGAAGGGTCAGGAAACATTTGTTTAATTTGGGGCATTTTTATAGGATTTTAAAACTGCATCATTTCCAATGCTGCTTTCATTTCTGAAATAATTTTCAAATCTATGGTAAACCATCTAAATTTAAAGAAAAAAAATCTCTAACAATGAGGGTTGCTAAGTTATTTGTGTACTCCATGATTCCTTTTAAAGATACTTAGAAACAGCATCATGAAAGCAATCATTCATTTAAATAAGCAACCTGAAATGTCCAAGATACCCATCTAGAATGAATCAGTTCTGACTACTGTCAGCATATCCTTAATGACACAAGCTAAGAATATTTGTAAAAAAATAAAGTACTTTAGAAGGTCCCGGCCTTCTAAATATTGACCACAGCTTAAGTTCAAAACAATAAAGTGTTACTACCAATGCAAAGAAACAATCTGAAGATAAAAATCATATTGAACAGTCCAATTTAACTCATAATTTCCTTCACTTATGTAAGATACATTATTGGGGAAAATTGTAGAAACATACCTGAATTCTAAGGGAAACATTCCAAAAATTTTGCAACAAGCCACTACTGACAAGCTTACCACAAGCTAGACAGTAGTGAAATACCTTCTACAGAATATGCAATATGCTTGAAACACAGAATGTTGTCTTATCTCTCTGGTATTCAGACCTTAGATAAGGGCTGTGAAATGGCTAGCTCTATAGGACAATTTCAGCATACAAATGTTCTGACATATACAGGGCTTTAAAAGAATCTAGAAATTTTACATAAAAAATGGGAACAGCCAAAATCCCTATTGACAGTAGAATGAAAAAATAAAATGTGATATATTCATAACAAAGGATATAGCAATGAAAAATGAACTACAGAAAATGAACCCACAAACAATGCTGAGTAAAAGAAGCAAGACATAAAAGATATACTGTCATTACATTTATAAAGTTTAAAAACCAACAAAATTAAATTCATAATGCATGTAAACACTGCTGCAAGAACTACAGAAAACTGAGTTTCATGAAAGTCAATATACTGGCTACCTGAAAATAAGGGGGAGCAACAGGAACACTCAGGGAGAATCCATGGTGCTACCTATGTTCTATTTCTTGACCAAAGTAATGGTTACATAGATATTTGCTTCATAATTATTAAGTTGTGCATCTGTTTGATGCACTTCTCTTGTAAATATCTTTTGCAACAAAAAGTTTTTAAATAGAATACGAGAAGTAATAAAAACTAATGGGTAGTATCTTGATTTAAAAAATAATAGAAACGTGTAAATGGTGCAACTGCTTTGGAAAACAGCTTCGCACTTCCTAAAGGGATTGTATGTAGAGTTACCATATGACCCAGCAATTCCCTCCTAGGAATATACCCGAGAGAAATGAAAGCAATGTCCACACAATTTTGTACACACAGATTTACAGCAGCATTATTCATAATAGGCAAATGTTCAGATGAATAACAAAAACGTATTACTTACATACATTTAATGGAATACTACTCAGCAATAACAAGGAACGAAGTTCTGATGTATGCTGCACTATGAATGAACCTTGAAAAGATCATTTTAGTGAAATAAGTCAGAGACAAAAGGACAAATATTGTATAATTCCACTTACATGAGTTATCTAGAAAGGGCAAACTCATAAAGACAGAATGTAGATTTGAGGATACCAGAGACTGGGAAGGAAGGGTGATGGGGTTTCTCTTTAAGCTGCTGAAAATACTCTAGAATTGACGCTAGCGATGGATGCACTTATCTGTGAATATACTAAAAGCTACAGAATTGTACACTTTAAACGGGTGAACTATAGAGTATAATAATTACACCTCAATAAAACTGTCAAAAAATAATGTGTAAAATATTTCAATACAAGTGAGGGTAATGTTTTACCCCCAACTGTTTAGAAATAATAATGCAGATTCAAATTATATATTTTAATAACTATAGATTTCTGAATTAAGTATATAAAAAGCATCCATGAGCAGAATGCAGAAACAGGTTTCATTCTTTTCATCTAACAATTAATTACAATTGACTATTTTTAAGAACCAAGAAAAACTAAAGCCAAAGAAAATAAGTGTAATATAAAAGAGCTCAGTAATATGGGTTGTATACAAGTTCATTAATCAAAGTACTAAAACCAATGCATTGCTATTACAAAATCATCAAGAACGCTGGAAACCATGTTTATATTTATTAAAAACTCAAATGTAGTCAGAGGCTCTATCACATTGAAAGGTCAGATTTCCTGAATTTTAGTTAACTAGTATGAGTAAAATGAATGGCACAATAGGAAAAGTATATATCATATGAACACAACCCAAAAGATGCAAGAGGTTTGAGAGCTGGTGGCTTGATAATGCCATATCTACCCCTCCCATATATAATAACATATTCGTATCTATAATAATCCCTATCAGTTTAATACCTGCTTAAAATAATTTCCACATTTAGAATTATTTCTAAAAGTCAGTCATATCTGTTTTTTCAGAGGATACCACGTCTCAGGTCCTTCTCCATACTGGCTCTCCGCTCATTCTTTTCTGTTTCCTACTATTCTACTATTTTGTGTTAAGTGAAAGCAAAGAGCTAGCATAGATCTCAGAGATGACAAACCTCTGATGGACCACACAGCAGAAACTACTAGAGTCACATGCTCTATTACAGAAAATACAGCAATATAAAACTATCAGATTGAAGGGCTAATACAATTCAAAAGAAAAACAGGTCCTCTCTTCCTTTACCCCTCAACCCCACCAGTAATAATGGTTATTGGAAATAAACTAGAAAAAAAAAAACCCATAAAGTTTGAAAAGAATGGGCTGGACAGAGCGGCTCACACTTGTAATCCCAGCACTTTGGCAGGCTGAGGAAGGAGGACTGCTTGAGCCCAGGAGATCATGACCAGCTGGGGCAACACAGTGAGACCTCATCTCTAAATAAACAAAACAAAACAATTTGAAAAGAAGTTCTAACTGAGCTAAGGCACTTACTGAAAAGGCTGTAATAGCAGACATTTAAGCCTAGGAAAAGGGGCACAGAATGTACTAATCCTTGTAGACTGCTATAACATTACTTTGATCCTAACTGCCACTTCCAGGTGTGATTGACATTAGGATCTAATTATAATGTATTTTTCTTATAATTCTCAGTATGTAGAAGAAAAAATGCTTACTATAATCACACACAGCAAATATTCAAAGATTATCTCTGCTCTCTGCACTCATTTTAAATAAAAAGTAAAAACAGGTAGAAAATACTTTTCCTCTGTTAAATTAAGCAAATGAATCAGAAACCCATTATTCTCAACACATTAAAGGCTCTGATAAGCAAAATGAAAATGTATCATGGCTAAGTCCATACTAATTTTCACCAAAATCAGTGATACTGCTCTGTCTCTGGGAATACATTCAACCCTAATGCTTACTGTTCAGTCAACTCTGTTGCCCCTCAGTATTCTTAGATCAAAGGGGCATTTTATAACCCTAGCTCAAACACAGTTTACTACGTTACTAAGTTTGATGGCAACTCCCAATGAGAGCAAACATTGGTTAAACTACTTAGTTAGGAAATGTAAAAACAACTTTAATTTACCATTCATAAATAACAATCCATTTGCAGACTGCATCCACAAGAAACACACATATACCACACTTTGAAAGAAATGTTGCCAGCAGTACTAACAGCTGACTGCAGTTCAAGACCAAATGCCACCTTTTGGTTTTGACTCACTCCCCAAGCTCCTACAAACCTGGGGGAAGAGGAGTGGGGGGAGGTGCTGGGTATTACTCTGTCTAAAAAGCCCCAAGACATCCCAAATATATGGACTCTCAAGTGTTGTTTCCTTTGGTCAGTTAATATGTACTACATAATCCCCATGCATTTTCTGCCTGACATACCATGTTCTTCAGTCATCTAAATTTTGCCTCAAAATACCACCAACAGGAAGCTCTATTTTAATAGGAAAAAAAAAAAAGCCTATAAAAGAAATGCCCTTTTAGGCCAGGCACAATGGTTCACACCTGTAATCCCAGCACTTTAGAAGGACAAGGCAGGAGGATCACTTTAGGCCAGGAGTTCGAGACCAGCCTGGACAACATGGCGAAAGCCCGTCTCTACTAAAAATACAAAAATTAGCTGGGTGTAGTTGTGCACGCTTGTAATTCCAGCTACCTGGGAGGCTGAAGCAGAATTGCTTGAACCCAGGAGGCGGAGGATGCAGCAAGCAGAGATCACGCCACTGCACTGCAGCCTGGGTGACAGAGAAAGACTGTCTCAAAAAAAAAAAAAAAAGAGGAGGTACAACATTTAAAGTTTCTATTTTGAATGTTAAGGTTTTCTGGGTTAGACACAATTACCTTTTATGTTATTCCTCCTGGAACAGAAGTTTTCTGATAGCTTGTGCAAACACTAATACAAACTTCCCTCTTCCCAAATGCTCACTGTTTCACATTGTTGTCAGTTTAAGTAGTACAGCTTTCTAGATTACCAATCTCCCAAGAAATCCTTCCTAGGATCCCACTCTGGCACTACCTTCTTTTACTTATTGGACTGAACTAAATCTAACAGACTACAGGGGTAAGCATAGACAGATACACATGCAACTCTGCAGGCACTCTGAAAGACTCCCTAACTCCAATAATTCCACAATTTCAATAATATGAAATAACCCAGAAGAAACTGGGAGAAAAGAACCATTACCATTCACTTTATAAAGACCTTCCCAAGATTCCTCTCAATAGAAAATTCTCAGCACATTTAAAAGATTATATATTTACAAAAATACAAGCTACATATTTTTCTAGGGCCTTGATTATATTAAAAAAAAGCATCAATATGATAAAGACCAATTAAATCTTCTAATTTAGAGAAAAGACCACCTAGCTTATTAACTCTGAATAAAGGTAAATATTGTTTTAAAATCTAACCTAACTGGAACTTGAGCAAAACATTTAGAGAGTGCTTTCATACGATAAATGACTGAGACTTACTTAATTAAGACAGGATTTCACAGCACAATTAAAGAACACTCAGGAAAAGTACAGTTTGTCCTACAGAAAACAAACCCCTTTCCTTCCACTCAGATTATATTTTCACTTTATATTGTGGCACTCAGACATTTATTTTAAAAGACTGTATTCGTAATGTTTAATGAGTTTATTCTCCAAACTAAAATATTAAAATAGTAGTTTAATATCAAATTTGAGACACTAAGAAAACAACAAGCCTTCAGCTGGTTTTCACAATCTGTTGAGAAGCTATTTTCTTAATAAGCCCCAAGTTCTTCTAACTGGCACAAAGCTTAATTTTATCTTTGTATCAATATAAATTAATTTTATCTTTGTATCAATACCATACTTCCTGATCTTTCCACTTGGGAATAAAATGGAATTAATTTATATATGCCAAAGTAACTTACTTTGTAGAGAAGATTTTTTATAACCCAAATCTTTAAATACTCAAAGTTCATATCCTGAAAAGCATATAATTAAATAAAAATGTTATCCTTCCTGAACCCTAAGTAAGTTTTTCCCTTTCAGTGACAATAAGGCAGGAATATATTTGGAAGTCAAAGTACTAAATTCAGTTATGTTAAATAATCAAATAGACCTAAAGTATAACTGAAATATAAAGAACATTCAATTTTTAGGAAACTACATTCTTAATTTTATAACTAAGTATCATTTGACATCAGAAAATTTTAGCAACTGCTTGTTAGCTCAACAGAGTGAGCTCCTTAAGAGTGAGGAGTGCTACTCTTCAGGGCCATTTTTTTTTCCAGAAATAAAGTTTCAATCACTTTTAAAATGGCACCACCTACGTGGTAACAAATAGAGAAACACACTGCTGCATTGATAAGTAGAAGTTAAATGTTGAACTGGGTGGCATGCTAAGCTAATTTCACCAAATGATTATATATTCTGTCACCATGCTGGAAGTAAGAATGATAAATCTGTTAATGTCAACAGTCCACTGTGGCACTTTAAATGGAAACCTATGTTTCAAAATTCAGTACAGACTGAAAACTAGGTCTCCCTCCCACTGGTATCTCTCTCATACAGAGGTAACCACTCTTTCCAGTTTATGTACATTTCTTTTTTTTTTTAAGAGACAGGGTCTTGCTCTGTCTCCCAGGCTGGAATACAGTGACATGGTCATAGCTCACTGCAGCTCTGAATTCCTTAAGGGATCCTCCCGCCTCAGCCTCCCAAAGAGCTGGGACTACAGGAGTGCACCACCACGTGGCTATTTTGTGTAGAGTCGGGGTCACTCTGTGTTACCCAGGCCGGCCTTGAGCTTTTGGCCTCAAGAGATCCTTCTGCCTTGGTCTCCCCCAAAGTGCTAGGATGACAGGCATGAGCTGTCACACCTGGCCAGATGTATCATATTTCAATCATTCTCCTACTGGTGAGCGTTAAGATTTTTTCAATCTTCTGATATTAAACATTCCTATAATACTCTTGTATGTATATCACTTTACATATGTATATGAATATGAGTAAGTCAAATTCCTTTCAGAGAAACTGCAAGGTCAAGAATTATGAGCAAACCTTTTTTTTTTTTTTACATTGCCAAACTTCTCTTCACATAGTTTGTACCAATTTAAACTCCCATCAGCAATCAGCAGTACATGAGTGTGTCTTGTTTCCCTCCAGTGTCTGTCAAATTCATCATGCTATAAAACTTTTAATCTTTGCAAATCTAAAGTGTGAAATGTCATGTTTTGTTATAATTTGAAATTGCATTTCTTTCATTATGAATAAGGTTGGGCATCATTTTACACATGTAAGTGCCATTTGTATCTTTTCTTGTGAACTGTCTAAACCATCTTTGGCCTGCTGTGGCCACTGGTCTGTTTGTTTGTTTTCCTTCTCAATTTGATTAGTAAAAAAATCATTCATATATTAAAAATTTAGCCTTTTGCCAGTGCTAAATTGCGATAATTCTCTTTCATTTTGCCATACAGATTTGTTTTACTTTTATTTGTTTTAGGTATAGACCATTTATTTTGTGCCTTCTGGGTTCTGTGTCATACATAGAAAGGTCATATCTAGTCTCACACTGCGGTGAAATCATTCATGTTTTCCTTTAACTGTTTCACAATTTTTTTGTTTTATGTTGAAATGTCTGACCTACATGTAAATTATTTTTGAAAAGATCTATAACTTCTACCAAAAGAAGTTTTCTTAACACTAAATTATCTTCAGGAGAGATGGAGATACATACTACAGGAGATGAAGACATATACTAGCAAGGCAGATAGTGTAATCCCTTAAAGAAGGAAGAATGAGACAGAACTGACTTGTATAGCTGTATTCCAACATAGTAACAGAGAATAAGAAAATAAAAATGTATCTCCATACTTCCTCTGTTTATCCCATGGTCCTGCCCGCTGTCTTTAAAAAGAAAGTGAAACAAAGCAGCAGCAACAAAATGATGTAGTGCAAAAAAAACTAAGGTAAACTTCCTAATTCTTTTTTTTTTTTTTTTTTTGAGACAGAGTCTCACCCTGTCGCCCAGGCTGGAGTGTGGTGGAGCAATCTAGGCTCACTACAACCTCCACCACCATGTTCAACCAATTCTCGTGCCTCAGCCACCCAAGTAGCTGGGTTTACAGGCATGCCCCATCACGCCCGGCTAATTTTTGTATTTCTTAGTAGAGATGGGGTTTCACCATGTTGGCCAGGCTAGTCTCGAACTCCTGGATCTCCTGGCCTCAAAGGATCCGCCCACCTTGGCCTCCCAAAGTGCTGGGATTGCAGAGCCACCACGCCCACTGCTCCTGAATTCTTATGCATAACTTGGCACACAGGTACATTTTTTTCTGAAGAAAAGGTCTACAGCTTGGTGGGAGAAGAAAATGCAATGGCTCAGAGCAGTGTTGCAGCCCAACCAGGTAAGTAGGGTATCAAAGTAGGAGGCCTGTCCACTTTACAGTGTCAGAGACTAGACCATGCAAGAAAGGAATACTCATAAGATAGTGGTTGTCATGGGGATTCAGAGACTCAGTAAAGTGAGGAAGGTATTGGGGATAGGAGGAGGAATAGCACAAGGAGTCAGCATCTGAGCAGGGTAAGGAAGGCAGGGCAACCCATGCATGAGGCCTGGCATGGGTCTTCAAAGCCCAAGTGGGATGGTATGTGGAGTCAGAGACTGAGCAAGGTGGGGAGGGCATCTGAACAGGAAAAGGCTTGGGAGCAGAAATAAATTAGTTACATAAAAAGGAAATTAACCAAATAAATAAATGTATTAAGAATAATATGAACAAGTGTTTCACTATCAGAGAAGGGAATTACAAATATGAAAAGGGAGAAAAGTAGAATAAACTCAGTTGTAATGAACTGGAGTTGGAGCTATCAGTGTAAACTCATGGTTTTCAATATAAATAAATACAGAAATACAGATGTAAATGTGTTTATCTGTGTGTTATTTGTATATTCAAATACATGCTCAGTCAGCTCAAAAGCCCTTCAAGTAGTAATATCCCAAGAGCAATGAGCATGCTCAGGGTGTTCTTGGCATCTAAATACCATTCTTCTCTTGGACGATCTAGGGCTCCTTAGAAATGACTGAATCCAGAGATGGGACAGGGAAGGTACAAAATGAGCCTGGAACATTACATTATGCCAAAGAGTGAGAAATGCTCAAATAATTGATGGAAACATTGCAAAAGGGCACAAGCTACCTTGAATGGGATTCCACTGATCAAACTGGGGATAAACTGAAAATTAAATAATGACAGTAACTTGTTAATAGCCCACTGAATAAAACAGGAAACCATAAGTTTATACAGCTACATGACTAAATTGAAAATTATATAGATACATGACTAAATTGAAAATTTCTTAAAAGAGAATAGTTACAAAGTTCCCCATAAAATACTTGGGAATGGTTCTTTCCTGAGACTATTTAAAGTTTACTAGCTCTATAATACAACTAATAATTAGGAATAATGATTGAGGTTTGAAAGAAGATAGGCATACTTCATGACTGCATCAAGGATCAGATTCCAATGCACTAAACATACTGTTTTTGAAATAATTTATTTCTGCCTAAAATACAGAGTTCAATGACTAAGGCTTCAGAATACTTACAAAATAGTGGGGGTTTTTTTTTGTTGTTGTTAGCATGATATTGAATCTCTACTGAGTACTCATTTATTTATTCCCTGTATCATGCTTAGTCTTCTCGAGGAATAAAATCTAAATAATTTGTAAGGGCAAAATGATAAAGTACAAGTTTGACTACAAAACATATGAGGCAGAACAGCCCTGCACACACAAAAAAGTCAAAAGCACAGGTGACAAAACTTTTGTAAAAGAAAACACAAAACCAACAGTTAAGGCAGAACATGTACACAAACAAAAAAAGCTAGGACACCAACCCTCTCCATATTACATGTTAATACAATTAGGGCACAGAGATAACAGTAGTCTCACTGTGGACAGCCCTGGCTCACCTCTCCAGCTGGGATCTCTCTCCTGAGAGGCCTCCATCACCACCCAGCTGTCCCTGGTGAATCTCACTCTCTTAGTGTCCAACCAAATTCTGCTTCCCTTCCCTCCCAAACCTGTGCCTCTTCTCCTGTGTGTGCTTGTCCCTTTTTCCAGGGGTTGACAGATCACCCCAAAGGAAATACTGGGCCTAGATGAAATCAGAAGAAACAAAAAAAGAATAGATTTTTAGGGGTTTTCTTAAAGTGTAAAAAGAAAAAAATTGCATGCCTGCTTGCAAACATATGGGATACTGAAGAACTATTGCTGCTTTCACCAACCCAATTGCTGGTCAGTGTCAGGTGCTGACAAACTTGCTTGCTTTCCTCCACTGTTTTACTACCTACATCTTCTTAATGACTGGGAACAAAGAAGTCCAGTCCTTTCACCAGTCAGCTTTTGAATTACACTGAAATTGTAGGGATGACCACAACCTACTCTGTACTCAAGCCGCTATCCCTATATTCCTTAAAGCCACTATAAAGAGGTGAGATTCCCACTGCATTATGTTACAAATTTATGTTTACCCCCCTTACCAGAAACCTCTAGCTGAGCTTGTCCTCTTCACACTGAGTAATGGTTTATGTTTCTTCCCTGAGGGCCTAAACTTTTATTTGTTCTTATTAAATATTATTCTCTTTTAAAAGCTTCTAAATTTCAACTGGCCCTGATTACTTTGAATTATGCAATGCAAATTAGTCTACTGAATAAAGATTGGTCTTGAAATTTGATGAGCATCTCAATTGATTAAGTTAAATTATGCTTTAGTGGGGGGCATACCCTATATACTTCAAATACTTCCAGACACACAATGAACTAATAATTGTACCAAGACTTTTGTGAAAAATAACAATATCTACTACACATTAAGTGCTTACTAAAAGGCAGGCACTGCCTTAATGTATTCTATGCATTCCTTCTTAAACTTCAGAACAACTCTTAAGGGTAGGCAGAATTATCATGCTCAGGATCAGACTGGATTCAAATGCACCAAGTCTGTTTAACTCCAGAGACTATGTCTTGATCATTATACCCGAGGGCCATTATCATGGCTACTAGGTAGCTACAATTTCACAGGCAAAGTAATTATAAAAGCAGTTTTTTTTTTAACCATGGCTTTAACAAGTTGATCAATATGATGTAAAATAAATTTCACAAGATGGAATACTCAAAGAAGTAAACCATACACATTTCATTCAAAAGGGGCATAAGGTACAATTTTCCAGATACTCATGAGCCTGGCCCACAAGTCATGAGTGACAAGTTAGATGTCACTCATGAATGAAAATTACCCCTCTCCTCAGTAGACACCACATTCTCCTATCTACCCCATCTTCATTCCCGCCACCACTAACTAGTCTTCTTGCATTCAACTATTATTTTTTTCTTAAAACAGATCTAAATAATGTCATGATACTTACAAAAAGCCTTCATGGTTGCCCACTATCAATAGTATAAAAGCCAAACTCCTGACCAAAATGATCACAATTAATACATGTTATGCTGTAGATATCAATTGTCTCTGTTTTACAGATGAGGAAACTGAAGCTGAAAGACTAAATTTTAATATAACCTGCATCTCTCGGCATCCTTGCCCATGCCATAGCCTCTATTTCAAAACCTCTTGCCACTACCAATCTCTTTCTGCAACTTAATGTTGCCAACTACCAACTTTCATTGTTTAAGATGATTTTTTTTTCTACTGAGACATAAATCACTGTATACCAATGGCTCATTAGAGCAAGAAACAGAGGTGGAGCTGTTAAAAATTTATATATAGGCAGAGTGCAGTGGCTGACATCTGTAGTCCCAGCACTTTGGGAGGCCAAGACAGGCAGATCTTTGAGCTCAGGAGTTTGAGACCAGCTTGGGCAACATGGCAAATCCCCGTCTCTACAAAAAAAATACAAAAATTAGCTGGGCGTAGTGGCATGTGCCTGCAGTCCCAGCTACTCTGAAGGCTGAGGTGGGAGAATGGCTTGAGCCCGGGAGGCGGAGGTTGCAGCATGCTGAGACCATGCCCCAGCAACAGAGCTGGAACCTGTCTCAAAAAAAAAAAAAAAATTGAATACACACATACCCACATATTTACTTGGGTGTACATGCCTAAATCCACTGAGTTATATATAGGTCCACCATTCTTAAACTACTCAACTGTATCATATGAATTACAAAAAAATACTGATATCATGACATACACTTCAATTTTCATCCATTTCAGAGTTCAATTTCCCAACAACTTTTGTCAAATTTTAGACATTTGACTCTAAATTCAACAAACTTTTTCTTTAAATCTTGCTAAAACAGGTAATCTACATGAACACTGATGCATGCCATTATCCTAAGCAAATTAACCTAGGGACAGAAAAACAAATACTGCATGTTCTCACTTGTAAGTGGGAGCTAAAAAATGGGTACTTATGGACATAAAGATGAGAATAGAAGACACTAGGAACTACTAGAGTGGGTAGGGAGGGAGGGGTACAAGAGTTGAAAAACCATTGGGTACTATGCCAGCTACATGGGTAGCAGGATCATCTGTATCCCAAACCTTGGCATCATGCAATATACTCACGTGGCAAATCTGTACATTTACCCTGTGAATCTAGAAATTGAAATTATAAAAATAAATACATATAAATGAATGCATAGGCGCCCTAATTATTCTCTTCTAAAGGTGAGGGTCTTAATGGCAAATGACAGTGCAGGTTTTTTGGTTTTTTTTGTTTGTTTGTTTGTTTGAGATGGAGTTTCGCTCTTGTTGCCCAGGCTGAAGTGCAATAGTGCGATCTCAGCTCACTGCAACCTCTGCCTCCTGGGTTCAAGAGACTCCCGTGCCTCAGCCTTCCGAGAGCTGGGATTACAGGCATGCACCACCATGGCTAATTTTGCATTTTTTAGTAGAGACAGTGTTTCTCCATGTTGGTCAGGATGGTCTCAAACTCCAGGCCTCAGGTGATCCTCCTGCCTTGGCCTCCCAAAGTGTTGGGATTACAGGCGTGAGCCACCGTGCCCGGCCGTAGGTTTTTTATTTTTATTTTTTAATGGAAACAATAAAATAGAAGACAGTATTTTTAACAGTGCCAAGTTGCCACTTAGAAGTCTGGCACTGGAGCAAGAGCTCCCTAAATTAATTGCCTAGGGAAAAATGGAGGTAGAGAAAACTCAACCTTCTTGGGATGGTGGCAATAGCAGCTGAAACAAAATATTAAAATCCATCTCCTAAAGCAAGTTTGTACAACCTGCGGCCCAGGACAGCTTTGAATGCAGCCAAACACAAATTCGTAAACTTTCTTCAAACATTATAAGATTTTTTTCTTTTCTTTTCTTTTTTTTTTAAGCTCATCAACTACCACTAGTGTTAGTGTATTTTATGTGTGTCCCAAGACAATTCTTCTTCTTCCAGTGTGGCCTAGGGGAGCCAAAAGATGGAACGTCTCTGTCCTAAAGTCTTCAAGTTATTAAGGGAAAATCCTCTCTACTTTTTACCAACTATTTAGCAAAAAAAGACAAAGATCAAATGCAAGTATGGCTTACTGTTCCTGTTTCTAGTGAGTCAAGCAACATAAAGAAAAGAAAAAGATTTATATAGTTTGATCAGGGAGGCCGGAAGACATCCATAAGTAAAACTGGCAACTACTATGAAAGTTAAATTTAGCATGGTTGGGGTTCAGGGAGTCCATTTGTAATGCAAAAGTTAGGGTAAACATAATAAATTGATGCTTTTAAACACCTTTTTTGAGAAATGGGAAAGAATTTTTCTATCACTGCTAATTTACTTACAAATTATATGCTTTCCCAAGTCAGTCCACCCTTCTAAATATAGGGTATACTCAAAACATTGAACTAGCTATCTTTAATCATAAAGTAAGACTTCTGGTCTAAATTTATATTGTTAAATTACTTTATTCTAATCAGTTCTCCAAAGCCAGAAAGAAAAATTACTTTCTAAATATTGTGTTAAATTTAGGAAAGAATATATTCCTCAATTTCAAACAAATTTAAAACAAAGGAAACTGACACAGTAATTTTTGGGGGGCTGGAGGGTTCACATCATTCAGTTAATATTGTTCTATACCTACAGGATTAAATTTAGCTACTTTAGCTTCGTATGCAATTCACAATCTCCATTTAATCCATTCAACAAATATTTTATTGGGCATGTATTATATTCCACTATTCTAACAATAAATATTGGGGATAAATAAATCTCAGCCCCTGAGCTCAGTGAGTATCCAGTCTAGCAGAAGTGAATAATAATTGATAAGATATAGTGTGATAGTCCCCATAATATTAATTAGTAGGGTGTTTTTCATATACCTCCAAAAATTCTTTGATGTTCCTTCCCACCAAGCGACAGAATTTAATTCCCCTCCTCTTAATTATGGGCTGGACTTAGTGACTCAATTCTAAGTAATAGAGTAGGGGAAGGAATAAAAAGTAACTTTTCAGTGAAGAAACCTGGCAGTCACCACCTAAACTAAGTAACCAAGGTTAACATCATCATCATTAAGACATGTTGAGATGATGCAATGAAAGGGCCAATTCACTTGTATAATTCCCCAAATCATGGGGATTATTCTTCCCTACAATCATGAGAAAACATCAGATAAGCCCAAATTGATAGATAATGTATAAAACAGCTGACAAGCACTCTTTAAAAGTGTCATGGCCAGGAAAAACTAGGAAAAGAAACAGACTGGAACATACTAAAGAGATACAATGAAATCCAACATGGCATCCCGGACTGCATCCTACATCAACAGAAAAAGAACATGAGTAAGAAAACTGGAGAAATCTGAATAAATTCTGCATTTTAGTTAATGGTACTGTACCAATTCTAATTTCTTACTTTTGACAAATATCATGGTTACATGTTAATGGTCTTTGCAAGTTCTGTAAATCTAAATTTTTTTTTTAAATAAAAGATTTAAATATATACAGTCTGGTAAGAATCATCATGAGATAAGCATATGATCTATGAGACATGCAGCCAGGGTCAGCACCAGGGGTTACGTGTGTGAAGTCTGGGAATAATGTCTCAACTTACTCTTGAAATATGGGAAGGAGTTGATCAGCTGGAATGGGGAAGGGGGTAGAGAAAACAGAATAATCCACTATCCAGGAACAAGGCAGATTTTTGGTTTGTGTAGTTAACAAATGGTTCATTCAGCATGGCTGGCATAACGGGAGAAGAAATGGAAGTAGTGTCAAGAAATAAGGTCAGAGAGAAAAGCAGGAATTACTTGTCTTGGAGATCCAGCCTCAAATCCCACATATATCATATCAACCTAGGGCTGAAGTGACTTCATCTCCTGAAATCATTTCCTATACCAGTCATTTAGCCATAACCACGTACTGCCTTGTGATAAGTTTGTCCTATTATTTTAATTTTCCCAATTTAAATCTTACTCCACAGAGTGAGATAGCAGGAACCAAGCTTCACATACTCCCTGAAATTTACCTTACTGGTTTCTACCTTATATCATGCCTTAGACAGTGTCTAGCATAGTAGGGACTCAGTGGATGAGCAATATATAATATAAACTGGTCATCAGAATTAATCTGAAGAATATGGTATCAATGAGAAGCTGATTTTAATCATCATAAGCTGATTCACTGGGGAGGGGGAGGGTGCACAGAGAACAACAGTACAGATATTTCCAAAATCAAGTACGAATAACAAAGGACAACATATTAAAAACCTTAGAAATCATTTTAGGGCAGTGGTACCCAACCTTCATGGCACCAGTGACCAGTTTCCTGGAGGACAATTTTTCCATAGAAGGTTGTGGGGATTGTGGGGGGTGGCAGTGATCTTGGAATAAAACTGTTCCACCTCAGATCATCAGGCATTAGATTCTCATAAGGAATGTGCAGCCTAGATCCCTCACATGCGCAGCTCACAACAGGGTTAGCGTGTGGGCGGCAAGCCACCCAGGTGCCAAGGCAAGAGACTGAAGGCAAAAGCTGTTCCAGTATAATAAAGAAGATACTTAAAATAAGAATAGTTGTATTAGATGTAGAATGTAGATATGATTATATATGAATACTACTAATTATTAGTTTATGGTATTATTCTTTATTCCAAAATAATAATCTTTCTTCTACCATTATAACCTAGGAAAAACGAGGGCATACAGAGATAGGAGCTGAAGGGACACGGTGAGAAGTGACCAGAAGACCGGGACAGGGCCACTAGAGGGCTCCCTGGTCTAGTGGTAATGCCAATGCCTGGGAAGCACCCATTACTTAGCAGACCGGGAAAGGGAGTCTCCCTTTCCCCGGGGGAGTTAGAGAAGAATCTGCTCCACCACCTCTTGTGGAAGGCAATGTCAGGCCTGCCCGCAGCCATCCGGAGGCCTGACCATCTCCCTGTGATGCTGTGCTTCAGCGGTCACGCTCCCGGTCCACTTTCATGTTCCACTCTGTACACCTGGCTCCGCCTTCTGGATAGCAGTAGCAGAATTAGTGAGAGTACTAAAGTCTTTAAAATGTGTAGAAGAAATAATGATGTAAGCTGTCCTCTCTCTCTCTCCGCCTCGGCTACCAAACAGGGAAGGGCCCCTGTCCGGTGGACACATGGCTTGTGTGACCTTACCTATCATTGGAGATGGCTCACACTCCTTACCCTGCCCCCTTGTCTTGTACACAATAAATAACAGCACACCCAGGCATTTGGGGCCACTACCGGTCTCCACATCTAGGTGGTAGTGGTCCCCCAGGCCCAGCTGTCTTTTCTTCTGTCTCTTTGTCTTGTGTCTTTATTTCTACCATCTCTCGTCTCTGCACACGAAGAGAAAAACCCACAGGCCCAGTAGGGCTGGACCCTACATTAGTGCTCCTATGAGAATCTAATGCCACAGCTTTTCTGACAGGAGGCAGCACTCGTGGTTCTTAACAGATCAGTACTGGTCCGTGGCCTGGGGGCTGGGGACTCCTGCCTTAGGGGACTTAAAGACTAAGAAGATAAAAACCGTTCCACATAACATCATTTCTGCCTATCATTCTGATACTCTGCTCCATTCTACCTCCTGACAATTAACAATCAACAAAAGGGTGTCCTATAAAGTGGTTAAGAACCCAGGCTTTGAATCCTGATTCCATACATTGTAGCAAAGGCTCTTGGACAAAGTACTTAGCTTCTCTAGCCCTCAGTAAAATGGGAACAGTAACAGTACTCAACTCTTAAAAGAGCCATATGGATTCAATGCATGCAAGTCTTCAACACAATCAATGTTTGGCACATGACACGTGCTCAACGAATGTTAGCAATTACAACTGTGACTGTAATGTTATCATTACCAGTACAATAATGGCGAGGATGATGATACCATTCAAGAGTACTGCCTTGCCACTCTGCTCACTTCTAAGTCTCACTTTTTAATGACCTTCTCTAGCTTAAAAGATAGAGGGGAAAAATTTCTTGTTGCTGTGTTCTCCCTAAAAGCTAGTAAAAATATCTATTTTACTAAAAGTAAAATCTTCATGTACAGTTGTTGTTTTATTCCACATACAGAAGAGTAAGGTTAATCGACAAACAGGAAGATATCCTCGGCGTCAATAATCAGATAAACGTTGAAGAACAACTGCATAAAAGGGAAAACAAAGGAATAGCCCTAAAATTTTACTGTTTCTTTTCCTATTATTTTTAACTTCAACAGTTTAAAAGAGGTCAAGCTAATACATTTCAAGTATCTACAACACAAACTACTTACGGCTATTTTAAAGCAAATTATTTCAAGCATTTTTTTTTCTTCAACTATTTAAATAATTTCATAGATTGTATGCAATGTGTAGCTCTCACGTTGACAGTGTACTCTGTGATAGTGGCCAAAGGTACATTATACCAAATGTAAAGGTCTAGAGAGTTCCTCTGTACAAAAGGTACTTTCCAGTGGAAACCAACTATGCCAATAACACTTTGTAGCACTGCCCACAGGAAACACTAACTGCTGTATCAAACATTCCTGATGCTGTAGTGCTTATTATCTACAAAGAATGTTCTTCAACATCTAATTCATACTCGGTCAGAGATGGATCCTAATGCACCCATATGAATTTAGATAATCAACAGTATGACCAAGATACCTATATACATATTTTCATATGATATTTGTAAAAAGTTATAGATAAAGGCACAGAATATATTTATACATTTACCCATGTTGTTCAGACTATGAAAATATTAGCAAGAATCAATATAAGGAGAAAAGCTGTTCAAGTTGTTTTATCCAAGAGAAATGAATTTCTAATTTCTTAACCAAAAGATTCATGCCCTAATGCTTCCTTAGGTTATAAAGATTCACAAGATAGTAAGGTAACTCAGAAAGACATTAGACACTACCTTCACCAAGTGACCAAGGTTAGCATCACCAGTGATGCCATGTGGGTAACATGTTACACCCCCCCCCACCACCAACACCCCAGGAGAATGCAATGACAGGGGCACTTCAACACTGAGATTTCTTCTCAAAAATCTGTAACTCCAGTTTAATCATGAAAATACATCCAACATATCCAAACTGAGGAACATTTTACAAAATACTTAAGCAGCACTCTTTAAAACTGCCTAGATGGTGGGAAACAAGAAAAGACTGAGACAGTCACAGACCAGAGGGGCCTAAGGAGACATAACCAGCGCAACGTGGTATTCTAGACTGGATCCTAGAAAAGGACGTCACCAGAAAAACTGGTGAAATCCAGATAAAGTTAACAGTAAGATGTCAATGTTGGTTTCTTAAACTAATGTATCTCAGTAATATAAGATGGGAATATTAAGGGAAAACTGGTTGAAGGATATAGGGGAACTCTGTACTATCTTTGCAACGTTTCAGTAAAATCTAAAATTATTCCAAAACAAAAAGTTTATTTAAAAAAAAAAAAAACTCCAGACACACTTGTTTACAAAGGTTATCTAGCAGCCATGGATAAACTTTCTTGGAGTAAACACTACCACCGATAAATCCAATCACCAAGCTGAGTTCCCATAAATATTTCAAATGTCAAATGAAAAGTCCTAGATTAAGTCACAGAATTATAAAGACATTGATGACAGCTGATGAGTCATCAATTCAACTAGATTACTACAGATAGCTTAAAACCTTTTAGTAGTCTCTTACAGTTTACAGAATAAAACCTAAACTTCTGTAAGCTCTGAAGAACACAGCCCCTTGGTTTTCATTCAGCAGGATTTATTCAGACAGATTAACCTTCTGAAAGTTCCTGAACAATGTCAAGCTCATTCCCACCTCAGGGCCTTTAGCACTTGGTTTTCCTCGTCTGTCTCTCTTCACACAGCTAGTTACTTCTTATCTTTCAAGTGTCAGCTGAGCATATCTCCATTCCAGGGACTCTCCAAACACTCCATATAACCACTCTGTTTTTCATGTTTCAATACAGCATTCAATAAATTATGTGAGATATTTAACACTTTATTTATTTATTTATTTATTTTATTTATTTAGAGACTGGGTCTCACTCTGTCACCCAGGCTGGAGTGCAGTGGCACCATCTCAGCTCACTGCAACCTCCATTTCCCGGTTTCAAGAGATTCTTGTGCCTCAGCCTCACGAGTAGCTGAGACTACAGGCGAATGCCACCACACCTGGCTAATTTTTGTATTTTTAAAAGATGGAGTTTCACCAAGGGTTTTGACATGTTGGTCAGGCTGATCTTGAACTCCTGGCCTCATGTTATCTGCCCGCCTCAGCCTCCCGAAGTGCTGGGAATACAGGCATGAGCCACAGCACCCGGCCAACATTTTACTATAAAACAAGCTCTGTGTCAGATGATTTTGCACAACTGTAGGCTAATATAAGTGTTCTGAATACATTTAAAGTGGGACAGGCTAAGCTATGACGTTTGGTAGGTTAGGTGTATTAAATGCTGGGTTTATCGGGACGTGACCCCATCATAAGTTGAGGAGCACTTGTATTTTATTTGGTTAACTAATGTCTCTCTCCTCTACGTTTTCAACATGTTATTCCAGAGACAAGGCAGAATTATCCACGGAATCCCATCCTATAAATGGAATATTGCGTTGAAAAAGTATCTTATTTCTCTTTTAGTAATCTTAGTTCTGTCTTTTGGAGCTTGACAGTAAAGATTAATCCTCTCTCCAGAAAACAGGCCTAAAAAATATCAGTCCACATACGTATTACACTGACTCACTACTCCACATAATGAATGTACTTTTTAAATGGTCCAAAAGGATATCTATAATTTCTGAATTGAAAAACCTTAAATATTTCATATTTTAGTGAAGTTGATATTGTTATAAGTACAGGAATTCCCCCACTGGTTATCAGCAGCTTACATTTATTCATCTGCTCTGTAATACATACTATCATCACAGAACAGGTGCTTTTTACAAAGTATTCAAGATAGAAGGGAAGGCAAACAGGAATTTAATTCTGTATGTGTGAGGTATTAAAGTTATTTGATAATATTCAGTCAAATATCTCATACGTGAGATACTTATTTGATAATATTCAGTCAAGCCCCTAAAACATGAGTGTACTCTTTTACTCAATCTTTTGTCATTTCTACCTCTCTCTAGTGTTCATCTTTTCATTCTCATTGCTACTGTTCACATATCAGTAAAGCCCTCATTATCTGTTTTCCCCACCTTCAGCCACAAAATATTGGTTTTATATCAACACACCTCTGCCAGAAAACCCAGAATGATTCACAACTACTTCAAATCTAAGCTTCATTTTGAAGAGTTCAAAGTTTTCCATAATCTGACCCTATTATTATTCAGACCATTCCCCGAACTAAGTCTCTGATCTAACTAATCTCATTTTTCTATGCTCATAATACATGCTTGTTTCTAATTCTATGCCTTTGTCTGTTATATAAATTCATGTTTCCTGATTCAGTCAGTCACGAATTTCTAAAACTTTAAGTACAGTCCTACTCTCAAAAAAATAATATTACAAACTCTTGGTAAGCAGTATTTGCATTATTCAAATCTTTTCCTTTTTAAAATACTTTTCTCCTTTATCAGGAAAAACAAAAAGGCTGTTGATTGTCACTTCCAAAAAGACGGTAACATTCTTAGGTGTCTTTAAGTTACACCGGAATTTGGAAACTTCAAGCCAAATTACAACAATATAACAGAGTACTCAAAAATCAAAACAGCAAAAAATAATGGGCACATGAATAAAAGTACAAAGCAACTTATTGTAAATTTTCAAAATGTCACCTCATTATTATTATTATTATTTATTATTACTATGCTAAGGACAACAGTATCTTAAAATTATAAACCTTCATAGTCTTCCCTTTACTAATCAAAATGAATATTTTTCCAAGACAAAGCAGTCACTTAAATACATAACAAAGATACCAATAAATACCTGTAAAAGACTATTCCACAGTATAGAAAATTAGTAAAAGTGCTGATATTGATGACTATAAATTTCATTCAATTATATTAGGCTAATTAAAATTTAAAGATTTCAAGTTCAAAGGCCAAGTGAGATAATTTATCAAGCAAATTAAATTCTGTGATTAGTGTAATTCATTCACTATGGGTAAAGTAGTTAAAAATCTTTCCGAATTCTCAAAGATGTTCATCAAAACCACTTAATACCAGCTGAAGGGAAACTGAGAGCAGTACTTTATTCTTAAAACATGAAATATATATTTTAAATGCACATATTTATATCAAACAGTAACTAATTGAATTATACCAAACATCCTTATGGTACTCACTACCATATGATAATTATGATCCAAGCAAAAAACTAAAGAAAAGCAAGGTCAGATGAACTTAATATTCAACTGCTGTACTTCTAAGCTTTCCATTTTTTTATGTTGAACAGGTTTTCTAGTTCTAAGGTTTGCCTAGCTGTTGAACTTGTACCTCCTTAACAATTTTGGTTTAGCCAGGGCCTTTCTTTAAAAAAAAAAAAAAATTTTTTTTTGCAATAAAAGAAATTATGGTCTAAATCGCAAAGATGACAAGAAACCTTAGCAATTTAAATAGACAAGCCTTGAAATAATACTGTGATCAAAGTATCAAGCAGCCTAATATAACCCAGCTGGCTCAGGCTTATCATATATGGTACTCATTACCACAATTGCACTATTTAATCTACTTCCTGGTGTCAACAAAAACTTTCTGTTATTAATTCCTCCCAGTTATGGATCTGCTTAAATTATTGCACTTTCTGATAAGACAACCCTTTGCCCAAAAAATTTTTTAAAAAGGAGCAGGTCTTATTTTAAATGTTTTAGAAATGGAACCACAGTTAGTAAAACCACAGAAACCATCGTGGCTTTGTATTATTAGCCATCTATATAAGGGTATGTTAATTTCTATGGAGATAACAGATGACTCATGGTTAACACAATTTTGTAAGGGATCACATGTTTTATCAAAAAGGTAACCATATGCACGTATGCAAAAAGAACTATTGTACAAATTTTTGAAATTCAAGTAAGAGATGTATCCACTGACAAAGGTATACAGGTTAGATTCTGCTAGCCAGTCCTCTTATCCATACACAACTTCATCACTCATGTATATCCTTGTTGGGTTACAACTTGTAAGATTTTGAAGCTATAGCTCTTGTCTTTAAGTAGTTAAATGTTTCTTAGGAACTTGCTTTTACACATAATTTGTTTCCAAAAAGACTCCATTTAGGCAAAGTAAAAATGCTAGGATTATTAAATCTACCTCAACATTGTGCCAAACACTGAAGCAGCAAAAAATTAAATCAAAAAATACGAAGAGATAAATAAGAAAAGGGTAGCGTGATCATGATTACTGTCACTGGATTTACTGGTCTGTCTCAGCCATAGGTACCAGGACATTGAAAAGATGAATTGTGAGAGTTGTTCACGGTGCACACCTTCATTTTTTACAAAGAGCTAGTTGGACTGGTTACAAAGGAGTCACTAACTGCTCAGTGTTTCATGAGTGGCACCCAGCGTTCACACAGATTCCTTACAGCTAACTGATCCATTTCCTTTCCATGCTCTTTTCTCATTCTGCTTGCCCAGATGGCAGTCACGGCAGATTGGAAGCACTGCACAACATACTACTTAACCATACTGTGTACTCAGTAAAGAAGGAAATTCACATGACAGGCTTTATCAGTATTGTCTGTTTAAGTCATCTGCAAAGCAATGTATTCTAGAAAGTCTTCCTGTGTCATCAGTCAGGCACTGATTTCCTAAGTCAAATTAAACCATCTATTCAAACTATTATTTGTAATGGCATTCAGTGATATTTAATAAGAACACATTTTTCTTCCCCTACCCTACCCAGCTTGATCTGTATTTTCAGTTAGTTTCTCCATTCCATGTAGCAAAATAGTAGAGGCTGTGCTGACTTTCAGCAGTGAAATGGGTTTAGTGTCTGTATACATTCAACCACCGCTAATTTTCTGTTGACCTTCATTTTTATTTAATATAATACCTAGTGTACACCCACAAACTTAACTTTCTAAAAATCTGGTGTTAAATTTAATATCATTTGATTTCAGTTGTGCTGATAGTAAATAGTAATGCCAAGAAGCAGCCTTTTAAGTAAATACAATATGTCTACAAGTCACAACTGCAGGCAACTGCATCACTCACTGTGCTTCTGAAAACATACTGGAATTACTGCCACCTCCCTAAATTGTGATGGATTATATATTAGATGGGCATACTGGGTTTTCTGGTTCTGCATTTGCCATTAATTTTAAACTTGGGCATCTCTGGGACTTAGTTTCCCATCTGCTAAAATAATTACAAAAGTTCCTCCTGTGATTCTCTTTGTAAACATGAAAAGTAAGGCTGTAGAGACTCAAGACTCCAATTAGCAGTAAAGCCAAAATCATCAGTAGCCAGAACTCAATGTAGATTTCCTGTTATGCCTATCTGAAAGTTTGCCATACATAAGAAATATATATATTTGCTATACATACATTTTAGAAATATATTCTATTTTAGAAATTTTCTTAACTAAGAACTATAATGGTATATGTGTACACACATTGCTTCCATAATTGGATACTAGCATCTTTTCAGGTTGCCCAGAAGATGAGGAGACAATTTAGACAGAAATGTAAATCTGGATTCTGAAAAAAACATCAGAGTCTCACTGTCGGTCACATCAAGTATCTCTGAAAGGGGCAGGGAGGCAAACCAGATATGGCTTACAATGATCTTAACACTGCATATAACTTCTATACCACCCTATTCCCCATTTTATCAACAGAGAAAATAGCTCATACCCATCAAGGTATTTTATCATCATCCTTTATACAACTCCTCATCCTCTTCTAGTACTGAATCTTTTTAATGTTTTATTTTATCTTTTTTCATGGGGTTGGTGATGCTGGTAGTTGGAGGAAGAAGAGAAATTAAAATATTAAGAAGAAACAATCCACATTACCAATAATCCTGGTAATAGACTTTTTTAAAAACTGAGTACATTTAAAGTATTGGGAGTTGCTACCAAATGACAATGAATCAAAAATGAAAATAAAATACTTCTAATATGACAAAGAAAAAAAGATGGTCAACTTACAAATTTTCAAGAACAAAAGTATCTTATGAAACAAATACATTCAGAATGACTTTGAATTACAAACTTGGAGATACACAGTTACGTAAATATGTGTTTATAACCCCAATACATTCTCCAGGTAAACAAAAATATATTCCAGACACATTTACCTGCATATTAATGTAACATTCACCTTTCAATAATCTGATTCACTAACATAATGCACTAAAACAAGTCCTCCTCATGCTTCTCATGTTCAAGTCAAATACACTGCTTAAAACCACTAAGTTCTATAAATAACAAACATTTCAAAAAATATGTGTAGCAGAAATGTAGGTAAGCAAAGGCCAAAGTGCCCAGCACACAGTTTCCACTCAAATATTGGTTTGATGAATAAACAACAAAAGAAGAAAGAAAGAAAAGCAAAAAGGAGACACTAAAGTGAGAGCAGATGAGCTTGGAATCTATAGTGACTTGAGAACAACTGGAATTTGTAGGACTGCTGCTGCCGCCGCCGCCGCTGCTGCTGCTGTCATTGCTGTCTGCTGAGGATAACAGCATGCCACAAGTCTAGGGAGCCCCATCGAGGGCTCTGCTGCCAAACTCCTTCTACCACAGATGCTGGTTGTGAGGTTAGTAGCCTACCACCAAAATATGTCTCCATAAGGGAGTCACCCATCCAATTCTATACACCAGAAAAAAGATGAGTACAATTCTGCAAAGACCACTAGAATAATTGTATGGCCCTCTCATCGGTCACAGGAAAGAAGGGCTGTCTATCAAAAGACAATGTCTGTAGGTTAGATGTTAGAGGGCAAAAAAAACAGTAAATATGTATATAAGGGTAAGGAAAGAGGGAGACGTGGGGTTTCATTATAAACCTACACCATTACATTATTACTTAAAGTCAAAATAAATACTGCCTTTGTTTTCAACTATATCAGAAAGCATCTAAAATGTACTGAGTAAAAATTACTGGTAGAAAAAAGCATTAAATAATACTCATGGTGGAGAAGTGTTAACGGTATGAAAACACAATTCTGAAACTGCTAATAGGTAAGCCACGAAGAATAATCTCAAACAGATATAAGAACAATCTCAAAACAGATAAAGTCCCAAACTATCAAAATTTCACCTGAAGAGAGATGAATATAAAGCAAACAGAACACTTTACTGGCATAACTAAGATAGCACTCTTTTAGGATGAAGAGCAGTTTGGAAAACTCAGTATTAGCACCAAAACATCAAATGTAATTATAATTAATTATCGATCTGTAAAACATACTTTAGGTAATATATCTAATTGGGGGAACGAAACTGAGTACCATTTCTCCTGGGCAAGATAGGAAGCAAGTCTGAACTTGAAAAAAAGAAATAGCAAGGATCTTTGGTTACATACTGTAATTGTGACTTTTTGACATTTTAATTAGTACTAAAACAGTTCATTTTAATGGCTATTACCTTAAAGTTTAGTAAGAAATTCAAATATCTTTACGTAAAGTTGTTGTGGGTCAAAAGTAAGACAGTTTTTATTTAATTAAAATTTAAACCACTGGGAACAGTAATTTAAGGATTACATTTTTAGACTTGGGGAAACTTAGGAATTTTAAATACTATTTAAGCACTGTATCCACCTGTAATTTTCAAATCTTACGGTATTACTTTAAGTCTGCACAAAATTTGAACAGGTTTTACTTGGCTTCTTTCCAAACCATAGCACTTATGCTTTGGGGACTAAGGGAGAGTATAGCGTAAAGCACTTTAATTTCTTTAAGCAGAAAAATCTTTTACCTTGACCACATTTTCAAAAGTATATCCTTTCATGCACAAGAGTTTCTCAACTCATTTTTAAAAAAGAAAAAGAACTAAATTGTAAAACATGAAGTAAATGCAAAAATATTTTTCAAGCTTTCAAAATGAAGCTAGACTTTGTTCCTACTATTGTATTTAAAATCTTGAGACACTCAAACTGAAAGAACCAAAAAGCCATGAAAATACGAGAACTGATGCTTCCTATTCAGATTTTGCTTCTCGTATATTCTAATCACCTTAATAAACCAAAAACCAAACACATAAAGTAAATTTAGGTTTTTAAGTTAAAGTTTTACATCACAAACCAGGCTTTTCTGAGTTATCCAAAAAAATGTAAGTGAGCAATAATCTAAAGTTCATTGCCCTGATTATTTAGCAGTAAATCACTAAATGTGAACAGTTTTAACATTTTCAAAATACTACGTAACAAAAAGATGAGTATCAAGGGGAATTATATCATAATTCAGTGTACAGATTCTCTCTAGTTACCTGCATACATAATGCTTCTAAAACCAAGTATCTATTAAGTATTTTACTAAATATTTTAAATAGAACCAACTGCAATATGGGCCCCGAGGTTCTATAAACATGACACTAACATCATTATCAGGAGAACTTTCATGTATAAAAACAAACGTCAAAAACAACTTCTCTACCTGGATACTAAAGCAACAGCAATATCTGAAAAGTATTTTCAAGGAATCTGAACAATAAAGATGTCAAATAAAAAATATATACATATTAGTTTGTTCTTGATTTCTAGAGGTGTGTGTGCCACTTATGAGGACCCAAACATACAAATAATCAGAACACATTCAAAAGACACAACTTTCTTGTTTAACAGTTTCTTAAAATTGCAACTGACATCTATCTATAGAATCAAACTTCACCTCTCCTGTGAAGTCATCCCCGAAAGGAATTAGTGGCTGATAGCTGAGTGTTCGCATCATTTTTTCCTTCCGTAGTCTGGACTTATATCAATTCTGTTTTACAATTTTTTTATGTACACACTTGTCTCTCCCACTTAAAATCTTCTGAGGCAGTAAGCAGGATTTGGTGTCTTTGTATCTTTTTTACTTCCCACTCAAGTAATTTGCTGGCTAAATGCTGAAGTGAATTACAGTGGACTAATTTTTTTTTCTGGATATTTGAAACATTTTATTATACCTCCACACTTGACCACAACGATATGAGGTCACTAGGTAAACATGCTATTTTTCTGCAGTAAATTTCAAAACATGCCCCCAAACTGTCTACATATTATTTCTAACAGTTCTACCAAAAATATATCATTTTTAAAAATGCAACAAAAGAAAGAGAGTTTTGAAAAAATCTGTCAAACAGACCACAACGATCACTGACTAGTCATACAGATAGGGGGTAAGACAAAATAATAAGTAAACACATGTCTATTCACAAAATGTCCCCATCTGTCTAAAAAATATTAAAAGCTTTCTCTGTCCAAATTCAACTCTTCTCTGAGCTCTAAAGCAATACAAAGGCAAAATAGTAACCACAGACTAGGTTTCCAGCAGTTTTACCCTAGGTGTGGGCTGCAGGAAAGCTGAGAAGGAAGGTGAGATTTGAGGAAGCAAGTAACTAAGCAGAGATTTTCTCCAATGTAAAACATGACTAACTTGCACAGAGAGCACTGCAAATAACATCACCATACAAACTTATTCTCTCCAACCTCAGTCACACAAAAATAACCCTATGCTGGGAAAAACTACTCTAAATACATCAATATTTTAATTACAGTTTTGTCAATTCATATTTTAGCCTCTGAAAGGATTGATTCTACAACTCTGCTTTTCTTTTCAAAACTTAAACAAAATATGTTAACAGTCGACACTAGTATCTCTTACTCCAACACCAAATTTGATTAATACAAAAACAAATAATTTTCAAGTAACAATTTTCTCCTACTGAAAATGAAAAAAAAACAGATAAAAGCTATGTGTTTTATTTATCACTACATTGTGAACTATCACTTTAATAATTATACATGGTGCACACATGAATACTGTCTGAGTAAAAAGATATTATTTTAATTCCCCTAACTGAATTTTAGGAGTACAAGGCAGTCTTCATGCTTCGTTTTGAAATCAACCTATTTTGAAGGCTAAGGATCATCCTTTGTGTTGTAGTAAGCAAAATTAAAAATTGGCCACTCCAAATATGAAAATTATGGATTTGGCTCTGACGCAAAATAAAGTAAGCTTCCTATATCACCTGAAATAGTAAATCAATTTAGCCTGCTGAAAAGCAAGGCAGTGAGTTATTGAATCTGTGTTTAATTCAGTGCACTTTATAACATATTTAAGGAATTCAGTTGTATAAAACAGTATCTGAATCTTATAAGATGAAAATATTTCTCCCTTTTAGCAAGCCTTGGGTTGCACGTTTGAGAAAACAAATTAGTCTCCAGTTCTGCTAAGCTTGATAACAGTGCCCCCTAATGGGAATTTTAGTATGAGTTTTTCTACTCTTTTTTGTTTGAAAAAGCATATATTCTCTAATATGATCAAATTATTTCACTTTCAACTAGAAGGTAAATTCTGTAATATAAAAGTTTATGAAGACTGAATCCACTCAAAGGAGTTACCACATGTGCAAAAACAAATTGTGAATTAAGAGAGAGACAAGCAACAGAAAACTTATAATAACAGTTTTCTAGGTTTTGAATCATCCACTAGCATAATCTAACACAGAACAATACAAAACATTAATCTCATAAGGAAATTATCATTCTCGTTGTTTCTAGTACTCAAGTGAGCAATTAAAAAGATACTAGAGTCAGAAAAAATTGGTTCAGAAGTTATTCTATGTTGCACAGCTCCAAAGTATAAAGCTGAGATTTCCACCCAGGTTTTTTGGCCTCATACCATTATCTTTCCACAATGCCTAGTCACAGGTCAGCAACCATGAATTACAACTTAATATGTGTTTTCTTTTTAAATGAAAAAGGCACTAAAACTAAAGCAAAAACTACCTATTCTGATACTTCCTAGGTGTGCCAGTGAAACAAACATCCTATAGTGTATTTTCGTTTCAGTGCTCAAAATATATTCTGAGCTCCGTCAAGATTAAAGGTAACATCAAGAACAAATATCGCACAAAAAATTATCAATTTATGATGAAAGAGAGGATTTACTGCCTTATTCTTTAACTTTACAGGAGAGGGAGAACAATAAGACATGAAGTTACATAAATCACAGGTGGTCAAAATTTCTTTAAGGGTCAGACAGTAAATATTTCAGGCTTAGGACCCATATGGTCTCAGCCACAACTACTCAACTGTGCCACTGTAGCGGGAATGAAGCCATTAAAAAATATGTGAATGGGCATCACCGTGTCCCTACAAAACTTTATTTACAAATCAGATCATTGTTTGTCCATCTCTGATTTAAACCATTTATTAACATTTCACTTTTGGACAACAGATTAAAAATCTCCTCTTTACATGAGGCACCAAAACAAACAAACAAAACACCTGAAATATATACTCATTAAAATTATGAAATATTTGGTATATTACCTCCCCGAGGTGGATGGCACAAAAAAAGATCTTCCTCTGAATAACTGCTAGTTTTAGAGAGCACAAAACAATAGAAAAGCAGTAAGAAATGCAATGGGTCTTTACCATGATTTTTAAAAATCAACATACAGGACTATTCTAATATATATCCATATAACAGAAAATTATAGTTTTTATCTAAGTTTAATAAAAATCTACTGGTGACTACATTTTAATGCCCATTAATATAGAGTATATGGGTTAGCAAGGAGGTGAAAAACCTCTACGAGGAAAACTACAAAACACTGCTCAAAGAAAACATAGACTACACAAACAAATGGAAACACATGCCATGCTCATGTATGGGTAGAATCAATATTGTGAAAATGACCATACTGCCAAAAGCAATCTACAAATTCAATGCAATCCCCATCAAAATACCACCATCATTCTTCACAGAACTAGAAAAAACAATCCTAAAATTCATATGGAACCAAAAAAGAGCCTTCATGGCCAAAAGAAGACTAAAGCAAAAATAACAAACCTGGAGGAATCACATTACCTGACTTCAAACTACTGTGAGGCCATAGTCACCAAAACAGTATGGTACTGGTATAAAAACATGAATATAGACCAATGGAACAGAATAGAGAACCCAGAAATAATGCCAAATACTTAGAGTTAACTGACTTCGACAAAGCCAACAAAAACACAAAGTGGGGAAATGACACCCTATTCAACAAATGGTGCTGAGATAATTGGCAATCCACATGCAGAAGAATGAAACTGGATCCTCATCTCTCACCTTATACAAAAATCAACTCAAGATGGATCAGAGACTTAAATCTAAAACCTGAAACCATAAAAATTCTAGAAGCTAACATTGGAGAAGCCCTTCAATACAGTGGCTTAGGCATATTTCACGACAAGAACCCAAAAGAAAATGCAACAAAACCAAGATAAATTGATGGGACTTAATTAAACTAAAAAGCTTCTGCACAGCAAAAGAAATAATCAGCAGAGTAAACAGACAACCCAGAGTGGGAGAAAATCTTCACAATCTATATAACCGACAAAGGACTAATATCCAGAATCTACAACGAACTCAAACAAGTCAGCAAGAAAAAAACAATTGCATCAAAAAGTGGGCTAAGGACATGAAAGAGGATATACAAATGGCCAACAAACATATGAAAAAATGCTCAACATCACTAATTATCAGGGAAATGCAAATCAAAACCACAATGCAATACCACCTTACTCCTAGCTAAAACGTCCATAATAATAAAAAAAAAATTATAGATGTTGGCCTGGATGGGGTGAAAAGAAAACACTTTTGGTGGGAATGTAAACTAGTAGAATGACTATGGAAAACAGTGTGTGGTGACTGCTTAAAGAATTAAAAGTAGATCTACCATTTGATCCAGCAATTCCATTCCTGGGTATCTACCAAGAAGAAAAGAAGTCACTATACAACAAAGATACTTGTACATGTATGTTTATAGCAGCACAATTTGCAATTGCAAAAATATGGAACCAGCCCAAATGCTCATCAATCAATCAGTGGATAAAGAAAATGTGTTGCATATATATATATATTATGGAATATTATTCAGCCATAAAAAGTAACAAAATAATGGCATTTGCAGCAACCTGGATGGAATTAGAAATCATTATTCTAAGTGAAGTAACTCGGGAATGGAAAACCGAACATCATATGTTCTCATTCATAAGTGGGAGTGAAGCTATGAGGATGCAAAGGCATAAGACCGATACAATGGGCTTTGAGGAATTGGAGAAAGGGTCGGGGGCGGGGTGGTTAAGGGTTGAAAGACTACACACTGCATACAGTGTACACTGCTCAGGTGATGGGTGAACCAAAATCTCAGAAATCACCACTAAAAAACTCATTCATGTAACCAAACACCACCTGTTCCCCAAAAACCTATTGAAATAAAATATATATATATTAAAATTAATAATAAAACCTGCTTCCCCCAAAAAAGAAAAAGTTAGGTGTTACATTGTATTGAAAATGCTAATTGTGATAAAAACACAAAAGAATAAAGAAAAATTACTACGGTGGGAAAGAAAATGAAGACAGAAATAATTATGTCCAGTATCTGTATATCTAGAAATACGTGAATAGTACATTCGAGGCCAGGAGGAATGAGCCTTAGTTTAATAACTGACCATTGGATCACATCACAATTCACTGTCTTTGTGAGGACAACGGATTGAGAAACAGCACTTGGCAAGTTTGTAATCTTCTCTCAAATCAGAGTTGGGTGAAATATCAACTGCATAATAATGGGCCCTTTAATTCTGAATAAAAGACAGTTACTAACTTTGCATTTTTTCAGAGCTACAGTTAGAATGGAAACTGTGGCTATCACCATCAAGCCTGTCATCTCACCAACTTCTTAGAGAAACTATGGCAAGGCTCTGGAAGACAGAAAAAGTAAATGTTTATAGGGAATGAATAATCTGAGATGAAAAAGAAAGAGTGGAAAGGATAGAAGTAGGGAAACTTAAATGGAGAGAATGTAATATGGGAAAATGTTTGAATGGAAAGCATAGTCATCCAGGAAAAAGGCCAGATAGAGGACAGCACACAAATAAAAAAGAGGGAATGTTACCATCACCAAGAACACAGTCATTCTAAAGGGTTGAGGAGTAAATGGTTGTCAGAAAATTTATGAATATTTTTAAAATTCTCATGAAAAATAAAATGGAGAGATCAATGCAAATATTTTTAAAAAAAGAATATATGGGTTAGGTGAAAGAACCTAAAATTTAAATCTATCACATGAGGTTATGAAAAACTAAAGAAGACTGTTGTCTTAGATTTTTCACATGTATAAGAAAATGACAATTCCGATTAATTTCTAAAGGCAGACCAAGAAAAACTTATTTACTTGTTTTACACAAAAAGCGGATTTCAGATACGGAATAATGACCTACACTCAACATCCTTTAACCTCTGGCATACACTTCACTAAGAGTCTAAGAGTCTATTATAGTAGAAAAACCATGGTATTTGGAATCCAGCCAGCTACCAGTTTCAGTCCCTGTATTACCAATTCCTAGTTAAATGATTTCTGATAAGTTATTTATGTCACTAAACATCAGTATCCTAATTCTGGAAAATGAGACTGAAAAGACCTTCAACTGTGCAGATTAACAACTAATCATAGGCAATTTATATAAGTACACAGAATACAATGCCTATTTTTATTATTTAATGCTAAACTTAAGTCTCTATCTCAGGACTGTTAAAATATATTTTAATATTTACAATTGTTTGATTTAAATTTAAAATTTTTTTAAATTGAAATTTTAAAAACTTCAATTGTTGTAATGTTTTTAAATTTAAATTTTTACATTGAAAAAATATTAAATGTTTTCATTTAAATGTTTAACATGCATGTTCATGCTCATTTTCTCTCTTGCCTGCCACCATCTAAGACATGTCTTTTGCCTTCTGCCATGACTGTGAAGCCTCCCCATCCACGTAGAACTGTGAATCCATTAAATCTCTTTTTCTTCAAAAATTGCCATGTCTCAGGTATGTCTTTATCAGTGGCGTGAAAATGGACTAATACAGTAAATTGGTACCAAGAGTTGGGTGCTGCTGTAAATACCCGAAAATGTGGAAGTGACTTTGGAAGTGGATAACAGGCAGAGGCTGAAACAGTTGGGAGGGCTCAGAAGACAGAAAAACTGTAGGAAAGTTTGGAACTTCCCAGAGACTTGTTGAATGGTTTTGACCAAAATGCATAACGAAAATCCAGGCTGAGGTGATCTCAGAGGAACTTGTTGGGAACTGTAATAAAAATGACTCTTGCTATGTTTTAGCAAAGAGACTGCTAAATGATTTGTGGAACTCTGAACTTGAGAGAGATGATTTAGGGTATCTGGTGGAAAAAATTTCTAAGCAGCACAGCATTCAAGAGGTGACTTGGGTGCTGTTAAAATCATTCAGTTTTAAAAGGGAAACAGAGTATAAAAGTTTGGAAAATTTGCAGCCTAACAATGCGATAGAAAAGAAAAGCCCATTTTCTGAGGAGAAATTCAAGCAGAAATTTGCATAATGAGGAGCCAAATGTGCATCTCCAAGACAATGGGAAAAATGTCTCCAGGGCACGTCGGAGACCTTCACAGCAGCAGCTCCCACCACAGGCCTAGAGGCCTAGGAGGAAAAAATGGTTTTGTGGGCCCTTCTGCTGTGTGTAGCCTAGGGACTTGGTGGCCTACCTCCTAGCCACTCTAGCCATGGCTAAAAGGAGCCAAGATACAGCTTGGGCTGTGGTTTCAGAGGGCGCAAGTCCCAAGCCTTGGCAGCTTCCACGTGGTGTTGAGCCTGCTGGTGCCCAGAAGTCAAGAATTGAGGTTTGGGAACCTCCGCCTAAATTTCAGAGGATGTACGGAAATGCCTGCACATCAGGCAGAAGTTTGCTGCAGGGGCAGGGCCCTCATGTAGAACCTCTGCTAGGGCAGTGCAGAAGGGAAATGTGGGGTTGAAGCCCCCACACAGAGTCCCCACTGGGGCACTGCCTAGTGGAGCTGTGAGAAGACGGCCACCGTCCTCCAGACCCCAGAATGGTAGATCCACCAACAGCTTGCACCATGCACCTGGAAAAGCCGCAGACACTCAATGCCAGCCCATGAAAGCAGCCAGGAGGGAGGTTGTACCCTGCAATGCCACAGGGGCAGAGCTGCCCAAAGCCACAGGGACAGAGCTGCCCACTTCTTGCATTAGCTTGACCTGAATGTGAGACATGGAGTCAAAGGAGATCACTTTTGGAGTTTTAAGATCTGACTGCCCCACTGGATTTCAAGACTTGCCTGGGGCCTTCAGCCCCTTCATTTTGGCTCATTCTCCCATTTGAAATAGGTGGATTTATCCAATGCCTGTACCCCCATCATATCTAGGAAGTAACTAACTTGCTTTTGATTTTACACGATCACAGGTAGAAGGAACTTGCCTTGTTTCAGATGAGACTTTTGACTGTGGACTTTTGAGTTAATGCTGAACTGAGTTAAGACTTCGGGGCACAGTTGGGAAGGCATGATTGGTTTTGAAATGTGGGGACATGAGATTTGGGAAGAGCCAGGGTGGAATGATATGGTTTGGCTGTGTTGCCACCCAAATCTCATCTTGAATTGTGGCTCCCATAATTCCCACATGTTGTGGGAGGGACTCAGTGGAAGATAACTGAATCACGGGAGCAGTTGCCCCCATACTGTTCTTGTGGTAATTAATAAGCCTCACGAGATCTGATGATTTTATAAGGGGAAACCCCCTTCACTTGGTTCTCATTTTCTTTCTTGCCTGCCACCAAGTAAGACGTGCCTTTCACCTTCCACCATGATTGTGAGGCCTTCCCAGCCATGTGGAACTGTGAATCCATTAAACCTTTTTCTTTGTAAGTTAGCCAGTGTGGGGTATGTCTTTATCAGCAGCATGAAAATGGACTAACACAAATAACATACACTTGTGTCCTTGCTAGCTAACTTAATTTTACCAATAAAGCTGAAGTCTTCTGTGTCCCCTCTATACCTCCCCTTCCAGACGTAACTATTACCCTGAATTTGGTGTTTATTATTCTCATGCATGTTTATACTCTTACTACATATGTATGTATCTTTTATCAGTATGTAGTATTATATTTTTTTAAATTTCACACAAATAGCAGCATGTAGTGCTTATTCTGCAGCTTGCTTTTTCTCTAACCCAAGTGAAGAAGCAGAGAAAACTGGCAGGAAAACCAAAGAATTGAGGTTTTGTTTTTCTTATCAGTTAAAGGTCCTAAATGATCATTTTTTTTAAAAAATCTACTCTCGCGAAGTCTACCTATGTAAATCCAAACACACAGTTATTCTTCTGTTCTCAGTTTTCCAATCTGTAAAATTAGGATAATAATCTGTGCTTCTTATTCCATGTGAAACTTTTGAAATAAACATTCTTTTAAAACTTTGAAAATAAAGAGCTTGTAGAAATTTAAAAAATAAAGTACATGTTCGTGAAATAAAACATTGGTCAATTCAAGTACTTCAAGCTCGTAAAAGAAGTTAGCTTCCAATGATCTAGAATTAGTAATATATTTTGTTTCGTTCGCCTACCATAATTGCAATGAATATTATTTCTTCATATTCTAAACCAAGAATATGATTTAAAAAATTAATTACCTGAGAAAACTGTGTGACAGTGTTAACTGTTCTGGAATAGATTCTACTTCCAACTGTGCCACCAACCCAGTAACCAAACAAAAAACTTAAACCTCTCAAGCTCCTCACTTGTAAACCAAAGAAACTGCATTAACAATCTCTTCTTTTCCAGACCTAAACTAGTGATTATTTAAATATAATTAAGTACCCCCACATATGTGCATGTATAGAGAAACAGAGGTATTCTAATACTGCCAGAAAGAACTACAGAGAAATCTCAACCTTAATTCTGTGGGAGGTAATTCAAATGAAATAGGGAGAGCATAGCCAGGTTAAAAAAAAAAGATGCACACTGCATAAGGGTTTAAAAAAATCCAAGTATGCTAGTGTTCAGGTGCCTAGAACAAAAGTAGCCCTGGTTAGTTTCTAGAGGAATTACTTTAATGAAAACCTGCTTTGCAGACAAACTGCAAGGTATTTCACTTTAGCAAGCATATACTTTGTGTTTATTATATGCTCAAGGTACTATGAAGGTGTGTAAGTCAAATGAAGCAAGTAACATTCTATCAAAGTTAATGTGATCAGTTAAAAGTCATATCAAAAATGACAAAAAGGAAATTAAGAAAAATCCAATTTACAATAGCATCACAAAGAATAAAATACTTAGGAATACACTTAACCAAAGAGGCAAAACACTCGTAAACTGAAACTACAAAACGCTGCTAAAAGATGATGTATATAAATGGAAAGAAAAGCCATGTTCAGAGGTTAGACTTCATCTTATTATGTTGTCAATACTACTCAAAGACAGATTCAATGCAATACCTATCAAAATCACAATGACATTTTTTGTAGAAATAGAAAAATCTATTCTAAAATTCATATGGAATCTCAAAGGACCCTGAATAGGCAAAACAATCTCAAATGAGATGAACAAAATTTCTGACTTCAAAACCTATTACAAAGCTGGAGTAATCCAAAAAGTGTACTTCTGACATTAAGACAGACATACAGACCAGTGGAATAAAACAAAGAGCCCAGAAATAAACCCTGGCATATATGGTGTCAAGTGATCTTTAACGAGGGTGCCAAGATGGGACCCTCAATGGGAAAGGACAGTCTCTTCAACAGATGGTGCTAGGAAAACTGGATATCCACATGCCAAAGAACGAAGCTGGACCCTTACCTTGTATACAGCACAAAGATTAATTCAAAATGGATTAAAGACCTAAACATAAGACCTGAAACTTCCTACCAAAAAACAGAGGAAAAAAGCTTCATGACATTGGATTTGGCACTGATATCTTCAATACAATACCAAAAGCACAGGCAACAAAAGCAAGAACAGACAAATGGGAGTATATCAAATGTAAAAACTCCTGCCCAGCAAAGGAAACAATCAACCTAGTAAAAAGGCAACTTACAAAATGGGAGAAAATACATATTGCAAACCCCATATCTGATAAGAGGTTAATATCCATAACTCCTTCAACTCAACAGGAAAAAAAAAGCCTCCAATTTTAAAATAAGCAAAGGACTTGAATAGACATTTTTTCAAAGATATACAAATCACCAACAAGCATATGAAAAGATGCTCAACATCAGTAATCATCAGAAGTGCAATTCAAAACCACAATGAGATGATCACCTCACATCTGTTAAAATGGCCATTATCAAACACACAGAAAATAACAAGTGTTGACAAGCATATTAAGAAATTGGAACCCTTGTGCAAGGTTGGAAATGTAAAATGGTGCAGCTGCTATTAAAAAAAACATACAGAAGTTCCTCAAAAAATTAAAAATAGAATTACCATGTAATACCACTTCTGGGTACATATCCAAAAGAAAATGGAAACAGGATTTTGAAGAGATATTTGCACACCCATGTTCACTGCAGCATTATTCACAATAGCCAACAGGTGGGAGCAACCTAAACTTCCATCGCCAGATGGCTGGATAAGGAAAATGTGGTATATACAGATGATGAATTATTATTCAGCCTTAAGAAAAAAGAAGAAAATCCTGTCATTGCTACAACATGGATGAACTTTTAGGACATTATGCTAAATAACATAAGTCACTCACAAAATAATAAATGCCACATGATTCCACTAACATGAGGTATCTGTAGTCAGACTCTTGGAAACACAAAGTAGAATGGTGGTTGCGGGGATGAAAGAGGTGGAAAAAGGGATTGTTCGATGGATACAGAGTTTGAGCTTTGCAAGATGAAATAGTTCTAGAAACCTACTGCACAATATGCATACACTTAACACTACTGTAATGTATACTTAAAATTTTTATGTGCTTTTTACAATAAAAAGTTACACAGAAAATGAAACCAGGGATTTCAAACAAGTGAGAAGTTATTTTCAACTTGATTTTTAAAAAATCTTCTAGATGCTGATTTTAGCCTTTGATGTGAGCTTTTAACTACTCTCAGCCTTTGCTAACAAAGGAACTACACCTATAGTACAAAAATAAAATTTCTGAAATGCTTGAGGAGTATCTTCTTTCTGAAGCAGAAAATTGAACTCCATCTCTTTCTAAACACTGACTTATTCAAAAGAGGATAGAAGGGAATGGATAACAGACACATAAGGATGATCTTTGTCCCTCAAAACTTTATTTAGCAAGCTGATTTCATGTTGACAAAGTCAACATCAGCACAGTTCCTATCCAATCTATGACAAATCAGAATCACAAATTCCAAATAAGTAAAGGCCAAACTAATGATGTCTATAGTATAAACCCTCATTTCCCAGAATTTATATAATTTTCCCAAAGTATCAGACATCAAGTGAAGTAGGCTAGCCTGACAGATTCCCAATTCACACATTATCAAAAGTTATGGTGAGACCTGTGTCAATATCCATTTGTATGCACTGCAAAGACACACTTGTGATGAACACCCTTACCTTCATCAAAGTCAGCATCATCCTCTGTGTGCTGAGGGAAAGGAAAGCAGTTGGTAATTTCAAGCCGATCTTCTACAACCAGACCCAAAAGCACTCCTTGAACAACTTCAGTTCCTTGTCCTTCTTCTTGATAATGTTTGATTATCTTTAATACCACCTAAAACATACACACACAGAAGGGAGCTTAACAACCATCCTAGTTTATTATTTCCTTTATTTCTAAGAAAAAACAAAAGAAACTGTACTAGGTTTGCAAAACCACAAATTAAATAAGAGGAATAAATAAATGTCTTACAAATCCTTTCCTTTACCCTTACATAAATAATAAAGCTCACATAATCTAAACGCAGATCTGAAACTCCAGGAGTTTGATTACATGTCAAAAACGTCCATCTACAGCAGTTATGCTCTTAAATCAAAGCTTCCCCATGGTCTGGCATCCAGGAGTTCCTTCAGCCAAATCAAAGAATACCCCCTCAACCTGAGGCTATTATTGAGAAAGTGATCCTGTTAATAGACACATAAATGACAAAACTATCAATAAGACACAGAGATAAAGGTCTCAATTATCGGGACACCTGAAAGCAGAGCCTTCTGATAAATTCTCATTTTGCCTTTCTCAACAGATCATCTCCATAGTCAGAGGATGCAACAACGGGAACACGTACCCACACATATCCAACAACAATCTGGTTGGTATAGTCTCCAGCATGATCTAGTTTTCCTCAACCAGAAGGATTCACTAAGCAACCTCTAATGGAATAACCAGGTCTTCTACTACTCTCTCCTTTAATATTCCCATAAAGATAAGAGGTAACACCGTGCACAGGTGGACAAGAAATTAAAGTCTGCAATAATCATAATCATTAATAATTCCTACAACATGGCGTTAATATATGTAAAGTGTTTTATAGTGCCTGGCACATATTAATAATAATAGCATTAATATTTAATATGAGCCCATGGCCTGAAGACCCAAAAGGCAACACATTCAAAATTGTAATGTAAAGTTCTCAGAGGAAAAATAATTCTAACAAGAAAATGACAATTTATTTGTACGTTATTAGTGTTTCATTTAAAACAAATATATTATTGTTAGAAACGAAGTAATGGGTGGGCCAGGCACACACAGGGTGAGCAGCTACTTCTGTGTGCAGCCTGAGCCCACAGGTCAGCTCAGCCACACGGATGGTGAAGAAACAGCCTAAGAGAGAATCAATGCGGTTGTCAGCTAAACCTGCTCCCGCCAAAGTGGAAACGAAGCTAAAAAAAGGCAGCAGGAAAGGATAAATCTTCAGACAAAAAAGTGCAAACAAAGGGAAAAAGGGAGCAAAGGGAAAACAGGCCAAAGTGGCTAACCAGGAAACTAAAGAAATTTACCTGCACAAAACGAAGAAACTAAAACTGAGAAGAGTCCAGCCTCTGATGACGCCAGAGATAAAGAAGCCAAGTTTGACTGATATCATAACACACTGTATCTTATCAGTGGTCCCTATTTCCCATCTTGTACAACCCAGAGGAATACTGTTACCAACTATTTTGTAAACACAGGTTTGTGTGAGATACTGAATTATGGGAGGGTTTGACTGTCCTGAGTGTCAGCTTAACATTCCATAGTTGGGGGGTTAGTTTTTATATCCTGTAATACAAAGCATACTAAATGGCAATATGGAGTTGCAGTCCTGCATTTAATGTCTTGAACATTTTAAATTACTTTCATTCCCACATTATTTTTTAGTAGAATTGTTTCCTAAAGAAAAACACTCTTTGATCATGGCTCTCCCTGTCATAATTCTGTGCACTGTAACATCTTTGGTCGTGGTAGTCCTGCTTTTCTAATGAACTTTGTTAATGTGCTGTGGAAGATTGAAAATTTGAGTATGTAGTCTATATGGTATTATACTGTGAATTGGTGAGATCTATGTAACAGCTTACTAACATGTGAAGATACTGGTACTTGATAGCCTCTTATGGAAAATTTGCTTCCCAATTTTAAGCTGGAAAGTCACTGAAATAACTTTTTAAAAATTACAACACATGGCTTTTTAGATTTTCAGTATATATGTTAAGAATTGTGTACAAATTGAAATGTCTGTGTACTGATCATCAACACGACCAATAAACCAATTATGAAAGAAAAAAAGAAACTAATGACCAGTTAATAACAGCACATTACATTTACTAAACATTGTATGACAGGCAATAATCTAATTATTTCACATGTATTACCCTATCATGTAATTCTCACAACCACCTTAGGAGAAAGGTACTGTTAATACTCATTTTATAGATAAGAAAACTGAGGCAGAGAGAAATTAAGTAAATGGCTAAAGGTCACACATCTAGGAAGTAGTAGAGCCAAGATTTAAACCTAGTTTAAACCTAGTTTTAGGTTTAAAAGTAGGTTTTTAAACCTAGTTTTTAAACCTGGGAGATGATTTTCATATTAGTAACTAAATTGATAGTTAAAATAACCAGGTAGTAATAGACAACAGATATGCAGTAAAAACTGTGTTATGAATAGACCCAAAAAGACTACACCAGTAAGATACAGAACTCCAAAGGAGAGCAAGCAGTCAGCAGGGAAAAGAGCTCAAAATGGAGTAACACCAACTAATAAGATTGGCAGACCTTCAATACTACGAAATGAAAGTGCACAACCTACACATTCCTGTATGAAAGACCTCTCCACTTCTTGAAAGGCACAAAAATGGACTTGATGAGTCATACAAGTATGGGTATGAGTTCCAGCTCCAGCATTTACTAGCTGTGACCTTGAGAAAGCTATTTAATCTTCTCAAGCCTTAGATTCTAATTTGCAAAATAGCACTATTTCATAGCATTACTGACACTACTAAAAATGACACAGTATAGAGTTCTCTGCACAGAGTCTGCCACATAGTAAGTGCTCAATAAATGACCAATATTGTTGATATTTGTCAATAACTATTTAATGCTTATTCAACATACCTCTCTGCCAAGAAAAATTATTTCTACACTTAAAAAATAGAACAAATACAGGTGATCAAGACGGGATAAACTAAACTGATAAAGAGTTATTACAAACACAACTACCAATTCACCTAGGTTACCTAGATTCCTTTATACTTACCCCTACTAATGAGATTGCTAAACCACTACTGAAATCAAAGTAAACAAGAGATATTAGAAGATATATGAGCTTAACATAGTTCTTCAGACAAATTCTAGAAGTGATTCCTAAACAGCTGATTCCTACATATGCAAAAGGGAATACTGGTGACTAGGACCAGCACAGTTTCATAAAGAAGCCAGATGAAAATAACCTCATTTCCAGTTATGAAGAAAATAGCAATAAAAAAATTAATATATTTTAAAACAAGTTATTACAGTTCAAACTATATTGAAAACTGTCTTAACTCTAACAAAAGTGAATTCTAAAGGGATCAGTAAGGATAATGTAACCAAACAGCACACCAGGCTTGACATGCTTGCCAAACAGCCAATGCAATTTTATGTAGTATCAATAGAATACAGCGCTCCAAGTAAAAGAAATAATTATCTCGCTCTTTCGACATCACTGAACTGTTATCCTCAGTTCTTTACAATGACCCAAGAGAAAATTTACCAGTAACAGTACCAAACTAAGAAATGAGAAAAGCACAAAAAACAATCAGTATGAGTAAGAATCCACAGAAAAGGGTAATTACAAGAGAGAAAGCTTAAAATCCTGTGATGAGAACCAGTAAAATTAATGCAAATCTCTCTCTAGGCAAGGGACACTCAAAAAAAGCACTTTCCAAATACTGAAGAGTTCTTTGGCTGCTTAGAGGATTAGTCTTACTTTGAAGGCAAAACCTAAGAACCACAGGTGACAGTTTCTGGAAAGAAGATTTCAACTCTAAGGATAAATTCTCTCTAGTACTGAAGGCTGTCCAAAAAAGAAAGCATTCAGGAAAGACTCAATCACTAAAATAATTTCCAACTTTAATATTTATGATCTTGTCATTTTAATATAATCTGATAAAGTACTCAGGAAAAAATCACTATTATCAAAACTAAGCTAGCTCATTCTTCATTGTGACATTTTATGATCGTCCTATTTCCTACATACACACTAAAACCTCAGTTCTTTAGTTCAAGAAGTAATGTCATGGAAATGCCTTACAGTAGGATTCATTTGGAGCAGGGGTTCCCAACCCCAAGGCCACGGACAGGTACTGCTCGGGAACTGCTCTGTGGCCTGATAGCAACCTGGCTGCACAGCAGGAGGTAAACTGCCTAAGCTCTGTCTCCTGTCAGGTGACCAGTGGCACTGATTCTCATAGGAGCACAAACCTTTACTGTGAACTGCACATACAAGGGAGCTAGGTTGCATGCTCCTTTGAAGAATCTAATGCCTGACAATCTGAAGTGGAACAGTGTCATCCAGAAACCATCCTCTCACATCCCCGCAACCCCCCACGTGGAAAAACTGTCTTTCACGAAACCAGTCCCTGGTGCCAGAAAGGTTGCAGACACTGATTTAAATGTTAAAAGGAAAGGAAATTCCTGATTAAATATAACTAAATGACATACATACTTCTGCTATTCTACATAGATAACCAAGAATTTGCCATGTATATATATTTCAAAGTTTCATAGATTCGAAGTATCTTTTAATAGAGACAGAATCCATGTTGTGCTCATTGTTTCCCCTCGTGAATGTTCCCATAAAAATGAAAGGATGATTTACTCACCACATCTTCAACACCTAACACAGATACTGGCACATAAAAGATACTCAAAATATATTTTGCTGAAGGAATGAATGGCAAACACTTATCACTTATGATATGTCAAGCACTCCACCGTCTTACGTGCAAGGACTCATTTAATCCTTACAACCACCCTGTGAAGTCAGTTATATTATTTTCCCATTTTACATAAGGAAACAAAGATAAGCTGACAGGGAATTTAGCCAGGGAAGTGAGATCTGACTTCTGAGTCCAAAGCACTTCTAATTACTTCACAATAAATGAGTGATACCAAACTGAGTGCACCAAATATGTTGATAACAGCAAGGCTGAAAAAGACACATGGAAAGCTTAACCATTCTTCAAAACAAAAACACTCTCCTGTTATATTTTGCTTATATGTATCACAAATGACCCCACATTTGTGATACATATACACTCAGGAGCCCTATTTACTCATTCCCAGCTGAGCAAAATCACCTAAAGAGCTTTTTTTAGATAAATGAAGAGGGGTCCTCATTCTGGATACACATTAGAGCCATCTGGGGAGCTTTAAAGTATACTAATGCGTGAGCACACTCCTGAAATTCAGCTAACTGATACCGGCTGGGTTCCTATACTGGGTTTGGTAGGTGGTGTCTGTTTTTAGTTCTCCAACTTACTCTAACATCCTATTTAGTTCTAATTTCTAATGAAGTTGTATGGCCTAGCTTTCCTTTGTTTTTGTTTTGTTGTAACTCCTCAGGTGACTACAATACACTGCTGGTCAAACCCCAATTTCCTTTCCTCTGTTTTAAGACTTCGTGGGTTGCTGAAAAGTGAAGGCACTGAGAAATACAGACCCAAAAGTGAACATGTTGTTTATAAAAGCATAAATATCACCCTAATAAGAGGAATTCAAGCCCTAGTTGGAACAATCTCTACAGCATATAAACAAGAGGGAAGGTAATACCAGCAACCCATCTTGAAACATTCATGTTTTCTGCAGCACAGTAAGACTTACACCTTAGCATCTGACCCCGTTATCTAAGACTGTTAAGAACCGATGCTGACTAGATTTGTTTACCCTATAAATTAGTGGGTAAATGAGGATTCTTCCATGAATTATGCCTCAAGGGACAGAAGCAAACTTGCCAGTAGAAACCCAACTTAGCAAATTCTTCTACACCTTCTGAAACTTTGTCATGTTCTGGGTGTAAATGCTTAAACTACTCTATGTGCCCTAAACAGTAAGTATTGTTCTCTGATTAGGTCAGTTGTCTCTCAAACTGTTTCCCAGATTTCTGAAGTTTACACAGTCTCAAGTTGGGCAGATCTTCAAGGAATCCCAACCTGCAAGATAGTAAACAGATGTCCTGTCTGCTGAAATTACCCTGCAGGGAACAGTTTTCTACTATTGTTCATTATTCAGTGCAAACTATTTGAAAAAGCAAAGCAGACTATACGCCATCTCTAATGAACACAATGCTACTTTTTAAAGTGTCTGGCTTTAAAAAAAAAAAATTAAAACCTATCTTTGCCCAAAAATCTAAAAGCAAGAACGGATTTAACTTCTATGACAAGTATTCTCTGTATTATAGGGTAAAATATAAATACCAATCTAAAATAGCCAAATAAATAACATTATAAGTCAATAAATCTAAAATTTAGAAGAGTTAAGGATGGCAGGTAAAATCTCTCATCCTTCCTAAAGGGAAAGATTTAACAGAATCTCTAAGACCTCCCTATCAAAATCATATCAAAGACTCAGTTCCATGACAGGGAACAGTTCAAATTTGACCAAAATAAATATTAAAGCTTTCTGATGAACTAGAATAATTTCCTATCAAACATAATGTCTGCATAGACCAGTAACTACAGAAAGATTTGAAATCTTTCTGCATAGAATCACTAGGCTTCTGTTATTTTGACTTCTTTCATTCCCTCATTCATTCATTCATTCATTCATTCACTTAGATATTTACTGAGTGACTTTTCAGATCAGTCACCTCTGCCAGGCCCTGGGAATATGAAACTAAATCAAACACATAGGTCTTACTTTCATGGGGCTCATATTTTTAGAACAGCAAGTCTCAAACACACTGTTTCTCTTTATTCTCACACAACACTGCTGACACCAGATGTGTGGGTTCTTTCTATACCACGTAATTCTTCAATTCGCCCAACACCAGCTGGGTATCTTACAATTTAATTCAATTTTTGACACTATCTTCCTGGAGTTAGTGTCAGATTCCCAAAGTTAAGGACACAGTCCTACAAGACTGCCCTCACTTCAGATGCCAATCCCAAATCCAGGCCTCCAGTACTTCTGACCAACCAGTTATAAATCAGGAGTTCCCACAAAACCCTCCTCAGATTCAGTAATTTGCTAGAATGACTCACAGAATCCAGAGAAACACTTTACTTACATTTATCACTTTATTATAAAGGACATGACAAAGGACACAAATGAAAAGCCAGATGAAGAGATGCACAGGAGAAAGTATTGGAGGTTAGGGGGCAGAGCTTCTCTGGGCCTGCATCCTCCCAGCTCCTCCAAGTGTTTGGAAACCCAAAAGCTCATCAAATCTTGCACAAGAGTTTTTACAGAGCTTAACGGAGCTTCATCTCCAGCCCACCTACCCTCTTTCCCAGAGGTCAGTGGGGCTGAAGGTTCCAACCTTCTAATCACTTGCTCTTTTGGGTGACCTGCTCCATCCTGAGGGGCCTGACCTAAATCACCTCATTAGCATTAACTCAGGTGTGATCAAAGAAAAAGCATTATGAATAAAAGACAGTCCTATCACTCAGGAAATCCTAAAGGTTTGGGGAACAGTGTGACAGAAACCAAGAACAAAGACTAAAGATATTTCATGTATTTCAAGGCCCTTTAAAATTTAAAAAAAAAACAAACTCTTAAAAAATTTTAAAAATCCCTAAAATTTTCATGGACCCCCAAAAATCTTATACATTGATATCTGCATATCAGAAATTCAAACCAAGAAATGTCTGAAATATTTATTTCTCTTAAAAATAACCTCTATTGCAAGCTTTGAAAAAAATTAAAAATAAATGCATTACATGCTAATATAAACTATGTTTTAATGAAAAATATTTTATAAAACAAGGTAATTTTATCAGAATATTAGAATGACAATGTTTCACATTTTTGTAAAAAATCTACATTTTCAAAAAAAATTTAATCCAGGAGAGGAGAAACATAGTTTTACATTTTTGTAAATCTTTTTAATATCTGGTTTAATAGAAAACAGATGGATAATCGTATCTGTTCTTGCAGTCAATCCTTTATGATATCACACTAATCATGTAGCATCTGGAAACCTCCATTAAACAGTCGTGAAAGAATGAGAGTAAAAATGGCAAATTATGTATTATTATGAAAATAAGTTTTGACCTTGGAGACTCTCTAAAAGGGTGTCCAAGATCCTCACACTTTAGGAGCCACTATTCTAGAATGACAATTAGGAAAATTAATGTGATTACAGATTGCGGAAATTGCTAAGAAAAGGGGAAATGTAACAAGGAGGGGCAGGGAAGCAGCCTTACCTTAGGGGGATCCAGGAAGGGCTTCTGAGAGGATACCTGACCAGAGAACTGAAGAACAAGCCATCAGCCCTATGAAAACTTGGGAGAAGAGAATACTTGACGACTATGGATTTTTAATCTTTTAATAAAAATGCTAATATTTACATTTCATAAATCACACAAGTTGTATTTTAGGGGAAGAAAAAGGCCTCTAGATGGATAAGCACTAGGGTGGGAGTGATACACGTTCACGTTTTTACTAAAAGAACTGGTAGATAAATAATAACCCCACCTACTGGCAGAAAGTTGTTTGTTTTTGAGACAGGATCTCGCTCTGTCACACAGGCTGGAGTGCAGTGGCATGATCCCAACTCACTGCAACCTCTGCCTCCCAGGTTCAAGTGATTCTCCTGCCTCAGCCTCCCTAGTAGCTGGAATTACAGGTGCACGCCACCACACCCGGCTAAGTTTGTTCTGTATTTCTAGTGGAGACAGGGTTTCACCATGTTGGCCAGGCTGGTCTCACACTCCTGGCCTCAAGTGATCTACCCACCCGGGGCCTCCAAAAGTGCTAGGATTACAGGCGTGAGCCACCATGCCAAGCAGGAACAGTTATATCTTAAAATAACATTAAGTAATTCAAAACTACCAATTTCATTTATTTTTTGTTAATGAATTATAAAACACAATATACTAGTAAAATCCTTTCAGGAAAAGTTACCATAGCTTTTAATTAGCAATATGCGTATTCCTAATGCCAGGGTCAGGGTCAATCTTTACCTAGTAGGCATGTCTATGAAGCTAACACCAGAATTCCTCCAATATAGGTTGCAACTCCAATAAAGTTCAGAGGTAAAAAGAAAACTATTCAAGAAACACATTGGACTTTCAGGACCTGCAAGTTAATGCAGCCATGCCCCAAAATACATCAGACATAGACATAATCTGCAAAACCTAGGAGCTAAGTAATAATCCAATCTCTGTTCTTGGGTCAGGATATGGAGTTTTGAACTTGGCTGAGCCACGAAAGTAGAAACTGAGACCTTTCTAAAAAGCTTCAACTCTATGAAAATTGCTAGTGCGAAAGCAGAAAACAGTAACTACAGTATCTTATAAGCTAAACATAAACGCACCAAATGACTATACCTAGTCCCAGGAATCTACCCAAGAGAAATAAAAACATCCACACAAAGACATGTCTACAAATGTTCATGGTAGCATTATTCATAACAGCTAAAAACCGGAATCAACCCAAACCACCAAATGCAGATGAATAAACTGCAGCACAGGTTGAGTATCCCTTATCCAAAATGCTTGGGACGACAAGTGTTTTAGAGTTTGGAATAGTTGCATTTTCAACCCTATCTTTACGCCACAGAGCAGAGAATAAGCCAAAACACCACCACCACCACCACATAATGAGTAATGCAAATAGGTCGTCTTGGCCCCATGTGGATCATCGTGGGGAATCTGCTGTTGATGTATCAAGCCCCCACTTTATTACGCTCTGCAGGTATGCTTGCAGGAGGCGATTTGGGCATGCAGAAAAAAAAAAAAAACGTAACACAGCTAAAGGAGGCTGGGAGGGTCTTTTTTCCCTTGGAGACCCCGAATAAACTGTGTGGTGTGCAACTGTGTTTTGACAACAATCCATCACATGAAGTCAGGTGTGGAATTTTCCAATGTGGCATCATATCAGCGCTGAAAAAGCTTCACATTTTGGAACTTTTCAAATTCTGGATTTTGCAATTAGGGATGTTCAACCTGTATATCTATTCTATGGAATTATACTCAACAATAAAAAGGTAAAATACCAATAGACAAAACAAGGAGAAATCTCAAAAACATGCAAAGTGAAAGAAGTTAAACAAAATGTTATGTATGACACATATGATTTCATTTATATGAAATTCTAGAAAAGGCAAAACAATAGTAACAGGAAGCTGATAGATAAGTGGTTGCCTAGGGCCAAGGTGAGAAGGCAAATACTGACTGCAGAAGGATACCAGGAAACTCTCCAAGTGGGGAAACTATTCTATTAATACATCTTGATTGTGGTAGCAGTTAAACAATTGTTTATAGTTACTAAAGTTCATCCAACTGTGCATTTAAAATGAGTGGAATTGCCAGGCGCGGTGGCTCACACCTGTAATCCCAGCACTTCAGGAGGCTGAGGCCAGCGGATCACGGGGTCAGGAGATTGAGACCATCCTGACTAACACGGTGAAACCCCACCTCTACTAAAAATACAAAAAAATTAGCTGGGCGTGGTGGCACGCGCCTATAGTTCCAGCTACTTGGGAGGCTGAGGCAGGGGAACCGTTTCAACCGGGGAGGCAGAGTTTGCAGGGAGCCGAGATCGCGCCTTTGCACTCCAGCCTGGGCGACAGAGCAAGACTCCGTCTCACAAAAAAAAAAGGTGGAATTTATTTTGTATAAATACCTTAACTGAACAAAACTGTACACACTTTAAAAGTCTGATGAAGAAACAATTCATACATGCGCTGACTCCCAATTTTACTCTCAATTTCAGAGTTCAAAGGTCCCCTGAGATGCTATAATACCCAAAGAGCTAAGAACCACAACTATAACCCTACCTATTATGTATAATATAAAATAAATATCTATTGACTCATGTTTTTAATAAACCTAGGTCACCAAAAATAAATTAAATTGTATTATTGTTGAAGACAAAGTATACTGCTTAGAATTTTGCTGTTTACAGTATTTTGGAATTTAATGAGATTATTTAGACAACAGATAATTTGTTCCTAGAAAAGCCTGTTTACGTAAAACAAATTCAAAGAAATTGGAAAATGTTAAAATATTTACCATCTCCCTGCCCAAAAAGACATGATTTTTTTAAAAATTCACACTACCCAATATTCTATATCAAAAAGCATACTTCTCAAAGTGTGCAAGCCCTAAAAACAAACATTCAAACCTGAAGGACAGGTAGGCATTTGAAAAGATCTACGAACCTCTTAAAATCATCAGCAATATTTTCTATCTACGTACTTGAAGGCATTTCCCTGGGGAAGAAAAAAAAAAGACTTTGTCATTCTTCAAATTCCCAAAAAAGCCCATAACCCAAAAATAAAGTTTTAAAAATTAATAGGGCTGGGCGCAGTGGCTTGTGCCTGTAATCCCAGCACTCTGGGAGGCTGAGGCAGACCGATTACCTGAGGTCAGGAGTTCGAGACCACTCTGGCCAACATGGTGAAACCCATCTCTACTAAAAACACAAAATATTGGCCAGATATGGTGGCTGGCACCTGTAACCCCAGCTACTCGGGAGGCTGAATGCAGGAGAATCACTTGAACCTGGGAGGCGGAGGATGCAGTGAGCTGAGATCCCACCACTGCACTCCAGCCTGGGCAACAGAGTGAGACTCTGTCTCAAAAAAAATAAAAAATAAAAAAATTTTAAAAAAAATTAATAGTAATAAAAACTTATTACCTACATGCAGTTACGTGTTTGAATGAAGAACAATGAGGCCAGGTGCGGGTGGCTCATACCTGTAATCCTAGCACTTTGGGAGGCCCAACTGGGCGGATTGCCTGAGCTCAGGAGTTCGAGACCAGCCTGGGCAACATGGTAAAACCCCATCTCTACTAACATACAAAAAAGTAGCCAGGCCTGGTGGTGTGCAACAGTAGTCCCAGCTACTCTGGAGGCTGAGGCAGGAGAATCGCTTGAACCCAGGAAGCGGAGGTTGCAATGAGCCGAGATCGCACTATTGCACTCCAGCCTGGGCGACACAGCGAGGCTCCATCTCAAAAAAAAAAAAAAAAAAAGAATGGTATGGACGGACATACTTCTTCCTTTATACATCTGCATTTTAGTTATACTAGAATGGAGCATGTGTTTGTTTTTAATTCAAAAAGCATCAAAAAAAACTAAGGAAAAAGATTTTTAAAATACAGCAGTAACTGATTTGCTATGTGGAGTTTCACAAAATAGAACAAACTAACGTTTCATTTTTTCTGACAGTACTACTGAGTTGACAATGATGGACACATAATATATCTTGATTTTAGCAGGTTCCTTTACATTTGTAAAATATGGGCTGAATGAAGCAGTTAAGACTTGAAAGGATGAGAAAAAGAAGCCCACACACTACAAGCCAAAGCATCTGCTGATTTTAAATTCTCATCTCTTGTTAACCTGACTCCTCTTCAACTCTGTGAATATCACTGCACACATATATACAAATTGCCAGAAAATATGCACATATACACACACCATCAACATAAAGAGGTAACTAACGTCTGGCCTGGTTTTCAACAAGCAGAAAGGCCGTTTAAGAGAAGCCTAACTTATGCTTCAACAATTGAACAATTTGTTCAAACTTACTACAATAAACCTTCACCAGGAAAAGCAGGTTTCCCATCATCTTTGTAACAGACACAATAAGGATCTGCTGAAAAGCCCTGCTAAAATAATTAGGGACGGAAGTAATTTTAAACTGTTAGAACCATACCACCTATCATTTTTAAGCCTGCTTTATAAAGCTGAGCTACGGAATGCCGAGGTTACAACCTGTTCATCTTTTTAAACATTTCACAGTATTAAAAAACACTGAATTATTAAAATGTTTTACCACTAAAACTAACTTAAAAGTTAAGTAAATCTAATGTAATGGTATTTAGTGATCACAATACTATTTTAAATACAGTTCAATTAAATTATTAAATTATTACTCTTGTTGGGAACAGGCCCCAAAATCCGGCCATAAAGTGGCCCCAAAACTGGCAATAAACAAAACCTCTGCAGCACTGTGACATGCTCCTGATGGCCTTGACACCCACACTGGAAGGCAGTCAGTTTACTGGAATAAGAGCAAGGAACACCTGGACCACCCAGGGCAGAAAACCGCTTAAAGGTGTTCTCAAACCACAAACAACAGCATGAGCGATCCGTGCCTTAAGGACATGTTCCTGCTTCTTAAGGACATGCTCAAGTCTTAACTAGCTTCTGCTGCAGATAACTAGCCAGACCCATCCCTTTATTTAGGCCCATCCCTTTATTTCCCGTAAGGAATACTTTCAGTTAATCTATAACCTACAGAAACAATGCTTATCACTGGCTTGCTGTCAATAAATATGTGGCGGCCGGGCGCCATGGCTCACGCCTGTAATCCCAGCACTTTTGGAGGCCGCGGCGGGCAGATCACGAGGTCAGGAGATCGAGACCATCCTGGCTAAAACGGTGAAACCCCATCTCTACTAAACATACAAAAAATTAGCCGGGCGTGGTGATGGGCGCCTGCAGTCCCAGCTACTCGGGAGGCTGAGGCAGGAGAATGGTGTGAACCTGGGAGGCGGAGCTTGCAGTGAGCCGAGATGGTGCCACTGCACTCCAGCCTGGGCAACAGAGCGAGACTCCGTCTCAGAAAAATAAATAAATCAATCAATAAATATGTGGGTAAATCTCTGTTGGAGACTCTCAGCTCTGAAGGCTGTGAGACCCCTGATTTCCCACTCCACACTCCATGTTTCTCTGTGTGTGTCTTTAATTCCTCTAGCGCCGCTGGGTTAGGGTCTCCCCGACTGAGCTGGTCTCGGCAACTCTGGTTACAGGAAGATGCCATTAGCCAAAATAGACATGAAAATAGTTTACAGCAATGCTTCTCAGGTTATCAGTGGTAAAGAACCCATTTTCCCCCAATCTATCACAGACCAACACTTTAGTAAAATACAATAAAAATTACTCACTAGAAAGATGAAAATAAAACACACACACACACAAAGCCCAGGGATATCACTTGGATATCACAGCAGTGTCAAACTACTATAATAAAAGTTTCTAAACACTCTATCTTAACCCTGTGTTTATACTGTGCAGACCAGTGTTCCCAAACCATACCTCATACTTTGAATAGCACTGGTTTACAGAATCAGTAACATTAAGCACGTAAACAGTTATTTCCCAACTCCCAAAACTGAGCATTTAGACTACAGAAGCAAACACTTCTTAATTTATGTCACGAAGTCTCTCAAAATACGTGACCACAATAGACATGAGCTCCAAACTGTGTAGCTACCAAGCACTTATGTAACTGTAAGCCCAGTGGCATAAGACTGTGGCAGTAGTTGAGAAGAGCAAGAAATGAATAGTTTTCTCTGCCACTCCTTGCTGCTTCTACAGGAGATGACAGGCATACTCCTCCACTGAGGTCAGATCACGACTCCCTTAGCTCTAATTCTATTCTGAACATCGTATTTTTAAGAATGGTAAAAACAAACTTTTTTCAGCAGCAGGGCCCACTTTGAATCACAACTTCTGTAAGACAGTGATTTATTTATTCAGTGAGTAAGCCCAGATGAAACCCCAACATTCAAACCTCTCACTGCTGTCTTCTACTTGTTGTCTAGTACACAGTTATTCTAGAAATCTTTATTTCTTTGCAAAAATGTAATGTTTGAGTAAAAGAAAAAAATTTTAGTAAAAGCTTAAACATGAATTCTTATGAATGTACACACCAATGTGACTAACTCCCCAACCCTGTAGTCTACACAAACAGAAAAATCCTACAGCAGAGTGGTTGAGGGGCTGGGAACCAGAATCCAAAACAAAGTTTGAGTGCCAGCCCTGCGGCCTTAGGCAGGTTACCTTATCTACCCTACCCATACCTTCCTCCTATAAAGACAGTACCAATCTCAAGCACTGTTGCAAAGATTAAAAAATAATCCCACTCAAACTACCTAGCACACAATTACTAGTAAGTCCTCAGTAAATGTTAGCTACTATTATAACAACTATCACAACAAACATTTCACCTCTTCTCTTTTTTCCTTTTTATGTTTTAGAATCATCAAGTCTGATTTCTTTTTTAATTTTTTCTATCTTTTTTTTAGAATTGTCATATTTCACCTATTCTCATTCATTCATCTATCCATCTGTCCATCCAAGGAATATTTAGTGACTAAAATATGCCTAGTTACCCTTATGGCACAGACACTTGTCTCCCCAGAATGTTTTCAGTTCATTCCTCAGAGATTTTTTTTTCAGCCTAATAAGAGGTGAATTATAACTTATTAACCCAACTGATGCCAAACTTCCATTTTCTTTAAGACGCATCAATCAGCTGGACATACTATCTCTCATAACAACCAATACCACAAAGTTTTACAACACGATGTTTTGAATCTGCATTAAAAAGAGTTCAATTAAATTTACTCAAAATATTCTGTATACATATGTGTGTTTATGTGTAATTTTCCCTTAAAACATCATTAAAGACAAAGTACAGTCCACAAGTTTCTTAAAAGTCTGAAATAAAAAAGACAAAGCTCAAACTATACCAGTCACTGCCTAGTTGAAGAAGAGGTCAGGCAGGATGCACAATTCCTACTCGGCTTTATTACAGTTTTGTAGCTTCTGGGAGGTAAGGCCCACAGCCTGAATTTCTCACATCAATCACCGTCAAAGAACAGCTATTACTGTAGAAGATTTTTATTCTCAAAGAAACTGTAATGCTGTAAGATCTCCCTTTAGCATATTCTGCAAAGTCAGTATCTAGACTTTCATTTAATTCTGTAGACTTTCATTTAATTCTGGCTTCTTTCACTGACTGGTCTGTGAACTTGGCAGTTTTCTTATTTGGTTAAGCCTAGATAATTTTTTCTAACACTGAACAAAGATGGTAGTTATTGCCAAAATGTAAATTCAAAAAGCAGAAAGCTGCATTAGTCTTAAATTTAACACATTTTATGGCTCAAGTGGGATAGGGTTCCATTTCATAACTGGCTGAGTCAAATAATAAACGGGATTTAAATCACTGCTGTTAAGTTTGATGTGAAAGAAATTTAAGTAACTTCAATAGGAAAAAAAAAAAAAAGATTTTCTGCTCCTGACACACATGGGATTAGTTACAATGCTCCAATACACTTAATCAATATCAACCTCTATAATATTTCAGTTTGAAAGGGCATATTTCATTGCTATTCTCTTGGATCTAATGCTCACTGATGGTCCACATTTTTAAAGTTAAATCAACTAATAATTGTTGGGAAAAAGAGAAGATAGAGGATTTAGCCTCAAGAAATTCAAAAGAATGGTACTAATCTTATAAAAATTAGTCACATGTAAGTATAATGATGCAATCAAATGTACAAATATATAATCATAATTAAGAATTAACTGATAAGATGTTTAATTTATAAGTTTCTGCTTTACCAATTCAATATATATAACCAACCTGCAAATTTTCCCACATGTACCTGGTTGGTAATTTTTCTAAAATAATATGAGTGATTAAAAAGCTTAGCTGGAACAAAATTCATTTCCTTTCTCATAAAACAAAAAACTTTTCAGAATTGTTAAGATCTACCTTCTAACACATTCTAAGTTTATTACATTCAAGTTTATTAGATTCAGGAGCACTGGCCACTGCTTAAATAGAAGGCAGGACTTTAGGTGATTTGGGGGCACTCTCATTATAATTTGTTTCTGCCTCCTTGCTAAGGTAAGTGCAGAAGGAAACATGTATAAAGCAACTATGATTGCCTCTGGGAAGAGGGTGCTTGGAAGACAGGGATGACAGTGAGAGTTTCTCTTCACTATATACTTTCACTTTGTCTTTGATTTGTGTGCCATATGCATGTATTATCCAGTGTAATGGCTGTGTTTAAACAGGTTTAATAAATTAAAAGGGTTCCCATTTTCCTGTATAAAAAGCGCACCACAGTAAGTCCACAAGGTGGTTATTCATCATCTTTCTAGTCAAGAGGTCCTTTAGAATGAAACCAAAGCTGATGCATTTCTGTGTAAAATGTAAAATGGGAGTTTTCTTCTCTCCAAAAGGAAATACTTTTTATTTTGTTTTAAAGGCTACCAGTAAACCACACTTGAAAACACCATCTACAAGCCCTCGTTTGGAGGATGAAAACAAAAGCTGGCAGGCAAGGCCAGGTGGTGGTGGCTCACACCTGTAATACTAGCGCTTTGGGAGGCCAAGGCAGGGGGATCACCTTAAGGCCAGGAGTTCAAAACCAGCCTGGTCAATATAGAGGCCCCATCTCTACAAAAGAAAAATAAAAAAATTAGCCAGGCAAGGTTGCACACACCTATAGTCCCAGCTACTAGAAGGCTGAGGAGGAGGATCACTCAAGCCCAGGAGTGGGAAGCTGTGGTGAGCCATGACTGCACCACTACACTCCAGCCTGGGCAACAGAGCAAGATCCTGTCTCAAAAAATAATAGGCCAGGCACAGTGGCTCATGCCTATAATCCCAGTACTTTGGGAGGCTGAGGCAGGCGGATCACTTGAGGCCAGGAGTTCAAGACTAGCCTGGTCAACATGGCGAAACCCCATCTCTACTAAAAATACAAAACAAAAACAAAAATTAGCTAGGTGTGGTAACATGCACCCATTATGGTCCCAGCTACTAGGGAGGCTAAGGTGGGAGGATCACTTGAGCCCCAGAGGTGGAGGCTGCAGCGAGCCGAGATCGCACCACTGCACTCCAGCCTGGGCGACAGAGCGATACCCTGTCTCAAAAATACATACATATATATATATATATATATATATATATAAACACACACACACACACACACACACACACACACACACACATATATAAATAAGTTGGGAAATAAAGTTTGATTTTATTTTGTGTGTAATAGTGATTTTCCAAAGGGTTGAGTTTTAGGACTACAGCTGTCCATTGAGAAGATAACTTAGTCAGCAGCACTGTCCAAGTACAAAATAAAGTCTGTAAGACCAGTTATACAGGCTTTGGTGATAGTTGAGAAAGAGTGCAAGAACTGAACAGTACAGACAATGTAGTTATAAATTCAAAGAACTAAGTAAGTGATCTTAGGAAAAACCTCAAGAAATAGTCAAAGACGATACCAGAAGCCTTCATGACTTGGGTAGACAGTGGTTATCACTAATGGACAGGAAATAAAATCAGATGGCGACAGGGAGAGGTGGAAACATAGAAAGTATTAAAAAAAAAAAAAACAAACAGTAAGCCTCAAGATACAATAAACATCTGTGGCACTTAAGTACCACTTTAGGTACTATTTTGGAGGCAAAGAAAATCTTAAAATTTTATGCCAAAATGCAGCTGATGTTTAAAGGGTCAAAGACTCAAAGGATTAAAAATATATATATTTTGACTAAGTTAATACTGAGTTATCACTGTTTTTCCTGAATCCAATTTTTCTCTTATATGCTTGAGCATGGTACCAACATTAACAAGAATATGGCATATTACTCCAGCATATTTAAGCATCCACTTCAGCCCTTTCAGTTTTGATGAAACAAGTACAGTTTGTCATCAAACAGCTAAGTAAATTACACTACACTTTGCTATTAAACCTAATCTTTACTGCATATAGCCATTTTAAAGAATGATCTACCTACCAGTAGTAGTTTACAAAAAACGAAGCCATATTCTCTTTAAGATATTATCTAAAACCTTGCCAAATAAAATAACATCCAAGTACCGTAAATTAAATATTTTACGAAAAACATTATAAACTAATTTTGAAAAGAAAGCAAATGCAACTAAGTTTTCTGTAAGTGCTAAAATTAGGAGCTTTTATCTAAGAAACGACCTATGGTAGACTTGATGAAGTAAAAGAAAATCTAAACACAAAAATAAGAACTTGCAAAGATTCTTTTCAAACTTCATGCTTTGTAGAGGCTTTTTTCTCCAAGGTATGGGCTAGGACTGAGCTGCAAGTCCAGAGCATTGCTGCCAAGACTTAAAATACCTGGAGTTGCTCAGCCAAACCAATGAAGTCCAAGATATTGAACAAAAGATCCAAATTTATCATATACAGAAACCAGTTGAAGCAAAAGGTGACAAGAAGGCAAAAGATAAAAAATGCTTATTGTACACCCACACCTTTTAATGTTAAATAGATATGTGAGGCATTAACCATATAAATCCAGGCCAGATTTGCTGTAACAACTAAAGTTAAAATATTTTGATCATATTCCATTTACTTGGGAAACCATCCAGTTTGGAATCCAACAGTAACTATTACCAACTATTAAAATCAATATCTACTACTAAAAATCATATCAACAATGTAAGAAATTACCCATTCAGGTTCTCTTTATTACAGTAGGAAGGCCATTCACTATCTTCATATCAAACTAAGGCCTAGAGATCATAACTGATTTATTAAGTCATCTCCTCCATGAGAAGTACTGCATATGCTGCCTTAAATAATACCCAAGAAGACAGCTACAAGAAACAAATGATAGATTGTCATCACTAGCATATATGTCACGAACACAGTAAGCACTGTCAAAAAGCAAATGGCAATGAATTTCAATAAGGTGTCTGACCTTAACAGAAAGGACCAATGGCCCAGGATGTTTGCAGGTTTATCCAAATCTTGGGAGGAACATAAAAACGGAAAAGTCTGGCCCAGTGTGGTGTCTCATCCCTATAATCTCAGCACTTTGGGAGGCTGGGGCGGGTGGATTGCTTGAGGCCGGGAGTTCAAGACCAGTCTGGCCAACATGGCAACACCCCGTCTCTACTAAAAATACAAAAATTAGCAGGGCATGGTGGCACACAGCTACTCGGGAGGCTGAGGGGCACGAGAATCGCTTGAACCTAGGAGGTGGAGATCACAGTGAGCCAAGATCGGGCCACTGCACCCCAGCCCGGTCGACAGAGCAAGACTCTGTCTCAAAGGAAAAAAAAAAAAGGAAAAGTCAGATGGACTTAGAATTACCACCCAATGCAGGTAAACTAACTTACTTAGGGACACGTACCAGTACTCTTCCCAATGCTCCTTAATATGCTGATTTTCTTTACTATTGATCCCCAGTATCTTAATATGTGAACTCAGCAGTTTAAGGTTGCATTTTTCCAAACTTCAGAATATTTACTAAATTGACTTCTTATAGCTACAAATCTTCTACAATATGACTGATTATCAAACGTAAAGATTCTAATGTATGTTTTCTCATACATTTTAAAGTTAGAAGTCTGTAAGACACCTGAGTTCTGAAAAACATATTTCCCAATGCTCAAACAAGAAGCACTAGATTAACTATTCTGTACACACCTTAACTTCTATTTCCTCCATCTGTACATTAATCAAATCACATAAACTATTTGTACCCACGTCTCCCCATTGATAAAATAGGGATAATGATGGTTCCTATATCAAAGAGTTGTTGTATTGCTTCAATGCCATAATAAATACACAATACTTAAAACAGTACCTGTCACATAACACAGAATAACTACTGGGGTCTTCAAGTATATGAAGCTGCTATAAAATGTAAAAGAAAATGAGTCAAGGATGGCTAGATGTGATCTGAATTCAAGCTCCAGGATATATTCACTTTATGTCTTTGAAAAGCCACCCAGCTTCTTGGAGTGGGAGAATCACATGTATAATCCAGATAATACTAGTCCGCCCAGTTCCTGGAGCTACCAAGATATAATAATGTACGCTAAATGATTTTTCTATTATAAAAAGTTACTATTTGTAAGCAATAACATCTTACTTGCCTAAGCAAAAAATATAACTAAGCAATCAAAATGTCAGACTGCATAACGAATTTAATCCTCACTCACAAATACTCAGGTTAGAGATAATCCTGCATAACTGGTTTTTCACTCACAGCAAAAAAAAACCTGAAAAGCAAGGGGATAAGAAACAGATAAATTTAACAACCAAAAAAGGCACCAACTAGAAACATAAACCACTCAAGGCACCTAAAGTTCAACAACAGGGGACATTTATTATAGAAATAACAGACTACCCGAAGGGATTTCTTGACAGATCTACTGTCCTGTCTGGTTCAATAACATGTTTTTTTGTTTTTTTGTTTTTTTTGAGACAGAGTCTCTGCCTGTCGTCCAGGTTGGAGTGCAGTGGTGTGATCTCGGCTCACTGCAACCTCTGCCTCCCAGGTTCAAGCAGTTCTCCTGCCTCAGCCTCCTGAGTAACTGGGATTACAGGCATCCGCCATCATGCCCGGCTAATTTCTTTTGTATTTTTAGTAGAGATGGGGTTTCGCCATGTTGGCCAGGTTGGTCTCGAACTCCTGACCTCAGGTGATCCGCCCACCTCAGCCTGCCAAAGTGCTGGGATTACAGGCGGGAGCACGGCCCAATAACATGTTCTTAATGATAATACTATGCCATCAAAACATGGTTAGATTGTGTTCCATGTTCTCTGACTAAAGCAGCAGAAAATTATGTATTACACTTCAGAAACACATATAATTAAAATAGCTAAAATGTGCAAGTTTTGGTGCTTGAAAGGATTTCAAATTATCTGACTGAAAAAATTATCTCACATGTCAAACAACTTACGTATGCACCACTCAAGTCAGAAAACTGGAAGAAGAGGCCAAGGGTCATATAATTTTTTTTGTTGTTAAAACATTAAAAGGCCAAACTGTATTATACTTCAGACCAGGATCTCAGAGAAGAGCTTCCATTTCAATGGAATTTAAACAAGCTGTTGTCCAGTCTCTTTAAATTCATAAGAGTATCACAAAAAATCTACAGTGACACATGTGATAGCCTGGCATTACAAATTCGAAGTATTTGATTCAACTCACAAAGCATTCCCACCAGCCTGCTGCGGTGGCTCACACCTGTAATCCCAACATTTTGGGAGGCCAAGGTGGGTGGGTCACCTGAGACCAGGAGTTCGAGACCATCCTGACCAACATGGTGAAACCCCGTCTCTACTATAAATACAAAAAATTAGCCAGGCGTGGTGGCGCATGCCTGTAATCCCAGCTACTTGGGAGGCTGAGACACGAGAATCGCTTGAACCTGGGAGGCGGAGGTTGCAGTGAGCCAAGATCCACTTGAACCTGGGAGGCAGAGGTTGCAGTGGGCCAAGATCATGCCATTGCACTCCAGCCTGGGCAACAAGAGCAAAACTCTGTCTCAAAAACAAAAAAAAAAACAAAAACAAAACAAAACAAAATAAAAAACAAAGTACTTCCACCAAAATTTTTCCATTAGATTTGAATAACCATCAGGTAGGTAAGGTAGTGATAACATTTATCCCCAAAGCTGTTGTGAGGATCACAACATCTAAAATTTAACAAAAAATTTAACCAAACAACACAAAATTTAACCAAACATCCCTGTACAGGGTCTTATAATAGGTGTCCAATTAATATTAGTGATTTTTCAAACAGATAAGAAATCAACAAATAAAAAGATGGAGAAATATGAACAAGCCCAGAAAGCTAACTAGCTTATCCTCAACTGTGTGCTCTTTTCTCACCAACACTCAAGCATTTACTAACCCAGTTTCTTCATGATTGATTTTCAAGAAAATTTCCACACAACAGGAGTATATTCATTCATTCACAACATCTGAGTGCCTTCTATACACGAGGTACTGTTCTAGACCCTTAGAAATACTGTAGTGAACAAACCTGACATGGGTGCCACTTTCAGGAAGCTGATATTCTAGTGTGAAGAAATAAGCAACAAGTAAAAAGAGTTTCAGACAGAAACAAGGACCAAACTGGATACCAAAATTCGCAGATGCTCAAGTCCTTTATATAAAATGGTGTAGCATTAGTTATTGCATATAACCTAGGCACATCTTCCTATATATCATCCCTAGATTGCATATAACATTTAATACAATGTAAATGCTATGTAAATAATTATTATACTGTATTGGTTTTTATTTGTATTTTTAGTTGTTTTTTTCCTAGTATTTTCGATCCATGGTTGGTTGAATCCATGGATGTGAGATTGCTGGATTCAGAATCCAAAGATATAGAGAGCTGACTGTATATGTAACTCATACTTTTCTATTTATTAATAACATACTCTACCTTACTTACAAAACCAGGGGAATAAGGTATCTAATAAGATAACTTAAAGGGGAAAACAAAATTTAAAAGGTAAGAAATTTCAATAGCAATGGGTTTCAAGCACTGAATTATGGAGGAGACAAATGTTTTATACTTCAGCCTTCAAAAGGGTTATCATCTCAATGAGAAGGGGAAAATATATTAACAGTAAATCACTAACAGTATGGATCACATACCAAGGTGAATGATACAAGCTGTCATTAAAAAGCTCAGAGAAAGGAAGAGAGCAAGCTTCTTCTCAAACAGTAAAATGCTATAAATCACCTGATTGTGTAGGTCAGGAGAGGGGCCTGAGATTCTGTGATACGTATGTCTGCATTTCTAACAAACTCAAGTGTAGCCAACATTGCTCATCTTACTGGACATGGATCATACTTTGAATAGCAAGGTCTAATGAACATAAGAAAGGTAAAATTCAAATGTTCTAGGGAACAAAGTGGGTTCAACATGAAAAGTTTAACGGGAAGAATTAGCTTGATCTTGTCTAGGAACAATGAGACCACCTGACAGAATGAAGACCCATTCTTTCTTTATTTTTGTTTTTTTTCTTTTAACTCATCTGTATTTGTTACAACTTTAAGCAGAATGTGACTCAGGCACTACATTTCCATCCACAAGACTAGCTCTGAGTTATTTTTGAACAGCTTTACGACATGCTTAGGTAGGCTTATAACTTTGCTCCTCCAAATGATACTTTTCTTTGGAAAACAAGCCCTGTGGAGGGCTTACTTTTCTTTGGAAAACAAGCCCTGTGGAGGGACTGCTACATTACAGATACAGAGGAAGTGATGAAACAGGTCTAAAGGTAGGAAAGGAAGGGTTCAAAAATACAAGAAAAATTGGTCTTGGCCACTATCAATGTGCCAGGAAGGAACAAATGTGTTAAAACATCAGGCTAAACATAGGATGAGATTAATCTCTGGGTTCATCTACATCTATATATGACTGAGAATGGTCATGAGAGTCGGGACTGGGTTCTACCTTGCTCACCTATATAATATCTTATATAGGTTACTGCAATATACCCCAGCATGTAGCAGGGCTAGACCTGGCATGTGGTCGGCAATCAATAAATATTTGTTAAATGAATGAAGAACAGAATACATCTGGAGTATACAGATTCAAGTTAAACTATATGGAGAATTTTTAAAAAAACAGAGTAAGTCGATTAAGTCACATTTTTTATTCAATATGTGATGATGAAAGAGAACAATTTCAAAGAGAAAGAACTTCATGAACAAAAGCAAGGTCATGCTTACTGCTTTGAATAAGGATGTGACTCTAGGTCTGTCTTTAGCATGACTTTTTTTTTTTTTTTTTTTTTTCTGAGACGGAGTCTCGCTCTGTCGCCCAATCTGGAGTGCAGTGGTGCAATCTCGGCTCACTGCAAGCTCCGCCTCCCCGGTTCATGCCATTCCCCTGCCTCAGCCTCCTGAGTAGCTGGGACTACAGGCACCCGCCACCACGCCCGACTAATTTTTTGTATTTTTAGTAGAGACAGGGTTTCACCATGTTAGCCAGGACGGTCTTGATCTCCTGACCTCGTGTGATCTGCCTGCCTTGGCCTCCCAAAGTGCTGGGATTACAGGCGTGAGCCACCACACCTGGCCTTTAGCATGACTTATTAAAGAAAAAACTAAGTAGTCTGAGGGGCTGGAATGTACAGTTCCTACAAAGCTTGGAAAGAAAGGAAATAAACCTGAACATAAATGCAAGAAACAAGGACAACATTTTGGTCCTTCAATTCAATGGAAAGTCACTGAAAACATCTAAGGAAAGAAGTTAAAATCTGAATGTTCACGTTAAATAAACGTTTTAATAAAAGTATGAGGCCGGGCACGGTGGCTCACGCCTGTAATCCCAGCACTTTGGGAGGCCGAGGCGGGCGGATCACGAGGTCAGGAGATCGAGACCATCCCGGCTAAAACGGTGAAACCCCGTCTCTACTAAAAATACAAAAAATTAGCCGGGCGTAGTGGCAGGCGCCTGTAGTCCCAGCTACTTGGGAGGCTGAGGCAGGAGAATGGCGTGAACCCGGGAGGCGGAGCTTGCAGTGAGCCGAGATTGCGCCACTGCACTCCAGCCTGGGCGACAGAGCGAGACTCCGTCTCAAAAAAAAAATAAAATAAAATAAAATAAAATAAAATAAAAGTATGAATGGTAGACTGAAGAAGGCAGGGGAAAACAATATTAAAATAACCTGCATAAGATATTAGAACATAAATTAGTATAAATAATAAAATGGAATACATACTCATTCATTTATCCTACTTTGTGAATTAACAGGTTCAGCACTGGAGATAAAACAGGTGAAAAAGCATAGTCCCTGCCCTCAGTAGCATACATTCTGATGAGGAAAACAAAGAAGAAAACAAACAAGATAGTTACAGGCTGTGGAAAATTCTAGAAATATAGGGTGCTGTGATGGAAAGTAAGGAGAAGAACAAGTCTATAATTCTATTTTGTACATGTTAAATATGAGATGCCTATGAGATATCCAAATAGTGACGTCAAACAGGCAATGGGTATTCAAAAGAGGCATTCAAGAGCCATTACTGGCAGAAATATAAATCTAGGACTTATTAGAATATAAATATTTAAAGCCGTGAGCACAGATAAGAATACCTTAAAGAATACTACTATAATTACTGCAAATAAAGCAGCAGCAAAGCTTAAATGGTGACTTATTCTGTCCCAGACATTGTTCTAGTTATTGACATATATTCAATCCATTTAAAGTCTCAAAACAATTCAGATGAGGAAAATGAGGCACAAAGACTTGCCCAATGTCATGCAGCAAATTTCAGAGCTGGGATTCAAATCCAAGCAGTCTGGCTCCAGAGCATGTACTTTTATCAACTTCGTTACACTACCTATGTCAAGCAGAGACTAAAAGAAAAGCCAAAACCTAAACCATGAGGCACTCCAATATGCACAGATGGAGAAGAAACATAAAAGGAAAGGAGTAAGTGGCCTAAAAGGAAGGATAGTGATTGACTGGGGTCACACACCAATAAGAACCCTCAGGATTCAGGTATGAAAGCAAAAGAAAGAAACCATAAACCATGAAAATTGATAGGGATAGTGGCAATCATTTTGTGGATGAGAAAATGTACCTTTGGAGTAAAACAATCATAGAAGTGTTGTTAGTTACTGGTGGATGCAGACTGGAATGCATGTCTCCTGATTACCAGGAGCACTGAAGTGCTCTTTCTACAATTCCAATCTACATTAGCAAAGTTAGCATTCGAAATGATTTGAGAAACATTAATAAGGATGAGAGTGGTAAAGACACAGTAATCTGAGTGTTTACGATGACACAGGTACTATACTAAACACTTTAAATACCTCGGAATTTCATTCTCACAACCCTTATGAGTTACTACTTTATCATCATCCCCATTTTACAAAGGATACACCTGAGGCCTAGAAAATTTAATAACTTCCCCAAGGTCATGCTTACTGCTGGAATAAGGATCTGAATCCAAGTCTGTCGTCAAGATTCTCTTGGCTAGTATGTAATATTGCTTTCCTAAGAGTAACACTGTTCATCAAGACAGAAATGAAGAAAGAAAGAAAGAAAGAAAGAAAGAAAGAAAGAAAGAAAGAAAGAAAGAAAGAAAGAAAGAAAGAAGAGAAAGAAAGAAAGAAAGAGGGAGGGAGGGAGGGAGGGAGGGAGGGAGGGAGGGAGGGAGGGAAGGAAGGAAGGAAGGAAGGAAGGAAGGAAGGAAAGAGAGAGAGAAAAGAAAAGAAAAAAGAGAGAGAGAAGAGAAGAGTTTAAGGAAGGAGTTTTTTTTAAATTGTATCTGGGCAAACGTGGGTATACCTATCATCCATGTGGAGATAGTATTCAAGATGGATGATTCTTGGTTACTCCATCTGCAATAATCCATTAATAAAATTTAGAGTAACCAGTATTCCCTGTATTAACAATGTAAAACGCATAAAGAACATACCATTTAAATGTTCCCTACATGATTTATGGTAACTGGAAAACATTCACCATTAAAAAATGAGCAACCAAGATAAAAGAACCTTGCAACTGCAATATAATCTAGCTGCCTAAAACCATATAAATGACAGAAAGGCAGATGTCCAAAAAGGGGGAAAGTTGTTAGGAACTTATTTTGTTAATATCTACCCAACCGATGGAGAACAAAAGCACAGAGGTACCCACCACCGTGAATAAGAGATAATTCACTAAGTTCGTCAAGAATCTGGATATAAATAACTCTCAAGTAAAATAATCCTTTACCTGCTCTTATTATGATTGATTTTGGAGTCACTGGTAAGCTTCTGATTTTTTTTATTCGATTTCCAAGGTGCTTTGGTAATCAAAAGGGTCTTTTTGGTGGTAGATATGAGCGTTTTCACCACTGAAAAGGTATGTCTTCCACAGTAAATGAGTAAATCAACATTTACATGTATATAAACCAATCTCCTGTGAGAAGGACTAATTGGTTCCTTAGCATTAATCAATTCTGAGAGAGCTGATAAAAAATAATAATTTCTGAGTCCAAAAAATTGAGAACCAGTCTCTTGACTAAGCACCCTTGTGAAACCTGAAGTGATCCAGTCCATCTCCACCTGCAGGTCTCTGTTTAATTCAACAATCCCTCTTAAAGCTGCCAGGACATTGTTACTGAAGTGCTTTTACCACTGCCCTGTGTTAGATAGTATTTGGCACTTAACAGAATGTCCTAAAATATTTGCTAAATAAATGATCTCCAAATAGATTTATGCCACCGACCTGTTGCCTTTTTCAACTCTGGAAACTAAGTGATTCAAAGAGTGCTGTTGTGACATAGCAAATTTAATAAGAAATATGTTTCTAAGAAATAAACATTTCCCAAGTGCATAAGTGGTACTTATTTTAACAAGTGTAATCTAAGTCCACCCACTAACTTTAGAGATTTGCAATCTCTAAAGATACGTCATTTATTCCTGAACACACATCTGCCTCCCATGAGCCAGGGAAAGCCACAGTGCCAGTACACAGGCCAGATAGTACTCCATTTTCTTTTTTTTTTTTGGACGGAGGCTCGCTCTATTGCCCAGGCTGGAGTGCAGTGGCACAATCTCGGCTCACTGCAACCTCCGCCTCCCAGGTTCAAGCGATTCTCCCGCCTCAGCCTCCTGAGTAGCTGAGATTACAGGCGCGTGCCAACATGCCCGGCTAATTTTGTGTTTTTAGTAGAGACGGGGTTTCACCATGTTGGTCAGGCTGGTCTCGAACTCCTGACCTCCTGATCCGCCCGCCTCGGCCTCCCAAAGTGCTGGGATTACAGCCGTGAGCCACCACGCCCGGCCTGCATTTTCAAAGTATTACACAAGTGACATTTAGAACAAAACATTCCAAAGTTAATCTCTTGCCTGCATCTTTCAAACTCTGCTAACCACAGACATTAAACTCATAATAATAATCATAATTAACATTAAGTGATTACACTGTACTACAGGTCACCACATAAACTTTTTCATTTAATCCAAACAACTCTATGATACAGATACTTCTCATTCCCACTTGACAGATGAGGAAAGCAAAGCCTGGAAAGGCTAACTTGCCTTAAAGTCACAGAGCTGGTTAAGTGGAAGAGCCTAGAAGACTGAATGAGCTCTTAACCACCAGGCTACACTCTTGTATCCAGTTTAACTAAGTCAGTTCAACAGATTCAATTATATGCTGCGTTTAAATTATCAACAGTTTCCACTTAAAAATACCTGCTTGCAATTACAATTTTCACATGAATTTAAAAGTACTTTCTTATTACAAATATCTAAGATCTGCATTAATAGGAAATAACCTTTAAAAAAATCAAAGGAAGAGAGGATGCTTTTTAAAAAGAGGGCAGGAAGGATACTTTTAAAACTAGAACGTCATATAAATGCATTTTGCTTCGAAACAACAGAAATAAAATTTCTCATTCTAGATTTTCCTCTTCCCAGCTAAGTCCATTTCCTTATCAAGAATTTCCTTGGATGTCCTAGTTCATGAACCTTAACTACTAAATACATTTAAGGCCCTTCTCTTTGATATTCTTTTATGTTTTTCAGAATGAACACTACAAAAGAGTATTCTAAATTATACGGTTTCAGATAAAGCGCCGAAGTACAGGCTCAAAAGAGTGGCTACAAAGTACATCTCCACTTGGAACGTTATAGATGTCAGATCCCAGCAGGGAATCAGTGGAGTTTCCTTACTCTCTCCTTCCCAGAGCCCTACTAGGTCCCTAAATCCTTCTCGACACCTTCGTTAGCTGCTGGTCTCCAGGAGTCTTTCTTCAAATCCCCCCACCGGTCATCTCAAAACAAGACCCCAGGAACCTGTCACTCACACCCCTATTCTCAGTCCCCTTCCTGAAGCCCCAACTGTCCCGTTAGAAGACAAGAGAAGGCTGTCGAAGCTCCTGAACAAAAAGTGAAGATGAAAGAGAAACGTACTAGGGAAAAACTTTGGCCCAGCCACACCAAGCCCAAGGGGGAGAATGCTAGAAAGTACGTCTGGTGGGACGGGGCTGGGAACTGCGCTCCCCACGTGGGCCAGAGGAAAAAGAACAGCACTCACAAGGCCATCTATCTGCACTTGCTTCACGGCTGAATCTCCCGAGCCGCCTTTGCCTTTGCCTTTCCCTGCTGCGCCGGCGGTGGAGCTGGAAGAGGTGGCAGTAGAGCCGGTACCTTCCTTGCGGGACGCCATCTTTCCAAGCAGACAGGAAGAAAGAGAAACGTGAGTTACCGGAAGCGGAAGTACAAGTCTCGCGTGACGTCACTCGCAGGCCGGCGTTCGAGGGGCGGAGACGGAAGGAGAAGCCAAAATTGGGCCCCGCCTCCCTCCTGTTTTCCAGTTTTACCTTCTTTCCAGGCGGTATCCTTTGTGCATGCCTACTGTACATTTTCGACCTCTTTCCGATGGAATGATCTAAGATGAAAGTAAACTTTTTAAATGTTTAATCATTCACCACTAGGCAAACCGTCATAATAGCATTACAGTTCGCATTATTTCTGTAGTGTCTCTTATGTAAAAATGCTTTCATTTCTGATCTTGCAATGAAGTGCTGTACTAACTCGCATTATGCATATTAGAAAACTGATAAGTGATTTGTCCGACATTATTCTGTTAATTAGCGATGAGCCAGTATTGCACAGCTTGTTTTACGTAATTTTAGATAGCTGCTTGTAACCACTTAGATTATATAGAAATTAAGACATAGAAACTTTTATCAGAATTACCAGAAATAGTAGCCTTTTGCTATTAGCTTCATGTAGAGATTTACCTGAGTAAAGTACCAAAGAAGTTATCTGAGGTATTGTTGAAGGATGATACAGAATATATTTTCTAAAAATCACGCTGATTTATGACACATTACTCTGAAATACACATCTCAAGTCCTTAAAAGAATATATGACAACTGTAAGAAGCCATTTTAGATAAGTAATTTGAAACATTCTTTTCTACTTCCAAATGACTTTTTTCCTATCCCTTATTTTTGAAATGTTTATTCAATAAATATGTATACAGAACTGATGAAATAATTAAATCAATAAACGGCATATCCTGCCCTGAAGTTTTTTGTTGTTTTGTCATTGGGATCTGGTGTTATATTTCAATCTGGGAGGAGAAATAGTTACATGTTACAAATTCTTAACACTACAAAATGAAAAGTTAATATCCACTCATTTCAAGTGTATATGAAATATTTATTAAAATACACCAAACCCTAGGTCACACAGAAAGTCCACAAATTTAGAGGTTTTAAAGGTTGATCCTGGTAAAATTACACTAGAAATTGGTAACAGAACATTCACAAAAAGAAGAAAGAAAATCTCGCATGGAAGAACCAGACTGGAGGTTTTTGCCTACCACTAGGTAGCTGGAATGATGAGCATTAGAAAACAGTGAGGCTACTTATAAACAATAATACATTTATTTATTGCTTTATCCTACAACATACATAACACAGTTTTGTTTCAGAATTACAATACCAATATCCTCATAGCAGTAAAACTACAAAGTAAAGTTTAAAATATTTTGCAATTTTTTTGTCCTTGAAAATATCCAACTAAGGTTTTGCAGCCACGTGTGCTAAACATACTACAATGGGTTATTTTCATCTGTCCTGAGACAGTTCATGTGGGCCCTCTTTATGAAATACACTAGATGTAAGAGGTACAACTGAGAGAGAGAGAGAGAGAGGGCCAGAGAATATGAAGAATTTGAATTAGAAATCAATATGATCACCTTGACAAGAAAGGGCCCAGAAGCATTGACATTTCCGTCACTTCGGTTCCTAATTTCATTCCTATCTCACTGGCTACCTCCTTTATTCTCAGTTCCCATTGCTGATTTTTCTACCCCTTTTCAACCTTTAAATATTGAAGAGCACCAAATTTAGACTTTGAACATCTTCTTTCCCCTATTTTTGTTCTCTTTTATGGTGACCTCATCCAAGCTTTACAAAGAGATACACTCAAAATAATGTAAATAAATCAATATATTATTTAAAATGTTCAAATAACCCAGAAGAATGAAGAAAAAGAAAAGAGAGAAATGAAAACAGAGAGAATGAATAAAAAATAACTTAAATGGCAATCTTAAGCCCAAATATATTAATAGTTATGTTAATTTTTTTTTTTTTTTTGAGACAGAGTCTCCCTGTGTCACCCAGGCTGGAGTGCAATGGTGTGATCTTGGCTCACTGCAACCTCCGCCTCCCAGGTTCAAGCGATTCTCTCGCCTCAGCCTCTTGAGTAGCTAGGATTTCAGGCACCCACCACCCTGTCCAGCTAATTTTTGTATTTTTAGTAAAGACGGGGTTTTGCCATGTTGGCCAGGCTGGTTTCGAACGCCTCACCTCAGGTGATCCGCCCGCCTCAGCTTCCCAAAGTGCTGGGATTATAGGCGTGAGCCACCGCACCTAGCCAATATAAATGTTTTAAATATACCAATTAAAGGAAAACAATTGGATGAATGAATAAACGGATAAAAACATGATCTATCCATAGGCTATCTATAAGAAACTCACTTCAAACATAGTAATATAAGTACAAAGAAAGTAAAACGATGGAAAAATATATCATGTAACCACTAATCAAAAGAAAGCAGGAGTGGCTATATTAATATCAAATAAGGCAAAATTCAGAGAAAAGAAAATAATCAGAGACAGAAGGAGACATCAAATAATGATAAAATGATCAATCACAAAGAACACATGAGAATTCTCAATGTGTATGCCCCAACAGAAATCAGAACCTATGTGAAGAAAAATCTCATAGAGCTGAAAGGAAAAAATGGGCAAATCCATAATTATAGTTGGAGATGTCAACTCCCTCTCTCAACAATGGATAAAACAACTATGGAGAAAATCAATAGGATATAAGGAACTCAACAATACCATCAACCAACAGGATCAAATCAGCATTTATGGAACACTCAAAGTAGAAAATACACACTTTTTTGAAGTGTCCATGGAATATACAGGTCATATCCTGAACCATAAACAAACCTCAGCAAGTTTAAACCTCAACAAATTAAATAATTTCTGAGTTGAAATTATTCATAGTATGTTCTCAAATCACAATAGATTTAAAGAAGGAATTAAAACATAGGATAACAAAATTTTCTGAATATTTGGAAACTAAACAACATACTTCTAATAATATTAATCCACAGATCAAAGAGGAAGTCTCCAGGAAAATTTTAAAACATACACACAAATTGAACTAGATGAATATGAAAATATAAAATATTAAAATGTGTGGGGCACAGATACATCAGTGCTGAGAAAGAAGTTTATAGCTAACTGCCTACATTAGAAAAAGGAAATGTGTCAAATCCATCATCTAAGCTCTCTAACATCCTAGACAAAAAAGAACAAAATAAACCTGAAGTATGCATAAGAAAGTAAATAACAGATTGTAGCAGAAACTGAATGTATTTAATCACTTAAAGATGGTTGGTCACAACCATTAAGTTGTCTTTCTGGCCTCCCATAAGGAAGTTCAATATTGTGGGTATTAATTTCATTGTGGATATTTATTTATTGTATGAAATAAATTTATCTTGTATTCGCAACAAGATGTTCTTCATTCTCTTTGTCACAGAAACTAATGTTTTTAGCATACTTCTCCAATTGCTGGAAATATTTCTAATTTAGTTACAGGCAAAAAGAGAGAGGCTGATGAGGGCCTTCCAAACTAAGCTGTGGGCGCTGCCCATGTGTGATTACTGCCTGGGGACAGGAAGCAGAGGATAGCCTGTCACACCTGAGTGAGCAAATAAAAAATAAACAGTCTAACTAGTTCAGCTTTTGTGGCATAATAACTCTACCCACTAGAAAAACACTGCCCAGTAAAAGTCAGGCTGTGACCATTCCATGCCTCAGAACTACCCAGTATTGGAGCTGCTTTCCCTCACTTGGCTAAGACACTTAAACCCCTTTCAATGCAGTAAAATGAGTCAGGACACCAAAGATGAGCCCCTAAATGTTGTTAAATGTCATTTTATTACGATAGAGAGTGCTAACTTACAACAGAGAGTATACATTTCGGGGTTCACCTGGCTCGTTCTATATTCAGATGAGCCAAAAGATGTGTGGGGTGTGTTTGTGTATGTGTGTGTGTGCGTGTGCGCGCGCACACACGCACATGCTTGCCGTGTCTTACTTTGTTGCCCAGGCTGGAGTGTAATGGCACGATCTCAGCTCACAGCAGCCTCAACCTCCCCAGGCTCAGGTGAACTTCCCACCTCAGCCTCTCGAGTAGCTGGGACTCCAGGCACACAGCACCACACTTGAATAATTTTTGTACTTTTTGTAGATAACCAGTTCCACAATGTTGCTCAGGCTGGCCTCGAACTCCTGGGCTCAAGTGATCCTCCTACCTTGGTTTCCCAAAGGGCTAGGATTATGGGTGCGAGCCACCATGCTCAGCCTGCCAATTTAAATTATTTTAAACAAGAGGGAAATATATGCTATCATGGATCTGGATGTCTAGAGAAGGGCATACTCCAAGTGAAGCAGCATAAAGACTACAGTTTCATTACTTCATGACTCTCTGGACTCTGTCTCCTGCCATGTTTGGGTTCTGACCAAAGACTGGCTACCACTATAATCTCAAGCTCACAGTAGCAATTGAAACAATACACTTTTTGTTTTGTTTATTTTAAGGAAACCTCTCCCCCAGTCATAGAAAAAAGATCTTGCTCATTAGCCTCATTGAGATCAATTTAAGTCATAGGCCTCCTTTTGTCTACAAATGTGAAATAAGACTATGGGAGGTTATACTTTGAAGAGCTAGGTAATTTGTTCAGTGTTATGAAAGAAACTACAGAGAGTATAAAGTTGGAGCCAATAAAAAGAAAATAATATTCATTTACACATAAGAATTAGCATGTGGTCATTTTCTGTATGTTTGCTAAAATAATAATAATTTTTAAAATGACATTGGACTTTTCATCCCAGTATTTTGATTCATCACTTACCAACTAATATTTAAACAAAGTAATCTTGCAGTAAAAAAAAATTTGAGAGGATTGTAAGAGTGACTTTTATTTTGTATAATATCATGTAATTAATACTTCATATTGGTGTAATTCAATTATAAATACTAGACTTTGAAATAATATTCTACTGGATTATTGAAAGCATGTTTAATTTCTTGCCACCAGGAGTTCAGTTTCTGCCCTGAGTCCTCCTGCTGCTTAAAAATATATACAAAACCATGAGTGAAAGAGTTGGCTTCAACATTTTGTTAAATATAAATAGTGTTTTTTAGAAAATCCTTTTAAAGCTGTAATCTGACATAATTTCCAATCTTTAAACTTCTTTAAGTAACAGTAATAATATTTGGTTACCTAGAGTAATTTTATAAAGATTCATTAATCTTCTAAAGTGCTTTGATAGATTAAAATGAAAGACCCATTTAGTGTGAACTTCTCTATCAGTTTGAATAATAATTAAATTTCAAATGGCAGTTTGCTTTGCATTACAGTAAAACATGTTTGCCACTGGTACTATTTCTTAACTTTTTGCTCTGCTCTACCAGTTTTTATTTTCACCATTTAAATTAATGCCATTAAACATTTTGTAGTAAAATGCCAATGGAGAGCACTATTTAAATCTGTTAGAGACGGGCTGGGTGAGGTGGCTCACACCTGTAATCCCAGCACTTTAGGAGGCCAAGGTGGGCAGATCTCTTGAGGTCAGGAGTTTGAGACCAGCCTGGACAACATGGTGAAAACCTGTTTCTACTAAAAATACAAAAATCAGCCAGGCGTGGTGGTGGGCACCTGTAATCCCAGCTACTCAGGAGGCTGAGGCAAGAGAATCGCGTGAACCCGGGAGGCAGAGGTTGCAGTGAGGCGAGATTGCACCACTGCACTCCAGCCTGGGCAACAGAGTGAGACTCTGTCTCAAAAAAATAAATACATACATACATACATACATCTGTTAGAGAAATAATAAATTTCTTTCAATTTACCTAACATGGTAGTATTTGTTCTAAGTATGATTTCATCCAAATAAATTATTACAGAAAGCAAACTTGCTAGTCTAATTTTATAGTGATCCGACAATAGTCATCTGATAACTGATGATGGGCACTTCCTGTTTACTGTCTAGTTTAGAAATATCCTCGAGAAACAGAAATCTCTTGAAATCTTTTTCTAAGAGACAGCTTCTCCTTTGTCATTTGACCTGAAAGAAGAGCTCACTGATACTGGCAGGACCTATATACATGAATTCCGCTTGCTTTCTTTAACTGACAACTGGATGACACTAACATTTCCTTGATGTTCCTTACCCAAGCAGCTGGGGCTCTTCATATTTAACTAACTTTTCTCAACAGGAGATATATCCCACTGACACACCAAATTCAAATCAAATTGTTTATACTTTCAAGAGAAACAAATGTCAAGACAGTTTCTATAGTATGTAAAGAAAGATTTGGTTTATTTAACTTGGAAGACTTTCCACCTTTTAGAGGAAACATATAAACTAGTATTTTGAACCTGTTCAAAGGAAGGGCAATTGTATTGACTGACATCAGCTAACATCAAGGTCTCATCAAACATATTTGTTCATATAAAATTATCTAATTCTGGCAAGTAGTTTTAACTTCCTCTATCATTTAGCATTGAGTTTGGCTACATATAAAATAAACTTATGATAACTTTTTTTTAAAACCAAGGTAGAAGTTTATTTTTCTTCTCATGTAAAAGAAATCCAGAAGTAGAAAGTCTATGTTTGGAAAGACACTTTCACAGTTGCGAGCGATCCAAGCTCCTCTTATCTGCTTTGCCAGTGTTAAGTGAATGACCTCCATTCTCAAAATTACCTCATGGTCTAAAATCGGTTGCTGGAGTTAAAGCTATCACATCCAAATTCCAGGGAGTAGGAAGGAAGGAGATATAAAACACAAAAGTGCCCACTGCCAAGCTAAGTTGACTTCCTTTAAGCCGGCTTCCCAGAATTCCATGCAACACTTACACTTACATATCTTTGGCTAGAACTTAATCCTGTGGTTCTACCTAACTGCACAGAATGCTGGGGAATGGGCTGGCTGCTGTGGCTCACGCCTGTAATCCCAGCACTTTGGGAGGCCAAGGTGAGCGGACCATTTGAGGTCAGGAGTTCGAGACCAGCCTGGCCAGCCTGGCCAGCATAGTGAAACCCGGTCCCTACTTAAATATACAAAAATTAGCCGGGCATGGTGGCCTATGCCTGTAATCCCAGCTACTTAGAAGGCTGAGGCAGGAGAATCGCTTGAACCCAGGAGGTGGAGGCTGCAGTGAGCCAAGATTGTGCCACTGCACTCCACCATAGGCAACAGAGCGAGACTCCGTCTCAAAAAGAAAAGGAAAAAAAAAGAATTCTGGGGAATGGATTTGCTTATCTGGGCACATTACACTCCAGAATAAAATCAGGAGTCTATTCCTACAAAGAAGAGAAGAGATATTGGGTGAAAATTCATAGTCTGTGTCATATCTATTATGTTATATTTGGTGGTTTTGTGAGAAATGTCATGCAGCCATTAAAAATAATGAATGAGAACTCTGCCAATTGACTTTGGGTAGATGTGTGTAGGGATTTCTACAGGATTGTTAGGTGAGAAAAGCAAAATGTATAGAATTGTTAAATATGATTCAATTTCGCATAACAGAGTATCTCTACATAAATATTAAATTGTATATATATGCATATGATATATCAATATGTAAATATGGAAACATTGCCAAGAGATACATAATACATCATCAAAGTGTTATCTGGGCAAGGGGAGAAGAAATTACTATCTTCATGTTCTTCCACTTGTTTTAAGAGGCATATGTTATTTTTGTAATTTGAAATACATAAAGTTTTTGTTATTTTATTTTATTTTAAAGATTATTTTAAAAAGTGACAGCCTCCATATCTGACCTTTGTAACACCTTCTGACATATTTGAAATTTCACAGTAAGGCATTCCATGATGGAGCCTATCCTAGGGGATCTTAGCGAAGAACCTCATAGGACCTCAATACAAAGTGCTTTACCTAAGTTGTCGTAAAATATTTATTTAGCTAAATTATTTATTTAGGCAGTATGTTAGATAATGTTAGGTAGAAATTGTTTTTGAGCTAATGAATGTTAACAAATGTTTATAAATATTTAGATATGAATATAAGGAAGAATAATACCACAATAGATATGTTAGCTAAATTGTCTAACATTTACGAAATTAAACAAAATTATACTAACATTGATGAAATTCAACAAAGTAACCTTTATGAATTATATTTAATGTTTACCTCTTTAATTCCATTTAGGCCATGAATCTTTCATGAGAAAGTCCTATTTGGGAATTAGTCATACGTTTCAAAAATAAATTATTCTCATGTCAACTTGGCTTCATCAAAATTTCATGAAGAAAAAAACTTCAAAATCATGTACAACAGCATAATATTATAAAACTATATTTGATCCAGACATAATAAAATGAAGAACATAAAAAATAAAGAAAAATAAATTAATCGCCTACTTACTCCAGCTGAATGTGGATTTCTATTTGGCATGGAAAATGTCCAGTGGACTGACCTGAGAAAAAAGCTAAAAACTAGCAATGCTGTTATAAATTATTGTTCCTTCAGTATAAGGTCAAAAAAATTTCAATGAATATTAAATATTTTAATAATGACATAACTTTCAAAATAAAATTTCAGATTTAAATTTATATCCAAATGGTTCACTCAATAATGGCAGTATTTGGCTTCTGCCTTGGTTGTGGCTAAATATTGATTTTCCATTACAGATCATTTGGCATCTAAACAAAAGTGTATTAAGTGGACCAATTAATAAAAATATCTTATTGGATAAACGATGCTTTATTACAAAAAAGGTCCTTCAGGAACACTAATGAGCATAATAATGATTTGGGGAGATTGTAATAAATGTCACTTCCTCTTTGAATAGTACCCCTCTCCCTCAATACTTATTCTGAATCAGAAATGGGCATTTTAAACAAGCACACTAAGAGCTTTTTCTGCATATCCCAGGACCTTGTTTTGAGAAACACTGCTGTAATAGAAAACTCTATTTTTTTCTCTTTTTGTCTTCTTTTAATTTAGCAGAGACAGGGGCTCCCTATTTTGCCCAGGCTGGTTTCCAACTCCTGGGCTCAAGTGATCCTCCCGCCTCGGGCTCCCGAAGTTCTGGTATTACAGGCATGAGCCACCATGCCCGGCCGAAAACTTTGTTTTAAACTTGATAATCACCATTATAGACCATCTTCATGTTTTCATAATAAAGATAGGGTGCAAACTGGCACTGTCATATACATAGAGCTTGGGGAAAAAATGTGCTGTAGCTTGGTAAATTAAAAAACGACAACAAAAACTAAGATAAGACTAAAATCCCTAGTGCTGCACCACATTTTTCTTAGTACTGAAAAGTGGCCAAGGAGCTGGTAGATAAATCTGAGGCTATTTAAGAAAAAATGTTTTAACTGTTTTGCAAGACTCAGGTGGTATCTCGTTTCTCTGTCTGTGGTGGGCGCATAGTTGGAGTAGAGAGTTGGCATACAGGGATAAAAAGAGGATTCAAATTGAAAAGTACTGAGCAATTACACTCAAAGACCTTGAATCCAACCCTGCAAAAGTTTTCATGGCTTCCAATTCCTAAATTCATTTTAAGTTTAAATGAAAGCAACCATCTAAGTGATGTGCTGGGACTCAGATCAGGGCTAACATTATAGATCTTATTCCAATTTCATAAACCTACATATTGAAATAAAACCCCAAATGCAAACAATGCATTCAATCACGTTGTAAATCATTTTCTGTGCTGGTTCTTTCAATCTTTAGCCAAAACTAGATCTGGGACAGATTCCAGGCAAGGACAAAAATGCAAAATTCCATACTCCCCATTCTTTGATTATTTTACCTTGAAGTGGATACTCGACAGTTAGCCACGGGAGAACTTGAAATTTTCTGATTCATTCTCCTCATTAATCAAATTGACCAAGTAATTTTTAAACCTCCAGTCAGCTTTGTGCCTTCCTGTTACTGGCCCAGTATGTAGTCTTCCTATGTCAGAGACCATGCACATAAAAAGAGTACTTGAAACTTATCTAGACCTACAACCAGTTTGACAGTGAGGAAGTTGAACCCAGCTTTCTTCGGGAGTTGCCCAAGATCAAACGGCTTGGGTTTGTGGCAAAACCAGGACTCAAGGTTAGGAATTCTGACTCTAGGCAAACGAAGCTCTTGAGAGTTCTTCCAAAACACTCCATGCGAGTGATTTAGGATGGTCCTAAGGCAGGAGGAAATGCAAAATGGTGGCACCCTTTGCCCTGACAAATGGTTCCTGAGTGACGTTAGTTTCTATGGTGGTGTAGCAAGAACATTTGAACTTCAGGCACGAAAACTGGGTTCCAGACACTAACAAACTACGTGCCCTTCGTGAACGTGCTTAATTTCTTTATGGGAAAGCAGCCAGTACAAACCTCCCCACTCATAGCTATCCAATATATCATTTCCTTCTTTCACTTGGGAATTATAAACATTCAGGGGAATAATGTAAGGTAAATCACTTAGGACAGTGTCTGGAACATATTAAGGCTCAATATTATCACTGACTACTACTATACTGCCAGTCTTTCAGAGAAGCTCTTGCTACGCGCCTCTAAAACGTAGGTAACACGCTAAATGTATTCTCGTAATTTTCTTTTACCGTGGCCCCAGACTGCGCATGTGCGCCCCCGTGCGGAATCGCGCACCCCAGCGGTTTTCCAGCGTACGCACAAGTTCCGCCCTAAGGGACCGCCCCTTTAAGCGCGGGCACTGCGGTGGAAGCGCGCGCTGGTCTGGACATGACGTAAACCAATGGGCAGGCCCGGAAGACAGAGGCGTTTGCTTCCGTGGCCAAAGGCGCTTCATTTCCGGGTGAAACTGGCATTGAGGGTACTGGGGCGTGCGTGAGGCGTTTACTGATGCTTCCTGGTCCGGTGGCCTCGGTCCCGGTAAGCCAGGCATGAAGATCACAAGGCAGAAACATGCCAAGAAGCATCTTGGCTTCTTCCGCAACAACTTCGGAGTCCGCGAGCCGTACCAGATCCTGCTGGACGGCACCTTCTGTCAGGCGGCGCTGCGGGGCCGCATCCAGCTGCGGGAGCAGCTGCCCCGCTACCTCATGGGGGAGACGCAGCTGTGCACCACAAGGTGGGCCCGGGGGGCTGGGGAGGAGGCACAGAGGGTCCGTCGGGTGTTGTAGAGGCGAGGCCGTTGCTCACAGACCTTCATTGCGAGCTCAGGAGGTGCAAAACGCCCCGCCCACGTGGAGTTGACAGTTAAGTGGAGAGGTGAAGGTGGTCAGGCGAATACCTATAATAGAGGCAGATTGGACAGTGCCCTGTGAATATCACGTGTCGTTAGCCTGGCGAATGAGAGCACATTATAGCAGAGAGATCCGACTTCGAATCTTGATCCCAGTTCTACCAGCTCTGTGATTTCTGTCAAGTTATTTAGCCTCTCTGAGCCTCGGATTCCTCATTTGTAAAATAAAGATGATAACTGCTTAGAAGATTGCTGTAAGCTCAAACGAGTATAGTGTACTAGAGCATTTTTCGGTATCCAAAGTGTACCCGTCTTCAAATGGTTGCTGTCATTTGCATAGCTTTTCTTAGTTTAAACCAAAACTCTGCAAGCCTCACAGTGAACCTGTGAGTTACCATCTTTGATGTCCAGGGCAAAAAGTCAGTACTTGAGATTAAGGAATCTGCCCAAGCACATTTGTTTATTCAACTCGCTTTATTAAGTACCTCCTATATGCCACATACTGCTCCCTCATGGCCAGTAAAGTGCATAAGTCAGTCTGCAGTGTGTGTTTTCACTCTAGGTCTGATGTTTCCCCACTTCATTGAAATGTGGGAACACTTAGGATGGAAGCTTGTCGGGATGAAGAGGAGAGAGGAGAGAATTGTGACAGATTTCAGATAACATTTGAGCCCATTCACTTGTTCAGTTCTGAGAGGAAGAACTATTTTGAATGACAGAAAAGAATGACACTTCTTGTTGTGGAGACCTCTTCACACGAAATGGAGTTATGAAATGCCTGGGAAAGAGGTTGCAGCACAGAATATATTTGGGAGTGAAACTAGGAAGAAGGCAAATTGAGGCTAGGCCATGAAGAACTATTAAGAAATTTAGTAGTTTTTTCATTGTAGAATATTTACTTTTAAAAAGCAAAAAAAGAAAATTAAAATGACTCATAATACCACTACTCACGAATAATCACTGTTAACATGTGCAGTGTCATCCATCCAGTTCTTTATACACACTCACACAAGCACAAGAATGGACTTTTAAGCCAGGCAAGGTGGCTCACACTTGTAATCCTAGTAGCTACACAGGAGGCTGAGACAGGAGGGTTGCCTGAGTCTAGGAGTTTGAGGTGAGCCTGAGCAACGTAGGAAACCCCCATCTCTAACTACAGCCATAACAAAGTATGGGCTTTTTCTGTGTATACTGTGTTAATAGTCTCCTTTTCCTCACATACGATTACTTAATGAACAGCTATCTGTATTTGTTCAGAATTTCTCAAGCAGGGTCTCGGCTGGGTTACAGATACCCCCAAAGTTTTGATCCCCTTAGTCTTTAGGGCTGTCTAACAAATCCTTCAGTAGTCTTTGCTCCTGAATTGATTGCTTTTGTCTACAAGCAATTTGTCCATATACTCCTGTGTGCCATAGAAATATTAACATTTTAAATATAGTGCTATGATATTAAAAAGGTTGAGAAGTGCCACATAAAATTATATTCTACAGCAATTTTTCTAACAAATTTATTTTAACTCTGGAATTTTTCAGACAACTCAAAGGTAGAATAATATAATGAAACCTCTCTCCAGCTTTTGCAGTTATTAACATGGCCAATCTTGTTGAATCCCTCACCTCTCCTTACTGATGGGTTGCTTTGGAGCATATTATTTATCACTTCTTTGGCATGTATCTTGAAAAGATAAAGAAGGCTTTTAAAAATCAGTATTCAAACTAAATACATATATTACATTTGATTTATATGTCACTTAAGTTTTTTAAAAAAATTTATTTTTGAGATGGAGTCTCACTTTATTGCCCAGGCTGGAGTGCAGTGGTGCGATCATGGCTCACTGCAGCCTCCGCCTCCCGGGTTCAAGTGATTTCCCTACATCAGCCTCCCAAGTAGCTGAGATTACAGATGTGTGACACCACGTCCTACTAATTTTTGTATTTTTTAGCAGAGACAATGTTTCACCACGTTGACCAGGCTCGTCTTGAACTCCTGACCGCAGGTGATCCACCCACCTCGGCCCCCAAAGCATGGGGATTACAGGCATGAGCCACCATGCCAGGCAGTTTTTAAAAATTTTGGCAGTTTCCCCTCCCTTTAAATTTTGCAATTTATGTTTTTAAGAAATCAGGTCATTCGTTTTTCAGTGGAATATATTTCTTGGCCACTAGTAGTTAGGTCTCTACAGAGTTTACTGATATTCAGGTTTGAAGATGTGTGGAGTTAATTGATGAAGTAGAACAGCAGAATGTTATCAGGCCTGGGTTTTATTTTAGAAAAGATAACTGCAGTGATGTGAAGGGTAAATTGGAGAAACAAGAGAGCAAAGGCATGAATCTGTTTTGCGGTTGTTTAATCAAGAAGTAAGGGGAGCCTAAACCTGGGAGAGGAAAGGCAGGAACCCAAGGGTTCTCCAAAGAAACGCTACGTTACTGAGATAGATAGGTTGAGCAGCTGATGGCATAGGAGTATGGGTGAAGAAGGGCAGGAAGGTCAAATGTGATTTCTGATTTCTATCTAGGGTGTCTGGGAAAATAGTAATTTCAAAGAGATAGCAAGTCTTGGAGGATAAATTTGGATACAGGAAAGTGGTTTGATCTTAGACATGGTGAATTTGAAGAGTTGATAGCAGGACATCCACAGGCTGGCAGTACTCAAAATAGAGGTCAAGTCTAATGACTAAAGCAAGCAAAATCTTCTTGAAACAGAAAGATGATAAAGGAGATGAAGCAAGAAAGAATCTGGCAAATGCTGGCTAGGGTTGAGGAACTCTTATGACTAAATGTTTTTTTAAAAACAACTTGATGATGTGAGAAGTTTTACTGTTCTGAATTGAAAATGTTTTGAAAGTATACCAATTTGTACTTGAAGCAGAAGCTTATTACGCTATGGTTGGGACAAGGGAGCTGTTGTCAAACTGCAAGTCTCGGTACCACTTGCTAGTTACTTGAACTTTGGCATGTTACTTGAAATCTCAGAATGGGGTGCTCTAAAATAAGGATAATTTCAAGGTAAGCGACCTAACTTCATAGGGTTACTTTGAGATTAATCAAGAATTTATGTAAAGAGCAATTTGCATACTACATGGAACATAATAAGTGCTCAGTTAATTTTAACTGTTGTTCTTCCTACTTGGTAAATGCATTTTTCAAGTGATCTTTTAAAGTAAATGGTTACCAGATGACAAATTTAGATTGTAACAGCATAGTTTTATTTTAAGAAAAAATCGACTATTGTTTTTTACACCTTATGTAAACAAGTGAAATGTATCTGCTATAATTTTTCTTTTCAGATGTGTGTTAAAAGAGCTAGAAACATTGGGAAAGGACTTATATGGGGCAAAACTGATTGCACAAAAATGCCAAGTTCGAAATTGTCCTCATTTCAAGAATGCAGTGAGTGGATCAGAATGTCTGCTTTCCATGGTTGAAGAGGGAAATCCTCATCATTATTTTGTGGCAACACAGGTGATACTACTTTTAAAACCACAGGCAATTTTCACCATTTCTATTTATACTTCATATGGAGCTATTTATAATCAGAAAAAAGTTAGAATGATTAGACTTTTAAAAATACAGGCTTCTAAGTTAATTTGCAGTCAGTAAAAGCAATTGTCATTTGAGAATTTGAGGAAAACTTTAAGCATGTTGATATTCTTTTTAGTAGTGGAAGGTTGGGTTTTGTTTTTTTTAATGATTCCTTTGTTTTGCTTTTTTTGTTTGTTTCTTGAGACTTGAGGGTCTCACTATATTGCCTAGGCTGGTCTCGAACCCCTAGGCTAAAGTGATCCTTCCACCTCAGCTCCTGAGTACCTGGGATTACAGGTGTTTGCCATCATGCTGGACACTGGCAGAAGTTTCTTTTTTTAAAACAAGAAATTGTTGACATGAGATGTGATGATTTGTTGTAGGGTTCTTGAAGGGAAGATAAGTAGAGCAAAGTGCCTGTATTCTGTTAATTTTTTTCATGTTCCTGTATTTCATACTGTTTCTCAAAGTCATGGTTCATACTGCTTAAGACTGTACCAACAGTATGAAATATTTCAGGCTTTTGAAGAAAAATATTCCCATCTTCTTGAAGGCAGGAGAAGAGAGACTTTTGGGGGTGATATTAAGTTCACATACATACAGATTTGATTATCAGAATTATAAAATTACACAGAGGTAGAGCTGAATTTAGAATCTGAGTAGCTAATTACTACCCAGTTTCTTTTCCTTTAACCTCTTTAAGCATTCTTGACCCTTTCCAAAGAATATCTTAGAGTGGAAACAGGAGAAACCCACCTAACACATTTACCTTTGCATTAGTTTGTAATTTGTGGCTCTAGAGTATCGATAAATCCGGTTCACACAGCTGCTACTAACACTGTGCTCAGTTTTTATGTTTTTCTTCCTTTATCATGAAATATACCCCCATTACTCAAATGAATAAGTGAGGCTTACTCATTTGAAAAATAAAATCTGTGATCTCTTTTATTTTTAATACAGTTCTTGAAAACCTATTTAAGGTACCTTAATTGACATTTGAACTAAATAATTCTGTTTTCTTTTAAATAGGATCAGAATTTGTCTGTGAAAGTAAAAAAGAAGCCTGGAGTTCCTCTCATGTTTATTATTCAGAACACTATGGTTTTGGACAAACCTTCTCCCAAAACAATTGCCTTTGTAAAAGCAGTGGAGTCAGGTCAGCTTGTCTCAGTGCATGAGAAAGAAAGTATCAAACATCTCAAAGAGGAACAGGGTTTAGTGAAAAACACTGAACAGAGTAGAAGAAAAAAGCGCAAGAAAATAAGTGGTCCCAATCCTCTTAGTTGTTTGAAGAAAAAGAAAAAGGCACCGGACACACAATCATCTGCTTCTGAAAAGAAAAGAAAAAGAAAAAGAATTCGGAACAGATCTAACCCAAAAGTACTTTCTGAGAAGCAGAATGCAGAAGGAGAATGAATCCTTTGGATACTTTCAAGGACATTCAAATGTGAAAATGAATTTTTTACAACTAGAAGTATTTATAATAAAAGACCAAACTTATTTTTGTAAATGAACCCATATGCTTTAGCTAAAATTAATTATAAAATAAAAACAGTGACCAGTCTAGCCAGCATGGCAAAACCCCATCTCTACTAAAATACAAAAATTAGCTGGGCATGATGGTGCACAGTTGTAATTCCAGCTACTCAGGAGGCTGAGGCATGAGAATCGCTTGAACCTGGGAGGCAGAGATTGCAGTGAGCCCAGTTCGTGTCACTTCACTCCAGCCTGGGCAACAGAGTGAGAACATGTCTCAAAAAAAAAATAAAAACAGTGAATGGGTGTAGGTGTGATGGAATTCACTTTACTTACTAAATGGTTTCGGGAGGTTGTTTCTCCAGGTAAAATTGTCGCCTCTCTGGTCCCATTCCCACCTTCAAACATTATATGCAAACAGTTTTAAAAAATCTTACAGTTCTAAAAGGCTTGTGACAAAAAAAGAGGCAGTCCCTCTTTCACATTGACAGAAGAAACTTCCTCTTTCAATTCTAGTAGTTGAAGAATTTATATTTCCAAATTGTATGATTATACCGCTACTTTTTGATACATCAATTATTTATTGACTTCCTACTAGAAAGAGTGAAATTTTGCCCATTTATACTGCACCATTTTTCCAGTATATGAATATTTTACTCTTTGTACATCAGAAACTCAGTATTTTCATTATTATGACTAGAGTTTTTTTGTTTGTTTGTTTGAGTTCTACTTGTCCAATAAGGATGATGATTTTCTTTTAGATGTAAATGTTAACTTCAATAGCAAGAATTCAAAAATAATATTCTCTTTGAGATTGACTGTGAATGTTATTGAAAAGTGTCTAAATTAGTCTGAGGATCAATGAGGGTCAATTCAGTTAGGAATTGAATAATGAAACGTGTCTCTCTGAATTCCCCCGGCAATTGTTTTAGTCATTTATCAGGCCAAAATTAAAATGTTTTTGTACTACAAGATGGAAGTATAAAATTATTGGACAAGTGAAATCGTATCAGTAGTTCCTGACTGACAGCTTCTGGAGCCACACTAGAGCAGTGATTCTCAGTCTAACATTAGGTTATCATGATGACGTATGAGTAAATTCTTAATGGTTAAATGTGAGACAGTTCACATTTATTCCCATAGAAATGTCATTCTCATTTGAATTCAGAGATACTTCTTTGCTGGAAGTTGGAATTATAGCTTTACACCAAGGAGTGACACGTAGACTAATCTGGCAAGCCAAGGTAGTGTTTGGATTGCAATGTCATGATTCTATTTTAAATTCTTGATGGTAGAAACATTTTTAATAAGGAAGGTAAAAATACTGGAAAAAAGTGAATAGTGTAGGTTTTGTGAGGAAAGTTAACATTTGTCAATGACAAGCATTAAGGCCACCTAATAAAGTGTAGACAAAGTGATAAATGAAATATACACTGATGATACTCATTTCAATATGCTAAAATACATTAAATTTAGGTATTACTCTTAATCTATTTCTACTTAGTCAGTGCTATCTGATTACCTGTTAATAGCATCTGAACTGGAGAGCTGGAAAAATCCACTTTTTTATGAAGCAGTAATTATAGAAGTACTAAAAATTACAATGTATTAGTAAGTTTAATATTTTGACAGGGCATGGTGGCTCACACCTGTAATCCCAGCACTTTGGGAGGCCGAGGCTGGCAGATCACAAAATTAAGAGATCAAGACCATCCTGGCCAACATGGTGAAACCCTGTCTGTACTAAAAATACAAAAATTAGCTGGGTGTGGTGGTGTGCGCCTGTAGTCCCAGCTACTCGGGAGGCTGAGGCAGGAGAATCGCTTGAACCCAGGAGGCGGAGGTTGCAGTGAGCCAAGATCATGCCACTGCACTCCAGCCTGGTGAGAGAGTGAAACCCCGTCTCAAAAATAAATAAATAAATAAGTTTACTATTTTAAAACTGGTTAATCATTTATGTATTTTGCCAGTAAAATTACTTTAAAAGATATTTTAACAAAAGTCTCATATCCTTGTACTTCAGTTTTTTTGTGTGTGAATACTATCCCTATACCACTACCCCTAAAACCTCAGAATTATTTGCTTTATTTTTTCATACAACTTGGGGAAGGGAACCATGGGAGTATGCACATGGGATCATAATCCATTCTGTGGTTTGGAAAAAGAAAATGTTAACCTCTGCTTTAGAGGGTAGCTACTAGCTTTGTTGGGGATAAAAGTGTAATACATGCACTTTTGAACTCTGAAAGTTTGCCAATCTGAAAAGGGGTGTTTCTGAAGACCACTATCTTTTACGAACACTTAAAAATAAGTGTTTGCAGTTGTGTATGGGCACGATACTGTATTCTTTACATTTTTATGGCCCTACAGCTACTTCTTATCCCTGCAAGTATATAAATTAAAACCAAGTCACTTTAGAACAGCTTTGAAACTAGAGTTTCAAAGGTAAAAGGATCTCATGTTTCTGAATCTGCGTAAAGCAAGATGGCTGTGATTTGACAGGTTTAATTGCTAGTTTTTTATAGGTGGATAGAAATGAATAGTTTGGAGTCTTTAAAATGTTTTAAAAAATGTTTGCTTACTATCTATATATATGACATTATTCCCAATTAGTTTTATATCTCCAAGATATATATATGTATATAGGTATATACACATATGTATATATACATAGTCTATATATTCTATATAAGAATATATTCCAATAAGAATATATTCCATACGGGAATATATTAGTCATTGATGTATTTTGCCGGTAAAATTAAAAGATATTTTAACAAAAGTCTCATCTCCTTGTACTTCAGTTTTTGTTTTTTTTTGTTTTTGTTTTTGTTTTGTGAATACTATCCCCATACCTATATTCCATACAGGAATATAGTCTATATATTCCATATAAGGATATATTCTATATATTCCATTTAATATATTCTATAAAAATATATATTCCATATAAGAATATAGAATGTATAATACACGAATTTGTACTGAGTAGAATGTGTCAATACATATTTGTTGAATGAATGAAAATGAAGGCCAAGTGTGGTGGCTTATGTCTGTAATCCCAACATTTTGGTAGGCCAAGGTAGTAGGATCACTTGAGCACAGGAGTTTGAGACCAGCCTTGGCAACATAGGGAGATCTCATCTCTACAAATAATCGAAAAATTGCCAGGTGTGGTGGCATGTGCCTGTGGTCCTAACTACATGGGAGGGTGAGGTGGGAGGATCACTTGAGCCTGGGAGGTTGACATTGTAGTGAGTCTTGATCATGTCACTGCACTACAGCCTGGGCGACAGAGCAAGACCCTGTCTCAACAAACCAACAAAAAAGTAAATGAAATAACGTCAGGTCTACCAGAAGGGAGAGTCATGACTCATCCAATTTCCAGACTAAAATAGTTCAAGGGCCAGAACTCCTTAATTTAAGGGGACGCTGGGTTCTCTTGAGAAAGAATCCAGTATATAAAAATTACAGTATATACTTGTAGCAGTGCTTCAAGTCCCCTTTCCCAAAGGGACCTGTGGCCACTTTCTAGAGGGACTGTGAATTGGGGAATAGAAATACTCAGACCTTTGGGAATATTTCTGGTTCTGAATTGATGCTAGTTGCTAGGGTCTCAAAATGCTACTGGACCACCATTTAGAGTAGGAGTTTATGGTGGTGAAGTGACAGAAAAATTGAGTTTTAGGTCAAATTTGAGTCCAGTGAGCTCAGTAGGTACTTGAGCCCATCCTGTTTATTCCCAGTTCAGAAAGTACAGTCGTTAAAGACATACTTGGTAACTGGTCATGTCCCCATATTGGCTCTCATTTATGGGCTAAGGGTCGTTAGGATAGGAAGGGTCAAGTAGAAGCTGTTGGAATTTCTCTTTTCTGCTGTATAATAAACCAAAAGATAGGACATCACTGGGGGAATTGCAGAGATTATTAACACTACTATCATCAAATGATAGAATGAGGTAGAAGTGTTTATTCCTATTACATCTCCATTTAATGCATCTATTGGGCCTCTGCAGAAGGTAGATGATCTTAAAACCAATGACTGTGGATTATTTTAATGTTAATCAGGCAAGATTTATTTCCAGCAGTTTTTTCAGATGTAATGTCTTCACTGGAACAATGAATACAGCTCTTCACACCTGATACAAAAATGTGCACCGCCCCCCCCACCCCCACCCCACCTGGCCCCTTCCCCATACCCTGCTCTTTATCAATGTGCTAGGACCACTAAAAGAACTTTGTTTTTTGGCTGACTGCAGTAGCTCACGCCTGTAATCCCAGCACTTTGGGAGGCTGAGGCGGGTGGATCATGAGGTCAGGAGTTCAAGACGAGCCTGGCCAACATAGGGAAACCCGGTCTCTACTAAAAATACAAAAGTTAGCTTGGCGTGGTGGTGGGAACCTGTAATCCCAGCTACTGAGGAGGCTGAGGCAGGAGAATCGCTTGAACCCAGGAGGCAGAGGTTGCAGTGAGCTGAGATCATGCCATTTCACTCCAGCCTGGGTGACAAGAGTGAGACTCTGTCTCAAAAAATTACATAAATAAATAAATGAAAAGAACTTTGTTTTTTCTTGACAAGGTTAATAGTACACCTTCACAGTCTTGCATCATGCATATGTTGGCTCATAGGCTCTCAGCCATAATATAGTCTGAAGAGATCTCGATTATCTTGACATTCTACACAACATCACATTGGCCCACTACAATGATTTATTTGTATGAAAAATAGTTGCACCATCTTAGGTGAAAGAGGGAGGGCCAGGTGCAGTGGCTCTCTCCTGTAATCCTAGCACTTTGGGAGGCTGAGGCAGGAAGATCACTTGAGGCCAGGAGTTTGAGACCAGCCTGGGTAACATGGCAAAAACCCTGTCTCTACATTTTTTTTTTAATTAGCCAGGCACTGTAGCATGCACCTGTAGTCCTAGCTAGTCAGGAGGCTGAGGCAGGAGGTTCTCTTGAAACCAGGAGTTGGAGGCTACAGTGAGCTATGATGACACCACTACACTCCAACCTGGGCAACAGAATGAGTCCCCATCTCCTAAAAAAAAAGAAGGAAACAGATTGTTCATTGTTGTATGAAAGTTTAAATATATGTATAGAAAAATATAAATATATGTATAGAAAGTTTAAATATATGTATAGAAGGGTGCATATGGATGCAGTGTAGGCAAAGGGGTGGGTTGGGCCAGTTCCAAGCTCACCTTTCTATATTCTACATTGTGATGCTGGAGCTGGAACTCTGCAACGTGCAATTTTCCAGTGACAGGTACTTTTTGTTGGGTTCTGCCAATAATGGGCTCTAGAGGCAGGATCTGGAAGGTTAGTGGGGGAGGAAAAGACTGAATTCCTCCTGTTGCTTCCTGTGAGCTTACTGCTTTTAGCTTTTGTGAATATCATTTCTTCCCTTCTAGCAGCAGCAATTTCTCATCCAAGTAGGCTTCAGATCAAGTTTGCAACATTTGCAGAACCTGCTATATTGCTTCAACCCACCTCCCTCCCATCAGAGAACCAGATACCAGCACTAGCTGGCTGGAGCCCACTCTTCTGAGATTTGTCTGGGTACTTGGCCCTGCCTCTAAGCTGAGAGACATCAGCACCTGTGGATTAAAGCCTAGCTTCTCAGAGGTTTCAGCTCCATAGGGATCCTTTTTCAAGCTTTTAAATTTTAAGAATTCTAACCCTTTCCTTTTGTCCCCCTTGACTTAGGGACAGAAACTGCTTCCTCCAGTTACTACCTCCAGAATCCTGAGTTCACTTTTTAGCTATTTAATTATCTGGTTAATAACTTTATACCTAATTAATATTGTTTATATTAAATGTTCTCTGTTTACATTACTGCTGTGTTTTTTCTCTTAACTAGACCCTGATGGACTACAATAATTTTGCTTGGCCAGCCTTGCTTCTTGTGTCCATTCTGGAGCTAGAGGAAGAGATCACCTCTACCTAAATTAGATAGACTGAGATTGAATAAGGCATAGTCTACTAAAGCAAAAATATAAGGTCCTATTACCAAGACAGGAAAGGAGGTATCAGAAAAAAATCATATCTAAGCACTAAGTTTATCTTTAAACTTGGGAAGTTGAAAAGACAACCTCCAGAATGGAAGAAAATTTTTGCAGCTAACATATTTGATTAAAAAACTTGGCCAGGCATGGTGGCTCACGCCTGTAATCCCAGCATGTTGGAAGGCCGAGGTAGGTGGATCACCTGAGGTCAGGAGTTCGAGATCAGCCTGACCACATGGAGAAACCCTGTCTCTGCTAAAAATACAAAAAAATTACCCGGGCGTGTTAATGCTTGCCTGTAATCCCAGCTACTTGGGAGGCTGGGGCAGAAGAATCGCTTGAACCTGGGAGGCAGAGGTTGCAGAGAGCCGAGATCACGCCATTGCACTCCAGCCTGGGCAACAAGAGTGAAACTTCGTCTCAAAAAAACAAAAACAAAACACTTGTATCTAGAATATAGAGTAACTACAAGTCAATAATTTAAAACACCCAATATTATATCAACATAAAAGTTTAAAAACAACCCAATTAAAAAATGGGCATAGGATATGAATAAACGTTTCTCCAAAGGAATATACAAATGGCTAATAAGCAGAGGAAAAGATTTTCAACATCACTAGCCATCAGGGAAATGCAAATAAAACCACTATGAAATGCCATTTCATACCTAGTAGGATGGTTATAATCAAACAGAAAATAACTGCTAGAGAGGATATGGAGACATTGAAATCCTCATATATTGCTGGTGGGAATGTAAAACGGTACAACTGGTTTGGAAAACAGTCTGGCAGTTTTTCAAGTAGTTAAACATAGAATTACCATATTATCCAGCAATTTTACCTGTAGACATATACCCAAGAAAAATTAAAACAGATACATGTACATGAAAATTCACAGCAGCATTATTGATGATACTCCAAAATGGAAACAACTCAAATGTCCATCAACTGATGAGTGGATAAACAAAAGGTGGTACAATGGAATATTATTTAGCAGAAAAGGAAATGCTACACATTACAAGATGAATGAACCTTGAAAATATGCTGAAAGAAACCAGTCATGAAGGATCATATATAGTATGATTCCATTTATATGAAATTCCAGAATAGGTAAATACATAAGACAGAAAGTAGATTAGTGGATTCCTTGGGCTAGAGGAGATGGTGATGAAGAGGGGGGTATAGGGATTTTCTGGGAGGGTAGTGAAAAAATTCTAAAGTCAAATGTTATGATCGATGCCCAACAACGTGAATATATTAGCAGCCATTGAATTGGTATACTTTAAATGGGTGAATTTGTGTATTAGGTAAATTATTTATCAATAAAGCTGTTTAAAAAGTGTTGTACACACAGTAAGCATACAATACCTTCTTATTCATGAATTAGTCAAGAAACCAAGTGGATTGAACAAATTATACCTCTGCACTTTAGGTGTATTTAGTGGTAGGTAAAGAAGAAAAGCAAATATATCCAATTGTTTCCAGTTTCCTTAAAGGGGGAAAAAAACAAAATTTACTGACAAGCTATTTGGGTGCTAATATTTTATTTCTTTTTCTCCTATGAATTAATCTCAAGTGGATCTCTGCTAGCTTACTAATGCTCACTGTCCACCACCTCATGCAGTCAGAAAGATGCCATCTGTTCTCTTCAGCTGCCAAAGTGTCACAGGTTACCCACAGGTACTAAATGCTGAAAAGATAAATCTTCCAGATGCTCATCATTTTGCCCAACTATTTTACAATGATATTTTGTTTAACTTTATATGAAAATGATAATCCCTATGTGATGAAATATTTTGATCTCCAAAATTGAATTAGCAAACAAATCTTTTATGTGCTGAGCAACATGAACATGGTGCAGTTTAGCTATCGGAAGTAATAGCATTCATACTGGGACTTACTTAGTTTTCTGCATTCAGAAAGAGCAGGGCATGAAAGGAATGTCATTGAAGTTTAGAATACCCATGTTTGCTATTAGCATGTGCTCTCCCCATCCGAGGCCCCTGAGAATGGTGGTAAAGCCAGGTAGCTAGTCAGGTAGGCAGCAGCCCTGATTTCGACAGCTCTGGGTTTTTCTCTCTCATCATCATTCCCTGAAACCGTACATTTTGACACTTAGAACTGTAACTAGGATTTTCTTTGGTTAAAGTTCAAAGACATTATTTTATTCCACTCTTGTTTTCCAGTAGTGCTTGATGTCATTTCTGGCACCTAAGTGCTTAATAAATGTTGAATAAATGAGTAAATGAATAAATGAACAAATTGAATTGAAGTAAATAAAGTATATTATTATCACCTGTTTCATAGGGTCTCCAGCCTTCCTGATTCATGACTGTCAGTATCACAGACATGTTCTCACTCTTTCTTTTATGTATGACAAAACAGGAGCTATGTAACTTTTCTTGTCAATACAGCACAGGTATTGCTCAAAGCTTTATGCCTGGAATGCTTGTACATTTGGAAATAATCAGCAGTTAGAGAAAAGAATCTTACATTGTGGTCAAAAGGAAGAAATAGTTAGAAATCTATTGTTGGCAAATATGTATTTTTTTTATAAATATGTATCTTAACTGAAATATTACTAACTTACTTCTAAAAATTATTTACTGCTTTTCTCATCACTATATATATATATATATTTTTTTTTTTTTTTTTTTTTTTTTTTTTTTGAGTCAGGGTTTCACTGTGTCACCCAGGCTGGAGTGCAGGGGCACCATCTCAGCTCACTGCAACCTCAGCCTCCCAGGCTCAAGTGATCCTCCCACCTCAGCCTCCAGAGTAGCTGGGACTATGGGACTACAGGTGGGTGCCACCACACCCAGCGAGTTTTTGTAGTGTTTATAGAGACGGGGTTTTGGATGTTGCCCAGGCTGGTCTCAAACTCCTAAGCTCAAGCTATCCACTCTCCTTGGCCTCCCAAAGTGCTGGGATTACAGGCGTGAGCCACCACACCCAGCCCTCATCACTCTATTTTAATGGATTATTTTGATTGGGAGTATTCTGAATATGTGTGTGGGTGTGTACACACTGTTGCACATAAAACACCTATTATTTTTTAGAACAAGTGTAATTAATAGTGCAAGACTGCCTGCTGCCCCTCACCTTCTAGCAATCCTAAAGCTGTTTCCCAGAGATCATTGCTAATTTCAAGAGGACAGAGACATACTCTTTCATTTCTCTCTCCGTCAACCAAAAAAAGCTGATGATAAGAGAGCCATCATCTGACCAGTGTCTGACTCGGTGTCCTCCCTACTGGGTCATTATCCTTTGTACTGACATCTACTCTGTACTGGCTTCCTGGAAGACACCTAACCATCCTCCATTATTTCTCACTGCAATGACGAAGTACTGTAACCTTTCTGGAAATAATGGCCTATCATTATGCATCTGGTCCCTACCATGCTCTGGCTAAACATACCCAGGACCTTCTGAAAAAAAGAAATCTGAAAAAGAAAAAGGAAGTCAGAAATAGGTATATGTACAATCAGTGTGAGAAGCAGAATGCTGTGAGACAACGATTCTCAGCTCTTACTGTGCACCAGGATCATGGGGAACAGTAATAAAACTAATAGATATCCAACTCCAACCTGAGAGAATTAGATCCCTTTAGTCTGAGATGGGTCCAGCCATTTGTGTAATGTAAATGTCCTCCAGGTGTTTCTAATGTGCAGGTTGGTTGAGAATCTCTGGTGTAGGAAAGAACTTGAGTTTGAGAGTCAGGTAATTTCAGGTTCAAATAATCAACTTGGGCCTCTCCTTTTCAGTTTTCTAATAGGTAAACTAGGGTTGATAGGGGTGTAAATAATTATAGTGTCTGTCACCTGATACATGGTCAATAAATAGTTTCCAGGTTAAAGTGGATTACTATGCAGCCATTAAAACTTTTGGTGGGTAGATCACCTGAGGTCAGGAGTTCAAGACCAGACTGACTAAAATGGTGAAACCCTGTCTCTACTAAAAATACAAAATTAGCTGGGAGTGGTGGTGGGTGCCTGTAATCCCAGCTACTAGGGAGGCTGAGGCAGGAGAATCACTGAACCGGGGAGGCAGAGGTTGAAGTGAGCCGAGATCACACCACTGCACTCTAGCCTGGGCCACAGACTGAGACTCCATCTCAAAAACAAACAAAAAAACAAAAAAAGGGATGTATTGTCTCACAGTTCTGGAGGCTGGAAGTCTGAAATCGAGGTGTTGGCAGAGCCAGGTTCCCTCTGAAACCTGCAGGGCAGAATCAATCCTTCTCTGCCCCTTCCTTGCTTCTGGCAGTTGCTGGCAATCCTTAGCCTTAAGGAAGGCCTCCTGCTGCAGCACTGCCACCTCCACGTCTGCAGTCACAGGGCGCTGTCCTCACCTGTGTCTATGTCTCTGCATCTCTTTTCCTCTTTTTTTTCCTTTAAATATTTATTTATTTATTTATTTTAGCTATCTCCTACTAGAAGGATTTTGTTGTTTTTTATTTTCTTTTTAGTTTCCTTTTAGTTTCTTTTCCTCTTCTTATAAGGACATCAGTCATATTGGGTTACAGGCCCATCCTACTCCAGTGTGACCTCATTCCCAACTTTAGTTACATCTGAAACGACCCTACTTTCTTTTCTTTTTTTTTTTTTTTTTTTGAGATGGAGTCTCACTTTGTTGCCCCAGGCTGGAGTGCAGTGGCACCATCCCGGCTCACAGCAACCTCCACCTCCTGGATTCAGTGATTCTCCTTCCTCAGCCTCCCTAGTAGCTGGGATTACAGGCACCCACCACCATGACCGGCTAATTTTGTATTTTTAGTAGAAACGGGGTTTCACCATTTTAGCCAGGCTGGTCTCGAACTCCTGACCTCAGGTGATGCACCCGCCTTGGCCTCCCGAAGTGCTGGGATTACAGGCTTGAGCCACTGCGCCCGGCCCCTACTTTCAAATAATGTCACATTCCTAGGTACTGGCAGTTAGAACTTCAACAAATCTCTTTAAGGAACATGATTCAACCCACCACAGAATGGAAAGAAAAGAGGTAAAATGATGGGTTTTGGCTTGAGCAACTGGAAGGATAAAGTTGCCATCAGCCAAAATGGAGAAGGCGGCAGACAAAGCACATTTTGGGGGTGAAGATCAGCATTTCCAAAATATTTCAACTCATACTACATACACAATCAGCTGCTTGTTCCACAACTAAAAAGGGAGGGGAGAATTACATTCTTGTAAATGTATGTGGATTATGGCAAAAATAATTCTGAGAGCTACTGCTCTCATAAGAAATTCATATATATTCAGAAAACAGTTATTCAGTTTCCTGAATAAAAGCTTAAATTGTTTAAATGAATGGGAAGTTTAAAAATTGCATTTCATATTTGTCAGGACCCACCCCCGCCCCTTTGTTTTTTTGCAAATTTACCTTTAGCACACAGTTTCGGCACTGAAGAGGAAAAACTCTTTTTGAAAATCTATAAAAGCTTTCTGAACTCTTTAAGTAGGCAGAGACGACTCTTAGGGGATGAGTCTAAGTAAACACTTAGCTCATTATGTAAATTTGATGTGTGGGTGCCAAAGTCATTATAATATTTCAGTTGAAAGTTACTGAATGTTCATAGCTTTGAATCATTTTCAGAGAGTTTCATCTTTCTTTGAACACCTTGTCATATTTCCAATGTCCTAGGGATTATTTGACTGTACAGACTAAAATCTATTCAAAATGACATAAACAAAGGAAAGGCTCTACTGGAGCATCTCCCAAAATGCCAGGGAGGGGAGAGAAGCTGGGCTTCATGAAGACCAGTAACTGGAAACAGGGCCCAAGGCAGCTGCCCTCTCCAGCCCCATCTCTTGGGTTCCCAGGGCTCTTGTCTCTGCATCTGATTTGCCTTGTGTTTTTGCTTCATTTTCCCCTCCCAGATGGGCAGTTGCCCCTCTTCTGCCTGCTCATGCTGCCTCCCCATCCTCCAGTGGCGCCCTTAGCCTCAGAGTTTATATCACTCTAGGAAGCCAGGGCTGACGGCTCAGGAATCTATTCTCTCCAGAACCTGAATTCACATCTTTGCAAGAGGGAATCTGATTGGCCCAGCGTCCGAAATTGTTTACTTATGGTCTAATCAGCTGTGTCAGGGGGGCATGGTCATGTTCATTCATTAGAAAAATGTTTACTGAGAGCCTACTGTGAGCCTCTTGCTCTTATAGGTTATATGGATATTGCAGAGTAAAGTCCCCACTCTCAGTGGAGCTTAAAATCCACTGGTGTTGAGGAAAAGTGTCTGTTTTCCACCCTGTGTATATGTGTATGGAACGGGCTGGTGTTAGAGCAGGGTGGACAGACATCCTAAAAAGATAATATTCTATTTTGAAATCTGCCAAAATAAGAGATGTCATATCTGTCTGGGCTAGGCTATACTTTCATTTTTTTTAAATTGCAATTGCAATAAAGAGATTCACTCTCCCTTTATGCCTTATCAGAAGCGGAGAGATCTGCTGCTTAGAAGGTGAGATTCTTCGTTTGTTCACCCATTCCTGCCCCAGGGCTGACATAGAGCTTTTTGTGATAGGAGCAGGTACAGGGAAGGGGGAGTGGGGTGTGTGCTCCAGTCCACAGTCAAACCTCTATTCAGCTAACCAGCTGGATGTTCTACCAAATTATAATAACAATAAGGGCTGACCTTTCTGGAGGGTTTACAATGTTGCTTTGCAGTGGTCTATGATAATGTGTATTATCTTACTTAATCCTTACAACCCCATGGAAAAGGTCCGCATTTTACAGATGAAGAAATTAAGCAGAAAGATTAAGTGACTTGCCCAAGATCTCTCAGTTAGCAAACGATGAGCCAGGATTTGAACCTAGAGTCAGTGGAACAGTCACTAAATTACAAGATCTCCAAGGCACCCTGGAGATGGCGATGGTTGAAGCTTCTAACTACTGCTAGTATCTTTCCTAGACAGAAACTAAAAGTTCATGGAGATGTCCAGTTATTCTTTTCATCCACCTTATTTGGGATGCAAAGTGACAAGTACTCTGATTTATAGAACTCTGTACCTTAAATGAATAAGCAGGCAAGCTTTTTAACCAAAAAACCCTTAAGCAGAGGACTTGTGGGAGTTACAAGTTCTCCTCCCTCAAGACTCACAACTTACCTTTTTGAAAAGACCATAGCAACCTTTAGAGTACCTGTCTTCAGTGTCTTGCCCAAACTTGTTCAGCAAGCAAGTGGTGAAAGGAAGACACCACCTAAAGCCCGTGGCCTTAACCACTAAAATACGCAACTCAAAGGCACTTGTGATGGTAGGTAATTCTAAGAGACTCCAAGGTAATTGTGGTCTGTTGATCCCATCTGCTATCTCTAGTTGAAAGAAAACCTTTGATGTTGTATTGGGGTGTGCGTGGCAGGATCCAAAGCTCCTTATAGTGGATTTTCCTAAAAATCTCCACTAAAATCTTTCAAGTCCAACCCTTATAAAGCCTTCTGTGAATTCTCATCCCCTAAAGCAGAGTTGATCATTCCTTCCTACCTCCCACAATGTCCTTTGAATATATTTCCATTAAATTATGCAATTATCTCATTACAATACTTTTATTTTTTGAATTTATGACCTGTGAGCTTTTGGAGGTCAGAAGTTTCTGCTGTTCTGTGCGCTGCTGAATCCCCATTGCCTAAGCGCTGTCCCCAGCATGTGGCAAACACAGATTAATGCTTGTTGAAGAAAGACCAGAAAGAAAGAAAAAAGGAAGAAAGACAAAGTGATAACCAACTTCTGTGACTATTTTCAAAATCTTTACAACTATTAGTTTTCTTATTTCTAGAACTAAAACTCTTTAAAGTGTCTAGATGTCTTTCACATTATCAAAGAAGGAATCTGATGTCTTTGTGGTATCTGTTTATGACCTTGTTCTGAGCCCAAATCCAATTATTCTTGGGTAATCTTGATTACATTGCAAACTTTCAAATTCTCTCTCATCACACACACACACATACACACACCACAACACACAACATGTGACAATCATTCTATTAATAGTTTATATATCTTATCATGCTGTATCTACCATTTACTCAGAAGTCAAATTAAATCTCAGGTGGGATTAGTCTGTCATTTGTTTTGCCCATAAAACACATAGTTAGCAGAAGTGAAGTTTATTCAGCTAATTAAAAGCTTACTAATTGAATTTACTTTCAAAGATATTACTCTTATTATAAACAAATCTATGTGCTTTAGGAATGTACCATTATCTTAGTTATAATTTGAGTTTAGGTTGAAAACAGAATGGGCTAGGTTTAGGGTGGCTGGGATCTGAAATAGGAGCAACCAGAGACTTACAGCTGATGAAGAATGGGAATTGCAGTAGTCAGGACACTTATGGTTGCAAATGACAGAAAATTGGCTTTTACCAATTAATTATTGGGCCACATAATAACCTAAAAGTCCTGGGATAGCATTAGCTTCAGTCTCAGCTGGATCTAGGTGTTTGATTTCATTCAGACCACTCTCCAAATCCATTTTTCATTTCTGCTTTGCTTTGCTCTGGTTTTACCCTCAGGTACATGTTTCCCATCTGGTAGCCTCCCAGAGGCTGTAGTTTCAAGATGCAGAAAAGAGTTCATTTCTCATTTCTCTCTTTCTTCTCTCAGTATATCCCAAGAATGTACACATTCTGCACCAATTATGGAGGACAACAGTATGTGATTGATGCTCTGATTGGCTAGCTCTGGACCACATGACCAACTCTGCTCTGGTGGTAGAGCTAATTCCACTTAAACCACATCAACAGAGAATGGGTAAGATGTGTTTCCTCAAGGGAGACTGTAACACTATTAGAAGGAGGAGTGAAAGTTGGCGTGTAAGAAGCAAATGATCACTACTGATATGTGGGCATTTGAGGTGAATTAAATTTTTACTTGAATTATTTTATGTTTTCATACTCATCAGAGTTTGTATAAACTATGGTAAAACTTACTGTCAGCTCTCAGCATGCTTAACTGGTCTTTTACTGTCATCATCATATGAAGACAATATCTGTTATGGTCTGAATGTTTGTGTCCCCTTCAAATTCACATGTTGAAACCTAACCATCATTGTGCTGGTATTAGGAGGTGAGACCAGTGGGAAGTGATTAGGTCACGAGGGCAGAACCCTCATGAATGGGACTAGTACCCTTGTAAAAAAGGCCCCAGAGAGCTGCCTTGCCCCTTCTAGCATGCAAGGACACAGTGAGAAGACGCCATCTATAAACTAGGAAGCAAGCCCTCACCAGACACCAAATCTGCGGGCATCTTGATCTTGCACTTTGCAGCCTCCAGAACTGTGAGAAATAAATTTCTGTTGTTTGGAAGCCACCCAGTTTATGATATTTTTAAATGGCAAGCCAAATGGACTCAGACAATACCCAACATCCAAATAAAGAACTTTATAATTTATCTTCATTTGCTGCTGCTCATCCCTCTTATTTCTTTCATCTGACTTTGGTCTCCAGGTAAAATGAACAGAAAATGGGCATAAATTGAGGTATCCTATGACAAATGCATTTGCTTTTTCTATAGAATTACATCCTAAAAAATTTGAAAATTCACTTTCTCCTACGACTACCTTTTTTTTTTTTTTTTTTTTTTGAGGTGGAGTCTCGCTCTGTCACCCAGGCTAGAGTGCAGTGGCGCGATCTCGGCTCACTGCAAGCTCCGCCTCCCGGGTTCATGCCATTCTCCTGCCTCAGCCTCCCGAGTAGCTGGTACTACAGGCGCCTGCCACCACGCCTGGCTAATTTTTTTGTATTTTCAGTAGAGATGGAGTTTCACTGTGTTAGCCAGGACGGTCTCGATCTCCTGACCTCGTGATCCTCCTGTCTCGGCCTCCCAAAGTGCTGGGATTACAGGTGTGAGCCACCGTGCCCGGCCTCTTAAGACTACCTTAGAAAGTAGATTGCAAAAAAACTTTAAACATGTATGTATTTAAAAATTTAATAACAAAACCCCCCAAATTCTGTCATGATCTTGATCATTAGAAAGATTTATGTAATTGGAGAATTTCAGAAATATCTTGGCGGCAGAACTAGATGCCTTTTGAGGTTCAATTTAATTCTAACATCCCGTTAAAATTTAATGTACAATATGTAGAGAAGGACAGCAACTACACACTGTACACCCTAAGACTGATTTTTAAAAAAGCAACATCAACTTCAACATCCAAGTATCCTATACTTTACACAGTGCCTGGTATGTAATAGTTGCTTAATGTTTGCTGAATGACAGTGTGATCAAAGGAGTGTTGTTACATCTGTCACTCTGAGGTCCTTCTGGTGATGTTGCCATATCTTATAACATCAACAAATGTTTTCTTAAAAATGAAATTTTCAGGTGCATTGGCTCACACCTGTAATCCCAACATTTTGGGAGGCTGAAGTGGGAGAATTGCTTGAGGCCAAGAGTTCGACACCAGCCTGGGCAACACAGTGAGACACCATCTCTACCAAAAAAATTAAAAAATTAGCTAGTCATGGTGGTGTGTGCCTTTAGTCCTAGCTATTCCCAGGAGTTTGAGGTTGCAGGGAGTATGATTGTGCCACTGCACTCCAGCCTGGGTGGCAGAGCAAGACTCGGTCTCTATTTTTAAAAAAAGAAAGAAAGAAAAATTTGCCTTCACTGCCAGTTCTACATTGTGGAGGATACTTTGTTTTGGCCCCTAGAGGGAGCGCTAGCCTCCTCTATAAATCTCATCCTCAGCACTCTCCTCCAGGGTTTTCTTACGCTACATTAAAAGAGAATTGAGAAGAAACTGTTAAGGTCAAAAACGTTTCATGGGCATGTTTGTAGGAGCGTGGATCAATCCAGTGAGTGTGGATCACTGAAATCAATATGTTGAATGGATATCTGTGCTCTCACGTTCATTACAACATTCTTCAGAATCCCAAATATACAATCAACCTGTGTTCATCAACAGAGATGGATGAAGAAAATGTGGTATATATGAACAATAGAATACTATTCCACCTAAACAGGGAGAAATTCTGTCATTTGTGATAACGTGGATAAATCTGGAGGACATTATGCTAAGCGAAATAAGCCAGGTACAGAAAGACAAATACCTCTGACCTCACTTATATGTGGAATCTAAAAAAGTCAAACTCACAAAAGTAGAAACTAGAATGCTGATTACCAGAGGCTAGGGAGGTGGAGAAGGAGGAAATTGGGAGATGTTGATCACAAAATACAAAGTTTGAACAAAAAAAAAAAAAAAGAAAAAATACAAAATTTCGACAGACAGGAGGAATAGGTTTTGAGATCTATTGCACTATTGATTATAGTCAATAATAATGTATTCTATATTTCAAAATAACTGAGTAAATTTCAAATGTATCACCATAAAAATGATAGGTAAGTGAGGTGATGGATATGTTATTTGGCATGATTTATCATTCCACAAAATGTACATATATTGAAACATCGCATTGTATCCCATAACTGTATGTAATTATGATATGTCAATGAAAAATAATATTACTAATAAAAATTTTAATTTTCAGTTGAAAATTAATTAATTAAAAAATAGCACAATGATCAAAATATATTGGTTCTTATTTTCTCTGTATCACAGATGAGAAAACTAAGGCTCAGACAGCTCAAATGTTTGCCCACATTTAAACCAATAACAAGTGACAGAGCTGGGGCTTGAACTGAAATCTTTAAATCTAAGTAATTTGGGGGGTCTGGGTAAGGGACAGGGATGGAATCGCTATGACAGGATGAGACTAAAATATTTAGATGTCATCTACAGTGAGATTTGTACCTTCACTCTGGCGATTCACCATCCTTTGAGAAGGAATTTGACTTTTGGAAACAGCCTAAATAAATTTATAATCAATTCTGGAGAATAAAGTGTTTTGGGGAAAAATGAAACAGCAAGTCAAAATAATATTTCTTGTTCTCTTGTGTGCTTTTGAAACTTGTTCTGAAGATAATTTCAAATTTGGAAGGAATTTTATGCAGTGTCAGCATTATTGAAAAATGCACTCTTTCCCGAGGTACTACTTTGAAAGATAACATTTGCTTGGTGTTTGCTCATATATGTGTGTCTGTATTCATTTCCTGAACACCTACATGTGCTGGGATTCAGTGATGAATAAGATACAGTCTTCCCTCATGAAGTTTGTGATCCACTTGGGGAGGCAGGTAGGTAAATAGTGACTTTTATTATGTAGAGATTAGTGGTATAATAAAACTCCTTCCAGCCGTAAAATCACTGGATTGTATAATATGTAACATCAGTCTAAATTCTTTTTTTTTTGACACCAGGCAAGATAAACTATAGATGGGTAAATAAATACATTTATTTACATATAGTTTTCAAAGAGTCATTCTGCCTGAGAGCTTTGGGAAAAGCTTGACAGGGAGGTGACATTTGATCTAGGGCTCAAGGTAATTTTATAAAAATGTGCACCAGAGACAAAGAGGTATTCAATAAATATTTCTTAAATGAACCAACGACATAAGGAAGCACCAGTTTTTCTTGAGATCTGTATATATAGTGTTGTGCCTGTCTAAAAGCTGACCGTCCTATTTAAATTATGTCCATTCTGGTAGAAAAAGCCCTTTTGAAGTCGTCTTATATAGTTGGCAGAGTTGGCTAACTGAATGAATAAAAAATGTAACATAACCAAATATAGGCCAAATAAATTTATGTTGCTCAACACTAAAGCTTTGACAGGTACAATCAATGTGCAGCAGCCTGATTTCTTGTCTCAGCTGTTTCATTAAACCAGCCCTGAGATCTTCCTAGCATTAGGCCACAGCTTTCAGGGTCTTTATTCTTTCCTAGGTTGCATATTCTGTATTTGCTCAAGATTAACTGTCTTTCAGTGTTATGTTTCTGAATATATTTAGGCACTCCCTTGTGAAGTCACAAGGATGGGAACAAAGCAAGAGCTGGACCCCACTTTTCCTCGTTTTTTTTTTTTTTTTTTTTTTGACAGGCTCTTGCTATGTCACCCATACTGGAGTCCAATGGTGCAGTCATGGCTCACTGCAACCTTGAGCTCCTGGTCTCAAAGTGATCCTCCTATCTCAGTCTCCCCAGTAGCTGGGACTACAGGCACACACTGCCATGCTTGGCTTTTTTTTTTTTTTTTTTCAGAGATGGTATCTCGCTGTGTCACTTGGGCTGGTCTCCAACTCCAGGGCTTAAGTGATCCTCTTGCCTTGGCCTCCCAAAGTGCTGGGATTACAGGTGGGAGCCACCAAACTGAACCTACTTTTCCTCCTTCCCACCAGTGATGTGCGGGCATCACTACAGTAGGCAGAACTGCTCTGCTGTGGCCAGCTCTGCAGTTCCAGGGGGGCCAGTGTTTCTCCAGAGTGGTGCATGGACCCCTGCCTCAGCGTTACTTGGACCATTGCTTGCTTAACATGCAGATTCCTGGGCCCCACTTAAACCAATAAAATAGAAACCTTTGTAGATGAGACCTATAATGTATCTTTATTTTTCATAGGTTTTTGGGGAACAGGTGGTATTTCGTTACATGAGTATGTTCTTTAGTGGTGATTTGTGAGATTTTGGTGTACCCATCACCTAAGCAGTGTACACACAACCCAATTTGAAGCCTTTTATCCCTCACCCCCTTCCCACCCTTTCCCCCAGAGTCCCCAAAGTCCGTCGTATCATTCTTATGCCTTTGCATCCTCATAGCTTAGCTCCCACTTATGAATGAGAACATATGAGGTTTGGTTTTCCATTCCTGAGTTACTTCACTTAGAATAATAGTCTCCAATCCCATCCAGGTTTCTGGGAATGCCATTAATTCATTCCTTTTTATGGCTGAGTAATATTCCATCACATACACACTACAGTTTCTTTATCCACTTGTTGGTTGATGGGCATTTTGGGCTTGTTCTATATTTTTGCAATTGCGATTGTGCTGCTATAAACATGCGTGTGCAAGTATTTTTTTGTATAATGACTTCTTTCCTAAAATGTATCTTTAACAAACACCAGGTGACTATGATTCTTGCATACCCTGAAGTTAAAAATCTGTGAAGAGAGAAAAAACAAAGGAGATTCTTACTTTTTTTCTGTGGTTTCTAGTTTTCTTGGGAAATGACTGATTATATGTAGTCCCCTCCTAGGGACCACCCTGGACTTCAGCCTTCTTCTCACGTAACAATCCACTGGCGCGATTATTATTAACTTGTTTACTAATGACAAGTTGGAGTACAAGGGACTGAGTGCTCTCAAAATTCACATGTAGCTCTAGGCCTTTACAACTGGAGAGTCTAATTTGAGGGGTGTTAAGCGATAATTCTGAATGACTTGCCTGCAGAGGAAGAGGTACAGAGGACATGGCTGAAATCCTGAGGGCCAAAGATAGTGGCACCTCCAATGCGTGAGGGAGACCACGCTGCCAGCTCTTGAGAGATGGTATTTTTGCTTGTTTTGAAGCTTTTCTCTCTCTTTCTTTTTTTTTTTTTTTTTTTTGGCATAAAAAGTATTACATATTTATAGGAAAAATTAAAACACAGAAATGTGAATTGGAAAATGAAAGTCAATGGCTTAAATACCCTCAATAGAGGAGTGGTTAAATGAAATGGGGCACATCTGTCTTTTATAGAATTCTATATAGCCATTAAAAAGATTAGATACACGTATTGACCAGGCGCGGTGGCTCATGCTTGTAATCTCAGCTCTTTGGGAGGCCAAGGCGGGCGGAATACCTGAGGTCAGGAGTTTGAGACCAGCCTGGCCAACATGGTGAAACCCCATCTCTACTAAAACTACAAAAATTAGCTGGGCATGGTGGTGGGCGCCTGTAATCCCAGCTACTCAGGAGGCTGAGGCAGGGAGAATTGCTTGAACCCGCGAGTTGGAGGTTGCAGTGAGCTGAGATGGCACCACTGCACTCCAGCCTGGGGGACAGAGGAAGACTCTGCCTCAAAAAAAAAAAAAAGATACATGTATGACTACAGGAAGAGCTTTACCAAGGAAGGTAAATAAACAAGAGGCAGAACATACTATAGTATGATCTCATGTATGTTTAAAACAAGAAGATGCATGTGAATATATGTATATATATGTATATAAAGTATAGAAATGTATATAGCAAATAGAAGGAAAAATTGCTCACCAAACTGTTGACAATGGAGTGGAAAATGAGATGAATTAATATGGGACTTTCATGTTTTGTTCCATTTGCTTCTTTTTCTAAACAATTATTTTTCTATAGAAATGTATTTTATCTTTTTTTTCCTGCTCCTTGTCGAGCAGAGCTACCCCATAGGCCGTGTGCCCAGAGTAGCTGGAAACATAGTTTTAAAAGACATGCAATTTTTTAATTTTTCAATTTTTTTTTTTTGAGACAGAGTCTCGCTCTGTCGCCCAGGCTGGAGTGCAGTGTCAAAATATCCGCTCACTGCAAGCTCTGCCTCCCGGGTTCATGCCATTCTCCTGCCTCAGTCTCCTGAGTAGCTGGGACTACAGGCGCATGCCACCACGCCTGGCTAATTTTTTGTATGTTTTAGTAGAGACGGGTTTTCACCGTGTTAGCCAGGATGGTCTAGATTTCCTGACCGCGTGATCCTCCCACCTCAGCCTCCCAAAGTGCTGGGATTACAGGCGTGAGCCACCACGCCCGGCCAAGACATGTATTTTAAAAAAAAAAAAAGCTACAGTTTTTTCTTAACTGAAAGTTCCATGTGGGAGACTATCTTGAAGGCTGTATCTTTTGCTTTTTTTTTTTTTTGAGAAAGGGTCTCTGTCACCCAGGCTGGAGTGCAGTAGCGTGATCACAGCTCACACCAGCCTCAACTTCCTGGGGTGTTTCCCCCACCTCAGCCTCCCAGGTAGCTGGAACTATAGGCATGCACCACCGCGTAATTTTTTGTATTTTTTATAGAAACGGGGCTTTGTTATGTTGCCCAGGTTGGTCTTGAACCCGTGGCACAACCATTCTCCCACCTTGGCCTCCCGAAGTGCTAGGATTACATGCATGAGCCACCGTGCCTGGCCAAGGCTGCATCTCCACCTTTGAAGGGAATGCCCAGGGAAGGAGCCTAGCTAGGTGGAAATGAAGAGCTGGGATACACGTGTTCATTCACTCACTCCATAAAAATTTCTTTGCCAGACACTGGATTAGGTAATGGAGATCAGTGGTATCCAAGACACCATCCCTGCACTATTACAGGATCCTGGGGGAGACCAGTGAATAAAAACACAATGGAAACAGTTTGATAGGTGTTAGTATTCGGATATATAGGAGGTATTAGGGACTTGGATTTGGGGATGCAGGCAACATTTCTGGAATAAGTGACATAAACTGAACCCTGAAGGATGTGCAAGAGTTAGGAAATGAGAATGAGAAACAGTTCTGGTTTAATAAGGGTACAGTAAGGGTGATGGCTCAGTGGGGGTGGGCAAGCAAGCTGAGCTGTTTCCCTCCTCTTAGAGAGAAATACTTGGGCTGTGCCTTTCTGGAGGCAAGACAAAGTCTGTTTGTCACATGGAATATCTAGGTGAGAGCCAGGAAAGGGAGAAATGGCTTGGGATTTTATTTGCTCTTAATCTTCTCCTGTCTCAAAATGCAGACCAGGAAGGTTGGTTTCCCAAGACACACTTGTAGTTTGTCCACTAATCCTGGACAGTATTTAAAACATGTTGACTTGTTTGCCAACACTTAAACATTGTGGGATTTTACATAAAAATACAGATTTTCAGCCTTTTTTGAAATACTTGATAATTGGGCCTCAACAGTCTTTTACAAAGGGCAGGAACTTGCCAGTTTGTTCCCTCCATGTTTGTCTCACTTATTGGTTTCACTTAAGTTTTTGTTTTTGTTTTTTAACAGCAAGTTTTATTGAAGTGACAGTATACAGCAGTAGCACAGGTACTGTTCCTTGCAGAGCAGGGCCATGCCATAGGCACTGGACCCAAAATAGCAGCCCAGAGGCAGTTCGGCAGTGGTATTTATACCCACTTTATTTTATTTTGTTTTTTTAAGTTCCAGGGTACGTGTGCAGGATGTGCAGGTTTGTTACATAGGTAAATGTGTGCCATGGTGGTTTTCTGCACCTATCAACCCATCACCTAGGTATTAAGACCAGCATGCATTAGCTCTTTTCCCTAATGCTCTTCTCCACTGCACTCCCAAAACAGGCCCCAGTGTATGTGGTTCCCGTCCCTGTGTCCATGTGTTCTTATTGTCCAGCTCCCACTTATAAGTGAGAACATGCGGTGTTTGGTTTTCTGTTCCTGCATTAATTTGCTGAGGATAATGGCTCAACCTTGCAGTGGCTGGTACTGGTTGTTCCTTTCCTGGAACAACTGGAAGCTTCATCCATGTCTCTGCAAAGTACATGATCTTGTTCCTTTTTATGGCTGCATAGTTTTCCATGGTGTATATGTACCACATTTTCTTTATCCAGTCTATCATTGATGGGCATTTGGGTTGGTTCCATGTCTTTGCTATTATGAATAATGCTGCAATGAACATACGTGTGCATGTATCTTTATAGCAGAATGATTTGTGTTCCTTTGGGTATATACCCAGAAATGAGATTGCTGGGTCAAATGGTATTTCTGGTTCTAAATCTTTGAGCAATTGTCACATTGTCTTCCACAATGGCTCAACTACTTTACATCCCAAGCAATAGTGTAAAAGCGTTCCTATTTCTCCGCAACCTTGCCAGCACCTGTTGTTTCTTGACTTTTTAATAATCACCATTCTGACTGGCTTGAGATGGTATCTCATTGTGGTTTTGATTTTCATTTCTCTATCAGAGATATTGAGCTTTTATTTCATATGTTTGTTGGCCGCATGCATCTCTTTTTTTGAGAAGTGCCTGTTCATATCCTTTGCCTACTTTTTAATGGGGTTGTTAGTTTTTTTAACTGTAAATTTGGCTTAGAGTTTTTAACCTCTTCTATAGTGGTTGTATCTTCCCTTGGCTTCTTTCGGAAATCCTGAGGAAGACTGGCAATCCTTCACTTGGCAGAGAACTAGAAGCTTTCATGGTACCCCAGTGGTGGTGGATATATGACCCAGCAGGTGTGGCAGACAGCAATCTTAATGTCCAAAAAGCAGTCATGGAACTGTCACTGAAAAGACTTCAATGACGATATCTATCAACAGTGGTGCTTTGCATGTTGATATACAATTTGCCTAGCATCATTTGGGAAAAAACTATCCTTTCTCCTTCAAGTTACCTTTGCACCTTTGTAAAAAAATCAGTTGAAAATAAATGTGTTGGTCAATTTTGGGGCTGTTTGTTCTGCTTCATTGATCTATTTGTCTATCTTGATACCAGTACTATACTTTCTTTTTTTTTATTACTGTAGCTTTATTATGCTATCATAAATGGGATTGTTTGCTTGATTTCTTTTTTGGATAGGTTGTTAGTAGTGTATTAAAATACTGTTGATTTTTGTATATTGATTTTATATCCTGCAACTTTACTGAATTTATTATTTCTAACAGTTTTTTGGTTGAGTCTTTAGGATTTTTTATATATAAGATTATGTCATCTGTAAACAGATGCAATTTAACTTCTCTCTGATTCGGACACCTTTTCTTTCTTTCCCTTACCTAATTTCTCTGGCGAGAACTTCTAGGACTATGTTCAATAGAAGTTGTGAGAGTAAGCATCCTCATCTTTTTCCTGATCTTGGAGGAAAAGCTTTCACCTTTTCACCATTGAATATGATATTAATTTTGGACTTGTCATAGATTGCCTTTAATGTGTTGAGGTACATTTCTTCTATGTTTAATTTGTTGAGAGCTTTTATCATGAAAGGATATTGTACGTGGTCAAATGATTTTTCTGCATCTATTGAGATGATCATATGGCATTTATCCTCCATTTTAGTAATGTGATTTATCACATTTATTGATTTGTATATGTGGAACCATAGTTATATCCCAGAGATAAATCTCTCTTGATCATGGTAAATAATCTTTTTAAAGTGCTGTTGAGTCAACTTGCCAATATTTCATTGAAAACTTTTGCATCTATATTCATCAGAGATGTTTGCCTATAATTTTCTTTTCTTATAGTGTTCTTATCTGGCTTTTGTATCAGGGTAATGCTGGCCTTGTAAAATTAGTCTGAAATCTGAAAGTATTCCTTCTTCTTCAGTTTTCTTGAAAGAGTTTGAGAAGGATTGGTATTAGTTATTCTTTTTTTTTTTTTTTTTTTTTCAAGATGGAGTTTCACTCTGTTGCCCAGCCTGGGGTGCAATGGCATGATCTTGGCAACCTCCACCTCCCGGGTTAAAGTGATTCTCCTGCCTCAGCCTCCCAAGTAGCTGGGATTACAGACATGTGCCACCATGCCTGGCTAATTCTGTATTTTTAGTAGAGACAAGGTTTCACCATGATGGTAAGACTGGTCACGAACTCCTGACCTCAGGTAATCCACCGGCCTCGGCCTCCCAAAGTCCTGGGATTACTGACATGAACCTCCATGCCCAGCTGGTATTAGTCATTCTTTAAATGTTTTGTAGAATTCAGCCATGAAACCGTCTGGTCCTGGGCTCATCTGTGATGGGAAATTTTATATAACTGATTAAATCTCCTTACTCATGATTGATCTATTCAGATTTTCTATTTCTTTATGATTTAGTCTTGGTAAGTTGAATGTCTCTGGGAATTTAACAATTTATTCTAGGCTATCCAGTCTTTTGACTTATAATTGTTCACAGTAGTTTCTTATGATCTTTTGTTTTTCTGCAGTATCAGTTGTAATGTCCCTCTTTCACTTCTAATTTTAGTTACTTGAGTTCTCTCTTTTTTAGTTAGCCTAGCTAAAGATTTATCCATTTTGTTTCTCTTTTCAAAAAACCAACTATTAGTTAAATTGATCTATTTTTTTCTAGTCTCTATTTTGTTTATTTCTGCTCTGATCTTTGTTATTTTCTTCCTTCTACTAACTTTGGGCTTAGCTGGCTTTTCTTTTTCTGGTTTCTTGAGGTAACCTTAGTCTGTTTATTTGAGATCTTTCTTCTTTTTTTTAATAAGTCATTTATTGCTATAAATTTCCCCTCAAAACTGCTTTTGCTATATTCCATAAGTTCTGGTGTGTTTTGTTTCCATTCTTGTTTCTCTAAAGATATTTAAAATTTTTCCTTTTCATTTTTCTTTTGACCCATTGTTTGTTCAGGAGCATGTTGTTTAATTTTAGTTTCAATTTTTCCTACATTTCTCCTGTTACTGATTTCTAGTTCCCCTTCATTTTTTAAACAAATTTTTATTAGGTATAGAATTCTAGGGTGATAGTTTTTATCTTTTAGGATTTTAAAGATTTTGCTTCACGTTCTTCTAGCTTTGTATTGTTTCCAATATGTAACCTCTGTCTTCTTTTTTTTGTTCCTCTATATTTAATGTGTCTTGTTCATCTGGATGCTTTTAAGGTTTTTTTTTTCTTTATTACTGGTTAGATGCAATTTGATTATAATGTACCCTTGTATAGTTTTGTTCATGTTTCTTAAGCTTGGAATTAGTTGAGCCTAGGGTTTGTGAGTTTATAGTTTTCATCAAATTAGAAAAGTTTTCCACTATTATTTCTTCACGTGTTTTTTTCTGCTTCTGTCCTTTCTTTGCTGGACTCCAGTGGCACATACATTGGGTTTCCTGAAATTGTCCCACAGCTCAATGATGCTCTATTTTTTTTCAGTGTTTTTTCTATTTGTGTTTCATTTTGGATCATTTCTGTTGCTATACCTTCAAGTTTATTAATCTTGTCTTTTGCAATGTTCAGTTAGCTATTAATTTTATTCAATTGTTTGTCTTTGTGTTTTTTTATTTCAGACATTATAGTTTTCATTTCTAGATGATTGATTGGGGTCTTTAAAAATTTTGCATTGTCTTTATTGAATGTGCTCCATCTTTTCTCTGGCTCTTGAACAATGGAATACATTACAATAAGTGTTTTTGTGTTTTTCTCTACTAATTCTATATCTGTGTCATTTATGGGTCTGTTTCCATCGACTGGTTTTTCTCCTCATTATATTTTCCTGTTTATTTGCATGACTAGAAGTTTTAATTAAATGCCAGACATTGAAAATTGTACCTTGTAGGGTGGCTACACTTTTCTATTCCTATAGATATTGAGATTTTTTTAGGCAGTTAAGTTACTTGGAAACAATATCATTTTAGGTTTGCTGTTAAACGTTATTAGGTGAGATCACAGTTGTGTTAAGTCTGAGGCTAATTCTGCCTCACTTTTTTGGAGCACCTACCCAACATTCTGTAAATTGTGATATTCTTCATTCTGGCTGGTAGGAACAGGAATTTTTTTTGGTGGGGGGGGCTCTGTTTGAATTCCAAGTGTTGCCCCTTATAATGCTTTCAAATGGTTCTTTTCCTATCCTTAGGTAGTTTCCTTACATATAAGCTGATCAGTACTCAGCTGAAAACTCAGGCACCCTCTGCAGATCTCCCAAGTTCTCTCTCTCCGCAGCTCACTCATCTCTGGTACTCTGTCCTGGGAACACGAGCCAGCTTATCTCTCTGGACTTCCAACTTTGTCTCAGGAAGTTTGATGGGCTCCCCTTCCATGCTCTGTAGCCTGGAAACTCTCTCTAGGCAGAAAGTTACAGCAACTGTAGAAGTCATTTCATTTCTTTTTACTTCTCAGGAAACATATCTTTGTTGCTGATGTTCAATATCTTGAAAACCCTTATTTTATATATACTGCTGTTATTTCAGCTGGGTGAGTAAATCTAGTCCCTGTTATTCCATCTTGGTTAAAAACAGAAGTTTCTCAACTGTGGTGTTTTGAGACTTCAATCCTAAAATATTAGTGATATTTGGAAATGAATGGGTGGAGGTAAGAGGTCAATCATGGGTTAATTTCCAAAGAAGAGGAAAAACTGCATGGATATGTACAAGGTTAGTCCAAATGGGAATATTTGAGTTATTTGTTTATTAGTGATGAGTCTTCTCTCTTTGGTGGTGGAAGTTCTATTGACTAAGAAGAGCATATTTTTCCTTATGGTCTCACTGTAGATGGGGCTATATAAAAGCAAAAATACCAGGGACGATCTGTCTTCCAAATCTAAATCTAGGGTAGTTTGGCATATACAGCATTGGGCCTTATTCTCTCTGGAGACTCTTGTGTGGGATAATTATTATTATTCATAATAGTAACAGCCATTACTTCTTGAGCACTTTCTATGTACAGGAATCCTTCTATGTTACACAAATTTATATAAGTATACAACAATCTCAATAGGTAGATACTTTATCATCAGTTTTTAAATAAGGGAACTGAAGTTCAGATAGATAAAATAACACACCACATGTCTCATAGCTACCAAAGTTACAGTTGGAATTTAAACCCAGATCAATATGACTTCAAAGCCAAAATGCTTATATAGTATGGCATGCTAAAGGAACTCTATACAGCCACTTTAGAAGCTTCTTGAGAAGATCCTAAGGAATCAAGAATTCCATAGCATTTTTACATCTCCACACACATTTAGCAAAACATCCTAAGGAGGAAGGGATAGAGCTGGCATTAACCAATATTGGCCTGGATTGAATCAAACCTAGGGAAGAGAAACTAGGGGACTTGAATGGGGCTCTCACTCATCGTAGATGCTTTTGGAGTTCCAGGGCACTGTCCGAATTTTAACCTTTGAAATCTAAACCCAAGTTGAACAGAGATTGACAGGTCTTTCCGAGAAGAAATCTCATGTTTGCCGAAAGCCTGGGGGAAGAGTTGGTCAAGACGTCATGTCGTTCCACTTTAGCAAAGTACTTTGAAGATAAAATCAAGAAAGTTGAATTCTTATTATGTTGGGTAAGAGCTCTAAAGTTCTGTTGCTAAGGCCAGGAGTCAATTGAATTTAATTCAACAAACATTTATTAAATGCCTTCTCTATGCCAGACACTGTTTTAGGGTGGAAAATCAAAGAAGAATAAGACACAGCCCCTACGCTAGAGGAAACCAAAGGTCTAGCTGGGAAAGTGGGTGCATAAACAAATAATTATGATAGGATGGGATAAAAATGTACACAGACAACTCTGAGGGTTCAGAGGTGGGGCCAGGGAACCCCATCTGGGGTTGGGAATGTTACAACAGGATTCTGCAGCCTTGTGTGTTTGCTTCATGAGCAGCATTTAGAGTTTTAAGATTTTTAGTATTACACTAGACTTCCTAGGGCAAATAGCAGTCATGTCACTTTCCTTTTGTTTTTGGTGATTCCAAAGCCACCATGCTGGGAATATACTGAGAGGAGAAAGGAGAATTCAAAATAGAGTCAGGAGCTTGTTCTGCCTTCAGTGTGCTCTGTGATTTGAGTGTGCCACTGGGCCTTTTAATTATCAAAAGGTGTTGATCTTGTGAATACACATTGCTAAGTCACCTGTTGGATATTAATAGCAGAAGCCAAGAGTTTACCCAAGGGAGTGATGAGATCAGAATTCTATTATTAAAGGGTGACATTCTCTTGCTGTGTTGAAATTAGACTACACTGTGATTATATCCTACAGTCCTAGAAAACAACAGCAACCAAGCTACATTCAACTGTTAAAAGTGTTATTCATAATACCTCTTATAGCAAGCTATACTTATTCCTTCCTTTAAATTAAGTTGCCTTTTTCTTATAAAAGTAGCATATGTTGATTAAGTGGAAGTACAGAGCCAATTATTGTGTTAGTTTCCTATTGCTGCTATAACAAATTAACACAAATTTAATGGCTTTAAATAACACAAGTTTATTCTTCTGGAGATCAGAATTCTGAATTGACTTTCCCAGGCTGAAGTCAAGGTGTGGGCAGGGCTCATTCCTTTTAGAGGCCCTAGGGAAAACCTGTTTCCTTGCCTTTTTGTTGCTGGGGGCTACCCACATTTCTTTGTAACCTCCTTCCCTCATCTTCAATTTTGCTTCTGGCATCATATCCCCTTTTCCTCTAACTCTGCCTTCTCCTGAGTTTTCTTTTTTTTTTTTGTTTTTTGAGACGGAGTCTTGCTCTGTCGCCCAGGCTAGAGTGCAGTGGCGCAGTCTCGGCTCACTGCAAGCTCCACCTCCCGGGTTCAGCCATTCTCCTGCCTCAGCCTCCCGAGCAGCTGGGACTACAGGTGCCTGCCACCATGCCTGGCTAATTTTTCTTGTATTTTTAGTAGAAACGGGGTTTCACTGTGTTAGCCAGGATGGTCTTGATCTCCTGACCTCATGATCCGCCCGCCTCAGCCTCCCAAAATGCTGGGATTACAGGCTTGAGCCTTCTCCTGAGTTATTATAAAGACCAGTCTGATCATATTGGGCCAACCCAGGTAATCCAGGATAATCTCTCCATCTCAACGTCCTTAATTTAATGACATCAGCAAAGTCTCTTTTGCCATATAAAATAAAATTCATATGTTCAAGGGATTAGGATATGGAGATATTGGAGGGGGTTATTCAGTCGACCTTAACTACTGTCTATGTTTTGGAGCATTTACTTAATATTCTTCTCGAATTTATATAATTCAGATTATTCTGTATAGATACATTGATGTTATGCCTTTGTCATTTACCCTTGTATTATTTGTCCATCCGAATAAGTTTTTTGAAATAATACTTTTTGACAGCTGTATAATTCTTCTGTAGGGATATATGATAATTTATGAAGTCATTGCATCACAATTTGGACGCAATCGTTGGAGCAATCATGGTTCTAAGAGATAGAGTCCAATTCAACCTGCTTAAGCAAAGCAAGGAAGTTATTGGCTCTGGCAATCCAATGCACTGTTAACAACCAGACTCCATGGGATTCAGCAGGGCTTCAGGGGCCACTGCAACCATGGATTCTAATAGTGCCAGGACAAACTTCATCTTCATGTCCTTTTCATGCCCTCTCACATGTTATGATCTCATCCACTAGAGAGGCACTAGCTGACCACAAGCCCTTTGTTTAACTAAGTCAATCCAAGCCCCTTAAAAAAAAAAGAAAGAAAGAAAAACCCCAGTTTCTTTCATCATGGCCTGAATCTAATCTCAGGGAGTTCAATTGCAGGTCTTGGTGAGCTGGGTCCTTGTCCCTATCAGCAATGCCTGGCAGCTTGTTAGAAATGCGGAACTCAGGCTCCACTCAGGACATAGTGAATCACAGCCTGCATCGTAACAATATCCCAGGCAGCTTGAATGCCCATGGATGTTTGTGAAGCACCGTTCTAGTAATTGCCTTAGTTCTGTCTTTAGATTTTTGTGGATGTGGACAAAGCCTGTGTTGACTGACCAGCAATCAAGGTTTATAGTTGTAGGAGAGGAACAGGTAAGGGCGGTTTAGCAAGACAGAGCAAAAACAAATAGTTTCACAGATTTTTGAGAACCATACTCATAAAAATGATCATTGCCTCTGCACAGCAGTTTCTTGCACCATGAGGCAGCTAAATCTGAATAGCCAAGACCTGCAGCTGTGTCATCTGTAAGTTGTCTGAAGCACCTCAGGAAAATATGGTCTTGCCAAGTAAATCTGGTATCTCTCTGGTTTAGGCTCTGTCCCTGCCTGGTTCACCCCAGAGAGTCAGCTGATTTGTCCTTCCATGTGTTTGCAATTAAATGGGTGGACAAGGGTGAAGCCAGCACAATCTGGTATCATTTTGTTGATTACCTATGAGGCTTCTTTTCCATTCTACAAACATCACCTGCAGGGACTTACATCTGGGACTGTTGTGATTCCTACCTTTTTGTTGTTGTTGTTGTTGTTGAGACAGAGTCTTGCTCTGTTACCCAGGCTGGAGTGCAATGGCACGATCTTGGCTCACTGCAACGTCTGCCTCCCGGGTTCAAGCAATTCTCCTGCCTCAGCCGCCCAAGTAGCTGGAATTACAGGTGCCCGCCAGAAAGCCCGGCTGATTTTTTTTTCGTATTTTTAGTAGAGGCAGGGTTTCACCATGTTGGCCAGGCTGTTCTTGAACTCCTGACCTCAGGTGATCCACCTGCCTCGACCTCCCAAAGTGCTGGGATTACAGGCGTGAGCCACCGTGTCCAGCCCTCCCATCCTCTTAAGAAGCACGTAGTTTTCACACTGTTGCTAGCCAGGGAAACAACCTTGAGTAACACGTAGAGGAAACACTAAGCAAATTTGCAGAAGAATGATTTTAAAATATTCTTCAGATAAAATAATTGGTAACATGTATATGACTAGGAAATACGGACCTTGGTATCAGATATGTCTTACTGTCACAGAGTAAAAAAGGGCATAGATTCCTCTATATCTGGGTTCTGTGGTGCTAGAGAAGGATTTAAGGAACAGCGACAGTCACTCTGACATATTAACAAAACGTTTTCCAATGGCTTTTCTTGTAAAACAAATATAAGTCTCATTACCAGAAGTAGAAATAACATTAGAGGTACAATGATATGTTTCAGAGAATGGAAATCATCGCATTTTCCTTCTGATATGGCTTGGCTCTTTGTCCTCACCTAAATCTCATCTCTAATTGTAATCCCCACGTGTTGAGGGAGGGACCTGGTAGGAGGTGATTAGATCATGGGGGCGGTTTCCCTCATGCTGTTCTCATGATAGTGACTGAGTTCTCACGAGATCTGATGGTTTAAAAGTGTTTGGCAGTTCACCTCATTGCTCGCTGTCTTGCCTCCACGTGAAGAAGGTCCTTACTTCCCCTTTGCCTTCTGCCACAATTGTAAGTTTCCTGAGGCCTCTCCAGCCAAGCAGAACTGTGAGTCAATTAAACCTTTTTCTTTCTACCTAAATTATCCAGTCTCAGGCAGTTCTTTATAGCAGTGTGAAAATGGACGACTACACCTTCTAATACACCAGATAGGAGGTAGAGCTCTAGGGATCTTTTGGACCATAGGTGGAAGGGAAGTGCGGTATGGGGAGCAATGTTGGGGGTATTTATAAAAGGGCAACATGAGGGATCTTTGTGTGGATGGGATGGAAATGTTCTGTATCTTGACTGTACTAATACAAATGACCTAGTTGTGATATTGTACTATATGGTATGTTACTACTGGAAGAAACTGCATAAAGGGTGCCTGGAGTATTATTTCTCACAATTGCATGTGAATCTACAATAATCTCAAAGTAAATTGTTTAATTAAAGCATTGCGCTGAAGTAGTATCTATCTTAATTACTGAGGGTTTTTTTTTTTTTTTTTGCAGCTTCTTAAATTTTTCTCCCATGGCTAGTTCCTCTCCTGCCTCCTCTCAATTTCATCCCTACTCAGGCTGAGTGCCTCGTTCTAGCAAATAAATATGGGGCAAATAAGGTATCCTCCCTAGCCTCAAATTCCTCATCTGCAAAATGGGAATGACGGGAGTTCTCACTTCCTAGGGTTTTTGTCAAGATTAAATGAGATAACGCATGTAAAATAATTAGTCCAGGGCCTGGTATATAGTAAATTCTAGTTAAATGTTAGTTATATAACCATATCGGAACACGGTAATCAGAGTGTCTATGTAAAAATGTGCACACATGGTTACAGGGGATGGGATTAGAAGGAGCGTTCATTTTGTTTAATGACTCTACTTCCAGGTGACAGGGCCCGTGTGGGTCCTAAAAATGCTGTGTCCTCTCGGGGCAGGCTTCATGGGTGTGTGGCTTGTGCAGGCTTACAGGGTCACATGCTGGGTTTTATGTTCTGCTATGTATTAGGGATTAATACGACGTGTGTATATATGGAAGGGAGTTTGTTAAGGAGAATTGACTCACACAATCACAAGGTGAAGTCCCACGATAGGCTCTCTGCAAGCTGGGGAGCAAGGAAGCCAGTAGGGGCTTAGTCTGAGTTCAAAAGCCTTGAAATCGAGGAAGCTGACATTACAGCCTTCAGTCTGTGGCTGAAGGCCAGAGAACCCCTGGCAAACCACTGGTGTAAGTCTAAGACTCCTGCCCTGGTGTCTGATGTTAAGGGCAGGAAGCATCCAGCATGGGAGAAAGATAAAGGCCAGAAGACTCACAAGCCAGCTTATTCCACCTTCTTCCACCTGCCTTTTCTAGCAGCGCTAGTAGCCGATTGGATGGTGCCCACCCACATTGAGGGTGGGTCTTTCTCTCCCAGTCCACTGACTCAAATGTTAATCTCCTCTGGCAACACCCTCACAGACACACCTAAAAACAATACTTTGCATCCTTCAATCCGATCAAGTTGACAATATTAACCATCACATGCCGTCACCACTTTTCAACAAGAGGCCACACATTTTTTTTCTTTTTTCTTTTTGGTGCTGGCCCACAATTATGTAGCTGGTCCTGTCTCCCCTTAATCAAAGTCAGTGTTTCCCCAGAGAGGGCAAGACTGATAGTCACTAGCTCCTCTTCAGAGTAGAGGACAATGGGACTTCTCCCCAGTATCCCAGCAGCCAGGGCTGTTAGTTCAACTCAATTAGAGGGAGTTCTGCTCGCAGAGCTGTTCTACCATAGCCCCTTCTTTTTGTGCACCTCCTCATTCATTCGAAGAGTCTCCTCAGATCCCACCACAATAACTACTCTCACATGAAAACTTTGTTGGCCTGTGAGTATATGGGTGGAGGGTTTTCCCTCCAACTTTGTGGGTTTGGGTGCTTTTGCTTGATCGTTTCTCATTAGACAGAAAAGATTTTGTGGACAGGATTAGAGCTCTGCTCAGCCACAGTTTAAAAAAAAAAAGTTGGTCTTGAAGAAACAGGAGGCTTAAGACAAAACACACATAAAATCACTAACCTTTCACTTTAATGGTCTTTCCAAATTGTCAAAACCACTGTGGTCTGTCTTGCTCACAAGAGGCATTCTTGGGGTTTACAGACACTGAGTTGAGAAGGAATTTCTCTGTTGGATGGCTGAGGATGCAGCCAGTAAAATGATCCTGTGGAGCAATATTGCCCTTGGAGCAGACAAGTTTGAGTCCTGTTTGTCCAGGTGCAATGCTTGTGTGCAAATCTGTCCACTCAGCCACTCTGCCATAAGGGTCTGTCAAGACAGTCAGGTGAGTCCTGGGCTGGCCGGTTTAGCCCTGGGGAGGCTGCACCTTGCACGGAGCTGGCGGGAGCCAAGAAGGGGGCCTGGCTCCTCTTTGTGAAATGATGTGTCTGGAATAACAAAGGGAAGAAATCACAATGAAGGGAACCCACAGCATATGAGTTCCTACCAAGCTGAGAAGTGATGAAAGTGAAAAGAAAACTTAAGCTGGAGTTCAAACTGTGGCTAGGGTTATGACAGTTAATAAATCAGTGAGTCTGGAAAATGTTGTCTCAACAATAAAATTAGGAAGTTGCAATACTGTCATTAAACTAGTGTTATTGGCCGGGCGTGGTGGCTCACATCTGTAATCCCAGCACTTTGGGAGGTCGAGGTGGGAGGATCATTTGAGCTCAGGAGTTCAAGACCAGCCTGGGCAACATGGTGAAACCCCATCTATAAAAAATTAGCTGGGCATGGCGGTGCATGCCTGTGGTCCCAGCTACTTGGGAGGCTGAGGCAGGGAAATCATTTGAACCCGGGAGACGGAGGTTGCAGTGAGGCGAGAGTGCGCCACTGCACTCCAGCCTGGGCAACAGAGTGAGACTGTCTCAAAAACAAAAACAAAAAACAAAAAAGTAGCGTTATTAAAAAACAGTAATAATTAATTTGTGTGTGTCTCCTCTCTGCAGATGTCTTTAATTTATTCATCAGTAAGGCTTGCCTTCTCCAGGAGAGAATGTGGTATATTAAAATGGTAAATAAAAGGGGTTCTGTCATTTGCTCACTGAGTAGATTATTTAAGATCTCTGAGCCTCAGTTTATCCATCTATAAATTGGATTTAGTAATAACTGTATCTATAGGTGGTAGTTTTCAAATATTTTAGCAGCAAGCTAAGAAATATCTAATATTACAATGTAATATGCTAGATACATACAACCACACTTATATAACTGAAACAAAGCTTTTATAAAGTAGTGTGTCCCATAGCTGAATTTGATGCACTTATATTTTTTAATGCTTCTTTTTCCATCACATTTTATTTAGAAATACTGGTTGTGACCCATTAAAGTGGTTTCATAACTTAATATTTCAAAAATGCTATGGTAGATTAATCTGCCCATTAAAAAAGATATTATACATAAAGTGCTTAGCTCACAAAAAAAGGCCAATAAATATGAACTTCCTTCTTCCTCCTTTGGGAGCCAAACTTACAGCTACAATTTGTACTTTGGGTTTCTGTGACATTTACATGTGTGATGCTTATAAATTTTCATAATATAGTAAACTAAAGATATTATTTTGGGCTTCTCAGTATCAGTGTTAAATCGATCAGAGCTGATGACAAGCAGTTAGAAACTTTTGACTATTCACCAAGAAACTTATATGATCCTGGGTCATATTCAATCTACAATACACCAACAATCCAAGAAGTAAACATTTGCAAAGGATTACTACATATGAATTGTTAAAAACTGCACCAGGTGCAGTGGCTCACACCTACGAGGCCGAGGTGGGAGGATTGTTTGAGGCAAGAAGTTCGAGACCAGCCTAGACAACATAGGAAGACCCCATCTCTACAAAAAAGTTTTTAAAAATTAACCAGGCATGGTGGCACCTGCCTGGAGGCCCAGCTACTGAGGCAGAAGGATCACTTGATCCCTGGAGATTGAGGCTGCAATGAGCTATGATCATGCCACTGCTCTCCAGCCTGGGCAACAGCAAGACCCTATCTCAAAAATAAATACATTAATGAATGAAAATTGCATGTATGTTCTCAACCCTGGCTGCAGATTAGAATAACTTGGGGGAACTTTTAAAATATGATCAATGCCTATCCATTCTCCAGAGATTCTGATCCAAATGGTCTGGATATAGCCTGAACATCAATCAGTATTGTATTATCTAAAAGAGACTCAGGTTAACCCAGCATATAGTCACATGCTGGACTGGTTGAGGAACATCGGGTTACTCAGTGCTGAGATTAAGAAGCTGATATGATAACTAAAACTAGATATAATAATATAGTGAGAAATTTTCACCATTCCCAGAACCTCCTGTGCCCATCAAACGTTGTACCGAAACAATTTCTGCTGAAAATCAGTTCTGGCAAGTTGTTTGAATCATTGTACGTATTCACGAGTTAGAAAAAGAAATTGCCTAGGAAATATTCTCAATGCAAACTTCTTGCTAATTCTGACTGGCTTGTTTTCTGAGTTAGTGTGAACTGTGAGATCTAACTGCTCATTATCCTGTCTTCACGGGTAGCCTCGGGAGGGTAGAGACAGTCCTGCTGTCTCAAAATCCTGTCTTCACAGGTGGTTTCAGGAAAGTAGAGACAGTCCTGCTGTCTCAAACCTGGTAACAATGGCAGCTAATAATAAGTCACTTCCCCCTCTTTGTCTCCATCACTTTGGTTCAGTCCTCTGCTGTCACACCCTGCAGATTATATTGTACTCAATCTCTTTCCAATCTTTCTTCACTCATAGGCTGTGAGTCTTCAGGGCACTCACCATGTTTTAGACACCTTTGTGTTTCCAAGACTTAGTACAGGGCCCAAGTTGTTGCAGAGGCTTAAACATGTTTTATTTTATTTTATTTTTTGTAAAGAGATGAGTTCTTGCTATGTTGCCCAGGCTGAACTCAAACTCCTGGGCTTAAACCATCTTCTCGCCTTAGCATACCAAATAACTGGGACTACAGGTGCATGCCACTGCACCCAGCTTGCTCAACAAATTTTATTGAATGAATAAATGAAGGATTTTGGTGCTCAGAGCAGGTCCCTGGCTCTCTGGGAGGACAGAACTGAAGTTGCCTTTTACCGTGTCTTTTGATCTGTTTCTTCTACTACTCAGCCCTTTTGCTGGAAGGATGGGTTTTCTTTATCATGTCAAAAAGAAGTGGGTTTTTTGATCAATATTAAGACACCATAAAGAATAAAACCCTCTGCCGCAGAGTCCCTCAGATTTCATGGTGGATTTCTAGTTCCTGGGCAGCAGTGGCACTGCCAGCTGCCTCCTGGTTTGGAAGCCAACACCACACTGCAGGGAAACCAAATCTCCTGAGAACCTAAAATCCTTCAAAGGCAGTGCTCCCAGGCTGGAGCTGGCATTGCTATTCCAGGCTTGGGGTTCTGGCCATTGACAGTGATTATGATTTAATACACCACATTGGTGAAGTAGCAATTCAGGAAATATTGTTTTTAAAATCAACCACGAAACTTGGTTGATTTGTCTTGGAAGTTGAAATCCCACATTTTAAGGATGGATGAGTCTGGGTGGTCCTGGTAGGAAAGCAAAGGAGAGAAAAACATTACAAACACGAAATGCGTATGTTTGATTTCTCTGCTTCCCACTTCCAGGAACATTTTAACCCTTAGTAGCTTTTTACTTCTAATACAAACTTTAGTTTCTTTCATTTTAATTTGATTTTTTTTTTTTTTTAATGACAGGATCTTGCTCTGTCGCTTAGGCTGCAGTGCAGTGGTGTGATTATGGCTCACTGCAGCCTTGATTTTCCAGGTTCAAGCAATCCTCTCACCTCAGCCTCCCGAGTAGGTGGGACCACAGGGGCGTGCCACCACACCCAGCTAATTTTTGTATTGTTTATACAAATGGGATTTTGCCATGTTGCCCAGGCTGGTCTTGAATGCCTGAGTTCCAGTGATCTGCCTGTCTTGGCCTCCCAGAGTGTTGGGATTACAGGCATGACCCATTGCACCTGGCCAAAACATTTTTATTTTAAAAACTTTTTTATTTTACTTCTAATATGATCATCAAAGCACTATAAACATCCTCGTTTTTTAATTCTTAAAATTTCCCTTATCCTTAAATATCTCCTCAAGAACACCATCTCTACTGAGTCCAGCAATGTTACCAGGAATTTTTCATGGTCTTTGGTGCATCATCTATGTCTGTCAGGGTCCACCACACTCTTCTCTGTTTACAGAAATCACATTATGCCCTGTGCACAGCAGGCTCTCAGGGAACACACTAAGTGTTCAATGAGGTGAATGGGATGGAACAACTCAGCCGTTTCCACAGCCTGCTCAAGTGTTAAAGTGAGTGAGAGTGTATTTGGCAGAGGTACCGAGGAGTCTTTCAGGAAATGAGGTCCCATCTCGGGGTATTTTTTGCATGAGACAGCCTGTCATTCTGGAGCTTTAGTGACATAACTGGACATGTCTGGCCCAGTATCACACTGACCTAATAATATAAGACCACAGGGTCTGCTCCATCATGGATTTGTTGAAGCCCTCCATGCCTTCATTTCCTTATCCTGGTGATGAGCCTAATACCCACCCCACAGGTGTTGATGTAGTGAACGTGAAAGTTCTGGGAGCGGTTGTGAAAATAAATTCTCTATAAACCCTCAACTGAGTGGAATTTCTGCCCTTTTTAGGCCACACATAAAATCACAGCTTTTCCAAGTTCCCGTTGATGAAGAAATAGGACTAAATAGGCATCCTGCAAAAAAAAAAAAAAAAAGAAGCTCTTTTTTCCCAAATTAAAATTGGGAGTTCACTTTTTTTTTTTTTTTTTTTTTTTTTTTTGAGACGAAGTCTCACTCTGTCACCAGGCTGGAGTGCAGTGATGCCATCTCTGCTCAGTGCAACTTCTGACTCCTTCATTCAAGTGATTCTCTTGCCTCAGCTGGGATTACAGGCGCCCACCATCACGCCCAGCTAATTTTTGTATTTTTAGTAGAGACGGGGTTTCACCATGTTGGCCAGGATGGTCTTGATCTCCTGACCTCGTGATCCACCTGCCTCGGCCTCCCAAGTGCTGGGATTACAGGCGTGAGACACTGCGCCCGGCCACATATTAATATTTTTATTTATGTTGATGACACATGCAAGCAATGCACCTCTTGGTCTCTTGGGATCTGGTTTGTTTCTATTGGCATCTTCCAGCTAGACTTGATTTGCATCAGGTGAGCGCTCCCTCTAACAGCAGGCTTAGGTTATGCTGATTGGAAAGGAAACTCTGGAGACCTGTGTGGTTTATGCATTTATTTGCCTGTGCATTAATACATTTAACAAACATTGTGCACTCACGTTTTGCCAGGCTCTGTGACAGGTGTTGGGATACAGAAACAAAAGAGACTGTCTTTGACTCGTAAGAGCTCACATTCCTGACTGGGCGTGGCAGGAGAATTGCTTGAACCCAGGAGGCGAAGGTTGTGGTGAGCCGAGATCGCGCCATTGCACTCCAGCCTGGGCAACAAGAGCAAAACTCCATCTCAAATATATTTCTGTGTGTGTGTGTATATATATATATATATTATATATATATATATGTGTATATATATAATATATATATACGTATATATATATTATATATATACGTATATATATTATATATATGTATATATATATTATATATATATGTATATATATATATATTATATATATGTATATATATATTTCTGTGTGTACATATACATATATATATTTCTGTGTATATATATACATATATATTTCTGTGTATATATATTTCTGTGTATATATATATATTTCTGTGTGTGTATATATATATATATACACACTAGTATAAGGGGGAAGTTATGATTTGGCTGTTATAGGCATAGAGGTGAGGGCATCTAACTTCATCTGGGGAATCACAGAAGACTTCCTGGAAGAGATGATGTTTGAGCTGAGCCTTAACAATTGAGTAGGGGTTTTCTGAATGAAAGCTACAGGAGGTGGAAGCTAAGGGGGAGGATATGGAGCAAAGAAAGGGATTTCCAGCTGTTTTCCAGAAAAAACAGCATCTGCCAGTGCAGGTGTGGTTACATTCTGGGAGTGGACAGAGATGAAAAGGTCAGATTACAAAGGAACATACGTACTTTAAAAAAGGAATTTGAACTTCAAAGATGTTGGACTTTATGCAAAGGCTCAGCATTGTAAGGTTTGTGTTTTAGAAAGGGTTTTCAATGGCAATATGGCAAATGGATTTTTGGGGGATGTGGTGGGCAGTAGTATTGTCAGGGAGAAAGGTTAGGAGTCAAGTCCAGTTGTCTAAAAGGAAATCAGTGCTTGAACTAAAAACAGTGGTGTTGAGAACGGAGAAGGGATAGATTCAAGAGAAACGTAGGAGATAGAGTCTACAGATCTATAGAATGTGAACTGTGGCATGAGATGAGGAGCATTAGAAGACGTGGAGGCCTGACATGGTGGCTCAAGCCTGTAATCCTAGCACTTGGGAGGCTGAGGCAGGAGGATCTTTTGAGACCAGGAGTTCGAGACCAGCCTGAACAACATAGCAAGACCCAGTCTCTACAAAAAATAAAAAAAATGAGGCTGGCATGGTGGCTCACACCTCTGGTTCCAGCTACTCAGAAGGCTGAGGCAGGAGGATAGCTCATGAGGCTGCAGTGAGCTATGATCGCACCACTGCACATCACCTGGGCGACAGAGCAAGACCGCATGCCTAAAAAAAAAAAAAAAAAAAAAAAATTAAGGATTACATTTTAGGATTCTAAATCCTAATTTTATGATTAAATTACTTAATTCATGGTAATTCCTGAGACTTGGCAGTGTTTAAAAAAAAAAGAGTGGAATTCAGAGGGACTTCTAGGTTTCTGATTTTAGTGACCTAAGTGGTTGTCACATGCTGATGCTGCAGGGAGCATAGAAAATCATCCTGGGTGTTCGTTTGCTAATTTTCAGGTTGCCATGTAAATAAGGCACCACTGTCCATGGTGCAGACAGCTTGTTGACTTGTACAAGTCCTTTTAATCTAGGAATGCAGTTTTATACTTTTTACATGTATAAATGCATGTGTGCATGTGTATGTAAATTCGACATATGTACTGATCTCCACTTGGCTAAGAGATCACCCATGTGTTTATGACTATCTCTTTGCTCTATTTTGAATGCCATGTTAATGCAGCAGTACAGTGCTGAGGTTACGTGCATGGGCTCTGGAGCCAGACTGCCTAGGCAGAAACCCTGTCTCCATCCCTCACTTGCAGAGTAACCTGGCGTGAGTAATATAACTATTTCCTCCCTGAGTCTCCTCCCCCTATAAAGCCATCATAACAATTATACCTGTCTCATAGGGAAGTTGTGAGGATTAAATCAGTTAATTCACGGTAATTCACTTAGAACATGGCCTGCCTGGTACATAGTAAGTGCTGTGTAACTGTTATCTCTTATTATCACAGCAAGAATGTCTCCATTGGAAAAATCCTTCAAGTGTCCCTGATCCTGCTTGAGTGGCATGTTTACCTGTTGCTGACCTGCAGAGCCCTAGCTCTAGGCCAGACTCTACCCTGGGGGTCTGCATGTATTACCTCCTTCAGTTGTCACCACAGAGCTCTCTGGTCCTGAGTAGGGCATCATGATCCCAGTGTTACCGGTAAAGACATAGAGATTGGAGATGCTAAGCAACTTGCCTGAATCACACCACTAGCAAGTAGAAGAACCAGGATCCAAACCCAGGACTGCCTTACTCTAATGTCCCTGGACATAATCTGGGCTGTTGCTAGGGCAGCCAGTGCAGCCAGCTATTTCCAGCAGGACACTGGTAGGAAGGGCCTCATTATTCCAACATCAAGAGCCACCTTGGTTCTCTGAGTTCAGGAGCCTACTCCAGCACCGCAAATGGTGATGAAGTGCAACCTAAGTGGTGTCATTCACTAGTTAAAAAGAAATTGGGCTTTTTCTTTTTATCTCTCCAGCCATCCAGCCAAACACAATTAAGTTCCCCTACCTCCTTATTTTCTTTTAAGGATTTAGATCTGCTTATAGAAGCCTTGAAACAAAAGACCCAATTTAACAGGTAGCAAAACATTGTAAGGCTGGATGCGGTGGCTCACACCTGTAATCCCAGCACTTTGGGAGGCCGAGGCGGGCAGATCACTTGAGGTCAGAAGTTCGAGACCAGCCTGGCCAACAAGGTAAAACCCATTTCTACCAAAAAACACAAAAACTAGCCAGGCATAGTAGTGCTTGGTCCCAGCTACTTGGGAGGCTGAGGTTGGAGGATCACTTGAACCCTGGAGGCAAAGGTTACAGTGAGCTGAGATCTTGCCACGTTGGTCCAGCCAAAAAAAAAAAAAATTGTAGCAATGTGATCTGGAAAAGATCATTTTAAATGGTAGTTGCCTCAGCTGTGCTTAAGTAGCTTTTATGTGAGTCATAAAAGCTACTTGGAGAATATACTTTGAATACACATTACCTGTGTGCCCAGTTCATCCATTTCCACATCATTATCTTCATGTCTTGTTGGAACTTGGTAAATATCAGGTCTCATCTTTCATTTTGCCTCTCAATCAGGTTTCTGTACATGTTGCTGACAGTTCTGACCAGTGAGTTGCCATTTTTCATGAAGCTTTCTCTGATGCAAAAAGATCATAGATCCTTTGATACAAGTGTCAAATATTACCAGTCACATTGTCATTTCCAATTGCAAGCTGAGACAGTAAGGGGGAATTTAGGACTAAGTTATTGATGTGGGTTATTGCCAGGGTGCTGAAGTCTGAGAACTTTGTGCCATCCCAGGTCACTGTTTATTAGCTCAGTGCAGACTCATATTTCTTAGGAACTATTTCAGCCAAAAAAGTCTTCCACAAACAGCTTTCATGAGGTTGTGGAAATTGAATTTCCTAAGCTTTGCATCTGCTGCTAAAAACAAATGCATTTTCCCACTCTCTGAGAAACACCACTCTTACCAGTCTCTCATGTTATACTCTCCTGGAGAAAGAAATCTGGCTTTCACCCAAGAGAGATAACCACTTTATCTCAGCTGGATATTTGAACATCTACACATTGAAAGCAGATAAAATATATAAACTGGGTCAAACTAGCAACAATGCATTGCTTTTCTTAAGGATTCACTCTCAATATTCTTTATATTGAAACCACCATTGTACCTTTAAGATGATGTACAAAACCTAATTTACACAAAAGCTTTTCAAGAGCTTATATTTTGAGTCAAGCACTGTTGTATTAGTCTGTTTTCACACTGCTATAAAGAAACACCCGAGACTGGGTAATTTATCAAAGAAAGAGGTTTAATTGACTCACAGTTCCACATGGCTGAGGAGGCCTCAGGAAACTTACAATCATGGCAAAAGGCAAAAGGAAAGCAAGGATCTTCTTACATGGCAGCAGGATAGAGAAGAGTGAGGAGTGAAGGGGGAAGAGCCCCTTATAAAACCAACAGATCTCGTGAGAACTCATTCACTATCATGAGAACAGCATGGGGGAAACTGCCCCCATGATCCAATCACCTCCCACTAGGTCTCTCCCTAGACACGTGGGGATTATGAGGATAGCAATTCAAGATGAGATTTGGGTAGGGACACAACTAAACCATATCCACAATTGTCAGTATTGTTTCGAAATCCTTGGTTAGCAGGGCTTGAGTACAAATCTCAAAAAAGGAAAAAGATAAACCCTATATCAATCATTTTTAAATGTGGTCTTTTGGCACTATAGGCATTACAAGAAAATGAGAAATTTACCAAATTATCGGTTTGGGAGGAATTCATTCTTATGGATGCAGGTGTGGTTCCCATATTTCATTTCTGTACACATTGATATATGGACGGTGCTGTCTCCTGAGTCTGAAGGTGAATTGGAGGCTTCATACAAATATTCACCAAGTTGCAGACAAATGGAAAGAACAGAGGGAGGTGTGTCCCTTTGTCTTGTTTTCTTTTAAAGCTTCCATTTTCCTGGGTGCTTATTATGGGGTGAATGATTTGCAAAGTGCTTTATAGATATTATCTCATTTCACCTTTGCATGAAACTTGTGAACTAAAACTAATTGTGTTCATCTTGCCCATGAGAAAACTCAGGCTCTAGGAGGTGAAATCATTTGTCCAGGGTCACACAGGAGTTTTTGATTCAAAACAGGCTTTTGCAGAGTCATAGCTAACACTCACTGGGCTCTTGCAGTGAACTCAGACGTGGTTCTAAATACTTTACCAGCATTAAATTCATTTAATCCTTACAACAGCTCTATGTGATAGGTTCTTACCTCCTTCTCATTCCACAGATGAGGAAATGAAGGCATCAAGAGGTTAAATGACTTGCCTAAGGGCACAAGGTTAAAAAATGAGAGACATGGGATAAAAAACCTTGTTCCTCTGGCTCCGCAATGTTCTCTCCTAACCATTGTGTCTAGAGGCTCTCTCTAAAATTCTGCCTCATGATTTTTCCACTTCCACTGCATTGTCTAATTCTCTTTCCTACTTCATTTTTACTGTGACACTTCTCATAGCTGACATACTTTATACTTGCTTGATGATGTTTGTTTGTTTCTTTTTGTGTGTCTCCTCACACTAGATTGTAAGCTACAAGAGGGCAGAGATCTGTCTTTCTTGTTTACTGATGTTTTCTTGGAATAGTTATACTTCCTGGCACATCTATGAACTATGGCACATTTATGATAAATGTAGGATGGCACCTGGAACATAGCAGGCAGTGAAAAGATCAATGGGAGAATGATGGAATCATGGGCATATCTGTAAGCTTATTAGAACTGACAGCTACTCAGGATCCATCCTGCTTGCAGTGGTGATTTTGAATCCAATTTAGTAGAATGGTAGGTATATAAAACAAATTGCTGTGGGTCAAAGAGCGGATGAGAAGTCAAGAAGTAATTCAGATGAAGGGAAGAAAGATATAGGATGTAGCTGGAAGAGGCGTCTGTGGTGGGGGAATATATCTATGGGTGAAAAGGTTTACAGCCTAAGAGGAAGGAGCAAGTGGAGAGGAAGATCTGAGTGGAGGTGACTGATGTCTTAGCAAAGAGAGCGAGGAATTGGCCTAAGAGCTGTAGTGGAAGGGCCAACCTTGCAACAAAGGAGAGCTGCTTTCTGAAACAGGGCAAAGGGAGGCAATGATTGACAATTATGAAGAGAGATCTGAAGGAAAGAAATTGAGAGAGCTCCTATTGCATGCCCTTGCTCTTCCCAGGGTAATAGCAAGGTGAAGCCCTCTACAGATGATGGTGAGGAAAATTCTGCTTTAAAAAAATGTTGTCAGATAAAATGATGGTTTGCTAGGACTGAAACAGGGAACAGGGGACTGAACTTCACCTCATTTAAGACATAAATTTCTTATAGGCAATAAGCAACAGTGACAGGAAATCAAGACCAGGCTGCAATTAATGTGAAATTGCTCTCTGTGAAACTGTTAGTAAAAGGAGATTGTGGATGATGAAGGGGCACTGGCTTAAGCTGTTTTCATGGACTCCACTCGTGTAGAAACAGAGCAATTGCTTCATGTCTTAGTGTTCCCACAGGATCAACCAAAGATTCATGCCAGTGGACAAAACAGATAGCTTTCCTCCCAAAGTGATGTGGTCACTGGATTTCTCAGTCTGAGGGGACACCAGTGATTCCTGGTTACTGGTGGCAGTCATTTGCTCCACTTAGATCTCTGGCTACATTCGTCTAGTCAATGTGAGACCTGCTTCCAGCTTATTCCTTGAAACTTGCTTATGCCCCTTTCTTTCTCTTCCCAATATCCTCCAAGGCATGAATCTTCCCTCTTTTTTCCTTTAATGATAATTATTTTCATTCTCCAGAAATCCTCCTACTCAGGAACTCACTCTTCGTATTGGTTATCTGTTGCTGAGTAACAAAATTATCCCTAGACTCAGTGGTTTAAGACAACAAACATTTATTATCTGTGCTGTGTCAGGAGTTTGAGAGCAGGCTTGTTGGTGCCTCTGGCTCATGGGTACTCATAATACTGCAATCAGGGTTTTGGCTTGAGCTACCATCTCCTCTGAAGACTCCAATGGGGAAAATCAAGTTCCAAGTTAGGCCTCGCCCATATGGAAGCTCACAGCTTAGTAGCTGGCTTCCCTTAGAGTGAGCAAGTGAAGGCGAGCAAAATGAAAGTCAGGGTATTTTTGTAACCAAATCTCGGAAGTGACATCTCATCACTTTTGCCATGTTCTACTCATTCGAAGCAAGTCCCAGTTCCAGCCCACGCTCAAGTGGAGGGAAATGTATGAATGTCAGGAGGGGAAAATCTTGAGGACCACCTTAGAAACTGCCTACCGTATTCACATTCGTTGCTTCCCCCATCCTATGCTAGCAATTTATTTTCCTGAAAGTAGTGAGTAAAAGGAACCATGCCCAGATACCTTCTTGAACCCAATTGCCATAGTCATTCTGTATAGATGGGATGGACTCTCCCCTCCCTTGTTCCCAAATTTGTTTGACATGCTGAAACTGATGCCACTACACATGCACCAAGAGGATAATGAGCTGGCTCCCAAGTTGGTCCAAAAACAGCCTGAGAGAGCAAGGAAAGAAGACTGGCATAGGGTTTTATGTTGATTAGGACCTGGGGCTCACAGGACGGTTTCTGTGTGGGGCCTGGGGCTTGTGTTCTTGCCTGTTAGAGCCAATGAAGATCATGTATAGGCTTTCTCATCAACTTTTCCAGATGTGGGGCTAAAAGGGAAAGGGAAGTCATGGGGCCTGAAAGCTGTTAACAGTCAAACATCAAAAATGGAGTCAGACCCTACATTAAATTATTGAACTTGAAATTTGATGGATAAAATCGGATGTTGAGATTCTGAAGTCTGACTCTGCAGTGGAAGCACATGGCTGAAAAGACTTCCACACCCTCAGGGAGAAGTGACTTTAAATAAATGTGGCTGATCTCACTTACATGTGGAATCTAAACAAACAAACTGAACCTAGAGAAGCAGAGAGTAGAATGTTGGTTACCAGGGGCTGGAGAGAGAGGGGGACTGGGGAGATATTGGTCAAGGAATAAGAAATTTCAGCTAGGAGGAATAAGTTCACCTGTTGGTGAACATTATGGGATTTGTTCCAATTTAGGGCCATTGTTAATTAACCTTCTATGTAAAAGTCTACATAGGACATATGATTTATTTTTCCATTGGGTAAATACTTAGGAGTGGAAAGACTTAGACATATGTCAAGTATCTATCTACCTTTTTAAGAAATTGCTAAACTGTTTTCTAAAATGTGGTTGTACCATTTTGCATTCCCATCAATGGTGAATAGAATTTCCACTTGCTGCATATCTTTACCAACTATTAAATATGGTAAAACTTTGAATTTTAGCCATTTTACAAGTTACATGTTGTGGCATTTCATTGTAGTTTTAATTTGCCCTTCCCTAATGACTAATGTGGAACAATTTTTTTATGGCCATAATTTGCTCTCCACATCCTTTGTCTGGTGGATTTGAATTTGGTGTCTATTTGAACTTTTGTCCATTTTTATTTTCATTGGGTTGTTTGTCTTATTATTGAGTTGTATGTGTTCTTTATACATTCTAGATACAAGTCCATTGCTGTATATATAAAGTATATTCTCCTAGTCTATGGTTTGCCTTTTCATTTTAACAGTGATTCTTTTTTTTTTTTTTTTTTTGTAATATCAACTTTTACTTTAGATTCAAGAGGTCCATGTTGAGGTTGGTTACATGGATATATTGTATGATGCTGAGGTGTGGGGTATGAATGATGCCCTCACTCAGACAGTGAGCACAGTGCCCAACAGGTAGTTTTTCAGCACTTGGCTCCTTCCCTTTCTCCCCTCCCTGTTAGTCCTCAGTGTCTATTGTTCCCATTTTCATGTCCATGCTTGCCCATGCTAGCTCCCACTTAGAAGTGAGAACATGCAGTATTTTATTTTCTTAACAGTGACTCTTGAAGAGCAAAAGTTTATGATATCAGTGAAGTCCAATTGTTGATATTTTTTCTTTTAGAGTTTATGCTTTTTGTATTCAAGGAATCTTTGCCAAACCCAAGGTCTTTATAACTTTCTCCTTTGTTTTCTTCTTGAGTTGTACAGTTTTAGCTTGTATACTTAGATCTACGATCCATTTTAAGTTAGTTTTTGTGTATGGTGTGAGGTAATAGTTAAGATTCATTTTTTCTACATGTATAGCCAATTACTCCAGCACCATTTATTAAAAAGAGTATTCTTTCCTCCACTGAACTGTTCTGGTACCTTTGTCAAAAATCAGTTGACCATTTATGTCTTGGTCTATTTCTGGACTCACTATTCTATCGTCTTGATTTATTTATCTCTCCTGATGCCAAAAATGAAATTGCATTGACTATTATGACCTTATAATAAACCTTGAAACCAAATAGTATAACTCCTTCAACTTTGGTATTCTTTTTCAAGTTGTTTACAGGTTGAGCATTCCTAAAATGAAGATTCAATATTCAAAATGCTCCAAAAATCTGAAACTTTTTGAGCAACAACATGATGCCACATCAGTGACTGAATAGTGACACCTTTGCTTTCTAATGGTTCAATGCACACAAACTTTGCTTCATGCACAAAATTATTTAAAATATTGTATAAAATTACCTTCATGCTATGTGTATAAGGTATATGTGAAACATAAATGAATTTTGTGTTTAAGACTTGAGTGCCATCCCCACGATATTCCATTCTGTTATGCAAATATCCCCAAATCTGAAAATATCCAAACTTCAAAACATTTCTGGACCCAAGCATTTTGAATAAGGGATACTCAACTTATACCTGGTTCTTTGCATTTCCATAGCTTGCTGGGCTTTTGACTGAGATTCCATTAAACCTATAGACCTCCCAGCACTTTGGGAGGCAAGGCAGGCGGATCAATTACGGTCAGGAATTTGAGACCAGCCTAGCCAACATAGTGAAACCCTGTCTCTACTAAAAATACAAAAATTAGCCAGGCGTGGTGACAGGTGCCTGTAATCCCAGCTACTCGGGAGGCTGAGGCAGGAGAATCCCTTGAACCCGGGAGGCGGAGGTTGCAGTGAACCAAGATTGCGCCACTACACTCCAGCCTGGGCGACAAAGTGAGACGGTGTCTCAACAATAATAATAATAATAATAATAAAATAAAATTAAAAAATAAAATAAACCTGTAGATCAGCTTGGAGATAGTGACATTTTAACAGTGAGAAGTTCTTTGTCTTGCATCCTTGCCTAAAGCATTTAAAAATACATGTCCTAGAATTTTGTACTTAAATAGTCAATGTTGCCTCTGAATATAGCTGTAGGGTTTTTGTAGATGCCCTTTACTAGGCTGAGAAAGTTTGCTGATAATTTTGATCAGAAGTGGATTTTTTGTCAAATAAATACTTTTTATGCATCTATTGAGACAATCATATGCTTTTTGGAATTTTAGTCTGTTAAAATGGTAAACGACATTGCTTAATTTTCAATATTTAAACAACCTTGAATTCCTGGGATAAACCCCACTTGGTAACTGTGTATTATACCTTTTTATATTGTTGGATTCAATTTGCTAAAATTTTGTTGAGAATTTTTGCATCTATGTTTATGAGAGTTATTGGTGCGTAGTTTGCTTTTTTGTTAATGTTTCCTCTATGATTTTTCTCTTGCCGATTTCACTTTTTAAAATTTTATCTTTATTATTTCCTTTCCTATGCTTACGTTGGGTTTAATTGGCTCGTCTCTTCCTAGTTTCTAAAAGTGATCAGACATATATGCTTCAGTACTATAAATGCTGTTCTATGTACTTCTTTAGCTGAATTTCATAGATTTTAATAGTTTGTGTTTTTATTTTTACCAGTTTAAAACAATTTATAATTTTCCTTTTGATTTCTTCTTTGATCCTTGGATTATTTAAAGGTCTGTTATTTAGCTTTAGGAGTTTTCAGCACATCTTTTTGTTAATTTTTAATTTCATTTAATTGTGATTAGAGGATATATTTCGTTTGCTTTTAACCCTTTTAATTTTTTTGAATCTTGTTTTGTGGCCCAGTATATGGTCTGTCCTGTTAAATGTTTCATGTACATTTGTAAAGAAAGTGTATTCTGCTGTTGTTGGTAAGAGAGCTTTGTAAATGCCATTTAAGTCAAGCTGATTAATAGTCTTGTTCAGGTTGTTCATATCCTTACTGATTGTCTACTTTTTCTCACAATTTTTATAAAAGGGGCAATGAAATCTCCAACTCTAATTATAAATTTGCCTATTTCTTTTTGCTTTTTTCTCTCTCTCTCTTTTTTTTTTTTGTATTAGAGTCTCATTCTGTCATCCAGGCTGGAGTGCAGTGGTGTGATTACAGCTCACTGCAACCTCTGCCTCACAGGTTCAAGTGATTCTCCTGCCTCAGCCTCCTGAGTAGCTGGGACTACAGGTGCCCACCACCACACCCGGCTAATTTTTGTATTTTTAGTAGAGACGGAATTTCACCAGGTTGCTCAGGCTGGTCTCGAACTCCTGGCCTCAAGTGATCTGCCTGCCTTGGTCTCCCAAAGTGCTGGGATTACAGGTGTGATCCACTGCACTGGCCTGAATTTGCCTATTTCTTTTTGAGCTCTATCAGATTTACTTCTTATATTTTTAAGTTCTGTTATTAGGTGCATAAATATTTAGGATTTTATATCTTCTTGATGAATTGACCCCTTTATCATTATGAAATGATCGTGGTAATATCCCTGGTAATATTGTTTGCTCTTAAATCTACATTGTCTGCTACTAATATCGTCACTCCAGTTTTCTTTTTTTTGTGAGATGGAGTTTTGCTCTTGTTGCCCAGGCTGGAGTGCAAATGGCGCGATCTCGGCTCACTGCAACCTCCACCTCCTGGGTTCAAGTGATTCTCCTGCCTTAGCCTCCTGAGTAGCTGGGATTACAGGCGTGCACCACCACGCCCAGCTAATTTTGTTTTACTAGAGACGGGGTTTCTCCACGTTGGTCAAGCTGGTCTCGCACTCCCGACCTCAGGTGATCCACCCGCCTCGGCCTACCAAAGTGCTGGGATTACAGGCGTGAGCCACTGCACCTGGCCCCAGTTTTCTTTTAGTGTTTGCATGTTATGTCTCTTTCCTTTCTTTTATTTTTAATCTACTTGTATCTTTATAGTAAAAATGGACTTCTGTAGGTTGCAAGAAATTTGGCTTGCAGTGTTTCTTGTTGGAATTCTCTTGTTATTTTTATCTTGATTTCTTTCTGCATAGTCTGTCTTTATTCTTTGGCTGCTTGTAAGATTTTTTATCAGTCAATGATTTTTAACAGTTTACTATGATGTACCTTAGTGTAGGATTCTTCATGTTTATTGTACTGGGGGCTTGTTAGCTTCTTTATAATTTTTTTGTCAAATTTGGGGAAATTTTGACCATTATTTTCTTAAATATTTTCCATCCCCCTCCACATTTTTCAGGGACTCTATTTATACAGTAGGCTGCCTGAATTTTCCCCAGAGCTCACCGTGCTGTGTTCAACTTTTAAAAATCTTTTTTCTCTGTGTGTTTCATTTTGGATAGTTTCTATAGCTATGTCTTCAAGTTCACTAATTTTTTTTGCAATGTATAATAGTCTGTTAATGCCATCTAGCACATTTTTAATTTCAATCATTGTATTTTTTTCATTTTCAGAAGTTTAATTTTGATCTTTTAAAAAAGATTTTACAGGATGGCTACCAAAGTAAATTAAAATTTAAAAAAAATATATATATATATACACAAAGATTTTACTTGTCTTTAACTTGATTGAACTTAACATGTTCAATCTTTACCTTCTTCAACATATGGAATATAGTTATAATAACCGTTTTATTATCTTTGTCCACTAATTCTATAATCTATGTCATTTCTGGCACATTATGTATTGCATCTTCCTCCTTTTAGGCATGTCTAGGATTTTTGTGACTCACAGAACAAAACCTGTGAATTTAACCTTGTTGGATATTTTCATATTCCTATATTCTTGAGCTTCTTTTATGGGGTGTAGTTACATTCCTTAGAAACCATTTGCTTCTTTCAAGTCTTGCTTTTGAGCTTTGTTAGGCAGATGCAGAACAATCTTTAGCCTCAGACTAACTTTTCCCTACTACTGAGGCAATATCTTCTTTTTTCTTTTTTGGGACGGAGTCTTGCTCTATCGCCCAAGCTGGAGTGCAGTGGTGTGATCTCAGCTTACTGTAACCTCCACCTCTTGGGTTCGAGCAATTCTCCTGCTGAGGCAATAATCTTCTGAGGACTCTACCCAATCTCCCCTGATTACAAGATTCACCACTATGGATGATGGAATACAAATTCTTCCCATGTTCGTGTGATCTGTTGGTATTGACCCCCTGTTCTCTTTGTGTGATGCTTTCCCAAGGCTTGGGCAGCTTGCTCACATGCATGCACTGATTAGTATTCAGCTGAAGACACAAGGTGGACCCTCTTCAAAAAGCTGAAGTTTTTTCTTTTTACGCTTCTCTTCTTGAAGGTGACCCTCTGAATTCTAGTTGTCTTGACCTTGTTGGACTCCCAGCTTCATCCCCTCAACTCAGGAATACTGTCCAGCTCTATTTTGGTTTCTCCTTTCTTCACTGCAACCTGGAAGTTGTCTCTAGGTGGTAAGCTTGGGAAATCAGGGGGCTCATCTCTTTTCTTTCTCTTGGGCACTGCTGTCCTAAGCTACCTGATGATCAATGTCTGAAAACCACTGTATCATATGTTTTGTTTGTTTGTTAGCTTTGTATAGGAGGATAAACCCAATCCCTGTGCTCCATATTGACTGAAAGAAGGTATCTCTCAGAGATGTTTTAAAATGTGTATTTCTCTATTATGTGTGAGATTAAGAACCCGGTATTATATTTAAGGGCTATTTTTATTTCTTTTGCCTTTCTTTATGTTCTTTGTTTTTCCCTTTTTGTCTCATTGAATTGTTGGTCATTTTCTTCTTCATTTCTAGAAGCTCATAATATATTATAGAGATTAGTTCCCTTTTTTTTGGGTAAATTTTCCCGTCTCTAATTTGTGTTTTTACTTTGCTTATGTAATTTCTAATTTATGTACATTGTTTCCATTTTTATGTACTCAAATTTGCTAATATTTTCTTTTATTGAACTTGGGTTTTTGTAGCCAAGATTTTATATTTGACCTTTATTGAAATAGTACAGTATTACTCTAAGTAGATTGTGATATGTTAAAGATGCATATTGTCCTGTATGAGGTGTAATTCTTTGTTTGTTGAGAATATGTTTGATTTTTACCAATAGGCTAAAATTATTTGGAATAAAGTCTAGTGAATAAGGTGAGACAACAAATTGAGTAATGATAATTTTGAGTAAATCACGAAGTTTTTTTTATAGTTAAGAGACTGATTTTAATATCAAATGCATACATTTGTTCTGAAGTTGGTTCCAAAGTGGAATTTTATTTTATTTTATTTATTTTATTTTTTTGAGACAGGATCTCCTTCTGTCGCCCAGGCTAGAGTGCAGTGGTGTGATCTTGGCTCACCACAGCCTCCGCCTCCCAGGTTCAAGTGGTTCTCGTGCCTCAGCCTCCTGAGTAGCTGGGATTACAGGCACCCACCACCACGTCTGGCTAATTTTTTTTTTTTTTTGTATTTTTAGTAGAGATGGGGTTTCACCATTGGCTAGGCTGGTCTCGAACTCCTGGCCTCAAGTCATCTGCGAGCCTTGGCCTCCCAAAGTGCTGGGATTATAGGCATGAGCCACTGCGCCCAGCCTAAAGTGGAATTTTAGAAATGTACAATTGGATAATAGGTTTAAACATTCCTTCCCTCCTGTTATTCCTCTTTTCCCTTTCCCACATTTAAGCAGGTGGTCTGTCCTATACTTAGTTGCCTTGGAGGACATATGTGCAGAGCTATCATGGGGAGATTGAGGGCTCCGGAGTGGAATGGCTGTATGATATCTGTATGAAGAAAGGCGCTAGGCAGACATAAAGAAAAATGTCTGTGTCCCAAGAAACGCAGAACCATTGCACTGAAAGTAGCTCTAAGAGAAGGACAGGGGACATCACAATGGTACCCTGTATGCACAATCAGCATGTAGGCCCTTCCTGAATACTGTTAGACTGGGGAAGACCCTGGAATTATGACAAATTCCTATAGCTGGTGGGGAAAGACACCAAAACTGACCGGCATGAGGTTTCTAATTAGCTTGATTGTATGGAGGCTTGAACTTGAAATTAAGTCAGTTTATAGAAAATAAAGACATCTTAATATTTAGACGAGATCCCCCCTTTACAAATATTTTGACAAGTGGTTAACAAATTTGTTGCTCTGCAAAGTAAGCAATTTGAAGAGTTACATCATTTGCCTCTCTGTTGGGAAAAGCAGTCAACTGAATTAGTTTCCATTACCTTATAATAAGGCTTTTCATGTGAAGCCCACAGACTCCAGCCAGGTAAGGTGACTCACACCTGTAATCTCAACATTTTGGGAGGCTGAGGCAGAGGGATTGCTTGAGGCCAGGAGTTTCAGACCAGCTTGGGCAACTTAGTGAAACCCTATCTCTACAAAATTTTTTTTCTTTTTTAAATTAGCTGGATGTGGTGGTGTGTGCCTGTAGTCCCAGCTACTCAGGAGGTTAAGGCAGGAGGATTGCTTGAGCCCCGTAGCTTGAAGTTACAGTGAGCTAGGATCACTCCACTGCACTCCAGCCTGGGCATCAGAGTGAGACCCTGTCTCTAAGAAAAAACAAACAAACAAAACTGAAGTCCACAGACTCCTAAGGGATCTTTGAACTTGAAAGCAAAAAGATTGCATCTTGACCAACTTCAATCTGAAATGTAGCACTTCCTTCAATTATAAATGTCGACAACAAATCACAAGAGTATTAATAATACCTGTGACTTTATCAACAATATGAAAGCATACACATTTTTATATCACAGTACAATTACTGCAGACATATGCAAGTATCATTTATTTTAATTACTATTCATTGCTACTTCAAAATTATGGTAGCTTTTAGGCTTAGTACCAGTTATTGTTATTTAATTCATTAATATGAAGCACTATTACAATTTTATCACAAACACATTTTTATTTTGTTTTGTTTTTTGAGACAGTCTTTCTTGCTCTGTCACCCAGGATGAAGTGCAGTGGTGTGATCTTGGCTCACTACAATCTCTGCCTGTCTGGCTCAAGCAATTCTCCCGCCTCAGCCTCCTGAGTAGCTGGAATTACAGGCACGCACAACTGTGCCAGGCTAATTTTTGTATTTTTTTTGTAGAGATCGGGTTTCACCATGTTGGCCAGGCTGGCCTTGAACTCCTGGCCTCAAGTGATCTGCCCGCCTCAGCCTCCCAAAGTGCTGGGATTACACGCGTGAGCCACCACACCCAGCCACAAATATGTTTTTAAAATCTTTTGGCAACTATATTTCAGTATAATGAGTTTTCTTTGTAATCAGATATTTTATTTTGTGCATATATAAACATTATTCTGACAAGAATTGGCTTTGGGAGATAGCTGAAAGGATAAAATAGACTAGGAGCCCTTATTTTAGTTATGCGTCGTATAATTCCTAGCTGGAGTCACCTCAAAAAGAGAAGAGGCAGCAAAAAGCAGTTCCTAGCTTTTCATTTCCAGCTCCTCCCCAGCTGGAAATTTGAGGATGTAACCTAACTCTGAGAGAGTCCGACCTTCTGCACTCACTGCAGGCTCAGTACACTGTAGGAACCCGGCAGTTTATACATCGGATGTAATAGCTTCCACCAGGAGCAGGGCTCACCAGGTTTTTGGGGCTGAAACTTCTCTGCAAGCCTTAGCTGATGACAGATTTCCCTCTCTTCTTTCCTTGTGAGCTGGTGCCAAGATGACTTTCCACATCAATGGAAGAGCTTTAAATCTGACATTCTGAGCTTGCGGCCTCCTTTCATTTAATCAGCACCAATTTCATCCTCTGTCTTGGAATCCATTGCATTCAGGGCACAGGGCCTGTGTCATCTCACTTCCCTCTAACGCTGCCTCTGCCCTCCCTATACTCCTTCTCCTCTGTCCACACTCCCTCCAGCAGTGTCAGAGATGATGCCACGATACTGGAGGATTCCAGCATCCAAGCCTTGCAGGCCCCTGCTGAGACAAGCTATCAGCTTGCACTATTTGACAAAAAGAGAGCAGAAACAAAATTGAGCCAAAAGCAAAGGCCATGTGGAGTTACATCTCTGATCTTGTCATTCTTTGACCACAAAACTTGCTGACCCAGAACTCTCTTTTTCTAAGATTAACTCAATGACAAAACTTTTCAGTCTCTTTTACCTGAAAACGTTTTTACTGCACACATCTCATTTTCTAGCTTAACTGTAGTAATGAAAATGAACATTTTACAGTTTATAAAGTGCTTCCTTTTTTTGTTGTTGTTGATCAGAGCGTAGTTTTAATTGTATTTTTGATACACTTGTGAAATATTTTATAGAAATAAAAATTTTTACTTAGGAGCAAAAGAAGTGTGTTATCAATCCCAAGGTAACTCTCTTTAAATGTGGACATATAAAATTCCAACTGTATGTAGAAGGGCCTCTGGTTAAATCTAAGTTGTAAGAAGGCATACTAATTAACAGAACAGATGTAAAAATAATGAAATTCTGCCATTTCAGCAACATGGATGAGCCTGGAGAACATTATGTTAAAAATAAGCCAGGCACCAAAAGACAAGTACTGCATGTTCTCACTCATGTGGGAACTAAGAAATTTGATCTCACGCAGGTCTAGAGAGTATAATGATGGCTACCCGAGGCTGGGAAGGATGTGTGTCTGCGGAGGGCTGGGATGGGGGATAAAGAGAGATTGGCTAATGGCTACAAACATACAGTTAGCTAGAAGGAATAAGTTCTAATGATAGATAGGACAGTAGGGTGACTATAGTTAACAACAATGTATTGTGTATTTCAAAAGGGATAGAAAAGAATATTTGGGATGTTACCAACACAAAGAAATAATAAGTGTTTGAGGTGGTGGTACATATCCTAAATACCCTGGTTTGATCATTACCCATTATATGCATGTATCCATATATCATGTGTACCCCATATACAGGTACTACTATTATCATATATTAATTTTTAATAGCCACTTTGGTATGGTCTAAGAGTAGAGGATCAGTGTTGAGGGAATGGGCAAAATGTATCATTGTACCATGCTTGTCACTTAGATCACCCTCCAGCCTGGCCCCTGAAATGCATACCTGAATGATAGGGAGATATGCTGAAAGAGCGTTCCATTAAAATGCCTGTCACACTCAAGGATGGCAAATTTCTATACTTGAGGGTCTGTGGACCCTCATGAGCATATTACCAGCCAGTGGTTTCTGCAGCAACAGGAAACCACACCTGGGCAAAGACCAGCAAGCTTCATCAGCAATGGCCATTCCTTAGAATAGGCACAGCAGGGGGACCAGCTTTACAGGAGCAGGGGCCCCTTTGCAGCAATCTTCACCTCAGTAAGTGGAGCTCAAGGAAAATGAAGGGTGCTGCATGGAACCCGAGAGTGCCGAGTTCATTGAGTACACATGAGGTTCACTTTGGGAATCCCATACAGAGCTGAAAGAGTTATGAGCATGATAAAGTGCTTTCTTAGGAATGATTTCATTTGATTCTTAGAGCAATTGTGTACTTGCTTGCATTTCACAAATGAGATATATGAGCCCAGAAGGGTTCAAGGCTAGCTCTATAAATGCACTAGAATGAAGAGCTAACCTAGGATTCCTGCCTCCAGAGGCAATGCTAGTTCCACGGCCCTGTACTTCCTGCTATAGGAAAAGGAAAATGTGCTGACACATGAGACCTCAGTTTGCTGGCTTGTCTGCTCTTTGTGTTGTGCACATTGGTTTTGTTTCATTCAAACAATGTTTTATAAGAATTCGTATGAGTTTCCAACATTTAAAAATTTGTAAATTTCACATCAAAATCTATAATCCTGGCCAAGAGCAGTGGCTCACGCCTGTAATCCCAGCACTTTGGTAGGCCGAGGCAGGTGGATCACCTGAGGTCAAGAGTTCAAGACCAGCCTGACCAACATGGTGAAACCCCTTCTCTACTAAAAATACAAAATTAGCTGGGCGTGGTGACGCATGCCTTTAATCCCAGCTACTTGGGAGGCTGAGGCAGGCGAATCGCTTGAACCCCGGAGGCAGAGGTTGCATTGAGCCCAGATAGCTCCATAGCACTCCAGCCTGGGCAACAAGAGTGAAACTCTGTCTCAAAAAAAGAACAAAAAAATGACAAACCAAAATCTATATTCCTGATCTTTTCCCCCTTCAAATGAATTAAAAGATATGGCCATATAGGACCCACATTACCCCAAGGCAACCATTAGCTTGATCTGAGTAGTGGTGCTCCTTTTAGATGGGATGTGAATTTTCCAGATACTGTGGAGTACATCACTAACTATCATCTCAATATTACGACTATCAGTTACGAAGACATTTATTATTGTCTTTGTGCTGTTGTTTTTCATATAGTGGATTTAAAAAAGGAAGGAAAATAGTTCTGAAACTCACTTCCATCTCAAAAGTGGAGAAATAAAATATGAACCTAGATAACTTTTTGTTTATTTTTAGACTGAATTGCCTGGGTCCATTGTAATCATTTGGGAAGCTTTGAAAAAATACAGATCTCTGGGCTACACAACAGACCCATTGAATCAGAATCTGCAGGAGTGGGCCCTAGGAATCTGTAATTTTTAAAACTCCCCAGATTATTCTTATTGGGAAACCACTGATTTAACTCTTATGATCCCTTTTTTTGGGATATACTCTGATGGAAAAGAGATGCCACTTTCTCTGAGGCTCTTTTAACAACCCTGTGCTAGGAAACCCAAGTACGCCAGAAACTGATGGTTAGCTGAAGGCAGCCAGGTGGAAACAACCCATTTGGAGTTTGTAATACATGGAACATCAGTTGAGTCACTGGTTTGGCCTATAAGGTCACCAACAAAAAAGGCATCAGGAGATCACATCAGCGCCGATTCCCACCCCTTGGCTAATCACAGAACAATATCCTGATTCACGCTGAAAGGAACTGCTGTGGTTTGAATGTGTTTTCCAAAATTCATGTGTTGGAAACAATCCTTAATGCAGTGGTGTTGGGAGGGGCCTAATGGGAGGTGTTTAGGTCATGAGGGCTCTGCTCTCATGAATGGATTAATGCCAATTATAAAAGGGCTTCTGAGAGTGAGTTTGACCCCTTCTACCCCATGCCATGTGAGGACACAGTATATTTCCCTTCCAGAGGATGACAGCAACAAGAGTCCTTCTTGAAACCCAAGATTGAACCTTCCAGTGCCTGGATCTTGGACTTCCCAGCCTCCGGAACTGAGATAAATAAATTTCTCTTCTTTGTAAATTACCCAGTCTGTGGTATTCTGTTAGAGTAGCACCAGATGGACTAAGACAGAGACCTAAAATCATTCAGCATTTCTGAGAAGTTACTTCCCTTCCCTGTCTCCAGCTTCTAAATATGAAAAATATTAATAAAAGTGTAAGAAGAAACAGAGACTAAATCAGGGCTTGAACACTGGTTTCCTAAGTCCTAAACATGATTCTTCCAATATGGACTTCATTTCATAGAACTGGACTTTTTCTCTGAGAATTTTTTTTTAAACCAAATCAGGATGGCCTAGGTTGGATATAAACACATATACCTTAAGGCAAAAATGAAAAATTGGCACTTTCTTGTAATTTATTTGCTACCAGTTTTCTTACACCAAAAACAAATTTGTTATAATGTTGAATACCCTGTTGTCTGGGCCAACTATTTAAGGGAATCAGAGACGTGTTTTCTTTCAGGCTTTTTAGAACAATAATAATGGTAGTAGTAGTTGTAGATACCTTTTATTGATCACTAATTCTGTGGCAAGAACTCCTCTCTTCACTTTTTATACATTATCTTATTCACTCTTTACAACAACCCTCTGCAGTAAGTATTTGCTTCCATATTTTACATATAAGGAGTTGGAATTGAAGCTCTGAAAGTAACTGCTTACTATTTATTGGGCAGCTACATGGCACAGAGTATGTAAGTGGTGAAGTTTAAAATTTGAATCTCATCTTCTGATTCTCAAACCTATGGGACCGCTGTTTCTCAGGGCTCTGTTTTGTCTTTCCCTTTGGTCCTATGCTGGCCTCCATTCTGCCTTTGGTTCTAATAACCCTTCTTTTCTTTTCTATTTTGTTGTTGTTGTTGTTGTTGTTGAGACAGAGTCTCGCACCATTGCCCAGGCTGGAGTGCAGTGGCACAATCTCGCCTCACTGCAACCTCTGCCTCCTGGGTTCAAGCGATTCTTCTGCTTCAGCCTCCTGAGTAGCTGAGACTACAGGCATGCACCACCATGCCTGGCTAATTTTTATATTATTTGTAGACTTTTCACCATATTGGCCAGGCTGGTCTCAAACTCCTTACCTCAAGTGATCCTCCTGCCTCGGCTTTCCAGAGTGCTGGGATGACAGATGTTAGCCACTGTGCCTGGCCCTAATAACATTTCTTAATATTAATTTCTCTACTTTATTTGATAAATATCCTGTCCAGAACAGGTCTCCAGAGGCTGGAGCCAGTCAGTGCGTGGGTAGGGTGCACAGGGCGGGTGGAGGGTGGAACAGGAAGGGCTAAGCTCTGGATGCCAGGGCACCTCCAGGAACAGCCACAGGGAGGCTGCTGCTCTGAGGCAGGGGAGCTGGACACATCTCCACAATGTCAGGATTTACCTCTTGAGGACAGGTGAGACAGGGTCATCACATCATAAATCTAGTGGGTCACAAGTCAAGCAACATTTCCATATAACTCAGAAACAGACCATAGTCTGAGTGAATTGAGTGAAGGGATAAAGGTAGGAAATACGAAAATATAATTAAAATTATCAGTACATTTCGAAGTTACTTTTTAAAGCATTTCCACATATATAATGTTATTGGATGCTCAATTAAATCCAGTAGCATAGCAGAGATTCTGTACTTAGAGCGGGTCAGATACTGTTGACAGCTACCGTGAGTCATCCTTCCTTTAGCCTCTCAGGAGCCCTTTCATCTCCAATCAAAGGACTGCAAACAAACCACACAGATGCTAGGCCAATTCCTGAACATAGTTCAGTGGAATACTTACATTATGTGTGCATCATTATAGAAATGGTTTCTGGGTGAGACCAAGAGTGTTACTTTTGAAAAACCTGGGGTGGCCCTTGGGGGATGAATGTGAGGGTGTTGAGATCTTGGGAGACCTTGGGAGACCCTGGCAAACAAATGTAAAAGTTGCAGGGAAAAAAAGCGTTAAGGTGGTATGAGAAAACAAGGTAGGGAGCTGAAAAGGATTTAGTTTTATGCCAAAGGAACAGAATGTTGGAACATAACTACCCTAGATCACACGTTACAATATGATCCTTTGGGAAAGCTGCACATAATCTGGCTTCTGTATGTGAGGATAAGCCTATATCATTTTAATGGAATTTTGATAGAATACCAAAATTTAAAAGTAACAGGGCTGTGCTTCCTTCAAGAAGTAATTCTCTTCACAACCCATTTTTCATTTCAATGTGCAGTGGGGTGGCTCACTCATTGCTCTTTCTCTTTTCTTTTTCATGACCATCCTAAGTGTATTTTTTTTCCCAAAAAACAACCACTGACAACCCCAGAGCCATTGTTCCGAGCTCTTACTTCTGTGAGTGTTTCAGGTAATACTGTTCTTAGCATTCCATGTCATCTTTCTTATCCTTTCATTTACTTTCTTGGCTGCCAAAAGTCTCCCATTTATCTGTCTCCCCTCTGTGCTGTCTGAGAGGTAATTTTTCATCCTGTCTGTTTCCTTATCCCAATGGTCCATTCATTTCCTTCAGGCTGCTTTTCCTTGCCCTCCATGCCCCCTTCATGACAGCACTTTCTCTAGTGAAGTTTTAAAGCATTCAGGAGCTGACGGCTGAAGACGGTGATTGGGTTGGAATGAGAGGATGAGCTGATTTAATAGCTATTACAGGGTTTCAAATCAGTCAGGGCTCTTGGCTGCACGTGATGAAAACTCAGCTCAAGCTGGCTTAGGGAGAAGGGAGTGTGTTGGGTCACTCATCAGAAAAGGGTATTTTGGTAAAGCAGAATGGAAGGAATTACTGTAGGAACCAGGACCTCTTAAACCAGAACCAGAATTCAATGCCCCTGGGTCACTGCCTCCAATTTCTCCTCCCTGTTTTGCTGATTTGTTCCACTCTGCAGACAGGATTTCTCTATATGCTGGGAAATATGGCGGCTGACTTTTAGCTCCAGATTCATACCCTCCAGCAGACAGAGGGTTCCCTCTACCCCACCCCAACCTATCACTCCCAGGGAAAGCATGTGATTGGTTCTGCCTGGTCATGTGTTCTCTTCCTCGACCAGCCTCTGAGGCTTAGCCAGACCCGAGTCAGGAGGTGGGATGGAAAGGATTAGGATAAAGCACCGTGACTGACAACCTCACTAGAATCACTGTATGGAGACAAGTGGTTCTTCAAAGGAAAGGATGCTAGGGAGACAAAAAACAATGCATAAACCCTGCAGAATTAAAACAATGCATTTTCAAATAATTTGTTTTCCTGCAACAGTGTACAGGGAAGAAGTTTTTTTTTTTTTTTTTCTGGTGTTACCCTGAATTATTCAAATTTTAAAAATTGCTTTCAGGAGAATTATAGTACAGAGGGCTCCCAAATAGTTTAAAACAACAACAACAACATCATGTTAGATTATTTTTTCAAATGTCCACAATAATAATCCCCTTCCCCGAATCCACACTGCTTGAGTACCACCCTCTCATACTGAGTCTGGGCTTAGAAATTTGATTTGTGGTCAGGTACGGTGGCCCACACATGTAATCCCAGCACTTTAGGAGGCTCAGGTGGGCAGATCACTTGAGGTCAGGAGTTTGAGACCAGCCTGGCCAACATGGCTCTACTAAAGATATAAAAATTAGCCGGGCGTGGTGGTACGCGCCTGTAATCCCAGCTACTCAGGAGGCTGAGGCAGGAGAATCACTTGAACCTGGGAGGCGGAGGTTGCAGCGAGCCAAGATCTTGCCACTGCCCTCCAGCCTGGGCAACAGAGCGAGACTCCATCTCAAAAAAAAAAATTGATTTGCTTTGGCTATTTAGGCTATTTGGACAATAACAAACATGATAAAAAGCTGAGCTTTGAACCACGTTTGTGCATTGGGGCTTGTTCTCACTTGCTGCTCTTGAAAACCCTCTTAAGCCTGGGTTAGCCTGCTAGATTGTATGTGGCACATTGTCTAGTTATGTCCATCGTCCTTGAACACAGCCACCGAATACCAGACACGTGAGGGAGACTATGGACCACCAGCTGACCACAAATACAAGAGTGAGTGCCTGAATGTTTCCTTAAAGCACGTAGCAAGTTGTCTGCTAAATTTAAGGAGGCCGAGGGAGGGAGTGTGAGCAGATTTGGGGAGAGTCTTTTAAATTAATCATTAAAAGTACAGGCACTGGTGAAGGAATTGACCAGTAGTATCAATTAGTGCTGAAGGTAGAAACCAATCTATAATTGGTTAGCGTAATCCTGTGTGTGTGAGACAATGAGAGGGTTTCTCCCATCATCATTGATCATGAAGTTTTACCCCACATCTTAGGAAAGCATACAGGGATAGAAAAGGACAATCAGACTACAGGATCCCCTGCTGGTTGAAATTTGTACAAGCATCTATTTGATGCCAAAGATAAAATGATGCTACACAAGAGTGCGTGCTCACCTACCTAAACACCCATTGCCATCTTTGCCAGATGTTGTGGTAAGGAAGAACTTAATTCAGCTGAACAGAACCTAGGAGAAAAATGTGAGAATGAACTCCCCATAAAGGGGCAGTGCTCTCAAGAACTTGGGAACAGGGGACTTCAAATGGAGCTGTTCTTTGAGAGTCAAATTAACAATCAGCACATAATGGACACAATGTAACTCTACAGAAGATAGAGAATGGTTCCTTAACCAAAGTAAGCTTCAACTATCACCAGGTTGATGATAACAATATGTTTGAAGAAAACAAATAGATCAATTTTTCAGGGGAATTACTTCATTCCTGAAAGATAACATTGGCAGTGGAAAATCAGTGGCCAAACAGACTGGAATACTTTGGTCACTATGACAGGTACATCTGCATTCTAAAATGATGCCATTAAAATATTTAGCTCATCAGATACTGTCCCTGTTCAAATCCATGCTCACCAGGCAATATTCTACACATAGTTTGCTATATGTATAAGCTGTAGAATAATTATTTATCTAAAACAGGTATCAAAAATCTTCTATGCTTTAGGGATTTTTGTTTAGGTCTTGAAGATACAGGGGTGAATTAATAAAACAAAACCCCCAGCCCTCATGAAGTTTACATTTATCATTTATTCTAACGGAGATCCATGCATGTACGGGCACGCACACACACATGCACACACACACACACACACACGCACGCACACACACTACATAGTACTTTAATTGTGGGCCATGGAGAAAACTAAAGCAGAGGAGAGGTATTGGAATTGCTAGGGGTGTTTCCATTTTTGTTATGTTGGTCAGGCAAACCCTCTTTGAGAAGATCAATTTAAACAAAGACTTGAAGAAGGCGAGGAAATGAGCCATGTAGCCATCTGAGGGAAGACCGTTCTGGGCAAAGGAAGTAGCCAGTAGAAATATGTTGAAGTGGGATGGGTTTGGCTTGTTCTAGACATAACAAGGAGGCTTGTTCTAGACATAACAAGGAGTGGAGTGAGCAGGGGGGATAGTGGTAGAAAATGCGATCAGAGAGATAATGGCATGGGGCAGGGGGAAAAGGAATTACTATAGGAACCAGGACCTACAGAAGTTGCATGGGACCTTATTGTCCATTGTAATGACTGTCGTTTACTCCGAGAGATGGGAAGCCATCGGGAGGTTTTGAACAGAGGGATGACGTGATCTGACAAACATAATCACTCTGACTTCTGTGTTGGGAAGAGTTTGAGGGAGGGGAGTATGCTAATGGAAAGGAACCCCAGTTGGGAGGCTGCTGCAATGATCTAGGGAAAGAGAGGATGGTGATTTGAACTTGGATAGTAGCAATAAAGGTGGTAAAAAGTGGTCAAGTTCTAGCTATTTTTTGAAGCTAGAGCAGTGGGATTTGTCGGAGGGCATGAAGTGGTGCGTGTGAGAGAAACTGATGAGTCAAGGGCTATTCCAAGGTTGTGGGTCTGAGCAACTGATAGGACAGTTCGACTAATTATGATGGTGAAGGAGCAGAAGAGCTCATTTGTGGGTGAAGATGAGGAGGTCAGCTCTGGAGATGGTAAATTTGAGATGTCTGTTAGATATCCCAGGGAAGATATCAATCAGTCAGCCAAGAGTTCAAGAGAAAAGTCACAGCTGGAGGGAAACATCAAGTTAAAAGTCATCAGCATGTAGATGGTATTTAAAGTCCTGAGAGTGGAAGAAATTACTATGGGAATGTAAAGACGGAAAAGAGAAGTCATGGACTAAGCCTTGGGGTATTTCAGTATTAAGAACTGGGAGATGAAGAGGAATCAACAAAGGAATTTAAGAAGGAATTTAAGAATAAGCTTCCAGTGAAGCAGGAAAAACAAACATCAAAGAGATTAAGAGTGAGATATTGCAGAAGCCAGGTCAAGAATTAGTCTCGGGGATGAACTAGTGATCAATTGCATTAACTGTGAGAATGTGCTGATTAGTCAGGCCAACAAAATCATTGTGAGCCATGTGACAACTATATTTCTTATTGTAAATTAATAACTTGAATTTATTCATTTATGTTTTAGAGACAGAGTCTTGCTCTGTCTTCCAGGCTGGAGTGCATTGGCATCATTATGGCTCACTGCAGCCTTAAACTCCCTGGCTCAAGCAATTCTCCTACCTCAGCCTTCCAAGTAGCTGGGACACAGGCGTGTGCCACCTGGCCTGGCCTTTTTTTTTTTTTTTTTTTTTTTTTTTTTTTTTTTTTTTTTTTTTTGTAGAGAAGGGATCCCACTATGTTTTCCGGGCTGGTCTTGAACTTCTGGGCTCAAGTGACCCTCCCGCCTCAGCCTCCCAAAGTGCTGTGATTTACAGGTATGAGCCGTTGTGCCCACCCTCAACATGTCTTAAATACTGTCAAGGATCAAAAGACAAACTAAAATGTGTCCCAGGCCACTAGACTTAGTGTTCTGCATTTTGGGATGGACAAAGATTGAGAGCAAACAGAATCTCAAGCCGTTTCTCCCCTTCCTGGCTACTCACCTAGAAGCCCAGGTAATAGACAGCCTTTCTCTTGCTTCCAGAAAGGCCCTATTTTTCTGCACTCTGTGGAGGGAAACAGCTCAGCAAGCTTGTTCACCCCCTGAACCATCACCCATACTGTCCCTTTAAACCAGAACTCTGCTTGCCACTCTCCTTTCCTAACTCTTGGGCATCCTTCAAGGCTCAGTATTTGTCACTTCGTCCAGAAATGTTTCCTGACTCCCCAATCCGAGTCCCTAATACCTGCTGCATAGCCCAATCCGGCATCTATAAAATTGTTTCAATTGCATTCTTATTCATCTGTGTCTCCTAAGACACTGTGATAGGGCAGGAATGGTGTCTTGGATATCACTGATCTCCAGTCCCAGTCAATAAATTGGATTTCTGATTTAAGTCTCCTATGATCTGGATACTCCAAGTTGGAGCATTCAGAGCAAAGAATCTGCTTGGAGTTTCCTTAGCCAATTGGGTAAGCCCCAGGCTGGTGCAGTGGCTCACGCCTGTAATCTCAGCACTTTGGGCTGCTGAGATGGGAGATTTGCTTGAGCCCAGGAAGTTGAGGCTACAGTGAGCCATGATTGCACCACTGCGCTATAGCCTGGATGACAGAGTGAGACCCTGTCTGAAGGAAAAAAAAAAAAAAAAAGCAAATTGGGCAAGCCTTAGGGTCTGAACCATGGTAAATTTCTGTTACTTTGTGAGGCTATTTGGCGACCACTGTGCTTGTAAAATAGCTTTAGTGACAGTTAAGCTTTGTCACAAGCAGGGTCTACTTTGAAATTCAGTCTGCACATCTGCCTCTAACCAGCCTTCCCTGTCAGAGCTCATAGATTAGCTGCCATGAAGAGTCATCCCAAATGTGTTGGGTCTTTCATGGATAGGTTCCGAAGTCATTCCTACACACCAGAGTGGATGGTGCAATGGAAGCTATGGCCCTTATCACAGATTCGGATTTGTGTAGTAGAAAAAAAGACTTGTCTGGGAACCAGGAAATTGCGGTTCTAGTTCCAGCATAATCACTTAACTCAATCTATAGTTACTAAACTTCTTGAGGCCTCAGTGTATTACCTGGATACACTAGGTTACGTAGCAATAATAAATTAACAATGACCTCTCAGTGGCTTCACACAACAAAGGCTTATCTCTTGGTCCTCGTGTGTATCTATTCCAGGTCTGCGAAAAGGCTCTGTTCCCTCTGGTCACTCAGGGACCCAGCCTGATGGAGGTTCCATCACCTAGTAGTTTCTGTGGCATTTCTACCCTCCTTAACCACCAGGGGTCCAGGAAAGGAAGAGATGGAGGAGACGTGCACATGGGCTTTCACTGCCTTAATTCAGAGCTGTGCTTCACTTCTTCTCAGAGCCCATTGGCCAGAACTTGTCATGTGACCTCGCCTAACTTTAGCTGAGCTGCGAAATATAGAGGAACAAATGGAATCTTCAATGACAATTATAGTCTAGGCCATATTGAGTTTCCACATCTGTTGATAAAGTTATGATAATAATAGTATGATTTACCTCATAGAGATGTTGGGAAGATGAATGCATGTGACATGATTAACATTGTGCTGGCTCATAGAAAGTATTTCACAAATTCTAGCCATAATAAGTATATTATTATTATTATTATTATTAAGTGGGAAATAAGTTGTAGCATTATTATCACTATGTAATTCTTCTAAGAGCAAAAGTGACTGTGCCTAAGCTCTTAACCATTTGTGCCTAAGCTCTTAACCTGTTGAGCCATCCTGAAGGCATTCTGCTGTACACTCTGCTCAAGGAAGAAGAAAAGCTTGTTCCAGGAAAGCTTGTTGTTGAACTGTATGCCCTTCCCCCCTCTACCTTTGGTCCTACCCCTTCTGCCAATCCTGGCCATGACTGCCCCTGTCAGCAACCCAGGGAAGGGTCTGAGGACATTGGAAGCCTCCAGCTCTTTCTTCTCCTACATGATTTTCCAGGGCTCAGTGTTCCCCTGATGCTCCCAGGCTGTCAGTGTGAGACACCCCTGTGGCCTCCAGAGTCATGATGGGCCCACTCAGGTTTCCTGGCAGTAAGGCTCATATGCAAACAAAACTGGAACCAGAAGGAATTATAAAAATGGTTCCACTCCTCAAGCACACTCTTGTCTGGAAATGTTTTTCAACTTTCTATTCTGTTTGGTTTGTGGAGGTTAAAAAAAAAAAAAAAGAGAGAGAACGAAAACAAACCTACAGGATCTGATTAAAAGCCAAAAAGGCTGTTGTAGGAGAGGCCACACTTCTTATAAACATACAAATGCACAGCAGACTATCTGAAGTCAAGGTGGTCTTTGAGCCTAATAATTGGTAGCAAATTTAGCCAAGCTGCTTAGCCTGAGAGTGATTTCTGTCCTCTGACTGCTACGTTGGCTTTGCTTGCTTACATTTGGTCTTCCAAATCAGTGCCATTCCTTTCTACCTCCATGCCTTTGCCTGTGCTATTCTTTCTTCCTGGAACACCCTTTCTTCCTGTCCCTTGCACGCCACCTGTTGAATAAATCCCACTAATTCTTCAAGGTGTAGTTTAAATGCCACTCATTGTTTCCTTCTAATCTTTCAAGGTATAATCACAAGGATTATGTCTTTGTATGCTATTAGCACCTAGCATGGTGTCTGGTGTTCAATAAATGTTGAGTTGAAATCCCCCTTTTCTTCATTAATTTTATCCCTTAGTGTTATGTTTATGGAGACTATCAACGGGGACAAAGTTTCAAGAAATTTGGGGAAAGCTGCTTCTGCCCCAGAGTCCCTTCAAGAAAAGCCTTAAGTGCTGAAATTCCCTGAGAAGTTTAAGCTTGTAACACTTGCAGTGGTTCCCCCAAGAAATCAACCCGAACTATCTTGTATCCTCTTACCTTGCTGAAATTGATTTTCAAATGAAGGCATAATGTTAGCTTCATCTCATATGAGGACTCTTCTTCCCAAGGAAGCTACCTTGTTATTATAGCAACTACCTTTATGGAGCTTTCCCGATTGCAAAGTATATGTGCATACATTATCTTGTTTAGCACTCATTGTGATCATGGGGCTTGGTAGAGCAGAGGATGACATTGCGTACACAACTCCTATAATCAAGGGAATCTGGCAGTCTCTGTTATTTCAGCAGAGTCAATCTAAACAAATTTTGGATGGCTTGGGGGAAAGAAACTCAGAATTTACCAGCTGCTATAACCTCCCAAACAGCATGAAGAAAATGACACTGTTGTTTTCTGGAAAGCAAGGTTTCATACCCAAGAATTATTGTAGGGATTTGGAATCCCAAATCAAGTATTCTCCTGTATTTTACCACATATTTAAACTCTGAGGTGCTTGCTTCCAAACTGGTCAATGTAGCAACTGAATCCGGGGCCATTAGCCATTTGTTCTGATCCAGCCACGTCGGCTAGCAGGGCTCTGAATCAATTTCAAAAGGACATACCCATAAGAGCCTTTTGATAGGTGAGGTAGGGGTTAGCTTGGTGGCCCTGGAAGAAATGGGTAACTAATGTTCCAAGAGCAAATCTTTGACTGGTGGGAGATGGAAGGCGGTAGATAAATTATTCTCCCGTTTTTTTTTTTTTTTTTTTTTTTTTTGCAGGGGGTTTGAGGGGAAGGAGTCTAGCTCTGTCACCCCGGCTGGAGTGCAGTGGCGTGATTTCGGCTGACTGCAACCTCCGCCTCCCGGGTTCAAGCGGTTCCCCTGCCTCGGCCTCCCAAGTAGCTGGGATTACAAGCACGTGCCACCATGCCCGGCTAATTTTTTTGTATTTTTAGTAGAGATGGGGTTTCAGTATGTTGTCCAGGCTGATCTCAAACTCCTGACCTCAGGCAACCCGCCAGCCTTCGTCTCCCAAAGTGCTGGGATTACAGGCGTGAGACACTGTGCCCGGCCCCTTTGTTTTCTAAGCAAAATAACACACACTTACCAAAGTTTACAGGAACTGTATGTTTAGAAACTCTAAGAATTCATATTCTATTCTCAAAACCAATTTTCACAGAAATTGGCTTCATAGGAGTTATTTTATTTTCATCCTTTACGATGGTCATGCTGAAGCCAGTAAGACTGATTGCACCCTAACTCAGAGTCACACACTGGATTAGGTAGTTCTGGAATTATAGACAAGTCTTCCAAAAATCCATAGTCAGCTAGTCAAGAGAAGTAGACAGGTAAAGTATGACATATTGTGAAAAGTTTTATCAGTTATGAATAAAATATCATGGAAATAGAGAAGATGGGGGAATAGTTTCTCTAGGGGAATTGAAGGAAGGTTTACTTCTTTGGAGATGTCCTTTCTTGAACTTACCAAAAACTTACCAAAACTTACAGCAACTCTGTGTTTTGTTCACATCAGTACACTTAGTTGTAGTATCATTCCTTGTTCAGAGCAAAGCATTCAGTAAGTATTTTGGCCTGAAAAACAGCTAATATATAGCGGCGACCACTGGCCAGGCACTGTGTGCTTTCCTTGCATTATGTTATTTAATCCTCACAGGAGCCTTACGAGCTTCCTCAGGAGAGAACCAAGAGTTAAAGAAGTTAAGATGGTCACCACAGTTCCTAGTTAGAGGCAGACCTAATCCTGAACTCACCTCTCTTGGATTCCAACCCATGTTCTCAACCACTGGACCAAACTCACTCCATTAATTAGAGAAGCTGTGTTGCTGTTTTGATGATCATTGCTGGTATGATTACTGGCCACCCATTGGTGCCCTTAACTCATTTTCATAGCAAATAGGAGACTGTCACAGCTGGGGTAATTAGAACAGGACCTGAGAACCCCTTTGGCCAGATGCCTTCTAGAAATAACAGTGTACCGGTTTGCTCAAGTTGGAGAGCTTCATTCTCTTGAATTGTATGAGAATTCCCTGGCTAAATGTCAAGCCTACAGGTTTACAATCTTCCATCTGACTCTTGAGCTAACTAACATCTGAGAATCCCTGCATTGTTTGGCTTTGGAAGATATGAAGAAATTAGACTTTTGTCTTTAGGTTTACATTTTTCGAGTCCTGCTTTTCAGAAGACATTTCCACTAGGTTGGGAATGTTATACAACAGCTGTCACACAAAGTTAGCAGGGCGCACATGAAGTATAAAGTCAGGTGAGGATACTGCCTATGGGCATGGAACATCAAATAGGGCCTTAAAAAAATTGGACAGCATTCTTTAAGAGGAATCAGCCAGCCTGTGGCCTTTGAAGCAGTGACAGGAAAGAGCCCAGAAAGCCTTGCTTCTTTAAGTGGCACAACTTGCTTTCCTTGTGGTCCTCAAAGTCAGCTCAACAGAAGCCACAAACCTGAGGTTTATGAGCTGGATCTGTCTGCCAAGGTATGGGTGGCCCGCATGGTATTGAAACAGTTTTGAATCATTTATCACGTTTTAAAATCAGGAGTGAGAAGAATCTGGACCTCTGGCCTTTCCTGAGGCAATGAGGCAATATTCTGTCTCCTTTTCTGAACCAGCAGTTAGTGACATTTGAGCAGACACTGTGCTCAGCTCAAAGGGAGCCCCTGCCGTTTCATCCAGTTCAGCACTGTTCCTCCTCACCCTCCACTGCTAGTCACCTGGCTGCTTCACTCATTTCCATGACCTGCCTGGCCACTAAGCGTTTGCACACATGACCTAGAGCACAGCTGGGAAGACAGCTGGGGGAATACAGAAAGCAGGGCAGATGGCTGCTAGGGCATGGTCTTGAAATAAAAACCTTCCTGTCCTACCTGTTTAAAAGTCCCTCTGCTGACTTGCCAGTTGACTCTAATGTATTTGGAGGTAACAGTCTAAATTTTGAGTAGCTGGAGCTGTTGAAGTCATCTCTGCAAGTCTTCAATAGTGTGAGCACAGGAATGGTTATTTGAAATATAGAACACTGAAGCACCAGGTCGAGAGGACATCGAAGGTGAAGGAGCCACTCACCAAAGATGAAGCATTAGGAAGGTCTAAAGTAGTAAAGTAGAATTAATTCAGTTTTAGAGAAACTAAGTTAAAGTGTATGTAGTTCCTCCAAGTAGAGATGTCCACCTCACGACGTACTTTAGAATTAGAATCCAAGTTTAAAACCTTGCCCAAGTGCGTGCACCTAAGCGGCCTGAATGAAAGCCAATGTTATCTTCATCATACAAATGTTAGCTGCTTTTCAAACTGCTTTTAATTAGCTCATAGGGTTTTCACAACTCTTGGAAATCGGTGGGACTCGACTTTCACTTTTAGACCCAGATACAGAATGACACTTATGAAGTTTCAGGTTCTATAATCAAATTAAGATTACAGCCTGGGGCCTAGGCCTCTGGCCCATTGCTCTTCCCACTGTACCACTCTGGTAACTCCAAGTTTCAGGACAGTCAAGAGACTGGATTCTACTGTCTACACCTAGGCCTTTGAATTCAAACACGCATGGTTCTGCTCTAGCTAAACATCATTTCACTTTACTCACTATGCCAAGCCATCTTTTCAATTTTAGCAAAAGCTTTTTATCATCTGAGAATCTTTTATTTCTGAACTTCCCCCAGGTACTGTGGCATGCTGTATTCTAGGCTCTCAGCACTTTCACATTAATCATAATTCTTTACTAGAGGCATCTATGGCAGTGAGCCCCAAATTCAAGCTGCTTTGGGTTTCAGGATAATTGATGCTTAGTAAAATCTGATTTTTTTCTTTTAAAAACAGCAACAAATTTACACTCAAATCAGGGTTTAAACCATAAAATCGCAGGGCTTTAAAGCTCACAGTGGGGGCCGGAGCGGGGGCAGGGGCAACAGGCCTAGTCAGAGGCTAGAATGTAAAAGTGGGTACATGTCAGGTTACTGAACGTCCTGGTTTTGAGTTTGGCTTCTCAGATTGACCTAGGATATTTCTAGCACCTGCCTACCCACCTAGCTTGTTTGGAGCACCAAGGATGTACACACATAGCATGTCAGTTTGTATGTACTTAGCAGTTACAGAGATATATTTATGCCCCAAAGCTTCCTCTGTACCAGCCATTTGTTGGTTTCATTTTTAATCTTAATACCTTCACACATAACAATTATATATTTATTAAAATTTCAGATCACCTAGTTCTGTTAACAAAGAAGGTTGGAGACAAGCTAGTCTGTCTTCCATTTTTTAGTCTAAGACCTCTTTCTTTTGAAAAATTCATTTGGTTTGTATGGATAACTATTCTAGATAAGGCAAACAAACGAAGTGTTTGGCTCTATTAACTTTTTCAGCCAACTTTCCCTTGGGGACCACCACCAACTGAATAATGAATACTCAAAAAAGTACAGCTTATAACACAACTTTTATTAGAAAAGTTATACATAACATAGCATCAACTATTTTCAAGAACAATATTAAACCCGATAAGCAACAAAAACCAGACTAACAAAATGTGTAACAAGAAACTAATGACCTTTCTAAAATCAAACATTCAATTATCTACAATGTCTTTTTACAAACGGGGAAAACTCCTTGGTTTACAGGCACATCATATTGAATGTAAAGCTGCAATAGCAATTTTATACAATTACCACTCTGAAGAAACTGAATCATTAAAACAGTAATTACGAGTTCACAAATTTAAAACATTTCACATAATTTTAAATTATTGGGTATACACTGAAGTCTGAGTTTCAAAAGTGATTTTTTTTTCCCACAAAAGTTTCAACACTTAAGCTAGAACTTTCAGTGTTAACTTTGCCCTAAAAAGTTAAGACATTCTGATAATCATAACAGTCACATGATTTCTGATGCTATCTGGTCTGTTAATAATAAAGTCTTTATTTGGATGTATTTTTCTTCAATTAAATTACAGGAAACTGGATATAGGATTTCGTTGCAACGCTATTAAAGTTCCAAACCAGGAGTGTGCAGCACTGGAAAAGGAGATCAGTACTAAAACTTACAATAAATATCAGAGAAGCCGTTAGTTTTTACAGCATCGTCTGCTTAAAAGCTAAGTTGACCAGGTGCATAATTTCCCATCAGTCTGTCCTTGTAGTAGGCAGGGCAATTTCTGTTTTCATGATCGGAATACTCAAATATATCCAAACATCTTTTTAAAACTTTGATTTATAGCTCCTAGAAAGTTATGTTTTTTAATAGTCACTCTACTCTAATCAGGCCTAGCTTTGCTCATTTTGGAGCCTCACTAAAATAACAGATTTCAGTATAGCCAAGTTCATCAGAAAGACTCAAATGGAATGATTTACAAAATAGAACACTTTAAACCAGGTCAGTCCTATCTTTTTGTAGCTGAAGGCTATCAGTCATAACACAATTTCGCGTACACCTCTGCTCATTATGGAATTACACTTAAAACGAATCTCAAGAGGGTGACCATTGTTGTTTCAGATACCATCCCTAAGGAGAGTGGTTAACAGGAAGATTGCCAGTGTTACTGATGGAAAGAAGTGTTTGTTTGTTTTTTTTTCTTGTCAAAGACTTACACCATAGTTTTAAATTAAACTGTCAGGCATTTTCTCAGACAGGTTTTCCTTTTCAATGCAGTAATGAAGAACTAAGATAAAAATCATGACTTTTGACTGCCACTCAACATTATTACATGCACCAATATTGCACACATCTGTTCTGAACTGTTAAAATCATCTTCTGAGTCCTTGGGGTGCTGTTTTCTCCATCAGAACACAAACACAACCCATCTAATCAGTTTCCCTCAAAGATGAAATTGACAAATTTAATGTACTGGAAAAAAATGAAGAAGGAAAAAGGCAAAGACTTTGTACAGACAAAAATCTAAGTTTTCTCAAAGGGTTCTGTGTCCCCTACACATGGGGGCAATTTGTAAGCACTAGTGAATCAAACACTAGCTATAATGCTTCTAGCTCCTTATATAATATGGAACCTTGGTCCAGGTGTTGCGATGATGTCACTGTACGGTTCTTCCTGTGTCAGCTCAATAGCTTGCTGCTTTTTAAGAACCAAGAAGCTGTAGAACTTTGCGGCAGCTTGTTTTCTGTTCGTATTTCGACATAACTCAAGCAAACTGATAGATTCAGCTCCAGTTTTAGCAAGAGCACGCTGAAATAAAACCAAAAAAGGGTAACTTAATCTGTATAATAAAGTAGTAATTCAGTGAGGATGCTGATACAGTTTGAATATTTGTCCCCTCCAAATCTCATGCTGAAACGTAATTTCCCAGTGTTAGAGATGGAGCCTAGTGAGGTGTTTGTGTCATGGGGTGGGGATGGGGGTGGTGGTGGATCCCTTATCAATCACTCCCTGTGGCAATCAGTGAATTCTTGCTCGTTAGTTAACACAAGAGCTGCTTGTTTAAAAGCGCCTAGCCATCTCTCTCATGCCCTCTCTTGCCATGTGACACACCTGCTCCCCCTTTGCCTTCCACCATGACTATAAGCTTTCTGAGGCCTCACCAGAAGCAGATGCTGGTGCTTTGCTTCTTGTATAGTCTGCAGAACTGTGAGCCAAATAAACTTCTTTATAAATTACCCAGACTCAGGTATTCCTTTAGAGCAACACAAAACAGACTAACACAGATGCTAATTTTGGTTACTGGAAAAAACAAACTATATATTCTGCTTAGGACAAAGATTGCACTTTTTTAAATAGTATGTGATTCTCATGTTAATCAAGAGGGTAAAAGGCCAAAGTATGTTATGGTACATCTAAAATCCAAATAAGAAAGTCCAAGAAACCAGCAAAATTGTTCTGACATGTATTATTAAAATAACCAATTTCTTTAGACAGCTAATGTAATATAGTAGTAAAATCTAGCACTTATAGTTTTTAAAGTAAAAAATTAATAAACACATGTCAACTGTCCTATTTTAAGAAACCTTGAGCAACTTGCTTGGCATTTTGCAGACATTCAAGATATCCTGTCTATGTCTAGGACATTAAAGCACAAGGAAAAGTAACGTCTGATGCTACACAATGACCCAATAAATTTAATGATTCAGCACATTAAATTTACTCAACAAAAAACAAGAAGGTGCAGGCATACAAAGGAGTTGTGTGGTATGTCACCATGGTTCTGCTTTTCAGGAAAACCACAAGCATTCTCCTCCATGCTTTTCCGGCTTACTCTTGGCCTAACAGTTTATGTATTTAATTAAAACTTAAACTATAATAAAAAAAAAAAAGAAAAGAAAACTCTCCCTCCAGAAAAAATAAATAAATAAATAAAAATGTAGTTTTGGAAAAAGTTTGACAAAGGTATGCTTTCTGTTTCCAGCATCTAACTTTTTTTTTTTCAGGGAACAATGGCAAAAGCCTTTGATGAAGCATTTTCCTCTGAGACAACAGCGGCAATACCTGAAGACCATGAAGCATCTGCTGAGTCCTTTTGTTCCATCTTCTTTCTTCCTGATCTTGATCGCCCCCTGATGCATCTTCATCCTGAATAAAAATGACCCCCAAAAAGCTGACAAAACAAGTCCAATGAAAAATGAAGTATTTCTACATCTCCTAAAAGCTCCTAAATTACCTTGAGATTGTGTATTTTGAACTAATAGAAAACTGTACTTAATGCTGCTGAGCAATCACTTAGCATTTAGAGTACAAACTGAAGAGTCTGTTTTTCTTAAATTACAAGGCAAAGTCCTCTATGTGCAAGCAAACATTTGGCTGAAAGTATGCTTCTATATTGCGCTATAAGGATGCTATCTACACACACTATGTGGTCTGTGGACTGCTGCTGATCATGGAGGTTTTGGTTACTGGCCCCTCTTAAAGAACTTCAGGATATAAATCAACTGTACCACTAAATATACTGTTTATTTCAACTAAATATACATACATAAATATTGCAACATGATTTTCTAGATGACTAATGTTCTGGCAGACTCTTAATCTCATTGTGGAGCAGTACCAAAGAGCCTGCAGACTACCTAAGTTGATTTATATGGTGTTTTAAAATGAATGGGCTATACTCCTTATTATATATTTCACTTGAGCAACCTAGTTCTCAGCCACATGCTGCCTAAATGACTTTTTAAAGTCCAAGGTGGGTGCAAGGCAGCAGTTGTGATGTTCCCAGGCTATGGTGAAACTATATACCAGCCATAACAGAAACCACAACTATTTTAATACTCATTCACAACTAAGTCTGAGATAATGGCACATCCTCACACATAGGTAGAAGTGGCTCTGAAACTAATTTTGGCTTTAAAATAAGATATTCATATTAAAGATAAGCACTATTATTAGAATTAAGAACAGATGCTACTGAAAATTTATCCAATCCATAACCTTTTTTGGTCTTGAAGAAATTTAAACAGCTTCAATGCTACCTAAAGGACACCTTATTTTAAATTTAAAGGTTTAAGTAACATATCCGATAGAGTATCAAACAGAAGAATAAATTCTAAGTCTTAAACAACAACCTCAATGATCCAGAAATTAGGAAGAAAAAGAAGAAAAAAGACCTTCAACAGTGTAAACATGCCCCAGGAAAAAGAAATTGATTCCTAAAACACCTCTTACTTTGTAAAAAGAAAAAGTCATTTAAGCCTTCACTCAGTCTAAGTGTTTTAGCAAAGTTATGCTTTACCCTGGTCCAAGTAAAAGAAAAACAAAAACAAAACCCAGACAAGTGGAAAACATATGGTTATCTGATTTCCAGGCCACCACAGATACAGAAAAGGTTATATCAGAAGCAGACAATAACAGCAGTAAGAATCGTCCACTGACCACAAGATAGTAAAAGCAGCTACACGCAATTTAGAAGCCAAGCAAGAAATCAGTGTAAGGACAATTCCATGTCCTTCAAAACCCCACAAGAGAGCCAATGAGTTACAGCGAAGCATAAAATTTGATGTTCCTAATGATGATCAATACCACGAAGAATATGGTAAAATTTTGCTTATATTCTAACATTTTTAAATAACTCTGATGCTCAGCATCAATTAAGTTAGCCCCAATATGAAAAATAAAGCTGGTTGGAGGTTTTTGCTAAATCTGGAATGAAAATTATTAATTAGTTTACCTCTTCCTCTTCATCATCTTCTTTTTCCTTCTCTTTCTCCTTCTCTTTTTCTGGCAGAAGTTCTAACTCTGGTATTAGCTGACAGATATTTGGAGGTTCTTCTGGGGGAAGCTCTACAGGTGGTATTTCCATCTGCTCTACCTGCTGAGGCTTAAAGCAATACAAATAAGACAATTTAAGATATATGCTTTTAAAGTAGCTTATTTTAAATATGAAAATACACAGTGGCTGAAGTTTTCTAGTCAAAAAGAAATACTGAGATTATATCTCTATACTTCCCCACAAGGAAAAATTTATTACAGTATATATCTTTTTTGATTTTTTATAAAACTACATTGAAGTAGCTTACAAAAGAAACTGACTGCTTATCCTAAACCATGTTTCATTTTCATACTTACTTTTTAGGAGTCAAATGCTTTTTAACTACTAAAGCTTCTGTAAGGTTATTATATTGTAACTTATAAATCATAAGCTTTCTCTCTGAGAGTCTTGAATGTCTCACGGCAGCAAATAATAGGAGTGAGGACATTGCTTTTCTGGGTCCACTTCCTATATCTTCTCTCAGGCTTTACAGAAAGAGTTAAGAACATTAAAACCAAAGTCTTTAAAAGAAACTAAAGAATTACCAGAAGGAGGGTGGTTATGAAAGTCACCTACTCATTACTGTGTTCCTATTCCTGAGCTCATACAGAAAAATGCTCTTATTGACAACTCTTACCACCAGAGGGCACAGAAAACTAGTTCTTAAAATTGGCAGAGTATTCTTGATGGAGGCTGAACAAGAAGCCTAAGGTTATCTAAAAGCCTCCCTTTGCACAAATTCATTTATTCTATGGACTTAAGATTGGAAAGCCCTAAACCAAACCCTACTATTTCCTCCTTCATACTTGCTTAGCTTTCCTATCCTAGCTGAACTCAATGGTAGTCAAAGTTTGAATGAAGCAGACAGATACTGCTTTACATTTTCTCAGGTATTTGAAGTTTATTCTGATTACTTAATAAGATGACCTAAAACTGCCTAGTACTGAAGGTGTGCAGGAATGTTTGCCAAATAATAAATCAGAACCAACTTCAGAGTCAAGGATGCTCACTCTGGAGCACTCTAAAGCAATACTATTCAAAAAGAGTCAGGAAAGACTGCACCGACTCCCAGAACATATTCTCTCACTCCGAGTGGACTGTCTATATCCTGTTGCTCTTCTTCCTCTGGACTCATTCCTTACCATTTTCTGTCAAAACCAAGATACTTTAAAAGGCCTCCCTAAATACCACTTGCTACTGACTGTATGAATACCTTCAAATGACTTAATGGATAGATTTGCTTACTTACAGGCATCACAGGCTCTGGGTCAATTTGTCCAGCTTTTCGCTTAACTCCCTGAGGTGGTGGTGGAGGCATAGCTGACTCATCTATGTTTGTTCTGCTGGCCTCCATCACTGACTCCTGGAGGCGGCTTGGCTCTTCAATAATGGGCTCATCTGCAATTGGTCATATGAAGAGAAAACATAGGTCATACAGTTTTGAACAGTATTATAGAACCATTTATTTTTTAAACTAGTACACTAAGACATACATAATGCTTTCTTTAATGAAGAAGGCCAGATAAAATTTTAGCTCCATAAAGATTTACTCAATTTTTAGCAATATACGTAAAGGGGAAAGGGGATCTTAAAAGGACAAGTCCTACCCTCAGTACAATGTAGGACAATTCTTTAGCAGACTATCTACCCTGCCAGTTCTGAACCTTAAAACTCTGGAAAGACAGGAGGCTTCATACTTAAATAAGGCAATCAGATCCAATGCATTTCCCTGCCCAAACATTTGAGTATATCTTTGATTCCTCATTTCTTTCACTCTGACAGTATAAAGGTAAATTTTAAGCCAAATACTCATGTGAACTTCATCAAGGAACTATTCCAACAGAACAAACCGATAACATCACGCTGCTGATGCTGCTGTTGCTGGTCCTCTCTAGGAACCTCTGGATTTTCAAATTCTTTGAGGAATTCATCCAAATTATCTGCCTCTCCTCCTTTCCTCCTTTTTCTAAGGTCTTCTGGTACAAGCGGTGTAAGACAGCGTGTAAAGAGCTATTAAAAAAAAAAAAAAGAAAAATTTCAATTATAAAATAAATCTAATTAAAAAGTCACCACTGATTTCTATCTTCCAAAGGTATGTTCTAATAAATATAAGTGTATAATTTAGCATGGCTTTTATCATATTCACATTTCATTCCATCTGAAAATGATTTTAAATGAGTTTTCAAATTATAACTGCAGACATTTTAGATAAACTAAAAAAACTGTATCCATTATCTCACAACCTTAAGGGCTTTTCTATTTATCTGCCTGCAGTTTATTTTCATATTCATCAATTAAAACTCATCCTAACTGGTCTCATACAAAATAGCTTTAAATTGTGTTTTCTTCCCTTACATATGGTAACCTTATTAGCTATCATTTAAACTATTTTTTTTTTGAGATGGAGTCTCACTCTGTCGCCCAGGCTGGAGTGCAGTGGCACAATCTCAGCTCATTGCAACCTCCGCGCCCCCGGTTCAAGTGATTCTTGTGCCTCAGCCTCCTGAGTAGCTGGGATTACAGGTGTGTACCACCACACACGGCTAATTTTTATATTATTAGTACAGACGGGATTTTACCATGTTAGCCAAGCTGGTCTCAAACTCCTGACCTCAAGTGATCCACTCGCCTCAGCCTCCCAAAGTGCTGGGATTACAGGCATGAGCGACTGCTTCTGGTCTCATTTAAACTACTTTTAATGGCTACATAATATTTCATTTTGAACCATTCCTCTACTTTTAAAATTTCAGGCTTCTCTCTTTTTAAACTGTAAAGAACAATGTAATCAACATTTTCACAGAGATAGCTTTTCCACACTTTGAATTACTTCCTTAGGAAAAATTTCTAATAATGAAATTACTGAGTCAAAGAATAAATAGTTTAAGGACCTTCTTAAAAATAATTATATGATAGGGCTTACAATAAAGAGCACAATGTTGTTGCTCTGGGATACTTTAGATTTAGAATATATTACTATATTCTAAATACACGGTAAAATCAATAGGTTCTGTGCATATCTCAACTTCAGACAGAATAGTAGCCTAACAGCACTGCTTCATTCACCAGACACCTGTGAGTCTTATTTTGGAATACTGTGGAATGTGAGCAGAAAAGAGCCTATAAATGGAAAAACAAACAAACAAACAAAAAAACAAAACAACAAAAAACCTCCTGAAGCCAGAATTCTTTACTGTGGAAAAAGGAGAACCACTCATGTTTCATTCAGAAAACATTTCAAGAATTCAGATGTAAAACACACTAAGACGATATAACTAATAATTTATTACAGAGAGAAGTATTATTAAACACGTCAGTGGCTTTTTAATGTAAGGAAAATTCATTTTACATCTTTTAGAAATGCAGGTCTCACTTATCCATATATTTCAGATGAAGTTATGCCCAGTACACTGTGATTTAAGGGAGAAAAAAGAAAATGTGCCATACAGTTGCAAAATACTTGATCAAAAATGATTCAAAGGTTTTAGAATCTTTTTTTTTTAGATGCTCAAAATGTATATGAAGTAAAAATTCTGCAAACTATATTACCTTCAGTAGTCTGTTATTCCACAAAGGCTGAGCAGGTAAAGAAAACAGTTTTTCTACTCCTCCTGTCTCTTTCCACATCATCAATTTCTTGGTGGGCGGTGCCAGATCCAAAGTAGTAACAATATCTGAATAATCACTAAGTTGGGCTCTAATTGTCTTGCTATCCAACTCTTTGACACTGTCAACAATTAGCTTCCTCTTCCTCTTGGCTTTTGTTTCTTTAACTGGAATGATAATAAAAAATAAGATCATTTTCCTGAGAGGCCAGCATGGAACACACAGCTACAAGATCTGGACTGACTATATTCCCCTGCTTTTCTACACACAGACTCTAGCAGAGAAGTTAAACTTCATGAGGATAGAACGTTTTAACTCATGTTTTCCAACCACCATTCAGAAGAGAGGCTGGAACACAACGGGCATTCAACAAAAATTTGCTGAATGAGTATGTATAGACTTTTAGCACAAAATAAGCAAAATGACGCAAGGGCCAACACATTTTTGCCTATGTAGTTTTATACTGTAAACAATGAACATATCACACTCTTCAGAGTTGGGCTCATTTTCTCATTTGAAACAGGGCCCATCACTCAAACTCACAGATTGAGTTTTCTTTAATGATTGTAAATACTGTTATTTTTATTAGAAAAGTTGTAATTCACATATGGCAGTTGTGGAAGCTGCTTGATAGAATGAAACAAGCCCAAGCCCAGTCAGATAGACCTGTTAACTCCATCCTAGACATTTTAAGAGTCATTTCTAATCCTTACAACTTACAAGTAGGTTGTATTGCCTCACTTTTTTAAAATGCAGAAAAGCGCATGGGGTTAAATAAAATCCTCAAGATTTCACCCTGTCAGACATACCCCAAAGGTTTTTGGTTCAACACTTAAAAAAAAAATACAAAAAGATGTTACACAGTGAGAGTCTCTCTCTAATCTCACCATCTAATACAGTATATATTTTACTTAATTGCCCATTTCCCTCATCAATGGGAAACCCAAAAGGGTAATCTTGCTCTACTTAAAGGTAAAAACTATGTCTAAATTACACTGTAATCAATTTCAAGTATTCTATCCTACTGTCCTCATAAACCATCTAGAAATTGTTAGGTTTTATATCCCCATTATCTCAAATTGTCTGTCATTCAGAAGCAGCCTTCCTCAAATTAAATAATGTGTCTTGCAATGTTACTTAAAAAAACTACAAGAAAAAGATTATTCTAGAAATTTTGACATTTCCAGTTTTTAAATTTAAAAAAATTTCTTTTTTCAGAATGTGTGGAAAAAGGCAAATTCTAAGAGTGCATAAAATTTTTAAAAAAATTTCTTCTTGAAGAGACAGGTCTTACTATATTTACTGCCCAAGCTGGTCTCAAACTCCTGGCCTCAAGTGGTTTTCCTGCTTGGGCCTCCCAAAGTACTGGATTACAAGTGTGAGCCACCACACCAGCCTCTAGTTTTGTTTTTTTTTTAAAAAGAATACTTTTAGTTTTTTCCAGCTCGTAGACCAACTGCACAGCATTTAGAATTGTACTTTATTGAAAAAAGCTTTCCAATGTTTTCCAGTTGTTACACAAGTAAGCTGCTAACTTTCTGGGAACCCCAGGAGACTAAGATATGCATTATCAGAAAGCTTGTTCTATACTTTTGTATTTCACAGCAACTTGCACAGACATTCTACAAAATACTCAAAATTATAATTGGATAGAAGAAAGACTCTATGACAGATGACTGTGACATAAAAGCAAGAAGCTAGTTAACTAAAGCAACAGTAGCAGATCAGTAGACAGGCCAAAAAAACAGAAAAAAGCAAGAAGCCTAGTTATCTAATACAACAGTAGCAGATCAGTAGACAGGCAAAAACCAGAAATAGGACCTTATGTTGTATGCTGTATAAATCTAAAGGTTCATATGCTTACCAGTTATATCAATAGGCTCCAATGCAAATGCTTCTTCCTCATTTGGAACAAGTGTTGTTTGATCAGTCATGGTTGGCATTGGTTCAACGGGATCCACTGAATCAGGACTATCAGGCCCACCCACTGTAAAAAAAAAAAAAAAAAAAAAAAGTCACAAAAAGCTTTGGTATATAACATATATCCCACAAATGGGGAGGAGAAAAATCTCTTCATGAAATGGAAAGAAATCCTGTTATTACTAAGAAAAAATATTTTTCTAGTTAATGGGAAAGCCCCGCCAGACTTGAACCCAATTGGCCAAAAAAATGGGGAGGGGTGCAAGATTAAACATAGAATCAGAACCAGTAATCATAAGCACTGTACTTAAAGATATTTATAATTCACTAAAAACTACAACTTTTAGTTTGTCATCTTCTATGGTAAGTATCTTTCTGGATGCCATACAATCATCCCCAGAATCACTGAACATGAAATGCTTACTTGATACATTATCATCCTCATCCATATCGTCATGTGCAGGCTGCTCTGGCAACATCACCCCTGCCTCAGAGAGGGCAGGGGGATCATCAAAGATACCGCCATCATTATTACTAATAAGTTTGTCATCTGAAATAGGGAATGTAAGTTAGTTATAATTTGAAAAAGAAATGCCAAACCACAACAGCCAATCAATGGAAAAACAAAATTATGTTAAAAGGGATAAAATTTAAACGTATACTCAACTTTTATCTGTTTCTCCTCCAGGTAGTTTATAAAAGTATAAAACACTTGGTATATAAAAAAAAATTCTCATTCTTCATTTGTATTTTCTAGTTTATTTATCTATTTTAAAAAATATTTTACTTAACACAGCTATCAAACACAAACAGAACAGTTTTAAGTACTAATAAAATTTAGCATTCTGAGATAAGCATATTTAGGTTTTGTTACAACATTTTAAGAGGCTAGTTTTACCGAAATGTCCTATTGAACCAACTGATCACAATTCACTCATATATATCTAAAAGCTGTTCAAGACTCAGAATTAGCAACTGTTTCCAAAACTTTACAACTTAATAAAGAAATTCTGTTTATGCTGGAATAACCATCATTCCCACATACCTAATATTCCACCATCATTTCCTTCTCCAAAATTATCATCCTTATATTGATCTTCATATTCTAAATGGTTAATTTTCTCATTCAGATTGCTGGTGCTCTGTTCAGACTCTAATAGGAGGTTAGAAGTAGTAGTGCTTACTAACATGTCGTCATCCTCAAAAGCACTGCCTTCTCTCATTATCTCACGATCATCCATTCCAAAATCACCTAAACAAATTTTAATTTGTCATTAGTTTAGAAAGATTAGAAATAGCACTGTGATAAAAGAAAACTGCTAATGATTTATTCTAATTATGTCACATTTGCTTACTGAAGTCTTACTTCAAATGTTAAAATATCTAGTTTAAACTTTAATTCTTTAGCATCTGAATTTTTTAAAATGACTCAATTACACACAGTTACAACACTGGGGCATGACTAGCAAATTCAAACTTAGATCTAGATTTAAATGATCCTAAAATATGTTTGATAAACTCTAAATATGTATGTATGTTAAGTTACATTAACAGTCACAGCTGAAACTTTCCCGTTATAATGTGTTTCATCAAGAAAAGAATCTGGTTCTGGGCACAGTGGCATGTGCCTGTAGTCCCAGCTACTTGAGGCTGAAGTGGGAGGATCACTTGAATCCAAGAGTTCGAGGCTGTAGTGTGCTATAATCCAGCCTGTGAAGAGCCACGGCACTCCAGCATGGATAACACAGCAGAGACCCCGCCTCTTAAAAAACAATATGCCTTGCTAACTAGTTTTGAATACCTGTTTTTGAATAGCAAGTATAACAGGGAAACTAACTGTTCCAAAATGGTTGGTTTAAACGTGATCACCACTTCAATGTTGGGACTCCTCGCAGAAATCAATATATAGGTTCTATGATTGCATATAGGGAGAGAAGTAGGTAAACAATTAGCTCCAAGTATGAAAATAATGCTTAATCTACTGGTAGAAAGCCAAATTCTTTTCTTGATGAAAATGCATTACATGAAATTTTAAGTCTTTCTGTCTATAGTCTGGTTTTCTTTTGAAATTGCTATTAGCAACACAATATAACATTATAATTAATGGCTAATAATTTGTTTCTCTTTTACCAAAATCATTTTCTTGTAAAATACTGATGTTCCCAACTTCTTCTCTCATGGTTATCTCTTCCACTCTACTCTGATTCAAGCTGAACTGCTGGGCCACATCGATGTCACTTTAAAAGAAGGTCAAATACATTTTAGTTTCAAGTCTATGTATAAGAAAAACAAATCCCAATTCTCTCTATAAGAAAAATTAAAAAAATATATATGTATAACCCACCAAGTTTTAGAAGCCTTAATATTTAATACTTTCACACATTCCAGTACAATCCAAGAATGTAAGTGATTTGGAAATTAACTTGTATTTAAATTTGAAAAGCATCAATAATCAGCAAATACAATGTAATATGCAGAAGTCACTAAATCAAGTACAGAGGAAAAAATTAGAAATCATGGGCTAGATAGGCATGGGTTTTCATTAGGACCCTGCAACTTACAGGCGGTGTAAACTCTAAAGTTCCCTGACTTCCCTGAGACTCAGTTTCTTTCTCTAATAAAGAATAATCTCTCATATAGTTTAAAAATACTAAATAAAAAATAAAAAGTATGTAATGCTAAACACCAATCTAAACACTATCAGCCATATCCAGAACATTAATACCTCAAAACAACTGACCAAGTCTGTACAAAAAATAGATGGCAAGGAAAAAAAAAATAGGAGGCGGCAAAGCTGTAATAGATTCTCAGGAGACCCATAAGCTATATCAACCAGATGCAGTTTGTAGACTTTGTTTAGCCTCAACTCGAACTGGGAGAAAAAAAAAAAAAAAAAAGCCGACATGTCAACTGGGGACATTTGAATGCTGACTGGCTATCATATAGGCATACCTTGTTTTACTGCACTTTGTTTTACTGAGTTTCGCAGATGCTGAGTTTTTAACAAACCAAAGGTTTGTGGTAACAGTGCCTTAAGCAAGTCTGTTGGTGCCATTTTCCAACAGCACAAGCTTACTTCATGCCTCTGTGTCACATTTTGGTAATTCTCATGCTATTTAAAAATTTTTCATTATTATATTTGTTATGGTGATCTTGATTAGTGATCTTTAAAATTTTTTTCCTTATTTTTTAGTAGACATGGGGGGGCGGGATCTTACTATATTGCCCAGGCTAGTCTCAAACCCCTGGCCTCAAGTGATTCTCCCACCTAAGCCTCCCAAAGCACTGGGATCATAGGTGTGAACCACTATACCTGGCCCAGTGATCTTTGATGCTAGTATTTTAATTATTTTGGAGTGCCACAAAGGATGCCCAAATAATATGGGCAAACTTAATCAAGAAATGTTCTGTGTGTTCTGACTGCTCCTGCCCTCCCCCACCCCCGCAATGTTTCTCCCTCTTCTTGGGCCTCCCTGTTCCTTGAGACACAACTACATTGAAATAAGGCCAATTAATAACCCTACAATGGCTACTATTTGTTCAAGTAAAATGAAGAGTCACATGTATCTCACTTTAAATCAAAAGCTAGAAATGAATAAGCTTGGTGAAGAAGGCATGCCTAAGCTGATTTAGGCTAAAAGCTAGGCCTCTTGCACCAAACAGCCAAGTTTTGAATGCAAAGGAAAAGTTCTTGAAGGAAATGAAAAATGCTACTCTAGTGAACATGAATAAGAAAACAAAACTACCTTATTGTTCATATGGAGAAAGTTTCAGTGGTATAGACAGAAAGTTTGGAAGAAATTAACATTAACCCTGATGCATGACTTTGAGGGGTTCAAGACTTCAGTGGAGGCAGTAACTGCAGATATGGTGGAAAAAGCAAGAGAACTAGAATTAGAAGTGGAGCCTGAAGGTGTAACTAAATTGATGCAATCTTGGAATAAAACTTTAACAAATGAGGAGTTACTTCTTATGGATGAGCAAAGAAAGTGGTTTCTTGAGATGGAATCTACTCCTAGTGAAGATACTGTGAATATTGCTGAAACAACTACAAAGGGTTTAGAATATTCCATAAACTTGGTTGATAAAGCAGTGGTAGGGTTTCAGACGATTAGCTCTAATTTTGAAAGAAGTTCTACTGCGGGTAAAACGCTATCGGGTAGCATTGTACGCTACAAAGAAATCTCCCATGAAAGAGTCAATTGATGCAGCAAACTTCACTGTTGTCTTATTTTAAGAAATTGCCGCAGTTACCTCAAACTTCAGCAACCACCACCTGTATCAGTCAGCAGCCATCAACATGGAGGCAAATCCTCCACCAGCAAAAAAACTGCAACTTGCTGAAGGCTCAGATGATCACTAGCATTTTTTTGCAGTATTTTTAAGATAAGCTCACTGCTTTTTTAAACATAATGCTATTACTGCACACTTAATAGACTACAGTACAGTGTGAACATAACTTTTATAGGCACTGTGAAACCCAAAAATTTGTGTAACTTGCTTTACTGTGGTGGAACCAAACCCACAGTATCTCCAAGGTATGTCTATATTAAGGAATAACTGATAATTTTTTTAAAGGTGTGATGGGTCATGGAGGCTTTAAAAATTCTTTACCTCTAAGAGACAAATATCGAACTATTACAGATGAAATAAGATTATTGTTACTTGATTTAAAATAATCTGGTGGGGGTTGTGAGGTAAGCTGGGGAAACAGATGTAATAAGACTGGCAATATACTTGTAACTTAAAAAGCTGAATAACTGACATATAAGGTTCATAATCCTAATTTCTCTAGTTATTAGCTATGTTTAAAAATTTCCATAATAAAAAATTTTCAAATAAAATGTCAAAAAGAGAGAAAAAAGTAAAATAGCTAGATAGAGCCTAGAACTAATCAACACACATGCAGTAACAAAATAGGTCATAACTTACTCTAATTAGAAGCCACAGATCATTTCAAAAAGCAGAGAAATCTGTAATGGTGTAGAGTTTCTTGGTTGTCAGTTATGCTAATAAGTCACTTGGAAAGCTACAGTCACGTTCCAACATCATGGCATGATAGCTGGATCGTAAGGGCTTGAGAAAAGGGAAACATAACTACAGTACTCTGCTATAACAGCCATCTCTGTGTAACTCTCTCCTCTCAAATGTGTGTCATGACAATGACCCTTTGTTGCTCTTCATAAAAAGTTATCTCGTATGTTCATTTAAAACAAAAATAAAAACAAACCAGAACAGAATTATGGCTCTGAGTATAGCCTGGCCAATCCAGTAGCTGACTTTAATATATAACTCTGAAAAATATCATGAAGCAACAGTTTACATTCCCTGCTATCATTATATAACAAGCGTATCTGTTTCAGTTTACGTAAGCTTTGGCCTAAGCTTGTCAAAACTCTCACATCTTAGCTGTGTTAAAGCTGACATCCACATGATTTTCTTACAGAAGAACAACTTTCTAGGTTTTATGTTCCATATTTATATACTATCCTATATAAATATATATATGCATTTTAGCTGTTAATGTAAAACATTCCAAGGAAAACTATACATTTGGAAGCTAATACTACTGCTTATTGCAGACCAAGTCAACAATTTTTTTTAAAAGAAGACACATACTCTAAGTCAGGCAGTGGCTGATCAAAGTCATGAAATTCTTCAGGTAAAGTAATGGCATTATAAGCTGCTTCCCGATTTTCCTCAGGCAGGTCAACCACACCTAGAAAAGAAATGCTAAGCTTAAATATCTAGCTACCCATAAATTATCTAGGGATCAGAGGGAGATAAGTAGGTATAACTTCCTAAGTTTATATTCTCATAGAAAGGTTGATAACATATGCAAAATACCTTGAAGCACAAGTACTTCTCTTTTTCCATGCTCATAAATTGTATTCCTTGCTTTAGGAAAAAGTCAAAGCACTAATTATGCATTAAGCTCATAAATGTTTAAACGGACATATCAACAAATAACTAGTAATAGTTTCCTAATTAAACATGATATTTATGAGGGGGAAAAAGAATAACTGCAGAAGAGTACCTTAAATGTTAAAAGGAGCTGGTTATTTTGGAGAAAGAATTACACAATTTTAATTTTCTTTATCTTTTTCCTATATTTTTCAAGTTGTCTATAATAAATATGCCTTACTTTGAAAGACAAAAAAAAGCATGTTATTTAGATAAAATGTGCTTATTGGTCACATGTTAATTTAAGTATTGTAGTCTTTTTCTAAATATTTTACTTTTAAATAAAATCTTAGATCTCAGACATTTTACTGTTCACATACTGACATAAACTGAAGTACTAGAATGTATCCTCAGTAGAAACTGTTTAAGGCATTTCTTAATAAAATACACATTATTTTAATTAGAATAAAAATTTCATCAATGCTTTTAAAAATTATAGAAAGATATGTGAATTTAAATATTAATTATCTTCTTAGATGGTGGTGTGGTTGGCAGACTCCAGTTTTATAACCAATCATTACCTAAAACAAAATAACAAAAAACTACGAAGAATATTTACTTAGGAAAAAAAGTTTAAAATCCTAAAATTGTCTTTTCTGAGCTATATTTTAAAAAATCATCACATAACAATTAGTTTCCAACATTTTAACCTCTTGATGACTCAAGTCTATGTAAGCTGCTGAAAAAAGTATTAAAAAGGCAGCTCCAAAGGAAGAACAAATGGGGGTGAGCTCCATTACTTCACAGGGAGAACAGACGCAAGTAGGTTTCCTCCCTTGAAGCACTGCCTCCCCAAGCCTTGCTCTATCTTTGAAGGGTTCCTCGTATTTCAATTAAAACAAAGCATGTAGATTTAGAAAATGTGTTTAGCTACAGTAACACAAAAAACATGAGAAACTCCAAAGTAAACAACAACAACAAAAACCAAACAAGTTTAACAATACCTGGCCGAAAAGCCATCTTTATCTTAATGAATGCTTCATTACAGTCTGCAAGAAGGTATTTGGCTTTCCTGTGATAGATTCGAACTACTCCCAGTAAGAGATGTCCTGATGTCCGTAATGCCATTTTCACCTATGAATAAAACATTAATCATATTCCAAAACCTGCATTTCGTGCCATTCATAGTCTTCTTTTTATCTTTTTCCTTTAAAGTTGCCTTATAATCACATACATTTCTCTGTCCTTACCTATAAATTCCCTGAATATCGAATATCCTGAAAAGACAGAGTGACTGGAAATTCACGAATTAACACAAACATGAAGGAAGCTAGGAAGCAAGCACTAAACCATTCCATGAATTGTGTCATTAGCACATTAAGGAGCACGTAACACTTTTGGTTGCCAATCCAGGGCCATTGTTTCTTGCTAAGTCAATTCTGATTTTGTTTGAGAAGCAAATGTCCCCCACATTGACAGATGTCTCATTCCTCTCTGCTAATACCTGTTCTTCAGTGGGCATGAAACACAGTTCAGCCAATTGAGTAATAGGTGAAGTATGCCAGAGAGTTTCTGAGAAAGATTTCCCCCCCAAAAGAACAACGCCTCTCTTCCTTCCCTCTTTCCTGCTTTGTGAATAGGTAGGGCTTGCTTGGTGCTTCATGCAGTCACCCTGTAAACCACAATGCTAAAGTATGAGGACAGGAAGCTAACACACTAAGGATGGAGAGTTCTTGGATGACATAATCAAGCTGCTGGACCAATCTCAGATCTCCCTGTTTCCAAAATTTTAGTTAATTAAGCCTGTTATTTCCCTTATTGTTTAAGCTACTTTTTAACTAAGTTTCCATTAATTGGAAAGCATACCGATTTAAAAAAAAAAGTTTGGAAAGCATACTAATTGATAAAGAACAATAGTATCCATAGCTTTTTTTCACCAGAAAATATACTCCCAACCTTTTTTCGAGGCAGATCTTGATCAACATTAACATGGGATACAGTATGTGGAAAAGCAGTAGTTGATAAAACAATGAGATAAGACTCCATCTAAACACAAGTATTCAAAATTCCTCTAGCCATAAGGAAAATTTACTGAAAGAACAAGGCAATATGAACTCAAACATCCCCAGATACTTTCCCAAACCACGCCATAAAGCACAACAAGTTCTAAGGTAACAAAAAAAGCTTTTAAACATTTGCTTAATGTTTAAATTATGATTAGTATATTGTTATTTGTAAAAGAAAATGTTGTATTTTAAATTTTATGTGTATTTTCTACAGCACTCTAGGACCCTACTTATGACTCTCAGGTTCTGTATTTATGAGCATTTTATGTGACTTACAGCATAAATGATGATGTATATGGCCATACATTTTTAGACATCCAAAATTATACCAAATTTGTGATCAAATTCAGAATTTATCAGACAATGAATCCCTAATTTTAAAAAAATTCAAAGTAAAATGTTGCTCCTAATGGAAAAACAGAATCTATTTTTATGTGGTGTTATAAAATTTAAAATTAATATTGATTGAACCTTCACCTAAGAACAAAGGAGGGAAAAAAAACCTCTGCTATTATCTTATCTAGAACTAGCAACTTTCAAAAAGTGGTGTTTGGGCAAAAGCTTTCTTTCTGGATTAGTCTGGTTCAGAGTTTAGCCTAGGAGTAGGTAAAATGAGGTATGGCATATGTTTTTGAGCTAGTGTGTGTTAAAGTGTAAACATAAATATAATAAAGATTCCAGGCTACATATTCTGGGAAAGCTCTGCAAATAGGGCCAGTGGTTCTTCCAGTGGGGGAGTGGAAGAGAGAAGAGAAAAAGTATGCAAGCTTGCAGTTGCAAATGAGCCACGTGTGACACTTATGCTAAACAACTAAACTGACATTTTCACAACAAGAACTGCACACCAAAGCAAACATTAGAAATTTCAGGCCCGTTCACTCTGTGGAAATATCTTTACATCCTGTTACCAAATAGATAAAAGCTCAGTTAGAAATGGTTTAAAAAATTTGAAGAGAAATCACTTTCTCTCATAAACACATTACAATCTTTTACATTATTCCTGAACTGTCTGCTTTCCTTTGTGGCTGTTCGTGTATATGTTCAATTATCAGATTGTCTCATACTCGTTTGTAGTGTCCCTAAAGTGGCACAAAGTACTCGGTACATATCATGAAAAAAATCTGTTATCCTTTTAAGCCACTCAATATTTGCTTACGGATGTTAAAGATTAGCCACACATATACTTTCCAGAAAGGAGTACGATTTCTACGTTTTCCATTAACTTATCCCAGTAAGCATACCTATAAAAAAAATTGAAAATACCAATGTTCTCATACAATTTGACCAGCAGTGCAAACTGGTATGATCTCACCAGAACAAACTGTTAGTGCATATCACAAATCTCAAAAACATGTCCATCACTTGGCCTATCAATTATAATCCTAAAAATAAATCTTAAGAAACACTTAAGGGCGTGAACAAACATTTAACAAGAAATGTTTACTAAATGGCTAGTCTTTAAAAAGAAAATAAAACAACCTGTAATCCTACCATCTACAGAAATCTGTAATAATCTTTTGGTATGCCTTCTAGGCTTTCCTGTGTACATGTACACAAGTTTTCTTTGTGTATATACATAAAAACTAACACAATGATTGTTAGAAGGCTGCATCCAGGAAATAGAGCAAAACTTACGAAAAGGCACAGATTTCTTATAAACACCCCCTTCCTCACACACAGATAATCTTCCCCACAATTGACACCTCCCATCGGTGTTTCATTTATTAAAATCGATAAACTTATATTAACACATCATTACCAAAAGTCCGTAGTTTACATCAGGGTTCACACGTGGTGTTATACATTTTATTAGTTTGTACAAATGTAAATGGCATTTAACTATTATACTATCATGCAAAACAGTTTTACTGCTCTAAAAAGAATAGTCTGTGCTCTGCCTACTCAACCCTCCATTCTCTCCCCAACCTACCATCTTTTTACTGTCTCATTTGTATAGTTTTGGCTTTTCCAGAGTGTCCTATAGCTGCAATCATATAATATGTAGCCTTTTTAGATTGGCTTATTATACTAAGTAATACGCATTTACAGCACTTCCACGTCGGTTTTTTTTTTTTTTGAGACAGGGTCTCAAATAAAAGCTCCTCTGAGGAACAGATCAGTAAACAATATTTGGGCATTGCCCTGACTGATGCTTATTTGCCATTAAAAATAGGCAAATCAAAATATATGCACTTAGAGATTTTTTTTAAAATCTAATCTGTAATCATATCAAGTCTATCTAGAGGTGATAAGGACTTCACATAATAAAGAAACATTTCTAAGGATTTTCCTTGCACTCCAATGCCCCTACCTAAAAAAACTGTTTTAGAAGTTCTATTTCACATATCAATAAACAATCAACAAAGTGAATAAAAATGTCAACATCAAACATACCTTTGGTGAGATGATACTCTCCACGCTGCTCTCTAAATTACACTCGAACACATGGGCTTTGGTTAGCTTCTTATCCCAATGGGCCGCTAGCCAAATTTTGGCCAGAGGCCCTCTTTTACTGAGAACAAAATGTGCGTAGAACATTGTTCTGGCTGGCTATGAAAACAGAAGAAAACCTAAGAGGGGAAAAAAAAGTTAATGTAAACATCATCTGACAATTTAAATACTTATCAAGACATAAGAAATTTAAAATTTTTCTTCTCTCTTTAATATGAAAACTATAAAATGCTTGAGTAAATGTTTAATATGTATTTTAAAAACAACAGATTTAAAACAAATCTATTGTTTTAATTTTGAGAGAGGAAAAAAAAATAGACCCCAAAATACTAAGAGCTGAAAGTAAAAGGGACAAGAGTCAAATTGCTTTCATGCCTTGTTTCATTTCTATCTTGATTGACAGTAGAAATAGTCTGTTTACTGGCCAAGAGCTAGAGAATATATTTTTCATGGCAAGAAAAGAAAATCTATGAAGAAAGATACTCAGGCACAGATAAAAATCTGTGGAAATTTCCATTTTTAGAATGCCATTAAAAATCGCGATTCTGGGATAAATTATCTGTAAAATTGCTACTACACGAAAAGTACTGTACTAAGCATTTCATATTCCACCAAGCAAAGCTAAGCAGATGGGCTGGCCCCATTTTACAGGTGGGTAGTTTAGAAAAATCGAAGTTCAAAAAAGGTAAAGAATTATATATATAGTTTTCTTAACTTAAGAACTTACAAAGCATTTATCTACTTATAATTTAAATATTAAATCAGGGACAATGGTACAGCAGATTTATCTTATGACTGAAAGTCTTGGAATCACAAATATGTTACTGACATTCTACTTTCCTTCAGCACTCTAATGTATTAAGAAAGGCCGCTTGAAAACCCCAGTTCAGAAGAGTACATTAACTGCAGGATATTTCCTTTATATCATTTAATTCCCCTCTTTCACGGATTTAAAAGAAATCTACTTCAGAGAATGAATTTCCAGATTTAAAACAAATCTATTGTTCTGATTTTTTTCTAAAATGTCCACGACTAGAAAATGATATATGCCTTGCTTTACAGAAATAAAATCAAGTGCATGTACAATACATAAAATTTTAATTTGAAATAGAGTCACAGGGAGTCATAGATAGCAGGTCCCATGTACTTTTTTAAACCTAGTTTCTCCCAATGGTGACATCTTAAATAACTACAATATAGTATCAAAACCAGGGCACTGACATTGATTCAATGTGTCTACAGACTTTTATACCATTTTGTCACATATGCAGATGTGTATAATCACCACTGCAAAAAGATACACAGCTATTCCATCACTACAAAACTCATCACATTCATCCCTCTCTCTCTGCCATTTCTAAGTCTTGACAAACACCACCTGTTCTACATTTCTAATTTTGTCACTTTTTTTCTTTTAAGAGATGGGGTCTCATTCTGTCTCCCAGGCTGAAGTGCAGTGATGTGATCACAGCTCACTGCAGCCTTGAACTCCTAGGCTCAAGCAATCCTCCTCCCTCAGCCTCTCAAGTAGTTGGAACTACAGGCATTGAGTCACCACACTGGACTTAATTTTGTTGTTTTGAGAAAATTATATAAATGAATCATATGGTATGTGACTTCTTGAAATGGCTTTTTGGATCTAGCACAATGCTTCTGTGATCCAAGTTGTTACGTTTATCAATAGTATATTCCCTTTTACTGTTGGACAGCATTCCGTGAGATTCATATACCACCATATGCTTGGACATTCACCTATAGAAGGACATTTAGTTGCTTCCAGTTTTTGGCTATTACAAATAAACCTGCTATAAATATTCATGTACAGACTTTTGGTGAACATTAAGTTTTCATTTCTCTAGGACAACTGTCCCGAATGTGACTGCTGACAAGTATTGTTAAGTATATGTTTAGTTTTTAAAGAATCTTTAATACAATTATCAAAATGAGTTTTTTTATATTTATAGGCAAGATTATCAAATTTATATAGAAAAGCAAATAAACTAAAAAAGCTAAAACTATTTTGAAAAATAGTGAGAAAAATTAGTCTATTTGATTTCAAGACTTACTATATAGCTATAATACTCAAGATTGGTATTAGCAGAGGAAACACAGTCAATGTAACAGAACTGAGAACCCAGAAATAGCCCGCACAACTAAGTTCAACTAATTTTTTTTTTTTTTTACAAAGATGCAAAAGCTATCTAATGGAGAAATGATACATTTTTCAACAAATGGTGCTGGAGTGATTAAATACGATCTGAAGACCAGAAAACATGCACGCACGCACGCACACACCCCCCACAAAACAAAAAAGGCAAGGAAAAAACCCTCCACCTAAATCTCACACATTATATAAAAATTCAAAATAGACAAAACTTTTAAAAAATGGCAGAGGGGAACCTTCAGTACCTAAAGCTTGGTAAAAATTTTGACACATCAAAAACACAACCCATGAAGGAAAAGTTCTTGCTCAATAAACTCGCCTTTATCAAATTAAACTTTTGCTCTACGAAAGAAATGCAAAGACAAGCTATAGACTGGGGAAAAAATATTTGTAAACCACACATCTGACTAGAACTCAGATATAGAATATGTAAAGAATTCTTAAAACTTCAGGGGTAAGAAGAAAAAAAAACTCCAATTAGAAAGTAAGCAAAAGAGGCCAGGCAGGCTGGCTCATGCCTGTAAACCCAGCACTTTGGCAGGCCAAGACAGGCAGATCACTTGAGGCCAGGAGTTCAAGACCAGTCAGGACAATTTGGCAAAACCCTGTCTCTACTAAAAAACACAGAAACTGCTACGTGTGGTGGCATGTGCCCGTAATCCCAGCTACTCAGGTGGCTGAGGCAGGAGGATTGCTTGAACCCAGGCTGTGGAGGTTGCAGCGAGCTGAGATCGCGACACTGCATTCTAGCCTGGGTGACACAGCAAGACTCTGTATAAAAAGAAAAAAAAAAGTGAGCCAAAGAAGAGAAATTTCACAGAAGAGGTTTACTGATGACAAATAAGAACATGAGATGTTCAATTATCCTAGGCATTTGAGAAATACAAATTAAGGCCAAAAACATTATCACCACACACTTAATATAAGAGCTAAATTAAAAAATAGTGGCAACATCAAATGCTGAAAGACACAGAGAAGCTGGATCTCTTACACTGCAGGTGGGACTAAAATCTCTTGAATTAGCTTTTCTCTAAAAGATACAGAGTAATTATTTTTCATTTTTTCACAGTCTGTAAATCTTAAAGAATTTTGCTTACTGTACTTTCAATTAAAAATGTGCCAATTCTTTCCCATGATGTAGAGAAAATATATTTTAGTTACGCGTATCACAAGCAACAGATTTCTTACATGTCAAAAATATTTTGGAGGGTGGGGGGCTGTGGTGCAAGACTACTGCAGTCAGGTTTGCTTTATCTCCATTTCCATCACTTAAGAGTAAAGAGTCTTGAAATTCTCATTCTCTGAATCTAATGTTCCCAAAGGATTATTAATTCATACTAAAAAAACTTTTCCTCAAAAGAAAAAAAACCAGGCTTTGTCAACTGTCTAATGTTGTAAACTCTTCCTCCCAAATTTGGAGTTAAGGAAGGAAGAAATTGGCTAGCGGTGGTGGCTCACGCCTGCCATCCCAGCCCTTTGGGAGGCCAAGGTAAGAGGAATGCTTGAGGGCAGGAGTTCCAGACCACCCTGGTCAATATAGCAAGACCCCGTGTTTATTTTTTAAAAAAAAGAAATTAAAGAATGAAGAAATACTATATTCTATACTAAGAACTCAGACAAAATATTCTTAAGGTACGAGCATTAAATAACACCTCAAAGGTGCTTTATTTGCCATTTGTTATTTTATAGATTAAAACATGCTTCCCATACCGGAAGAGAGCCTCCTATGTTTCAAATCAGTGCCTACTTCAAGCCTTAAAATGTTATCACAAAACTTAAGCTGCTCCTACTATGTTATAAATAAAATCTAGAGAACTTTACAGAAATCCAACATAGCAGCATGTTCTGAGAAATATAATCGCTGTTGTACAGGACAAGCCCCAAGTTCCACTATGGAAGCAAGCAACTGTATCCTAAACAAAAAACTCCTTAATATTAAGCTTCTAGAATACTATCTGTGGCATGACAATTACTAAATATGTGCTTAATGAATAAGTAAGTAAGATCCACCAAGTGATCTCATAATTGGCATATGTAAAAAATTTTAGACGTTTTAAAAATTAAAACTACTGGCATTTTTCAACAGGTGTCAGTAGCTCCTGGCCAGCACTTCAGCTGCTGGTCAGAGCACCGTGCCTAAAATATCCCAGCTATGCAGAGGCAGAGATTCCTAAACAGAAGCCTGTTTGGCATAGGATGGGGCTAAGGAAGGCAGAGTGATGCTAAAATTAATGTGGGAAACAATTAGCAAGAGGAAATCACTCTAATAACTAAAGGAAGCCAAAGGAGCAGTGGTGGATCGACTCCTGGTGTATATCTGAATAAGGAGAAAGTGTAATTATAATTGCCTTTTAAGCCTATTTTTTTTTCCTTGATAATACCAAACTTCATCCAATCTTTAAAAAAGTCGATTAATCTGTTTAGATTTTGAAGATTCTATATTCTGCTAAATCCTTTATGAAAACCCTGTGCAGAAAATCTGCATTTGATACCAGAGCACAACTTAGCATTTCATGATTTGAGAATCATTTTTTTCTAAAGCGGCAAGCAGTTTTTTTCAATTGACCCTAAAAAATTAAAGTCTGATGTGAAACAGCAGAAAGATTGCTATTTTAGAACATATTCAAGAATACAAAAAATGGCAATTTAAGACTGTTTCAAAGAATCAAACTGAGGCTCATGCTTCTAGGATAGTATCAGTCATTACCAATATTTCACTCATTAGAAAGCATGGCAGGACTGCGGTTGTGTAAATTGGTACTGTCCTCTCTGAAGGACAATATGACAACATTTTATAAAAATTTCACTTACACTTTCTAGCCAGAACTTGCACTTTCAGTAATCAATACAAAAGATATACTTGGAGATGCATATTACTAAAGACAAAACCAAAAAACCAAACACGAAAAAATCCTAAGAAAACTTACTAAGCACTACGTGTTTTATGTATCCAACCTCTTCATGACTGTCCTACAGAAGTAAATTACTGGCCCATTTTAGAGATGGAGAAAACAGATGAAGATAAGTAAATGTCACTAGTATTTAATGGAAGTGGAACTTGAACTTCAGAATCCACACTTCTAACTACAACACTATGCTGCCTTGCCAGAGCAGAACAGAACATTCGAAATAACCTACTTGGCCATCAATAAGTGATATGAAAAATTAATAAACCCAAACAACGGAATATAGTCGGTCCTCCTTATCCATGGCTTCTTGCATCCATGGACTAAACCAACCCAGGATCAAAAATTGTTGGAGGGGGGGACAAAAAAACACAATAATAAAAAATACTACTAATAAAAAACTATAACAACTATATTAACTATTAACATAGCATTTACATTGTAATATCATAAATGGAGATGATTTGAAGTATATGGGATGTTAGTAGGTTATATGCAAATACTACACTATTTCATATAAGCGACTTGAGCATTCGTGGTTTTGGTTCTGGAACCAATTCCCCTTTAATATCAAGGGACAATTGTACAGTACAACTTTAAACAAGAATACAACATTTGTACTAACATGGAAAATCTCCAGGTTAAGTGCAAAAAAGTTGGAGTTTTAAAAAAGAATGCTCTTTCTCTATATATTTACGAGTTCTTGAATAAGCTTAAAATACCTGTGGCGTACACATGAAACTGGTGATACTGGTTACCTCTGGAAAGTAGGTATGCAGGGCAAGTGAGGCCTACCTTTTTGTACTGTTTGATATATATATATACATACACACACACACACACACACACACACATATTTTAACTCGGGACATAAATGTACACCACCTATTCAAAGTAAAAACTACTATCTCAGAAGTAAAGACATAATCCTGCTATTGTCATTAACTAGCAGTTAAGCTGCCTAACCTTTATGCAGTTCAGTTTCCCTACTATGAAAACCTGAAAGGTTGAAATCTGGTGGTTTACCTAACCTTTGAAAACGTCAATACCTAACTCAGATCAGAACGGAGCTACCTCTTCAGGGGAGTAGGGGGAAGGATCTCTGAAGATATTTCTAACCCTGCACACTAGAAATCTCCTCTGTTTTGGTTCTAACATCCTTTGACCAAGAGTTTTACAATCAGACAGTCGTAGGTTCAAATTAAGCTCCCTCTTTGCTCAGTTGTTTTGTAACGGTGAATAAGTTACTTCTCAACTATAAACTGGGATAATATTCATCAAAAAAGATTATGAAAATTAAATACAAGGGCACACCTAACATAGTGCCACTGCTGATGCGAAAAGTAACTCTGAAGACAATCTTGCAGCAAAACATTAACCAGCCAGTATAATCATGCCTAACAACTCTGGTTTGACATTTAAACTAAAAACACAACCTTATTTCTCAAGAATTAGAAAATTTCCATTCTGTACCAAACTGTAAAAGCGTTTCTTAGAATTTGTATGTTTCACAAAATAATTCACCAGAAATTCTTTTGTAATTCTGACTTGTGTATAAAAAAAAGCACTATGTCTATTAGTTATGCACTGCTGTCACCTCAACTATACAAACTGTTAACTTATTTGAAGATCAGATATGGCGTATGTCCTCATCAATGCCTTTCCAAAAATAATTAGTTGCCTCCGACATTAACAAAGGTATTTAATGACTTCACGATTTGAGAAACCTTCTCCTGCCTGTCTCCAAAATTCTATAGACTCGCACTGCCCGCTGGCATTTACACCCAATTTAAGAAAATAGAAATTTTTGCCTGAAAACCAATTACTCTTCTAACCAGTATAATGACAACAAAGATTAACTTTCCCTTGCAAAAAGAAGCCGATAAACACAAGCCTTTCCCAGAAACTCTTCGCACAAACGCTGTTTTTTTTTTCACGCTGAAGACACTAACAAATCAGAGTGACCAAGTAAATCCCCCAGGGTTTCCCTCTTACAAATTTGAAGAAGGCCGCTAAGTCTGGCAGCACAACCCGACAGTGTCACCCCACACTATCAAAGCGGATCATTCGCAAAAAGCCTTTTTCAGCGACGAAAAGGGCATCAAGCATTTATCAGAAACACACACCTCCCCCAGAGCGTCTCTACAACACCCGATATCCTTAATCACTTTAAAGAATGATCAGAAAAGTTCAGGGGAAAACCAATTATGCAAATATCCTTGGAAAAAGAAGCAACTTCCCTCCGTCTCTTTTTCCACGCGTCTGTGAAATATTCAGCATTCCCAACGTAAAAATTATCTTTTTAAAACGGGAGGGCAGCAGCAGTCACTGGCCGAGGGGCACCCGCCGACCCCCCGCCCCACCCCGCCCAGCCCCACCAGCTCCGCACTTTCTTGAGCCCCGCACCCGAGTTCGGCGGAAGGTTGCTGCTCCCGGGGCTGGCACCGCGGGCGCCGGGCCCGCCACCGCCTCCTCCCAGACAGCCATTTTTACCCGCGGAGTAGGCGGCCCGGTCCCCAGAGCGGGCTCGTTCAAACCTCCTCCCCTCCCTCCGCAGCCCAGGGTTTCCCCGGCCTCCTGGGGGACGTGAGATGGACCTGCAGGGTAACAGCCTTTGTAGATCTCAGAATGGATCAGAATCATTTGTTACCGAACAAGCGATGATGCGGGCCCAAGCTGCATGGGTCCGGGCCGAGGGCGGGCCCGGGGCGAAGGGGGCTGGGCGGGTGGCGCCGCCGCTTGGGCGCCGGGAGGGTGGCAGCACGCGTGGGCGCGGCGAGGGCTGCCTTCTCCCTCGCCCTCCCGCCCCCAGGAGTCCGGCTCCCCGACGGCAGAGCGGCGGGGAAAGGGTGGGGGGAGGGAGCTGGAGGAAAAGAAGGGGTCGGCCGAGTCTCTTACCTTGCTCTCCGCTGGGAGTTGGGCGGGCTGGGTGGCCCGGGGAGGGGAAAAGGGTCGGGGGAGGGGGTGGGGAAAGGGGGGAGCCCTTGCGAGGTGTAGCTTCCGAGCAGCTCCCGCCGCCGCCACAGCCGGCGCCTCCTTTCCGATTCACTCAAACAAACAAGATGGCTGCCGTTACGCCGCGGCTCTTCCTGCCGCCCAAATCCTCGGTTCAAATCGGCAGGATGTTTACGGTCAAAATGGTACCTGTGCGCCTGCGCAGCCAGCCCAAGCCCCCCCCTCCCCCCAGAAGGAGCGGCGCAGGCGCAATGACTATTTCCTTTTCTTTGGAACCCGCCCTCTGTTTGTGGAGTCCACAACTGAGCAAGCGCAAAGGTGATTCTCTTGCGAGGGTCTTTGAGAGTTGCGGTGTTAGCCAATAGCGTAAGATAGCGCACGCGCAGTGCTTTCCAGTGCGGTGAATATTTGCGTTTAGCTTTATTCTTGTGCTTGTTTTAAAGAAAAAAGCTGTCGTGGTGCAATTTTGTGTGCCCCCACCAAAAAATTCATTTTATGGCTCTATAGGGATGAAAGTAACATAAAAACCTCAAACTAATTCCATAAAATATAGAGGTTCATTTATTCAGTCAACCTATATTATAGAGGGTCTTCTGTTTGCTACACGTTGGGCTCTGGATATAATGATTAATATAACAGAGATAATAACTGCCTTTTGGAAATTTTCAGTATTGCTTGGGAGGAATCTTAAAATTTCTTATCTTAAAAGACTTACTTGTACCACGAAGAAATTTACTTTTGTTTTTATTGTAGAGATCTTTCCAGTGATGAAAGAAATTGAAGAGGACACACAAAAATGGAAATATATTCCATGTTCATGGATTGGAAGAATCAATATTGTTAAAATTTCCATACTACCCAGAGCAATCTACAGATTCAATGTAATCCCTATCAAAATATCAATGACATTCTTCACAGAAAGAGGAAAAAAATCCTAAAATTTATATGGAACCACAATAAGACCAAGAATAGCCAAAGCAATCCTGAGCAAAAGAATAAAGCTGGAGGCATCACATTACCTGACTTCAAATTATACTACAAAGTGATAGTAAACAAAACAGCATGGTGCTGGCATAAAAACAGACACATAGACTAACGGAACAGAATAGAGGACCTATAAATAAATCAATACATATACAGTCAACTAATTTCTGACAAAGCTGCCAAGAACATACGTTGGGAAAAGGATGGTCTCTTCCAAAAATTGTTCTGGAAAAACTAGATAACTATATGTAGAAGAATGAAACAGATCACTATCTTTTGCCATATTAAAAAAATCAAAACAAAATGGCTTGAAGACTGGAATCTAAGATTTGAAACTATTGAAACTACTAGAAGAAAACGTTAGGGAAATGCTCCAGAACCAAATATTTCTTAGTAAGACCTTAAAAGCATAGGCAAGCAAAGCAAAAATGGACAAATGGGATCATGCCAAGCTAAGAACCTTCTGCAAAGCAAACAACAAAGTGAAGAGACAACCCATCAAGTGGGGGAAAATACTTGCAAACTACTCATCTATCACAGAATTAATAGCCATAATATATAAGGAGCTCAAACAATATAATAGGAAAATAATCCAATTAAAATTGAGCAAAAGACCTGAATGGTTATTTCTCAAAAAAGACATACAAATGGCCAACAGGGATATGAAAAAATGCTTAACATCACTAATCATCAGAGAAATGCATATCAAAACTAGGATGAGGTATAATCTCATCCCAGTTGAAATGGCTTTTATCCAAAATACAGGCAATAATGAATGCTGATAAAGATGTGGAGAAAGAGAAACACTCGTACACTGTTGGTAGGAATGTATGTTAGTACAGCACTGTGAAGAACAGTATAGAGATTCCTTAAAAACCTAAATATAGAGCCACCATATGAGCCAGCAATCCCACTCCTGAGTAAATACCCCCCCCCAAAAAAAAAGGAAATCAGTACATCAGAGTGGTATCTGCCCTCTCACATTTATTGCAGCAAGATTCACAATTGTCAAGATATGGTATCAACGTAAGTGTCCATCAGTGGATAGATGGGTAAAGAAAATGTGGTACACATACACAAGATAATATTTTTCAGCCATAAAAAAGAAAAAAAGTCCTTTCATTTGCTGCAACATGGATAGAACTGGAAGACATTAAGTGAAATAAACCAGGCACAGAAAGACATTAGTGTGAATGTTCACACTAATATGTGGGAGCTTAAAAAAAAAAAAAAGAACTCATTGAGATAGAAGGTAGAATGATGGTTACCAGAGCCTGGGAAAGGTAGTGGGGAGGGGGCAGATGAGTACAAAATCTGCCCCCTCAGATTTGGTACAAAAATACAATTAGAAAGAAGGAATAAAGTCTAGTGTTTGGTAGCACAATAGGGAAACTATAGTTAATAACTTACTATATATTTCAAAATAACTAAAAGAGTGGAATTGGAATGTTTCTAACACAAAGAAATGATAAATACTTGAGGTGATGGATACCCCAATTACCATGGTTTGTTACACATTGTATGCTTGTATTGAAATGTCAGACGTACCTTATAATTGTGTACAACTATTATGAATCCATAATAATAAAAACGTATTTTAAAAAGAAATTTTGTGTCCAGTTTCTGAATGTATTTTCATTTTAAAGTAAAACACACAGGAAAAGCAGACATTTAAGTCCATATACTCCTCATTGTCAGCAACCACTACTTCTGGACACTTCCAGGATTTTAATGACACACAGAACACCTCACTTTTACCCTTCTTATGCTGATATAGGAGATGGATAAGAAAGTGGACAGTCTTGTGCTCCACTCACTGTGGGTCCACTGTTTTTGGGTTGGGGCAAGGTTCGTCTCACTGGCTGGAGTCCATTAGCTAAGTGGCCATACTGGCCACAGCTCAAAGCTTTATCAAGTGAATTTCTGTTGTAGTTAGCCAAATATTTTATGTTCTTTTGGTTTGTTTTTAATGGAGACTTTAAGAAATTGGCATTAAGGATAGTTGTTAAAATCCCAAGCTGGGGAGTGAAGGAGTACAAGCACTTTTAACATTTTAAGCATGCTTTCCCTCGACCAATATAGATTAGATGCTCAAAGCACTTAAATCCTTCCTGCTGGTGTGGCTTTAAGCAAACTCAACAGTGGCAGTTGTTGCATCATCTCAAAAAAAAAAAAAATACAAGCTCATTAACAATTAAACTCCTTGCAACAGAAATTAGATTTCTGCCAGTGAACAATTTAATTCTTCACTTCAAAATAATTTCGGTGTATCAGCTGCTAAATGACCTCAAAACTAATCATGTGGGAAAAGTCTCCTGTCAGGTTAAGAATCACACAACCATGTTGCATGGTGAAGACGTTGTCGTTCATATTAAATTTCAGTTTAAATCAATCCCAGCTTCAAACTATGGCCAGGTGAATATGCATTGCCACTTCTTGTCTCTCTTATATTACATTAGCTTTTAGAGTTTTTGTTCATGGAACCATATATTTTTCATCTGTATTTGAATAAAAACAATTCTCTTTTCCTCATTTCTAGCAGCAAGTCTGATTCTAATATTTAAATCAACAGGCTTACCTTTTTCTTAAGACATTTATTTTTCTACTTTTGGGGGATGGTTATGAACATGGGCTTTGGGTTCAAATTCTTCTCTTCTACCTCCCAGCTGTTTTAACATGTACAATTAATGTCTGAGCTTTGATTTCTTTATTAATAAAATGAGGGTAATACTTGTCATGATGTTTGAAATAATTCAATAGGATCACATACACAAAGTGCTTAGTATAGTGCTTGGAACTGAGTAATTAATAAATGGCAGGTATTACTCTAGTTTTATCTGCTTTCTGAATAATAAGATATCAAGCAAGGTATGGGAAATATTTATCAGATATTCAATTTATAAGAACATCAGTAAACACCGGGATACTCTGCCCCATTCTGACTATATCCTGTTTTATGTTTATATTTGAAAATTATTCTCTCTCTCTCTCTGTCTTCTCTCTCCTCTCTCTCTCTGTCTTCTCTCTCTCTTCTCTGTCTCTCTCCATCTTTCTCTTACATGCTGTTCTCCTACCCCAAGTTACCTCCCAAAGTACTACATTTCTTTTCTCTTGAACTATTTATTCTTACTCAGAGCTCCCAACTCTGAGCCCGCCTTCCCATTTGTAGATTTTAATATAGTTTCTTCACATACAGTCCTAATCCCCTAAATGGCTGGATTTGATTCTTTGAACAAGTTGTATGTTTTATTCTGGCTTGGAGTCTCCTCTTATCAACATACCCATCCACCTCCTTGTATTAAAATGTCAAGTTAAATTTCTTATTGCAGGAGTTAGCTGCAGTATCTCTTCTCCCTGGAAATACTTATCTGATGAATGTGCATTTGTCAAAATTAGTAATTGTGAATTTGTTTGACTAAAACCATGAGAGGACAGATTTCAGTTACAGATTTTGTCTTTCTTCAGTTGCAAATGGTATGCTTTCCTTTTCTGATTAGTCAGTTGATGACTTGTATGATTTGGGGAAATCACTGAGAAACTGGGTGTTGCCACTGTCTTGAGTATATCTATAAAAACAGCTGCGTTCTGTCTATATCACGTTATTTTATGATGACACCCCCCCCACACACACAACTGAGAGTTTTTTTTGTGAGATAAAAACTGTTATGGCAAAAAAAGAGAGAAAATATACTGTTATAGAAAAAGATGATAAAACTTACAGTAGCAGATTTGTTTAAGATTTACATATACTGTTGTAGACTTGCTCCTCTGAACTGGCAAACTTTTAAAACAGGATTCTCTATAACATTAAAATAATTATAGAATCCCAGCACTTTGGGAGGCCGAGGTGGGTGGATCACAAGGTCAAGAGAGCGAGACCATCCTGGCCAACATGGTGAAACCCCGTCTCTACTAAAAATACAAAAATTAGCTGGGAGTCGTGGCACATGCCTGTAGTCCCAGCTACTAGGGAGGCTGAGGCAGGAGAATTGCTTGAACCTGGGAGGCAGAGGTTGCAGTGAGCTGAGGTCATGCACTCCAGCCTGGCGACAGAGGGAGACTCGAGTCTCAAAAAAAAAAAGTATTATTATTATTATAGTAAGTAGGAGGAATTAGGTGAAGAGAAGAATAAGACAAGAAAATAGATATTTCAATGTTCGGGAGGATGGGTATTAAACATGTGGTGCACCAGGTTTTTAAAAATTTTTATTTAAATAAAAATCAAAGTATAAAATATGATGATCAAAGAAAAGTTCAGAAAGAGTGAATAGCCTTTTTAAGGTTTTGGGCTAAGCAAAGAAAAATGGACTGAAAGTGACTTTAAAAACTGTAGATTCTGGCTTTCCTTCTAGTGCCAACAGTATCCTTACAAGGGGTTTTGGTCAAAAAGGGAATGCATTTTAAGGACAAAATTCAAGGAAGAAATGTCATAATCAGACATAAACATTATATGAGATGTAGGGGAATTAAGGACAAAATGTCATTATTTGAAACAATTCCTAATTCACTAGATATTAATTAAATTAGTGATAATAGTGTGTGCATGTGTGTGAGAGAGAGAGAAAAAGAAAGAGAGAGAGAAACCGAGAGAAAGAGTTTTGTAAGCCTTAGAAAACATAGGTTTCATTCACAGTCACATCCTCAACTTCAAGCAGAAGCTGAGGTTTGAGTTTTAACGTTTGAGCTGAGGTTTGGGGTTTGAGGCAGGACTCCAGAAAGCGGCTGCAAGCATCCCTATTATGGCTGGGCTAAGGGTCTGCTCACGCAGGTATGTATCAGCAGTGGAAAATCACCAGGGGCCAGGAGTGGGCCCAGGGATAATAGGGGGTAGTCTCTGGGCCAGATGGAAATGTGAGTTTATCAAGGACCGAAGTGGAGATGAGGGGAAGCCTCAGAGGCAGAAGCTGGGTCAAGGTCTTATGTTAATCACTTGGACTTCTCTCAGAAAATTTCATTATGCTAATATTTCAATACTGGGAGCATTTTTAACTCTAGCTGGGAATTTTTCTCAGTGAGTATTTTGATGCATTTCCTCTATTTTAAAGCCCATCATATCTTCCACAATTGTGCCGCATCTTTGAGAATAATGAGTGCTAGCTGGATAGGTAGTGTGCACCTGTAGTCCCAACTACTCAGGAGGATGGCTTGAGCCCAGGAGTTCAAGTCCAGCCTGGGCAACATAGCAGACCCCCAGCTCCAAAAACAGAAAGAAAAAATAATAGTTGCTTTCTAAAAGCAGAAGGTTAGTGTTTATTCTGAAATCCCCTCGCCATTCCAGAATGCAGACATTTTTGTTTTAATACAATATACATTGTTCCTTTGATTCTGTGAAATTGCTTGGAAAAATTATTGGGAAAACTCAGGAAAAATAGGGTTGAGATAGATTTCTTAAAACCAATGCAACTAACAAAAGTGCTAACAATCCTAATAAAAATTATTAAATATATGTTAAATTGCCACCAATCAAGGAAATAATATAGCAAATATAGTACTTTTACCACAAAGAAGGTGAAAGTGCTTGGAGAGAAGGGTGTAACAAAAGGTAGAAGTTACTGAGTTATGAGAAAAGAGTCAAATGCAGAGATTAAGTGCTTGCTGCAGTAAGCAGTCCAAAGACACAACATGGAGATAAAGTGAGCCAAAAGCTAACTTGAAGTGAATGGGCACTATGTGCAGTCCTTTGTTCTCTGTGGCTAGATGCTCAGCTGTGTTAATGTGTTTTACATGAACTTGATGGGATCAAAAAATTAATGTGCTGGGAAACACAAAGTTACAAAGGTAACTTCCATGCCGTTTGGAAATCATTCCCCTATTTGTTAATGACATATGAGGAATTAGTGTTATTATAGAAACTCACACTGCAACTTAGTACCTAAGACTAAATTTGGGGTTTTATTATCAGTGAGATCTGATATATTTATGGTAGGGTGGTAGAGAGTGATATTTCTCCACTTATAATGGGCTATTTACCTTGGGGTCTTGGCTAAATCAGGTTAAAATTTAGTAGTTTGGGGTGGGGCTGGGGAGTCTGCTTTTTTAACAGCTTCAGGTAATTCCAAGGCTGCCACTATGGGGACCACACTGAGGATTTTTCTTTGATTTAATTTTAAATCATGTTTAATTTATTTTTATTTTCTTTTATTTATTTTATATTAATTTCTTTATTTTTATTTTGTATTGTTCTCTAACCCTCGTAGATGAAGAGGATTTTTGAAAAATAGACTTTGGAATCAAGTAGAACTTGGTTTGCATCATGGCTCTTCTATCTAGTAGCTGTGTAACCTTCAGCAAGTTGCCCAACCTCTCTAAGGCTGAGTTTTCTTATTTGTAAAATCAGGTTAATTGTATCTACCACCTCAGTGCTGTGTTGTTTATGTCATGCAATGATGTATATAAAGCATCTAGCATAGTGTTTAGCATGTTATGTGATCTCAGTAAATAATGGTTAAAGAGCATCACTCTTTTGCCCAGGCTGGAGTGCAGTAGCAATCACAGCTTACTCTAGCCTCGACCTCCTGTCTCGAGTGATCCTCTTGTCTCAGCCTCCCAAGTAGCTGGGACTACAGGCATGCACCACCATGCCTGGCTAATTTTTCGTAGAGACAAGGTCTCACCACGTTGCCCAGGCTGGTCTCAAACTCCTGAGCTCAAGCAACCCTCCTACCTCTGCCTCCCAAGGTGCTGGGATTGTAGGTGTGAGCCACCATGCCCAGCTCTAATCACACACTCATTTGCCTCAACATATTTACTATTTTTTTCCTCCTGAAATGTACTTATTCTCTCTTTTCTGAATCGATCTTTATTCTATGCTGAGTTCTATGGCAAAAGCTGAGAATTGTTTCCCAACATCTTTGTTTTTTTTTTAGTTTTGCACATGGCACCCAGCTAAATGATTACATTTTCCAGTGTCTCTTGCATATAGGTGTGGCCAAGAGAATATGTTTTACTCAAATTTTATGTGGGCATTACTAGAATATATCTACAAAATGGAGCAACCTTTCTTCTCATTCTTTATTTTGCTGCTTGGAATATAGATAAAATGGCTGGTGCTCCAGCAGCATTTTGGGCAATGAAGACAAAGGATAAGCTAAGGATAGTAAATCAGTGATATGGACAAATCTGAGTACATAACAACTTTGTAAAGCTGTCTCATAAACCCGCAACTGGCTACCTCCAGACTTATTTTATGTAAATGAGAAATAAAGTCCTGTCTTGATTTTTTTTCCTGTTATATGTAGCTTACTCTAATCCTCACTGATACAAGCACTTACCTGGTTCAAAGAAAGATGAAATACAGGGGGCACAAAAGTTAATGTCTGATCTCTCCTGGCGAGTAGTTCAACCTTCTATGTCATATCAGTTGTCTTTCACAGAGTACTATTTTATAACTTTTTTGAGAGAATTTTCCCTCCTATAAACTTCACTTCCAAATGCTCTTCCTCCCTTATTATTCTTTTATTTTGATCACTCTGGTAAGTCTCCCACAAAATGTGTTCTTCCAAGTCTAATCACACATTCCATTCCTCTTAAAAACATAAACTATGGGGAAGAGAATCAGGATCTGTAAATCAATATTTGTATGGCCAGTTTATCTAATGTCTTTTATTTTCAGAGTCAGTACCTTCACAGTTGAAAAACTGAATTTACGTGTTTAATCTCAAAACTTGCAGTTCCCTAACATCTGGAGACTTTTGGCTTCCTGACAGTATGCATTTCCTCTAAAGGCAGCATTTCATTTTATCTGAAATGGTTAGTCTTTGATAAATTTAATGAATCCTGGAAAACTCTCTATTATCTCTCTCCAAGATGCTGCCCTTAAAACCAAAAAGCATCTCTCTTTGACCATGTCAAGTCCATACAGGGCAGTTGTTGAACATCTCAATAAAATGATCAGGATATGTGGTGGGTGGATAGAATTTTCTAGCTAGCACCTTTCCTCTTTGATACACTATTGAGTATAGGTAACTATAGCCTTTTTCTCTGAATGTTCCAGAATCAATCACTCCTCATTGGCTAAGTTGCATCTGTTATAAAACTTTTTTCTTATGAACTGTGCACTTCTTGTCTGAAATTAACTGGATTCAATTTATGTCAGTGTTACTTCAACCACTGATAGAATTTTAAGTTGCAGAATATAAGTTTTTGCACTGGATGAACTCTTTGTCAACTAGATAGTGGAAGGTCAGGTTAAAAGGGATGATATTTAGCAATTATTATTTATTTTTTATATGAAAATGGCATGGTGGTTTTGTTTTTAAAGAATGGCCTTATGCTTAAAAGATACATACTAACATAGTTACAGGTAAAATGGTACATTATCTGGGATTTACTTCAAAATAATCCCCAAGAAGTAGAAAAAGGAGTGGATGTAGTTCAAAACAAGATTGGCTGTGGGTTGATAGTTGTTGAACTTGGGTGATACATATATGGAGGGTCATTTTAATCCTCTTTCTACCTTTGTATATATCTCTCTTTACCTTTGTATTTCCATAAAAAAAGGATTTAGAAAAGTAAGATAATTAGATGGAGATATGAATACTAATTTTAATAATTTAATAATGGGAATCTTCAATAAGCAGATTTCTAATGATTCATAGAATATTTTCAATCCGCATTTGGAGTTTATCAGTGCATATTTATATGCAACCATCCAGTTCTATGAGTTATTCATCTGATATATTCACCAACAATGTATCAATAGGAATACGATTTCTCATTCATACAACCAGCTATTAGCACACATGAGTGAGTTTATCCACTAACTCACTAGGGGAAGACAAATCGGGGTGAAATCTAATTGCTTTTCTAAGCAATGCATCGGTTATTTTCTATGGTCATCTATATTTTATATTGCTTTCCTAGTGCCATAATTCATTTCTTTAGCATAGTGAGGCCATGAGTGTCAGTGGAAAAAGTGGGTCATGATATCTGTTATGGCTCTAAAGATTCAATGTCAGTCTTCATCTATTCATCCTGAGGTGAACTCTGACACTCCCTATGCCTGTTTGGTAGCCATACCTCATTTATTCATTCATTCTACAGCATCTACTTAATAATTATAAAATGCACCTATCTTCAATATTTTAAAACCTTTCCCTTTGCTCCATATCCACTGCACCATTTATCAACTCCCCCTTACAGCAAAAGTTCTGAAAGAAATGTCCATGTTTTCCCTCTCTAATTCCTTCCCTTTCATAATCTATCTTTTTTATTACAGTACAAAACACATAGTATAAAGATCACCATTTTAACTGTTTTAAATTGTACAATTCAGGGGCGCTTAATACATTTACAACTTTGTGTTACAGTCACCAGCATCTAGTTCCAGCACATGTTCATTACCCCAAAAGGGAACCCTCTACCCATTAAGCAGTCCCTTCCCATTTCCTCCTCCCTGTAGCCCCTGGTGACTACTTTTCTATGGATTGATCTACTGAGTATATTTCATATAAATCGAATCATACAGCATGTGGTTTTCTGTGTCTGAATTCTTTCACTTGGTGATATGGTTTGGATCAGTGTCCCTGCCCAAATCCCATGTCAAATTGTAATCCCCAGTGTTAGAGGAGGGGCCTGCTGGGGGGTGATTGGATTGTGAGGGTGCATTTCCCCCTTGTTGTTCTCATGATAGTGAGTGAATTCTCATGATATCTGGTTGTTTAAAAATGTGTAGCACCTCACCCTTTGCTCTCTTCCTCCTGCTCCAGCCACGTAAGATGTGCCTGCTTCCCCATCACCTTCCGCCATGACTGAAAGTTTCCCAAGGCCTCCCCAGAAGCCAAGTAGCCAAGTAGATGCTGCCATGCTTCCTGTACAGCCTGCAGAACCGTGAGCTAATCTTCTTTTCTTTATTAATTACCCAGTTTCAGGGTATTTCTTTATAGCAATGCAAGAGTGGACTAATACACTTAGTGTAATGTTTTTTAGATTCATCCACATTGCAGCATGTGCAGCATGCTGCTCTAAAATATGTAACATTTTAGTTTCATCCACACTGAAGCATTGTTTTTTCATGGCTGAATAATATTCCATTAAATGGATCTACCACATTTTGTTTATGCATTCATTAATTCATGGACATTTGCGTTGTTTCTACTTTTTATCTACTATGAATAGTGTTGCTAGGAACATTTGTGTACAAAAATTTTTGTTTGACTATCTGTTTTCAGTTCTTTTTGGTATATATCTGGGAGTAAAATTGCTGTATCATATGCCAATTTTATGTTTAACTTATTGCAGAACAGCCAAACTCTTTTCTATAGCGCTGAACCATTTTACATTCCATTAATAATGTATCAGGGCTCCAGTTTTTCACATGCTCACCAACTTTTATTACTTTCTGTTCTTTAAAATTAAATCCATCTCAGGCCAGGTGCGGTGGCTCACGCCTGTAATCCCAGCACTTTGGGAGGCCGAGGTGGGTAGATCACCTGAGGTCTGGAGTTTGAGACCAGCCTGGCCCACATGGTGAAACCCTGTCTCTACTAAAAATACAAAAATTAGCCGGGCATGGTGACACAGCCTGTAGTCCCAGCTATTTGGGAGGCTGAGGCAGGAGAATCACTTGAACCCGGGAGGCGGAGGTTGCAGCCAGCTGAGATTGAGCCACTGCACTCCAGCCTGGATGACAGAGTGAGACTCCATCTCAAAAAAAAAAAAAATATATATATATATATATATATAATATCCATCTCAGTGGATGTAAAATGGTATCTCATTGTGGTTTTAGTGTGCATTTTCCAAATGACTGAATAATGTTGAGCATCTTTTCATGTGCTTATTGGCCGTTTGTATGTCTTCTATAGAAATATGTCTATGCAAGTCCTTTGCCCATTTTTAATTGGGTTGTTAGTCATTTTATTATTGAGATGTATGAGTTTTTAATATGTTTAAAATGTTAGACCCCTATCAGATTCCTTATCAAATATATTATTTGCAAATATTTTCTCCACTATTAGTCATTCTTGAGAAAGAATAGCACAAACTTAAAAAATTTAAATATTCTGAATTCAATTGTGTGGGTTGAAAGTATATAGGTTAAAAGAGTAGTTTGTCTATATGCTCACTGTTAGTAGAAGTAAAAAATATTTCAAACTCTTGAGCTGTAAGCAACAGTGGAGTCTACTTCTGGTATCCAAACACTTCCCCAAACATTAAAGCATTTAGATGTACAATTTAATTCTCAGGCTGATCTTCAAAATCATGTCTTGGAGACACAATTAAAATACATGTTAATTGGTTTAAGGAAGTCTACCCTAATAGAAGTTCAATTTCTTTGAGACTTTTCTGATTTTTGGATCTTTGCAAAATAATATATGATAATTAATTAATGTGCTAGATTATTTGGCCTTACATGCCTGACATTCCACCATATAAGTTAATTTAGTTTAGAATGCAGTAAGCTCCTGACATTTGTGACAAAAAAGAAACCCCATGCAGAATTCCTATGAACCTCCTAGAAATGTTGTGTCAGTCAGGGTACAGTCAGGAGATAGAAACTACTCAGTAACTTGAATGGAATATTTCAAATATAAAGAATTATTATAATGAACTAAGAATTAATTAATAATAGGATTAACTAAGAAGCAATAAGGAGAACGCTACAGAATACAATAGTAGCAGATATTGGAAGTAACTATTACCTCTGTAGCTGAGGCCAAGTACCCATTGAGGGAAAAGACTTCCAAGGAGGCCAACATTGAGATCTAAACTCCTATATGGAGATGGTGTGGCCCAGTTCATGGCAGATAAATTTGCTGAGGTCCCAAAGGTCAGGGGTGGCTGGAAACTGCCTGTTGGGGTTACCAGTGAACTAACTGGGAATCAGGCCTCTGGAATGCTGGTGAAACTCACTGGAAAGCCACCCTCTAAGGAGCTAACAAGACTTTACAGGGGTGCTGGCAAAACTTGCTGGAGCATGAATGCCACTGGGTGTTCCACACACTGCTAGCTGTCAAGTGCTATGGGAGCAAAAAGGCACACAAAAATCAGGAAAAGTCCCTTCCTCCTGCAATGTCCCTCTTCTGCCCTCTGTTGACAAAGCCTAACATTGCACCCTCTGACAAAAGAGAAACCTTTACGTAGTCCAGCTCCTGTATCACAAAGCAAGACAAAGGTTAATCTGGAACTGGGATGCTATAAATTGATAAGTGGCACAGATAGTGATTTGTGATTCTTTGAGGGAATAATCCAGCAAAAAGATGGTTTATGAGGAAAGTTTCAGAAGTGGTTATTTACACAGGGTAGCAGTGTGATTACTTAGAAGACAAAAGCTTAATAATGGCTAAACCAGAAAACCTGGTTTAAATTAAACAATTAAAATTATTTTAATTTCAATGATCTAATTAAAATAAAAAACAGATAAACAGATATGTTGAGGATAATCTGAATCTATGAGCCAAAAAATCTCCAAAGCAGAGAATTCTCTTAAAGCAGATCCCAAAGACAAGGTCAAAGGTAGGTCCTATACTATCAAGTGAGAATTGATACCACATGTCCTAGGTAAGTTGTTCTATGAAATGACGAATTGCAGATATAAGCAAGCAAGTGACTTTATTTGCTTGTTTTGTTTTGGGCTGCTGTGGTGAAGGAGCCATCAAATCAGAGTGGGTATATTTTTGAGGATCTTGAAAAAATAAAAATTCCTCCTTTTAGAAGTACATCAATAGAAGTACATAAGTTAGGTGCTGCATTCACTGCTATTACTAAAAAAAGAAAAGAAGAGAAAAAGAAATACATCTGTTAGGAATGCTTTTTGCTGTGTGTAATAAATGACCTGAATAACAGAGATTTCAGAAATAAAGAATAAACACTTTTTTTTTTCTTTTGAGATGGAGTCTCACTGTGTTGCCCAGGCTAGAGTGCAGTGGCATGATCTTGGCTCACTGCAGCCTCCAACTTATGGGTTCAAGTGATTCTCCTGCCTCAGCCTTCCCAGTAGCTGGGACTATAGGTGCACACCACCACACCCGGCTAATTTTCGTATTTTTAGTAGAGACAGGGTTTTGCCATATTGGCCAGGCTTATCTTGAACTCCTGACCTCAGATGATCTGCTGCCTTGGCCTCCCAAAGTGCTGGGATTACAGGTGTGAGCCACTGCGTGGACTAAAAACAGTTAATAATCTCATATAACAAATGATCCAGAGGAAGCAGTTCCTTGATTTCTTCAAAGACCCACCTCTTTTGCATCTTTCTGCTCCAGTATCCTTAGACTACTGTCTTGTTGCTTCATGGACAGAACTTGGTGTTTCTCGTTCTTTCACCATTTAGACAAGAAGAAGGAAGAAAGGAGTTAATATGTGCATCTGCATTTATGAGTATCAAGCTGTTTGACAGATATTAATTGAACAATCATGTGTGTGTGTGTGTGGGGGGGCAGTGTGTCTGGCTGTGGAATTTAATAATTAGTCAAAGCATGTACAATTTTGGCCCTTTAGCAAATCTTACAGATCCAAACATGAGACTTCGTCCTAGAAATTTCTTTTTCACCTTATACATGCCTGATTACACAGAGGGTCATTCCCCAACCCCTGCACACTCATAGCAATTCTTCTGCTCTGAATCTTCCTGGTGCATTCTGGGAGTTATCCTACTTATTTATACTTACTACATAATATATTGAGGATGACATTTTATGTAACAGATTTTTTTCTGGTGCCATAATTCTCTAATATAAAATCCTTAAAAACATAATATATATTGGTAACAAAGATTTTATTCTCTTTCTCTAGTCTCCCTCTCTGCTAAATCTAATAAATGATTAAATAATAGGAAACTGCAGTTCTTAAAGGGCAGTCTCTTTGTTGTTAGGATCTGATTTCCATTTGAGCAGTGGAAGATTTAATGTTGCAATTGCAAAGAGAGAATCTCTCTTTTATTAACTTTTATACAATTTCTCATTATCTAATTTATAACTTTGAAGGGACTATTCATTCCTTCTGTACTTTTTTGGACCACTTTTTAAAAACTTATGAAATAACTCTTTAAATAAATAGAAAAAACACAGGGTCAAGTGCAGTGGCTCATGCCTGTAATCCCAGCACTTTGAAAGGCTGAGGCTGAGGCTGGTGGATCACTTAAGCTCAGGAGATCGAGACCAGCCTGGGCAATGTGGCAAAACCCCATCTCCACCAAAAATACAAAATGAACAAACAAATAGCCGGTTGTGGTGGTGCATGCCTGTGGTCCCAGCTACTCAGGAGGCTGAGGTGGAAGGATTGCTTGAGCCTGGGAGGCAGAGGCTATAGTGAGCTGAGATTGCACTCACAATGAAACAGTGTGATAAAAGTACAAAAAATTAACCCATGTATTGTTTAATAACTTTGCATTGCTAACTTTCAAATATTTCTGAAAGAAAACATATCGGGCCTATTCATCCTCTGCTCTCTCCAACTTCATTTGCTTTCTACATTGTGAAATCTCCTGTTTCCAGATTTAGTTCTTCAGAGAAGCAGCCTGTCCTTGGCTTGTCTGTTTGATGTTATGTAAATAATGGATAGAATTTTCCCTGTCCATGTTTTTTCTGAGATGGTTTTCTCAAAAAAATTTCCATTTCAAAAGCAAACTCCACAAATACACAAAAAATAACTAAACATGGAAAGAGGTTTAGTTGCCTTAGATTGTGCAAAAGACTAGAAGTAACCGCCAGATTCTCAGCCCCTGATTGTCCCAAATCACACGTCATCAACTGACTAACCAGAAAAGGAAAACAAGCCAGTTGCAGATGAAAGAAGATTTGATTCTAATACAGATTGTAAACCCACAATGACTGTTTTATAAGCAAAGAGTCACTTTTGTGACTGAATTTGAGTTTTCCACTGCAATGTTTCTTGAAAATTCCTAAAATATCATACATTATACATTATGCCAAACACTCAACTATTGAGCGGCAAGATTTTATTGTTTTTGGGAACACTCTTAACAGGCATTGGTAGGAAATGCAAAGAATTCCAGAAACAGAGCTGGACTGGAAAGAACACATTTATCATTAGTTCCATAAATCTATGTTTCTTAGGATTAGAAGAGGAATTTCTTGGACTGAGTAGGTTTTAAATATTCTGAGCCATTGGCAGAGGGAGCTAGGATTGTTCTGTGATGTTGTGAAATACATATTTGATCTTCATTCCATTTCCTGGAGTACAGCTCCTAAAATCCTTGGAATCTCCTGAGTGATAAGAGTTTTTTTTCTTTGTATGTTACTGAGATAACAGTGGCTAAGAGCACCTAGGTAGTTTCAGGATGGGGGTCACTGGAAAGACCAAGGCATGATTAGAGAGTTGGGAGTTTCAGCCTCCCCAACCCTACTCCCCAATCCCTGCAAGCAGCAGAGAAAGGCTGAAGGTTAAGTTGATCACCAATGGCTAATAATGTAATCAATCATGCCTATGTAATGAAGCCTCCATAAAAACCCAAAAGAATAGTGTTCAGAAAGGCTTCTGGATTGCTGAACACGTGGAGGTGTCTGGAGGGTGATATGCCCACAGAGGGCATGGAAATTTCACTTTCCTTTCCACATACATTGCCCTATGAATGTACTCTGTCTGGCTATTCATCCATATCTTTTGTAATATCTTACAGTTCATTTTGTTTGTGGGATCATATAAACTTGGGCTTGACTTATTGTTGTCATTTTATTTTCCTGATACTTTGTTTTCTTGTTGTGAAATGGGGATACAATACTTTATTAGTTGGGGCTCAGTTGTAGGTGACAGGAAACATTAGGATAATCAGAAAAGAAAGAGGTTAATCATGGGGAAGAGCTGGTTTTAGGCTATGTCTCTGGGATTGACTTCCAGAATGTCAACCAAGAACCAGCTCACCAAAGAAAGGGCTACCTCTGCAACCTTCAGAAAGCTGGGGAGTCAGGAAGACACTATCCCAAACTCTTGATTCCAGCGTCAGACCACCTTAGCTATGAACTGGAGTAAGAAGCTGCCACCAGCATTATAGACTCAGAGTCACATGGTGCATACAAATCCATTCAAGCAAAATGTATGTCACTGGCATCCCTACTTTCCTTCCTTTTATTTACTGATTAATGCAATACATATTTACTGAATTGTAGTAAAGAAGTAAAATATGTAATACATTAGAAAGAGATAAACGTAATACATTAGAAAGGGATAAATGCAATGACGAAAAGTAGTGTAGGAAATGGGATTACAGAAAATTGACAGCATCGGCCTTAGTCTGTTCGTGTTGCTATAAAGGAATACCCGAGGCTTGATAATTTATATATTTAAAAAAGAGGTTTATTTGGCTCATGGTTCTGCAGGTTGTACAAGAAGCATGATGTCAGCATTTACTTTTGGTGAGAGTTTCAGACTACTTCCACTTGTGGCAGAAGGAGAAGTGGAGCTGGCATGTACAGAGATCACATGGTGAGAAAAAAAGTGAGAGAGAAAGAAGGAGGTGTCAGGCTCTTTTTAACAACCAGCTGTTGTAGGAACTAATAGAGCGAGAACTCACTCATTACCTAGAACTCACTCATTACCTCAAGGATGGCACCAAGCCATTCATGATGGATCCACCTCCATGACTCAAACCCCTCCCACTAGGCCCCACCCTGAACATTGGGGATTATATTTCAACATGAGGTTTAGAGAGGTCAAGTATCCAAACCATAGCAGAGTCAAAGAAGACCTCCTTCAGAAGGTGATATTTATGTGAATATCTGAAGAAGGTGAGAGGACGAACCATGTGAGTCTTTAGGGGAGAAGTGTCCAGGAGAGGGAGGAGAAAATGCAAAGGCTCTGAGACAGGAGATTCCCTGGAAGGCAAGCAAAAGCAAAGAGGCCAGCATGGAAGGAGTGGAGTGAGTGAGGGAATGAGCCTGCTGTCAGAAATTCACATTGATTTCAAAGTAGAAATTTCCTAAGTAACTATTGCTTGGTTTTCTATATAGACAGTGTATAAGTATTTTAAACTAAAATATTCAAAGATTTTGATATAATTTAAATGAATATATGCTCCTTTAAATGAAAGGACAGAGCTACCAATATCACTATATTTGAAGCTACTGTTATTTTAAATAATAATCCGTGCTATTAACAATGTCATTATCTGGTTTGGTTTTTCTTTTTCCTCTTTTGGAGACAGGGTCTCACTCTGTTGCTCAGGTTGGAGTGCAGTGGCATAATCATGGCTCACTACAACCTCCACCTCCCTCCCACCTCAGCCTCCCAAATAGCTGGGACTACAGGCACATGTTACCACACCCAGATAGTATTTTTTGTATTTTTTTTTATAGAGACAGGGTTTTGTCATATTACCCAGGGTGGTCTTGAACTCTTGAGCTCAAGCAATCCACCTGCTTTAGCCTCCTGAAGTGCTGGGATTACAGGCATGAGTCACCATGCCTGGCCTTTTTTCCTTTTTTTATAAGACTTTTTTTAATCATAAAAAAAAGTCTGTCTTTGATGTGACTTTTTCATGTAGAATTAATGAGTTACATGATTGACTTCTACCTTTTGAAAGATTCTTACAGGCTTCATTTTTATAATAGCACAGTTATAATAGCTGAAAAAAATCTGAGTATAGCTTGTCAGATTCATCACTGAAATATGTTTTAAGGGTGCGGAATAATAAGTAGGCTGGCTTTGACACACTGCTTTTTTTCAATGGAAGGCTAAAAGTGAGAAAATAAACTCATTTCTGTAGGAGATAGAGATTTACATTTGTTTTCCTTTGACAAAATACTCCATTCTCACACATTATACACCATTTTAAGAAGATTAGTATTTGTCTGAGACAAAGTGATCTTAGACTTTCAGTTTAAATGGTGGCATAGAAGCAAGCTGGTCTTACTACCCCACCTCCTTGCCAGAAAACCAAAAACAAATATACAGCAACAACCCAGAATCAAATATGAGGATGAGACAGATCCTGGGGACACAGAGAAATGAGAGTACTTTGAGCAGATGGTGGGAGAATCAGACTTTCACATCCATGACACCCCATCCCCCCATTCTGCCTGGCAACTAGCACCTGGAAAATCTTCTCCAACTCATGGTTTCTACAAGGGAAGGAGTGAGATTGAGATGGCCAACCAGCTTTTCTACCATCTTGGATATCTTGGGAGGAGACCTGTTATTGTCTTAACCCAAGGGAAGCACTGTGGCTGCCTGAAGGGAGAAACTTCACAGAGGACAGGTGAAGACAAAGGAGGGAAGTGGAACTACCACCCCCAGCCCTGGAAACTCTGCTCTGCAACTTGGCAAAAGAAGACATCAAATCAGAATGGTTGTTCAGGAGCATCACACCATAGAAGGTACGTTTCATAGTTTCCTTGGGTGTAAACTCCTAGCTAGCCTTCTAACAGTGCCAGGTCCCTTTAGGACCTCACCCATTCAAAACGGACATCACTCTGATCATTTACCAAAGCCAAGGTGAACCTGGACTTAAGACACACCTAGGGCCAAAAAGAAGGCTGCAACATAGTGGTAAAGATTTTCTAGGCAAATATATCCACTAAAAAAACAAAACAAGCCTGTCAGAGGAAATTTGAAAAAATAATTAATCCTTCAATACAAAGGCATAGATGTATCCAGGAGGGAATGGAATGACATTTTCAAAGTGTTCAAAGAAAAGAAAATCTGCCATCCAAGAATATTGTGCCCAGCCAAATTATTCTTCAACTATGAAAGAGAGATAAAGTCTTTCCCAGACAAGCAAAAGTTGAGAGAATTCACCACCAGCAGATCTGTCTTACAAGAAATGCTGAAGGGAGATCTTCAGTCTGAAATAGAAAAAAAAATAATGCACAAAAAGAAAACTTTTCAAGGTGTAAAACCCACTGGTAGAATTAAGTACGTAGACAAACCAAGAATACTCTATTCCTATAATGGTGGTGTGCAATCTACTCACAACTCTGATAATAAAGCCCAAAAGACAAATCTGTCAAAAACAATAATAGCTACAGCAACTTATTAAAAGATATGGAATGTAAAAAATGTAAATTGAGACAACTAAAACTCAAAATATGAGGGTGATAGAGTTAAAGTGTAGATTTTTTCGTATGTGTGTTTTTTGCCTTTATTTCTGGTCTTTATTGTGTGATCTAAGGTAAATGTCATCTGTTTAAAATAACTTGTGATATCTATGGTTTTTTTTTGTAAGCCTCATGGTAACCATGCAAAAACCTATAATAGATTCACCAAAAATAAAAATGAAGAAATTAAAACATACTACCAGGGAAAATCACTTAAACATGGAAAAAAAAAAAGACTGAGAAAGGAAGACAGTAGTCTCAAAACAACCAGAAAATAGGCAATAAAATGGCAGTAGTAAGTCCTTACTTATCAATAACACTGACTATAAATGGTCTCAATTCTCCAATTAAAAGTCATAAAGTGACTGAATTGATAAAGAAACAAGACCCAACTATATGCTGCCTTCAAGAAACTCACTTCACCTATAAAGGCACACATAAGCTGAAAGTGAAGGGGTGGAAAAAATATTCCATGCAACTGGAAACCAATAAAAAGCAAAAGTAGCTACACTTATAACAGATAAACTAGAGTAAAAAGCTAAGGTTATAAAAAATCACGAAGAAGTTCACTATATAATGATAAAGGAGTCAATTTGGCAAGAGGATATAAAAATTATAAATATCTATGCACCTAACATCAGAGCTTCCAAGTATATAAAGCAGATATTAATAGATCTAAAGGAAGAGATACACTGCTGTATAATAATAATAGGATATTTAACATCTCACTCTCAGTAATGGACAGATCATCCAGACAGAAAATCAACAAAGAAGCACCATGGTTAAACTATATACCAGATCAAATAGGCCTGACTGAAATTTATAGAACATTTCACCCAACTGCTACAGAATACACATTCTTCTCATCAGCACATGGCACATCCTCCAGGATAGACCATATGTTAGGACACAACGCAAGTCTGAACAAATTAAAAAATATGTAAATTGTATCAAGTGTTTTTTTCTGACCATAATGAAATAAAACTAGAAATCAGTAGCAAGAGGGACCTCAGAAAATACAAAAACACATGAAAATTAAACAACATGCTCCTGAAAAACCAATGGGTCAATGAGGAAATTAAGAAGGAAATTTTTTAAATTTCTCAAAGCCAATAAAAATGGAAATACAACATATCAAAATCTGTGGGATACATCAAAAACAGTCCTAAGGGAGAAGTTTATGGCGATAAATACATTTATCAAAAAGTAGGAAGTCTTCAAATACACAACCTAACAGTGCACCTGAAGAAACTGGAAAAGCAAGAAGAAACCAAGCCCAAAATCAGTAGAAGGAAATAAATAATGAAGATCAGAGCCAAAATAAATAAAATTGAGACAAAATTTACAGAAGATAGATGAAACAAGAAGTTAGTTTTTTGAAAAGGAAATTGACTAACCTTTAGCTAGACTGAGAAAAAAAGAAGACCTAAATAAATAAATTCAGTAATGAAAAAGGAGACATAATAAATGAGACTTCAGAAATACAAAGAATCTGTGGACAGTATTATGAACAACTATATACCAACAAATTGGAAAACCCAGAAGAAATGGACAAATATCTGGACATGTACAATTGATGAATATTGAACTACGAAGAAATAGAAAACCTCAACAAACCAGTATTGAGTAATGAGATCAAAGGCATAATAAAAAACCTCTCATCAATAAAAATTTCAAGACCTGATGGCTTCACTGCTGAATTTTGCCAAACATTTAAAGATAATAAACTAACACCAATTCTACTCAAACTCTTCAAAAAAACTGAAGAGGAAGGAACACTTCCAGACTCATTCTATGAGGCCAGCATTATGCTGAAACCAAAACCAGACAAGTACACAAGAAGAAAAAAATAAAATTACAGGCCAATATCACTGATGAACATAAATGCACAAAATCCTGAACAAAATACTAGCAAAACAATTTCAACAACAATCAAAAAGATCATTCATCTTGATCAAGTGGGATTATTCTAGGGATGCAAGGATGGCTCAACATATGCAAACTAATAAGTGTGACACATCACATTCACAGAATCAAGAACAAAAACCGTATGGTTATTTCAATAGATGCCAAAAAAGCATGTGATAAAATTCAGCATTCTTTATGATGAAAATCCTCATCAGAATGGGTATAAAAGGAACACACCTTAAAATAATAAAGGCCATATATGACAAACCCATGGCTAACATTGTACTGAATGGAGAAACATTGAAGGCCTTTCCTCTAAGGAATGGAACAAACACAAGGATGCCCACTTTCACCACTTTTTTTCAACATAACACTGGAAGTCTTGACTGGAATGACTAGGCAAAAAAAAAAAAAAAAAAAAATCAGTAAATTTGCAGGATACAAAATTAACATATAAAAATCAGCAGCATTTATATATACAAATAGTAAACAATCTGAAAAAGATATTAGGAAGGTAATTGCATTTACAATAGCTACAAAAATATCAAATACCTAGGAATCAATCTAACCAAAGAAGTGCAAGGTCAATACAAGGAAAACTATAAAATTCTGAAAAGAAATGAAATTAATATAATAATTAATATTGTTAAATTGACAATAATACCCAAAGCAATGCACAGATTCAATGCAATCCATATCAAAATACCAATGACATTCTTCACAGAGACAGAAAAAAAAATTCTATAATGTATCTGGAACCACAAAAGACCCTCAATAGCCAAGGTAATACTGAGCAAAAAGAACAAAACTGAAGGTATCACACTACCTGATTTCAAAGCTTACTATAAATTTATAGTAACAAAAACATCATGGTACTCACATAAAAATAGATACATACAACAACGGAACAGAATAGAGAATCCAGATATAGATACACACATTTACAGCCAACTCATCTTTGATAAAGGCACCAAGAAATAAAATGGAGAAGGGACAGTCTTTTCAGTAAGTAGTGCTAGAAAACTGGATATCCATATGCAGAAGAATTAAACTAGACCTCTATCTCTCACTATATGCAAAAATTCAGTCAATATGGATTAAACACTTAAATCTAAGACCTAAAACCATGAAACTACTAGAAAGAAACATTGGGGGAAAATCTCCAGGACACTGGCCTGGGCAAAGGTTTACTCTGTAAGATCTCAAAAGCACAAGTAACCAAAGCAAAAATAGACAAATGGGATTACATCAAGCTACAAGGCTTCTGCACAGCAGAGGAAACAATCAACAAAGTGAAGAGACAACTTACAGAATGGGAGAAAATATTTGCACACTATCCATCTGAGAAGGTATTAATAACCAGAACATATAAGAAGCTCAAACTATTTAATAGCAAAAAAATTAATTAAAAATGGGCAAAAGATTGGTATTAACATTTCTCAAAAGAAGACATACAAATGGCCAACAGTTACATGAAAAAATATTCAGCATTTGATATGGTTTGGCTGTGTCCCCACCAAAATCTCAACTTGAATTGTATCTCCCAGAAGTCCTACGTGTTGTGGGAGAGACCCAAAATACCCAGGGGGAGGTAATTGAATCATGGGGGCTGGTCTTTCCCATGCTATTCTCATGATAGTGAATAAGTCTTGTGAGAACTAATGGGTTTATCAGGGGTTTCTACTTTTGCTTCTTCATTTTTCTCTTGCTGCCACTATGTAAAAAGTGCCTTTTGCCTCCTGCCATGATTCTGAGGCCTCCCAGCCATGTGGAACTGTAAGTCCAATTAAACCTCTTTTTGTTTCCAGTTTTGGGTATGTCTTTATCAGCAGCATGAAAATGAACTAATATGGTAAATTGGTACCAGTAGAGTGGGGCGTTGCTGAAAAGATACCCAAAAATGTGGAAGCGACTTAGGAACTGGGTAACAAGCAGAGGTTGGAACAGTTTGGAGGGCTCAGAAAAAGACAGGAAAATGTGGGAAAGTTTGGAACTTCCTAGAGACTTGCTGAATGGTTTTGATGAAAATGCTGATAGTGACACGAAAAATAAGGTCCAGGCTGAGGTTGTCTCAGATGGAGATGAGGAACTTGTTGGGAACTGGAGCCAAGGTGACTCCTGTTATGTTTTAGCAAAGAGACTGGCAGGGTTTTGCCCCTGCCCTAAAGATTTGTGGAACTTTGAACTTGAGAAAGATGATTTAGGGTATCTGGCGGAAAAAATGTCTAAGCAGCAAAGCATTCAAGATGTGACTTGGGCGCTGTTAAAAGCATTCAGTTTTGAAAGGGAAACAGAGCATAGAAGTTTGGAAAATTTCCAGCCTGACAATGTGATAGAAAAGAAAAACCCATTTTCTGGAGAGAAATTCAAGCCAGCTACAGAAATTTGCATAAGTAGCAAGGAGCCTAATGCTAATCCCCAAGACCATGGGGAAAACGTCTCCAGGTCATGTCACAGACCTTCATGGCAGCCTCTCCCATCACAGGCCCAGAAGCCTAGGAGAAAGAAGTGTTTTTGTGGGCTGGGCCCAGGGCTGCCAAGCTGTGTGCAGCCTAGAGACTTGGTGCCCTGTGTCTCCGCTGCTCTAGTCATGGCTGAAAGAGGCCAATGTACAGCTTGGGCTGTGGGTTCAGAGGGTGGAAGTCCCAAGCCTTGGCAGCCTCCACATGATGTTGAGCCTGTGGGTGCAGAGAAGTCAAGAATTGAGGTTTGGGAACCTCTGCCTAGATTTCAGAAGATGTATGGAAATGTCTGGATGCCCAGGCAAAAGTTTGCTGCAGGGGCAGGGCCCTCATGGAGAACCTCTGCTAGGTCAGTGTGGAAGGGAAATGTGGGGTTGGGGTCCTCACACAGAGTCCCTACTGGGGCACTGACTAGTGGAGCTGTGGGAAGAGGGCCACCATCCTCCAGGTCCCAGAATGGTAGATCCACTGACAGCATGCACCATGCACCTGGAAAAGCCACAGACACTCGACGCCATCCCATGAAAGCAGCCAGAAGGGAGGCTGTACCCTGCAAAGCCACAGGGGTGGAGCTGCCCAAGACCACGGGAACCCACTTCTTGCATCAGCTTGACTAGGATGTGAGACCTAGTCAAAGGAGATCATTTTGCACCTTTAAAATTTGACTGCCTGCTGGATTTGACTTCCCCGCATGGGCCCTGGAACCCCTTGTTTTGGCCAATTTCTCCCATTTGGTATGGCTATATTTACCAATACCTGTACCCCCATTGTATCTAGGAAGTAACTAGCTTGCTTTTGATTTTATAGGCTCATAGGCGAAAGAGACTTGTCTTGTCTCAGATGAGACTTTGGACTGTGGACTTTTGGGTTAATGCTGAAATGAATTAAGACTTTGGGGGACTGTTGAGAAGGCATGATTGGTTTTGAAATGTGAGGACATGAGATTTGGAGAGGCCAGGGGTGGAATGATATGGTTTGGCTGTGTCCCCACCAAAATCTCAACTTGAATTGTATCTCCCAGAAGTTCCACGCATTATGGGAGGGACCCAGGGGGAGGTAATTGAATCATGGGGGCTGGTCTTTCCCATGCTATTCTCATGATAGTCAATAAGTCTCACGAGATCTGATGGATTTATCAGGGGTTTCTGCTTTTCTTTCTTCCTCATTTTTCTCTTGCTGCCACCATGTAAGAAGTGTCTTTTGCCTCCTGCCATGATTCTGAGGCCTCCCCAGTCATGTGGAACTGTAAGTCTAATTAAACCTCTTTTTGTTTCCAGTTTCGGGTGTGTCTTTATCAGCAGTGTGAAAATGAATTAATACATCATCACTAATCATCAGAGAAATGCAAATCAAAATCACAATGAAATATCATCTCATTCCAGTTAAAATGGTTTGTATCAAAAAGGCAATAACAAATGCTGGTAAAGATGTGGAGAAAGGGGAACCCTTGTACACTCTTGGTGGGAATGTAAACTAGTACAGCCAATATAGACAACAGTATGGAGCTTCCGCAAAAACTAAAAACAGAACTACCAGCAATTCTAATACTGAGTATATATACAAGAAAAAGGAGATCAATATATCAAAGAGATATCTGCATTCCCACATTAATTGCAGCACTATTCACAATAGCCAAAATATGGAATCAACCTAAGTGCCAATGGATGGATGAATGAATAAAGAAAATGTAGAATATACACATAATTATTCAGCCATAACAAACAATGAAATCCTGCCATTTGCAACATGGTTGGAACTAGAGGCTATTATGTTAAGTGAAATAAGCCAAGCACAGAAGGACAAATATCACATGTTCTCACTCATATGTGAGAACTAAAAGAGTGGATCTCATGAAGATAGAAGATTGTTGGTTACCAAAGGCCAGGAAGAGTGGGAGGGAGAAGGGTTTGAAGGGAAAAAAAGAATATAAATGGAGCCATTATCACTTAATTGTACACTTAAAAATGGTAAGAATGGTAAATTTTATATGTATATTTTATCTCAATAAAAACCCCACAAAATTGCAAAAATTATTACTTTGTAATTATAAGCATATACTAGCCTAGGGATTAGAAGGAATACATGGTGGTGGGTTGAGGAGAAAACTATGCCAAAGACGTGTCTAAGAGAGCAGTCTTAAAAAAGGATTTCTTAACCTTTGCATTGTCATTAGGGGTGGACAATTTTCTGTTGTGGGATGCTATCTTCCGCCTAGGATGTTTATTAGCAGTAATCCTGGTATTTACGTGCTAGATGCCAGTAACATCTCCCCTCAGCCCTCCACCCCTGCCCTGCCCTGATGTAATAACCAAAAATGTCTCTAGACATTGCTAAATATCTCCTGGGGGCAAAATTATTCAGGGCTGAGAACCACTAAGTTGGAGTCAGAAGAGTGAAACAATTTTAAAAATTAGCTGGGTGTGGTGGTGCATGTCTGTAGTTCCAGCTACTCAGCATTGCTTGAGCCCAGTAGTTTGAGGCTAGACTTGGCAACAGCTCTGCATGCTGTATAGAGGTAGAGACCCTGAAAAAAGAAAGAATGAAAGAACGAAAGAAAGCAAGAAAGAAAGAAAAAAGAAAAAAATTGATCTAATCTTGAAATGTGAAGGAGACATCTCACTGCACAGAAACATAGAGAACAACTGTTTGTAATAATTATTAGTTTAATATATATTTTCTTTGCTAGATTGTAAGATGCACGAGGACAGAGACTGTAACTCTTATTTTTATAATCAGATCATAATCTGAAAGTTAGTCGACAGGTGTTTATTGCATTGCTATGGGTCTATCAATGGGTTATGTGCATTTGAGGCAGGATAGGTAGTCAAGGAAGTGACCATGTTGCCAGGACGCAGTGATCGTGGTGGCCATACAACCAACACAGGCCTCAGCGTTCGCAGTATAATTGAGCTCATTCAAGCAAAGCTATCTGCGGTGGGGACTTTTCCTTCTAGAGAGCATGTGCACTTGGATTTTACCAGTCCTCAAATTGGCGCTTTGCTCATTTCAATAGTGAAAAATACACTCCTGGGTGGAGATTTCAGATGCTAATGAGACACACGATGCATGAACAAGCATGTGCAGCTACTGTGCATGTGCACCCAGAGGACCACCCAGAACATACCTACTAGTAACGCCTCTTCCCACCTTCTTATGAATTATTATGTAAAACTCCCATAAAGGGAGTCTCCCTAGTGCCAGTCTTTGCTGGCTCATCCTTATGGGCAGCCCACCCTGAATCCTCTCTCTCTCAGGGTGTCCTGTCTATTCTGTACCTACCTTTCAAAATATTCTTTTTCTTTTGCAATAAATCACTGTATGCTGCACCTTCTTTGCCAGGTGCTCTTATTTAAATTCTTTTAAACTAAGGAGACAAGAACTGAGGTCTCACAGAAACCATCAATATTTTGGAAATAAAAGAGAGGATTTAGAACTGAGTCTGTTCTTAAAGTGCTTCATGGCTTATTTTCTAATTGCTTACTATACAGTAGCTCTTTTCTGTGCTACTAGATAACAAAACCTATAGTACTAAAAACCATGTTCTTTTTCAAAGAATGCAGAAAAGAGTATGAAGTAGAGGAAGTAGAGGAGGAAGTAGAATTAAAGTTGATTCTTGATGAATGGACTAGTTTTCAGTGGGTGGAAGAAAAAAATGAATGAGGGATTCCGGATGTGGTGAACAGCATAAGCAGAGCTATTCAGTTAGGAATTAAAATCATTTTGGTGTTGAGAGCAAGCAACTATTTTTTTTTCTCGAGTACTTACTATGTGTCAGTTACTCTGTTAACTGGTATGTATATATTATTTCATTTATAGGACTCAGCCAGTGAAGGCATGAAAGTGTTAGAATCATTTTAATGGACTTGATTCAAATGAGGGTGGGGAAGTATAAGTAAAAGTCAATCCAAGATATTGTCTCAGCTCCTGGAACAGTGGTTCCATTGATGGCATGGCTGCTTGGAAAAGTGGTCAAAATTTATTGGTAATAGGAATTTTCTTTTTGCATTTTAGAGCTAAAAGGGGGCCTTCAATGTCATATTTGAATCTGGCAACAAAACAACCAAAAAAGATATCCTCTATGTAATAGGAAATATGAGATCAGAATCCCTGTGAGAGGACACAGGTAAAGATGTAAGTTTGGAAATCATCTGTCACGGGAGTGGATGAAATGGCTAAATGGGTAAATCAAGAGAAGAGCTGCTTGCCAAAATGAGAGCCTCAGTGGACACTACCTATTAGAACACCTGACAACAAAGAGAAGATGAAGAAGAAATCAGAGAGGAAGGAGGAGAAACAGGAAAGTACAGAGTTGAAAAATATTTAGAAAGGAAATGATACATGATTATTAGGATTTCCTACCACTCTGAGATGTAAAAAGAGGCAAAGTCAGTTTGGGGAATTCTTCAAGTCAAGAAGCCTGGTTATCTTCATTCAGAGAATGGAAGAGCTCAGCCTCACCTTTCAATTCTCATTGGCTCTGAAACATCATAGGGGTGGGGTGGATAAGTTACTTTGTAGCTTTTATTTCTATTTGTGGCTATGATCTGGGTTGTTTACACTTTGTAAATAATTTTACAGAAATATAACGATATTAATGTTTTGAAAAAGGAATTGCTATAGGAGAGCAAGTGTGGAAGGATAAGACCCACAATGGAATCCAACGTAGATTAGTAATGAAGTTCTTTAAACTTGTCCAGCATGACAATGATCTAGAGCAACAGAAATGTCTTCTTGGATTCATTCCATGCGAGCTAACTTGGCCTCCGTGCTCCTATTCCATTGTTCCTAGAACATAACACTCATTGTCCATGCACTTGCTGTCCCAATCTACTCAGGAGGCTTTTCCTCCCAATATCTACAAGGCTTACTAACTCACTCTCTTCAGATCTTGCTCAAATGTTACCTTATCAAATCAGCCTTTCCTAACCACTCTTTCGAATACAGTAACTACCATTTTTACCCTAGACACTCCTTACTCTCCTTACTGTGCTCAAGGAAATTAGGATAGACTTATTACCATCAGATAGACTATGCATTCTCTTATTTATATGTTTATTGTCTGATCTCCCCTTACCCCTGTGCACATACCAGCAAATTATCTCTATCATGATGGAGATCTTTTATTTTATACTTGCTGCTACATCCCCCATGTTCTAGAACAGTTGCAGGTACTCAATAGATGTGGAATGAATGGATGAAAAGGCACTATCTTTATAATACCGTGTAGTGGTTAGGACAGATGACTTTGAAGCAATGTTGCCTGGGTTTCAATCCTGGCAGTACCACTGATTCTAGTTGTGTGGAAGGTTAGTTAACTTCTGTGTACTTCATTTTTATTGTCTCTAAAAAATACCATAATAAAAATATTGTAAGATTGTTTAAAGAATTAAATGAATTATCTCATGTAAAGAACTGAGGACAGTGCCTGGTACAGAGTTGTTGCTCTGTTAATGTTAGCTATCACTATTTTTTTTTTTTTTTTGAGACGGAGTCTTGCCCTGTCACCCAGGCTGGAGTGCAATAGTGCGGTCTCGGCTCACTGCAACCTCTGCCTCCCAGATTCAAGCAATTCTCCTGCTTCAGCCTCCTGAGTAGCTGGGACTACAGGTGCGTGCCAGCACACCCAGCTAATTTTTGTATTTTTAGTCGAGATGAGGTTTCACTATGTTGGCCAGGCTTGTCTCTAACTCCTGACTTCCTGATCTGCCCACCTCGGCCTCTCAAAGTGCTGGAATTACAGGTGTCAGCCACTGCGCCCAGCCTTAGCTATCACTATTAATGTGGTTCTGTAATGTGACTGAAAAGTGTAGTACTTTCAAATCTGGACGTATAAATACATGCTATCCAGAGGTCAGAAGGGAAGGGATTGTTGGGGCCAGAGAGGCAGTGAGGAGCTATAGTAGACTGAATGCAAGAATGGTCACCACCAATTCCTTCTACCCTAAAACATGCCATTTCTCTGTCAAGAGGTAGAGTCTATTTCTCCTCTTCCTTTAAATCTGGTCTGGCAAAGAGTGCAATGGAAGTGATGTTTTGAGACTTCCAAGGAAGATCATAACAAACTTCAGCATCCTATGGGGCCTCTTAGAATGCTCCAAGTAAAGCCAGTCACTATCTAAAAAGTTTAACTACTGTGAACCACCATTATGTAAAGACACTCAAACTAGCTATGTAGTAAAACCATATGGAGAGAGAGTGATGCAGGTCAGCCCCTAGCTGTTCCAGCCATTCCAGTCAAAGAACAAGGAATGTGAGCAAAAAAGACATCTTGGACATTCCAGCCTCAGCAGATGCCATAGGGAAAAAAATCAAGGCCACTGTCTTATGGCCCCAATTTAGTCACCTCATCCCTCTTCAGCCATTTGTGCTACCCTAGATGAGGGCCCAGATATTTTGGAGCAGACATAAGCCATATCCATTTTCCCCCAACCAAATTTTATATACAGAGAATTGTGAGCATAACAGACTGATTTTTAAATGCAATTGTATTTTAGGGCAGTTTGTTACACAGCAACATGTAATGGGAGCTGGAGACATTCAGTTTGCAGAAATTAGGAAAACTTTAAAATGCTCTTTATATTATGAAAGCAATAATAATGAAGATCATGATAATGACAACAACACTGGTAGGCATATTTTATTAAAGGTCTAGTATATCTTGGGTACTCTAATTACTAAATTTACTTCTTATAAGTTTGAGTAGTGTATGTGTGATGGTTAATACTCAGTGTCAACTTCATTGGATTGAAGGATGCAAAGTATTGATCCTTGGTGTGTCTGTGAGGGTGTTGCCAAAGGAGATTAACATTTGATTCGGTGGCTGGGAAAGGCAGACCCACCCTTAATCTGGGTAGGCACAATCTAATCAGCTGCCAGCATGGCTAGGATAACAGCAGGCAGAAGAATGTGAAAAGACTACATCTTTCTCCCGTGCTGGATTCTTCCTGCCCTTGAACACCAGACTACAAGTTCTTCAGCCTTGGGACTTGGACTGACTTCCTTGCTCCCCAGCCTATTGTGGGACGTTGTGATTATGTGAGTTAATACTACTTAATAAACAAACTCCCCTTCATATATATATATATGTATATCTTATCAGTTCTGTCCCTCTAGAGAACCCTGACTAATACAATATGTTAATGTAGTTAGACAAGTTTGCACATTTGCATATGGTGATGGAATCTATCCAACCACAACTCATTTTGCTTGTCTCCCCACCACTCACATGTGAGGGGTCTTGTGAAGCATATCAAGAATTTGAGACTTTATGGGTTTTTTTTTTGTTTCTTTTTTTTTTTGAGATGGAGTTTCTCTCTTATTGCCTACGCTGGAGTGCAATGGCACGATCTCGGCTTACCGCAGCCTCCGCCTCCTGGGTTCAAGCAATTCTCCTGCCTCAGCCTCCTGTGTAGCTGGGATTACAGGCATGTGCCACAATGCCTGGACAATTTTTTTTTTGTAATTTTAATAGAGACAGGGTTTCTCCATGTTGGTCAGGCTGGTCTCAAACTCCCGACCTTAGGTGATCTGCCCGTCTTGGCTTCTCAAAGTGCTGGGATTACAGGTGTGAGCCACCGCCCCGGCCGAGACTTTATCTTAAAGGCAATGAGCAATCATTAAAGAAATTGTATCAGGTTGCTGGTACAATCATATTTGAATAATTATAAATTATTTTGGCTGCAGTGGGAAGAAATGTTGTTGCAGTGGTCAAGTAGTCTTCAAATGATTCACTAGGGTGAAATGATGGGTTTGGCACTAGGGTGGAGATAACTGAGATAAAAAAAGAAGAGTTGACTGATTTAATGGAGGTGGGTAAGTATTGGAAAGATTGTACCCAGGACAAATTTGAAGGATTTGGGGTTATTCTCCAAGTTTTTATTCACATATTCCCAGAAAAGTCTCAGGAGTTATTCTATCTGGCCTGGGTGGCCTGATAAATTACATGTAATTTAATTTCCTTTAATATCATTCTAAGACGGTAAACTTAACTATAATTTTTTTGGGGAGAGGATAGGAAGGTACTTTGATACTTTCTCATTTACCCAAGAACAGGGCTTTCACAGGCATGGAGAGGGTGGGAGAGAGGGTGTTTGTTCTTAGATTCATGCTCTTATAGGATGCATGGTGGCAGGTGTGATAATGATGTCTTACCTTGCAAAATAAAAGGATGATGCTAATAGTTCAATTCCTAGATAAAATCAGGATAGCAGAGGAGGAATCTTGTGGAAGCTTTTGGTTTATTTGGGAGGGAACTGTAATTATGAAATTGGGTAAGATGGTGGGAGGCTTCCTCCCTCACACCATCACGTTTGTTTCTGTCCTTTTGGCTCACTGTACATGGCCAGGAATAATAGTCTTCAAGTGTCACTTTCAAGCTATGAATTTCCCAGAAAATGGAACATGGATGATTTTTCTTGCTTAGTTCAGGGCCATGTGTATTGATTTGTATCTGATCTTGAATTTTTCTAACTCAAGGTTTCTACATACTACAAGGTTTCTAACTCAAGAACATTTTTCTAACTCAAGGTTTTTACTACTAATAGCAGCAGTTGACATTTATATAGTGGTTTCTCTGTGTCAGACACTGTTCTGAACACTTTTCATGTGTTAATTTAATCATTATGAAAACCTTATGAGGTAAGTACCATCATCATTCCCATTTTACAGACAAGAAAATTGACAGCAGAGAGGCTTTGTAACTAACCCAAGATCACTAGGAAGCAGTAGAGGGTGTATTTAAATCCTGGAACTCTAGCTTCATAGACTGTGCTTTTTAACCAATGGGCTTAAGTTGGTAATTCTTACTGATTTGGTTAATCACTTACTGATTTTGATAATCACTTCTATTTCTTGAGTATTTACTATATTAAAGACACTTTGATACGTAGTAAGTGAAAGTAGACACTGGCACTATTTAGTTTCTAGAAAGAAATAAAATATTACCTATATATTCTTATATAGGTACTATTTTCAATCCCATTTCATGAGGGGGAAACTGAGACTTAGGGGGGTTTAAGTATCTGCTGGTAAGTGGCATAGTCACTTTGAATTGAGGTCTACCTCATACCACAACCCATGGGATCAACTGTCAGCTAATACCTATCTAGCTTATAGAAATTTGGTTTTGCCGGTTGTCTCTACTGCATCCTGCAGGTCTTTCCTAATATTACAGGATCTCTTGGGAATAAAACAACTCTTTGCCTGAAGTCCAATGATCAAATAAAAAAGCCAATATCTCTTTTAACTGTGCAATTCAAGCACATCTAGTGTAATTTTACAACTCATCCCAGATTGCATTTATTACTCTGATGGCTTGTTCCAAATACAGACTATGGAGCCCATGTAGCTTGTTTCATGAAATATAGGATAGAGTGAGGAGTCTTTTGGTTTTCTAATATGGAAGTAGAGGATGCCAGCAATAACTTTCCATATTTCCATTAAGACATATTTATTAGTGCTTACACTCATATAGTTGAATCTATAATTTTATAGGAAATTATAATAATTTCTTCATCCCAGAAAGTCAAACATTTCCAAGTAGGGAAGAAAATTGACTTTCATGTAATTTTCTCAGTTTATTTATGCTGAAGAGGCTTTTGCCATGTGAAGTTTTCTGAGTATGGCTTAGAGGCAAATAAATCTTTCATTTTAAATAGCATAAAACATCTGGGAATTAGTTCTTATCTATTAAATTAATAGTTCATGGAACTCCAGTTTTGTGGAGTTTGTCCTAAATTCAGGGTAGAGTGGAAATCATGTTCCCTGATGGAAAAAACTTGGCTGCTAGGCCAAGATTGGTTTTGACAAAAATTGCAGTTCACTCGTTGATTTACTTAGATGATTCTCATTCTACTTTACCTTAAGAAGATGTCTTCATGGGATTCAGCGAATGTTTTTAAACAGATATATGAGGCAAACAAGAATGAGTTATCAGCTAATATCACAGATAGTTGATTCCATGAATAGACTGTCAGGCTGAAGTGACCCAAGATGATGAGATACTTTTCAAGAACAGTCTTCAGATGGTAAAAATTAGACAGTATTCCACATAAGTACTCCCATTATAGTAAAAACATCACCTTTTAGAATTCAAAACAAGTGGTAAGCATGAAATTCCCTGTTAAATGCTTTCTGTTATAGCTACTCTGATAAACATTTTCTGTGGCGAATTTATTTCACTAAAGATTTGCAGACCCAAACATGCATTTTCAACATACAAAATTGTTCCCTTTTGTTTTAAACAGAGCACTGTTATCAAGATGGGGTATGACCTTCACAGAATGAAACTGATTGATTCCTTCTCTCATTATAAACTTTTAATGATGATATGGAAGACCCAAACCCATACGCAAACATAAACCCAATATAAGCACTTATCTTAGTAAGGACATTTTACGGAAAAGAGGATGGTTAGCTCATCTTTGTTGGAATAAAAATTTAATATTTCTTAACAGTCACTGAGTGAGAGTCTGCTGGGAGGGTAGATTACTGGTTTCTTAGAACAAGTCCGAAACCCATTAAGCCTCACGAAAAATTGTTATGCATTTTATCAGGAAGTCTAATTTCTTCCCAGAGGTAAGTCTTGAATAACATTACCAAATAGGGTTTTATCCCATACCAGGTTTTGGACAATTTTTCTTTTATAGAGATAATAGGGTCTTGTATCTATAAATAAGCCTGATTAAAAATTAAATAAGTTATTTGGTTAAGTCTCATTAAAGAATGTAAATTTAGCTCCCACGCTCGGATATCAAAGGTTTGTGTTTATGAGGAAAATAAAGAGAGAGAATATGTGTGTGTGTGTCTCTCTGTGTGTGTGTGTGTGTGTGTGTGTGCACACATGTGCTCTCCACTCCCTCAATCTGTGGACACATGATTAGAAAAACTACCCTTAAGCATTTTGATCACTTATGGCAAAGCAAGTGTTACAGGAGCATGTTGCAACAAAACCAGAAAGAATGCAAACTGGCTAGCCATATGTAGAAAGCTGAAACTGGATCCCTTCCTTACACCTTATACAAAAATTAATTCAACATAGATTAAAGATTTACATGTTAGACCTAAAACCATAAAAACACTAGAGGAAAACCTAGGCAATACCATTCAGGACATAGGCATGGGCAAGGACTTTGTGTCTAAAACACCAAAAGCAATGGCAACAAAAGCCAAAATTGACAAATGGGATCTAATTAAACTAAAGAGCTTCTGTACAGCAAAAGAAAATACCATCAGAGTGAACAGGCAACCTACAGAATGGGAGAAAATTTTTGCAACCTACTCATCTGACAAAGGGCTAATATCCAGAATCTACAATGAAATCCAACAAATTTACAAGAAAAAAACAAACGACCCCATCAAAAAGTGGGCGAAGGATATGAACAGACACTTCTCAAAAGAAGACATTTATGCAGCCAAAAAACACACGAAAAAATGCTCATCATCACTGGCCATCAGAGAAATGCAAATCAAAACCACAATGAGATACCATCTCACACCAGTTAGAATGGTGATCATTAAAAAGTCAGGAAACAACAGGTGCTGGAGAGGATGTGGAGAAATAGGAATACTTTTACACTGTTGGTGGGACTGTAAACTAGTTCAACCATTGTGGAAGTCAGTGTGGCGATTCCTCAGGGATCTAGAACTAGAAATACCATTTGACCCAGCCATCCCATTACTGGGTATATACCCAAAGGATTATAATTCATGCTGCTATAAAGACACATGCACACGTATGTTTATAGCGGCACTATTCACAATAGCAAAGACTTGGAACCAACCTAAATGTCCAACAACAATAGACTGGATTAAGAAAATGTGGCACATATACACCATGGAATACTATGCAGCCCTAAAAAATGATGAGTTCATGTCCTTTGTAGGGACATGGATGAAACTGGAAACCATCATTCTCAGCAAACTATCCCAAGGACAAAAAACCAAACACCGCATGTTCTCACTCATAGGTGGGAATTGAACAATGAGAACACATGGACACAGGAAGGGGAACATCACACATCGGGGCCTTTTGTGGGGTGGGGGGAGGGGGGAGGGATAGCATTAGGAGATATACCTAATGCTAAATGATGAGTTAATGGGTGCAGCACACCAACATGGCACATGTATACATATGTAACAAACCTGCACGTTGTGCACATGTACCCTAAAACTTAAAGTATAATAATAATAAAAGAAAAAAAAAGAATGCAGCTGTTAACAAAAGTATATTTCAAGCCAGTAAGGTCTAGTTAAAAAATACTGAGACCTAAAAGACCTGCCACACATTAAAATTGTGAGGAAATTGATTTTGCCTTAGCAAAATGATAACACATCAATGTAACCTGAACAATAGAAGAAGGTAATTCATGAGGATTATCTAAAACAAGTGAGTTTAATGTCGTGAATCTGATTTGTTTTGGAAGCAGATCATTTTATTTTTAAAAATATATATTTAATGCTATTTAAATAATTTTATATGAGACCTATTTTATATGAGACCTTGATTTATGTTAATCTAGAGTTTGACAAAAATACGATTTTTTAAGAATGTACATCCCAGAGGCTGACAAGGGATTACCATATAAAGTCACCTAGGGCAGGGATCATGCTTAATTTGTCTACTCAGTAGGCAATTGGAAGTTTTGTGTTAGGTGAACCTGTTCGGTAAAGGTGAAAATGTATTCTGCAGTTCTTTTTAATCTATTAAGGGCTAACCAGGATATGATACTGTACCAAATCATAGTCTTTTGATAATGGATGAAAGAAAGAATGTGCTTAGAGTTGTGTTTTACGATTTATATTTTCTGCAACTAGTATGAGTTACTTTTTACATAAAAAATGTGTAAAAATATCTTAAACCTCAAGTTTATATAGTTTTGGTTTAATTCCTGAGTTTTCTCATACATAGAGATAAATACTCACATGGCCTTCAGACTCCATTCCCACACTCCCAGTAGTTATACTAGAAGAATTGTGGAACTGTGGAAGGAATTCAGCCAGAATAAGGTTGGGCTAGATTTTATGATTCTGCAACATTCATTATATTTCTAGCCATTTTGAAGCACATAATTAGTGTGCTAAGTCCTAGGGATAACAAGGTAAATAAAACCATATCCCTGTCCCCATCTAGCTTGCATGTAGGCAAGTACACATCTCATCTGAAATACATGTAGTTAGTCCTGAGTGAGTGAATGATTTGGGATCCTACAGAGCTGAAATGATTTCGTCACTCATTCCACCTCCTGGGAGGCTTAGAACAGACTTTATAAAATAAGCAATTGACTTCTCTTAAACTGAGTCTTGAAGGGTTGAGTTGTGAAGTAAAGAAGGGAGGAGGGATCAATCCAGATAAAGGTAAAGGAACCTGTGCAACTGTAGCCGCCCAATTCTGTGCTCTTGCTGGAAAGGTGTTGAGATCATTTGGAGGAGAAGAGGCACTCTGGCTTTCTGAGTTTTCAGCGTTTTTTCGTTGGTTCCTTCTCATCTTTGTGAGTTTGTCTAGCTTTGATCTTTGAGGCTGCTGGCCTTTGAGATTTTTGTGGGAATCTTTTTGCGGATGCTGTTGTTGTTTTTGTTGCTTTCTGTTTGTTTTCCTTTTAACAGTCAGGCCCCTCTTCCGTAGGGCTGCTGTGGTTTGCTGGGGGTCCACTCCAGGCCCTATTCACCTGGGTGCCTCCCTTCCCTGGAGATATCAGTGGAGGCTGCAGAACAGCAGAGATGGCTGCCTGCTCCTTCCTCTGGGAGCTCCCACCCAGAGAAGCACCTACCTGAGCCAGTGGGAACGCTCCCCTATAAAGTGTCTGGCGACCTCTACTGGGGGATCTCATCCAGTCAGGAGGCATGGGATCCAGGATCCGTTTAAGGAAGCACTCTGACTGCCCCTTGGACAAGCGGGTGTGCTGTGCTGGTGGGAATCCCACTCTTCCGGACTGCCCGGATTCCTCAGAGCCAGCAGGGGGAAAGACTGAGTCAGCTGATCCTGCGGAGACTATGGCCACTCCTTCTGCAAGGGGCTCTGTTCCAGGAAGATCAGAGTTCTGTCCTTAAACCCTTGGCTGGAGTTGCTGAAATTCCAGCAGGGAGGCCCTGCCTGGTAAGGAGGTATGGGTCTGGCCTAAAGAGGCAGTCTGGCCACAATTTGCCATAGCTGCTGTGCTGCACTGTGGGGAATTTCTCCTGGGTCCAAACTGCCCAATCTCCCTGGCACTGGCAGGGGAAAATGGCTGACAGGAGCTGCGGTGTTGGCTGCCACCCCTCCCTCCAGGAGCTCAGTCGTCTTAGACGGACTCCAGCCCAGCGGCTGCTGAGAATCTGCACAGCTCCGTGCTTGAGACCCAAGGCCCTGGTGGCATGGGCTCATGAGGGGTCTCCTGATCCATGGGTTGCAGATCTGTGGAAGAAGCATGGTTTCCCAGGCGGGGTAGCACAATCAGTCGCCGCCTCCCTTGGCTGGCGGTGGGAGCTCCCCTTGTCCTGTGCAGCTCCTAGGTGAACCACGGCTCCACCCTGCCTTTCCTCACTCTCCATGCGCCAGCCACCTAGTCAGTCCCAGTGAGAGAACCTAGATACGTTAGTTGCCAGTGCAGGTCGCTCACAGTTTTCATTAGTCTGGATGGGAGCCTCTGACCCCAACTGTTCCTAGTCGGCCATCTTGGTCCTCTTAGCTGTTCTTTTCTAAAGACCTTTCGTCTTCCATATAAATGTTAGATTGAGTCAGTCAAGTTCCTAAATAAATCGAGCTGGACTTTTGATTGGGATTGAATTGAATTTGTAGTTTGAGTTGGAGTATATTGACATTATTAATATATTCTTTAATACTGTATATTGTATAGTATATCATTTTAAAGATATTATATGTATGTATTTAAATATAAAATGTTCTATATGCATTCCATATTCTGTGTTCTTCAATATTCTGTTAATTCCCAGGTACTTGATGGTTTTTGTTGCTGCTGCTGGTATCTTTTTTTCTATTATATTTTTCAGCTGGTCATTTGATATTACTTTGTAAATAGGAAAACATGTACATCTAAACAAAATGTTTATCTTTAAAACCAAAAGATTCTCTGCTGAAGTTGCTACACTAGGAGTGTTCATTGATGCCCAATAAAAACAGATTTTTACTCTAATAATTGTTCATTTTCCTGTAACAAGCTTGGGGGATTCACAGCAGAGAGAAAATTATAAATTTGCTGTTTGTCTTACTTTCTGTTGTCTACAGTAGAAAGTAAGAGGATAGTGGGGTATAAATCTTAGATAAGTTAAATAAACATTAACTTTCCAAAACTAATAGTAATAGTAACACCTATTGTAGTGGACACCATTGGTTGCTCCCATGTCATCCATTCCTCTCTTCATCTTTTCATACAGAATCTCAATTGTTTTCCTCACACAGCTGTGTGCTTCAGGAGAACCTGACCTACCTACAGATCCAGGGGTGCTCCTGATTGGTTTAAAGACAGCCCATTCTCTCGCCAGTGATTGGTTCAGGTATGGGGAACATGATCCAATTCTGGCCAATTAAATTATATTTGCTGGGTGGATTCTGGGGCAAGTTTTCTCATTCCCAAGGAAGAGACACAAAAAGACGTGTTTTCTCTATCTGCTTGCATCAGAGTGTTTCTGATTTAAATGTGGATTTAATATAAAGTCTTTATATAAAAGAACTGAAAATAGAACAAAGGGTATTTACATTAAGTTCAAAATGCACAAGAGATTTTGGCAAAAAAATAATAACAAGTTTTATAGTTAAAAAGAGTAAGAATAATATCAGGTTAATCAATTTTTAAAATTGGGGTAAATTTACATACCATAAAAAGCCGTTTTCAATGTTTAGTTCAGTGAGTTTTGACAATTTTATACACACCTGTAAGTACACCCCAAACAAAATATAAAATATTTTTTATCACCCGAGGACGTTCTTTCCTGTCCCTTTCTAGTCAAAGATCACCCTTTCAAAGGAAATCACTTTTTGAGTTTTGTCGTCACAGATTAGTTTAACCTGTTCTTGAATGTGACATAACTGGAATCATACAATATATATTTTGGTGTGTGCCTAGCTTTTTTATCTCCATATAATGTTCCTGAGATGCACACAAATACAAGTAGTCTGTTATTTTTTTTTTATCGGTGAGTAGTATTCCACAGTACAAATTTAATGAAATTTGTTTACCTGTTCTTTTATGGATGGACATTTGAGCAGCTTTTGGTTTTATGTATTACGAGTAAAACTATTGAATGTTTTTGTATAAATAGTTTTGTAAATGTATGTTTTCAATTCTTTTTGATAAACGTCTAGAGAGGAGTCATATGGTTATATGGCTAGTACATGCTTAACTTAATGTGAAATTTCCTGAATTTCTTTAAAGTGGTTGTATCCTTTTACACTTTCACTGAGAGTTCCAGCTACACCATATCCTTAACCATCACTTAGTGTCATGAATCTCTTTCATGTTAGCTCTTCTAGTCAGTGTGAAATGCTATCTCGCTGTGATTTCAAATGGAATTTTTAAAAATTACCAATGATGTTAAGCAACTTTGTCATGAATTTACTGAGGATTTGTATATCTTCTGTTGTGTAGTATCTCTTCAAGTTTTCACCTATTTAAATAACTGGATTTGCTCGTCTTTTTTTTTTGTTTTTGATTTGTAGAAGTTCTTTTTTATTCTGGGTGTTAGTTTATAGATTAGATGCCAGGTATATGTATTGTAATATTTTTCCTAGTCTGTGGCTTGCATAATCATTTAAAAATGATGTCCTTATATGAAGGCAACTGTTTAATTTTGATGAAGCCCAATTTAATTCGTTTTATGGTTGGTGAGTTTTGTGTCCTATCTAAGAAATGTTTGTCTAATCCAATGTTTCAAATATATATATTTTTTTCTAGAAGCTTCATATTTTTGGATTTTATGTTTAGGTCTGTGATCAATCTCAAATTAATTTTTATGTGTCCAGTTAGATAAGGATTGAAGTTCATTTTCTTCCATATGAATATCCGGTTCCAGTAGTGTTTTGTAAAAAAAAAAAAACTTTCTTTTTTTCCTACTGAATTGATCAGATCCCTTGGCCAAAAATTAATTTACTGTATTTTAGTCAGTTCATTTCTTGACTCTTTATTCTGTCCCAGTGATAAAACTTTCTTATTAGGTGCAGACATATTAAAATGTGTTATGCCTTCTTAATGATTAAAATCCTTTAAGCCAGTGTCCTTCCTAGCACACAAAATTTTTGAACAAAGTCAGGTTTGTTCTACTAAGATTTTGATGTACAGTCATGCATCACTTAACAACAGAGATATGATGAGACATGTGCCCTTGGGTGATTTTGCCATTGTGTTTACATCACAGAGTGCACTTACACAAACCTAGATGGTATAGCCTACTACACACCTGGGCTACAAACCTTTACAGCATGTTACTGTACTGAATATTGTAGGCAATTGTAACACAATGGTAAATATTTGTGCATCTAAACATATTTAAATATAGAAAAGGTAAAGTAAAAGTTTAATATAAAAATAAACATGGTGGACCTATACAGGGCACTTACCATAAATAGAGCGGCAGGACTGGAACGCGCTGTAGGTGAGTCAGTGTGTGAGTAGTGAGTGAATGTGAAAGCCTAGGACATTACTAGACACTACTGTAGACTTTATAAACACTTACTCTTAGGCTACACTAAATGTAGAAAAATACATATTCTTTAACATACATATTCTAAAAATACATATCCTAAACATACATATCCTAAAAATACATATTCTAGGGAAACTAAATTAACTGTAGCTTACTATAACTTTTGTACTTCATAAACTTTTAATCTTTTTAAACTTTTGGACTCTTTTAATCTTTTTTAAACTTAGCTTAAAACACAAGCATATTGTACAGCTATAGAAAATATTTTCTTTATATCCTTATTCTAAAGGCACTTTTTTCTATTTTTAAATTTTTTATTTTTATTTTTTAGCTTTTTAAGCTTTCTTGTCAAAAATAAAGAAACAAACACACGCATTAGCCTAGGCCTACACAGAGTCAGGATCATCAAGATGTTGCTGGATGATAGGAATTTTTCAGCTCTATTTTAATCTTATGGGACCACCATTGCATACGTGGTCTGCCATTGACCCAAACATTGTTATACAGTGCATGACTATACTTGTCTAATACTATCCCATCTCACAAAGCAACCTCAGTGAATTAAAACTCATCAGTACCTCAAGTTTCCAAGGCCATGTTTAGCCCCTGAGGACTCAGTTGCTCACTTTTCCTTGTGGCAATTTAATGCTGCAGCAGTGTAAGAAAGATCATCGTAGCTGCATTTCCAAGCCTCATCCTCCAATAAAGCTTTTGTCAATAATTTTATTTCTTAGTGAATGTCAAGCTCAAGAGTGGAAGAAAAGAGTATTACTTATTGGCCTCTTAAAACGTCACTCACTTGAAGGGCTGCTATGTGGGGTTAAAATAGATATAATAGTTTGGTTTTCTATTAGACTTTTGACATGTTAACTGATAAGCATTCTGGTTGGCTTGACAGTTGTATTTTCTTTTTGCAAATTAATAAATGACTCTTTTGGTCCATGAGAACAGATAGCAAAAATGTGCCTAATTATACCATAGAATCAATTTGTAGGTCAAATCAACTTTCACCAGAATAGTGTCTCCCTGCAAATTTGATACATAAAGCTTATTAATTGTGAGTCTTTCTTCTAATGACAACATTATAAATAGGCTTTATCTAACATTTTTAGAATTCTCACCAGAATGGGAACATTTCTACTTAAATAGAAAAGCTAAAAGCAAAGATATTTTGCCAGTTAGTTATTTTAGTTACTAAGCACTTCTCAATAGATATTTATGATTGCTGGACTATGGCATCAAATTTTGTCTCACTAATAACTTCTTGAGATTACAAAGTCCAATAGCAATAATTTATTATATTAATTAAGAGACATCGTAGTGATGTGTTTAATAGTAATAGGAATTAGACAATATTATTAAGGATTTGGTGTATATATAAAATAATGCTATTCATGACTAAAATTTATCTTGATTCATTTTCTAAAAATAACTCAATATATTTCATGTCTCTAGTACTTTTATTACAATTCTCTATGAATATCCTTTAGCTTAGGTAGGATATTTCATTAAGCATACATCATGCTAACTCAAGGCAGGAAATAATAAAATTATGTGAAGTGTTAACATATCTGAGAGTAAATGATAAAAATTAATCTAACCAAGATGCCAGCCATAAAATAAATTACATGGGCTGAAGAAAAATGTGAACATCAAATAAAAAAGAAGAATTGCATTCTAAATCTAAGGCAAGGTAGATGAGTAGAGTTGAGTTCCTTATAAAGAAATATTTGAAGTCATAACTATAACTAGACTTTACTTCAAATGAACAAATCTCAATTCAGATTCTTTCTTGCCCTGAGCTGCAGCTAATATGTCTCCATTTCACGACGAATACTGTCAGGAATGACAATGACCGATAAGTAGAACCAGTACAAAGTTCCTCCTAGAATGGAATGTCACCCATGTGAGGGAAAAGAAGACAAATTAAGACCAAAATTAAAATATATCACCAGCAGCCCCAAAGCACTGACTCAAAATCAGGTCAGTTTAAACGTTTGTTATATGTTACTTCAATTTTTAATATTTCCTGGATAAGTAACCAGTAAGTGGGGGATTTTCCCAACAGAAAACAAATGTCTCTCTAGGAAAACTAAGGCAGTGAATTGTCAACAAGAGGAACAGTCAATGAAGGCAAAAAAAAAAAAAACCAAAAAAAAAAAAAAAACACAAAACACTGGTTAATTGCTGTTTCAAATTTTTCCATTCAATTTGTAAAATTTCGATTTTTTTTTTTTACAAAATTTCCTCTTAGTTGACACATGCTTATTATAGAAAAAATGTTAAAATAAAAGAAACAGAAAGCAGAAAAGTAACCTATGCAATGTTTAGCACTCAGAGAAAAGCAATTTAAATGTTGTTCCACACCCTCCTGAACTTTTATTATTTTTTTAACATAATTGTGTTCATATTGAATATACATTTTTTGTATTCTGGGTATTTACTCACTTAATGTGACATAGGTGTGTTTGCATATTATTACATACTCTTCATAAAGATAATTCTTAACAACTTCACAATATTCTGACAAGTATATGTGTTCCCAGAAGTATGAATATTTTATTAATTTGACACACATTAAATTGATACATATAGACAATTACCTTTCCAAGAATTGTACTGATTTACACCATTATATTATGATACCATTATATTGTGTGAGCATGCCTATTTCACCACATTTTCAATAGCATTAATCTATTTCTGGACTGTTTATTCCAAGATTTATCTTTTTTCACCAGTTTTGTAAAAACTATTACACACTTTCCCTCACATTAACATTGAAATTGCTTCTAAATGCAATTAATAAAAATAATATTGAGATTTTGATTGTGTCTCTTTCCGTCAAACCTTTCCATGACTTCCCTTTTGTCTAGTTCAGTGGTGCTCAGCCAGGGGCGATTTTATCCCCCAGGAGAAATTGGACAATATCTGGGGGCATTTTGGTTGTCCCAACTGGAGGGTGGGACTGGGGGAGGCAGGGTTAGTGGAGAGTCTTGCTACTGGCATCTAGTGTTTAATGGCCAGGGATACTGCTAAACATTCTTCATTGTGCTGCATAAGACAGACCCCCAACAACAAAGGATTTCCCCAAGTTTTCCAAAATGTCAATAGTGTGGGTGGGGGTCAAAAAACTCTCATCTATGGGATATATTGGAAACAACTTTGCTTGGCACACCAGCCTGTCTTTCATCCAACTCAATAGTCTTCTAACTGAGGTACTTAAAAGCCCTGGTGGTTGGTTTCTAGATCCTCAAAATGATTTGCAGGATAATATATCCATGTTCAAAATAATACTACAGGAGAAAGAGGAGAGGAGGGAGGACGAGAAAGAGGTATATCTTTCATCTATTTCAAATCATGCTATGTTGCAATGCCTCTAGGGTGAAAAGAAAAAGCAAACTAGGAGCACGACTTTAAAGATTAATCAAGGTAACGCATAAATCCATGTGGCTTCAAACTCTTTATAACAAAATGAGATACAGTGTGCATTTAATATTTGGTAAGGATAGTCTTATCTTTTCTTGTTTAAATTTTTTCTAGATATTTCCACAGACTTACAATTTCCATTTGAACCTGAAAACTGGTTCAGTTTAAAAAAATTCCCGTCCAATTTTTTACAATCAATGAACCTACATTGAAATATCATTATATGTACATATACATATAAATTACATTTCTATAAATTTGTCCTAAGGAATGAAGTAGAATTGGATAGAAAGATATGCAAATAACACTAACATTTACAGCATGCTTACAATGTGCCAGCATTCTAATACATCTTAATGTCTCAGTTAATCATCACAACTACGCTCAAGTTGGTAACACTGCGATCTTCACTTTATGAAGAAAACTGAGGCTCAGAACAGGAAGTTGTTCCAAGTCACAGATCTATGAAGATTATAGATCAAACCACATTCTGTGTGATGCCAAGACCCTATATCCAGCTTTTTCTAAATAGCAGTCTTTTGGGTTTCACTTATGTGTGTGTGTGTCTTTGTGTCTGTTTCAAAGTAGTTGAACAACAATATCAGGGAAATCATGGTTTTAACGTTTTAGGTATATTTCTTATATTTCCCAAAAAACCAATTTGAAAATATTCTACCTACGAGCCTCTCAGAGAGGCTGTCTCTTTTATATCCAGGAACCAGCACTTTGCTTCAAAGGCTAACACAACAATGGCCTGAAGGCAGGACCAGTGTTGTGTTAGTAAAGTTGTGTAGAGTAAAACATGTTTCAGGATCTGTCAGGGACTTCAGATACTTTACTGATGGCATTGAATTCCTGGGCTTGACCTATTACTGCACCTCCAGCATCCAAGAGCACTGTCTTACAACTTACTCCTTATGACTCACCTATAACAAACATCACTGATTACATCAAAGAAAATTATTGTTAATGCCACTTAGACTAATTAACACAACCTTTGGTGTAGATACCAATAAGAATAGTTTAAGTACCAAGTAATCTACTCTTAAAATGTTGATTCTTCTTAGGATATTTCAGTGCTAATTAATTGTCCAGAGGATGTGGATTAGGGATAATGTGCATTATGCTATCAAGGGCAAGCTCACATGCGTGTAGGCACACACACACACACACACACACACACATCACCCCCCAAAATGTTTATATTGAAGCAATTTAAAGTAAATTATCACACAGACTACAGAATAGTCTCAGCAAACAGTAACTACCAGAATTATCTTTCCAGTGTTACTTATAATAATAACAAAATTTATTGAAATGTCTAAGACGACTGGCTTGATTTAGAAAATATCTTCATACATTCTTGAGTTTCTCAACTTCACTATTTTTGATATTTTGGGCTGGAGAATTCTTTGTCTTGGGAGAGATTGTCCTGTGCATTGCAAGAAGTTTAGAACCCTTGGTGTCTCCCAAGTACATGCCAGTAGTAGCTCCCTTTTCTCAGTAGTGCCAATACAAAATGTCTTTAGACATCGTCAAATGTCCCCTGGGGGCAAAATTGCACCTAGTTGAGACCTATAAAATGGACTACAACCCATGTAGCTATTAAGAGTATGTTAAAAAAATATTTACTTATCTACGCAAATGTTCATAGTATATTTAATGGAAGAATCAGGACAAAACAACAGATAAGTTAGACCTTGATTTATAAAATAAAAATGGATACATGCATTGAAATACAAAGACAGCTAGCCTTTTTTGTGTGCTTACTCTGTACTGCACACTAACCTTTCACATGTGTTATCTGTTTAATTTCCATAATAACCCTCAGAGGTTGGTAATTAACCCCATTTGATAAATAAGGAAACAGAATCTCAGACAGGTTAAGCAGCTGAATGATAATTTTATAATATTAACCGCAGTCATGTCTGGGTAGTGAAATTGGGTGTAATTATTTATCTCTGTATTTTCCAAGATTTCAACAATAAGCATCTATTATTTTTAATCAGAAAACTTAACAAATGACATTATTGGGCCGGGCACAGTGGCTCACACCTGTAATCCCAACACTTTGGGAGGCCGAGGTGGGAGGATCACTTGAGGTCAGGAGTTCAAGACCAGCCTGGCCAACATGATAAAACCCCCTCTCTACTAAAAATACGAAAATTAGATGGGAGTGGTGGCAGGCACCTGTAATCCTGCACTCCAGCCTGGGTGACAGAGTGAGACTCCATCTCAAAAAAGAAAAAAAGACATTATTAAATCATAAACCTTTCTTTTAGAGAATAAAATGTATGTATTGAGTGCTTGCCTTTTGCTTTCTTTCAGATAACAAAATATAGTTAATGAATGCTATCTGGTTGTTTTAATGAAATACTTATATTCTTAGCCTCTTTTCCTATGCCCCAACTTCTTTTTTGGTAACATTTTCTTCCCAGTTATTCAATTACTGAAACCTGTAATAGAGAATCTTTCCCATTATTCCAGCTCAGGTGTATATTTGGTACTTCAACTTAAATCACTGAACTACAATCTTGACAAACTCTTTCTAGATAAATAAAGCATTTATTGAAAATTTGTTCCCTTATTTCTCTAGAAAGAGTCCAAATTTCTTGAAATAATTTTTTAAAATTAACTTAGAACTCACTAGAAAACTCTCAAAAATCCTGCTGAAGATCATTCGAAAATATATCAGCTAACGTTCCCCTCCTTGGTGAACTATGTTAACAGGCATAGCAAGTTAAAACAGTGTTCCTATTCCTTGAGGCTAAATAAAGCTTCTTGGAGATTCTGGAGGTTCCCTTCACTGGTCCGTGATTAGGACGTGATACTGACATTGAGGAAAGTAAGCCCTTTCTCACACCGGGAATTATTTTTATGTTGCTTCTTGCTTGCTTGAAGGTTATTCAAAGGGGCAAACTAAATTGGTTTATGATTCATTAGCTAAGGCATTTTCTGTATACTGCTTATTTAATACGTGATTTTCCTGGTGTGGCCAGAAAAAGGAGTCCTAATAATCATGGTCAACCTCTGCTTACTCTTCTGGTCATGACTTTTCTTTCCTTTTTTTTTTTTTTTGAGACAGAGTCTTGCTCTGTTGCCCAGGCTGGAGTACAGTGGCGCAATCTTGGCTTACTGCAACCTCTGTCTCCCGGGTTCAAGCGATTCTCCTGCCTCAGCCTCCCTAGTAGCTGGGATTACAGTTGTCCACCACCACGCCCAGCTAATTTTTGTATTTTTTTTTTTTTTTTTGAGATGGAGTCTCACTCTGTTGCCCAGGCTGGAGTGCAGTGGCACGATCTCGGCTCACTGCAACATCTGCCTCCCAGGTTCAAGTGATTCTTCTGCCTCAGCCTCCTGAATAGCTGGGACAACAGGCATGTGCCACCATTCCCAGCCAATTTTTATATTTTTAGTAGAGATGGGGTTTCACCATGTTGGCCAGACTGGTCTTGAACTCCTGACCTCAAGTGATCCACCCGCCTTGGCCTCCCAAAGTGCTGGGATTATGGGCATGAGCAACTGCACCCGGCCTATTTATTTATTTATTTACTTACTTACTTATTTATTTATTTATTTTTTGAGACGGAGTCTTACTCTGTCTCCGGGCTGGAGTGCAGTGGCATGATCTCGGCTCACCGCAACCTCTGCCTCCCGGGTTCAAGCGATTTTCCTGCCTCAGCCTCCTGAGTAACTGAGACTACAGGCACGCACCACCATGCCCAGCTATTTTTTGTATTTTTAGTAGAGACGGGGTTTCACTGTGTTGGCCAGGATGGTCGTGATCTCTTGACCTCGTGATCCACCCACCTCGGCCTCCCAAAGTGCTGGGATTACAGGCGTGAGCCACCGTGCCCAGCCCAATTTTTGTATTTTTAATAGAGATGGGGTTTCGCCATGTTGGCCAGGCTGGTCTCGAACTCCTGACCTCAGGTGATCTGCCCACCTCGGCCTCCCAAAGTGCTGTGATTACAGGCATGAGCCACCACGCCCATCCTGGTCATGACTTTTCTTGGCAATTCCTCTGAGTTCCTGACCCTCATTCAGTCTGCTTTGTTGCCCTTTCCCCTTGTATCTTCTGAGAGCCCCGCAAGCCACAAAGAGATTTATCACAGTGTCATTTGTGAAAACTCATCACACTTTGCAAGCTGCCTCTGTGGGGAAGTAGATGGTGTTTTATTGATGCTTAGGTATTGTTGCGGGATCCTGAGGACCAGAGAGAGACCTTGGGGTGTAAACAGGAGGATACATTTATTATTGAATGCACTCAGACCTAGCAGACTCAATGTCCAAAGACTGGGCCCAGAACAAAGACAGCACTTGACTTTTATACACACTTCACAAAAGAGGTGGGCTAGTTTGAAGCAGGCTTATGGTTACGGTCACGTGAAAGCAAGGATACAGAGGCAGAACAATTAATTAAATTGTGACAGGTTTATAACTCAGGATTACACATGACCATTGCCAAGCAACCCAGATGTCCATTATCTAGGTTTTGCTCTAAAGAGCCTTGCACTGGTTCATCTCATAACGTTTACTATGGTGCCCAGGCAGCGGTAGTTCAGGCCTGCTCAGGCTTCTGATGACCTTCATTGTACTTCTTAGATAAAACAGAATACTTGAAGTTACTAGTTACAGAGAACAAGAATCTATAAACTCATTCCATAAAACAAAGGAAAATTTGTTTTTTCTTCTCCCTGTGTTGAGGGAGTGCTGGGAGAGTCTCCAGAGCGCATTAGATAATATTATCAGGACTTTTCCTGGGTCTGGGCTGTGCCTGTTGCTATCTCTGGGACAAGTCAGCCTAATACAGGAAAGCTTATTTTTCTTTCTTTTTAATTTTATTTTTCTTTAATTTCCCACCTCAGTATCACTACTAAAGTTTACATCATTTTGTGTGTTTTTTAGATAAATTAATTACTATACGGTATTTGACTCTAGGCTTCAAAGTCAGGTTTCGAATTATGAAACATTCAGTTCTACTTTCCAGTCTTCATTCCCACAACATACTTGCCAGGAAGATATTTCTCAAAATAAACACCTGTCTAGCACACTGAGGTTTCACAAGTATATTGGGTCCTTGCCCAATTCTCTCTGTATTTAATATCTCTTTCTTTGGAGTAAGTAAGTCTATAAGAAAGCAAAAGTCAGGTATACAATTTTATCCGAGGGCTCTTTAAAATAGATAACCAGAGGCTGGGCGTGGTGGCTCACAGCTGCAATCCCAGCACTTCAGGAGGCCGAGGCAGGCAGATCATGAGGTCAGGAGAGCGAGACCATCCTGGTTAACACGGTGAAACCCCATCTCTACTAAAAATACAAAAAATTAGCCGGGTGTGGTGGCGGGCGCCTGTAGTCCCAGCTGCTCGGGAGGCTGAGGCAGGAGAATGGCGTGAACCCGGGAGGTGGAGGTTGCAGTGAGCCGAGATCGTACCACTGCACTCCGGCCTGGGTGACAGAGCGAGACTCTATCTCAAAAAAAAAAAAGAAAAAAAAAAGTAAATAAAATAAAATAAAAAAATAAAAAATAAATAAAAAATAGACAGCCAGAGTGGAGGAACTAGTCAGTACTAGCCATTTCACTATGTCTGAGCAAACTTGGAGTCAGTGAAGTTTTCTCTGGCTGGGTTCTGCCTCTGAAACAAACACTTTGCAGCCAGGAAAGTTATGCAACGTCTATAATCTAGGAGGCTCAGACCATCTTTGCCCACCATGCGTTACCTTTTTTTCTTGCCTACCCCCTACCCTTTTCTGGCCAGATATGAGAAATTTCAAGCTATTATGTATGTGGTGGGGAGGGAAGATAATTTGGGGAGTGTGGAAAGAGAATTAGCTCAGCATATTCAAGTATATTGGAATATATCTTCTATACAAATAAAAATAAAAATGTTATTCAAATGTTATACCATTCATTTGTTTGAAATTATCTACTTTACATAGTAAAGTGCACAATTGTTCATCTATATTCAACCAGCACACATTTACTGCTGCATTTTGCTGGTAAAATACTGCAATAATTAAAAAAATCAGTTATTAACGTCATTTGCATTTGCTCTTACAAAGTTTATCTAACAGTTATTGTTTATGCTTATATCTTAGGCTTCACAAAATAGCGCATTGCTGGTGCAAGTTAGGTAGTCAAAAATTATAGGTATTATTATTTTGAGGTTTTTGTGGAAGAGAGAGTTAAGAGTATGGTACTCTGTAATTTTTAAAACCTCACATTCATTATCTGTACAATGACTTTGGTTCGGGGGGAGGCTTTCAAATATCCAGTATCCAATTAGGCTAGGTGATAAGTGTTATTCAACATTACAAAACTGAAAAGTAACTCTGTAGGGATTTAAATCTGCCTGCTTCCAAAACCAACTCTTACCTATTATGCCAGTGCTAAGAGAGTTAGAGTGAATGAAGAATACCAGGGCTGGAGTGGCGTTGTCAGTGTTTGACAAGGGTAGCAGAGCAGGCTGAGTGAGACTCATGGACTCACCACAACATAGGGGTGAAGGAGAGATGAGATCAGACAATGCTGTTGGCTTGAAACATGGCCTTAGGGTTTTAAAGGTCAAAGTCTGCGAGTTCAGAAAGAGTAGGGAGCTCCAATATTAGGTACCCAGTTAACAAAATTAATAAAACCTTAATGGTGAAATATCAGATTTTAGTTGAATGAGAGAGGCAGAAGGTGAGGAGTGTAGCTATGACTCTGATTGTAGTTCAGGTGTGATACAATGAGAAGCTGAATTGCAGTAGGAGCTGGCCTCGCAAGGAGGACATGGGCTGGGCTTGAAAAAACAGTGTGTGGGAAGGAAGCAAGTGGTTAAGGCTTCTGCAGCTGAATTCTTGATTCAAGTCCCAGCTTTGGTCCCTGCCATATATATAACCTCAGGCAAGTTAATTAACCATCCGAAACCTCAGCCGTCCTCTCACTGAAATGAGCAGCATAGCCTGACTTATAGGGCTATTGAGAGATTAAATGATATGTAATGCATGTGAAGAGCTTAGCTCAGAGCCTGGCACATAGCCCAAGTTCAAGAAACAATAGCAACACTGCTGAAAAAATGAGTAGGGGCGGGAAGAATGGGGGTGGGGGTGTTGATCCAGGGTGATTTGGATCATGGCGGTACCATTAAGAAAAGTTAAAAACCCAGAAAGAGGACGTGGTTGATTCAGAAGGAGGATAGTAAGAACAGCTGATATTGATGCTCTGGTGTATGAAATGGTAAGTTTTAAAGATTGCATGTTAAGTGTCCAGCGCTGCCTTATTAGCCTGGGGAGAGGCTGCAGTGTCTTTTGTTTTTCTGGACAGCAGGGGGCTCCCAGGTACTGGAAAGCAGCAAGTGAGGGTCTCCTACTGTTTTCTGTACTTTGCTCACTAATGCTTGCAAAAGTGAGCTAGCATCATCTGATGCTATGGTTAAAAAGAAGTTGTGTATTCCTGGACTTATAAATGCATAATTTTCTCTATGAGGTACTTGAAATCCATTGAATCTTATAGAGCTGGAGTGTAGCTTAATATCCAGCAAAAATGGAACAGATCAGACCAAAAAAAGAGAAGGTGTGTGTGTCACAAACTCACAGATTAAAAGGAATAATGGGGACTAGAATGTAGCATAAAAATCAGGAACTAGAGTTGTGGATGCAGTGGTAGGAACACACAAAGGAGAGAGAGTCTTTTCTTGCCTTGGGAATCTGGGGAAGACTCATTAGAAGAGCTGGGTAAGGCAGGAAGGGCATTCCACGTGAAGGAACAGCACACGTGCAAAGACACGGAGAAGTGAAATTGCCTGAGAAATTTTCTGAGCACAGCAAATGTAGTTTGTAGAAAAGTAATGATAAACCTTAGACAAATTAAAATTAATAGAGTTTAATTGAGCAAAGAATAATTCATGAATGGGGCAGTCCCTGCCCAGAACAGGTTCAGGGAGGCTCTGGTGCAGCTACATGGTCAAAGAAGATTTCTGGACATAAAAAGAAAAATGATGTACAGAAAACAGAAGTGAGGTACAGAAACAACCAGATTGGTTACAGCTGAGCATTTGCCTTATTTGAACACGGTTTGAATAGTTGGCCGCCTTTGATTAGCTGAAACTCAGTGATTGGCATAAGAGTAGGTTACTGTCTGTTTACACATCCAGTTAAATTACAGTTCACTATGTACACAGACACGCTTAGGCCAAACTTAAAATATGTAAGGAGACAGCTTTAGGCTAAACTTGATTTAACAGTAACAAATGAGAAAAAAGAGAAGCCCGGAGAGAGAGCGTTTCGCACGGAGTCAAAATCTGAATAAGTAAGGAGCCCACATTTGTAGATTTCTAGTACCCTTTTCCTTGCACTTTGCTGGTCTAATTCCTTCTACACAGTTAAGAGCTCTGAGTAACTGAGTTACTGAGTTTGCAATTTCCAGACATAATGTTTCTACCAGTATATTAATTATTCTCTTCCCCTTTCAAAGAATCACTTCTCAGGAGTCACTTTTCTCTTTCTAATTTTGATTTTGTTGAGGCTCAGAAAGCAATACTCCAAAGACTTGTGCTTTGACATGCTGAGAGGCCTTAGATGCTGCTTCAGAGGCAAGAGTTTCTAACCTTGTCTCGTTCCCCACTCCAACTTGTCTTGTTCCTTTAAGTGCAGGAAGGGACTCTGGAATTTCTTTAATTGACCAAGAAAGTTTCTTTCCAAAATAAATGCAATTGTCCTTTTTTGTTGTTGTTAGACAGGGTCTCACCCTGTCACTCTGTCACATAGAATTGAGTGCGGTGGTGCAGCTGTGGCTCACTGCAGCCTGGACCTCCTGGGCTCAAGCAATTCTCCCACCTCAGCCTCCCAAGTAGCTGGTACCATAGGTGTGCACCAGCATACCTGGCTAATTTTTTAAAAAGAATTTTTTGTACAGATAGGGTCTTGCTATGTTGCCCAGGTTGGTCTTGAACTTCTGGGCTCAAGCAATCCTCCTGCCTCAGCCTCCCAAAGTGCTGGGATTACAGGCGTGAGCTACTGCACCCTCCCTCAATTGTCTTAAACCCCCTCTGTAGGGATCTCATTAGATAACTAGGAAAGATCAACCATCAGAGAAGAGAAGAGACTGGGAGTCAGCACCACGTTGAGAGAGACTTTTCATCTGTTCTTCTGAGGACAGCCCTAAGAAATTACTTGGGGTACTTTATTTGCCTAATAAGACAAACTTTGTGCCCATACAGCACCACGTCTCACCTTCCCTTAATGTCTCTGCCTTCCACTTTTGGAGTCCATTCATTCCTAATGACTTACCATCCCTCAAAACAATGGTCTATATTCCCCATCTTTCTCTTGACCTATGAAAAAGTGTATATAAGCTTCTGTACTGCATTGGGTTACTTGATAATCACTCTGTGATTTTTTTCCCCCTGTACATTAATAAATTTGTATGCTTTTCTCCTATTAATCGGTCTTTTGTCACTTTATTTTCAGGGAACCTTCAGAAGGTGAACGGGATCCCTGTGCCCCTACAATTTGTTATTTTCATCTAGGATTTTTCTGTAATTAAAAAAAGTTTTTTGAAAAACAGGTGTCTATATTGTTTTACACTAAACTAAAACTGAAGTAACTAACAAGTACAATTCACTGCAGGTACTCTCTTCATCTTGTAGTTCACGCTTAAGCACTGAACCTGTGCTAAGAAATGTGAGTATTCCTGTAGTCAAAGAGAGTCATCACTCAACCAACAAGCTACGTCCCTGTGAAAATTTTAGCATCTAATCATTAAATTGATTTAAAGCAAGAGAGATAGTATTGCTATTGTCTTATTAATGGAATGGTTTCAGTCATGTATGCTAATTTTCAATATTAGTACTTTTCAAGACTGGGAAACTCATTTGTTTTTCACTGAATGTGAATTTGAAAGGGTGAAATGAAATAAACTAAGAAAGGACAATCAAATTAATGTAAAAAAGGCAACAGTAATAAAAACAGTGTTCATACCAGTATTTAGCATAGTGCCTGGCAGATGATAGGTACTCCAAAATACTTTTTTTTTTAAAAAGATGGGGTCTTACTAGGTTGTCCAGGTTGGAATGCAGTGGCTATTCACAGGTGTGATCATTGTGCACTACTGCCTCAAACTCCTGAGCTCAAGCAATTCTCCTGTCTCAGCCTCCTGAGTAGCTGGGACTACAGGTGCAGCCACTGCACCTGGCTTCCCAAAATTCTTCTTGAATGAATGAATATTGAATGAATGAATGTTCCTTAATTCTAGGTACATCAAAAGCAGTGTGAATTGGTGCACATGATTTTAGATGTTAGGCTGTTTCAATATTACACAGAAACTAAGTCTCCACATGATAACCCTAGTGTTTTCCCTAAAACAACAAACCATTAAGTTGAAGTACCAACTGTTTCTTCTCATCTTCATGATCATTTAAAATATCTGGCTCTTTTCCTCTCTTTTATGCATCATAATTTTTCAAATGTTTTTCTATTCTGTGTCTACTGGAGGTTGTTAATGTTGTTATGACTGTTAATTCTTCTTTATAGAGTTATAGAAGGATCTCATAAAAAGTAATATTGGTGTGTAAATAAGATGCAAGAAGCAATGACCTTCATTTTTCTATTCAATAGAAAGGAGATAAAATAATGAGTAATAAAATCCTTCTAGAAATTCTGATTCTTTTTTGATCAACTTGATACAGGTCAGGTAGAAGTGGTCTCCTGACAGAAGTAATAGTCTTTTTCAATCCAGTGGAGAAAGCCTATGTGCTCCCAATAACCCCACTTAGTTTTGTTGATATTTGAGCATTAGTGGGTAAGTTGTGGTTAAATATCACCTTGTTTTTTCTTACTAGAAACTTAATGTTACATTTTTAACATTTAATGTTAATTTTATTTAATTTCAATTTAATTTTAATGTTATGTTGATAGAAGAGATAACACTTTATGGTTAAAATCTTGTTTAGGATCTGTATAATTTGATTTCACTTCTCAATCAGATGGATTCTATGAAGAGTTCAATCAAAAAGATAGGAGGTATGTTTCCATTTCTATTCAGAGTTTTAAGGAGAGAATCTTATCTTTTGGGGTTCCTCAACCCTTTTTGATAAATGGTAAAGGAACATTTTGAAAATGTTGTTGTACAGATATATTTGCAGATATATGGTGCAGATATAGTTGGTATTTCCTAAAAAATCAACTCATATAAATATTTGAGAGTCTGTTGTTTTGGTGAAACAATGGAACCATTATGTGATTGGTATTATGTAACTGAAGGTTTCAAATGGCTTCCTGCATTTACCAATAATTCACAAGGGATGCATTTAGGTATATTTTCTACCAAGCCCACAGCATTTTGGCTGAGATTTCCAAGTCAGGTGAATCTCTTCTATTGTTCACATTGGTGTCTATGCCAAAGAGGAGTGATTCAACAGAAAGGCAGTCTTGCAGCACATAGCTGCCAGGTTTCTGGATCATACCTATTTAAAAGATGTAAATTTGGGACCCAGTCAAGACACAAGAAAAAAAATGCAGGTTAATGAATGGCATAAATATTTATATTTTACCTATGTATGTAATACCTAAAACTAAAGCCCAAAGAGAAATGAAAATCAATAGAAAGTGAAAACAAATGAATCTGAACTTTCAGATTGTATTTTAATTCACTGCCTGATATGTTTAGACGACTGCATAGCATTCCCTCTTTTTTTTTGATGGAGTTTCACTCTTGTTGCCTGAGTTGAAGTGCAATGCCATGATCTCAGCTCACTGCAACCTCCACGTGCCAGGTTCAAGCGATTCTCCGTCCTCAGCCTCCCAAGTAGCTGGGATTACAGACATGCACCACCACACCTGGCTAATTTTGTATTTTTAGTAGAGGCGGGGTTTCACCATGTTGGTCAGGCAGGTCTGGAACTCCTGACCTCAGGTGATCCACCTGCCTTGGTCCCCCAAAGTGCTGGGATTACAGGCATGAGCCACCACGCCCGGCCTGCATAGCATTTTTTTTTTTTTTTTTTTTTTTTGAGACGGAGTCTGGTTCTGTCGCCCAGGCTGGACTGCAGTGGCGTGATCTCGGCTCACTGCAGGCTCTGCCTACCAGCTTTACGCCATTCTCCTGCCTCAGCCTCCCGAGTAGCTGGGACTACAGGCGCCCACCACCATGCCTGGCTAATTTTTTTGTATTTTTAGTAGAGATGGGGTTTCACCGTGCTAGCCAGGATGGTCTCAATCTCCTGACCTTGTGATCCACCCGCCTCAGCCTCCCAACTGCATAGCATTCTTTACAAGTTGCCCCATGTGCCAATGAAGCAGAACCCTGTCCAAAGAAATCCCAAGTAGTTAGGGTAGAATGGGTTCTACCGACTTCTCTTTTTCTTCACACCCATTATTTTTATAACGCAAGTAATGCAGCATGTATTTGTTGTTAAACATTGAAATAATAAAGAGATACACATATTAAAGAATAAAAGACTCCTACATTCATTGCTGCCCAGCTCCCAAAGATAACCACTGCTAACAAGTTTGCACTCATTTTTCTAAACCCTTTTAAATACACATGCAAACACATTTATCTATAGTGTGTAAAAAATTCTACCATATGTTACATATTATTTCACAGTTTACTGTTCTCTCTTATTTTTTTAAAGAGATGGGGGTCTCACTATGTTGCCCAGGTTGGAGTGCAGGGGGCTAGTCACAAGCATGATCATAGTATACTACAGCCTCAAATTTCGAGGCTCAAGTGATCCTCCAGCCTCAGCCTCCCTAGTAGCTGGGGCTACAGGCATGTGCAACCATGCCTGGTTACTTTTTTCTCTTGACGGTATGTTATGGACATTTTCCCATGCTAGTACATGGATCCACCTTTTTAAAGATTGAGCCTATGGAATTCTAAATTATGGGTATACCATAATTTATTAAATATTTCTTCTCATTGTGTTAGGAATTAGTTTTGGCACTAGTAACAGAGACTAAAAAATTTGGCAAAAAATTAAAAGTTTTATCTTTCTCATGTAACAAAAGTTGTATAGTCCTGGGCATATGTGATAATTCTGTGGCGTTTTCAGAGATAGACTGATTTTGGTGTTCTAATACTGAGTGTAGCTCCCATCCTCAAGGTAATATTATGGTCCCAAAGTGACTGTTGGAGCTCTAGCAATCAAATCTTCATTCCAGTCAGGAAGAAGTGAAAGGTAAGGAACACACTGGTGTTCCAGTAAAGTCAGTCCACCTTTAAAACACTTTTGTACAAGTCCTACCTAACAATTCCTGCTTATATCTCATTGGTCATATCTTAACACATAGCCATCCCTTTCTGTCAGGAATTAAGGGAAATTTAATACTTTAGTCAGATATATTGATACCACCAACAATCAGGTTCTTTTAGTAAGGAGGAAGGGGAGAATGGAGATTGACTGGGTATCAAGCAATCTTACCACATGTATTGGTATATATTTTGGTTGTTTACAGTTTTCACTATAACAAATAGTGCTGCAATGAATATACACGAATGAGTTTCTTTTCATTATATTTGTTTCATATTTTTCTGTAGCCCGTTTTTTACTTTGGTTGATTTATTAATTATCTTCTATATGTTACGCCTTTTCATTATTTATAACTTCACCCATTTTTCATCTGTTCTTGGCTCAAAGGAGGAAGCATCCTGCTCTCTTCTAAGTGTTCTCTCTTGTTCCCCCTTTGATCTTGGTGGTGAAAACAGAATAATAGGTTAAGATGTTGATGTTTGGAGGTAAAAGAAATATAAACTGAGGGTGTCTCCACCTGATCATCTTTATGAAAAGGCAAGGTACCAGGAGCAGACAGCACAGAATGGGGCTAACTTCTCACTCCATGACTTTCTAAGGGTTGCGACCTTCAAGGAATTACTTAATGTCTTTGTGCCTTAGTTTTTCCATCTGTAAAATGTTGTTAGTTTTGGCATTTACCTCATAGGGTTGGTGTGAGAAGGGAATGTAAAGCAAATGGAAATAGTAGCTGGCATATACTAAGTGCTATGTGAGTTAACAGTTGTCAATTCTCACCTCAGTGAAGTAAAAAATGGTTTCTGTGCAGTATAATGGGAATGGAGACACAATGAGAGGGTAGGTGGTGGTCAGAGTCCACATGGTCTTTGTGAGAGATTTGAGGTGGTCAGGGAGGTATGAATCAAGGGATGGTTGTGTAATGTTGAGAGGACATCTGAAGTCGGGCATCACATTGACTGCTTAAAAACAGGAGTAAAGACATTGAATAAATAGGATTGAAATTAACTGGGTAGGGTTGGCAGAAGGCCAAGTGGATAGAGCACTAGAAGGTGCTGATATGAGTTAGCTGAAATAATTTACCACAAGATTCTGGGTGGGAAAAGAGAAACAGAAGAGTACTTCAGAAAGTCATTTCTCTTGAATTGAGGGGTCAGAGTGAATTGTGGATAGAAAAAAGGATGTGGACTGAGAATAGATTTTCAGAATTCAGGCTTTTAAAGATATCATTCTGGGTGATAGCATACTTTCAGGTGTGGCTCATGTGACTGGATTACTGCAGTGAAACAAATGCCAGAGATGAAGATCAGGGAAATAGAGGGAATCAAATATTTTGTTCAGTTTAATTAACTAGGCAATTGATCACCTAGTATGTGCTAAATGGGTTTTGTGTTGTTGTGAACAAGATATAGGTATTTCCTAACCATTAAGTTAAAAAATGTATATAACAATATATATATTTGTTTTTTAAAAACATATATATAAAACCATATGTTTATTAATTAAGAGGAATCAAAGTCACTTACGTATACCTAGATACTTACCATTTCTTATGTTACTCATTTCTTCCTGAAGATCTGTGTTTCCCTGTACTATTATTTTACTTCAGCTGAGGAATTTCCTTTAGTACTTCTTATAGTGTAAGCCTGCTTGTGACAAATTTTCCTAATTTTCCTTTTTTAAAAACATGCTTTTTGAGATTGGTTTTTGGGAGGATATTTTTGCTGAACTTAGAATTCTGTGTTAATTTAGTTCTCTCTGCGTTTAAAAATATCTCAATGTTTTCTGGACTCCTTTTTTTTTCTGCAGGAAGTCAGAAGTCATTTGTATCATTGTTTACTTACGTGTAATGTACATATGTTTCTCCCATGGTAGTTTAAAAATATATTTGGAAATTTTTGATACTCCCTACTTCAAAAGGTGGAGCTGAGGTTCCTCCCCTTGAATATAGCTCCAACTTAGAGACTTGATACTGATCAGCAGAATGGTAATAACTGACTTCCAAAGCCAGGTCATAAAAATGTAGTTCAGAGCACATGTAAAGAGCTTCTCTCTGGCTCTCTGTATTTCTCTCTTCTTGTTTTGAGGGAAGTCTACCCACTATATCATGAAGACGCTTACACAATAGTAGGAAAGAGTCCACATGGAGAGGAACTGAGGCCTCCCACCAAGTGCTGGCTCCAATTGCCTGGCATTTGAGTGATTCATCTAAGTGATTCACCTTGCCAGCAGATCCTCCAGCGCCAATCACATCCAGCTTCAGAGGATGGAGACCTTGCCTGACATTTGGTTACAACAGCATAAAAGCTAAGGACCATAACCTAAGCTGTTCCCAAATTCTTTCCCACAGAAGCTGTCAGAGAAAATAAATGTTTATTTTTTTAAACCATTGAATTTTGGAGTAATTTGTTATGCAGCAATAAATAATTAATACATTTTCTAATTCAAATGTCTGTGGATGTTATATTCAGTGCTCCAATTCTTCAATTTGCTTTGCCTGTGTAAGAGAAAGAAAAAAAATTGTAAAATTCAAGGTGTACCACAACTGAAAAATTAACCTATAGAGGAAAATTATTAATTTGTGGTAAACCAGTTTATTTTAAAAAAACATTTTGTCTCCTTGGTTTGCCATTGTAGCTTGAGCACCTTGTGTAATGCTTGGTACATAATAAGACATTAAATAAATATTGTTAAATGAATGAATCAATAAATTTGCTTCCTCAGGTTTTAAGCTTCTGGGGGACAAAAACTATGCCTTATTCATCTTTGTATCTCCCTCATATGGCACAATTCTTAACACTGAACATGCGCCATTCACTGTTGAGTTAAATTGAACTTAACTGAAATTCTTGTTGAAGTAAATGATCTGGAAATGGAAGTGAAAAATCATAGCAAAAAATTCATTTTAAACGTTTATATTGTACATTGACTAGTGGTGGTTTTCAAGCCCCATCAACCTATCACCAACCAACAAACAAAAAACCCTAAATTCACACTCCATTGCTGCATGGCAGACCACATGGATTTTTATAATTTCTACCAAGACAACACATCTTCAGATGTTTCTAGGGAATCTTTATGAAGCAATATACAATGGTAGGAATTTTACTGTGCTTGGGTTGTAAACTATTGCAAGCTGTTCAATTTAGTAGATTATCTGCACAGGCTGAGTAACCTGTATTGTTCCTTATCCAGTTGAGCCTTAAGCCATTTCAATAGAGCCGAATTTTATGAACATAGTGAATTTAAACACTTATTCACTCTTACTCACTCACTCATGCAACATATAAACTGAGCAACTCTCTTCCTCTTTGGGAGATAAAGCGTATCCAGGGTGTATCCCAGTGGTTTGGAGCACAAGCCAGACTTCCTAGGTGCAAATTTCCAGTGGATCCCTTACCAGCTTTGAGATCTTTGGTGTACGTCTTAATCTCTTGCCTTAGTTTCCTCAATTGTAAAATGCAGAAACTAATAGTACTTACCTCACAAGGTTGCTGTGAAGATTAATACATAAAAATTGCCTGGCACATACTAAGCATGAATAAAAATCAGTTGTTATTGCCTTCAATGCCTACCATGGACCCTGGAACATTGCAAGTGACTTGTAACTTTTGAATGAATGAATGAATGAATGATGAATAAGATGAGAGTTGTGTCTAAACTATGTTTTGTTTTTTTTTGTAATTGCATTCTTTGATCATACAAAAGTTTTGATTGTTCACTCCTTTTTAGAAATTCCCTATTAGATCAAAAAGAGGCAGAATATGTTCTTTGATAAAGGATATACAGGTAATATTGGCACATGATTACCTGGAGTTGGTGTATTAGTCTGTCCTCTCACTGCTATAAAGAAATACCGGAGACTGGGTAATTTGGAAAGAAAAGAGGTTTAATTGGCTCATGGTTCTGTATGCTATACAGAAAGCATGGCAGCATCTGCTTCTGGGGAGGCCTCAGGGAGCTTTTACTCATAGTGGAAGGCAAAGCGAGAGCAAGTGTCTTACATGGCAGAGCAGGAGTGAGAGAGAGAGAGGAGGTGCCATACACTTTAAACAACCAGATCTGGTAAGAACTCATTCACTATAAAGTACCAGGCGGGAATGGGGCTAAACCCATTCATGAGAACTCTACCTCCATGATCCAATCACCTCCCACCAGGCTTCATCTCCAACACTGGGGATTACAATTCCACTGGAATTTGGTGATGACACAGAGCCAAACCTTATTAGTTGGGAATTAAACACACACACTTTGGGCTAAGGGGAATTTTGATTTTTCATTTTAACCCCTTCATAAACGTGGACATGGCAGACAGGAGTCAAAATAGAAAGGAGCATGGAGACTCAGACTTCCAGGTATGCCTTACTGAACCTGTAGAAGGTACATTCTAACTAGCAAGCAGGGCCAAGGCTCTCCCCCTTGACTGCGGGCAATACCTGGGGAAAGGTGAGGGGTCTAATTAAGCCTTTGCATTCCCCAAACTTGGCAAAGTGCCTGGCAGAGTAGGAAGAAAAAAAATTGTTTTTAAGGAATGACGTATTAGACGATCAAGGCAACCAGGAAGGCTTTGGGTTGAAATATTCTAACCTTTGGTCATAAACCTTCCACCTGTACCTCAACTTCCACTTACATAGGCTGACTGCTCAGTTACCAAGCCTTCTCCTTAGAAAGACTTCCTTTCAATGCAAGCAGCAGAAAAAAGCGACTCAGCTTAAACTTCTCCTGGAGTTATGGGAACCGCCTCCTTCCTCTGTCGCTAATGGAGGACTAAGATGGGACTGGGAGCAAAGGAGCGTCTCTGAATGGCGGGGCAGTTGCAGCATCCCACTTGGCAAGGGTCCTTGAATTACCTCCGCCCCCGCCCTGACCCCGCCCTAAACATCAAACTTAGAAACTCATCTTTCAGCAGCAGCGGTAGAGCAGTGACCAGGCGTCTCCGCGATGGGCCCCGGGGACTTCCGCCGCTGCAGAGAGAGAATTTCCCAGGGGCTCCAGGGACTCCCAGGTAGAGCGGAGCTTTGGTTCCCACCTCGTCCCGCGTGCGACTTCTTCGGGGACGGCAGGAGCACGGACATCCAGGAGGAGGCCCTCGCCGCCAGCCCGCTGCTGGAGGACCTCAGACGACGGCTGACGCGCGCCTTCCAGTGGGCGGTGCAGCGCGCGATCTCGAGGCGCGTGCAGGAGGCGGCGGCGGCGGCGGCGGCGCGGGAGGAGCAGAGCTGGACGGGCGTTGAGGCCACCCTGGCCAGGCTGCGGGCGGAGCTGGTGAGAGAGCGGGCTAGGCGGACGGCTCCCAGGGCTCCCTCTCCCGGGTCCTCTCCTCCAGCTGCAGAGCCGCTGGCCGCGTAGCCCACCCGACGCCTTGGGGGGCCCCTCAGGTCTGGACACGGCGTTGACGCCCCCGCCTCCCCAGCATCGTTGGGAAGGAAAAGGGCCCTGCAGGACCCATGGTGGGGGGTGGGGGCGGGGGTGCCTGGTCTACCAGTGACATACCCAAGATGTCTCCTCCCCAACCCGTTTCTATAGTTTTCTGCCCTGTAGGGAACTGTGACTATGTGTATGTATGGCTCGCGGAGGAGGAAATTTCCATGAAATAAACTCTCTCTTGCGATTGATGGAGTGTGTCCATCAGTAACTCTTTCTTTATGCCCCGCAAGTTTTATTCTTATCTTTCCCGTGGGTAATAATTTAGAAAACTGGAAGTGATAAGGTATTTTGTAAAATTGCACCATTTCGAACATTACACAGGTTACATCCGAATATTAAACAGGAGGGTGTATAGGTAAATATTTTAGCTGACTGATTTTTTTTAATTCAAAAAACTGGAAATTAGTCACAACTTGAAAAGGACACAATGAATAGGAGCAATCAGACTTTAAAATGGTGCTGCCTAGGAAAGTGTGCAGTGGAGACTTGACTTGGAAAATTCTTCTCTTTTGCACTGATTACTAATACAATTAACCACTACTTTAGAACTGAGCCAACCATTAGTAAATTGTCTTATTTAAGAATGTTATCGCATTTCTAAGTTTAAGAAGAACAGTATTAGGCCGGAGCTGTGGCTCATGCCTGTAATCCTAGCTCTTTGGGAGGCCGAGGCAAGTGGATCACCTGAGGCCAGGAGTTCGAGACCAGCCTGGCCAAAATGGTGAAGTCCTGTCTCTACTAAAAATACAAAAATTAGCCAGGTATGGTGGCTGGCACCTGTAATCCCAACTACTCCAGAGGCTGATGCAGGAGAATCGCTTGAACCTGGGAGGCAGAGGCTGCAGTGGGCTGAGATTGCGCCATTGCACTCCAGCCTGGGAGACATGAGTGAAACAACGTCTCAAAAACAAAAAAAGGACAATATCCTAAATTCCGTGTCAGATTCAGATTGTTAACATGGGTTACATTAGATTTACTACCAGATTTACTATCTTATCCAACAATGTCAAAGAAACACCTGGTTTTCACCCTGAGTCTAAGCAGTGAGTCTGAGCTGCAGGGTAGCCGGAGCCACCTCATTCGGCCACTGGAGGCCTGTGCTATGGGCCAGGATGCTAAACTGGAAGGCTGAAACCTGGCGCAGCCATCTCTGCATTGTAGTCTTGGGATCTGCCGGTACTCCTTCCTGAGCCTCAGGGGACTCATATTTAAATCAGATGAGGAGATTACACTGAATAAGCTCAGAGACAGCTTTCAATCATAACATTTTAATAAGTTGCTTGTTAGGAGCTTTAGACAAGCAATATGTTGGGGGTGGCAATAAAATCTCACGAGATCGGGTGCGTTCAGGGTGGTATGGCTGTAGACCGCTGGTGGCAATAAAATCTAAACAGATGAGGGCTCAAATACCAACATTACCATTTACAGGTTCTGCTAACACTTGTTGGCCTTACAACTTTGGGATCGTTACTTAGCCAGTTTGAGTTTGTTTACCCATCTGTAAAATGGAATTTATAATCTCATAGGATTCCAGAGCTTATGTGAGATAATATTCCATGAAATGCTTAGACCATGGGTATTGTTTAGTGGCTCTTATTATTATAATGATTACTATAGACCTTGGACTCTGACTGTACCAAAAAAGAACTGATACATTCCTATAAAAAAATCAGGAGTTTTTCTGGAAAGGAACCAGAGAAGTTTACACATACACAAATAATGTGTCCTTGGGTTACAGACGATGGTCAACATCTTGGTCAATCATTTTATCCTGGTCATAAAGAAGAGGCAAAGGAGTGTGGATACTGTACCTTAATATCATTACCACTAGAAGACTTAGTTTTCAATTTTCGGCTATTAACTGGATTTTTACAGGAACTGACATATATTCCTATACAAGTGTACATGTATCATATATTAGGATGATATTCGTAAGGAACGATGAACAAATTTAATTAATTTAGAGTTGTGTTGCAATTTATACTATTTTCTATTGTTTGACTGGGTTTTCTTAGTAAGAATCATTCACTTCTAGGGTCTGTGAGTGCATCTCAGGGGTTCTATATACCTAAAATTGTATGCAGAATTTTTGATGTGCATATAGTTTTTCCTCAGAGAGGGTTCATAACTTTCATCAGATTCTCAGAGGGATCCTTGATGAAAGAAAAGTTAAAGAACCATTGATGTTTGAATTTCCTAAGTAAGTGTGAATTATACATACTTATTTTACTTAGATGGTAAATCATTACCAATAATTTTTCTCCTTGATTCTTGCATGAAAGTACAGGACGGATATTCATCAGTTAATTAATTAATTAATTAATTCACTCACTCTTATAACAAACACACAGAGAACCTACTAGGTTGTGTGCCCAGGCAGTGCACTCTTAGTTGGGGATACAATTATGAATAATATACAGCCTCTACCCTCAAAATCATCAGTCTCGTCTGGTCAGCGTGTTATGAGGCACTTGTACAGAGTGCTGTGGATGCACAGATGAGAGGCAATTATGTCTGCCCATGCAATCAGGGAGGGCTTCTCAGAAGAGCTGGCATTTGACTGGGTTCAGCAGAGAGAGGTGGCAAAGGGCATCTTAAACAGAAATGGGGACAGAAAGAGGTGAGCTTCAGCTCAGCATTTATTTAGGGACTGGCAAGGTTTCTGACCAGCTGCAATGGGAGCTGGCATGGGAAAGAGGGCCAGGAAAGGAAGCTCAAAGTAGGGCAGGATTATAGAGCATCTGGGCCACCCTAGAGAGCTGAAGCTTCCTGCAGGCAAGGTGCAAGGGTTTTTTGTTGTGGTGGTTGTGTGGTTACTGTTAGTGCTTGTTTGCTGGATATTCATTTACTTTATTCTTTGCTAATTCTTGCTGTCAGAAAAATGATTCTAGGTGCTTCAGAATGGAGAGGAATGTCTCAGAGAAAAACTGAAAGATAATTTTATCCAGTAGCTTTATTTTGCAAATCAGATGACCATGAATATTTGCTTTTTACCAACACACTGTCCTGGTTCATCCTGGGGTGGTTTCTATTGACAAGCTGATGAAGCTTTTTTAGCAGAGAGAACAAATTCCTCGTGAACTGCATTAAACAAGCCCTAGCTGAAGAAATTTGCAAGTAGTTGATCATTAGTTTTCAGTTATAATACAAAGATTATGTTGGACTAAGCTTTCTTGGACTGCCCCCGGGTAACATGCCCTAGAGATCTTTTTTTAAACGCACGAGGACCTTCATAAACTCCCATTGAAGGATGGTATAAATCAGCCTTGATATGAAACAGATTTCACTCCAGAGTGAAAAATGTTAGATTATATAAGTACACATAACTATACATGTGTCTCTAAGGTGTCATTAAATGTTTTTGCTCAGCAGGTAGACCATTTAAAATCCTGAAAACTTGAAATGATAAGTAATCAAGTAAATAGCACAGATTCTGAATACTCAGGTGGCTGTAGGCAGTTATCCTGTGGCTCAGAAGGCGCATAAAGATAAATGATTTCATTGTGGATCACATGCTATTCCTTGAAAACAGCCTTCGGTGCATAGGTATTTTTCATATGGACAGCTTTGTGCATCAGCTACTTTTGTTTTCATTTCAAGCCATTTCAAAAACTATTTATATATCTGGATTTTACCTTGTCATATAGAAAGTCAGTTTTATAGCCAGACCAAACAGTTAAAACTGGAGAATAAGATGAGAAATACATCTTCCTTGATATCTTATTTTCTTTTCCTACAAACTTCTTATTTCTTCTGTGTAGTCAGAGAGTGGTTTCATTTGATCTGCATCTCAGGCTAATAAAATTTTTATTTTTTTCTAACTTTTAGGTGGAAATGCATTTCCAAAACCACCAGCTGGCTAGAACTTTACTGGACCTAAACATGAAAGTGCAGCAATTGAAAAAGGAGTATGAACTGGAAATTACATCAGACTCCCAAAGCCCAAAAGATGATGCTGCGAATCCGGAATAAAGAAATGCACACGCAAGGGCTGGGCGCGGTGGCTCACGCCTGTAATCCCAGCACTTTGGGAGGCCGAGGCGGGCGGATCAAGACGTCAGGAGATTGAGACCATCCTGGCTAACACTGTGAAACCCTGCCTCTACTAAAAATACAAAAAATTAGCCAGACGTGGTGGCAGGCACCTGTAGTCCCTGCTACTCAGGAGTCTGAGGCAGGAGAATGGCGTGAACCCAGGAGACAGAGCTTGCAGTGAGCCGAAATCCTGCCACTGCACTCCAGCCTGGGTGACAGAGCAAGACTCCATCTCAAAAAAAAAAAAAAAAAAAAAAGCACACGCGAAGCTCTGGATCCTAAAACTAACGCATACAACCCTGAAACAATTCTGATGAACACATTATGCTTTGCATAAGTTTTGAGGGGCAATTTATAGACCCAAAACAAATGACAGGGGAAGGTGACAGAAAAACATCTAAGAGAGGGGAGAGAAAAATGATGTATTACCAAGTTTTAAAGTTATTTATTTGTTATTTTTACTGGGACATAGAAGTAAAATATAACTATAGATAAATCTCTCTCTGTCTCTCTCACTCAAAGAATGCTTTAATGCCAACTTTCGGTATTCAACCTTGTGTCACCTGACCTTTCTGGCATTGCCTGAGCTTTCAGAGTTTGTGCTTGTTTTGTTTTACTTGATTATTCTCAGTTTGTCTGTCCAGCAGCCTGCCCTGCTTCTTGTGGAGAATTGTTTCTACTTGGATTCTAACCATGCCCTTTAGGTGGTCTGTGACTAAGGGTATTCCATCTTCCTGGATATAGTCATGCAGCTCAAGGCAGGCAGATGGGTTTGTCCTTAGGATTTTTGAATGGGCACTAAAAGAGTAGATGACTATTTCTGCCAGTAGAAGCTGTGGATCAGGGGCTTGGAAGCTGCTGGTGGTCACCATGTGAGAAAGCCCACACCCTAATGGAGGTGACTGAAACGGAACCACTAAAAGCACAAAAGGGGAGGGAGGGAGGGAGGGTGCTTCGCTTCCTTGTTCCTGGGGTCAAGCTGTATAAGACTCCAGGCCTTGCTCTTGTTTATGTACATGAAATATTCTGATATCCTTCTCATAAAATCTCTTTTTGCCTAAGTAAATTCAAGCTGGAGTTTCATGACTTGTATCTAGTGTTCATAACTAATACAGTTGTTCAGTTTTAGGAGTTAAAATGGTTCTTACTGTTGAATTGGACTATCTAACTGTACCCGAAAAGTGCTGTCTTTTTAATGCAAACAGTAAAGTTAATAAAAAATAGTTGCAGATCTAAGTGATATTTATAATGGTTATTGTCTGCAAAATACAAATTAATTTATAACAAGCTATGTAATTTTAATATTTAATAAACTATAAAAATCAGTTCTTGAAGACAAAGGAGAACAGAAGAGACACAGTCTTTCTCTTGTTAAAAGAAATACAAGGACAAGCATGGTGGATCACGCTTGTAATTCCAGCACTTTGGGAGGCTGAGGTGGGCAGATTGTTTGAGCTCAGGAGTTTGAGACCAGCCTGGTCAACATGGCAAAACCCCATCTCTACTAAAAATACAAAAATTAGCCAGGCGTGGTGGTGCTCGCCTATAGTACCAGCTACTCAGGAGGCTGAGGCATAAGAATCACTTGAACCTGGGAGATGGAGGTTGCAGTGAGCCGAGATCATGCCCCTGCACTCCAGCCTGGGTGACAGAGGGGGACTTGGCCTCGAAAAAATAAATAAATAATAAAAATAAAATAAATGCAAGTTGTTTTATGTGTGTGAGGATCTGAGAATTATCTGGACTAAGTTTAGTTTGTCCTTAACTTTTTTGTCCACAATAAGTAAATTATTCTAGCCCTTTGGTACTTAATTTCCCTCTGTATAAATGAGGAATTACCAAATTCAGCATTGGCAGATGAGCAGTTGCCAGCATCTCAATATCTGACCATTGTGTTCCTTCACACATTTTACGTATGAGCTCTTGGCCTATAAATATACGACTACTATATTAAATTTCATTTGTAAACTAGATTTCCTGTTTATTTCTTCCTTTGAATTTTATAGAAATTTTTAGGAAAGGGTTGGCATAGTTCCTTGTGATCTGTTTTTTGAAAAAGCTTCCACTTAACCTTTGGGACAATCATTCTCAAGTGCATTTTAAAGATTAACATTTATAAATTGTTGTAATTTTGTGTTTAAAAAATACTCGAGGTGATTCATTGTATGAGCTCAATTCCTTACAGAATACAGACTGCTGATGTTGGTTAATACTAATGTCATTTGATTATACTGATAATATATTGGGGATCAAAAGAAAGAAAATTTAAAAGAGAAAGTATGAAAATTGATGCATTGATTTTCACATTTTTAGATTTAAAAAGGTCCATTATTGTATTGCAAAGTTTTGATCACCACTTTTTCCCCACATCTTTTAGTGATGAACTTTGGATCACTGTATTTTTTAGAGGCGACAGATACAGAAACAGAACGAGAAACTCCTTTGTGTCCAAAGTGTCTTGTTTATGGAAGTCTGAGTCAGTGGAGGTGGCCTCTGATATTAACTGTGCAATGTGGAAATACAATGGGAGATTGATACATGGGACACTATCATTATTAAAAGTTTTTATTTTGTTTTCTCTCCAGTATGCTATCTCTTGCCTTTTGTTTGTAAAGTAGCAGAAGCCAGATGATTGTCTTTATATCGTTCTTTGCCATGGCGCTCAGCTGTTGGTCATTAGCTTGCTGGCCTGGCATCCTGTCAGCTGGGACACATGAGAAAGCAGAGAAACTTTTCTGAGGGCTGAGGCTGCCCTGCAATCTCCACTTCCCCTCTTTCCAGGATTTCTAAATAAGCTGGAGCAACAGTGTGACATTGTAAAGATCTATGAAATGGGAGCGATCAAACTGGTGCCAGCTGGAGGGGAAAATGAGAAAATAATTATAACCTAAATTATGCATCGGGGAAGCAGTAGCTGGATAAAATGAAGAAAGTAAGATGTTCATAACAATAGTGGGAGAGAGAGGGCCAAAAGAAGAGACACTAAAAACAGTTTTGTGAGGAAAATATTGTGCTTGGGTTTTTCAAATGACACAATTTCTCACAGCTTTAATTATGTGGGGGATTAAACCACGTTAGCAGGAAATGGGCTTTCACCATATGGTACTTGTTTAGCACCTACCAGTGAATAGATGCCAAATTAATTATGACAATTAGAAGCTTTGCATAGGTTGTTAGGCATTAAATTCCTTTACAGGTGGCCTGGATGAATCCGCATTTTGTTTGGCTTGCCAAATGACTTCTGCTGTAACAGGTGCTTCTGCAACTCCCAGCCTGGGGACAGATCAGAGTCCTCTGTGGGTAACCCCATGATGGCTGAGTCTAAACGAGTGTAATTATAAGAATCTCATCTCCCCTGCTCCCTTCCTGGCAGGGCCTAGGGTCCCGGCACAACCATCAGCTCTATTTACCGCTGTAATCACTGCCAGAATCCCTCTGTGCCTGGAACCTGGCACGATGCCCTCCAGTGCCAGCTGCCTTCTCTCTTGGTTGCTTTCACTGTTGCTGCTGCTGCCATTGCCGCAGCCTCTGTTTCCTTTTTGACCATGTCAGTAACGAAGGTTATGGTAGGGTGAGAAATACAGTTAGGGTGACAGTTGAGTCTGTGCCACCTTGCCTACCTCTCGTCTGGCAGCCTCTTGTTCCATCTGAGCTGAGTGCTGGGCAGTAGGATTCAGATGGGTGGACACCTATTACAGTAGCCTGTGTCAAGCACTGCTTCTCAGGGGGCTGTGTACCTCTCATCTGCTTCCTGATTCTGACATTGATGCATATTGGGGGTGAGAGGGCTTCACCTCTTCCTGAGGAGCAATAATGTCATAGTCTTTCTCTTCTGGGACCAGTACAAGAGGGATCTGTTGAAAAGTAATAATGATGAAACTAACAAAGGAATCAGCCACCACTCCCGTACCAGCCATTGTGCCAAGAACTGTGCATGTATCAGCTTATTTAATCCTCACAGTGACTTGTAGGTGTATAGGACCTGTTTTTGGAGCTATTTGAACTTGGTGTTTAGTCCTGGCTCTGCCACTTACCAACTATATGACCTAAAGCAAATTGCTTTAAATTCTTTAGGTCTCTCTAAGGAAGCCAGTGAAAATGGGACCTGTCTTATTTAAATCTTAAGTAACTCAAATCAGGTTTGGGAGAATGAGTTAATGGCGAATGAACTTCTACGTCATGTGTTTATTCCATATCTTTAGTTTCATATGATCTTACTACCTTTTTGGACTGATACTTTCCCTGCGCCCTTCTCTTCCTCACATCTTTATGTCTTGGTGACCCTCTGCCACCTGCTCGCTGTTAGGATGTTGTCTCAGAGTTCCCTCTGTTGATTCAAAAATTGACTTAGCAAACATGGGAATAGGCAGCAGGAAGATAAAAAGTGAATAGTCGCTGCTACTTGCCAACCCCTGAATCTGCCTGGCATGCAGCGCTATGTATGTTTACAACGTAATTGTCCCAACAAAACTGTGAGGTTGGAACTATCGCACTTCCCATTTTACAGAAGAAGAGAGTGAGTACTGGAGAGATGATGTAATTTATGACGATCCACTCAGCTAGCACGTAGAGATGTCAAGATTCACATCTGATGTTTGGAGTGGTCTGGCTATTGGGCCCCTCCCAAACTAATGAGAGAGACCTGGAACTAGTGAGTAAATTCAATATTATAATAGAAGAATGTATGAATTGCTAGGAGGGATGCTTTTTGCAGGAGTCAGACAATGAAGGTCTCATTGAAGACATGCCTCCAAGTTATTACTTGGTGTCCACCTGAAAAAAAGCCCTCACATCCTGTCTAAACTAGTTGAGTGATCTTGGATAAATTACTCCACCCTATTTAGCCTCATTTTTTTTTCATTTGAAAATGAGAGAGATAGTGGAAATGCCCCCTAAAACATTCCTCTAACTTAGAGCCTCTATTTTATTCTAATCCTGCCGGCTTGTAACTGGACCCTTCAATCACTTGCTCCTGACTTGCCAAGACTTTCTGATTCCCGTTACAGCATGATGGACAGCTGACCATTTGTCCCTGGCCCCTGGCAATGAAGTAGACTCTCCTGGTCTCAAACCTTACCTGACCACAGCGTGAGCTGACGCAGCCTTGATGATGACAGAAAGCAATTCTTGTCACTCTTGGATGCCCCTCTGCTCTTTTCACCCACACCATGACTGCAGCCAGGGGCAAATGTCACATTTGCACTTCTGAGACAGACAAACATCACTTAGAACTTTTACGTGTTATGATTTTAGAGGCAGCCTGCTGTGGCAGACGCTGCTGGCTGAGAACCGCGCCTTGTGCAGCCTCTGCGGCCGGATGGTGGAGTTGGAATCTTGGCTCCTTCACTTCCTCACTATGTTAACACTTCTGCAGTTCAGTTTGCTTATCTGTAAATGATTATGAATCATACTTACCCCAAGAGTTTGTTATGAGGATCTAGTGGACTAATACACATAAAGTGTTTAGAAGCATGAAAATAGTGGCTTATTTTTACAACAGCCAACCCAACAAGTGTTTTGCTCATCCTTCTTGCCTGTTGGAAGTGCCCAATTCCAAGATAGGGACAGAGATGATAGCTTCACTTTTCCCAGTCCCTCTTGCAGTTCAAGATGGCTTTTGAATCCAGTTGTGTCTGATAAAACATAAAGGGAAGTTTACTGGGGGGTTTCTGAGAAACAATTTTTTCCCCTTACATGAAGAGAGAAAATAAGGTGTCTTCCTCCCTATCTCTTTTTTTCTTTCTTCCAGGTATTTTCACATGCAATTGTAAAGCTTGCCTATGCTGCAGCCACCCTGTGACCTAGGTGGGAAATATAGCGGCACTTTGAAGATGACAGGACAGAAAGATGAAAAGCAGTGTCTTCAATGACATCAATGAGCTTCTGACCCCACCCTGCAACTGCCTACCTATGGCTAGTCTTGTTCTGTGAGACAATAACAATAATAAAATCCAATTGTTTGAGGCACTTTTATTGGGGTATTCAGTTTCTTGCACCTGAAAGCACCCTAACTGATAACTTAATCCCCCAAAACCTCCTGCCACAAAGGTTTGTGATAGTGCATCTCTGATGGCAACTGTACATATCATTGGAAACTATCGGCACAGGACTTCAGAGACATCATTACGTTGCTTAAATGTTTCACATATGCCTTTGGCGAGGATGAATTCTATGCAATAGTGTGTCCAGAATTTGGTGGGTTCTTGGTCTCACTGACTAAGAATGAAGCCACGGACCCTCACAGTGAGTGTTACATTTCTTGAAGACGGTGCGTCCAGAGTTTGTTCCTTCTGATGTTCGGACACGTTCAGAGTTTCTTCCTTCTGATGGGTTCGTAGTCTTGCTGGCCTCAGGAGTGAAGCTGCAGACCTTTGCAGTGAGTGTTACAGCTCATAAAGGCAATGCAAACCCAAAGAGTGAGCAGCAGCAAGATTTATTGTAAAGGACAAAAGAACAAAACTTCCACACAATTGAAAGAGAGCAGAGCCGGTAGCCACTGCTGGCTCTGGCAGCCTGCTTTTATTCCCTTATCTGGCCCCACCCTCATCCTGCTGATTGGTCCATTTTGCAGAGAGCTGATTGGTCCGTTTTGACAGGGTGCTGATTGGTGCGTTTACAATCCCTGGGCTACACACAAAAGTTCTCTAAGTCCCTACTAGATTAGCTAGACACAGAGCACTGATTGGTGCGTTTACAAACCTTGATCTAGACTCACGGTGCTGATTGGTGTGTTTACAATCCTTTAGCTAGACATAAAGGTTCTCCAAGTCCCCACCAGATTACCAAGATACAGAGTGCTGACTGGTGTGTTTTACAAACCTTGAGTTAGACACAAAGTGCTGATTGGTGTATTTACAATCCCTTAGCTAGACATAAAGGTTCGCCAAGTCCCCACTAGACTAAGGAGCCCAGCTGGCTTCACCTAGTGGATCCTGCACTGGCAGCAGGCGGAGCTGCCCGCCAGTCTCGCGCGCCCTGCGCCGGCAATCCTCAGCCCTTGGGCGGTGGACGGAACCGGGCGCCGCGGAGCAGGGGGCGGCGCTCGTCGGGGAGGCTCTGGCGTCGCAGGAGCCCACCGCGGGGGTTGGGAGGAGGCTCGGGCATGGCGGGCTGCAGTTCCCCAGCCCTGCGCCGCGGGGAGGCAGCTGAGGCCTGGCGAGAATTCGAGCGCAGTGCCGGCACTGCTGGGGAACCCGGCGCACCCTCCGCAGCTGCTAGCCCGGGTGCTAAGCCCCTCACTGCCCGGGCCGGCCGGCGGCTCCGAGTGCGGGGCCCGCGGGGCCCACGCCCACCCGGAACTCGCGCTGGCCCGCGAGCGCCGCGCGCAGCCCAGGTTCCCGCCCGCGCCACTCCCTCCACACCTCCCCACAAGCAGAGGGAGCTGGCTCCCGCATTGGCCAGCCCAGAGAGGGGCCCCCAGAGCGCAGTGTCGGGCTGAAGGGCTTCTCGAGCATGCCCAGAGCGGACGCCGAGGCCGAGGAGGCGCTGAGAGCGAGCAAGGGCTGCGAGGGCTGCCAGCATGCTGTCACCTCTCAATAGGAGATCAGTTAATGCATACTGAAGGAAGGCTTGTTGGAGAAGAATCCTCTCCTGAACCCTGTGGAGACTCTAGAATCCTGCGGTAAATGTTCTAATTATTGAAAACATTTCCCAATGCTCACCCTCATTAAGGATGTTCTAATGCCTAGGAGACCTACTACCTATCTGATTCTGTCAGAGAAGCCATTTTGTTTTTTGGCAACTGGAAGCAGTGGGGATGAAATATTTTCCTAAGGCGTCTCAGGACTGAACTGGCAGCAAAATAGTAAACTGTTTATCAGCTCTTAAATTTTTATACCAGGGAGGTTTAGCAAACTGTCAGAAAACAGCCTGAATTGAATTTCTATAATTACTGCTTCCAAATTGGTACTGAGGGTACTAGTTGCTCTAAACTTCTGCAGGATTCAGTCTGGGACTTTTCATGCTAAGAAATATCTCAAGATTTTAAGGTGGGATTGTCAGGGTCAGAGGACAATGTCCTCTGAAATCCACCAGTATTTTACTGGACTTTACGGTTTACAGTTTACCAGGTACCTTACAGTTTACCAACTGCTTTCCAGTTTATAATTTACCAGGTGCTGCCATAGCTGATAGCTCGTTAATCTTACAGTAACCAGCTGAAGTAGGTGTGCCGTGAGGCTATTGAATTTTAAGAAGCATCAAGAAAGCCTGCCTGTCTAACTTTGGAAATATCACCCTCATGCTGTCTTCCCAGGATGTCTCTCTCCCTAAGTAAGAGATGTTACTTCCTGGAGGGAATGCAGTGTTGGGAATCTGAAGACCCAGCTTTGAGCTGAATTTGCTTTGTGATACCTGGTGAGTCATTGATGTCTCTGGGCTTCAATTTTCTCATTTGTAGAAACTTGTAGAGTAAGGCATCGAACTCATAATCATCTTTAAGATTCTTTGGGTTAAGCATGGGCATCTCCTGCTAATGGTTTTAATTTGAAACAATGTTGTTACCAACTCATTAGTGTGAATTAACCTAGGTGGTGATACCAAAAGGTTGAGCTTTATTTAAAGTGTGCTTAGTGAGCAATTAAACAAGGGAAGCTTGTTTAAAAAGAAGAGTAGAAAAATACTGAAATTAACACCATTTGTCCCTGGCCCCTGGCAAGGATTGCTATCTGCTCCTCCTCCCAACCTTCTCTTGGCTATGCTCCAAAACGCCTTCTCTCTTGTAGCACATCCGATGTAAGTTTGCTTCCTATTTACTCCCTTAGCACTCAAGTTTCCCCTATGACAGCATCTACCACATGTATCGTAATACCTTATTGAATTATCTGTTCCCCACCCCGCCGTCTAGACTACAAGCAACATGAGAGCCCAAATCCCATCTTCCAATTTTTTGGTGATTCCTTGTATTTTTATAATTTTGCCTTGGGTTAACTTTATTGAACAGCATGAATCTAACAGTGCAAATTTGCTCTCTCTTCCTGTCATTCATTCAACATTTTTGTTGTGTCTACGGGGTGCCAGCCACTGTTCTAGGTATGTGTTGAGCATCAGTTTTAAAATAAGCATCTTTCTGGATGCTGAGCGTAGGACAATAAACCTGAAAAGATGGGATTGGGCTCTCATGTTGCTTGTAGTCTAGATGGCAGGGTGGGGAACAGATAATTCAATAAGATATTATGATACATGTGGTAGATGCTGTCTTAGGGGAAAGTTGAGTGCTAAGGGAGTGAATAGGAAGCAAACTTACCTTGGATGTGGTACAAGAGAGAAGGCGTTTTGGAGCATAGCCAAGAGAAGGTTGGGAGGAGGAGCAGGTAGCAATCCTAGAGAGAAACAACAGCTCATAGAAGGTGCTAGAGGTGAGCAAAGTCATCATCTGTATTAGGGAGTAAAGAAAGCTCAATATAGTTGGTGCTTAGAAGAAAGAATGAAGGTGTTAAGAAGTGTGGCTGAAGTGGTTGACAGAGGTGGACATATCATGACAGGCCTCACAAGCCATGCTTTGGGGTTCAGACTGTATCCTAAGAGCCTGGGTAAACCATTGAAAAATATTTTAAAATTTAACTTTTATTATAGCAATACTTGCACATAATATACAAATAATTAAATAATTCTAAAAGTCTTACACAAAAATTATCAGTCCCTTGAAGGCATCATGGCCCCTCACCCCAAAGGAAACTACTTCCAATTTTTTTTTTTCCGAGACAGAGTCTCCCTCTGTCACCCAGACTGGAGTGCAGAGGCATGATTTCTGCTCTCTGCAAACTCCGCCTTCCGGGTTCAAGCGATTCTCCTGCCTCAGCCTCCCGAGTAGCTGGGATTACAGGTGCTCACCACCACATCTGGCTAACTTTTTTGTTTTCTTAGAGAAAAAAAGTAGAGATGGGGTTTCACCATGTTGGCCAGGCTGGTTTTGAACTCCTAACATCAAGTGACCCGCCCACCTTGGCCTCCCAAAGTGCTAGGATGACAGGCATGAGCCACCGGGCCTGGCCACTTCCAATTCTTTTACCTTCTAGATAATGTGAGTAAGCATCTTTGTTTTATAGATTTTAGACATTATGTCTTCCTATTATGACAAAGAAGAATTTTATTTATTTATTTATTTATAATGTCAATTTTTATTTTAGATTCAGGGGGTATATGTGCAGATTCTTTTTACCTGGGTATATTGCGTGAGGCTGAGGTTAGGGGCATGGTTAATCTCAGCACCGAGATACTGAGCATAGTGCCCGGTAGTTTTTCAATGCTTGCCTCCCTCCCTTTCTCTCCCCTTTTAGTAGACCCCCATGTCTATTTTGCCATTTTTGTGTCCATGAGTACCTAAAGTTTAGCTCCCACTTATAAGTGAGAACATGTGGTATTTGGTTTTCTGTTCCTATGTCAATTTGCTTAGGATAACAGCCTCCAGCTGCATCCATGTTGCTGCAAGGACATGATTTTGTTCTTTTTTATGGCTACATAGTATTCCATGGTGAATACGTACCACATTTTTTTTCAATCTAATCCATCGTTGATGGGCATCAAGGTTGATTCCATTTGACAAAGGAGAATTTTATATCTCTTATGCTTTCTCTTCCTAATCCCTTTATTCTTTCTAATACGACTATTTTGTATTTTTCTTACATTTCTATTTATAATTTTAATTATTGTTCCATGCTGAGTCAAGTAGTGGACTGTGATTATATTTTCTTCTTGTATAAATTTTCATTTCCTTTGATGTTGATAATTACATTGCTTGTTCTGCTTAGCTTTCTTTGAATCTTTGGCCGAATCTTCTCATATCATTCCACAGCTCTGTAAAAACACTTCTACTATCATCTCATCTCTACTTCCTGTATTACCTGGAACTTGCAGCTTTCTAGGGTTCTATGTGGGCAATTTTGCTTGCTTCTTATGAAATTCTTAATTTGCAGGCACTCATGTCTGACTTTCCCTGCTCTGCTGGGTTTTGTAGCATTTTTCTATCAACTTTTTTTCTTCATCTCGTTTTCTGTTTTCCCCCATTTCAAGTTCTATTTATTTCTGATTTAATCAAAGATGAAATCTGAATTCCTGTTTCTTTCTGGAATAGAGTTCCAGAAGATCTCTACTCCATCTTAAAACTGTAATTCATTCATGAGATTTAAGTAGAGGATTCTCATATTTGCTTTGAATAAGCATCTCTCTGGCAGCAGTGTGGAAAGAATGAATCTGAGGGGAGTTGGATTAGGTTTAGGGCCAGCAAATAGGTCAGACGATAAGAGACTGGAGTAGGGTGGTGTTAGTGAGGATGCAGAGAGTAGTCCTAACTTAGAAATAATTAGGAGAAGAATAATCAATAATTTTTGGTAAGTAATTGGATGTGGGAGTGAGGGAGAAGTTGGAGATAAGATAATGAAGATAATGCCCTCATTTTTAGCATGGAAAGATGAGTAGATGGTAATATCATTTATGACAGTAGAGGGCACCAGAAGAGGATGGGACTTTGGAATGGGGAGACATGAGAGTTCAGTTTTGGACTATTGAGTTTGAGGTGTCTTTGATACATTTAAGTAGAGACATCAAATAGGCAATATTAAATGGCATTTGAAACCCATGGCAGTGGAAGAAATTAACTAAAACCAAGAGGAGAGAAAAGAGGAATTGGATAGAATCATCATAAATGTCAACATCTGATGGCTGGGCAGAAAAAGAGGACCCTACAAAGACGTCTGAAAAGCTATTAAAGAGAGAGAGAGTATGGTGTCAAAGAAAACTAGTAATGAGGGCTTGTCTAGTGGTCAAGTATGATAGACTAAAAATATCTTTTAAATTTAGTGACATAAAGGCCATTGAAGACCTTGGAAAGAACAATTTCTGTGGAATGGTAGGTGTAGAATCTGAGTAATAATGGGTTAAGGAGTAAGCAGGAGATGCGAAAATGAAAACAGTGAATGTATAACATTCTTTCAAATAGTTTGGTTTTTAAGAGGAAAGGAGGAGATAGCTCAGTAGCTAGGCAAAAATGTGATGTCAAGTTTCTTTTTAGTTATTTTTTCTAAGTGAGATATTTGAGTGTGCTTAAATGTTAATGGATAGCCAAATAAGAGTAGAGATCAATGATGTAAATAAGAGTAGAAGTCAGTGATAGAGTGAGGGCCTTGAGAAAGTGAGAGGGAAGGGTCTACAAAGTACAGGTATAAAGCTTAAGATTGGAAGAGGAACGCCACATCCATTGTTATAAGTGGGCATGGTAGAGGGCCAGGTAAATGTATCAGTTGATGAAAAGTTGAGAGAATTCTTGATGGCTTCCGTTGTCTGTGAAGTAGTAAAATTCAAGGATTCAAGGTTGTGTGCCTACAGTGAAGAAGAAATAAATGATGGGATCTGAGATCTGAGGAAAGTGGGAACAATTTGAAATAGCTGGTGTATTGGGTTGAATAGTATCCTTCCAAAATAGATGTCCACCTAGAACTTCAGAATGAGACCTTATTTGGAAATAGGGTCTTTGCAGATGCAATTAATTAAGATAAGGTCATTTTGGGCTAGTGTGGGCCCTAAATCTGATGACTAGTGTCCTTCTAAGAAGAGAGAAACAGTGACACGGATGCAAACAGTGGGAAGATGGCCATGTGAAGACACAAAAAGATACACAGAGAGAACACCATGTGAAGACAAGAAGAGAGTGGAATGCTGCACCTACAAGCCAGGGAATGCTGAGGTTTGGCCGGGTGCGGTGGCTCACACCTGTAAACCCAGCACTTTGGGAGGCTGAGGTGGGTGGATCACTTGAGGCCAGGAGTTTGAGACCAGTCTGACCAATGGGGTGAAACCTTGTCTCTACTAAAAATATAAAAATTAGCCAGACGTGATGGTGCATGCCTATAGTTGCAGCTACTTGGGAGGCTGAAGCACGAGAATCGCTTGAACCTAGGAGGCAAAAGTTGCTGAGATCACGCCACTGCACTCCAGCCTGGGTGACAGAGCGAGACTCTGTCTCAAAAAAAAAAAAATAAAAAAAAAGAAAACAAAAAGACAGAGATGCTGAGGTTTGTTGGCAACCATCAGAAACTAGAGGAGAATTGTGGGACAGACAGATTCTCCCTCAGAGTGCTCAGAGGACTAACCCTGCTGACTCCTTGATTTTGGACTTCAGGCCTCCAGAACTGTGAGAGAAAAAATTTCTCTCGTTTTGAGCCATCCAGTTTGTGGCAATTTGTTATGGCATCCGTAGGAAACAAACAGGAAAAAATGGAAAATGAGAGTGCATTACCAAAACTCAGAAAGATTATAAGCACTGTTGAGAACTTAGTTGAGGTTGGTGATCATGAATTTATGTTGGCAATAAATGTACAGCAGCCCAGGATTAACTGTGAAAGGTGAATAGATACATTAAAGCAGGATTCATATTCTGTCATGCATAAGCAGACTATGGACAAGGTGGCAATAAAACTGAAAATATTTCAACAGAATGGATGCAAAGATGATGAAATAAAGTGTGCTTTGAGTAAAGATTAAAGACTTAAGGTGACTGGAGGCAGGCAGCAGAGGGGTTCAAGGGACAGGCTGAAAATAGCTATAGTAAGAGAAATTGAGTAACAGTCAAAATAAGGGGTTAAGGTGAGAGAGTAAGATGAAGCTGAAGCATTTCTAGGCCATGACAAATTCCAGGATGTAACTGAAGTGTGGTAGAGATGACATTTCGATTTCATCGAAAATGAAAATTTCAGGGCCAGAAATTTAGATGGGTCGTCTATACTATAGTAAAAACTTCACTTTCTAGTGATTCTTATCTTTTAGTAAAAATCATGCTTACAACGAAAATACAATTCATTGGATTTAAAAGCATGTTAAAAAAACAGTGTATATCTATATAATAGAAATTCATATCTACTAAGGGGATGCCATAAAAAAATCAATTGGATAGTCTCTCTCTTATTTAATCCCATGGAGAATTACAGAAAGTGGACTTCATGTTTTAAATCAATGAAATGCCAACTTAAATGAAGTTGAGTTCTATTTTGAAACTTGAATTAAGTAATCCTGAAATGTTTCAAAATTAAATTCATCATCAAGGCACCGAAGTAAAAATGTTAAAATATAATAAATCTGTATCTTTCTGTCAGAATTACAAATGACTGGTACCAATTACAAAGTAGTCAACATCTTATTCATAGGCCTTAAAGCATACCAAAAATGACTATCATTGGCTATGTGATCACATTTTCATTTAATAAGTGACATGTAGAATAATTTTGACTCAAATAGTTTCAATACTCATGATATGAGTGCAAAACAAATATACAAATACTACAGATTATCATCTGTACAGCATAATTAAGAAAGACCCTGTCAGGGTACAGATGGTCTTACACATAAAAAAGTGGCATTTTTTATATTTCTTTACTTATAAAATCATCCTTCAACTCATGGGAGTAGTTAAAGAAACTGAGATAGCTATTTTGTAGGTGAGAAGACATAGGGCTAAGATGATAATTTCTTTCACATAGTTAAAGGGCTATTATGGGCAGCACCATTCTTTTTTTTATTTTTTATTTTTTATTTTTTTTTTGAGATGAAGTCTCGCTATGTAGCCCAGGCTGGAGTGCAGTGGCGCCATCTCCTGCAACCTCCGCCTCTTGGGTTCAAGCGCTTTTTCTGTCTCAGCCTCTCGAGTAGCTGGGATTACAGGCATGTGCCACCATGCTCGGCTAATTTTTGTACTTTTAGTAGAGACAGGATTTCACCATGTTGGCCAGGCTGGTCTGGAGCTCCTGACCTCAAGTGATCTACCTGCCTTGGCCTCCCGAAGTGCTGGGATTACAGGCGTGAGCCACCATGCCCTGCCTAGACAGCACCCATTGTTAAACTCAGGCAGTCAGCCCCTTCCCCCTGCAATGGGTCAACATGATGCCCCGAGAAACTCTGAGACTCAAAACTAGGGGACTGTCTTGAGACTCTGGCCCTAGGACAGTGACTTGGTGAGAGGATCATTCTTGCTGAATGGTGAGGTATTTCTATTGTGGGATTGTATGATATTGGCCAACTAGACTGGTGCTGACATGCTGATTTTGGGTGATATTTATTCCCATCAGAAAACAGGAAGTATCTGGGGCACTGGGCAACCAAAAATCAATAGCCATGCACCAGCTTTTTCCCTTCATGGTCTTTTTCTTACCATGGTGAACATCCAGTCTACAGCACCTGAGGGCAGCCCTGTGTCCTCCCACCACTGTCACCCATCTTCCCCACAGGATCTATGCCTCGTGTCAGGGAATCATCCAGATTTGACTGTGCCTATCTCCTTTGAGTGCTTTCAAGGCTTCTATTCCATGATTCTAATGTGCCTTTGTTAGCAATATCACTTATTTTCTTCAACTGATGTTGAACACATTGTGCTCTCCCAAGCAGGTCTTAAGTCATGCCACGTCAGGGCTGGACCGCTCTTCTTATTCTGCACATGGGCCCTCACTTAGGCAGGGGTGCGGTCAACATTGAAAGAGGTTCCATTCTAGGAATGTAGTGGTTATGGCGTTTTCTAGTGCTCTGCATTGTTTTGTATAGACCCATGTTTCCATCTGGTATTATTTTTTTAATGCCTGAATTATTTCCTTTAACATTTTTTTTTTTTGTAGTGCAGGTAAGCTGATAATGAACTCTTTTAACTTTTGTATGCCTGAAAAAGTTTTTACTTCTTTTTGTTTTTGAAATATATTTTTATTAAGTATAGACTTGGGGCTGACAGTCTTTTCTTTCAGTGCTTTAAAGATGATTCTTCACTGTCTCTTGCTTGCATCATTTCCAGTGAGAATTCTACTGTCATTTTTATCTTTGTTCCTCTGTAGGTAGTGTGTCGGCTGCATTTAAGATTTTTCTTTTTATTACTGGTCTTTAGCAATTTGATTATGATGTACTTTGATGTGTCTATCTTTGTGTTTCTTGTGCTTGGGTATTGTGAATTTTTGAGGGTCTCAAGGTTTATAGTTTTCGTTAAATTTGTAAACAATTTTATCATCACTTTAAGTATTTTTTTCTTTCTATCCCTTTTCCTTGGAGAATCTACTTATATGTATATTAGACCTCTTGAAGTTGTCCTATAGCCCACTGATGCTCTTTTCATTTTTTTTTTTTTTTTTTTTTTTTTTTTGAGGCAGAGTCTCACTGTTGGCCATGCTGGAGTGCAGTGGTGCGATCTCGGCTCACTGCCACCTCCGCCTCTCGGGTTCAAGCGAGTCTCCTGCCTCAGCCTCCCGAGTAGCTGGGACTACAGGCGCCTGCCACCATGCCCAGCTAATTTTTTGTATTTTTAGTAGAGACTGGGTTTCACCGTGTTAGCCGGGATGGTCTCGATCTCCTGACCTCGTGATCTGCCCGCCTCGGCCTCCCAAAGTGCTGGGATTACAGGCATGAGCAACCGTGCCCGGCCCACTCTTTTCATTTTTTAAAAATTTACTTTCTCTCTGTGTTTCGAGTGGTTTCTATTGCCATATCTTCAAGCCCATTAATTATTTTTCTGCAGTATCTAATCGGCTAGTGATCCCATCCATTATACTTTTGATCTCCCACATTATAGTTTTCATGTCTAGAAATTTTCCATATCTTCCATGTTTCCACTTATCTTTTAAAGCATATAGAATAATTTTATAGTAACTGTTTTAAGGTGTTTATCTGTCAATTTTAGTATCAATGTTAGTTCTAGATTGGCTTCAATTGATCGATTTTTCTTCTCATTATGGATCATATTTTCCTGCTTCTTTTTATGCCTAGAATCCTTAATTGGAATGCCAGACATTATAAATTTCACATTCTTGTGTGCCAGATATTTTTGTGTTCCTATAAATATTCTTGCAGTTTTTTTTCTGGGATGCAGTTACATTACTTAGAAACCATTTGATCCTTTCAGTTTCTGCTTTTCATAGTTGTTAGATGGAACCAGAGCAGCATTTAGTCTACTGTTAACTATTCCCAGCTATGGAGGCAAGATCCTTCTGAGTACTCTGTCCAAGGTCTTATGAATTATAAAAATTTCCACTATGGCTGTTGGAGACAGGCGCTATTCCCAGCCTGTGTGAAGACTGGGTTTCCTTTAGCCCTTTCAGATCGTTCTTTCTGTGCACATGGGCAATTTTCTTATATGCATGTGTTTATAAACATTCTGGTGAATTATCAGGGCATATCCCCTGAAGATCTTGAGTCTCTTTCCTCACCTTTCTGTCCTGCAATCTTTAGCTTCGTTGGTCATCATGCTCTCAACTCTATCTCTTCAACTCAGAGAGCTTGTCAGGCTACTCCCTGCATTGAAGCCTCGAACTTCTTAAGGCAGTCATCTGGGTCACTTGTAGGGATTCCCATGTTTGTTTTCCATCTTTCAGAGATCACTGACCTTTGTTGCCTAATGTGTTCAAAACTTTTATTTCATATATTTTGTCTGTGTTTATTTTGTTTGTTTCAGGTGGGAAAATGTATGTAGCCCTAGCTGAAGCTGCCTATCTCATCATATTTTAGGAGCTGTTAGTTTGTAAGGACCAATGAAGTAATGTATCATAGAATGCTACGTCATTTGATAGAATAGAGGATGACATTTGACCTTCACTTTTTTTGAAAGGATGCTCTTTATTAATATTAACAGAAGAAGATAGAAAGTTCAAAAGGTCTTGTTTGCTTAAACTGATGTTAATCATGAAATTTTTAATCTAAGAAAAGATAATTACTGGGACATTGTGGTAAGAAGTTGAAAAAGCATGTAACTTGTCTCACTTCTTTCATTACTCTCATTGCCTTTACAAAGGGAAATACCGTAAGTATTCGTAATCAGAGACATGATCTCATCACCCCAGTCCATAGACTTGTCTCCACATACAACGTCGCAGTAAGAGGTAGAAATAGTAGAATTTATTTATACATCCAGTTATTTTGAGAACAACTCTACAAATTCATTCAACTAATTGACTAAATATATTTGGAATATGTATGTGTATGTGTGTGTTCCTATTTCTTTCTACTTGTGTAGGGTAGAATGGGCAGAATCTAGAGTAACTAGAATAATTGAAGCAATCACATCTGAGAAACTGTGGGAAATGCAGGTCTTGACATCTTTAACAAGACTGTAATATGAGGAAAATCTCCTCTTTAATTTTCATCTTAAAGAATGTGAAAGACCCTAATGTTTGCATGCTATTGTGACTTGCTTTTATACCTCTGCTCTTTATGACTCTCCTATTTTAAGCAATGAGTATCCTTAAGATCTCTGTAATATTATTAGTACAGAAGGAAGGAAGGAAGGAAAGAAGGAAGGGAGGTGGGGAGGAAGGGAGAAAAGAAGGGAAGAAGGAAAATGAAATAAAACTGTTTATTCACTTGCTAATTTATTAAAGATGTAGTTGTTATCTATATTAATGGAGTGCCTTGTTTTAAAAAGATTTATGGGCCAGGCGCGGTGGCTCACGCCTGTAATCCCAGCACTTTGGGAGGCCGAGGTGGTTGGATCACGAGGTCAGGAGATTGAGACCATCCTGGCTAACACGGTGAAACCCCGTCTCTACTAAAAATACAAAAAATTAGCCGGGCGTGGTGGCAGGTGCCTGTGGTCCCAGCTACTCGGGAGGCTGAGGCAGGAGAATGGCTTAAACCCGGGAGGCAGAGCTTGCAGTGAGCCGAGATCGCGCCACTGCACTCCAGCCTGGGCAAAAGAGCAAGACTCCGTCTCAAAACAAATAAATAAATAAAAAAGATTTATGGCAACCTACAAGTATATATGCAATGTAAAAACAGAATAAAAGACATGAATGAGATGGTTGGACAAAGAGAAATAAAACTGCAGAATGGTTGACAGTGGAGCAAGTTTAGGGTCTCATTCTGTTTGTGCTGCTATAACAGAATACCACAGAATGGGTAATTTATAAAAAACAGAAATTTATTTCCCATATTTCTGGAGACTGGGAAGTCCAAGATTAAGGCCCTGGCCTCTGGGGAGGGCCTTGCTGCATACTATGGAGGGGAAGAATGCTATGTCCTGACTTGCTAAAAGGGAGAAGGGTAAGAGAGAGAGAGCACCTACTTCCATGAGCCCTTTTTTTGTGTCGCTCAGACTAGAGTGTAGTGGTACAATCATAGCTCACTGTAGCCTCAAACTCCTGTATGAGCCTTTTTCAGAATGGTATTAATCCATGCATGAGGTCAGAGCCCTCATGACCTAAACGCCTTCTAGGCCCCACATCCCAACACCGTTGCATTAGGGATTAAGTTTCTAACACTTGAATTTCTGGGGAACACATTCAAATCACAGCAGTCAGTACTTGAAATATCTAGTCTTGGATACTTGCAAACAATAAGTTGAATGTTGAGCTCTAAGCTTTCTAGCAGCTAATAGCAACAACAAAAAAGATAATTTAATCTATTTCTGGTGTTCCATTGAAGACAAATTGTTTGCCATATACGTGGCTAGAAACTAGATAAGTTAACTCATTTTATTGGCTCATTAACTGTAAGGCAATTAGGTTCAGTGATGGCTGCCGGCAGTGATGACTTTTGGCTTTAGGACAGTTGAACAATAGACCTTATAGAGCAGTAACTAACAATAAGCACCAGTTTTCTGTGTAGGCCGATCCTAAGTTATGCCAAGAAAAGCCATGCCACCTGCATATAAAAAATGATTATGTTAATGCTCTTAAGTAATTCCTCCCTTTTTCCTGTCTTCATTTTAACCTTCTCCTTTTACGTTAGTGTCAACACATTATCCCATCATAGCTTTTATTCTCCTCAATCCGTCCCCAAACTGTTCTTACTGATGCTCACTCTAGTCATGGCATTAAGGTCACAGGATTTTATGAGCATCAGTAGCCTGGGAATAGTTTGAGTTTGTTCAGTTTAGTCACTAGTTGATTCGTTTTCACAGAATTAGAAATTAAAGAGCAAACAGTAAAAGTCCCAAAAATTGCATGTTGCTCTCAATACATTTATTCACGAGGTAATATTGTATAACCAGAGTCATGTCTAAAGGTGCTGCTTTTCATGTCTGACACTGCCCTGCAAAGCCCTGGTTTCAGTTTATTGGAAGAAAAACTGATATACCCTTTATTAGAAGGATTACTTCGTGAATTAACAGGTTAATAATTTGGGAGCAGCGTATGGTTATCATTTTAACATATAAGATAGAGTAATTTTTGGAAACTTTCCCATGTGCCAAAGCAGGGTACAAGGCAGAGTACAAGGAAAAGTTGCAGGCCTCAAGGAACCCGGAGTCTGGCGGGGAAGGGGACAAGTCAGCAAAGTTATGATGTGACCTGGTAGTTTGGTGAAATTAAAGAGAGAGAAACACGCAGCTCAGTTGGCCTGGGAGTGGAAGAGGTCAGGAAAGACTTTAAGAATGTAGGAAATCTTCAGGCTTGAAGGAAAAATCTCACATCATGGAATTGTGGAAATTACTTAAATTGGGCTTTATTTATTTCTCTAGAACCCAAGGCCCGTGAGAACCCTGCAGCTGTCAATAGCCCTCTTAGATTTTGAGCAGGACTATGGTTAAGCCCTTCCAGAAACCTGATAATTGAACTAACTTGAAAGTTAAAAATAAAAGCTGTGGTAGAATACACATAACATATAATTGACCATTAGTGACACTTAGCACTTTATAGTGTGATGCGACCACCATGACTACCTAGTTCCAGAACATTTTCATCACCCCCAAATGAAACGCTGTATCCATTAAACCATACCTCATCTCTTCCTCCCCAGATCCTGACAACTGCTAATATACTTTATGGATTTGTCAATTCTGAATTTTTCATATAAATGGAACAATACAATTTTTGTATCTGGCTTTTCACTTAGCATAGTATTTTTTAGGTTTCGTCCATATTGCATTAGTGCATCCTTTCTTTTTATGGCTGAATAATACTTTATTGTATGGATATCCCACATTTTATTTATTCATTTTTCAGTTGATGGGCATCTGGGTTGTTTCTACTTTTTGGCTATCGTGAATAGTGCTGCTATGAGCAACTGTGTGCAAGTTTTCATTTGAACACCTGTTTTCATTGCTTTGGAGTGTATATCCAGGAGTGGAATTACTAGGTCACACAGTAATTTTTTATTTAGCTTATTAAGGCACTACCAAATTGCTTTGCACAGCAGCTGTACCATTTTACTGAACTTACCTTTAATGAGAAAGTATTTCCTTCAAGGTTACTGTGCACCTTGGTAAATTATTCTCCCTACCAACTTCAAAAGATTGTTCTGAGGATTAATAACCTTTGTGAAACGTTAAAGGCCTTCTGAAAGCAGCCTTTATATAAATTAAAGGTATTATGTACTCAGGCATTCATTCCAGTGTAGTTCACAAGGAGTTTGATAGTTCAATAAATTTACATAAAATTCGATCTGGATAGGTGTGGGCTTTTACAATCTTATAAGACCTGAAGCTGAAAAGAGACAAATTGAGCTGAATTAGTTTGTCTTAATTTGACCTGTTTTTCCTAATAAGATATTGGAGGCATTAAAAAAGA